>NC_000008.11:123214222-124464222 GCF_000001405.40 Homo sapiens
ACTGTAGGAGAGAATGTTTCCTTGCCTTTTCTACCCAAATTTCTTGGCTCATAGCTCCTTCCTCCATCTTTAAGTTAGTGCCGTAGCATCTTTCCAACTCTGATTCTCTCCACCTCGACCTTCCATTTTTAAAGATCTCAGCAATGACATTGGGCCCACTTGGATGACGCAGGATAATCTACCTATTTTAATGTCAGCTGATTAGAAACCTCAATTCCCCTTTGCCATGTAACCTAATGTATTCATAGGTTCTGGGGATTAGGATGTGGGCACGCCGACCACACTCCAGGGTTCTCATGGAGGCCTCAGGCCCTAGAGACCAGGAAGAGCCTGGAATCCTAAGTAGTAAAGCAGACAGGGGTGGTGGCTCACACCTGTAATCCCAGCACTTTGGGAGGCCAAGGCGGGCGGATCACCTGAGGTCGGGAGTTCGAGACCACTCCGTCTCTACTAAAAATACAAAATTAGCCAGGCATGGTGGTGAATGCTACTCAGGAGGCTGAGGCAGGAGAATTGCTTGATCCCAGGAGGCAGGGGTTGTGGTGAGCCGAGATCGCACCATTGCACTCCAGCCTGGGCAACAGGAGTGAAACTCTGTCTCAAATAAAGAAAAAAGAAAAAAAAAAAAGTAGCAAAGCAGAGAACTGTCCCTCTGCCCCTTTGGGGCATCTCCTTCATTTTGCTTCTCTGCAGTCCTGCCCTGTCTATTCCTCAGTCACTTTGGCAGAACACAGCCACCCCCCTACTTTTGAGCTTGCTAGGGTCAGACCCATGAGAAGAATCATTTCTGAACCTCTGGGAGAGAATCTGATTAGCCAGGTACAGCTTGGGTCAGGTACACCCCCCGACTCCCGCATCAGTTAAGGTAGTTGAGTACAAACATGATTGCTAGGTACTCACCCCTGTGAAAGAGAGAGGAGGGGGGCAAGGGTGGTGGTTAGCTCAGAAGCTGGGCAGATACAACACCAAAGCGCTAGGTGATGAAGCCACCCCGTGCGAAGGAGGGAGAAAAGGACAAGGAGGACAAATGCCTTTCCTCTCCAAACTTCTTTAGCAAAGTCTCCTGATGGACACATTTTGACTGGGAAAACAGAAATGGAGCTGCCACTCTTCGGAATGTTCTTCTGCAGGTTCGGGGGGCATTCTCTTCAGCTTCTGACCCTACAGCACAGGGCCAGGCACAGAGAAAGCGAGCGCGTGTGGATGACCGAGTCCGACTTGACTGCGTGTGCAGCCACACTGGCAGAGTTCTGGGCTCTTCTGCACATCCCTCTCTGTTTGCTCATTGTTTTGTTGTTTTGATTAATCCCCTGGAAAGCAGGGTGTAAACAGACTACCTAGATTCAAGTTCAAAAGCACTATAAAGCTGCCCTTTAAAACATCTTTTAATAAATGGTGGCCTTAGATTTGTTTTGTAGAGATTTTTTGCCCAAGGTTTTCCTAAAAGGAAGCACATTTTTTTGAAACATGGTTCTGTGCAGGGTACAGGGCCACCTCTGGCACCAGAAGTGGGGTTTGGTGGGGACAGGCTGTGCGCTTGTGGCTTGCCATGCCTCAGACTGCCTCTGCAAGGGCCTGAGCTCCAGGAAGGCAGCAATGACAGATGCCACTGCACGTCCATGGAGCTCAGCTCCACCACAGAAGGCAAACCAGAGACACCGCCCTAGAGCTTGTGATCTGGCCAGGAGGAATTATACAATAAATTAATTACAATTCCAATAAGCCATTAAAAAAAAAAAAGCACAGGGCATATGATGACATTTGAAGGGGAACCCGAGCCAGTCTGGGGATCGGGAGCATCTTGTCTGAGAGTGACCTTTGGGTGGAGATCCACAGGAAGGGGACGTTTAAGGCTGGGCTGGGGGAGTGCAGGGGAGAATGTTCAAAGTGGAGGTGACTGGATGGGCAAAGGCTTGAGCAAGGGCAAGCTTGAGGAGTCAAAGAACAAGAGAGGAAACCAGGGTGGGTACAGTACCAAGGGAAGCAAAGCGAGTTGGGCTGGAGTGGGTCAGGGCCAGGCCATGTGGGGCCTCGCAGGCCTCATGAAGGACTATGAGAATGATGTGTTCTTCGTTTTTTTGAGACAGAGTCTCACTCTGTTCCCCAGGCTGGAGTGCAGTGGCGCGATCTCGGCTCACTGCAATCTCCGCCTCCCAGGTTCAAGCAATTCTCTGCCTCAGCCTCCCGAGTAACTGGGATTACAGGTGCCTGCCACCATGCCCGGCTAATTTTTGTATTTTTTTTAAAAAATTTTGTATTTTTAGTAGAGATGGGGTTTCACCATTTTGGCCAGGTTGATCTTGAACTCCTGACCTCGTGATCCACCCACCTCGGCCTCCCAAAGTGCTGGGATTACAGACATGAGTGAGCCACTGTGCCCGGCCAGGACTGTGAGAATATCTTTCCAAGATCCCTCTGACCCAGTGTGAGGATGGTAGGGGTGTGAGAATATAAAGGACAAAAGATGGCCAGGCGCAGTGGCTCATACCTGTAATCTCAGAGCCTTGGGAGGCTGGGGCAGGCAGATCACCTGAGTTCAGGAGTTTGAGCCAGCCTGGCCAACATGGTAAAACTCCCATCTCTACCACAAATACAAAAATTAGCTGGGTGTGGTGGTGCGTGCCTGTAATCCCAACAACTACTTGGGAGGCTGAGGCACGAGAATCGCTTGAACCTGGGAGGGGGAGGTTGTAGGGAGCCGAGATCGTGCCATTGGACTATAGCCTGGGCAACAGAGCAAGACTCCACCTCAAAAAAAAAAAAAAAAAAAAGACTCTTACCCGCTCAGACATCCAGCATAGATTCCCCTTGAGGAGCAAATGTTGAAGACAGGCCTTTTGAGAGTGGAAGAGGCAAGAAATTTCCCTTAGGTCCCACCCCATGCACCTGGAGTGCAGTCACATCTGTGGTGCACATTTGCTCACCTTCTAAGTGACTCACTCACTGTTAAGGGTAGTGATGTCTGAATTGGCAGGCCTGAAGGTTTTTCTTTAGTGTAATCATTGCTCAATTACCTTCACCATCTGTGCTGGAAATGATTGTGATGACTTTGTGTGATGAAACCCAGAGGTGCCCAGTATTCCTGGGTGTCCTTTCCCACCCTTTATTACAGCAGAGGCATCAGAGTTCAAGAGGCCAGGTTCTCACTTGCGTCAACACACTGCTGCCAGGAAGGCGAGGCGGGGCGGAAGTGAGGTGTGAGTAGGATCTGTGAAGACCACTTGGGCATTCAGGATGATGCAGACAGCAAGTTGGAGAGGAAAGCCAGAAGATGAAACGCTCAAAGCAAGGGCCAAGTTGGCAAGTGGGCTAGGATACAGACCAGAAGCCGAGAGGGGTTAGAGGAAAAAAATGGGGCATTTCTAGGGAGATCACATGGACAGAAGGAAGAGGTTTAGCTACAGACAGAAACAGGCAGAGTGCTAGGACTGCCTCAGCACAGTATCACATCTGCAGGGTATTAACCTTTTGCAAAATTAAGATGCTGGCCAATTCATTCAGTAATTCTTCCAACAAATATTTAGTGAGATGCCAGGTTATTCTGCCTTGGGGACACAAATATATACAAAACAGTCACAGTCCCTGACTTTAAAAAATTTAGTGGCAAACCATCAGGCAAACATGGAATACAAAACACAGGAATAAGAGTCAGTATAGGACTGAACCAGCAGTAAGGGAGCACAGAAGTGGGAAACCTCCCACCACTGGCAGGTCAGAAAGACTTCCAGGAAGCTACATCTAAACCAGACCTGAAAAATGAATGTGAATTAGCCATTGGATGGGGGCGGGGATGGGTTGAGGTGAAGGTCACAGTCCATTTAAAGGCGAGCAGCAGTGAAGGATGGGGCTCTAGGTAGCCAGAGCTGTACCACGAAGGGCTTGGCAAGCCATGCTAGAGTCTATGTCCCATCCCGAGGGCAATCCACAGCTAGATCACAAACTCCACGATAACCAGCGTCTCCCCAGCAACCACACAATGCTTGACACATCATAGCTCAATACTTGATAGCTAACGACCGAATGCATAGAGGGACAGCAATGAGGTGCTGTGGAAGGATCTTCACAATTTTTAATTCCTAAAATTGAAATGTCTACTAATTATACAGTCTTTGGCTTCACATTAAGACTAATGTGCAACTGCTGGTCATGCTATCGAGGTCACTAAAAGAACTGTTCAACTGGACGCGGTGGCTCATGCCTGTAATCCCAGCACTTTGGGAAGCCGAGACAGGTGGATCACGAGGTCAGGAGTTTGAGACCAGACTGGCCAACATGGCGAAACCCCATCTCTACTAAAAATACATAAATTAGCTGGGCGTGGTGGTGCATGCCTGTAATCCCAGCTACTTGGGAGGCTGAGGCAGGAGAATTGCTTGAACCTGGGAGGCAGAGGTTGCAGCAGTGAGCCGCAATCGTGCCACTGCACTCCAGCCTGGGCAACAGAGTGAGACTCCATCTCAAAAAGAAAAAAAAAAAAAGAGTTGTTCAAAATATAAGAGCAGTTCTTTGCCTGTTTTGAGGAGAGTACTAGAAAGGGCAAGTGAGACAGAAGAATGTGGAAGGGAAACCCTGATGACTGCACCTTTTAGCCCATGGCTGGCATTCTCTTCCTCTGCTGAGAGAGATCAAATAAAAGTTGTGCAGGACAAAAATACAAAAATTAGCCAGGCATGTTGGTGCATGCCTCTAATCCCAGCTACTTGGGAGGCTGAGGTAGGAGGATCGCTTGAACCCGGGAGGCAGAGGTTGCAGCGAGCCGAGATCACACCACTGCACTCCAGCCTGGGCAACAGCTAGACTCTGTCTCAAAAAAAAAAAAGTTGTGCAGGACAACATTTGCTGGTTTTTGATTTATTATTAAATTCCTCATCAGGGAGCTCTTCCATCCCAGCTAATTCACTGAGTAAGGTAATCACCCTTTGTATTTAAGATGATGTTACAGACTGTGATTAAAAGTCATGTGGCTGAAAAAGGACAGGATGATCAACCTGGCAGACAAAGCTCCACAGCTCTCTCGTGTTTCTGTGCATCTTGTGAGAGAGGCACTCAGTGTTCTTTGTTCCAGTCTATCTTCTCCAAGATGTCTGCAGGGCGAACAGCCTTAAAAAGGAGACAGCATCTACCTCTGGAGCAAAGGGCAAGCATGCTCACTGCCCATTATCAAAGTCTAGAGTTTCCCAAACTCAGCACTCCTCTCCTGTACGGCAACCAGTCATATTGCATCACGAGACATGGTAATGCACATTCACTGTATGTGAACGTAGGCATTCCTTCTGTGCCCATTATGTGCCCTTGGGACTTGGAGGCAGAGAAACTGATGCAAATACACTGAAGTTTATACTGCTTGCTGGGCCATGGGTCATAAAATCCTTTGTCTCTGACCCAGGAGTCTCCTTTCTGCCAGCATCCATGAAAAGCGGGAGAGGCTAAGCTGTTAGCTTACAAGTAGGGTAAGATCTCAGACCCTTCACAATGCTTGGCACACCCTTCTTAGAAATAGCTTAGTTTCACATCTCAACATTCTTGGTCATTCCCAATGAATTTACCTAACCAATGTGGATTCTTATGCTGCTGGCTATAATATAGTAACTGTTTTTAAAAGACCACAAATCTAAAAGCCTCCTTGATACACTTCCCCAACAGATTATCTTCCAAAGGCATAATAGTCCTAAGATACAGTACTTGTAACGGGATAGGAGAAATCCAAATAAAGAAAACAAAACATAAACTGAATGCAGTAGAAATCATTTGAGACAGAAGCCAGTTTTATAAAACATAAATAATCATTTATACTCCATGATTAGCAATGGATCCTGTCTGAAGTAAACAAGGACAATTAATACAGTACAAGATATTTGTGGTTTTGTTTTTTATAACCCACTAAGCCAAGATTTGTATCTCTGTATGGAACTGATTTTCAAATGGACAGAAATGGTCTTTGATCTTTCTGAACCACTTGTCTTCAAATTCTTCTGAGGATACAGTCACCAAGGCAGTCAGGGCTACGGAGCCAACACACTTCACCTCTGGGTGAACTTCATCTTTTATTTTTTCTGGGATATCTTCTCCCATAACCTATAACAGGAGGAAAAAAAAAAACTGTCCCAATAAAAGAGGCAGAGACATGGAATGCTAGTTATCAACTGCGAAGGCTTTCATTCAAAGGCAGAAAATACTTGAGCAGCCAGGGGACATTCCCAACACATTGAAAAGATGTTTGTTCAGAAGTAGTTATCCGTCTATGGCCATACCACCCTGACTGTGCCCGATCTTATCTGATCTCAGAAGTAGTTATCCAAGGACAAATAAAATATCCCATATTTCTACCCTCATTCTCCCCAAGTGAAAGAATCACTTTGGTGCTGCTGCAGCAGCAGTACTATTTGGCTTACCAGGAGTACTGAGTTACCCTTTTTGTTTCAAAGAGCATATTCTGTTGGTGAGAATGCAACTGTAGCATGTAGCTGGGCCCACCTTTTCCTGACCCAAAAGGACTCTAATCCCTCTATAACCAAAGCAATCTTGGGGATTTAAGGAGCCCGTTACCAATGAAGGTACAATACTGCTCCCTACTGGTCAGAATCAGGCCCAGATGAACACAGGGTCATGTCCCAAGATTCTGGGTTAGTTTCTTTGAGAAGACATCACAAAGTTAGGTTGTAGAAAGCTTGTACCTGAACCCACTAAGTAAGCAGACTGACCTTGGGTAATGACAATGAACTAAAATTAAGTTCCAAAACATTTCATACCATCTGTCACGAAAGCTTATGTAGTCATGGAGCAGGGATGTTGTAGAGGGAATTTAAGTTCCACATAGATTTGCATTAGATAATCTCCAAGGTTCCTGCAAACCCGGATATTGAATGTGTTCATGAAAACTCAAATTATAATGAATTAGAAGCAGGCTCAAATAATGGTTTTGCGGACTGGGTTTAAATCTTCAAAGATTACATATTGTTTGAGGAAATTGCCAGTGAGAGCCAAGCTTCACTAGGCAACAGTCAGTATTTACTAAAGCCTGGTATTTCACCAGTTCTAAGATACTTTTTTGTTTTTGTATTTTAACATCTCTAAAATCAAGATGTATCTGAGCCAGGTGTGGTGGTTCACATCTGTAACACCAACACTTCGGAAGGCCGAGGCAGGATGGTCGCTTAAGGCCAGGAGTTAGAGAACGGCCAGGGCAACAGAGCAAGATCCCCGTCCCTACAAAAAAAAGTATCATTTTTTTGAGTCAGAGTCTCGCTCTGTAGCCCAGGATGGAGTACAGTGGTGCGATCTTGGCTCACTGTGACCTCTGTCTCCTGGGTTCAAGCAATTCTCCCACCTCAGCCTCCAAAGTAGCTGGGACTACAGGCAAGTGCCACCATGCCCAGCTAATTTTTGTATTTTTAGTAGAAACAGGGTTTCATCATGTTGGCCAGGCTGGTCTTGAGTTCCTGACCTCAACTGATCCACCCGCCTTTGCCTCCCAAAGTGCTGGGATTATAGATGTGAATGAACCACTGTGCCCGGCCAAAAAATTGTTTAAAAATCAGCCGGGTATGGCAGCACTCAACTATAGTCCCAGCAACTACTTGGGAGGCGGAGGTGGGAAGATGCCGTGAGCCCAGGAGTTGGAGGCTGCAGTGAGCTATGACTGTGCCACTGCACTTCAGCCTGGGAGATAGAGTGAGACCCCACCTCCAAAAAAAATTTTAAAAAATGTATTTGATAACCACTGGAGTGAGGCTCTATGTGATAGTGTAAATGGCATCTTATTTTTCTTTTTTTTGGGGGGCGGGGGGTCAGAGTCTCACTCTGTCGCCCAGACTGGAGTGCAGTGGTGCAATCTTGGCTCACTGCAACCTCTGCCTCCTGGATCGAAGCTATTCTCCTGCCTCAGCCTCCCAAGTAGCTGGGATTACAGGCGTGCGCCACCAGGCCTGGCTAATTTTTGTATTTTTAGTAGAGACAGGGTTTCACCGTGTTACCCAGGATGGTCTTGATCTGACCTCGTGATCCACCCGCTTCGGCCTCCCAAAGTGCTGGGATTACGGGCGTGCGCCACCGCGCCCGGCAGGCATCTTATTTTTCTTTTAGTGACACATCAAATGATATGTCTTAAAACTGATGATTTCCTGGATTCAGTGAAATGTAGTATTTTAAAATCTGGGATAAAACACCAAAAATGCCTTTCTTAAAAAAAGATAAATGAATAATAGTAAGACCCAAACAACACACTATTCCCAAAAGAGGGACAGATAGGCACAATATTTACAGGTGTCAAAAATCTGCCAAAACATTCAGCCACATAAACATTTTAAACTTCCATATGCCAAAAAAAATCATAAACTTCAGAAAATATAGTAACTATAGAAAGATACTTAAGTCTAATATAGGGAGAACTCTTAAAATTGCTATGAAAAACAGAAAGAATAATGAAGCAAAAGCAAGACTAGGCATTTGACATGATACAAATGGCCAATAACACATGAAAAAATTGTTCATCTTAATAGTAAATAAACATTAATGCTAAAAACATTACATTTTTATCTACCAAGCTACCAATTTTTAAAGTAATATTATTAAGTTAAATTATATAAAACAGAGGTCAAAATGATTGATTTCACATGGTTCAATCTAATAGTCAGGATCAGGGTAGAAAAAACAATGCTTTCACATATTGCTAGAGGATATATAAATTGAACTAACCTTTCTAAATGATAATTTGGAAATGTGCTTTAAGTCTTTAAAAATGCTCATATATTTAAATCCAGCGATTCTATTTCTAATAATCTGTTCCAAAAGGTACAAAGGCACATATTGATTTTCTTGCAAGGATTTATTAAAATAGGTACTGAGTATTTGTTAAATGTTCAACACAGGGAACTAAGTAAATTATAGTTTGTCCAAAAATTGACTATCCAGTCATTAAAAATTATGTACTCAAATAATATTTAGGATATAGGGTCATGCCCATGTCATAATGTTAGGTAAATATCAGAACATAGAAAATAAAATGTACAGTTTGGTAGTTCCTAAAAAAGTTAAACAGAGCTAATATATGACCCAGTAATTCTACTCCTAGGTATATACCCAAAAGAATTAAAAACAGAGACTTAGCCGGGTGCAGTGGCTCATGCCTGTAATCCCAGCACTTTGGGAGGCCGAGGCAGGCAGATCACTTGAGATCAGGAGTTCGAGACCAGCCTGGCCAATATGGTGAAAGCCCTTCTCTACTAAAAACATAAAAATTAGCTGGGCATGGTGGCACACGCCTGTAGTCCCACCTACTTGGGAGGCTGAGACAGGAGAATTGCTTGAACCTGGAAGGCAGAGGCTGCAGTGAGCCGAGATAGTGCCACTGTACTCCTGCCTGGGTGACAGAGCAAGACTCCGTCTCAAACAAAAAAAACAAACAAAAAAGGAGACTTAAACATACTTATATGCTAATGTTCATAGCAGCATTATTCACAATATCCAAAAGGTAGAAACAACTCAAGTATCCATCAAAAGATGAGTAGATAAACAAAATGAGATATGTACATATATATGAATATTATTTAGCCATAGAAGGTATGAAGTTTTGATAAATGCTAAATATGGATAAACCTTGAAAACATTATGCTAAGTGAAATAAAGCAGACACAAAAGGACACATATGGCATGATTCCACTTATTTGAAATATCTAGAATAGATAAATTCACAGAGAAAAATAGTAGATTAGAGGTTCTAGTGGGTAGAGAGAGAAGAAAATAGGGAGTTATTGCTTAATGGGTAGAGTTTCTGTTTGGGGTGATGAAAAAATTTTGGAAATAATGGTCATGGCGGCACAACACTGTATACGTACTTAATACCATTGAATTGTACATTTAACAATGATTAAGATGGCAAATTTAAGTTACATATTTTATCAGAGTAAAAAAGAAAGAGGGAGAAGAGCAGTTGTTATAGAATAAAAAAGACATGAGACAAAAGGGCCACATATAGTATTTAGACCTTATTTGGATCCTAATTCAAATAAAAGAATTACAAACAGGAAAAAAAAGCATGTGATCATAGAATATTTAAGGATACAGGGCTATGTTATTACAAGTCAACTAAAATTAAAAGCACAAAATAAAGGCCAGGCATGGTGGCTCACATCTATAATCCTAGCACTTAGGGAGGCCAAGGCGGGACGATCATTTGAGGCCAGGAGTTTGGGACCAGACTGGGCAACATAGCAAGACCCTGCCTCTACAAAAAATTTTAAAATTAGCTGGACATGGTGGTGGGTGCCTGTAATCCTACGAACTTGGGAGGCTGAGGTGAAAGGACCACTTGAGCCTAGGAATTTCAGGCTGCAGTGAGCTAAGATTATGCACTGCAGCCTAGCCTGAGTAACAGAATGAGACCTTTTAAAAAATAAAAATAAGCACAAAACAAAATGTACATTATAATCCTAATTACAATCCTAACGAGGGCCCAGACATTTTCCATCTTTTTAAAAAGCTCCACTGGTATATCACATGCATTGTCTACACAGGAAACTACTCTTCCACCCAACCAACAGATTTATCGAGCATGGTGAAGAATACAAAGATGCTCAAAACATACTATTACTTATAAGGAACCTAGTATCTAGTTGAAAACATAAGATACATTCTTATGTCTTCTTAGGGCCCAAAGAGCTATCTATTCAAGCAATCACTATCTGAGCTCAGAGGAAGGAGAAATGACCACAGAGCAGAATATTCCGGAAAAGCTTCCTGGAGGATGTGGAACTTGGGAGAATTAAAAGACTGATCAGAAGTGTTTTTTTGTGTTTTGTTTTTTGAGATGGAGTCTCCCTCTGTTGCCCAGGCTGTAGTGCAGTGACACAATCTCGGCTCACTGCAACCTCCACCTCCCGGGTTCAAGCAATTCTCCCGCCTTAGCCTCCCGAGTAGCTGGGATTACAGGTGCCTGCCACCTCAACCGGCTAGTTTTTTGTATTTTTAGTAGAGATGGGGTTTCACCATGTTGGCCAGGCTGGTCTTGAGCTCCTGACCTCAAGTGATCCACCCACCTTGGCCTCCCAAAGTGCTGAGATTACAGGAAGTGTTCTGATGAGTAGTTCCATTTTAGACATTTTGTACTTGAAGTGACAGAAGAGTAATCAATAATTATCCCAGGTTAACCACCTAGTAGGCAATTAATCTGATGTGAGACACATGTCCCAGAGATGAGACTAGAGATAAAGACTGGAGAGTAATCAACCCAGAGGTGACAATGGAACCTAGGGGTGTGGTGATGATTTCTGTGACAGAAAAGTAGAAAACAGAGAGGCCAAGGGAATCTTTAGCATGCCATTACTTACGCTACAGAAGAAACCAGCTGAGTCCCAAGAGGCAGAGGAACGTTAAGAAACACAGGAGAAAAACAAACCAGTGTAGCCTCTCAGAAGTAAAAGGAAGAGATCAGGCATGGTGGCCCAGGCCTGTAATCCCAGCACTTTGGGAGGCCGAGGTGGGTAGATTGCTTGAGGCCAGGAGTTCAAGACAGACTGGCCAACATGGTGAACCCTGTCTCTACTAAAAATACAAAAATTAGCAGGGCGTGGTGGCACATGCCTGTGATCCCAGCTACTCGGGAGGCTGAGACATGAGAATCGCTTGAACCCAAGAGGTAGAGGTTGCAGTGAGCCGAGATCGTGCCACTGCACTCCAGCCTGGGAGACAAAGCAAGACTCTGTCTCAAAAAAAAAAAAAAGTTAATGAAGGTTTACATGTTAGTTTAAAAAAAATTACCTTTGAATTTCTATGCAACCATCAAAGTAGTAACAGGGTAGAGCAGGAATAAAATGGACTTGCAGCTGGCAAACACAAGCTCCAGACCAGCTCTCCCACTGAAAATCTGACCGCAGGCAAGTCACAAGTTCTCTGAGCCTCAATTCTAGCTCTACTCAACTTCACAAGCTGTTATGATGAATGGAGGAAAAAAAATAGAACTGCTACACAAATGTAAGCATTCATTCATTCATTTATTCAGCACTGAAACAAACAATTATTGGGCATTGATGATGTTCAGGCAGGCAGGTGCTAACAAGCACTGACAAGTACATGAAACACAGCCCCTGCGGTCCCGCACGCTGCAGGGGAATGCCGATCAAGAGGCCGCCTTGGTGATTGCTGAGTGATCAAAAGGCACACAGAGGAGGGAGACAAGTCCTTCAGTAGATTAAATTTGGCCCTGCTTTATAAAAAATGCTATCAGAGCCAGGGAAAATATCTATGATGCTTCGTTTCACATAAACCCGAGGGATACACTCACCTCAGCTATCAACAGCAAAGTGTCTTCTTTGAAGCTGAACCCTTTCATTTTATCTTCAATTTCCTGCTGAGTCCTTAAGTTCCTCTCCAAAGCAAACGATGTTTGCTGAGGTTGGGTAAACTGAAGCAGAAGCCTGAAAAACCGAAAAGTCTCAATGCGTGGCGAAAAGTCCCAACGCTTCCAGATAAAGGAAAGCCGCGAGGAAATGTTCAGAAAGCCCAGGTATTGAGTCGGCTGCAAGTCCCACCAGGTTAAAAAGCAGGTACCCACCCTCACTAGAACTATCATTTCAATCCCTAAAGCTTCCGACTTGGAATCAATTGCCCAACTTTACATTGGAGATTCATCTTTTCTAAAATATAAAGACTAAAACTGCTCAAAGAAATCTTCAGAGAGCAACACCTGAAAAGAGCTTCCGGCCTCAAAAGAGCTTCCTGTGGAAGTCAAGGGATTGAAAGGATAAGTAATTTGGAGTGAAAGGAACGAGCCTCCCAATCAGACTCCTCTCACACAGGCCCTCTGGATTTGCTCCTTTGAAGTCAGTGTTCTGTGACCCTTCCATCTCGCTGACCCCACAGCAACTTGACCGCAAGGACTAATTAGATTCGCTAGCACACTTCAATTACCCCAAGCAGGGCCAAATCTTTGATGACCCTCTGACAACCACTCTGCGATACCTTACCACTGACTTCCCTGTCATGATCATAGCTGGTCTCCTCTCTCATTTAACTTCCTCCTGTCTTCCTCATTTGGCTCCTTTTTTTTTTTTTTTTTAATAAATACTCAATATGCAGATTTTCCCCTTTTTTCTCACTGGTACCTACTGCAATGCCCAGAAGCACTGGCTCTCCATGCTGTGGAACATGCCCAACACTACGCTAGGCAATGAGAGATACTGATGAGCAAAACACACTTGTGGCCTCATGGAATGAATGGAAGGAGGGAGATAGCACATAAGTATTTCAGGTAGTGACAAGTGCTATGGAAAAAAACCCAAGACAGGGTGGACACAGTAACCTCTTCAGATGCGGCGGTATAGGCAGGAAGGCTTCCTTGAGATACCAGGCAAGCTACGAGCTACCTGATGAGGAACCAGTGGGAGAACATCTGGTGGCGAGGGCTTGGCCAGGGAGAAGGGGGCTCTGACACAGGAACAAATTTGATATGCTTGAAAATCACTAAGATCACTGTGGCTGGAACACAGTCAGAGAGAAAAATGTGTAGTAAATGAGGTGGGAAAAAAAAGCAGGGCCAATTCAAATCAGACCTTGCAGGCCATGGAAAGAAATGCGGAATTGACGTAAGTGCAATGGGAAGCCATCCGGGCGTTTCAGAAAGGAGCCTGACCTGACTCACAGGTAAAATGATCATCTGTCTGCTTCAGTCTGACCTGTTGACATCACCTACCCGGCCTCGGGAAGCATTCACCTTCGTTACCCCTTTGATGTAACTTGCTTTCTGCCCTCTGGATATACTCCAGGCACCCGCGACTCGGTACTTCAAGCCTAAAATCATTGCCTTCCACCCCAAATCGGCTCTGCTCATCCTCCCAGATGTCCTATCTCAGCGGAAGGCACCACCATCCACCTGTGCATCCTCGAGAGACTCTGCAGAGACTCTTCCGGTCTCCTCACCCTCAACCTTCCCACACACTCCGCTGGTCACCAAGTCCTGTCTATTCTATCGTGCAGTGACATCCATTTCTTTTTTTTATTACCACTGTACCAGCCTAGGTCAGGCCCTCATCATCTTCCACTAATTACTCTACAACCTCTAGTCCTTAGCTCCTCCTTCTAATCCAGCATCGCAGTCACCAGAGCTCTCTAAATCACAGGTTTTGGCCAGGCGCGGTGGCTCACGCCTGTAATCCCAGCACTTTGGGAGGCCGAGGCCAGTGGATCACCTGAGGTCGGGAATTCGAGACAGCCTGACCAACATGGAGAAATCCCATCTCTACTAAAAACACAAAATTAGCCTGGCATGGTGGTGCATGCCTGTAATCCCAGCTACTCGGGAGGCTGAGGCAGGAGAATTGCTTGAACCTGAGAAGCAGAGGTTGCGGTGAGCCGAGATCGCGCCATTGCACTCCCACCTGGGCAACAAGAGTGAAACTCCGTCTCAAAAAAAAAAACACCAAAACCCAAAACACACACACACACACAGGTCTTATCACATGCTCCTGTATTTAAAACCTGCAAATACTCTTCAGGCCTTCGGCACAAAGACCAAACCCTTGTGACACCAAACATCTTGTGTTAACAATAAAAACAACAAAAATAAAAGTACTAATCTAACATTTACCAAATGCCTACTACATACCATGCAGGACAATAAGTACTTTAAATACTTTAATTCTACAACCCCAGGAAGCAGGCATTTTCCCCATTTCTCCATCTGTCAAGATTAAGCAACTAGAGAGCAGAGTTTAAGGAATGTGTGCAAGGTCAGACCGCTTGCAAGAGTTCAGGTTCATCCACTTAGCATCAGCAATTGACTAAGTTCTTCAAAACCAGTTCTGACGCCAAAGTCCTACTTCCTACTTCCTCTGCCACCCTGGCACTGTGGCCACAGCCTACCTTGAGCCCTTACCACCAATGCTGCTCTTACCACCAGACAATGTGACAACACTGTTCTAGAACGGATCCTCTGCCCCTCTGGGCGGTGCCTTCTTTTTACCTAGCATGCCTCTTCCCACGTGGGGAATATTAACGTGGAGTGAGCAAGATAAGCTGAAAGAATACAGGGTCTGGAATCAGAGACCAGCTCCAAATCCTGGCCCTGCACTTCACAGTTGCACCACTTTGGGAATGATTTTAATAGTTTCCTGATCCATCTAGTGGGATCCCAATAGGTATCCCAGAGTCATGAGGATTAAAATGAAATAATGTATACAAAGCATCTAGCACTCAGTCAACTGACAAGGGTTCCTACAGGGACCATTCAGCAGAGGCATCATCCCCTCTGTAAAGGCTTCCTTCTTTTGGCCACGCCAACAGCTCCCTGACGTTGGTCACAGCACTGATATACTATTTAGCACCTGTGCTGGCAGTTACAGGCTAGACATACCATTTCTCTGAGTGAGTGAGGGGCATAAGGGACTGCTTTTTAAATGATCTTTGTGATCCTAGCACCAAGCACATGTCTGGCACACGGTTGTCATTCAATGTGCCTCTGAATTAGTGACATGGTCAATCTAAACAAGCATCCACTGAATACATTTTAAAATTTGCCAAATAGCTGGGAACGGTAGCTCACTCCTGTAATCCCAGCACTCTGGGAAGCCGAGGCGGGTGGATCACCTGAGGTCAGGAGTTCGAGACCAGCCTGGCCAACATGGTGAAACCCTGTCTCTACTAAAAATACAAAAATTAGCCGGGTGTGGTGGTGCACAGCTGTAATCCCAGCTACTCAGGAGGCTGAGGCAGGGGAATTGCTTGAACCTGGAGACAGACGTTGCAGTGAGCGGAGATCACACCACTGCACTCCAGCCTGGGCAATAAGAGCAACTCCGTCTCAAAAAAAAAATAATAATAATAAAATAAAATTTGCCAAATAGATACCACTTCTCAGTAAGCCTCACTGTTAATATTTCTTGAATCCTCCTGAGTTAAAAAATCTGTATATTCTTTGGTACCATTTGAAACATGAGAGAGTCTGCTTCTTCTCTCATCATTTATAGAACTGGTCAAGTGTATTCTCCCTACCCTTCCCTCAAACTCATACTTTAAAGATAAAAAGTACTTGGTATCCCTAGGCACAAACCATGGGAATTCTCTGTAGAATGAATTAAGCATCATCTACTCCCATTATCAGCAATTCAAATACAAGAGCTAATTTTCTTCTTTAGTAGATTTCTGTGGAATATACGAACAGAAAATTCCTTCTTTAAAATATGTCTTCTCCCTTTTTCAGTGTTTTATACATTTTTATTTTCCTAATTTTTTAATGTTTTCTAATCTTAACATTCCATCTTGGACAATGACACAGGTTATATTCCTTTTTGTTTCTGAGAGTTTCATTCTGTTGCCTAGGCTGGAGTGCTGTGGTGTGATCTCAGCTCACTGCAGCCTTGGCCTCCCAGGCTCAAGCAATCATTCCATCTCAGCCTCCTGAGTAACTGGGACTACAGGCACGCACCACCATGCCTGGTCAACTCTTTTTTTTTTTTTTGAGACGGAGTCTTGCCCTGTCGCCAGGCTGGAGTGCAGTGGCACGATCTCAGCTCACTGCAACCTCCGCCTCCCGGGTTCAGCGATTCCCCTGCCTCAGCCTCCTGAGTAGCTGGGACTACAGGCACGTGCCACCATGCCCAGCTAATTTTTTGTATTTTAGTAGAGACAGGGTTTCACCATGTTGGCCAGGCTGGTCTCGATCTTCTGACCTTGTGATCCACCCACCTCACCCTCCCAAAGTGCTGGGATTACAGGCGTGAGCCACCGCGCCCGGCCCGCATAGTTAACTTTTCAAAAAAAAATTTTTGTAGAAATGGGATTTCACCATGTTGCTCAGGCTGGTCTCAAATTCGTGAGCTCAAACGATCCACCTGCCTCAGCCTCCCAAAATGCTGGGATTACAGGTATGTGCTACCACACCAGCTAACACAGGTTGTATTCTTAAACAAATGTAGTTTTGTTTCCAAGTATTACACACTAGAATGACAAACGTTCAACACAACCATAGGAAAATTTCAAAAATATATACCAAATGTCTAGCCTAGAACTTTTTGAAGCTTAAAATTAGAAAATAAAGCCTTTACTCTGAGCTGATTACCAAGCGTTGCTTAAGTGACTCTCAGCTTACCTGGTTCGTATAAAAGAGGCACATGCTTTCAGCTGAGTCTCTATCAACACTGTTTCTCTCTTTTCTGCCATACAGTTTTGGATATTTGTCAGAGCTTTCTCATTTTTCTGGCTATTACTGCTATTCGCTTCCACAGAAAATAAAGAGCTCTCAGGCAAGGTTTCAGGAAAACACAAAAGACAGTCTTTTCCTGAGTGTGGAAAGAAGGATTTGATAGTTTTGTCACTTGAGGTGAAACTGTGCTGTTTCTGAGATGACGCAAGTGCTGCTGAAAGAGCTGGCCCCAGATTCAGGTAAGCCTCTGCCAATTTGCCCCAGTTCCAAGGATTAAAAGGATGCAAAGAAATCAGTTTCTGCAGGCAGAAAATTGTTTTCTCCAAGTTCTGCAAACTTGAACAAATAGCAAGCTGGAGGTAGAGTACCGTGGTTAAATGGTCTGTGTTGGTTGCTTTATTTTCCTAAGGAGAAAAAAAAAAGGTTAAGAAGTTTAAACTTCAAAGCATTTTCCATATAAAATGAGAATGCCTAAAAAACCAAGTTGTATATGTTATAAATTAGAAGTATCTTTCAGTAGCTATACGAGTGACCTAAATATATTTCAATATATCTCATGTTTGAAACCGTAAACCCAGAGAGATATATGCTACCTAGAGAAAGAGTCACCAGCCATTCCCAAACATCCTAATGTCATAATAACTTAACAATTCCTAGATGGTGGCCTGCCAAATGTTCAGCATCAAAAACATAAATATCCATTTATTTCCAATTTTTATTATAATCTTTACTGTCTTCAGCCAGGTATCTGAAAGACCCAGCCACTTTTCTTAGATCCTGGCCTAATGATTCCATTGTAATATTCAAGGCTTTCTAAAAATCCAAATGGTAATTTCCTTGAGGATTTGAACAAACTCCACTTCCAAATTTTATTTGGCTTAGACATTTTAAACAGGATAGCCCTGAAGCTCTCCATGCTTCATGACGCATTCTAATTGAATCCAAATGCCTTCCCTGGTAACCATTACCAAGGTCAATTATAATTTTTGGCCAAAAGGGGTTGCTTAGTTTCCTTTTGATCAGAAAATCCTTTTCAAATCTCCTTAACCAGCGCCAACATCTCTTGCCTAACTTGCCATATGGCAAATGTCCTCTGGGTTAGTAAAAACAGGCCTGCTTTTTGTAAGTTGAAGTTTGCGGAGAGCAGATGGCAGACTCAAATTACCTTCAAGTTGATGTGAGGTCTAAGGAAAGCCTGGCCTGCAAGCGTCCAGATCAGGCTCCCTCACAGAACCACACTGAGCATGAAACATGAGCAAAACTACCTGGTGTACGGCCCCAGGAAACTGTACACCAGCAAGTGAAGGCCTGCGGGCAGCTCTAAATATTCCCACATTGAGTGAAAAGATAGGAGATAAAGCCCCATACGACTGATTTGCTGACACTGTACCTTCCCAAAGACAGAACACATCTCGTTTTATTGTTACTATTGTTCAGCATCTGTCCTTCCCAACAGACCATTTAGCTCCATAAGAGCTTTTGTTCAATGTAAATTCCTAGTACAGAGCACAGCTCCTCGGCCATCACAGATGTTAAATCACGTTTGAGTAATGACTTTTCTAAAGTCAAATCATGTCATTTATAAGGAAAACAACATGTATAGACTACATCTGTAACAAATGCTACCCTTCTTCTGTAACCAGTCTATAGGGCTTTATATTGTTCAAAAACTTTTTTTTTTTTTGAGACAGAGTTTCGCTCTCGTCGCCCAGGCTGGAGTGCAATGGTGCGATCTCAGCTCACCGCAACCTCTGCCTCCCTGGTTCAAGCAATCCTCCTGCCTCAGCCTCCGGAGTAGCTGGGATGACGGGTGCCTGCCACCACACCCAGCTAATTTTTGCATAAAGTAAAGACAGGGTTTTGCCATGTTGGCCAGGCTGGTCTCGAACTCCTGACCTCAAGTGATCCACCCCCTTCGGCCTCTGAAAGTGCTGGGCTTACAGGCATGAACCACTGTGCCCAGCCTCAAAAACATTTTGATATTGATAAAGCAAGTGTGTGTTAGGGTGGAGGCTGTTACTCACAAACTATGATCCTGATGACAGGGTTTTGTTTGTTTGAGATGGAGTCTCATTCTTTTGCCCAGGCTGGAGTGCAGTGGCGTGATCTCGACTCACTGCAATCTCCACCTCCCAGGTTCAAGCAGTCCTCCCACCTCAACCTCCCAAGTAGCTGGGACTACAGGTGCCCACCACCACACCAAGAGAGTTTTTAAAATTGTTATTAGGGATGCGGTTTCACCATGTTGGCCAGGCTGGTCTTGAACTCCTGACCTTCGCCCACCTCGGCCTCCCAAAGTGCTGGGAATACAGGCATGAGCCACTGCGCCCTGTCAATAGTAGGGTTTTGAGAGGTGGATTAGTAAACTCCTTCTGGAAATTAAATTCTATTTAGGCCGGGCGTGGTGGCTCACATCTGTAATCCCAGCACTTTGGGAGGCCAAGGCGGGCGGATCATGAGTTCAGGAGATCGAGACCATCCTGGCTAACATGGCGAAACCCCATCTCTACTAAAAATACAAAAAATTAGCTAGGTGTGGTGGCGGGCACCTGTAGTCCTAGCTACTCAGGAGGTTGAGGCAGGAGAATGGCATGAACCCGGGAGGCAGAGCTTGCAGTGAGCCAAGATCATGCCACTGCACTCCAGCCTGGGCAACAGAACGAGACTTCATCTCAAAAAAAAAAAAAAAATCTATTTAAATGAGTGAGTGATTTTTCCAGAATACTGCAACTCTTTCTGTAACAATAACATGATGATGACAGTTAACATTTACTGAGTGTTTACGCAGTGCCAGGCACTATTCTAAGTGTTTTCCTCATTTAATCCTCCTGACAGTGCTTTAAAATAGATTCAGTAATTTTCCTTATGTTACAGATAAGGCAACTGGGTCACAGAGAGGTTAGATAACTTGCCTGCCATAACGTGGCTGGTAAGCAGGAGAGCTACAGTCAGTTATACTAAAAGTCAAGGAATAAAAGGTACTTACGAAGAGCTGATATGGCCAGGCAAGGTGGCTCACCCCTGTAATCTCAGCACTTTGGGAAGCCGAGGTGGGCAGATCACTTGAGGTCAGGAGTTCAAGATCAGCCTGGCCAACATGGTGAAACCCTGTCTCTATTAAAAATACAAAAAAGGCTGGGCGCATTGGCTCATCCCTATAATCCTAGTACTTCGGGAGGCTGAGGCGGGTGGACTGCCTGAGCTCAGGAGTTCGAGACCAGACTGGACAACATGATGAAACCCCGTCTCTACTAAAATACAAAAAATTAGCCAGATGTGGTGGCGGGCACCTCTAATCCCAGCTACTTGGGTGGCTGAGACAGGTGAATCGCTTGAACCCAGGAGGCGGAGGTTGCAGTGAGCCAAGATCGCGCCACTGCACTCCAGCCTGGGCGACAGTGCGAGACTCCATCTAAAAAACAAAAAAACAAAAACAAAAACAAAAAAACAAAAAAAAATGTAGCCAGGTGTGGTGACACATGCCTATAATCCCAGCTACTTGGGTGGCTGAGACAGGTGAATTGCTTGAACCTGGGAGGAGGAGGCTGCAGTGAGCCAAGATCGCACCACTGCACTCCAGCCTGGGCAACAGAGCAAGACTCCATCTCAAAAAGAAAAAAAGAGCTGATGTATATGTGCGCTGGCTAAACCGACCAGACACTAGATGAGCACTGCATGTACACGATATATTGTTTGTCTCCTTAGCATCGAACCCAGAACCAGGAAAATAGTAGGACTGAAATGTTTGTTGAGTGCTGAGTGGATAAATGAAAAGGAGTCACTTACTACCAGAAAGCCATTTTCTTACCACAGTTACCACACAGGAATACCAACCACTATAAGAAAATGTTGTAATTATTTAAGAAATAAGTCCTACTATAAATTTTATCCAAAAATCATGAAAAGAGGTGAATGAATTTCAGCAGAAATTGTGAACAGAAAATGTTCGAATCTTGATGGCCACCCCGGGACTTGCTGTCTATTTTGTTCAATGTTACATACTGCGACAGGTCCCCCTACAGAATGTGAAAAGACAGTAACCACCGTCACAAAAAAACAGATATGGGCCAGAGCTAGTAACAAAAGGCGAGGGTCCTCAGGTAGAGAAGAAATTTTAAAAAACAAAACAAAACACAGCTTACCAGGAAATGAGAATGCCGTGCAGACACGCAAGGTCCGCTGAGATCATGTGTGAAGCCGACAGAAAGGGGCGAACCCCACGAGCCCGCTTTCCACCTGACAGTCCTGCCCAACAGGTTGCCAGGACGCCTGATGCACAGTTCTGAAAGTCCAGGGTTTTCTGACTGGTGTTTCTCCTGCCTAGTAACCATCCCCAGCACCGGAGACCTGGCATCGGCTGATTGGCAACAGATCCTTCTCTGAGCCACCGAAACAGATTCCCTAAGCTAGAAGGAACCAGAGATGACCCAACCCCTGCCAGGAATCCAGCTGCCACTACCTTCAACAATCAAAGAGGAGGAGGAGGAAGCACAACAGTGACGTGCAAGAAACGCCGAGCGAGCAGGACAGTAGTAAAGGCTACAGAAAGGCACCGGAAGGGCCAAGAGCACTGTTAATTTGCGGACTGGGGAAGACTAGAAATGAACACAATGAAATCCCATCAAGTTAACTGCTCATGCAAACGCTTAGGAAGTCGATTTATCTATCTTTCAGCTTAAGCACTAACCCCCAATTAGTAGAGAACAGAAAAGAAAGAACAAAACACAGCTGTTTTCCATGTTCTTAGAACAATTACTGCCAAAGTTTCCTCGAATTGCAAGAGGCTGAGGTCCTATGCAGTGAAGGCTTAAGCAAACAAAGGTTAGGGATTTCTCTTAGTTAATGAGATGGCAGATGTCAGCTCAATTGTGTGCATACGTTAGGCTGATCTGATCGCTGGGCGGTACATCCACAAAGCTCAAAATCGGTGCCACAGTGTCTCCTTAATTTCCTCCGAGGAAGAAAACTAGTCCATTTAGACTAATTCCCATATAAAATTTACACAACAATCAATACAAATAATGCCTTAACCTAGAAACAAAAGCAATAAAATCTAGAACTGGAAAGAACTACCTTTCTTTATCCCTTAAAAAAAAATTCCGCTTTAGAATGTGTGGAAAAAGGCAATAAAATTTTTTTTTAAAGAAAAAGAAGGCCGGGTGCAGTGGCTCACGCCTATAATCCCAGCACTTTGGGAGGCCGAGGCGGGCGGATCACAAGGTCAGTTTGAGACCAGCCTGACCAACATGGTGAAACCTCGTCTCTACTAAAAATACAAAAATTAGCTGGGCGTGGTGGTGCATGCCTGTAATCCTAGCTACTCAGGAGGCTGAGGCAGGAGAATCGTTTGAATCCGGGAGGCGGAGGTTGCGGCAAGCCGGGATCACTCCACTGCACTCCAGCCTGGGTGACAGAGTGAGACTCTGTCTCAAAAAAAAAAAAAAAGAAAGAAAAATTCCCTTTTTCTTCAGCGAGGCTGCCGAGCTCCAGATGCAGAGATGCAGATCTTTGTGAAGACCCTCACAGGCAAGACCATCACCCTTGAGATCGAGCCCAGCAACGCCAAAATTCAGGACAAGGAGGGCATCCCACCTGACCAGCAGCGTCTGATACTTGCGGGCAAACAGCTGGAGGATGGCCGCACTCTCTCAGACTACAACATCCAGAAGGAGTCCACCCTGCACCTGGTGCTGCGCCTGCGAGGTGGCATTACTGAGCCTTCCCTCCGCCAGCTCGCCCAGAAATACAACTACAACAAGATGATCTGCCGCAAGTGCTGTGCCCGCCTGCACCACCCCGTGCTGTCAACTCCCGCAAGAAGCGCGGCCACACCAACAACCTGTACCCCAAGACGAAGGACAAAGAAGGCTCTTCCTTCCCCAAAGAGCGGCGTCCTGCCCAGGCCTCATGGCCCTGGGGCCTCAATAAAGTGTCATAAAGTGTCCCTTTCGTTGACTGGGGAAAAGGAAAAAGAAAAAAAAATTCTGCAAATTCCACTTAAAAATAAAAAGGACTACTAAGTGTGGCTTGGTAATGAGTATTTAGTCATTTTGGGGGGGGGACCTTTTTTGGCTTAGAAAAATACTGTTCATTGTAGAAATTTTGGAGAACAACGTCTAAAAACAATCTAACGAAGAAAACAGATCACTCATAGTCCTTCCACACTGAATGTTACTCCTAACAAGAGAAAAACCTCTGCAAAGGAGATTTTCAGGCAATACAGAATTTTGAGCATGACACAAGAAAAATATTACAAGAAAATGATTATGTCTAGGTTCCAAGTTGTTCATCATAATAAAACTCTCACACCCCTGACAATTTTCTTCTGCTTATCCAAACCCATAGATTTTGCTACTAGCAAGAAGTTTGTTTTGTTTTCAAAAAATACACCATTCGACCACCCTTATAGGAATGTGTGTGAAAATAAGCAATAAAATCACTCACCAAGTTTGCAGCAATCTCCAGCGCCTCCATATGCCTACCCAGGTGAGCCAGACACCGAGCCTGACCTTCCTGGACATCCCTTTTCATGGCAAAATTGGTTGATGACAATTTTTCAGAGATACTGGAATACTCCTGCAGTGCTTTCTGGAAATTATTTGTTAAATAAAGAAATGAAAGGAGGAAAACATAACAGAAAAAAGGATTCAGAATAGGGGTGATTTTTTTTCCTAGGTGGAAAGTAATGTTATAACTGACCAATGAATTACATGAATATTTAAATGAATTAAAGAAGATTTCACTATTCTAGTGATATGGTTTAGCTGTGTCCCCACCCAAATCTCATCTTAAATTGCAGCTCCCATAACCCCCACATGTTGTGGGAGGGACCTGGTGGGAGGTAACTGAATCATGGGGGTGGGTTTTTCCCATGCTATTCTCATGGTAGTTAGTCTCAGGAGATCTGATAGTTTCATAAAAGGCAGTTCCCCTGCACACACTCTCTTTGCCTGCCGCCATGTAAGACGTGACTTTGCTCCTCCTTCACCTTCTGCCATGATTGTGAGGCCTCCCCAGCCATGTAGAACTGTGAGTCCATTAAACCTTTTTTTTTTTAAATAAATTATCTAGTCTTGGGTATTTCTTCATGGCAGTATGGAAATGGACTAATACATCTAGTCAATCCTACTTTCCTAAAAGGTAGAGAAGGAATGGCTAGAGAATATAATCACTACTACTATGGAAAGCATCATGATATAGCAGAAAGAACATTCTGGGACCAAATATACTAGGCTTTGAATTCTGGTATTGCCACTAACTTACTTTATAACCTTTTCATCAGCAAAATAAAAACAGGATTCTCATGCAGATGAAATGAGATACATATGTAACGCAATCTAACATCTAGTTGTTAGTTCTTTTTCTTATACATTTTGGGGTGATTTGCTCCTGTGGCACTGTGAAATGTCTGTGCTAGAGGGTCCTAAGTAATGAGGAGATTCAGAACCTTGAGGAATAAACCTACAAGGACAAGGACCCCAAAGAGATCCTTTTGTTGGAGTTACAGAAAACAAACAAATCATACAGAGCCAAGCAGAAAAGAACGGAAACTTGGGAGCCTCAGATTATAAACACACATCACAAAAGATTAAACTCATCTTCATAAACACCACACTAACTTGGTACACTGTTATTTACATATGCCATAACTGATAAAACAAGAGCCCACTTCAAGCACCATATGTTGAATTCTACCTGATACTCTTGTCGTCTGTAGGCCAGGTCTCCTTTGAATTTCTTGAGAGTCAGCACTTCAACATCATCACTGCTTTCTGTTTCTTCATAAAACCACTTGAAATCATGAAAATAGCCTATTACAGAGTGAGCTATGCTTTTCCACCTCATATTCAGAAGCAATTTCCCATAATATAATTGATTAAACGTCAAAAAAAGACTTCTTCAAGAGTCTGGCCAGGTTAGTCTTGAACTCCTGAGCACAAGTGATCCTGCCTCTGCCCACCTTGGCCTCCCAAAGTGCTGGGATTACAGGTGTGAGCCACCGCACCCAGCCCACATTGGTTCTTTAAAATGAGACATGCTTTCTTGTAGATAAACTTTAGTGTGACTGGAATAGGGATTGACAATTCTTTACTGAAAGGACATAGGAAAGAAGAATTATAGATATGGTGCTATTATGAAAATGTCATAATGGCAAAAAACTAGAATTTCAGCAAAGGAGACAGAAATTAAGGCTAGAAGGAGGCTCCAATGCAACCAAATACCAAAAACCTGTAGGAGAGAAGTCTGAGGAAATGCCCATCTAGGATACTTTATTTGCTTTTCTACTGATTTAAATCCTATGGATAAAAAGGAAAGTGAGACTGAGATTGCTTGACTATTGAATAAATAACGTAGGGAAAGGCAGTGGCTTACACCTGTAATCCCAGCAATTTGGGAGGCCGAGGCGGGCAGATCACTTGAGGTTAGGAGTTTGAGACCAGCCTGGCTAACAACAGTAGAGAAACCCTGTCTCTACTAAAAATACAAAATTAGGCCGGCATGGTGGCACACGTCTGTAATCCCAGCTAGCTGGGAGGCTGAGGCAGGAGAATCGCTTTAACCCGGGAGGTGGAGGTTGGGGTGACCCGAGATCGCGCCACTGCACTCCAGCATGGGCAACAAACTCCACCTCAAAAAAAAAAAAAAGAAAAGAAAAAAATCACTTCATTTTAGAATTTATATTAAATTCTATGCACCTGTACAGCACATCAGATCTGACAAAGTATTTTCATATACATTATCTCATTTCACTCCCACGATAACTCTGTGAGCCAGCATGTATTATTTTTCTGAAGGGACAAATAAGGAGCTGACACCTTCAAGGCAAGTGGTTAAAGCCAACACTGGAATTCAAGAGTCCTATCTCATAACCAGAGTTTTTTTAATGTTCTGCCACATGATTTCCAAGCCCAATCCCTGTTTTGAGTCTACATGATCCAGGGCTGAAGGTAACTTTGAAAGATCGTATGTGATAAGGAGAAAATGCAACTGAAATAACCAAAAACACAATTCAGTAATTATCGAGTGCCTGGCATCTTGTCAGTACAATTGTGAGGAACGAATGAGACAGTATATGCGAAGGAACCCACCACAGTGCCCGGAACACTTCCGTATTTTCCATAAATATTAGTTTTGACTGATGAACTATTTACACTCATGAAAGAATAGGAAGTAATACTCTACTAATTCAAAAATATTCGCGGAGTCACTATTATTAATAAAAACTGTTAGGCACTGCCAAGGGCATCAAGAACCCATGCTGGTGCGATCATTTAGCACTCCGGGTCTCAGGACTTTGTGGGAATACTGACAAGTGCTTTAAGTAGAAGCTAAATAGAGGGAAGGGGGCCAAAGACAAAAATATTTGGCTGGAAGACGAAATCAGAAAAGACTTCCTAGAGGAGATGACATTTAAGATGTGCCTTGAAAAACGGATATAACTGAAGGACTTTAACCATCAGCGCGGGGTTGGTACGGGCAGGGGGAGCTCGCCGAAGAGGGAGGGGAGAGTGGGTTTGCCGGAGGTCACCGTTTTGGGAGGCCTGACTGCCCAGCTGTAAGAGCAGTGAAGACAAACGGGAGGTACCGGAGATTGCAGGGCAGGGGCGTTGAGACCAGCCGGCAGCAGCCAGGCCGGCCAAATGCCAAGTGGGAGTCAAGCCGCTTACAACGCGGGGATTCTCGCCCATGGACCCGGAATGGGGCCTGGGAAAGCCGCTTCCCCGTGGAGGAGGAGGGACGGCGGGGGACGCGGCGGGCGCTGGAGCCTGCCAGGGTTTGCGTTCGCGCGGACGGAGGGGCCGAGGCCGGGGCCGGGGCCCCGCGGAGGGCGAGGCCTGGGGCCCGGGATAAGGCGAAGAGGCCCCAGCTTCTCACCTGCGGCTCGCAGAGCTTGGCGCAGTAGGACGCGGGCGGTCCTGACCGCCGCTCCGGCCTCTCCTCGAACACCGAGTCCTCGAACTCGCCGCCGAACAACCAGCACCCGGAATCCATCTCGCGCCCGCGGCGGGGGCAACGAGGAAGCGGGGCCCGCCGGAAAAGGCGGGGCTTCCACGGCCCAGAGCGCGGCACGCTGGGACTTGTAGTCTTTGAGGGCGACGCGGGGACGTGGCCGCTGCTGGTTGGGAGTAGTGGTTGAGCTGAGATGATTATCTGACCCACTAACTGACCGAACCCCAGGACGGAGGTTTTGACTTCTCTGTGTCAGGAGATGGACAGAATGATCCTTACCTGCACGCATCAAAAAGCACGCTGGCCCCAGAGTAGCTGTTTAAAACTCGCAGGTACCTTTTTAAAAATTAAAATAAGAGGCCGGGCGCGGTGGCTCAAGCCTGTAATCCCAGCACTTTGGGAGGCCAAGGTGGGCGGATCACTTGAGGTCGGGAGTTCGAGACCAGCCTGACCAACATTGAGTAACCAGGTCTGTACTGAAAATACAAAAATTAGCCGGCCGTAGTGGCGCGCGCCTGTAATCCCAGCTACTCGGTAGGCTGAGGCAGGAGAATCGCTTGAACCCGGGAGGCGGAGGTTGCGGTGAGCCAAGATCGCATCATTGCACTCCAGCCTAGGCAACAAGAGTGAAACTTCGTCTCAAAATAAAAAATAAAATAAAATAAAATAAATAAAATAATTTCGAGACAGGGTCTCGCTCTGTCGCCCAGGTTGGAGTGCAGTGGTGAGATCATGGCTCACTGCAGCCTCGAACTCCCAGACTCAACCTATCATCCCGCCTCAGTCCCCCAAGTAGCTGGGGCTACAGGCGCGCGCCACCATGACCGTCTAACTTGTGTATTTTTTGTGGAGACTGGGTTTCCCTACGTTGCCCAGGCTGGTCTCGAACCTGATCTCAAGCGATCCGCCCACCTCGTTCTCCCAAAGTGCTGGGATTATAGGCGTGAGCCACTAAGCCCGGTGCAAGTACCAATTGTCAACCACTGTGCATTCCCGTCACTGTGTTAAGCACATTTTTTCTTTTCGGCTAACAACCACCTTATGAAAGCCAAAGTGATTCCCATTTTGCAAATCCTATTTTGAAGATATTGGAGTTTGGAGAGGTTAAGTAACTTGTTAAGTTTCGGTCATTATGTGGCTGAAACTTGGGAAATACAGAAATGAATGCGTACTCTCCGTGCTTCCGGACAAGAGACACTACCACCAATAACAAAGACCGGAGTCATTCACGCATTTATGAAAGAAAAGACACAGAAATATACCGTGGGAGGCTAGATCAGGGAGCATTCATTCGACCTGGAGAACACCAAATCTCAAAATTCTAAGACTAACATTTACTACAATTCTTATACTTTTAAGATATTTCTTGACTCTAGAAAGTAAAGATTGTTGACAAAATGCTGGCCAATACTGTACAGCACAATATTGTGCCATATTACACAGTAGGAAATAAACATAAAGGTTTTCCCCGATTTTTTTCCTGTTCCTCTTCACTCTCACCAGTTTCTCTTCCACCATTTATCTGTCTTCCAGGTTTCTTTTTTAAAATTTTATCTGTTTATTTATTTCTGAGACAGGGTCTCGCTCTGTCGCCCAGGCTGGGGTGCAGAGGCGCAATTTCGGCTCACTGCGTCCTCAACCTCCTTGGCTCAAGCCATCCTCCCACCTCAGCCTCCCGCGGGCCACCACACACTGCTACTTTTTTGTATTTTCAGTAGAGAGGGGTTCTTTCATGTTGACCAGGTTCAGCGTTCTTTCTTCAACCCAACTTTTTCCTCCACAAACTCACCTAATCCACTCCCCCAGGTTTCAGAATCCATCTCTCTGCTAATTATTGCCAAAATCTAGAACCAGCTCATTTATCCAGCAGCCTCAGGTGGGAGGCTCCAGCTGAACAGCCTCCAGGCATTAGTTACTGATGAATGAATTCATCAAGATCCACTTAAGAACATTTTTCTGGCCGGGAGTGGTGGCTCACGCCTGTAATCCCAGCACTTTGGGAGGCCAAGGCTGGTGGATCACCTGAGGTCGGGAGTTCGAGACCAGCCTGGCCAACATGGAGAAACCCCATCTCTACTAAAAATACAAAATTAGCAGTGTGTGGTGGTGCATGCCTGTAATCCCAGCTACTTGGGAGGCTGAGGCAGGAGAATCCCGTGAACTTGGGGGGCGGAGGTTGCGGGAGCTGAGATCACACCATTGCACTCCAGCCTGGGCAACAAGAGCGAAACTCCGCCTCAAAAAAAAAAAAATTTTTTTTTCTGCTGAAACGGTCAGGAAGTGTTAGGGTGCTTATGGATAAAAGGTAGTTATTTGCCCTTTAGACTCAGGATTCCTGGGCTCGGGTGTTTCCAGCCTTTTTACCACTAATGACCCTTTCAGTTTCTCCCTGAAAGTTGTGGAGGATTTCTATATAAAATAAAACTGCATTTATTAGCTAATAATTATTTTTCCTTTAAAAAATAGAATCCAGATCCTATATAACAGCCAATCCAAACTTCTACCCAGCCTGAGTCTACTGGCATGGCCTCATTGTACATTAGAATTCCACTTGAAAGCAAAGCACCAGCTCTTAGGGCCCTGGGAAGCCTGAAGAAAGGTAAAATATGATTAGCATCGGACCTCTGGCAATAATGAAAACACTTCAAAGACTCCTATCACTACTGAGGACCAGGGGTCTGGGACCCCAAGTTACACACCACTGCCTCATTTGATAGAGAGGCGCTAGGGTAATGTCATTTTTCAAAAGTAAACCAATAAAATAGAAGGGTATTATATGCTCTGTGACTGTTAAATCCACCTTATACACTAAGGAAATGCCAAGTGTTAGGCAGTGTTAGGAAACTGGAATTCTGCAAGTATCCAAAATTGTGTGGTTGTGATTAAAACCTGTTTCTGTAGAATTTTATCTATAAAAATCTGATTTTTGATTGAGGTGACTGATTGAGTTCCCCATCACAAGGTAACCAGCACCTCCTCCAGGCAGCCCTCCTTCTTTCCTGTAATTCTTCCATGCTTCTATCCATCCACGGTGGCATTTAGCACTCTGTGGACTGTTGGAGGTTAGAGGTGGTGTCTTTTTCACTCTTGTCAACTCAGCCCCCAGTCAGGGATTGGCCCAGACCACCGCAATAAATGTGTTTTTTTGATTTATGGAGATCCAAATCCTGTTGAATGGATGGGTGAATGGGTAAATGAAAGAAAGGAGCCGGGCAAGGTGGCTCACGCCTGTAATCCCAGCACTTTGGGAGGCTGAGGCGGGCGGATCACCTGAGATAGGGAGTTCAAGACCAGTGTGACCAACATGGAGAAACCCCATCTCTACTAAAAATACAAAATTAGCCAGGCGTGGTGGCACATGCCTGTGATCCCAGCTTCTCAGGAGGCTTAGGCAGGAGAATCGCTTGAACCCAGGAGGCAGAGGTTGCGGTGAGCTGAGATCACACCACTGCACTCCAGCCTAGGAAACAAGAGCGAAACTACATCTCAAAAAAAAAAAAAAGAGAGAGAGAGAGAGAGGACCAGGAAATGGCAAAAGGAACAGAGGAGCACTTCTCAGTTCTAAGTCAGTTGTTCATGTCCTATCTGCAAGTAGGGGAGGGAAAGAACCAACACTTATTGAGCATCTATAATGAGGTCATGCTATGGGCACCCTATTGTTTTTATTTATTCTCATAATCTCTCTGAGTTTAGATACTATTATTCCCATTTTTATAGATGAGGAAATATTAATAGGATCTGAGAGGTAACTTGTCTAAAGTCCCAGGCAGTGAGCAGATCAGTTCAAAGTTAACTTTATTTGACATGTTGTTAAATATCCCCCAAAAACAAAATGGCAGAGCTTCATGGAGACTTGGAGAACTGTCTGTCACTGGCTGGTTCTGCCTGCCCCATATTCTAGCACCTTAGGTACTCTCATTTATTCTGTTTGTCTAGGCAGAATGGCTTTCTCTGCCTTGTCTGTACACATCCCAAACACGGCCTCTCTAGCCTGAGCTTACCACAGAGCTACAGTAATTAAAACAGTGTGGTACTGGCATAAGGATAGAAATATCGACCAATGGAACAGAACTAAGAGTCCAGAAATAAACCTTCACACATTTATAGCCAATTGGTTTTTGACAAGCGTTCCAAGTCCATTCAATGGGGGAAAGAATAATTGCTTCAACAGATGATGCTAGGACAATTGGATTACCACATGCAAAAGAATGAAGTTGGACCCCTGCCTCGCACCATATTAAGAAATTAACTCAGAATGGATTAATAACCTAAATATAAGAGCTAAAAATCATAAAACCCTTAGAAGAAAATTATTCATGACCTTGAATTTGGTAACAGATTTTTTTTTTTTTTTTTTTGAGACAGAGTCTCGGTTTATCACCCAGGCTGGAGTGCAGTGGTGCGATCTCAGCTCACTGCAACCTTCACCTCCTGGGTTCAAGTGATTCTCCTGCCTCAGCCTACTGAGTAGCTGGGATTACAGGAGTGTGCCACCACACCTAGCTAATTTTTTTATATTTGTAGAGACAGGGTTTTGCCATGTTGGCCAGGCTGGTTTTGAATTCCACCTCAGGTGATCCACCTGCCTTGGCCTCCCAAAGCGTTGGGATTACAGGTGTGAGCCACTGCGCCCAGCCTGATAATAGATTCTTAGCTATCACACCAAAAGCACAAGCAACAACAACAAAAATAGATAAACTGGGCTTCGGAAAACTTAAAAACTTTTTTGTGCATCAATGACATTATCAAGAAAATGAAAATACAGCCTACAGAATGGGAAAAATACAGCTAATTCTCATTATTCACAGTTATTACATTCTATAAAGTCACACTGAATTAGCAAATCCTGAACACATGCTCCTAGGGTTAGGGTCCTGGGAGCCTCTGGTCACAATATATTTATCAATCAATCAAAACATCACCATGTTTTGTATTTTTCTGTTTAAAGACACCTTATTTAATACTGTTGATTGATTAACACTGAACTCATGACTAACAGCACTGTAACTCATGCCTGAATGAAGCTTATCTAACGCATATTTTCTCCATAGGGCACATGACAGCCTTCTAATATTTAGAAACACTGACAACACTTCAGCACTACACTTGGGACCATTTTAAACTGCAGAAAGCAGAAAAATATGGAAAACACAGCACTAAATAGACTACAAAAGGATGCTTTTTCATTCCTATGGACACACACACACACACACACACACACACACACACACACACACTTCTCTACAGTATGAGACCTGAAACAAGGCAAAGCATCTCTTTGGTTGACCTTTGCTGGGAACATCTTTTTGTTGCCATTCTGTACATGTGCAGGAATGACCAAGGAAGTACTATGAATACTGATTTGGGGGTTACAAATACATTTTAATGTGTAGGCAAATTTGCATATACAGAATCCATAATGAGGATCAACTTATTTGCAAATCATAATACAGACAGTCCCCAACTTATGATGGACTTAAGATGGATTTACTAACACATAATCCCATGGTAACCTAACCCCATAGTAAACTGAGAAACACATGGATTTATAATTTATGATTGTGACCAGGTGCAGTGGCTCATGCCTGTAATCCTGGCACTTTGGGAGGCTGAGGTGGGTGGATCACCTGAGGTCAGGAGTTTGAGACCAATCTGGCCAACATGGTGAAACCCCGTCTCTACTAAAAATATAAAAATTAGATGGGCATGGTGGCGGGCACCTGTAATCCCAGCTACTTGGGAGGCTGAGGCATGAGAATCGCTTGAACCAAGGAGGCAGAGGTTGCAGTGAACTAAGATGGTGCCACTGCACTCCAGCCTGGGCAACAGAGACTCTGTCTCAAAAAATAGTAATAGTTTATGATAGTTCAAGTTTATGGTGAGTTCATCAGGGTATTAAATGGATTTTCAACTTACAAAAATTTTAACTTACAATGGGTTTATCAGGACAAACCCCATTCTAAGTCAAGAAGCAACTGTATCTGATAAAGCTGTAACATCCAGAATATATAAAGAACTAAAACTCAGCAACAAAAAGGCAACCCAATTAAAAACTGGGCAAAGGATTGAACAAACTTTCAATATATTCAAAGGAAGATATACAAATAATTATGTGAAAAGATGTAGTTTTGATTTGCATTTTCCTAATGACATTATCACTCATCATTAGGGAAACACAAATCAAAACCACAATGAGACACCACTTCATACTTACTAGGATGGTTATAATTTTTATTATTTTATTTTTAGAGATGGGGTCTCACTATATTGCTCTCACTGGCCTCAAATACCTAGGCTCAAGTGATCCTCCCACCTCAGCCTCCCTGGTAGCTGGGACTACAGACACAGACCATCGCACTGGGCTTATAATCACTTTTTAAAACTGAAAATGAAAGGTGTTGGCAAAAATGTGGAGAAACTGGAATGCTTGTATATTGCTAGTGGAACGTAAAATGGTACAGATGCTTCAGAGAACATTTTAGCACTGTGGAAGAGTTTGGTGGTTCCTCAACAAATTAAACACAGAATACCACATGATTCAGGAATACTACTCCTTGATATACTCAAAAGAACTGAAAATGGGTACTCAGATCCTTGTATACCAATGTTCACCGCAGCATTATTCACAATTGCCAAAAGGCGGGAAAAAAACAAGTTTCCATCAACAGATACATGGATAAACAAAATGTGTGTGGGAGGAAGTGCACGTGTACAGACAAACACACACACACACACACAATAAAACATAAATCAGCCATGAAAAGAAACAAAGTCTTGATATACGCTAAAACATGGATGAACTTGAAAACATTATAAGTTAAAATAAGCCAGACACAAAAGGGCAAATATTTTAGGATTCTACTTCTTTGAAATATCAAGAATACACAAATTCATAGAGACAAAAAGTAGATTAGAGGTTACCAGGGGCTGGGAGGAATGGGGAGTTATTGCTTAATGGTTCCGAGTTTCTGTCTGGGGTGATGAAAAACTTTTGGAAAAGTGGTGAAGGTGGTGCAGCACTGTGAATATAATTAATGCCATTGAATTTACACTTAAAAACTGGTATAATGGCAAATAGTATGTGATATATATTTTACCACAATGTTTTAAAAATTGACTTTGTTAATAAAATGAAAAAAAAAAGGTCACTGTAAACTACTAATCACTACTTTTATTTTGTATTCAAGGTCACAATCAACCAGAAGAGGGTTCTTTTGCTCTGTCAAATAAATATATTTAAAAGCTAGCAAACGTCAGAGAAGAGTTTTATCAGGCCTATAAAAGAGATGAGGGAAATTAATAGTTATATACAGCTACACAGAGTTAACATATTGCAAGGGAAACAACTATATTCAAAGGCTTCATTTCTAATACTTGACATTTCAAATTTTGAGAACATTAAAATTATTGTCAAACAAAACTCAGACCACATTAGCAATGTTTATAAAAGGGAGCAATTTAATCATTATATTACAGAGTGCTTTAAGAAGTTTTTAAACGTGTAAAAGAAAAAAAAAAAGCTTAGTGCATTACGGTCTTTACATTGCTTCTTTTTTAAAAAAGTTAACAGTAGTATGAAAAAAGCCACCCACAAAGCCAGCTGTCTGAGTGAGGAAATCAGCTACATTGCAGCATTTTGGAATTACTAATAAAGCTATAGTTAAAAAATAAAAAGTTTATAAAAATGAAAGCAGCATGCATATTCAAGGCTTTTTCATAACATTTTCAATGGCTGAAAAACATTTAACCAAGAGCTTAATATTTATTATCCATTAAATTAGAGAAAATAAACTGGCTAAGCCTACATCTGGTCATTCAGAAAAACATGTTAAAATCCAAAGCTAATTAAACTGAACATTTCTTCTACGAAGAAAGCGCATTTTGAAAAATGGTCCTATGGTCACAAAAGAAAGGGTTCTTCCCAATATGAATGAACAGCACCAGTCTTTACAAAGTTTGTAAATTAGTATGAACTTTCAGTCTCCTGATACGGCAAGAGTTAACAGTTAACACTCCCATGATTCATAAGTGAAAAGCTAACTTTTAACTCATTATGATCAGTTCAGAATTTTTTCTCTATTCACTGAAACTGTTATAAAATTTCACTGAAAGATAACTCTTAAAAATTCTGATCTGACACCTGTATAAACATTTCTGATTTCCACGATTGTAAGAAAACACTAAGTATACATTTACTACGTGATTCTTTTTCACATTTTTGGTGCAGTATTTATTTCAAAGCTTCACCCTATCCAAATTACCATGTCAGTTTCTTTTCCTTCTTCAGAATTAATTTCCTGCAGTTTAATAAAAAGCAAATCAGCTTCTAATGGAACAAGTAACAGTAGAAACAGTGGTATTCATGGATGTGTTTAATGAAGGATCCAATTATTAAGGGCCAGTGAAACCATAAAATCTTATTGTTTCAACATATATAAATAGGCTGTTTTTACATTTGAAATTGTATAAGCCCATGCACAACTTTTAATCTTAGTGCAGGGTCTGATAAATAAGACATAGTAATAAATCAGGGTTTTTTTTTTTTTTTTTTTTTTACCCATTTCTAACAATTTTTACTGTAAAATTTTTGGTCAAAGTTCTAAGCTTAATCACATCTCAAAGAATAGAGGCAATATATAGCCCATCTTACTAGACATACAGTATTAAACTGGACTGAATATGAGGACAAGCTCTAGTGGTCATTAAACCCCCTCAGAAAGTCTAAGATTCAGAATGTCTCCATCATATTAGAAGAAAAATGTACTGTATTAAAATTTAAATTGCATTTTTACAAGTTGTTTTTTAATTAGTGTTCTATTTACATTGCAGAACTTCCACCAACTGCAGTAGTTTAACTTTGGCACAACATTAAGTTCCATTTCTTTTGGGTATTGGATCCTGCTTTTTGAGTGTGTATGCCCCAAAACGTTTTCAATGTCATCAAAGATTGGGCAAATTCACAGTAAATCAGACATCTTGAGTTGAAGAATTGATTCTCCTTCAACGTTTTAGGCAGCTAAAAAAGAAAAACATCATAAAAAACTGAAAATTTAAAGAAAACCATATTTTAATTTTTACTACTTTTAGAAATAAAAGTGAAAATACATCTTTTGTATTCTCTTGAGATTACCTGCCACATATGTCTTCCATAATACACTAGGCTTTGTGTGCAACTCATCTATGTATATGTTCTTCATATGCTAGATTTGCTTATAAACATTTATCATCTTTATGTAATAATTTATTTCAAACTGTATGAGCAGGGAGTATATATTTCATTGTCAGTATCTGTAATAAGCAGACTATGAAATCTAAAGACTTGTACTTTTTTCTATTTCTATACAAGGTGCAAAAGATATATATGTACCTCACTTCCTGTAATAACTATTTTGGGAAGGTTTTGGTAACTTTTTTGGTAAATTGAACAATATTTAAATGAAGAAATAACTATTTAGAGAAGGCTATGGTGAATCCTCTTATAAGTGAAAAATTATTTTACTCAGCCAAGGATAACTTGATGTTTCAGAAATTTAGACTTTTGTGTATTTAAAAAGGCATGCTTCTATGCTATCACAAAAGTATATAATATGGTTTGGCTCTGTGTCCCCATCCAAATCTTACCTTGAATTGTAATTATTAAGGGACAGTGATACCACAAAATCTTATTGTTTCAACATATGTAAATAGGCTGTTTTTACATTTGAAATTGTATAAGCCCATACATAACTTTTAATCAGGGAGTGTCGGGGGAGGGAGCCTGGTGGGAGGTGACTGAATCATGGGGGTGGACTTCCCCTCTGGCTGTTCTCATGATAGTGAGTGAGTTCTCAGGAGATCTGGTTGTTTGAAAGTTGTGTGGAACATCCCCTTTCGCTCTCTCTCCTGTTCGGTCATGGTGAGATGTGCTTGCTTCCCCTTCTTCCCCTTCGCCTTCTGCCATGACTGTAAGTTTCTTGGGGCCTCCCAGTCATGCTTCTTGTTAAGCCGGCAAAACTGTGAGTCAACTAAACCTCTTTTCTTCATAAATTACCCAGTCTCAGGTCGTTCTTTATAGCAGTGTGAAAATGGACTAATACAGTGCATGTATAGCATACATCATACAGTCTTTTGAAAACTGTAGTTTTAGGATGAATTTTCTGACCAGAATTAGTATCCATTACAGTGTTAATATATAACATAAGAATTATCTATACAAAATTAAAGGTCAAACTAAACTGTACAGAAAAATTCACATTATTTTTGGAAGACTGCAACTCCCCAAAAAAATCATTGCAGAGGTTACAACAACAACATTCACTGCAGCAACAAATTTGTTGATTTAATCTTGGCTGAGTGCACATTCTTGTGTTTAGCAATAAAAAAAATGCCTGTTAAAAATATTTTATGTATCTGGGTCAGAAGAAAGCCTGCTCTGAAGATTTCTGACATTAGGAAATGGAGGGCTGCACTTCAGGATAAAGCTGTATGAAACTGTTTAACTTCTTATAACCTAAAATGATTACATTATACCCTATAACCTGGAATGATATTTATACTGCTTATTAAAACAGGTACATTTTTAGTTTCATCTGTTATCCCTTAAAAAATATTAACAAGGAGAAAACCTGAAAAAGGATTGCCAAGCAGTAAGAATAGTGCCTGGTACATATTAAGCTCTCTATAAATAATTGTTAAAATAAATAAAACCAGAGAGAAGATGTAAGGGAATTAAGGAAAAACTGCACAGAATAACAGAGCATAAAAGTAGGGGATGGGATACTCATGCAAAAAGCCAAGGAAATAAGTAAGCATGCTCACGTATAAAATAATAATGAGGGTCTACGTCTCATTTCCTTCCTTACTGTTTGAACACAGCAGTCATTTCTGATAGCAAGATGCTATTTGGACTACTGACAGACATACACAAACATTTCATGACAACTGCATTGTTTTCAAAACAGTGTACTTTTACCCCGGAACACTCCAAAACAAAGAATAGCAAAGAATAAAACTATGTTATTAAATTCCAGAAGTATTAAGAATTCAATTCCTAACTCCAAAGCAGGTATCTGATTTGCAACTACAGTTCAACTTTAATTAATCCAATTTATAAAAGAACTAAGATTTAAGGAACATGCCAAAACCTTTCAAATTTAAGCCATATTTATTTGCATTTTTAAGACTACAGAGATATACTTTAAATCAAATACAATGTTAGTGCTGGTAGCAGGTTTGTTTTATACCAAAGAATGAAAAGATATTTTAAGCAATTGGGTTTATATCAAATCTGTTATTTGCCTTTTGATCTCTAAAACAGAAATAATTTATATCACAGTTTTCAAAGACAGATGCCGCCTAAGCAAACATGAATTTATATATGGCCTAAAACAGACCTTTGACTTTTAACAGAAAAAGATATTGAGTAATTTTATAAATTACTAAAAAGATACTGAGTAATTTCATAAATACATAAAGCATTTTAAACTCTAGTTAAAAGTCTAGTAAAGTTTTGGGAGCAATGCAATGAAGATGAAAAGATACCCATTTTCACCTAGTTTCCTAAAACTGCACAATCCTCAACCCTGTGGTAAGTCTTTCCTTTGGTGTACTTTTCCCCTTCTTTTTAGTTTTCATTTTTGAATTATTTCCTTAAATAGGCAAAAAATGAAGCTTTAGTGAAGGGGGCATTGCAATAAAATACATTTTAGTTATCTTTAGTATTTGTTTGTGAATCCCCTCAACCTGCCTGCCAGTCTCCCTTCATAGAGATTGGGTAACTTTCCTTCAAAACAAAGTAAAAAAAACCCAATTCATATGAAAAATAATAATTAAGACATTAAACTCTACATAATAATAATAAAACTACACATGATAATCATTTATCTCTTAGCTATACTAGTGGTACCTAGTCTTATTAGGGAAAAGAAAAACTACTTCAGAAAATATCAAAAATGAAGATGACTGATACAACAAGGTGACTGTTCAAAATGTATGTGGTTGATGAACATATACGCAGATTAAAAATTTTCTTAACTTACATTTCAGTCATCTGATTTAGACAGCTTCCGTTTCACATGTCGTGGAGGTTCCCAAGTGTCACTATCATCTGTTTCTTCTTCATCCTCTTCCTGGTCATCAATAACTTCATCTTCCTCCTCATTTTCCTCAAATAATTCTATACCTAATTCTGATCTTCTCTGTCTTTCTGCAAACCACTCTCTGACCTGCTCATAGCCCATATGTGATTTGTTAACAAGTTCATCAAGGTCTTGCTCATTAAGAAACTTGTGCTTCAGGTAATAATCCTTAAGTATTGCAGTTCCAGTTTTAAATTTTATGAGTGATGGTCCCCTGTCCCAGTTGTTAATTCTTTTGCTTCCTCTAGGCCGCCCACGCGGTCTTCCTCTTCCCCGTCCTTTGGGTCTCCCTCTCCCTCTTTTCCTAAGGGAAGACAGACCATTCATACTACTTGAATTGGCGCTCTGATAGTAGTAGTACCATTTCAAGTTTCCATTCTTCCAAGCATAACGGGTGTCCCCAAACCAACTAACTATGTCTGTTCTAGCAAGCCCGCTTTCTTTGGCCAACTTGTCATACTCTTCTGGTGATGGCCACTGTGTCCGGACAAATGCACTCTTAAGCATGTGCAGCTGCTCAGGTGTTTTTTTACATATCTTGCCTGTACTCCCTGACTTAGGTGCACCAGATTCATCTGCAGGAGAAGTTTCTCCAGCTTCTTCTTTGGAACTACCTGCATTACTTTCATCTATTTCCATTTTCTCTTCCTTTAAAGCTTTTGATTTCTTCTTCTCTGTAAACCAAGCATCGATTTCTCTTCTGGTAAGTTTGGTTTGTGCCCTTAACCTATTTAATTCTTCATCTGTAAGTACAGAGCTGTTGAGAAAACTTGCCTGAAGGACACGAAGCTGCTCTGCAGTTTTCTCTTTAAACTTTTGGGGAGTAAAGTCAGGAAAAGGATTCCAGGATTGCTTAGGCTGTGCAGTACCAACAGTTGGGGATTCCGTGGTTTCATCACTGGAGTCTATAATAATGGTGGTAGAGGAATCATTGTTGAGATGTAAGCACTGATTACTCTTTGAATTTCTCTGGTTGTACCTTGTGTCACTAAACCATTTTTTAATCTCTCCTTTCGTCAGGCCTGTTATTTTCATAAGTCTGATAATTTCTGAATCATGGGGAAACTGATTTTTAAGGTAGCTAACTTTTAATTCTGCCAGTTGCTCTTTTGTCTTTTTTGCCCGAATGCCAAATGAATCAGGGTTTACCAATGCAGTTTCATGTTTGACACTTTGAGAAGTTGGAACTGCTGCTGTTGCTGGCTTTGTTTCTGCAGTAGGCTGAGCAGCAGGTACCTGACTTTTCTGTATATTATTTTGACTTGGAACGCCTGCCACTGTCAAGGCTATAGGTGCTGTAACTGGCAAGGTGTTTGTTCCAGCCACTTGAGTAAGGACCAGACCAGGCTGACCAACTATTTGGCATGTCTGTAAAATAGATGGTAAACCATTACTCCCTGTGGAAATGTGTGTAGGAATAACAGTTATGGTCTGAGGTACAGTATGCACTGTTCCATTGAATTGTTTCCTTCTTGCCTCCTCTACTTCCTCGGGAGTCCAACTAACACCATGTTTTAAACGTTGGGCTGAAAACCATATCTTGATCTGTTCCTCTGTATATTTTGCTTGAGCAGAAAGAACTGTAATTTCTGACATTGTTGGGTAAGGGAACTTGTTGTAGGTGTTAAGTAAAAGGGGATTGTTATCCAATGCAGCATTGTAGGTGGGAATGCTATTAACAGGGATTAAGACTTTGGGAATCAAATTAGAATTCTGCTGAGCAGATACAGCAGTTATCACCTGTGCCAATCCAGGAAGAACTGCTGCTGGTGTCACTACCGTGCTGGCAGTACTTGGATGTATTCTGTTTACAATGGAAGTACTTGTATTAGATTCAGAAGCTGAAGAACTTGGATTTTCTACAATTTCTTCACGGTCTGGTTTGATTTCATTCTCTTTCTCTTCAGGAACGTCCTCAACTGAGTTATGATGAACTGCAATCCGTTTATTTTCCACTTTATTTTTCATCATTTTCATGATAGGAGTTTTACTGATAGATATTCCCGAAGAAGAAACTTCTGTAGATTCTGCTTGCTCTGCATTCTCCTCTTTAACAAAACTACCATCAAAAGTCAGATCATTTATTGTTTGTTCAAAGATTGTCTGGTTATTACGTTTCACCATAGTCAACTTAAAATTCTCTTCTCCTGGGTGATATTTCAGATTATGCTCAGAAAGTGCATCATACCTTTTGGTAAGAAAATTGCATTCGACACAAACATAGGATGAATTTAGCACTACATTGGGATGTTCCGAATCCACATGAAAAGTAAACATATTTAGATCTGGAGTTTGAAAAGTACAATATTTACATTCATATCCACCTTCAACTTTTTTATTTTGCTGATTGTCTGAATCCACAGATTCATGAACCTCTTCATCACTTGAGATACTCTCTGCTCTGGTGTTTTCTACAGGTGTAAGCACAGGAGGACCTTCATCCAAATCTGATATCAACTCAAGGTCTGGATCTTGTTCACTGGCAAGGACCATGCAAGGTGTTGTTGATTTTCGCCTGCTTGCCATTCTGATGTTATGAGGAAAAGCTCAGTGGTGATTAAAAAGCATCGAGGCTTAAAACTGTTCAGTGTTCTTCATTTGAAAACAATGGCTTTTGGTTCTTCAAGTCCATTTTTGTGCTCAACAAGTCTCATTAGCAGCTTTCTCATGGTGCAATCAAGTAAAGAGCTTATTGTTGGCAGATAAAATACTGCTGAATTTCTGAAATTTTTGAAGCACAACTCCAATCACCTACATTAAAATAAATTTTAAAATGTTTTAAAATGAGTAACTATGATCTTTTAAACAAATTATAGTTATAGTTCACTTATATGAAGTGGCTGGATAGCTCAGTTACAAAGATCTAGAATAAGATAAGAATCAGAAAAAAATGTCCTCTAAAGATCAAAATAAATCTCTCCAGGCCAACTCATTGAATGTTAAGTACTTTACCTTGGGTCAGACACAAGCTTATTCATTTAAATTTTTTAGCCAGCTATATATTAGAAGACAAGGGGGAAAGGGCCTGCTTTGGCAAGCACACTATTATTAATGTGAAATGGCAATGTTAACAAGGAGGAACTTTAACACTATAAAAAGCATTCACAGATACTAAAATATTATGGCCATTAAGTGTGTAAGAAATTCAGCCTGGCCAACATGGTGAAACTCCGTCTCTACTAAAAACACAAAAATTAGCCAGGCGTGGTGGCAGGTGCCTGTAGTCCCAGCTTCTCCAGAGGCTGAGGTAGGAGAATCGCTTGAACCCAGGAGGCAGAGATTGCTGTAAGCCAAGATCATGCCACTACATTCCAACCTGGGCAACAGAGTGAGACTCCATCTCAAAAAAAAAAAAAAGACAAGAAATTTAATCCATTAGTTCATTAGTTATGTCCTCTTCTTCCTACTGGTCTATCTCATCAGCCAAAAGCATGCTTCAAGTATGGCAAAAATAGCAAAGATGGAGGATGAATGATCAAAGTTTCAGAAACATTATTATTATTATTATTATTTTTTGAGACAGAGTCTCACTCTGCCACCCAGGCTGGAGTGCAGTGGCGCAATCTTGGCTCACTGTGACCTCTACCTCCTGGGTTCAAATGATTCTCTTACCTTAGCCTCCTGAGTAGCTGGGATTACAGGCGCTTGCCACCACGCCTGGCTAATTTTTGTAGTTTTAGTAGAGATGGGGTTTCACCACGTTGGCCAGGCTGGACTCGAACTCCTGACCTCAGGTGATCTGTCCGCTTTGGCCTCCAAAAGTGCTGGGATTACAGGCATGAGCCACCGTGCCTGGCCTACCAGAAACATTATTCTTAGCACTTGCCACAATGCTACCAAAAGTTATAAAGCAGATCTAATCACATCAGTCTCCTGACACAGGTTCCTAATGTTGAAGGAATAAAGTTCAAACTCCTTGTGGGACATATAATCCCTTTCACAACCTAGTCTAACCTCACTTTCCTTCCTCCTGTTTCCTTATGCTTTAGGTATACCAGAAATGGCTGCCATTCCACAGACATTCAATGCACTTTCAGACCCTTACTCAGGCCCTTCCTTAGGTTAGGACACTTGATGTGTTGATCTGTGTGCCCTCTAGGACAGCAGTCCTCAACCTTTTTGGCACCAGGGACTGGTCTCATGGAAGACCATTTTTCCACATACCGCGGTGCGAGGGGATGAGATGGTTTTGGGATGAAACTCTTCCACCTCAGATCTGGCATTAGATTCTCACAGGGAGTGCGCAACCTAGAGCCCTCGCATGCACAGTCACAATAGGGTTGTGCTCCTATGAGAATCTAATGCTGCTGCTCATCTAACAGAAGGCAGAGTTCAGGTGGTAATGCTTGCTTGCCTACCTCTCACCTTCTGCTGTGCGGCCCAGTTCCTAACAGGTCATGGATTGGTACTGGTCCATGGCACAGGGGTTGGGGACCCCTACTAGAGATCACCTTCTCCCTTTCATTTGGTCCCATTTCCTCCCGTTTATTTTCTAGTCTAGTACTTACCATACTGTACATGGCAGAGTAATGTTACATTTCTGTCCCTGCACCACCATCCATATCTGTGGTCTCCTTACTCTAGATATTGTGTCTCATTTTTAATAACAGCTTGCTATAATTTGGATGTTTGATCCCTTCAAATCTCATGTTGAAATTCGATCCCCAATCTTGGAGGCAGAGCCTAATAGGAGGTGTCTGGGTCATGGGGTCAGATCCCTCATCAACAGTTTGGTGCTGTCCATGTGGTAATGAGTGAGTTCTCGCTCTACCAGTTCCTGCAGGAGCTGGTTGTTAGGAAGAGCCTGGCACCTCCCCACTGTCTCTCTTGCTTCCTTTCTTGCCATGTGATCTCTGCCCACATGCATTCCCCATCATCTTCTGTCATGAGTGGAAGCTGCCTGAGGCCATCACCAGCAGCAGATGCTGGAGCCATGCTTCTTGTACAGTCTGCAGAACTGTGAACCAAAGAAACCCTTTATCTTTCTAAATTACCTAGCTCTGGGTATTCCTTTATAGGAACACAAAGAGACTGAGACACAGCTTTTTTGAGATAAAACAAAGTCCCCCAAACTCTGGATTGAGCCAAGGAACTTTGTATCTTCAACCTAATACTCTCCCAGCTGAGCTATTTTGGCTGACATCTCATTAATGTTGCATTCCCAAGTGCATATAAGAAGCCTGAATTTAGGGAGGTAATCACTCAATGTTTATTAAATTGACTAGAATGAAGAGGAAAATAGTCCTACAAAACTCAACAGGACCTGCAGGAGGCATCACCATAGAGAACAGTATCTGAAATTCACAATAATAACTTTAAATAATCAAGAAAAAATGAATTAGGATCATAAAATATATTTAAATAAATTTTATACCTAAAATTTTTAAAATAAAAAGTTTTATGCTAAGTAAAGTTTGTGTTTCTGAAGTCTAATCCAACTGAAAACGAATAAAATGGGTAAGTGATTTCATTTATTCTTCACCACAAATTAGAGCTATTTTTAATTTACTGGCATCCCAGCTGAATGGAGAAGAAGAGAGTTTGCTTCAAAAATTATTAAGCAAAACCAGGTCCCTATGAGACAATACATCTAGTCAGTAAATGGAGAGACATTTTTAGGAAAGAGAGCAGTCCTAAGAGAGAATATCCTGACTTTGAAGGACGGTAAAATCCTCCTCACTGGAATTATTCAAATACAGACTACACATCCAAGTAGCAGAAGGAAAATTGGACTAAATGTCCTTTGTTCCCTAATTTCCCATATTACCAAATAAAGAGCATCAGTTTAAAAATAATAGTGGTATTAATAATCCAGATCCCTACTCTCAAAGATGTCATTCTTTTTTTCTTTAAAACACTCTTGATTTCTAAGATATTATAAAGAAATCACTGATATTTACAACTATTTCTTAACCAAATGTTATAAACTAAGCCAATGTTATCTTTTAATCAAATAGGGGTTGCCATTTTTTTTTTCAAGTATCAACACAGATGTTTGATCATTTTTTGTCATTAGAAACAGGGAATTCCTTAAATGGCTCCAAATAAGTGGTCCAGACATGGTGGTACACATCTGTAATCCAGCTATTCAGGAAGCTAAGGCAGGAAGATTCCCTGAGTCTACGAGTTCAAGACTGGGCAACATGGTAAGATACTGTTTCTAAAAAAAATAGTAAGTGGAAGAGTAATAAATGAGCAGCACTCATATTTTGAACAGTAAAGGGAATTGTTGAAAGGCAGAGGAGTAACCTATTTTGTGACTGTTACTTTCCTGGAATCTGAGAGAGACTATATTTAATTGGGGTATAATAATAGTTGGAAGGCAAGAGGGTTTCTTTCTGAAACTTTTTCCTCAAAGTGGTGGTTTTCAAACTTTTTGTTTTAAGCAGGGGAGCCCTTTCATCAAACAAAATGCTATGAGAAATCCCAGGTCAAAACAGATAAAAGAGAAGCCATCGGCCAGGCACAGTGGCTCACGCCTTTAATCCCAGCACTTTGGGAGGCCGAGGCCAGTGGATCACAAGGTCAGGAGATCAACCATCCTAGCCAACAGTGAAACCCCGTCTCTACTAAAAATACAAAAGTTAGCCGTACAGGTGTGGTGGCGAGCGCCTGTAATCCCAGCTACTCGGAAGGCTGAGGCAGAATAATCACTTGAACTCGGGAGGTGGAGGTTGCAGTGAGCCAAGATCAAGCCACTGCACTCCAGCCTGGGTGACAGAGCGAGACTCTGTCTCAAAAAAAGAAAAAAAGAAAGAAAAGAAAAAAAGAAGAGCTATCTGGTTGGAGGAGGCAGAGGCTAAACTACTCTCTGACCAAATTCCACGAATCTTACAATCCCCACTTCCACCTTTCAGGGGTTCTGAGATGTGTTTAAAAGCCTTTTGCTTAAAACTTAAACATATCGGCTGGGTGCGCCTGTAATCCTAGCACTTTGGGAGGCTGAGAAGGATGGATCACTTGAGGTCGGGAGTTTGAGACCAGGCTGGCCAACATGGTGAAATCCCGTCTCTACTAAAAATATAAAAGTTAGCCGGGCGTGGTGGCGTGCACCTGTAATCCCGCTACTCGGAAGGCTGAGGCAGGAGAATCACTTGAACTCGGGAGGTGGAGGTTGCAGTGAGCCGAGATCAAACCACTGCACTCCAGCCTGGGCAACAGAGCAACACTCCATCTCAAAAAAAAAACAAAAAACAAAAAAAACCCCACATATATATATAGAGAGAGATCTCAAGACAATATATCAGTTTCATCAAAAATCCTCCTCTCATTGAGCCATTGCTCAGCCATGAAATTTGAAAACTCATCTTGAGAGGACAGGTGCAGTGGCTCATGCCTGTAACCCCAGCACTTTGGGAAGCTGGCAGGGGCGCGGTGCATCACTTGAGGTCAGGAGTTCGAGACCAGCCTGGCCAACATGGTGAAACCCCATCTCTACTAAAAATACAAAAATTAGCTGGGCATGGTGGTGGGCGCCTGTAATCCCAGCTACTCAGGAGGCTGAGGCAGGAGAATCACTTGAATCCGGGAGGTGGAGGATGCAGTGAGCCAAGATCGCACCACTGCATTCCAGCCTGGGTGACAGAGAGAGACTCTGTCTCAAAAAAAAGACTATTTGCTTGCTATAATCCACTGTCAGGTCCCCATGATTTTGCTAACAAAAGTAAGGTCAGTGTATTATTTAACATATTTCTAAAAAGAGACTGAGAAGTCCCAAAAGAGTTTCAAGATTTGGTCCAAAAGCTCAATTCTGCATAATGTGTATAGTCTAAAAATAGACCAAAGGGCAAACAAAGGTATCCTCGGAATTATTATTATAAAGTCATAAGTTTGGAGGAAACAAGGATCTTAATCTTAGTACAACTGCCCCATTTTTATGGAAGAAGAATCCCAGGCCCAGAGTAATTAATTCATAAAGTCATTGTGAATAGGGTAAAGCCACAGGTTTTGCAGTCACCTCTGTCAATTAGTAGTTAGGTGCCTGGAAGAGCTATTCAATTCAACCTCAATTTTCTCAAGATTCTTCAATTCAACAAATTTGTTGAATGTCAACCACATGAAAGGCAATAATGATGCAATGGTGACCAAGACAGGCAGTCTCTGGTTTTTCAGGTACCAGCAGTGAAGCAAGGAAAGCAAGCAGTAAACAATTACTTAGAATAACTATGATCAGTGCAGTAAGAAAGATATCAGTACACTGCAGGAGGCTTCTAGAAAAGAAGCAGAGAAGGCTTCCCTGGGGGAAAAAGAAATAGTAGTATCCACATCAGAGGAAGTAAAAATGCTTCCTTCACTTACTTTGATACAAAACAGGTGCCTAATTGATGCTATTTTCAGTCCCTGAAAAATTCTTTCCAGAAAAAAATAACATTTTTTAATATTATAAATTCTCTCACTTTTTTTTAGCAACTTAATCAGCTGAAAATGCACAAAAATTGGATGAAAAAGTAAAAGTAAAAATACAGAATAAGAATTTCTAGGATGTCGTTCCTATTCATCTCCCTTTGTCATTAAAGTGCAATGGGACTGGGACAGGAAAATTGCTGTATAGAAATCACTATTAGCTGAAGGCATCACATCCTCTATTTGAAGGTCAACTAAAAATAGGGCTCAAAATCAATTTGGGGAAGCTTGCACTATTTACCTATAAAAAGAGGTTAGAGGTCAGTTGCACAACTCAGTAGCTAGGTGACTCTGCAATTAAAACACAATTAAAATTAAGTTGGCCAATAAAAAAAAGTATGCTGTCAATGCATCCAGCACTGTAAATGTAATTACTTTTCAAAACTGCTTTCAGTTAACTTTTCAGTACGGGAAGTGTTTTTAGAAAACTGATCAAATTAATTTAATTGCTATACTGCCATTAAAATTGATAATCTTAAGAGTAATTAAGGAATATGGAAAAACTACCCATTTACTATTAAATTTTTTAAAACTCAGAAAATTTGCATATAATTATAATAACTGTGAGGAAATATGTATGCATGTGAACAAAGATGAAATGAGAGTATGTAAAAAAATGAAAATTTCACGAGATTATGGGTGACATTTTTATGTGTGATATTCACAAGTTTTCTTTTTCTTTTGCTTTGTTTTTTTCCTTTTTAGGGAGAACAGAGTCCCGTTACGTTGCCCAGGCTGGTCTTGAACTCTTGGGCTCAAGTAATCTTCCCACCTCTGCCTCCCTGTGTTGGGATTACAGGCATGAGCTATCCTGCCTAGCCTACAAATTTTCTTTAATATTGTTATCACATTGCTTTATTATAAAGTACAACAAACAACAGCTTCAAGACCCTAAAATTGCAAATAGACTAAAATATTTCTATGGCCAGTTTATGACCAATCTTTCTACGGTCAAGCTGGAAACAAGGTTTCTTTTCTATTATTAAGGCAAAAAACATGGCTACATAAAGGATTTTCCAGTGCTGGCTTCCACAGCACAAATACTAAAATTGGAACCATGCGGAGAAGATTAGCATGGCCCTTGGGCAAGGATGACATGCAAATTTGTTTAAAAAAAAAAAAAGAAAGAAAAGAAAGGGAGGGAGGGAGGAAGAGAGGAAAGTAGGAAGGAAGGAAGAAAGAGAAGGAAGAGAAGCGGGAAGGGGAGGGGAGAGGAGTGGAGGGGAAGGGAGGCTTGGAAGAAGGAAGGAAGGAAATATCAAAGTAAAAAAAAAAAAAAAAAAAGGATTTTCCAGGGAAGCAAGAATCCCTCAGTATGTAGCATTCAGGTATAGTTTTTGGAGCTCTGAGAAGTCAGATTGGCTCTAAGAGCTCTCAAGACCACTCAAACACAATCTCCAGGGTGTAGATCTAGACTAGCCAGTTTCCGTAGATCTATCTGTATACTGGATCTTCTCCTGAGGGTAGGATACCCATCAATCAACTTATGATTCTGAACTCATCAAAACAATTACAATTTTTACAATTTTACAGGTAATAGTTCTCTACAGAAAAGCATTTAATGAAAGCAAAATGTGTTTTATCACAATCTAAAAAGTTTGAGAGTTCTTATTCAAGTTCTTCTTTTATGATCAGAAAGAGTATCTACTTAGCTATCCACTATATTCCCAGGGCCCAACAAAATACTTATTAGGACCCCAATAATGTTTGCTAAAAAGTATCTTTAGGCCAGGCATGGTGGCTCACATCTGTAATTCCAGCACTTTGGGAGGCCAAAGTGGGCAGATCAATTGAGGTCAGAAGTTCGAGACCAACCTGGTCAACGTGGTAAAACCCTGCCTCTACTAAAAAAATACAAAAATTAGCTGAGTGTGGTGATGGGTGCCTGTAATCCCAGCTGCTTGGGAGACTGAGGCAGGAGAATCACTTGAACCCAGGAGGCAGAGGTTGCAGTGAGCCGAGATCGCGCCACTGCACTCCAGCCTGGGCGACAGAAGAAGACTCCGTCTCAAAAAAAAAAAATCTTTAAATATAACTATACTATGTATTATTACATACATTTTACTTCATTAAACACTCATTTATAGAAGAGCTATAAAAACAATTGTGCTTGATTTACTATAGATTACTTTCGATGGTAAAATTCTTAATAAAAATTACCTTAGTCATGAATATTAAAACACCCTTGAATCTAAAACATTCTATTTACTAAAGTACAGCAATGAACATTCAATAAACATTTACTAACATCTAAAATGTCATTGTAATACATCAGTTTTATATATGAATTGAGTATATTTAAATCTGTGAATTAAGAGTAAAACAAGGGAGATAAAACATTCAAAGAATGATTTTGGCAGTGAAATTCAGGAGAAAAGGGTATAGTTATTATAAAGACAGCAAATGCAAATTTGCACTTAGAATCATTACTTCTCTGTTTTATGAGAAAACTATACTTTAACAGTGTTCTACTACATTTTAAAAAAGATTAAAAATAAGTCCTCAATGTAATACACTATAAGAAGTTAGTGGATTGTTTCAAATTCTATGCTTACCCACTACTAAAAAAAAGTCTAAAATATTTTATAATTAAACAGAGCCACAACTGCACTGAATTTGCAAGCTTCTGGTTTTTCTGGCTGTTTGGACTTCAAATTAAATGATTAACAGATAACAATATGTTGGCCTGGTTAGCCACAAAAGCATGCTATTTGGTAAGATTTTACATGAATAAAAACAAACTTTTTTTTCTTGAGACGGAGTCCCACTCTGTTGCCCAGGCTGGAGTGCACTGGGGCAATCTCGGCTCACTGCAACCGCCGCCTCCCAGGTTCAAGCAATTCTCTGCCTCAGCCTCCCAAGTAGTTGGGATTACAGGCGCCCGCCACCACGCCTGGCTAATTTTTGTATTTTTTTTAGTAGAGACGGGGTTTCACCATCTTGTCCAGGCTGGTCTTGAACTCCTGACATCATAATCCACCCGCCTCGGCCTCCCAAAGTGCTGGGATTACAGGCATGACCCACTGTGCCTGGCCACAAACTTTGTTTTTTACAACAATTCTGGGTCAAATAAGAGCATTTAGGGCTGAGTGAGGTGGCTCACGCATGTAATCCCAGCACTTTGGGAGGCCGAGGCGGGTGGATCACCTGAGGTCAGGAGTTTGAGACCAGCCTGGCCAACATGGTGAAACCCTGTCTCTACTAAAAATACAAAAATTAGCCCGGCGTCGTGGCGTGCACTTATAATTCCAGCTACTCGGGAGGTTGAGGCAGGAGAATCGCTTGAACCTGGGAGAAGAAGGTTGCAGTAAGCCGAGATTGCGCCATTGCACTCCAGCCTGGATGATAAGAGCACAACTCTGTCTCAAAAAAAAAAAAAAAAGAGCATTTAGAAGATACTATAGTTTTTAGGGATCATGTTAATTTTGATGTAGCATCAAAAATAAAACTGTTCTTAGGTAGCAAAAATATACACACTGAGAATCCCTTGGAATCTGCATTTGTATATATACCGAGAATGTTTGGGACTCTGTATTCTATTTAGTTTCACTTCTCTCTGAGTCAAGAGTTCTGTTTAGCCAGCTGAAAATACTTTAACACGTTTGTATTCAACTAGAAGTTACAAATCCACAAAAATCACGGAATGCCTAAACAGTACAAACAAAGAATTAGGTCATATTAAAACAAAAGGTATCCACCGTGTTAAAAAAAATAAAGGTGATTTTATACAATTAAGGTATTTTCAAAGTTAAAATGTAAAAATAAAAATAAAATGTTAAAACATTTAGAAACATCAAGTTCTTAAAAAATTAAATTAGGAATTTGACAACACAAATTTACATCCACAGCAAATGTTTTTAAAGATTGCTGGTAACCTACAATCATGACCTGAGAGATAAGTCTCAAGAAAACTGTAAAAAATAGTCTCAAGACAATAGAAAATCAAGTATTAAAGTGAATATACAAACAGGAATAAAAATAATAAAAGTGAAAGCATCTAAGAAATTGTGGTCAAAGATAATCAAATGTCAGAGGATACCTTTGCTAATGCTAATTAAGGCTGAAAGGTAAGAAACCCTATCCTCTCTATCTGTTTTTTTCCATCTGAGAAAGCAGACCTTAATGACACTAAAGATTAAAAGAAGAATCCAAATCGGACAGATTTTTTTCTGGCAAGCTCTGACCACAGATTTGCGGGAGTGAAATGTCTTTTTGAAAGGTCTCTCCCTAGGACACTAACATCCTAGTTTTCTCCCCACAGCTGGCAGGTAGGTAGGTAAGTACGTAATACATTGAAAGTGATATATAAACTAGCAGTATCATGAAATCTCTTATCTTGTGAAGAGTTTGTGAATGTGATCGAAAAGTCATTTTCTACTGAAAACAATTTTTCCCTACTTTTCTCAAGAAGGTGTGTTAAGTCTTTTACAGCCAGTCTAACACAAGAATGCTATTCTCAGTTCCAAGTGAGATTACCTTTGAAGACTGAAAAACCATTCATCTGGTCATTATCTTCCCTATTTATAATGGTAAGGTAACTGTTACCCACTTCACTGAGGATATAATGATTTGATTTTTCAAAATACTTTGAAAGATAATAGTAATCAGTATTGGTAATATCAACTTATAAGAACTCTGTTATCCATTTTTTAAAAATGAAAACTGCCACATTAATGTTTATCAAATCTTTCCTAGTATTTTCTGGAATCATCTAAAATAACAATAGGACAAATGCTTCTTATAAAAGCCAATTAATTAATCAGATAAAATATAAAAACAATTATGTACAAATACATTCAAATATATATATATTTTTTACGTCACACAGGTAATGTGCCAGTGTCATAACAAGGTTTGAGAAAGGCACATTTCACACATAAGCATGAAAACCCAATCATCACACTTAAGAACTACAAAAGGATCAATATTCAAATATTTAAGTTTTGGTATGGTTAATATAAGTAAGAGTATTTAATTAATATCCTGACTCTTATAATTAACTATTATTAGTAGCCTACGTTTTGAAAATACAGTTTCAGAATTTGTTCTTGTACATCCTGAAGCATTTTTCTGGATATAGGCAAAAGCATAGCAAAATTTCTAGATCAATTTCCCCATACCAAAGGTACATTTTGTCTTGTTTACCTCTGTTATCACAGCACTTGGTATAGTGCCTGACACAGCAGATTTTATCAAATACTAATTTTAAAATCAATTATAAATATACAAGATTTATTATGAAGTATGATGCCGTCTCCTTTTAAATTAAAGCAGTCCTATACTTATAGCTCTTAAAATTTGAAAGTATATTAAAAAAAAGTGTTAAGCATATGTCTGCTGCTTTTTAAGGAAAGCTTTTAAAAACTTTAGACAAATATAGTATCATGGGATCTAAAGTGAGTACATTCAGTATCTGAGTTTTACCATACCAAAACAATGAAACACATACTTGCCACAGCTTCCTTAGCATTCTGTTCTTTGAAATGGAAGGGTATCCCTTCTAGTTAGATGTTTAGCTCAGGCCATCATTACCAACAGGTCCAAAGCAGCAGTCTGTCTTCTCCTACAAAAAAGTCATATTTTATTATTCTAGATATAATTTAGCCTTAGTCAGGAAATTTTTACAATTTAATGCCTTAGCTTTTAATAAATAAATGTAATTTTGAAAAAAAAAGTTTATTCCCTCATCAAAACTTTAAAAGAACCATTTAAATACCAATCCTAATATTGGTAGTAAACACAAAAACTACACATTAAAAAAACTCTATTTATATCATATAGAACAACTAAATAACTATTAGACCATTTTGAATAAAATTTCAAAACGTGAATATATGCCGTCTCTAGTGTGAAAATTGAGATGCAGAAATTGGGAGTTCTTTAAAATGAGTATACCGGCCGGGCGCGGTGGCTCACACCTGTAATCCCAGCACTTCGGGAGGCCAAGGCCGGCGGATCACCTGAGGTTGGGAGTTTGAGACCAGTCTGACCAACAAGGAGAAACCCCGTCTCTACTAAAAATACAAAATTAGCTGGGCGTGGTGGCGCATGCCTGTAATCCCAGCTACTCGGGAAGCTGAGGCAGGAGAATCGCTTGAACCGGGGAGGCAGAGGTTGCAGTGAGCCGAGATTGCGCCATTGCACCCCAGTCTGGGCAACAAGAGCGAAACTCTGACTCTAAATAAATAAATAAATAAATAAGTATACAAAGGTTATGAAGACAATTTAGTTAAACTAAGAAATGGGAGTAGTTGTATATGTTTATGTGTTAGTACATAAACCTAGTGATATTTGTATCCTAATTTATTATGTTAATCAGAATGGAGAGGATTATTAATGCTGACAACACAAGCCAAAACAAGTTAAACAAACTAGTAGTACTTGATCTACAAACATGGGGTTATCTAACAAAATGACTGGTGTTTAGCCATGTCGTTTTTGCCTGAAAGCTACTACCAAATGGCTTTACAATCAGTGCACTGTGAAGTATTAACATCATGCAATCAAATAAACAGAAAATAATTCTCTGAAAATTCAATTACTGTCCAAATATGTTGTTGTATATAATCTAGATCAGTTAAACCCATCAGAAAAGTTTAATAAAGCTACAATTGCTTTTCTTACTAGAACAGTCATAAATAACACTTTTGAAGGGTTAAAGCATTTTGGTTGTATTCTTTTTTTTTTGAGATGGAGTCTCACTGTGTCGCCCAGCTGGAGTGCAGTGGCGCAATATCGAATCACTGCAATCTCCGACTCCCTGGTTCAAGCGATTCTCCTGCCTCAGCCTCCCGAGTAGCTGGGATTACAGGCACACGCCACCACACCCAACTAATTTTTGTATTTTTAGTAGAGACAGGGTTTCACCATGTTGGCCAGGATGGTCTCTATCTCCTGAGCTCAAGTGATCTGCCCGCCTTGGCCTCCCAAAGTGCTGGGATTACAGGCATGATCCCTAACCGGCCTTTTGTTGTATTCTTTAAGCACTATTCTCTGTAAACTATAATGAATAAATATTAAGGAAGAGTATTTTCCCAATTAACCTTATTTTTTTATTCCTGCTACTATTACATACAAGTTTATGAAGAAACTTCTCACATCAAGAAATAATGTAAATACACCAGTCCTTTAGTAAAATACCTCTAGGTTAGGTTAAAACTTAGGCTGAATAAGTACACTATTTTCATGAAAAGCAAAAGAGCATTTTCCTGGTAGGCCCAGTGGAGCATCTTATTATCTCTGTAGCCTGGGACTCTACAGTTTCATTTCCTGGTATCTCCTTGTTCCGCCACTCGTTAGCCATCAATCTACAGGATGTGGACTAGAAGAGAAGATAGGAAACAGCTGCCAAAGAGGGAAGGTTATTTTCCAAAATGAATTATTAATACTTTAGGAATCTGGTAACCTACTTCAATCCATTCTTAAAATCACACAGTAATTGCAAGATATTTTACCGAATGAGTCTCTTGAGAAGAGCTGCCAAGACATGTAAAGGCACCAGGATACCAGAGGAGCAAAAATGAGCTCATCAGTGCTTTTGAATGAAAATCCTAGTTGCCTGATGTTATTTAAGTTCCTGATACTGGGATTACTTTAGAACATTTCTATCTAATTCAAAGTATTTTTCTTAATTTAGTATGAGTGAATTCCAAAAATTAAAGAGCTCATCTCAGCTATGTACATTATATAATAAAACAGAACAAGCTGTTCTGGTAGTAGATGGATTACAAAAAAAGACTGAGAGCTTGGAATTTGGAACAGACTGGGTTCAAATACAGCATGCCACTTACTAGCTGTGTGACTTTAGAAAAATGGCTTAGCCTATCTGTGCCTCAGCCCCATCATCTATAAATGGGACTGGTAATATTAATAGGATACTATTTACTTAATAGGGTTGTTGTGAGGATTGGAATAGGTAACACGTGTAAAGTTTCTGGAATATTCCTTGGTACTTAGAACACAATGAATGTTAGCAAAGAAATCTTTCTTTAAAATTTGCTAACTGTTGACAAGTGATAAAATACTTTAAGAATCTGGGTAACAACCAACCAACAAAATTTATTTGCCATTTCATACCTCTGAGCATATTAAATCATGCTGGAACAAGTTGGCTTCAAAAGGCAGATACTAATCAATCAAATTTAACCTCTCCCCCCACAAACTTTTTCTGACCTTAGCTTCAAAATAAATCATTACTGTATGACATATTTAAGGGGTATTTCATAGAACTAGCAAACATCTGATATAAGTAATTTTATCATAGTAACGAGGAGAAATTGTTCTCATGATCTTCCCCACTCCCAAGTATAGCCCATGTCTAGCAAAATTTTAACAAACTTCTTTTTAAGAATATTGATGGTAAAAGAGAATAAACTTAGAAGAAAAATATAATTATTAGTTTAGTGCTTAGAAATATCAGAACCTCCTATCTTCTTTCATTTCTCACTAAAAAACAAAAAAGGAAAAGACTTTTAAGAAGGGGAAAAAGGAAGTTAGAAATCTTGAGAAATAGGAAATCACCAAAATTTAATGAAAGAGTTATTTTATTTACAATAATATATGATATGGCTATGACTTCGATATTTTAATTTTGTTAAGATAAATTCTGATAATATTTTTTAAAATCTAAAACTAAGAACTGAAAATTAAAATCTTGCATTAAAAATGATTTATTTGGCTGAGTGCAGTGGCTCACACCTGTAATCCCAGCATGTTGGGAGGCCAAGGCAGAAGGATTGCTTGAGGCCAGGAGTTTGAGACCAGCTAGGGCAACACAGTAAGACCCTATCTCTACAAAAAAAAAAATTAAAAATTAGCCGGGCGTGGGTGACACATGACTGTAGTCCTAGCTACTCAAGAGGCTGAGGAGAAAGGATCGCTTGAGCACAGGAGTTTGAGGGTGCAGTGAGCCATGATCATGCCACTGCACTCCAGCCTGGGCCACAGAATGAGACCCCGTCTCAAAAAAAAAAAAAAAAAAATGTATTCAACTGGCTCCCTTGAATAAACATAATTCTTAAACTGCTCATATATACTTATTTTACAAAGTATATCATCACATTTGTTTAGACCAAAGGTATACAGTCTTACCTCTTAAGTTGGAAACTGATTGTATAAAATGCCAAGATTAAGTATCTTTTAAGATCAAAACCTGGCAACTACATACAAAGTTACATATTAATATTTACTTTAAGAATATCCTGTATAAAATGCAGATCTCCAAAATGTAAACTCAAATGTATATTCTGATTAATAATCTAAGTCAGCAACTTTAGTCATGCAAATCTGGTTATTGATGACTACAAATATATCAGAGCAACAAGGATACAATAAAATTTATCAATAATAGTATAGAAACATTGGCTCTTATTCTAAAGATAGTATCAGTTTTAAAAACAGAACTATAACTTACTTTTGAAACTACGTAGGATTATTTAAAAGGATTTTAAGTTCAAAAAATTTAGTCTTAACAGTAAATGTGCTTATCACAACATAAATAAATATTTATAATGATTTAAAAAATGTGTATTACTGGCTAGCACCATAAACAGTACAATAGATAATTCCAAAAATCTCTCTGAATAATTGCACTGACTATGATATTAGATTAAAAACTAGGTGCTGAACTTTCAACACTGTTTATTTAAGTAAAGTCTTTGGGCCCAAATCCACAATGCTGCAACACAAATAAAAGGGTTATTTCCTCAGCTACATTTGTGATCATTTTAATAATTTTAAAAGCATTTTCATTTAAGTATTAAGTTATAATTTACAGCAAACTAAGTCTCAAATATCACATTTTATGCTTAATTAGCATAAGAAATATAATACATCATAATATAACCTTTCCATCTTAATATAAAATATAATAATACAAAAGGGAGAAAAATCTTCAAAATGAACCACCTCTCCTATGCTATTAATTTCGCTAATAACTGTAAAACTTTGTCCCCAATTATTGAAAAAAAAAGAACTTACAATTATCATTAAAGGTGAAATAATTGCTACATCATGCATGAACTACCCCCCAAATCCGGTGAAATAATAAGCTTAGCTATAAAGGAAAGAAATCCACTAATGAGTGTTCACTAGCACAGGCACATTTATGTTTTCGGATTTAGCATATTTTCAAACCATCTGGCATTAATGCCTCTCTGGTTCACCCAGCCTAATCTGTTCAGAATTGAATATAAAACCAGAGCTACATGAACATTGAGGAAACCAAAGAACAGCACACGTGCATAAAATGTTCCAAATGTAAAGTTCTAAACTAGTTTCTATTTGAACTGTATCTTTAAAACATTTCCATTGAAGACGTTAAAGCTCTTTCGAAAATACAAGAATGGTTCAAGAAATCTCTATGAATCATCACTATCATCAGTTACCCAAGTATTACCCTTTCTCATTTTAATCCTGATTGTCAAATAAGGCGTCTGAAGAGGTACTTCAACAAAAAAGATTCATTGATAACTGAAATGCTATCATTTTATATCGAAAAGGTCCACGATTATACATTTTACTTTGTATAAAATTAGTCTGCTTAGCCTTAACATGCTTTGGGAAAGGAGAGAAAAGCTAAAAGGAAAAAAATATTCATGAAAGCCCTTTTTCTTTTATGTCCTGTTACCGCATTATTGTCATTGGCAGCACTCACATTTCTTTTGCTTAAAATCAGGAGTCAGAATTGCTACTTTAGAAATTAAAATAATCGATGGGTATACTAGGGCCAATTTCCCTGTTAAAACCAACTCCTGCTCACCTTCGCTCCCGACATAAAAACAAATGACTTTTTCAGAATAATTTTTCAGAAACGAAGATAATTAATGTAGCACCATATAACACAAATTAAAGCTTTCAGACAAAGACTGAGAAACAATGACCAACACCAGCAAATCTAAAGTGCTCTTATATATGTATACACACAACACACACACACACCCCAAACCAAATATTCACTGTTCCTGGGGGGAGACTGCTTCTTCCTCCCTAACCGTGAACCGCTGTATATTTTCCAATTTTGTGATTTTCCTTTTTCTGCTATCACATTAACCTCCAAGAGAACTGCTTAAGTTACATGGAATCCCAACCTAATCACATCACGACTTCTCTCTCAGCCTTTACATTTTTCTCTCAAATATTAGCTCTTCGCATTTTTTTTTTTTTCTAATAGCTGGGCTGAGTTGACAGAAAAGGGCTGTGGAATTCCTGCTCTGTCCGATATCTTCCCTGTATTCCTCTTTTCTCATCCCTAGTCTCTGTTCTAATTCCCCCGCCTGCTGTCTCTCATTGACGCCTTCCCAGCTGCTGGATCCTTCACTAACCTAAGCTAAGGATATCAAATGGAATCTTTTCCTTCTCAGGGGCTATGCTCTTTCCTTACAGTTACCCACGGAGGAGAGAGGACAGGAAAGGTACTAAAACAAAGAATTGCCAAGTCCCTTTACCTCCAACTTTGGTGTAAATATATAAGGAAAGGGGATCTGCCAGGGCTCTTCTTTCCTGCCCTTAGACCTTGTTCCTCTCACACCTCTCCTTCCCAGCCTTTTATACCCCTTGAGGTATTAGTAGATTGTTCACTGTGGGCCCTAAGGCTTGGAGGATTCCCATGGGTCAGCCCCCACACCCCCACGCCCCTACCATCCTCTTTAATTAACTTCTCCCTAAATCCCAGGGCTTCGTCACAATCGTAATATGGTTCTTAAGGACTCAACTCCCAGTCTTTCCCAAAGTTGGGACATGGCCTGGCCCCGAAACGGGTGCGCATAGCCTTCCTTGAACTGGAGGTAAAGACTTCTCCTGAAGGGTTTGCTGGGGCTCCAACCTCAGTCAGTGCGCTCAGCTCCAGCAAGAGAATCTCTCCTTACTCTCAGGGAGACTGGGTCCCCCACGAGGCAGCCACACGCCCCCGGAGGACAGCGCTCCTGACCTCCTCTAGGACTCCCAACATTACTGGGGTGCTCCCTCCGGCGGCGCCCTCCGCTGGGAATACGCAGTCTTCACTCCTCTCAACAATCCTAAGTTGCTGGGTCCTCACCAAGGCAGGGGGCTGAGATGTTCCCTCCAGAGAGCCCCCCGCCCCCAAGCTCTTTCGGTGGCGGAGACACCCAAAAAGAGCGAGGGAGGCTGTGGGTCTGTCTGTCCCTCTGCGGCGACTACCCAGCCGCGAGGCAGGCCCCGTCCCTCCCCCTCGGACGCCCCACGCCGGGTCCACCCCGCCACCCGCCGCCGCGAGCGGGCTCAGCCCCAGGGGTCTCTGCTGTGAGGCTGCCCTCCTCCCGCCAGGCCCCGCGCTACTCGCCTTTCCCGTGCCGGCCGCGGACTCTGCGCTCCAGTTCCCACCCGCAGCCCAGAGTCTCCGGGCCCGCTGGTCGCGGAGCCGGCTCGCGCCACTACCTGCAGGGGCCGCCGCGCCTCTCAGCGCCACGCCGCCGCCATCTTGCATTTCAAACCGGCTGCACTTTTCAGGGAGTCAACTCTGACCTGTGAACCCTAAACCCGGAACCGCTCGGCGGGCCCGCAAAGGGGCCTCAGCAGCTCGGTGGCCCCGCGGAGTGTGGGGACTCAGGGTGGGGGTGCGAGGAGAGGCGCGCGCCCCAGCGGCCGTCCGGGGGCGGAGGGGGAAGGGAGAGAGCCGGCCAAGGCGGGGCCCTCCCGCGCGCGCGTCCTCCGCGCGCCCCCACCCCGTGCGGCGCCGAGCTCTCCACGCCCAGACCCTGCTACTCCACTGGGGTCCGACCCCGGCCCCTAGTCCGGGGATTGGCGCACCGCGGGAGGTAGGGAGGCGCCCCGCCCCCCTGTCAACAGAAGCCCCGCCCCAGACTGCGGAAGCTCCGCCCCCTGTCAGGAGACGCCCCGCCTTCCCAGGGCTCGAAATGGCCCCGCCCTTTGCCTGCGACCGCTCCGCCCGCTGTGGACTGAAGCCTGGTCTTCTCTCGGGTCAGCACAGAAGGCAGCCCCGCCTTCCTTGCGCTCCGCCTTCCTAATGTCACTGCTGGATCGTGAGAGGTAAGCATGCTGGCTTCTACTGAAACGCCCCTTGTCATCACACGCCCATCCCCTGGGGCGACACGACCCAGGCCCCGCCCCTCGGGGGGCTGCTGCGAGTCCGGCCGGGAGCCCAGCGCCCTGACAGAAGTCGCCGCGCCCCTTGTCAGCGGCAGCTCCACCTCTCCTCGCTTCGGACCCCGCTCCTCCGCGGGCCGCAGCTCCACCCGCTGACACCGAAAGTTCAGTTCAGCTGCACTCAGAACCGCCGGGCAAGGCGGAGCCGCCCTCTGCCCCTCAGCCGCCCTCCTCCCTGCGAACCGCCACTCGCTCTTCCAGAGGCTTCTGTCCGAGTCGAGGGCTTCACATCCCGTCGGCTTTCAGGGAACCAGCCCCGCAGCGGGGCCAGCGAGGGCCAGGGGTTTCGGGAACACTGCCCGGCGTCTCCGCCCCTCCCTACTCACTTTCCCTTTCCCCCGCACCGCGGTCAGAACGTGGAGGAACAGAACCAAAGCGGAGAGCGGCGACTCACCCTCCAGCTGCTCCACACGCCGGGCCTTGGACGCTCGAGCGCTCCTGGGCCCCTTGACGTTCACTCCCCACCCCCATCCCAGTCGCGGACCCTTTGTGCAGAGCTCCGCTGAGCCACAGTAATCCTAAAAGCACAGCAGAGCTCCGCTGAGCCACATTAATCCTAAAAGATGCAATTGCTTCAAGTGGAAGTCTGATTTTTTTTTTTTTTTTGAGACGGAGTCTCGCGTTGTCGCTTAGGCTGAAGTGAAATGGCGCGATCTCTGCTCACTGCAACCTCTGCCTCCCGGGTTCAAGCGATTCTCCTGCCTCAGCCTCCCGAGTAGTTGGGATTACAGGGGCCCGTCACCTAACGCCGGGGTAATTTTTGTATTTTTGGTAGAGACAGGGTTTCGCCATGTTGGCCAGGCTGGTCTTGAACCCCTGAACTCAAGTGATCCGCCAGCCTCGGCCTCCCAAAGTATTGGGATTACAGGAGTGAGCCACCGCGCCTGGCCGTGGAATCTGATCGTTGAAATCAGTGTTCTACAATATTCTTTTTATTTGTAGGTTTCATCCTGGAATCCTAAAACTTGTGTAGGATAAGGCTTAATTTTATAAGCAAAGGTATTCAACCCTGCCACATTCAATGCCCTGTATTTACAACAAAAAATATAACACTGCTTTACTCTTCTGGAGTTAAATTCCTAATGCAAACTATCTCTACAAATAATTTCAAGAAACCAATGTAATGTTCTAATAAAGGTGAAAAAGGAGAAAGTAGTTCATAATAAAATACTGTATGTACTAATATCAAGAAAAATTTTAAAATAACAGAGTTTTCACAATGTAAATACTCTGCCACCAATAGAATGCAAAACAAAAACTGTCCCGGCAAAATTTCAGTATGCCCCTGAGGGGCAGTACTGCCCTCGCTGGGAACCTCTTTAGACCGAGGAAGAGGTCTGGAAATGCTTCAAATAGAGAAATTCATTCTTTTGTCTACACAGTTAATGACAAGTTTTCTTTTGTTGTTGTTGTTGTTGTTGTTTTTGAGACGGAGTCTCGCTCTGTTGCCCAGGCTGGAGTGAAATGGTGCGATTTCGGCTCACTGCAACCTCTGCCTCCTGGGTTCAAGTCATTCTTCTGCCTCAGCCTCTTGAGTAGGTGGGATTACAGGCGCGTGCCACCACACCCGGCTAATTTTTGTATTTTTAGTACAAACGGGGTTTCACCATGTTGGTCAGGCTGGTTGCGAACTCCTAACCTCGTGATCCGCCCTCCTTGGCCTCCCAAAGTTCTGGCATTACAGGTGTGAGCCACCACACCCGGCCGATGACTAGGTTTTGTGTGTGCCAGTATATGCCAGGCACTGTGGGAGATGTACAGCTGAGTTAGTCAACTTTCCTGTCTTCCAGGAACTTACAATCAAGTAGCCAAGCAAAAAACAGGAGCATAAAGATGTGTCAAGTGAAAGATGAGAAGAGACCCCTTTAGGGATGTGGAGCTGTTGACTGTAACTTCACATTTTACCCCCACTTCCTCCCTCACTTTATTCTTCCTTCTCCTCTTCTACTTTAGCACTAGTTTATAGAGTCACCTCCTCCTCCCTATAAGCTGTCTCCCTGGTTCACTGCCCAATGCCAGCCATCCAGAATTCTCCCAGTTTAGGGTCATGCCCACAGGGCAATTCTGTCCAAGAAAACACAGTGCTGAGAACAATGTCCTTAGCTGAATTGCTGCCAATTACTTGGTATCCTTCTACAAAGCAAGACTGTTATCATCACCACTCAAAAAAAAAAACTGGTTGCAGACTTAAGCAATATGAATATATGTTTAGCATAGCAGATTGTGCCAGCCCACATAAATCTGCTTAGAGATCAGGCTCACAGAGTAACTTGTTTTTATTAAAATAAATTCATTTATAAAAATTGTAAATATGATGGATTTTAACAGCTGCGTGGCTCCAGGAGTTTTTTTTTTTAACCATGGATTGGCACAATTAGAAGTCTAGATTTTTTTTATGCATATGTTTTGCAGTTTGTCATACTCAAACTGGTATGGCAAAACTTCAGTACTCTTAGAGATAGAAGTTGTTCAGCAGGTTTTAAAAAGCACAGCACTTTTGCTATTCAGAGCCTCTTCCACCTTTGGAACAGTGAAAAAAAAATATTGGTAGGAAATGAAGAGCTTTGGATAAAAAGTTCTAAGCTCTGGTGTCATCTGAAGAGGAATAGGCTTCCAACAGCACTTTTTGTAGTAGTTCCCTTCTGTTATTATTTTTCCTTTTTCCACTTTTTGTGAAAAAGTCTTTTTAAAAACATGATACCATGAAATAGACCAGCCAAAAAGACATCAAACTAAGACACTTTAAACTTTTGACTACAGTTAGGTGAACTTAAGAATTTAGCCCTAGTGAAGTGCTCCCACTATTTTCTGTAATGGCTACATTAGAAGGTGAACAAAAATGTTCCTACTAAAACTAGTTCAGGCTGAATAAACTTTCTAAGACAGTTTAGGGGTCAAGCCATTTCCTGTTTCTCTTAGTGCTTGCTCTGTGAAAATAATAATGTTATTGGTAATAACAACAGTAAAAACAAGTCAATATTCTTGGTACTTGTAAAATTCCTTCCCACTCCACTCTTTCCCTCTACTTCTAGCATAGGACCATATATAGTACTACAGGACTATAGATGCAAAACAAGAAAAACAGAGAGGAAAACTGATTTTCCAGTATTCATTCAAAGAGTAACACATTGATACACTTTATATTTTAATCATAGTGTCATCTGGGTTGATTCATTCATTGGTGTGTAACTCTATATCCACCAAAACTTAGTGTCTTGGCCAGGCAGGGTGCCTCACGCCTGTAATCCCAGCACTTTGGGAGGCTGAGGCAGGTGGATCACAAGGTCAGGAGATCGAGACCATCCTGGCCAACATGGTGAAACCCTGTCTGTACTAAAAATACAAAAATTAGCCGAGCGTGGTGGCATGTGCCTATAGTCCCAGCTACTCAGGAGGCTGAGGCAGGAGAATCGCTTGAACCTGGGAGGCAGAGGCCGCAGTGAGCCAAGAGCGCACCACTGCACTCCAGCCTGGGTGACAGAGCAAGACTCTGTCTCAAACAAACAAACAACCAAAAAAACCTTAGTGGCTGTATCAGCATGACTTCTAAGGAAAAAGTGGCAGTATCTATTTTTTAACATAAAAATGTAGCATACAAATAACCCTAGGGAACACTCCTCCACTAGAAAGCAATGCTAGAGTGAGAAAATGCAATAATTCACTGTGTTTCAGTCTTTGCAGAGAAGTCTAAGTAGCAGTCCTTAAACTTTAATGTTCATGAAAATTATGGAGAACTTTCTTTAAAAATAGATTCTCAGACCCCACTCCTGGAAGAGTCTAATTCAGTGGGTCTGGGACGAGGCCATGAATCTGCATTTGACATGCAGCTGCAGACTTTGAGAAATACTCGTCTAAACAAACGCTTATAATTAAGGAAAAATTTCTTGTAGAAATAACTAAGGGTTACAAGCTACAAAAACTCTGAAAAGAAATACCATTCCTAAAATTGTCAGTTACATGGACATCAACACTGGGAAGGAAATGCCTTCAGTCAATAAGAACTTTCGGACCCATTGCAGACTTTCCATATTCTAGGAAAGGTCACAGCTCATTAAACTCTGAGCACTTTAGATATGTTATCCCATTATACCCTCCTAGTATCTCTGTGAGATTGTGGGTATTGTTTGCAGTTAACATATGAGGAAGCTAAAGTTTGGAGAGATTAACCTACCCAGGATAAGTAAGCTGGATTTTGAATCCATCCTGACCAGTCCTAAATCCTAATAAAGATGTTACATACACTGCTTCTAAGAAAGAAGGCATTGCATTAGCCAAGCTACAGTGTGCACTGGATTTGAGAGCATTCACTGTCATTGAAGTCAGATGGTCACTGTCAAATCCCAGATTCTCTGCCACTTGCTAACGGTATCAAGAAGTACAAACCCACCACAATTTAGTGGCTTAAAAAATGAAGCAATTAGTTACCTCAGAGGTCTGTGGGTCAGCTGGTTGAGTCTGCTAATCTGGGTAGTTCTGAACTGGAGCAGGTTTGGCTGATCTCGGCTGGACTTGCTCAGGCATCTGTGGTCAGCAGGTGGGCTGTCTGGGGGCTGCCTGGTCTCGGACAGCTGCATTCATATATCCAGGGGCTGGCTTATGCAGGACAGCTTCAGCCACACATTCAGTGGATGGCTGGCTGTTGATCACAGCAGGAACTGGGCCACTTTGTCTCATCTTCCAGTAGAATAGCCTGGACTCATTCACAAGCAGCCACAGTGTTCCAAGAAAGCCAGAAGCAGCCTTTAAGATCTCTTGAAGCCTAGGCTCAGAGCTGACATAACTGTCATTTCTGCCACATTTTGCTGGCCAAAGCCAATCACAGAGCCAGCCCTGATTCCACCTCCTTTTTTTTTTTAGAGAGAGAGACAGGGTCTTGCTGTTGCCCAGGTTGAAGTGCAGTGGCACAATCATAGCTCACTGCAGCCTTGAACTCCTGGGCTCAAGGCATCCTACTGCCTCAACCTCCCGTGTAGCTAGGACTACAGGCGTGCACTGCCATTTTCCGCTTGATCCCACCTCTTGAAAGCAGCTGCAAAGTCACATTGCAAAGGATGAGGCTACAGGAACGGCAAATAATTGTGGCCATTTCTGTCATTGAGTTACCACACTATGTGACTGAAGGCAGGTTTCTTAACCTGTCTATGTTTTCACTCATCTGTAAAATGAAGATAACATTACAATTGTTGTGTCCTATATCAAAGGGTTAATAGTTGATGAAAAGTTACCTTAACTTCCCAGAAAATATCAGCCTGATGATGCTCTCTATGGTCTTTCCAGCCTGAAAGTCTTATGAATTTGCATGGAAGAGAGACCAGGCTGATTTATGTGGCTCCTCAGGGAAGGACGTTAGCCCTGATTTTCTTACTCTTGATTTCATACTGTTCAGTCAACATAGTTCTGGTTGTGAGGTACCGAAACTCTCTTAAGCTAGCTCAATCCAGGAACGAAAGCTACTCTTTGACCCTGCAGGTCTACTCCATCGTCTCCTCTCTTGACTCCCTTTTTTAAAATTTTTTTTTTTTTTGAGACAGAGTTTCACTCTTTTTGCCCAGGCTGGAATGCAGTGGCGCAATCTCGGCTCACGGCAACGTCCGCCTCCCAGGTTCAAGCGATTCTCCTGCCTCAGCCTCCTCAGTAGCTGGGATTACAGGCATGGGCCACCATGCCCTGCTAATTTTGTATTCTTAGTAGAGATGGGGTTTCTCCATGTTGGTCAGGCTGGTCTCGAACTCCCGACCTCATGTGATCCATCCACCTCGGCCTCCCAAAGTGCTGGGATTACAGTCATGAGCCACCGCGCCTGGCCTCTTGACTCCTTTTAAGTCTCCTCGAGAACATGGCCTGGCTAAGTAGCCTCAGCCAAGGAGTCCAACATGACTGTTGAGCTCTGTTCATTAGAGTTAATGCCCCAATTCCCAAATCTAAAGAGAGAACCTGATTGGTCCAGCACATTTCTTCTTAAAAGGTCAGCTTAGTGCAATCTGCCAGGTTAGGAGGGGAAGCCAGTCTTGTGGGGAAAGAGCAGTTTTACTTGGGCAGCAGAGGCTGTAAGCAACGACGGTTCCTTCAGAAGATGGCTGTGAGCCAGCAAAGACAACGCTTTACATCTCCTGGACATATGTCGCCTTCTCTACAATTTGAGTTTACCTTTCCATCAAATAGTGAAAGGACTCAATTTCAAGGACCTTATAAAATCCATCTCCTCTCTGTACATTTCTTTTTTTTTTTTTTTTTGCGACAAAGTCCGGCTCTGTCACCCAGGCTGGAGTGCAGTGGCGCAATCTCGGCTTACTGCAAGCTCCGCCTCCCAGGTTCACACCATTCTCCTGCCTCAGCCTCCCAAGTAGCTGGGACCACAGGCGCCCGCCACTATGCCTGGCTAATTTTTGTATTTTTAGTAGAGACGGGGTTTCACCGTGTTAGCCAGAATGGTCTCAATCTCCTGACCTTGTGATCTGCGCGCCTCGGCCTCCCAAAGTTCTGGGAATACAGGGGTGAGCCACTGCGCCTAGCCAGGGTTGGGGTTTCTTCTGAGGGCTATCAGGGAAGGATCTTTTCCATGCCTGTCTCCTTGACTTGCAGATGGCCATCTTCTCCCTGCGTCTCCACATCATCTTCCCTCTGTATATGTTGGTGTTCAAATTTGCTCTCCTTATAAGGACACCAGTACACAGGATTAGGATCTACCCTCCTGACGTCATTTTAAATGACCTCTGCAAAGACCCTGTGTCCAACCTTGGTCACGTTCTAAGGCGCTGGGAGTTAGGGCTTTAACATATGAATTCTGAGGGAGTCACAATTCAGCCCATAGTAGGAGGAAAACAGTAATCATTATAAACTACAAAATGCAAGTAGTATCTCAGCCTGTTCTTTCCTGGGCTTATCCACAGTTCTGCATTTCCGAATGTCTTTCAGTCCCTAAGAATATTCAGTAACTACTTACTGACTCTCTGTGGTTTGTAATTTTTTAAAGTTCCGAGTCTATGAAAAGGGTGGTCATACTGGCTACTTTTTGAAGGCTTTTTATATTATGGCGAGTTTATCTTATGTTTAATCAAATAGCATTTTGTTTCCACATTGCCAAAGGCAATGGTTTTCAGCTAGACAATAGAATCACCTGGTGTTTTCTGAAAACATCTATTTTTTATTGGTCTATTCAAAGAAAAAAAAAAAATCTGCACCCCAGCTCTACCCCCCCGAAGATTCTGATTTATTCAGTTTATGGTGAGATATAGGCACTCTTTTGTTTTGTTTTTAAAAAGCTTCCCAGATGATTCCAAAATGCAGTCAGTTTTGAGAACCACTGGCCTCATTCAAGGGGGAAGGGAGGTAACCAACTTATATGAAGAACCTCTACCTGCCAGGTTCTGAGCTCAGTACTTTTCTATATAATCTAATGTAATTTTCAGAGCAATCCTATGAGCATTAATACTACATCCCCCATTTTGTAGATAAGAAAATTGGGGCGTAAGATTTGTTTGCTCAAGTTCCACAAATTGTGGAGGCAGAAGTTCAAATATTGGGTTGCAGGACTCTGGTAGGGCTGGAGATCTTTCCATCAGAAGGTCAACAACCATCATGTGAACACATTATCTCTATTTGTCCGAACGGACTAGGCTATGCTGCTGTAACAAACCCCAAATACCCAGTCTTAACATAACTTTTCAGTCATCGAGGCTTCTTTGGGCCCTCAGTGATTCTCTAGGGCGATTCGCTTCTAAGTGGTGACTCAGGGACCCAGGCTGCTTCCTCTTTTTGGCCATATACAAGAAATGTGGCTAGTTATGGGAAATGTGGTAGAGCAAATAGGTATTTTGGTGAGCAGTAAATGTTTCTTCCATGTTACCTTAACAAAAGGCATCTTTTTTGGAGAACCTATTCAAGAAGATTGAAACACATGTTTGACTCCACAGGCCCTCCTTTTCCACCACACAGTAAAGCCTACAGTCCATCCTTCTGTGCCTTGGATGATTAAAAAAGTCAAGGCAGGTTGGGCACGGTGGGAGACACCTGTAATCCCAGCACTTGGGCAGATCACCTGAGGTGAGGAGTTCAAGACCAGCCTGGCCAACATGGCAAAACCCCGTCTCTACAAAAAATACAAAAATTAGCCGGGCGTGGTGATGTGCGCCTGTAATCCCAGCTACTTGGGAAGCTGAGGCAGGAGACTCTCTTGAACCCAGAAGGCAGAGGTTGCAGTGAGCCAGGACTGCTGCACTCCAGCCTGGGAGACAGAGTGAGACTCCGTTGCCAAAAAAAAAAAAAAAAAAAGTAAAAGTCAAGGCAAACCTAAACTCTTTGGTGAGGTATGATGCAGTTTGGATGTTTACATTAGATTTAGATGCAACTTGACATATTTTATTGTATTATAAGCTCTTTGGGGGCAGGGACCATATTGCATTCATATTTGTATCTTTCCTAATGCCTTGCACACAGTAGGTCTTTAATATAGCTTATATGTTTATATATACATAAATTTAGCACATATTTATGGAACAAAACAGACAGTCTCTGCCCTCATGACTATAATTAAAATACCCCAACTGGACTCAGTGGCTCATGCCTGTAATCCCAACACTTGGGGAAGCTGAGGCTAGAAGGTCGCTTGAGTTCAGGAGTTCAAGACCAGCCTGGGTCTTGAAGTAAGACCTCGTCTCCACTAAAAATAAAAAAACTAGCCAGGCCCCATGGCACATGCCTGTAGTCCCAGCTGCTTGAGAGGCTGAGGTGAGAGGAACACTTGAGTCTGGGAGGTCAAGGCTGCAGTGAGCAGTGATCACGCCATTGCACTCCAGCCTGGGTGACAGACCAAGACCCTGTCTCAAAAAAAAAAAAAAAAAAAATCCCTAATCATAACTTAAATTAGTGTTGGGTCTTGCCATTTGTAATATGTTTTAGCTACCTTGATCTCATTTTAGTTATGAATGTTAAAAATTGAAAATATAGACCTAGGTGTTACTACATATGCTTTTAGAATATTAAATCAATTTTTTTAAATATAGACTGATTAGCTTGGACTTCTCACTAAGTTAATTTCTCAATTTGTAGTCTACTGACACATTTATTTCACTCCTGTTTCATAGCTTATGCATCCAGATATGAAACTGCAAGTATGCAGTTTACAGCTAACAAGATAATATATTGCTGTGCTTATGTTACACATATACCCAAAGGTTAAACACCTTTCTGATCATACAGATAGATTTGTAGACTTTTAACAACTTTCTTGAAAAATACTCGCCCAAAGACAGTTGAGGGACAATATAAAAATATAAGATTTTTTTTATATTTTATATTTAAATTTTATTATTTATACTTATTTGTATTTTATATTTAAATTTATTTTATATTTTTAAATTTTTCAGTTTACAAACACAAGGATTTTTTTTCTGATCTTTTTTGGCCCGCCTTTAAGATATTTCGGGTTTTATAACAAAATAAGAATTTTGGCTTAAAAGCAATTTTTAAATTTTTATAAAACATTTGTATGAACAAAGGAATATATTCACTACAGAAACATTAAAAAATAGAGGTGAGAATCCATTTATGTTTCTCCCTTCCTAGCCACTATTAGCATTTCAGTGTATTTCCAAACTGGCTATTTTTAGATGAAAGAAAATGTGTAGTTGTCTCTGCCTATTCTCCTGCAAGGTTATTTGGTCTAAGAATATTTTTTAAAGTCTTTTTGGGTAGACATTTTTCATTTAGCTAGTATTTTAGTGATTATATTTCATGCAACAGCTGTGAGGTGAAGGTTCAGAAGAAACCAGGGAATTCGTTTGGTTGATGGTAATTTACATTTTCTCCCTAGTGGGATGGGAAAAAAGACTTAAGAAAAATTTAAGGAAGAAACAGAAAAGAGACATATGTAGTGGTCCTAAATATAAAACACGTAAACTGAATGAAAAAAAAATTACAGAACATAAAACTGGGGGTAACTTATTTTTCTTCCTAAATAATTAAAGCAAAAGCTTGTGTCTTTTTTTAAGGTCCTGATTTTCCTAAATATTCACCAGAGTAAATAGCTATAATTAGGATTCATCACACGTAATCAGTTTCCAAATTATTTCATGAATACATTATCTGTTGCATCAAGCCTCCCTTTTTCCTCACAAGTCGATCTTCAAGCCTGTTGAAGTTTCACAATGGTCCTTTAAATCAGTACTTGTAGCTCACAATGTCTGTATGTCCAGAGTACTCATGTCTGGCTCCCTTTGATCTATTAAATGTTTTAGTTCCATATCTTTTGGGCATTTAAATCATTTTGATTCAGCATGTGCTGTGAAGGTAGAAGTATTTCAGGAGCCCTCTCGCTGCATGTTAAGTGCTGTTCTCTGACTCCCAGCCAGAGCTTGGATGTTGGCAGGGTTGATGGCTCAAATGTAGTGATTTCATTTCCAACCTTTGCACACTAAAATTACATAGCCTAAACACAAAACTTCCAGATTTTCCCTCTTAGAAGCACAATTTAACATTGCCATAAATAAAACAGTCTTTAAAATGGGAAGAAATTTGAAAATAAAATTGTAATGCTTCCACAATAAAATATTGGGGATATTAATGCTGGTTTGTGAGGTTTGGTAGCTGCGAAACCTTTAAAAAGTTATTGTTGGAGTATTTAATTTTTCCTACTTTTATTTTTTAAAGAGAGTGGGTGTCTTAGGTTGGGCTGCCCCTAAAACGGACCCTGAGTAAAGGATATGAGGGCAAGTGGTTCATTTGGGAGGTGATGCCAAAAAGAATGAGTAGGGGAGTGGGGATATAAGAAAGGGAAGGGAAGGAAGCTAGCAACGGTACAGTTTCTAGCCGGTTGCTGCTGTGGGACCTCGTGCTCAACTCTAATGGAGAACCTAGAGATAAAGTGTAGAACACACCTCAGAGATATCCCACCAAAGGGCCAAGGGAACGGGTTATTATTCACCAACTCCCATCTATGTCTAGCCAGAAGCTACTCACAGGGGTGTTAACTCTTTGCCACTTCCAGACCACCTCCACCGTGAGTCATGAGAAAACCCTCAGGTGTAGGGTTACCAACATTTGCAGGAGTTGCCACTGGCGCATACTGGAATGCTGAGTGCCAAAGCCATACAGTGTCTGTTCAAGGAAGGTTGTTACGAGCATGGGTTTCGAGTCACAGACACCTCATTTAAGTCCTGCTTCTGCCACTTATATGTGATAGTGAGTGAATGACTTAATCAGTCTCAGCATCTGTTTCTTTATTTGTAAAAGAAAAATAATACTAGAACCTACCTACTAGGCGTTTTATGGCCATTGTAAGTATGAATGAGATACTGTGTGTAAACTGCACACAAGGTGAGTGTTCACCGTATGTATCAAATAATTGGCTCAAATGGACATGAGAGAGTAAGTCAGCAAATTTTATCTGCTAAACTTTTGTGGCAGACAACTCCCGGGTCGCCTGCCAGGGTCACACTTTCTTATAATATGGGTTTCCCCTAATAATGTCTAAATTATGTGACATTGGTCTCTGGCAGGAACTAGGGTGGACATCAGGACCAGTCCAATTCTTTGGAACCAGGAGGGTACTATGAAGTCTAGAACAGAGAATCACTGAGCCTGGGTGGCTTTGTCTTTGTCAAGTCACATTAATGGCAACTATTTTAGGAACTTCAGCCAAGGGCTTGAAGCAGGACTAGTTCCCTCTCATTGACCTTTGGTTGTTCTAAACATCCATGAGGTAATTTACATCCTTTCAAAAATGTGCCTTTTTGCTAAAGTTAGAGGATTTCTGTTACTTACAACCAAAGAATCTTAACCAATAAAACCCATCTGTTTTTTATTTTTGTTTTTTTTTAGAGCTGTATTTTAGGCTGAAGCGTGGTAGGGCAATCATGACTCACTGAAGTCTCAAACTCCTGGGCTCAAGTGATCCTCCTACCTCAGCCTCCCAAGTAGCTAGGACTACAGGCATGCGCCACTACACCTGGCGAATTATTATTACTATTATTTTTGTAGAGATGGGTCTTGCTATATTGCCCAGACTGGTCTCAAAATCATGGCCTCAAGCGATCCTACCACCTCAGCCTCCCAAAGAGCTAGGATTACAGGCATGAGCCACTGTGTCCAGCAAAAACCAATCTGTTTTTATTTTATTTTATTTTATTTTATTTTTTTTGGAGACAGAGTCTCACCTTGTAACCCAGGCTGGAGTGCAGTGGTGCGATGTCAGCTCACTGAAACTTCCACCTCCCAGGTTCAAACTCCTGAGTAGCTGGAATTACAGGCATGCACCACCACGCCTAGCTAATTTTTGTATTTTTAGTAGAGACAGGGTTACATCATTTTGGCCAGGCTGGTCTTGAACTCCTGACCTCAGGTGATTGGCTTGCCTCAGCCTCCCAATGTGCTGGGATTACAGGTGTGAGCCACTGCGCCCGGCCCCATCTGTTTTTAACCTAATAATTTAATTAACTGCTGGATGCTCTCTTCTTTTATCAATATTTTTATATAAATATAATATTTCTTGGTATTTTATACTTGTTCCCAGAGCTAGTAAAAAACAAAACAAAACTCCCACAACCTTTCAGTCCTTTCTGCAGTTATTTTGCTGACTGACTATGCAAAGCGTAGAATATACAGTCATAACTAAATGGATTTCAATCTCAGGAAGGTGCCCAATATGTAAACAATTAACTGTAAGCAAATCAAACTGAAAATTTGTTCTTTCATGGCCTTGGAATGAGATAAATCTAACAGAAGCAGCTTCTAAAAATATAATCAAGATGATCTTGTATCTTTTAAAAAATAAGCCATTATTAGCAAGATCCTTCTCTCCTTCTGAAGTGTGGGCTTCCCTTCACCGTAGCTATATGTGCCTCCATTTCTTAGTAAACTCATATCTTTCTATTCTGCTTTCTTAATCCTCTTATCTATTTATCCAGCAATTAAGTCAACTGATACCTATTTAGTGCCAACTGGGAATTGATTGTGGTAGGTGCTAGATCTATAATCATAAAACAAAACAAAACAAACTTAGTTCCTGACCTTAAAGAGCCTATGATCTCATAGTGAGACAAATATTAAATAAATAAGCATTAAAAAATACCTAGTCTCCGGGCACAGTGGCTCACGCCTGTAATCCCAGCACTTTGGGAGGCTGAGGTGGGTGGATCACCTGAGGTCAGGAGTTCGAGACCAGCCTGGCCAACATGTGAAATCCCATCTCTACTAAAAATACAAAAATTAGCCAGGCATGGTGGCAGGCACCTGTAATCCCAGCTACTCCAGAGGCTGAGGCAGGAGAATCACTTGAACCCGGGAGGCAGAGGTTGCAGTGAGCTGAGATCGCGCCATTGCACTCCAGCCTGGGGGACAAGAGCGAGACTTCGTCTCAAAAAAAAAAAAAAAAAAAAAAACCTAGTCAAAGTATGTGTCACTGCAGGCTGGACTCATGGTCTTACCACTGAGTTTCAACAGCTGGTGATACTGGTCACTGGTGTAGGGAGGACTGCGCCCAGTCTATGCCCTGGCTTTCGTAGAAAAAGGAGCACTAATTGTTGTGAATTATTTAAGAGGAAGTTGGTAAAGCATCCTTAGTTGCTGATAAGGTTGTTGAGGAAATAAAAGACAAAGGTGGAAAAGTGGCCAGCTATGATTCAGTGAAAACAGGAGAGAAGGTTGTAAAGACAGCACTGGATGCTTTTGGAATAGATGTTGTGGTCAACAATGCTGGAATTCTGAGGGACCATTCTTTTGCTAGGATAAGTGATGAAGACTGGGATATCATCCACAGAGTTCAATTGCGGGGCTCATTCCAAGTGACCCTGGAAAGCATGGGATCACATGAAGATGCAGAAATATGGAAGGATCATTATCACTTCATCAGCTTCAGGAATATATGGCAGCTTTGGCCAGGCAAATTATAGTGCTGCGAAGTTGGGTCTTCTGGTCCTTGCAAATTCTATTGCAGTTGAAGGCAGGAAAAGCAACATTCATTGTAACACTATTTCTCCTAATGCTGAATCAGGGTTGACTCGATTATGCCTGAAGATTTTGTGGAAGCCCTAAAGCCAGATTATGTAGCATCGCTGGTCCTTCGGCTTTGCCAAGAGTTGTGAGGAGAATGGGGGCTTGTTTGAGGTTGGAGCAGGATGGATTGGAAAATTATTCTGGGACCGGACCCTTGGAGTGGTTGTAAGACAAAATCAGCCGATGACTGCTGAAGCAGTGAAGGCTAACTGGAAGAAGACATGTGACTTCGAGAATGCCAGCAAGCCTCAGAGTATCCAGAAATCAACTGGCAGTATCATTGTAGTTCTAAGTAAAATAGATTCAGAAGGAGGAGTTTCAACAAATCATATCAGTCATGCAACATCTACAGCAACATCAGGATTTGCTGGAGCTATTGGCCATAAACTCCCTCCGTTTTCTTCTGCTTATACAGAACTGGAAGCTATTATGTATGCCCTTGGAGTGGGAGCATCAATCAAGGATCCAAAAGATTTTAAATTTGTTCATGAAAGAAGCTCTGATTTCTTCTGTTTGCCTACCTTTGGAGTTATCATAAGTCAGAAATCGATAATGGGTGGAGAATTAGCAGAAGTTCCTGGGATTTCAAGGAACTTTGCAAAGGTTCTTTATGGGGAACAATACTTGCAGTTATATAAACCACTTCCTAGAGCAGGAAAATGAAAATGTGAAACAGTTGTTGCTGATGTCCTAGATAAAGGATCTGGTGTAGTAATTCTTATGGATGTCTATTCTTATTCTAAGAAGGAATTTATGTGCTATAATCAGTCCTCTCTCTTTCTCATTGGCTCTGGAGGCTTTGGTGGAAAATGGACCTGAAAGTCAAGGTAGCTGTAGCCATACCTAATAGACCACCTGATGCTATACTTGCAGATACCATTTCTCTTAATCAGGCTGCTTTGTACTGCCTCAGCAGAAACTGAAATCTGTTACACGTTGATCCTCACTTTGCTAGCCTAGCATGTTTTGACATGTGTACATGGATTATGTGTACATGGATTATGTACATTTAGATTTTTTGCCAGGCATGTTTTATAATCTGTCAAGATTCAAAGTGATTAAGACTTGTTTTGCAAAACCAGTATATCCAGGGCAAACTCTACAAACTGAGATGTGGAAGGAAGGAAACAGAATTCACTTTCAAACCACGGTCCAAGGACCTGGAGACACTGTCATTTCAAATGCATATGTGAATCTTATGCCAACATCTGATATTTCAGCTAAGACACCCTCTGAAGGTGAGGAACTTCAGAATACCCTTGTATTTGAGGAAAAAGGTCACTTACTGCCTTTTAAGGATGTTGGGCGTGAGATGGCAAAGAAAGTAAATGCTGTATTTGAGTGGCATATTACTAAAGGTGGAAATATTGCAGCTAAGTGACCTGAAAAGTGGTTCTGGAAAAGTGTATCAAAACCTGGAAAAGGTTTTGCTGATGCATACTTTCAGATGAAGATTTCATGGAGGTAGTTCTAGGCAAGCTTGACCCTCAGAAGGCATCTGTTACTGGCAGACTGAAGGCCAGAGGGAACATTATGCTGAGCCAGAAACTTCAGATGATTCTTAAAGACTACACCAGGTTCTGGCTGGGCGCGGTGGCTCACGCCTGTAATCCCAGCACTTTGGGAGGTCGAGGTGGGTGGATCACGAGGTCAGGAGTTCGAGACCAGCCTGACCAACTGAAACCCGTTTCTACTAAAAATACAAAAATTAGCTGGGTGTGGTGGCAGACACCTGTAATCCCAGCTACTCAGGAGGCTGAGGCAGGAGAGTCGCTTGAACCCGGGAGGAGGAGGTTATAGTGAGCCGAGACTGCACCATTGCACTCCACTCTGGGTGACAGAGCGACACTCAGTCTCAAAAAAAGAAAAAAAAAAAAAAGACTACACCAATTTCTGAAGGGCACACTATATTATTAATAAAAACAGAATAATTAAATACTCTCTTCACCCAAATATGCTTGATTCTTCTGCAGAAGTGATCAGAACTAAGACGCAGAGGAAGTTACTTACCATTTTCAGATGTCAGATAAGTTTTCAGATTTTTTTTTTTTTTTTTGAGACCCAGTTTCGCTCTTGTTGCCCAGGCTGGAGTGCAATGGCACGATCTCGGCTCACCACAACCTCTGCCTCCCAGGTTCAAGCGATTCTCCTGCCTCAGCCTCCTGAGTAGCAGGGATTGCAGGCATGCACCACAACACCTAGCTAATTTTTGTATTTTTAGTAGACATGTGGTTTCTCCATGTTGATCAGGCTGGTCTTGAACTCCCAACCTCAGGTGATCCACCTGCCTTGGCCTTCCAAAGTGCTGGGATTACAGGCGTGAGCCACTGTGCCCAGCCAAGATTTTTATTTTCTACTATTTTTTAAATGTATCATTATTTTTACAAGGAACTATATATAAGCTAGCATATAGTTATCCTTCTGTTCTTAGATCTATATCTTCATAATAAAAAATTTTCACTCAAGTCTAGATTTTTAGAATTTGTGATAGCATTTATAAAAGTTAAAAGGAAAATTAAATGAATAAAGGCCACTTTGATACCTTTAAAAAAATACCTAGCTAAAAATCATGAAATATGTAATATAGGAATATTGTACATTAAATGAGAGGTTAAAATACGAAGTCTTGTTTAGATTCAAGGGGTAAGAAAAACTTCTCTAAGACAGTGACTTCTATGCTGATAAATGAAGGATAAGGAATAGAGGTTAGATAGGTACAGGAGAAGGAAAGAGCATTCTAGACAAAAGAACAGCATATGAAAGAGCCCAGAGGTAAGAAAAAGAACTTTAAAAAGGACAAGTGTAGGCCGGGCGCAGTGGCTCACACCTGTAATCCCAGCACTTTGGGAGGCCAAGGTGGGTGGATCACCTGAGGTCAGAAGTTCGAGACCAGCCTGGCTAACATGGTGAAACTCCATTTCTATTAAAAATACAAAAAAATTAGCCGGGCGTGGTGGCAGGCGCCCGTAATCCCAGCTACTCCGGAGGCTAAGGCAGGAGAATCGCTTGAACTTGGGAGGCGGAGGTTGCAGTGAGCTGAGATTGTGCCATTGCACTCCAGCTTGGGCAACAAGAGCGAAACTCCATCTCCAAAAAAAAAAAAAAAGGGAGAGAGAAGCTTTGTTTCTGGTTTCAGCATTTAGATGGATGGTAGTGGAATTATTGATACAAGGAACTTTGGAAGAGCAGCAGGTTTCAGGGGAAGATCAAGATACATGGGCTTGTAGTTCAGAAAAGTGATATGGCCTAGAGATAGAAATTTGGGAGCAGTTGATATACAGATGGTATTTAAAGCCTTGAGAGTAGAAAACACCACCTGGGAAAACAGTGTCGACTGGTAAGAGAACAGAACCCCACACCAACTCTGCAGAACAACATGAAGCTAAAGGTAGAGGAGGATGCCATCAAAAAGGCAAAAAGGCCGGGCGCGGTGGCTCACACCTGTAATCCCAGCACTTTGAGAGGCTGAGGTGGGCGGATTACCTGAGGCCAGGAGTTCAAGACCAGCCTTGCCAACATAGTGAAATCCCGTCTCTACTAAAAATACAAAAATTAGCCGGGTGTGGTGGCAGGCGCCTGTAATCCCAGCTATTCGAGAGGCTGAGGCAGGAGAATTGCTTGAATCTGGGAGGCGGAGGTTGCAGTGAGCCAAGATTGTGCCACTGCACTCCAGCCTGGGTCACAGAGGAGACTTACCTCAATTAAAAAAAAAAAAAAAAAAAAAAAAGGCAAAATGTTTAAGAACAAAAGAACAGCCACAGAATCTGGAGGAAAAACCACGTGAGTGTAGAGTCAGCATAAAAAAGCAGGCAGAAGAAAAAATTTGTTTCAAGAAAGCTGTATGCTGTATTTCATGGAATGATGCTAAGTGACAGAATATTAAAAAAGACTAAAAAAGTACACATTGATTCGGTCACATGGCTGTCACTGATCCCCTTAGACTAGTTTGAAGAAGTGTTTTTGCAACTTGCTATGCCCTATTCCAATCATGTTCTCCCTGACCAAAAATTTTAAAAAGCGAAAACCATTCTCCTACATTTTTCTTTGAAATCTATAGCATTCCTACTCCAAGGTGAGAAATTCTCCTTCATATAAAATGAATTCAAAACCTCTTTCATTTCCTTCCTCACCTTATTCTCACATGACAACCTCCCCATCTTCTGAGGAAGATCCACTTCAAGGGGAGGAACTTAAAATACTTGTTCTTTCTTTCCATCATTACTTCCAGGCAATCATAACTCCACCAGTTTTCTGTTGAATGAAACGTTGGTTCTAGCATTTGCCTCTAGCATTAATTCAATTATTTAACAAGTATTTATTGTGTACTTTTATCACTAGAAATACAAAGACACAGTATTTATTCTCAAGAAGCTTATAGATCCCTAGAATAAGCAGAGATAGTGGTATGATATAGATATAAACAAGTATTTTACTGAGAGGAATTACTTACGGACCATAAATATGTATAAAATCATTGATGACTGGACCAATGGAAATCAAGGCCACAGTAAGATGCCATTTTACACCCATTTAGTAGACAAATGTTACAAAGTTTGACATTGTCGAGTTTTGGAGGAGGAGATATGCATTCACAAAGTCTCTTGTACACTACAAGTGGAGTGGAAGTTCTGTGGCCATTTTGAAAACACTTTGACATCACCTCCTAAAGGTGGACATTCACATGCCTTATGACTCTAGGTATACAGCAGTGTTGGATACTTTGTCTTTGTCCCTCCAGGTCTGCTTTCCGCCCTTCTTCATCCTGCTCTCCACTAAGTTGTCTGACTTGTATGGACTGCATCAACAGGATCCCATACACCATTGCTTCTGGTTGGGTTAGCTACTGGGGAGCAACAACAGGAAAAGAGGGAGAGTGAGGTTAGGGCATTTATTCCAATTCCCTCTGTGAGGTTGCTGTGGGGTGGCCATATCCCTTATCTGATGGTTACTGTTTCCCTCAAGGTAGCAGAGTCTACATGACTCTTTCTCTTTCCAGGTTTCAGTAACTATTCCCCGCCCTTGTTCCTTTGGGCTTAGGGGTAGTAACTAGCACCATGCACCCTCACATTTGTAAATAAATGCTCTTCACAGGTACTATTGCATGCTAAGACACTGATTGATACAGTAATTGACACCAGACCTAGGTTAAAACAAAACAAAAAACAAAGAAACTTCTCAAAATAGGATTCTAGGACTGGGTTAGTCATATATTCAAACACTTGTGCACTGTTGTGAATGTAAAATGATATAGCTGCTATGAAAAACAGTATGGCAGTTCTTCAAAATATTAAAAATAGCATTATTATTTGATCCACCAATTTCACTTCTAGGTATATACTCAAAAGAATTGAAAGCAGGGCCAGACACAGTGGATCACGCCTGTTAGTCCAGCACTTTGGGAGGTTCAGGAGGGCGGATTGCTTGAGCCCAGGAGTTCCAGACCAGCCTGGGCAACATGGCAAAACACTGTCTCTACAAAAAATACAAAAATTAGCCAGGTGTGATAGCATGCACTTGTGGTCTCACCTACTCTGGAGGCTGAGGTGGGAGGATCACCTCAGCCCGGGGAGGTCAAGGCTGTAGTGAGCCATAGTCATACCACTGTACTCCAGCCTGGGTGATGGAGTGAGACCCTGTCTCAAAAAAATAATAAATAAAGTAAAATAAAATAAAAAAAAATTGAAAACAGGATTTTTTATTTTTTTGTTTTTCAGATGGTGTCTTGCTCTGTCACCCAGGCTAGAGTGCAGTGGCATGATTTTGGCTCACCGCAACCTTCACCTCCTGGGTTCAGGCAATTCTTCCTGCCCCAGCCTCCTGAGTAGCTGAGATTACAGGTGTGCGCCACCATGCCTGGCTAATTTTTGTATTTTTTAGTAGAGACCAGGGTTCACTATGTCAGCCAGGCTGGTCTCAAACTTCTGAACTCAAATGATCTGCCCGCCTTGCCCTCCCAAACTGCTGGGATTACAGGCATGAGCCACCACGCCTGGCATTTTTTGTTTGTTTGTTTTGATGGAGTCTCACTCCGTCACCCAAGATGGAGTGCAGTGGCGCGATCTCAGCTCACTGCAACCTCCGCCTCCTGGGTTCAAGTGATTCTCATGCTTCAGCCTCCCAAATAGCTAGGATTATAGGCATGTGCCACCATGCCCAGCTTTTTTTTTTTTTGTATTTTTAGTAGAGGCAGGGTTTTGCCATGTTGGCCAGGCTGCTCTTGATCTCCTGATCTTAAGTGACCTGCCTGCCTTGGCCTCCCAAAGTGCTGGGATTACAGGCATGAGCCACTATGCCTGGCATGGAAGCAGGATCTTTTTTTTTTTTTTTTTTGAGATGGAGTCTTGCTCTGTCACCCAGGCTGGAGTGCAGTGGCGCAATCTCAGCTCACTGCAACCTCTGCCTCCTGGGTTCAAGCGATTCTCCTCCCTCAGCCTCCCAAGTAGCTGAGACTACAGGCATGCACCACCACATCTAGCTAATTTTTTTGTATTTTATTTTTAGTAGAGACAGGGTTTCACTATGTTGGCCAGGCTGGTCTTGAACTCCTGACCTCAGGTGATCCAACCACCTTGGCCTCCCAAAGTGCTGGGATTACAGGCGTGAGCCACTGTGCCCAGCTCTTCCAGGGATTTATAGTTTTGGATTTTACATTTAAGTCAGAAAGACAATTTTCTTATGTTAAACTTATATCTTACAACCTTGCTAAACTGAACTATTAGTACTAGAAGTTTCCTTTTTTTTTGTAGATTCCTTTTTTTTTTGTAGATTCCATTTTCTACACAGATGATCATGCTATATATGAATTTTACTTTTTCCTTTCCAATCTGTATGTCTTTTATTTCTGTTTTTTAATTATGGTAAAATACACATAACATGAAATTTGCCATCTTAGCCATTTTTAAGTGTTCAGTTCAGTAATGTTAAGAATATTCACGTAGTTGTACAACCAATCTCCAGAACTTTGGCATCTTGCAAAACTGAAACTCTGTATCATTCAACGACTCCCCAGAAACAGCCCCTGGCAACCACCATTCTACTTTCTGTCTCTATGACTTTGACTACTCTAGATACCTCCTATAGGTGAAATCATATAGGATTTGTCTTTTTGTGATTGGTGCATTTAACTTAGCAAAATGGCCTCAAGGTTCATTCATACTGTAGCGTATGTCAGAATTTCCTTATTTTTAATGCTGAATAATATTCCTTTGTATGTATATACCACATTTTGCTTATTCATTCATCCATGGATGGACACCTGGGTTGCTTCCACATTTTAGCTATTGTGAATAATGCTGCTATGAACATGGGTGTACAAATATCTCTTCAAGATCCTGCTTTCAGCCGGGCATAGTGGCTAGTGGAAGACAACCTAGACAATACCATTCTGGACATTGGAACAGGCAAAGATTTCATAACAAAAACTTCAAAAGCAATTGCAACAAAAGCAAAAATTGACAAATGGGATCTAAGGAAAAAGAGCTTCTGCACAGCAAAAGAAACTAGCAAAAGAGAAAACAGACAACCTACAGAATGGAAGAAAATATTTGCAAACTATGCACCTGACAAAGGTCTAATATCCAGCATCTATAAGGAACTTGAACAAATTTACAAGCTAAAACCAAACAACTCCATTAAAAAGTGGGCAAAGGACGTGAACAGACACTTTTCAAAAGAAGACATTCATGTGGCCAACAAGTGTATGAAAAAAAGTTCAATATCACTGATCTTTAGAGAAATGCAGATCAAAACCACAATGAGATACCATCTCACACCAGTGAAAATGGCAATTATTAAAGAGAGTAAAAAAATAACAGACACTGGTGAGGTTGTGGAGAAAAGGGAATGCTTATACACTGTTGGTGGGAGTTTAAATTAATTCAACCACTGTGGAAAGCAGTGTGGCGATTCCTCAAAGAACTAAAAATGGAACTACCATTTGACTCAGCAATCCCGTTACTGGGTATATGCCCAAAGGAATATAAATCATTTTATCATAAAGATACATGTATGCAAATATTCACTGCAGCACTAGTCACAATAGCAAAAACATGGAATCAAGCTAAATGCCCATCAATGACAGACTGGGTAAAGAAAATGTGGTATGTATACATCATGGAATACTGTGCAGCCATAAAAAAGAATGAGATCATGTCTTTTGTGGGAACCTGAATGGAGCTGGAGGCCATTGTCCTTAGCAAACTGACACAGAAACAGAAACCAAATACTGCATGTTTTCACTTACAAGTGGGAGCTAAATGATGAGAACTCATGGACACAAATAGGGAGACAACAGACACTGGGGTCTACTTGAGGGTGGAGGGTGGGAGGAAGGAATGTATTTTTTCTAATCCTTTAAGATCAGAAAATAACTGTATTTTTTCTGATCCCAGTAACTAGTATTGAGTACTAGGCTTAGTAACTGTGTGATGAAATAATCTGTACAACAAACCTTCATGATACAAGTTTACCTGTATAACAAACCTGCACATGTAACCCTGAACCTAAAATAAGTTTTAAAAAAAGGAAAAAAATTGTCTATCTACGTATTAGCAACAAACTATTGGAAATTAAAATTACAATACAGAGGCTGGGTGCAGTGGCTCACGCCTGTAATCCCAGCACTTTGGGAGGCTGAGGCAGGTGGATCACGAGGTTGGGAGTTCGAGACCAGCCTGACCAACATGGTGAAACTCCATCTCTACTAAAAATACAAAAATTAGCCAGGTGTGGTGGCATGTGCCTGTAATGCCAGCTACTCAGGATGCTGAGACAGGAGAATCCCTTGAACCCGGGAGGCGGAGGTTGCAGTGAGCTGAGGTGGCACCACTGCACTCCAGCCTGGGTGACAGAGTGAGACTTCATCTCAAAATAATAATAATAATAATAAAATAAAATTACCATACAGTATCATTTACAATAGAATTCAAAAATATAAAATACTTAGGAATAAATCTGACGAAAATGTGCAAAATCTGTGTAAGGAAAACTATAAAACATTACTGAGAGAAATCAAAGAATATCTACGTAAATGGAAAGATACACTGTATTTATGGATCGGAAGATTCAAACTTGTTAAAATGTCAGTTTTCCCCTAAATTCGATCTAGAATCAATGCAATTTCAGTCAAAATTTTAGTGGGACTTTTTTTTGTGGGGGGGGGGAATTGACAAATTGATTCTGTAATTCATATAGAAATTTAAAAGACCTAGAGCAGCCAAAACAACTTTGAAAAAGAAGAACACAGAGGGAGAATTAAAACTATCTGATTTTAAGACTTATTATAAAGCTATAGCAATCAAGAGTATGGAGTATAGTATAGTATAATATAGTATAGTATAATATAGTATAGTATAGCAGTATAGTATAGTATAGTATGGAGTATAGTAATCAAGTAGATCAATGGAACAGAATAGAGCCCAGATATGAAACCATACATATAGAGACAACTAATTTTTGACAAAGGTACAAGGGCAATTCAGTGGGAAAAGGATAGTTCTTCTTTCCACATGGATTTTTCTTTTTTCTTTTTTTTTTTTTTTTTTTTGAGACAGAGTCGCGCTCTGTCATGCAGGCTGGAATGCAGTGGTGCGATCTCGGCTCACTGCAACCTCTGCCTCCCGGGTTCAAGCGATTCTCCTGCCTCAGCCTCCCAAGTAGCTGGGATTACAGGTGTCTGCCAACACGCCCAATTAATTTTTTGTATTTTTAGTAGAGACAGGGTTTTGCCATGTTGGCCAGGCTGGTCTCGAACTTCTGGCCTGAAATGATCCTCAGCCTCCCAAAGTGCTGCATATGGATATTCTTCAAAACATACTTCATATTGTAAACAAAAATTAACTCAAAATGGATCACAGTTCTAAATGTAAAACTTTAAATTATAAAACTTCTGGAAGAAAAAAAATCTTCTGGAAGAAAATACAGGAGAAAATTGTTGGGATATTAAGGGAAATAAATATTTATTAGATAAAATGTCAAAACTCTAATTTATAAAAGAAAAAAGTGAAATATTTAAACTTTATCAAAATTTAAAATTTCTGCTTTTGAAATACTTAGTAAGTGTTTGAGAAGTCAAGCCACAGAGTGGGAGAAAATATTTGCAAAGCCTGTAAAGGACTTGTATCTAGAGTATATAAAGAACTCTTTTTAAAAAACTAATCAGATGAATTTAAGGTTCATCAAAACTCTTAGGAATTATGAACATGATTCTTTTATTTTGTTTATTTATTTATTTATTTATTTAAGACAGAGTCTTGCTCTGTCGCCCAGGCTGGAATGCAGTGGCACCATCTCAGTTCACCACAACCTCTGCCTCCCAGGTTCAAGCGATTCTTCTGCCTCAGCCTTCTGAGTGGCTGGTATTACAAGTGTGTGCCACCACGCATGGCTAATTTTTGTATTTTTAGTAGAGATGGGGTTTCGCCATGTTGGCCAGGCTGGTCTCGAACTCCTGACCTCCAGTGATCTGCCCCCCTCGGCTTCCCAAAGTGTTGGGATTACAATCATGAGCCACTGTGCCCGGCCTTATAATTCTTAGTAATAAGAAAATAAACAATGAAATGTAAGATAGGCAAAAGATTTGGAAATGTCACCAAGAAGATATATGGATGGCAAATAAGCACATGAAAAGATGCTCAATGTCGTTAATCACTAGGGGAATGCAAATTAAAATCATGAGATACTACTAAATACCTAGAAGAATGACTAAAAAAAACAAGAAATATCTGACCATTCCAAGTATTGGCCGGGATATGGAGGAAATAGAATTATTGTGGGAATGTAAAATGGTATCATTTTGGAAAACAGTTTACCAGTTTCTTAAAAGTTAAACATACACCTACTATCCAGCCACCTCTAAGACTTGTACATAAATGTTTGTAGCAACTTTATTTGTAATTTTATCAGTTGTGTACTTAAATAAATGCAGTTTATTGTATGCCAATTATATAATTATTATGTCAATTATATATATATTCTTTAAAACATACTTCATACCAAGTACAAAATACCATATACAATATATACCTATCAATTAATGAAGAACTTATATACACACACACACACACGCACACATACATATATGTATATTAATGAAGAAAAAAAGTGTTGATCTGATTCACAGATGGATCTATACAGTATGCAGGCACCAACCCCAAAAGTGGATGACTACTGTGCTACAAATCCCACTTAGGGGTAACCTTGAAAGACGATAGTTAAGGGAAATTATCCCAGCAGGCAAGAACTTTGGTATATCTAGTAATCCATATCATGTAAAAGGAGAGAGACCCTGAGGTATTGATCTACACTGGACTATGAGAAGTGGATAATGGGTTGGCTGACTGGTCAAGGACTTGAAGGGAATGAAATTGGAAAATTGGTGGCATGAAGTTTTTGGAAAAAGTAAATAGGTATGTAGAGTGTGTGAATTATTAAATGTCTATCAAAGAGTATTCAAACCAGAAAACCTCTCATTGATCAGTTGACAAGATGATCTCATCCTGTAGATGTTAGTTTCTTTCCTTAGCCATCCCAGTGCTCACTGAAAGGTTTTTACAAAGTGATCATGGCAGTAGGAATGGAGGCTATGCAAGCACTCAACAAAATGGTCTTGTCCTCATCAAGGCTGACCCACCTACTACCTCTGCTGAGTAGTACCAAAACAGCTAAGAGCAAGATCAATACTGAGGCCCCAGTATGGCACTATTACCCAGGGAGAACGGCTGGCTACCTGGTGGGAATTGGAAGAGGAAGCACTTTGTTCTCACAGCAATGGAAACACCAGAAAATAAAGTATCGGAACATATCTGAATATTGATTTATGATTCCTTACCATAGTGCGTCCACCAGTACCATCATCTGTGAACATAGATTGCCGTAACCATCTTTGGGGTATTCCATACAACTTCATCTCTGATCAGGAGATGTTTTTATGGCAAACAATGTAGGCAATAAGCTTACCTCCCAGAATTCATTTGTCTTACCATGTATCCTACCACCTAGAAGCAGCTAGCTTGATAGAACAGTGAACTGACCTGTGAAGACTGTTATGGCATTGGGGGGAGACAACATTGAATTTGGGGTGGGGTCCTACAGGATGCAGCATATATTGTTTTTTTTCCACTTATTTTTTACTGTGGTAAAATACAAATAACAAAAAAATTGTGATCTTAGCTACATTTAAGTGTACAGCTCAGTGGTGTTAAATACATTCATAATGTGCAAACATCACCATCATCCATCTTCATAACTCTCTTCATCTTGTAAAACTAAAACTCTACACTCATTAAACAACAACTCTTCATTCTACCCTCTCTCTAGCCCTTGGCCACCACTATTCTACTTTCTGTCTCTATGACTTTGACTACTCTAGATACCTCCTATAAGTGAAATCATATAGGATTTGTCTTTTTGTGACTGGCTCATTTAACTTAGCAAAATGGCCCCAAAGTTTATCCATATTGTAGCGTATGTCAGGATTTCCTTCTTTTTAATATTAACATATATATATATATATATATATATATATATATATATATATATATATATATGTACACACACACCACATTTTGCTTATCCGTTCATCTATGGATAAACACTTGGGTTGCTTCTACATTTTAGCTATTGTGACTAATGCTGCTATGAATGTAGATATACAAACATCTCTTCAAGGTCCTGCTTTCAATTCTTTTCAATATATACCTGGAAGTGGAATTGCTGGATCATATGAGGAACCGCCATACTGTTTTTCAGTGACTGTACCATTTTACAATCCCACCAACAGTGCACAAGATTTCCAATTTCTACATACCCACACCAACACTTGTAATTTTCTTTCTTTCTTTTTTTTTTTTTTTTTGATGGAGTTTCTCTCTTTCACCCAGGCTGGAGTGAAGTAGTGGAATCTCAGCCCACTGCAATCTCCACCCACCAGGTTCAAGCGATTCTCCTGCCTCAGCCTCCTGAGTAGCTGGGATTATAGGCGCCCACCACCATGCCTGGCTAATTTTTGTATTTTTAGTAGAGATGGGGTTTTGCCACATTGGCCAGGCTGGTCTCGAACTCCTGACCTCAGGTGATCCACCCACCTTGGCCTCCCACAGTGCTAGGATTACAGGCGTGAGCCACCGTGCCTGGCCAATTTTCTGGTTTTAATGTTAGTCTTCCTCCCGGGTGTGAGACAGTATCTCATACTTTTGATTTGCATTTCTCTAATGATTAGTGATATTATACATCTTTTCATGTGCTTGACCATTTGTATATCTTCTTTGGAGAAATGTCTATTCAAGTCCTTTGCCCAATTTTGAATTGAGTTTGTTGCTGTTAAGTTTTAGGAGTTTTCTTTATGTTCTGGATATTAATTCCAGGTGTATGATTTGCAAATATTTTCCCCCATTCAGTGGGTTGTCTTTCCTCTCTGTTGATAGTGTCTTTTGATGCACAAAATTTTAAAAAATTTCCTGAAGTCCAATTTGTCTATTTTTTTTTTATTGTCTGTGCCTTTGGTGTCATATCCAAGAAGTCATTGCCAATTCCAATGTCATGGAAATTTTGCCATGTATTTTCTTCTAAGAGTTTCATAGTTTTAGGTCTTACATTTAGGTCGTTAATCCATTTAAGTTAATTTTTGTATATGGTGCTAGGTAAGGGTCCAACTTCATTCTTTTGCATGTGGATATCCAGTTTTCCCAGCACCATTTATTGAAAAGATTGTTCTTTCTCCATTGAATGGTCTTGGCACCCTTATCAAAAGTCTCTTGACCGTATAAGTGAGGGTGATTTCTGGGCTCTCTATTCGATCCCAATTGTCCTTATGTCTGTCTTTATGCTAGTACCACACCATTTTGATTACTGCGGCTTTGCAGTAAGTTTTGAAATCAGGAAGTATGAATCCTCCTGCTTTGTTCTTCTTTTTCTTTTTCTTTTTTATTTTTTTTGAGACGGAGTCTTGCTCTGTCACCCAGGCTGGAGTGCAGTGGCACGATTTCGGCTCGCTGCAAGCTCTGCCTCCCGGGTTTACACCATTCTCCTGCCTCAGCCTCCCGAGTAGCTGGGACTACAGGCGCCCGCCACCGTGCCTGGCTAAGTTTTTGTATTTTTAGTAGAGACGGGGTTTCACCGTGTTAGTCAGGATGGTCTCGATCTCCTGACCTCGTGATCTGCCCGCCTCAGCCTCCCAAAGTGCTGGGATTACAGGCGTGAGCCACGGCACCCGGCTCTTCTTTTTCAATATGGTTTTGGCTATTCAAGGTGTTGTGAGATTCCATATGAAATTTAGAATGGGTTTTCCTATTTTTGCAAAAAAAAAAAAAAATCCCGAAAAGTCATTGGGGTTTTAATGGGGATTGCATTGAATTTGTAGATCACTTGGGGTTATGTTGACCTCATTGACAGTATTAAGTCTTCTAATCCATGAACATGGGATGTGTTTCAATTTATATATGTCTTCACTAATTTCTTTCAGCAATGGCTTGTAGTTTTCATTGTACAAGTCTTTCACCTCCTTGGTTCAGCTAATATCAAATATTTTATTCTTTTTGTTGCTATTGTAAATGGAATTGTTCTTGCAATTTCCTTTTCAGATTGTTCATTGTGTTTAGAAATGCAGTTGATTTTGTGTGTTGACTTGGTAACCTGCTACTTTGCTGAATTCACTTACTAGCTCTTAACAGTTTTTTCTTTGGTGTGTGTGTGTGTGCATGTAATCTTTGTTTTTTTCTGCTTATAAGGTCTATCTGCAAACAGATAGTTTTACTTCTTCCTTTCCAACATAAATGCTTTTTATTTTATTTTTTTTCCTAAATGCTCTGGCTAGAACCTCCAGTACTACATTGAATAGAAGTTGCAAAAGTGGGCTTCCTTGTCTTCTCCCTGATCTTGGAGGAAAAGCTTTCAGTCTTTCACAATTGGGTATGATGTTTGCTGTGGATTTTCACATATAGCTTTACGTTGAGGTAGTTTCCTGCTATTCCTAGTTTGTTGAGTGTTTTTATAATAAAAGGGTGCTAAATTTTGTCAAATGCCTTTTTACTGAATCAACTGAGATGATCATGTGTTTTTCCCCTTCATTCTGCTAATTTAGTGTATTACATTGATCGATTTTTGTATATTGAATCATCCTTGCATTCCAGGAATACATCTTACTTAGTCATGGCGTACAATCCTTTTTTTTTTTTTTAATTGATATGGAGTCTCACTCTGTCACCCAGGCTAGAGTGCAGTGGCATGATCTTGAGTTACTGCAACCTCTGCCTCCTGAGTTCAAGCAATTCTCCTGCCTCAGCCTCCCAAGTAGCTGGGATTACAGGCGTGAGCCACCACGCCCGGCTAATTTTTTGTATTTTTAGTGGGGATGGGGTTTCACCATGTTGACTGGTCTGGTCTCGAACTCCTGACCACAAGTGATCCACCCACCTTGGCCTCCCAAAGTGCTAGGATTACAGGAGTGAGCCACACGCCTGGCCTACAATCCTTTTAATATGCTGCTGAATTCAGTTTGCTAGTATTTTATGGAGGATTTTTACATCAGTGTTTGTAAAGGATACTAAAGAAAACTACAAATATTTGTCTGTAGTTTTCTTAGGTACTGTCTTTGGATTTGGTATCAGGACAATTCTGGCTACAGAATGAGTTAGAAAGTGTTCCTTTGTTAAAATAATTTTTTTTTTTTAGAAAAGTTTGAGGATTGGTATAGTTCTTTAAATGTTTGCTAGAATTCACTGGTGAAGCCATCAGGTCCAGGGTTTTTCTTTATCAGGAAATTTTTGATTACAAATTCAGTCTCTTTGTTATTGATCTATTCAGATTTTCTATTTCTCTATGATTTAGTGTTGGTAGGTTTTGTGTTTCTGTAAATGTGTCCATTTCATCTAGTGTATCCAACTTGTTGGCATATAATTGCTCACAGTACTATTATAATCCTTTATATTTCTGTAACATCAGTAATAATGTCCCCATTTTCATTTCTGACTTTATTTCATTTATTTATGTATTTATTTACTTATTTTTGAGATAGAGTTTCACTCTGTCTCCCGGGCTGGAGTGCAGTGGTCCGATCTCATCTCAATGTAACCTCCACCTCCCAGGTTCAAGCAATTCTCCTGCCTCAGCCTCCTGAGTAGCTGGGATTACAGGTGCCCACCACACCTGGCTAATTTTTGTATTTTTAGTAGAGACAGGGTTTCACCATGTTGGCTAGGCTGGTCTCGAACTCCTGACCTCAAGTGATCCACCTGCCTTGGTCTCCCAAAATGGTATTACAGGCGTGAGCTACTGTGCCCGGCCTAATTTCTGACTTTAGTAACGTGTCTTCTCTCATCTTTTCCTAGTCCATCCAGCTAAAAGTTTGTTGATTGCATTGTTTCAAAGAACCAATGTTTAGTTTCATTAATTTTCTCTGTTGTTCTTCTATTCCTTATGTTGTTTTTCTCTGCTCTAATCTTTAATATTTCTTTTTTTCTGTTAGCTTTTGGTTGTTTGCTTTTTTTCTTCTAGTTCCTTAAGTTGTAAAACTAGGTTATTGATTTGAGATCTTTCTTGTTTTTCAATGGAAATGTTTATAGTCATAAAGTACCCCTTAGCACTGTTTCACTGTGTCACATAAGCTTTGGTATGTTGTTTGCATCTTCACTTGTCTCTATTTTCTAATTCCTCTTATGATGTTTTCTTTGATCCATTGGTTAAGAGTGTGTTGTTTAATTTCCAGAAGTTGTGAATTTTCCAGTTTTACTTCTATTGCTGATTTCTAACTCATCCTAATGTGATTGGAGAAGATACTTCATATCTTTTTACATGTATTGAGACTTAAATTGTGAAATATGGTGTATCCTGGAAGATGTCCCATGTTGCACTTGGGAAGAATGTGTATGCTGTTGTTGGGTAGAGCATTTTGTATATGACTCTTACATTAGTTGGTTTCTATTTCTTTACTTATCTTCTGTGTGGTTGTTCTATCCGTTATTGAGAGTGGGGTACTGAAGTCTCCAAATGTCTGTAGAATCATCTATTTCTTTTTCAATTCTGTCAGTTTTTGTTTGATATATTCTGATGGACTGTCATTATGTGTGTGTAATGGTTATAATGTTTCTATCTTCCTGCTGTATTGAACCTTTATTAATAAAAGTCTTTTTTTTGTCTCCTGTAAACTTTTCTTTTTCCTTAAAGAGTCTTTTGAATAATTTACAGATTTAAGATCTTGCTATTCACCTGCTTTCCATCAGCACAGATAGCCAAAATTTAGGTATACCTTTCATTCAAGAGAAAAATTAAGTGAGAGACTAACAGACAAAAGGAGATGACAGACAAAAGCCGGGATGGAGGTGAACGGATGGATATAAGGAGAAACATTTATTGAATGCATTCTGTGACTTTATTTCTCGTAAGCTTTTTAAAACTAAAATCTATTTTGTCTTATAGTCACCCTGCTTTTCTTTTGGTTACCATTTGGATGAAATATTTTTTGCTACCCTTTCACTTTCTGTTTTTTTTTTTTTTTTTTTTGAGACGGAGTCTCACCCTGTCGCCCTGGTTGGAGTGCAGTGGCGCGATCTCCACTCACTGCAAGCTCCGCCTCCCGGGTTCACGCCATTCTCCTGCCTCAGCCTCCCGAGTAGCTGGACTACAGGTGCCCGCCACCGCGCCCGGCTAATTTTTTGTATTTTTAGTAGAGACGGGGTTTCACCATGTTAGCCAAGATGGTCTGGATCTCCTGACCTTGTGATGCGCCCGTCTCAGCCTCCCAAAGTGCTGGGATTACAGGCATGACCCACCGTGCCCGGCTACCCTTTCACTTTCAACCTATTTGTGTCTGGATCTAAAGTGAGTCTGTCATAGACAGCATATAGTTGAATCATGAGTTTTTATTCATTTTGTCAATTATGTTTTGACTGGAGAGTTTAACTCATTTACATTTAAAGTAATTACAAATAGGAAAATACTTATTTCTGTCATTTTGCTTTATCCCCCTTATATGCCTTATAGTCTTTAACCTTTCATTTCCTGCATTACTGTTTTCCTTTGTCTTTAGTTGATTTTGCTGTGAAATGTTTAAATTCCTTTCCTGTTTCTTTTTGTGCCTATTCTATAGCGATTTTCTTTGTGTTTACCATGGTATTACCAAGTTTATAATGCTCAAATTGGAATTCATGCCATCTTAATTTCAGTAACATACCAAAACCCTCTTTTACAGCTCCATCCCCAATCCTTTATGTTGTTAATGTCACAAAACTACATCCGTATAAACCGTTTCTCCAAAAACATAAACAAATAATTTTTTTAAATTAATTACTTTCTTTCTTTCTTTCTTTTTTGAACCTGGGAGGTGGAGGTTGCAGTGAGCCAAGATCACAACACTGCACTTGAGCCTGGGTGATGGAGTGAGACTCTGTCTCAAAAATAAAATAAAATAAAATAAAATTAAGTGGAGTTACAAACCAAAGTTACAGTAACACTAGTGTTAGTACTAATAATTGTTTTGTGCTAGTGCTGCTTAACAAACCACCCAAAATGTAATGGCTTAAACAGCAAACATGTGTTTTCCTTTTTCTTTTTTTTGAGATGGAGTCTCACTCTGTCACCCAGGCTGGAGTGCAGTGGTGTGATCTCAGCTCACTGCAACCTCTACCTCCCAGGTTCAAGTGATTCTCCTTCCTCAGCCTCCCAAGTAGCTGGGATTACAGGTGTGCACCACCATACCCAGCTAATTTTGTATTTTTAATAGAGATGGGGTTTCTCCATGTTGGTCAGGCTGGTCTCAAACTCCTGGCCTCAGGTGATTCACCTGCCTCGGCCTCCCAAAGTGCTGGGATTACAGGCGTGAGCCACTATGCCCGGCCCAGTACTAATAATTGTTTTTAAATATATATTAGTCTCTCAAATAATGTAGAAAACAAAAAGTGCAGTTACAAGCCATTACTGCAATAACACTACTAGCTTTTATAATCACCCATGTATTTACCATTATTCAGTTCTTTATTTCTTCATACAAGTTCAAATTACTGTCTAGTATTTTTTGACATTTCACTCTGCAGGAGTCCCTTGACTGTTCTTGCAAGGCAAGTCTAGTGGTTACATACTCCCTCAACTTCTGTTTATCTTAAAATGTCTTAATTTCTCCCTCATTTTTGAAGGACAGCTTTTGCCAGATATAAGATCTTTGGTTGACAGTTTTTTATTTGATTTTTGTTTTTTAGCATTTTAGCTAACTGCCTTTGGTATTCCAATGTTTCTGATGAGAAATCTGTTGATAATCCCACTGAGTATCCTTTGTATGTGATGAGTTGCCTCTCTCTTGCTGCTTTCAAGATTCTTTTGCCTTTCAAAAGTTTGATTATGTGTCTTGGTGTGGATCTCCTTCAGTTAATCTTACTTGGAGAGTGAATTTCTTGGATGTTTATATTCATGTCTTTCATCAAATTTGGGAAGTTTTCAGCCATTATTTCTCCAAATATTTTCTCTGCTGCTTTCTTTCTTCCCCTTGTGGAACTCCCACAATGTGTATGTTAGTCTACTTTATTGTGTTCCACAGGTTCTTTATGCTCTGTTCATTTTTTTTCAATTTTTTTTTCGTTCCTCAGACTCAGTACTTCCCAGTATCCTATCTTCAAGTTTGCTGATTCTTCTGCAGATTTCTGTTCAACTATGCCTTTAAATCTCTTTACTAAATTTTGTCATTTTAGTTATTATACTTATCAGCTCTAGAATTTCTTTCTGATTTAGAGTTTGTGTCTTATTATTAATAGTAAAAGCAATAAAATAAATAAATAGCACAGTTTTACTTTCTCCACATTTTCCTTTAGTTCTTTGAGCTCTTTAAGACAGGCTTTTTTCTTCATACTACATGCCTCTTAGTATAAGACAGTTTTTAAAAGAGTCTTCGCCTAGTTTATCTGCCATCAGGTCTTTTTCAGAAAGTTTTTGTTGATTATTTTTTTTTTTACTTTAAATGGGCCATGCTTTCCTGTTTCTTTGTAAGCCTTGTGATTTTTTTGTTGTTGTTGGAAACTGAGCATTTAAATATATTACTGTAGTAACTCTGGAAATCAGATTCTTCCCCTTCCCCAGGGCTTGCTGTTTTTGTTACTGTTTTTGCTTTTTTAAAAAAATTTTTGTCTCTGTGCCAAGAATCAGCCTGAGCTGTAAACTTAAGGTCTTCTCAGCTTTTCTGAGCCTCTCTTTGGGCATGCACAGTAACTTTCTAATTTTCCCTGTGTATGCAGTTGTTGAGGCTTTTCTCTTCACTTTTTTTTAAGACAGGGTCTCTGTTACCCAGGTTTTAGTGCAGTGGCACAATCATGTCTTATTGCAGTCTCACACTCCTGGGCTCAAGTGATCCTCCCACCTTGGTCTCTCAAGGATCTGGGATTACAGGCATGAGCCACCACATCTGACAATATATGCAGTTGTTTTGAATGGCCTAGTCTTAATGTCCGGCTCCCCAAAGGGAAAAAGGGTGCCAGCCTTTTAAATACCCCGAGAGCCACAGGAAAAAGACTTGCAACATTGGAGGGAAGTGCAACAATGGCCATCCACCTTCATCTGTACCTTTGTAACCAGGAGGAGCAATCAGAGCACAGATCCCTGATATTTGGAGGACAGGGTCCTTTCTGCCCACTCTGGCTCCAACAAATTGTGTGTAAGCTGCTGCAGGAACACGTGCACAGCTGCCTGTCACAGGGCTGATTATGGGTAACTACTACTGTGCTAAAAGCTGAAATTGACTGAATTAACCACAATTTAGTGTCCAAGCCTTCCCCTGGAAGTTGCAAGCCTTGAACAGACCCTAGAATTCCAAAATAGTAACATCAGACTGATTTTGCCAGTACAATTGTCTTCCAGGTGGGGAGACAGATTCCTGGTGTTTCCCACTCCACCATCTTCCCAGAAACTTTACAGTATATGTGTTAACCAGCAGTGTTTTATGCCACCTCCCCCACACTCCGAAATGCAATAGAAAAGTAAGGGTAGGGATAACTGGTGTCCCCTCTCACCACTGCATTTAATAACCCACTGGAATTTTTGCTTTCCATTCCTGAGACCTTGGGATCAGAGACTTTAGAATCTTATCTTAGTGCTCAAGGAAGAAGCTCTCACCAGAGAACATGATCATGGTTCCAATTGATTGGCCGCTTTTAGGTCCCCATGCCACTGAACCAACTGGCAAAGACAGCAATTACTGTACTGACCAGGGTAATTGATTCTGATTATACTAGGGGGAAATATGGAAGCCAGGAAAAGTGTTTGCAACCCAGGGAATTCATTTGGGATGCTTTTAAGTACTCCCTTTCAATAGTCTTGGTCACTGAAACACTGCAATAGACCACAAAGAATTCATATCTTGCAGGAATGAAAATATGGGTTACCCTATTAGGTAAAGAACCCTGTCCAACTGAGGTACTGATGGAAGGGAAGGGCAATAGGTAAATGGGTGGTGAAAGGCAGTTCTGATTGCCAACATAAACCTTTGAGTAGATACGGAGGTAAATACTATAGCAGCCGGTTTTTAAATGATCTTCTCTCTTCCTTCAACCTCCATTACCTTATATGAGTAACTCTGGTTGTGGTATCATTTTCGGTTTCAGGTGGGAATGAGTAAAATGACATAATCACACAATGATTCAGTATCTAATGGACTTTTTATATCCCTGATGTTAAAGACATACTTTTCACATGGACAAAGAATAAAAGTGGATACAGGGGAGCAAAAGGGGTAGACTGTGCCAATTATTTTAATTTGTCCTCCATCCTTCTTCACTCTACTCCCTGCTCTAGAAAGCTGACCATATAGATTACAGCAGTGGGCTCTGTAAGTGTGGTTTTGACCTTGTTTGACTAACTGGAAACCCTAGCAAGAGCCTGAAGAGAAGAGAGTGAAGTCAGAGCACTTTTTCTCCTGGTTCCCTTTATGAGGTAATGTTGCCTGGGGCTGAATAGACGCTGTGACTGCAAATCACTGCTTTTCTCAAGGTGGCAGACTACACGCAACTTCCTTTGGGTTTCAGCAGCCACTCCTCATCCATTACAGCCTAGGAAAGGTAACTAGGGCCAAGTGACTACTTGACATTCCCCTACACCAATAATCTTTCCTTGAGTTATTCTGTCTTCAGTATGGTGTTTCCTAATGCCCAAGTGGATCTCTTGCACAACACGTACAACAGACGGAAGGTGCAAGAATGTCCTTAAAACAGTTTACAATAATCAAAACCTGGAAAAACTCTAAGTGCCCCACAGTAAAGTGGATTGATAAACTGTGGTTTACTCACAAAATGGATTCTATAGCAGTCGAATGATATACAATATGCAATCCTATAAAAAACTTTAGCAATAACATTACGTGAAAAAAGGAAGCTCCAGAAAATATCACACATGTAGTAGTAGCATAATACCCTTTCTCTAAGGTAAAAATCTGATATTTTAAAACGTGATTTGTAGGAACACACAGATGCAATAAAATTACATACAATAGAAAGCGAGGAATGATGAATGATTGAGGATTATAATTATAGTGGGTGGTAATGGGTTAATGTGTCCAATAGGTGATTTGGTTAGTTCCTTTTAAGAAACAGGTTTTTATGGGCATTTATTATTTTAAAAAATAAACTTTCAAAAGGCGGGGGCATGCATGAATCGATGACAAGCGTGTCATAATGCATGCTGATTAATTCTGTATACTTGATGTTAAATTTAAAAGTGGAAGGGACTTATACAGGAAGCTATGAGAAATTAAAAGGTCCCAATTTAGCCTAGGGAATTAGGGAGATCTTTCTGGACCATCTCTGATGCCTAAAGTAGTCAAGTGAAAGGAGAGTTGACAGTGGGTGAGAAAAATTATTGCTGGCAGAGGATATAGCCTGAACAGAAGCCCTGGGGAGAGAAAAGGCATTTTTTTCTTTTATTATTTTTTCAAATTATACTTTAAGTTCTGGGATACATGTGCAAGAAAAGGCATTGTTTATAAAATGGCAGTTTTGTGTTAGTATAAGGTTGTGTTAGTTTTCTGTAAACGTTGTAACAAGTTACCACAATCTTGGTGGTTTAAAAAATTCTTTCACAGTTCTGGAGGCAGAAATCTGAAATCAGTATCATTAGGCCAAAATCGAGGGATTGACAGGGCTGCACTACTCTGGAGGATCTAGGGAAGAATGTTGTGTGCTTCTTCAGCTTCTGGTGGTTGGCTGCTGACATTACCTTGGCTTGTGGCTGCAGGACACCAATCTCTGACTCTGTGGTTTCACAGCCTTCTCCCTTCTGCATAAAATCTGCCTCTGCTCTCCTTTTATAAGGATACATGTGATTGATTTGGGGCCCACAGAGATAATCCAGGGTAATCTCCTATTTCAAGATCTCAAAATCTAAAAGAAACCCTTCCTCCTTTTTTGTTTTGCCATATAATGTAACGTTCACAGTTTTCAGGGATTAGGACAAACATATCTTTGGGACTGGAGGAGGGGGTAATTTCTCAGCTTACCACAAAGGTTTTGTGCAACATGTGAACTGTAAAAACACTCTTCTAAGCTGGATGCGGTGGCTCACCCCTGTAATCCCAGCACTTTAAGAGGCCGAGGCGGGTGGATTACCTGAGGTCAGGAGTTTGAGACCAGCCTGGCCAACATGGTTAAACCTTATCTCTACTAAAAATACAAAAATTAGCCAGGTGTGGTGGCACACACCTGTGATCCCAGCTACTTGAGAAGCTGAGGCAGGAAAATAGCTTGAACAGGGAGGCGAAGGTTGCAGTGAGCCAAGATTGTGCCACTGCACTTCAAAAAAACAAAAAAACTATTCTCTTCGGCCTCGACAGCATCCCTACATTACCTGAAAAATCCAGATATTTCCAATTGTAATCAACTAATAGCTGAAATTGGCAACTTTTCTCTTTTAATGTCATTGCCGAGGACCCTTTACATATATAGAGAAAATACAGAGTGTAAATGGTTTTAATTTTGAAGTCCAATTGATCATTTTTTTGTGTTTTTTATGGATTGTGATTTTAGTATATCAAAGAACTTTTTGCCTAACTTAAGATCATGATGTGTCACTTCAAATATGAAGCTATAGAGAAAAGAAAGATTGGCTGGGCGCGGTGGCTCAGGCCTGTAATCCCAGCACTTTGGGAGGCCGAGGTGGGCGCATCACCTGAGGTCGGGAGTTCAAGACCAGCCTGACCAACATGGAGAAATCCTGTCTCTACTAAAAACACAAAAAAATTAGCTGGGCGCAGTGGCGCATGCCTGTAATCCCAGCTACTCAGGAGGCTGAGGCAAGAGAATCACTTGAACCTGGGAGACGGAGGTTGCAGTGAGCTGAGATCGCACCATTGCCCTCCAGCCTGGGCAACAAGAGCAAAACTCCATCTCAAAAAAAAAATAATAAAATAAAAATAAAAAAGAAAGTAAGATCGTGATGATTTTCTCTTATCCTCTCTTCTAAAAGTTTTATAGTTTTAGCTCTTATAGACAGGTCTCTGATCAATTTTGAGTTAATGTTTTATGTGGTGTGAGGTAAGGATCTAATTTCATCTTTTTTTTGCATGTGAATATCCAATTAATCCAGCACCATTTGTTAAAAAGTAACTATTTTTTCCCAACTGCCTTGGCGACTCTCTTGAAAATAAGTGAATACATAAAGACTCTCATAACTCAATAATAAGGAAACAATTAAAAAATGGTCAAAATATTCAAAAGGCCATTTCACCAAAGATGATATATGAATGGCTAATAAGTACATGAAAAATGTTCTCAACATCATTAATCATTAGAGCAATGCAGTTAACAACCACAAAGAGTACCACTTTGTACCCACCTGCATGGCTATTAAAAGCAGACAAGGCCAGGCCTGGTAACCCTAGCACTTTGGGAGGCTGAGGCAGGAGGATCACTTAAGGCAAGGAGTTCGAGACCAGCCTGACCAACATGGCGAAACCCTATCTCTAGTAAAAATACAAAAGTTAGCTGGGCATGGTGGTGAGTGCCTGTGGTTCCAGCTACTCAGGAGGCTGAGGCAGGAGAAACGTTTGAACCCGGGAGGCGGAGGTTGCAGTGAGCTGAGATTGCACCACTGCACTCCAGCCTGGGTGTTAGAGCAAGACTCTGTCTCACACACACACACACAAAAAGGCAAACAACAAAAAACAGGACAGATGATAACAAGGGTGGTAAGAATGTGGACAAGGTGGAACCCTCACAGTGCCAGTGGAAATGTAGCAGCCTCTTTGGAGAGCAGTTTAAGATAATCATAAATTTACCATATAATTCTGCAATTCTAATCCCAGGTATCTATCCAAGAGAAATGAAAACATAAGTCACACAATGACTTGCATGTAAATGTTCACAGCAGTACTATTCATATTAGCCAAAATGTGAAGCAATCCAAATGTCCATCAACTGTGGATGAATAGGCAAAAGGGGCATATCCGTACAATGAAATACTATCCCACAATACAACATAACAAATTACTGATACATGGGCTCGCTACAACCTCCACCTCCCAGCCGCCTGCCTTGGCCTCCCAAAGTGCCGAGATTGCAGCCTCTGCCCGGCCGCCACCCCGTCTGGGAAGTGAGGAGCATCTCTGCCTGGCCGCCCATCATCTGGGATGTGAGGAGCCCCTCTGCCTGGCTGCCCAGTCTGGAAAGTGAGGAGCGTCTCCGCCCGGCCGCCATCCCACCTAGGAAGTGAGGAGCACCTCTGCCCGGCCGCCATCACATCTAGGAAGTGAGGAGCGTCTCTGCCCGGCCGCCCATCATCTGAGATGTGGGGAGCGCCTCTGCCCCGCCGCCCCGTCTGGGATGTGAGGAGCACCTCTGCCCGGCCGCAACCCCGTCTGGGAGGTGAGGAGCATCTCTGCCCGGCAGCCGCCCCGTCTGGGAAGTGAGGAGCGTCTCCGCCCAGCAGCCACCCCGTCCGGGAGGGAGGTGGGGGGGGTCAGCCCCCTGCCAGGCCAGCCGCCCCATCTGGGAGGGAGGTGGGGGGGTCAGCCCCCATAAGCGCTAACTTAAGTTAGCGCTTATGGGTCAGCCCCCCGCCCCACCAGCCACCCCGTCCGGGAGGGAGGTGGGGGGGTCAGCCCCCTGCCCGGCCAGCCGCCCCATCCGGGAGGGAGGTAGGGGGGTCAGCCCCCCGCCAGGCCAGCCGCCCCGTCCGGGAGGGAGGTGGGGGCATCAGCCCCCCGCCCGGCCAGCCGCCCCGTCCAGGAGGGAGGTGGGGGGGTCAGCCCCCCGCCCGGCCAGCTGCCCCGTCCAGGAGGTGAGGGGCGCCTCTGCCCGGCCGCCCCTACTGGGAAGTGAGGAGCCCCTCTGCCCGGCCAGCCGCCCCGTCCGGGAGGGAGGTGGGGGGTCAGCCCCCCGCCCGGCCAGCCACCCCGTCCGGGAGGTGAGGGGCGCCTCTGCCCGGCCACCCCTACTGGGAAGTGAGGAGCCCCTCTGCCCGGCCAGCCGCCCCATCCGGGAGGGAGGTAGGGGGGTCAGCCCCCCGCCCGGCCAGCCGCCCCGTCTTGGAGGGAGGTGGGGGGATCAGCCCCCCGCCCGGCCAGCCGCCCCGTCCAGGAGGGAGGTGGTGGGGTCAGCCCCTCGCCCGGCCAGCCGCCCCATCTGGGAGGGAGGTGGGGGGGTCAGCCCCCCGCCAGGCCAGCCGCCCCGTCCGGGAGGGAGATGGGTGGGGGGGTCAGCCCCCCGCCCGGCCAGCCGCCCCGTCTGGGAGGTGAGGGGCGCCTCTGCCCGGCCGCCCCTACTGGGAAGTGAGGAGCCCCTCTGCCCGGCCAGCCGCCCCGTCCGGGATGGAGTTGGGGGGGTCAGCCCCCCGCCCGGCCAGCCGCCCCGTCTGGGAGGTGAGGGGCGCCTCTGCCCGGCCGCCCCTACTGGGAAGCGAGGAGCCCCTCTGCCCGGCCAGCCGCCCCGTCCGGGAGGTGAGGGGCGCCTCTGCCCGGCCGCCCCTACTGGGAAGTGAGGAGCCCCTCTGCCCGGCCAGCCGCCCCGTCCGGGAGGGAGGTGGGGGGGTCAGCCCCCCGCCCGGCCAGCCGCCCCGTCCGGGAGGGAGGTGGGGGGTCAGCCCCCCGCCCGGCCAGCCCCCCCATCCGGGAGGTGAGGGGCGCCTCTGCCCGGCCGCCCCTACTGGGAAGTGAGGAGCCCCTCTGCCCGGCCACCACCCCGTCTGGGAGGTGTACCCAACAGCTCATTGAGAACGGGCCAGGATGACAATGGCGGCTTTGTGGAATAGAAAGGCAGGAAAGGTGGGGAAAAGATTGAGAAATCGGATGGTTGCCGTGTCTGTGTAGGAAGAAGTAGACATGGGAGACTTTTCATTTTGTTCTGTACTAAGAAAAATTCTTCTGCCTTGGGATCCTGTTGATCTGTGACCTTACCTCCAACCCTGTGCTCTCTGAAACATGTGCTGTGTCCACTCAGGGTTGAATGGATTAAGGGCGGTGCAAGATGTGCTTTGTTAAACAGATGCTTGAAGGCAGCGTGCTCGTTAAGAGTCATCACCACTCCCTAATCTCAAGTACCCAGGGACACAAACACTGCGGAAGGCCGCAGGGTCCTCTGCCTAGGAAAACCAGAGACCTTTGTTCACTTGTTTATCTGCTGACCTTCCCTCCACTATTGTCCTATGACCCTGCCAAATCCCCCTCTGTGAGAAACACCCAAGAATTATCAATAAAAAATAAATAAATAAATTTAAAAAAAAAAAAAAAACCAAATTACTGATACATGCTACAACACTGATGAATTTCAAAAACATTATGTTAAGTGAAAGAATCCAGATGTAAAAGACTATATATTATTTCATTTACAGGAACTGTCCAGAAAATGCAAATCTATAGAGACAGAAAGTAGGTTAGGGAATGCCTGGGGTTGGGGGTAGGAGGCCTGACTGCAAATGGGCACGAGGAAGAGACTGGAAATCTCTCTTTTGGGGAGATGGAAATGTTCTAAAACTGATTCATGCTGATAGTTGCACAACTCTGTAAATTAACAATCATTAAATTGTACTGTTAAGATCAGTGAATTTTATGATATATAAATTATACCTCAATAAAGATGTTAACAATAAATTAAAAAATACATGTAAGAATTGGAGACAATATTTTTTATGCTTGAGGGTCTCTAAAGGCCTTGCTCAGGATCTGCTGCTTATAGTAAATGAAAGTTGAAAAAAATACATATTTATTTTATATGCTTTTACTGGTTAAGAATTACATTCCACTATCAGTAACAGAGATCCACTCAAGGATACTGAACAGCAATTCCCTAAAATTATCATGCACACACACATACAGATGCTTCTTAACTGTATATATGTGTATATGTGTGTGTGTATAGGAAGCTCAGAAGGCAGAAAGTACTCTCATCCTTGCCCTTCCAGAGAGCTTTCCTAGAAACTGTGTGCAATTCCCTATCTCATTGGCTAGAATTTAGTCACGTGGCCATATTTTGCTGCAATGGATGAAACATAACTTTCCAAATGGGACTTTGTTACAAATAACGGAAGAATGGATATTAGGAGGCAAGTTGGCAATCTTTTCCTCAATGTCAGGGAGCAATCTCTTAATTACATTACTTTGAACAATAAAATACTCTGTATATAAGGTGGGGAGTAGTAGGGAGAAGACACGAGTCTAAAATAAGCTCAATTAACTCTACAATGTGTACATTTAGGGATCACTGATAGAACTGGCCTAAAAATAAATGGCAGAGTGTAACTCCTCACTCCTTAAGAGTGGGCTGTTCATTGTGTGACTTCTTTTCAGAGTACAGTTCAAAAGAGAGAAGTATAGTTCAGAAAAGATTAATTTTTCGGTGGAGAAACCTGAGAAATACTACTTAACTTGGTGATCAAAGTCAACCAATAGTCAAGAATCACATCACTAGTAGGCAACCTTGATATGACCACTTTGCCTTCCTTCCCCAAACCCATAGTCCTGGTCTGGTCATGAGAAAAACATTAGACTATTCCAAAATAGCTATCTTCCAAAATATTTGCCTGGTATCCTAAATATTGTTAATGTCATCAAAAATATCCACATCCATTGGGTTGTCTTTTTGTTGTTGAGTTTTAGGAGTTATATACATTATTTGTTGAAGCACAAAGTTTTAAAATTTTGATGAAGTCCAATTTATCTAACTGCCAAACTCAAGGTCATGAAAATGTCCTTGTTTTCTTCTAAGAATTTTACTTTTAGCTATTCAACTTAGGTCTTTAATCCATTTTGTTGTTGTTTTTTTTTTAAATCAACTTTTAAGTTCTGGGGTAAATGTGCAAGATGTGCAGGTTTGTTACACAGGTAAACGAGTGCCATGGTGGTTTGCTGCACACATCAACCCATTACCTAGGTATTAAGCCCAGCACACATTAGCTATTCTCAGATAGGGATCTAACTTCATTCTTTTGCATGTGAATATCCAGTTGTTCCAGCACCATCTGTTGAAGAAATGGTTCTTTCCTATTGAATAGATGTGGGCACTCTTGTTGAAAATCAAGTGACCATAGATATATTGATTTCTGGACTTTCTATTCCATTGACCTATATGTCTAACCTTATGCCTGTATTATACTGCTTTAATATATGTAGCTTTGTAGTAAGTTTCAAAGTCAGGAAGTGAGTTCTCTCCTTTTTCAAGATTTTTTGGGCTATTCAGGGTACCTTGCAATACATCATGATTTTTAGGATTTACTTTCCTATTTTTCAAAAAAAGGCCATTGGGATTTTGATGGAAATTGCATTGAATCTGTAGTCGCTTTGGGGATTACTGCCATCTTAACCAGTACTGTCTTCCAAACCATGAATACAGGCTGTCTTTCCGTTTATTTAGGTCTTACTTAATTTCTTTTGGCAACAGTTTGTAGTTATCAGTATGTTAAATTCTTATATATCCTTGGTTAAATTTATTCCTAGGTGTTTACTGTTTTAGATGTTATTATAAGTAAAATTGCTTTCATAATTTTCCTTTTGGGCTGTTCATTGCTAGTGTATAGAAATGCAACTGATTTTAGTATGTTTTCTATCTTGTAACTCTGCTGATTTTTTTTTTTTTTTTAAAGACAGAGTCTCACTCTGCCACCCAGGCTGAAGTACAGTAGTGCAATCTTGGCTCACTGCAGCTTTGACCTCCTGGGCTCAAGCTTTGACCTCCTGCCCTCAGCCTCCCAGGGAATAGCTGGGACTACAAGTATGTGCCACCATGCCCAGCTAATGATTGTATTTTTTTTGTAGAGACAGGGTTTTACCATGTTGTCCAGGCTGGCCCTGAACTCCTGAGCTCAAGTGATCCACCCACGTTGGCCTCCCAAAGTTCTGGGATTACAGGCATGCACCACCACATCCAGCCTGCTGAGTTCTTTTACTACCTCTAACAGATTTTTTGTGGATTCTTCAGGATTTCCTACATAATACAAAAATTAGCTGGGAGTGGTGGTATGCGCCTGTGGTCCCAACTACTCAAGAGGCTGAGGCGGGAGAATCGCTTGAACCTGGGAGGAAGAGGTTGTGGTGAGCCGAGATCATGCCATTGCACTCCAGCCTAGGCGACAGAGCAAGACTCTGTCTCAAAAAAGGATTTCCTACATATAAAATCATGGCATTTGTAAATAAAGAGAATTTCACTTTTTCCTTTCTGAGTTCCTTTTGTTTTTCTTGCGTTAACTGCACTTTTGAGCAACAAATGGGAGATAACATTCAACACTGCAATTTCAGCATGGTTTTCAAACTCTACATAGGAATGTAGACATAACACTTCTAAAATCTGTAGAAGACATTTCAGGAAGCACTTTAGTCGTTGTACCTAAAATACATGTACCATATAAAAACATTCCAGTGTCAACAGCACTTTAAATTTTCACAGTAATATATGAAAGAACAGACTTTACACTTCTTTTGCACAGAATTATCTTTGCTATGTTTTAAAATACTTAAGAAATAGAAACAAATTTAAGAGAGTTTTCACCTTTAAAATTTATTACATAAGCTATACACACAAAATGAAATCCTAGTTATAAAAGATGCATCTAGAAGAATAATTTATAATAAACCAACAAAAATGAGAATGTGTATCTCCAGGAATATAAATATATTTAAATGTTCTCAGTGACTGGCATTGCTTTATGCATTACATAAGATAGTATGTACTAATTAAGGTATTGAATTCACTGGGTTTTAGAAGGCTTTAAAAAAAATCCAGATAAATCAACAACAAAAATACAGCTCAACTTTGAACTGCATTAAAATCCAGAATCTCTCATTTTAGATGACCATTCCTTATTCCCCTCAAAAGGTTTCCAACAGAAGCTATTTCACAAACTGATTATTAGAATGTCTTCTCCCCACTCTCCCCAAAAGCAAGTATGCATGGAAGTGCATGCTTTTAACCTTAAGAAATGTATTTTTGGTACCATTAATATAAAATTATAATATTTATATTTATAAAATTGTATATAAAAAGTATCAATAGACTATAACCTAAACAGTTTTAGAAAGATATCAACAGCTTGCAAATATAAAAACCTTGTGCTATTAAAAGGTGTTTAACAAGGTAGTTATTAATACATTTGTTGTGTATATAATTACAAAAGTAAACCAAGAAATATTTAAAATCTTTATTAACCCAAATTAGAATTATAAAAATGTTTGTCTCAAAAACAATGACTGTGATACTCAAGTACAGAATTGTGGTGCAGCCAGAAGTGGTTCAAGAGCCCTCCCGCAAATCATGACTTGCACTCTGGCTTTTAAGTGAAGACGAGGGAATCTCAAGGCAGATGGGAGGAGGGCATTTGAAGAAAACAAAGATGACAAAAAAGATGGGAAGGACACAATGGTTAAGTAAGTTTCTTGTCAGATACAATAAACTATTTTTAGGAAGGATAAAATTAAAAGTGCTTAATACAAACAAAATTTAACGCTGCTAATTATTCTTAAGTGCCATAAAACATTAGTTACCAAAATAACTTTATTAAGAGTTGGCCAAACTTCAACTATTATTACTATTACTACAGGGTCTTGTTCTAGCAAAGTTCCAATATTTATCAGTTATCTTACACATGACATTTATCTTAATATGTACATAAATATCAGGAAAGTTTAAATACTTTTATTTTACTATTTTAATCTTTTCCTTAAAGATGCAGGGTTTCATACTACATCAATTAGGCGGACATGACAAAAATGACTTAAATAGGAACTGAATATAAAGAATACTCGATACCATGACATCATCATCTGGAACAACTGAAGTTTTCTACCTCTTGCTCCATTTTCTAGATAAAGGGGAGGAAGAGCAAATAGTAAGTTTCAATATGGAATAAGCTAAAGAAACATTTCATTACTTTTTCAGTAAACAACCTTAAGAATATTAATATTCAGGTATATATTTGATAGTGAAAATAAACATTCAGTTCAGTATTTAAGACTGCCACATAGATTTTACCTGTAGGACTTCATTATTTAAATAACTTTGAAATGAGTCTGGGGTGCATTCATCTTATGTTAAATTCAAATAGTATTAATCAAGGTACTGATGTAGTTAGAGTTTAGTATTTTACACTTTGTAGGTATCAATATTATATATATACTACATAGTATACTTTAGTAGGTATACTAAATACTATATATATACTAATGGTTATCATTTTTATATTTTGTAGTTACCAATAATATGCATATGTAAGTAATATCTTTTTTTAAAATTTAGCACTCTCTAGTGAAATGATCTGTTATTAAAAATAATAATAAGGCCAGGCATGGTGGCTCCTGCCTGTTAATGCCAGCACTTTGGGAGGCTGAGGCGGGAGGACCGCTTGAAGCTACGAATTTGGGACCATCCTAGGCAACATAGCAAAACCTCCATCTCTACAAAAAATTTAAAAATTAGCCCAGTGTGGTGGTGCTTGCCTATAATCTCAGTTACTTGAGAAGCTGAGGCAGGATTGCCTGAGCTCAGGAGTTCCAGGTTATAGTGAGCTATGTTCTTGCCACTGCACACAGAGAAAGATCCTGTCTCAAAAATAAGTATTAATGCTCTAATTAACACTATAATACCTACTATAAAGGAAGATTAAGTACATAAGTCTTTTTTTTTTTTTTTTGTCATACAGAGTCTTACTCTGTCAGCCAGGCTGGAGTGCAGTAGCTTGATCTTGGCTCACTGCAACCTCTGCCTCCCAGGTTCAAGTGATTCTCATGCCTCAGCCACCCGAGTAGCTAGGACTATGGGTGCACACCACCACATCTGGCTAGTTTTTGTTGTTTTAGTAGACATGGGGTTTCACCATGTTGGCCAGGCTAGTCTTGAACTCCTGGGCTCAAGCAATCCACCCGCCTTGGCTTCCCCAAGTGCTGGGATTACAGGCATGAGCCACTGTGCCTGGCTGACAAGTCTTAAAAGAAGCTATTATTCTTCATTAATACATACACACAAAAGGGGTATTCATAGTTTATGTTCCACTATTTATTAAAGACACAAACTATTGGCTGGGTGCAGTGGCTCACGTTTGTAATTCCAGTACTTTGGGAGGCTGAAGTGGCTGGATGGCTTGAGCTCAGGAGCTCAAGATCGGCGTGGGCAACATAGTGAAACCTCATCTCTACAAAAAACACAAAAATTAGCTGGGCATGATGGCAGGTGCCTGTGGTCCCAGCTACTTGGGAGGCTGAGGCAGGAGGATCGCTTGAACCTTGGAGGTGGAGGCTGCAGTGAGTGAGTTGAGATCGCACCACTGCACTCCAGCCTGGGCGACAGAGACCCTGTCTCTAAATAAATAAATAAATAAACAAACAAACTAATTAAGTTATAGATTGGAAAAATACTAAACTCACTTGCATTTAGAAATAATTCATAATCCACATATTAAAAATGATCTTTATGGAATGGGACATCAACTTTGGAAATAGAAAGATGGTCTTTAAGTTCCTACAATCAGTTTCTTACACAGATTAAATAAAGCCTCAACAATCCTACATAAGTGATATATTAATGTGACCACAAGAGCATTTGTAAAAAGTTTCCACTCAAGAGTTTACCTGAATAAGTGATGTTTTATCATGGTCCTTGCGATGCCGATAAATACATTGGCTGATTACTGCATACAAATTTTCCAACTGAAATATGTTGTAGTTTTGACTTTTTTTAACAACAGTCTTCAAAAGATTCTAAAAGAAAATATGAGTGTCAATATGTGTGAGAGAGAAACTTCCTCAGACAAGATACTTAATTTAGAAGGTTTGGGCAATTATTACAAGCCTGACAGAGGGTAGACCAAGCCATCTGATGACACAGGGCAGCCTCTGGCAGTGGCTCTGACATTTAAATGTACTTAAGTCTAGCTATAATCCTGGCCTTGACCTTGAGTAACTCATATTCTAAAAACTAGAGCTGAGGGGATTGCCAATTCTAAGTCTAGCCATAAGCATCTACAAACAAATTAAAAACTAACCTCAATTTAGATTAACAGGAGAAAAGCAAAGTTTTTTTGCAGGGGATTTTATGATAGTATAAGTACATTTTAACTAATTTTATTATGTGAAACTAAAAAAGATACTACATAAATGGTGAACTACCTCACCACTTCAGGGTTCTTATATAAAAAGGATTTTCCATCTGCTAAGTGTTTTTTTTCTCATGACTAAAATGGTGGACTTACTGGATTTCTGTAATTCTTCAAGTCTGGCCCTACCAGAATATGCTGCCATTACCTCATAATTAACAAAAACACACCATTATAGTTAAGTAAAAACCAACTAAAATGGCCATAGGTAATGGTCATAAAAACAATGTATGGGACCAATAATTTAGATCAGCAAGTTAAAAACTGCAATTTAATACATTAAATAGTCACCTCCAACTACATCCTTTATACAAATTATTCTATAGCAAGTATATCCTCTCATAAAAGGCCATTATTTATTGCATGCCTAATGGATATATGGTACTATTACATAGTCTATTTTGATGGGTTATATGATCAGAAAAAGTAAATTGAAATAGTCTCAGTAATGAATTTAATTGACTCTGAATGACATACATGTATACTGAGCAGAACAAAGCTGTAAAATTTATAAAAATTAAGTAAAATAATAATTGCTACTCTTAACCCCAAACAACATAACACGGTGAACTTACACACAAGTTCCTGTTTCAGCACTAGGAATACATTTCACTGTCATGAGATTTACATGGGTTTTCAGTTCCACATATATTTTTTAATAGAGTTTTTCAGAAAGACTACAGTTTTTTGAGAGAAACTACTCCAGGAATATTGCTGCTTCCTTCTCTAAGAAGTGTAGACATCAAGTTCTTATTAGCTCTGCTACATTCAAGAGAAAGGCTTTCCTAAGTTCATTAGTACTAACAGGTTCACTTTGTACTTAAACAGGGCAGATTTCCCTCTAAAATGCCAAAACTCTTATCTGTATTACAAATAATGTATCTCTGATAAACATATAATGTTTTCAGACTTGAAATGTGGCCAAAATAAAACAGGTAAATTGGAATTGGGATGCAAAATGTTTTTATTTTTGAAGGAAAAGGGCAAGAAATCAATCTTATTTCAAATATGTTAAGGCAACTGTAACACATCCAAGTTGTTGGTTGAGGAGATAAGACCGTTGTTTAGGTGTGTCAGGGTGTGGGGTTCCAGATGTAGGTTCACCGTTACAGAGGTGATGGCTATTCCAAAAGTACAGAATAATAGAGCAAATGATCAGAAAAACCCTGAGGAGCTTACAAAAGTAATTGAAGGCAAGGATGATTTAAGGACACAACAGTCAAGGAAGAAGAGTTATCTATAGTGTCAAGTGTTACAGATATGGCAAGAAGAATTCAATTTAACAAAGGCAAGTATTATTAGCTATTAGGATGTCATTTTATTACAGTGGTTAGGATGAAAATTGAATTTAGGGGAACAGGCAGGGGAACAGAATGAGCAACAGATAACCTGACAGCTGTCAGAATCACTTAGCTATTTTCTCTCTGATTCCTACCACAGATCCTTGGATATAATTCTTAATTTTGGGCCAGGCATGGTGGCTCATGCCTATAATCCTAGCATTTTGGGAGGCTGAGGTGGGAGGATTACTTGAGCTCAGGAGTTCGAGACCAGACTGGGCAACACAGTGAGACTTTGTCTATTTTTTTTTTAAGAATTAAAAATCTATTTTATATTAAAAAATAATAGTAATAATTCTTTTTTTTTTTTTTTTTTTGGAGACAGAGTTTTGCTCTTGTCATCCAGGCTGGAAGGCACGATCTCGGCTTACTGCAACCTCCACCTCTGGGTTCAAGTGATTCTCCTGTCTCAGCCTCCCCAGTAGGCTGGGAATACAGGTGCCCACCACCACACCTAACTAATTTTTTGTTTTATCTATTATTTATTTATTTATTTTTTTTTTGAGACAGAGTCTCTATCGCCCAGGCTGGAGTGCAGTGGCACAACCTCGGCTCACTGCAAGCTCCACCTCCTGGGTTCACGCCATTCTCCTGTCTCAGCCTCCCGAGTAGCTGGGACTACAGGCACCAGCCACCACGCCCAGCTAATTTTGTTTTTGTATTTTTAGTAGAGATGGGGTTTCACCGTGTTAGCCAGGATGGTCTCAATCTCCTGACCTCGTGATCCGCCCACCTCAGCCTCCCAAAGTGCTAGGATTACAGGCATGAGTCACTGCGCCCAGCCTAATTTTTTATTTTTAGTAAAGACAGGGTTTCACACTGTTGGCCAGGCTGGTCTCGAACTCCTGACCTCAGGTGATCCGCCCACCTCAGCCTCCCAAAGTGCTGGGATTACAGGCGTGAGCCACTGTGCCTGACCTAGTCTTAATTTGGAACAGGGGAAGGAGAAGAACAGTAAAGGGAAGCTTGGAGGAAAAAAAGTTTTACTTTTTCATGTAAATCCCATGTAGCCAGAATGCTACTAGTCACAAGCCAGTGTTTGGGGATTAGTAATCTGCAGAGTAAAAGCATTATGATTTCAATTTACATACTTTTAATCGCTCATGATCCACAACAAGTGAGGGTGTAGGCTGAGAAAGAATTGCCAAAGCCTTTTCAACAGTGATGAGCTGCTGCTGTTCTACCTGGGAACGTCTAGCTCGAGTCATTCGCAGAACACACATTTCTAGAATGAAAAATCAAATGATTATTATTTGGTCCATAGATATTATGATGTCTAAAATAAATAATAATATTAGGCAGATTAAACAGGGCATGTTTACTAAGGACATAAACAGCAATTCTGGCTTATTAACTCATTCTGTTATAAGATTAAGATACTGCCACTCATACACTCAAAAATTAAGGACAGTTTGAGAAGTATGTTTCATATTGAGTATTTCAAGGGGATTCTCAACAGGTTAGAATGTCTTCTACTTGAGCACAAGACACACAGAACTGAAAAGCTAGAAGGGACCTCAATAATCTAGAACAGGGGTTGTAAAATACCACCCATGGTCAAAATCTGGCCCACCACTGTAAATTATGTTTTATTAGAACACAGCCTGCCTGTAATCCCAGCACTTTGGGAGGCCAAGGCAGGTGAATCCCTTGAGTCCAGGAGTTCAAGACCAGCCTGGGCAACATGGGAAAACCCCATCTCTTTAAAAAAAAAAAAGAAAAAAAAATTAGCTGCGCATGGTGGTACATGCCTATAGTCCCAGCTGCTTGGGAGGCTGAGGTTTGAGGATCGTTTGAGCCGAGGAGGCAGAAGTTGCAGTGAGCAGAGATCATGCCACTGAAATCCAGCCTGGATGACAGAGCAAGACTCTGTCTCAAAACAAACAAACCAACCCAGCCATATCCATTTTATCTACTGTCAATGTAGTTTTCCCAGCAGGGTTGAGTAGTTGTCACAGAGACCAAGATTGTATGGGCCCCTGTGTAGGCTAAAGTATTTAACTATCTGGTATTTGGTTCTTTAAAGAAGTCTGCTGATCCATGATTTAGAACAATACATTCAATGATAAATGAGAAAAATAAGGCCAGGAGAGGTGAAGAGACTTTTCTTTCTTTTTTTTTGAGATGGAGTCTTTCTGTCACCCAGGCTGGAGTGCAGTGGCATGATCTCAGCTCACTGCAACCTCTGCCTCCACCTCCCGGGTTCAGGTGATTCTCCTGCCTCAGCCTCCAGAGCAGTTGGGACTACAGGCGTTAGCCACCACGCCCAGCTAATTTTTGTATTTTTAGTAGAGACAGGGTTTCACCATATAGGCCAGGCTGGTCTCGAACTCCTGACCTCGTGATCCACCCACAGCCTCCCAAAGTGTTAGGATTACAAGTGTGAGCCACCACGCCTGACCGTGAAGAGAGACTTTTCTAAGGATATACATCTAATTGTTGTGAGAGCCAGGATAAGAACTCAGACTTCCTGATATCGAAGCAAGTACCTGTACTGCTAAATAGTATTCTTTTTAAAAAGAAAATGATAAAAGAAAAATAAAACAAATCTGATTCAAACCAAAACATATTATACAGCCAGAAGATTAACATTTAAAATATTCACACTAGAAAGTATATCCTAGTCTATTATTGCTAATTACTCAAATACACTTAGAGCTCATGTCAAAGAAGCCCTTGCAAAAGGCTTGCATTCAGTGTATCAGCCACTAAAAAAAAAAAAGTCCATTAACTTAGTCAATGCTTATTTTTGACCAAAATAAATTTTTGGCCCCATTATCCACTATTTTGCTTTGTATGATTAAATAATGTTTGGCTTTTCTAAAATCCAAACAAATCTACTGTCAAGGGCTCCAGAAGATCCAAATGACAACAATTCTAAATAGAAAATTTGGGGAGCAGATCAGTAGAATAAATATAAATAATCTTGGACTTAACCTACAATAAGGGATAGAAAAATGATCGGGGTAAGAGTTGTTCATACCACTCAGCAAGAATCATAGCAGACTCTTATCTTGCTTAAAAATGAAAGGGTATCATATACTTTAGTTTGTTACATTTAATCTTAAAAATGCCTCATTACCAAGCAACTATCTTATCTACCCCAATTTTGCAGATAAGCAAACAGGCTGACAAGTTAAGTATCTTGCCAAAGGTCACAAGCTACTAAGTAGTGAACTGGAGGCTCAAATCTAGGTCTGTTTGATGCCACAGCTTGTAACTATCCTTACTAGCTCAATAGTAAAGATAATGCTATTGTTTTCTAATTAACTAACATCTGCTCTCTGAAAGGCAAGCAAAAAGCAATAAACTAAGATGCAATTAGGTGTTTAGAAACTTTGAAATATCTTTTAAAATCAGTAAATTATTTTAATTGAAAAAGACGTACCTTTTCCTTCATTTTCATCAGAAATATGTATTATCTGAGAGCTAGAAGCATCTCCATTACAAGCAATCTTGTCTCTCAATTCTGTACATGCTGTAGTCTTCCTAGAGTCTTCAAGCTCATTCTCTATATTACAAGTATTTGAATTATTTCTCAATTCCAGTTTGCTTTCAGAGGCATTTTGCTGTTTTTCATTTTCTTCCACCGAAGACTCTCCTGTGTTTCCGGTCTCATTATGATCTACACTTGTGTCTTGAGTTTCCTCTGTATCACTCTCAATTTTGTGATCTATGGCATTCTGGCTATCATCCTTTGCCTGTGAAATCTTCCTTCGCTTTTTTATGGTGCCTAAGTACCAGTTTGACTTTTTGCGAATTTTCCTCTTCAACTGAGCTTCAAGAAATTTAAAGAAAAATGATGAAAGAACATTCAACCATTTTCTGAAATTCAAAGAGTGAAAAACCCTGATATATGAAAGGATAAATAGTGAGAAACCACAGTATTTTGTATGATTAAAATACAGAAACAAGAATAGAGCATACTGTGAGAAGGTGGAGAAGTGGGTAAGGCCCAGACCATAAAATGGTAAAAAATTTTGATTTTATCTTGAAATTTTTTTTTTTTTTTTTTTTGAGACGGAGTCTCACTCTGTTGCCCAGGCTGGAGTGCAGTGGTGCGATCTCGGCTCACTGCAAGCTCTGCCTCCCGGGTTCATGCCATTCTCTTGCCTCAGCCTCTCCGAGCAGCTGGGACTACAGGCACCCGCCACCACGCCCAGCTAATTTTTTGCATTTTTAGTAGAGACGGGGTTTCAACCTGTTAGCCAGGATGGTCTCGATCTCCTGACCTCGTGATCCGCCCGCCTCGGCCTCCCAAAGTGCTGGGATTACAAGCGTGAGCCACCGCACCCGGCCTATCTTGAATACTTTTAATCTTGAATACTTTTAAGGAGGGTACTGACATGATCTGTCTAATGCATATTTTGCAAAGATCACTTTGGCAGCAGTATGAGAAATGGACTGGAAGAAGGGCAAGACTTGAAATAGGCTACACTTATTGAGCATTTATCATGTACTAGAAACTATCTTACTACATTGCCTAGACTGGAGTGCAATGGCTATACACAAGCACAATCTTGGCGCACTACAACCCCAAACTCCTGGGCTCAAGCGATCCTCCTAACTCAGCCTCCTGAGTGGCTACAACTATAGGTGTATGCCACTGCATCAAGCATATACTAGGAATTCTTCTAAGCCCCTTATGTATGCTTACTCATTAAAATTTAATTTAACCTGGCTGGGCGCGGTGGCTCACGCCTGTAGTCCCAGCACTTTGGGAGGCTGAGGCGGGCGGATCACGAGGTCAGGTGATCGAGACCATCCTGGCTAACACGGTGAAACCCCATCGCTACAAAAAATACAAAAAAATTTGCCGGGCATGGTGGCCGGTGCCTGCAGTCCCAGCTACTCGCAGGAGAATGGTGTGAACCTGGGAGGCGGAGCTTGCAGTGAATCGAGATCATGCCACTGCACTCTAGCTTGCGTGACGCAACTCCGTCTCAAAAAAAAAAAAAAAAAAAAAAAAAAAAATTTTTCACTTTAACCCAATGAAGTTTGCTACCATTATCATCATCATTTTACAGATGAAGAAACTAAGGTACAGAGAGGTTAAATATTCTGTCTAGACTAGATGCAGTATAACCACACAGCAGTAGTCCTGGAAAGAAGTGGTAAAACTTTTAGGTAATAGAAATGACAAAGGAGAATGAAAGATTACCTTTCTCCCCAGTGGCTTCTTTTTTTTTTTTTTTTTTTTTTTTGAGACAGGGTCTTGCTCTGTCACCCAGGCTGGAGTGCTGTGGCATAATCAATAGCTCACTGCAGCCTTGAACTCCTGGGCTCAAGCAATCCTCCTACCTCAGTCTCCCAAGAAGGTAGGGCTACAAATGTGTGCCACCATGCCTGGCCAGTGTTTTGTTTGTTTTTTAGAGATGGGGTCTTGCTCTGCTGCCCAGGCTGGTCTTAAACTCCTGGCCTCAAGCAATCCTACCACCTTAGCCTCCCAAAGTGCTGGGATTACAGACATGAGCCATAGTGCCTGGCCTCTGTCCAGTGATTTTCTTAATGGTGTTTGGGAACTTGTCTGCTGCCTCTTGGTTGTCAGAAGCTGCTTCTCTTGTTATCTTGATTTTTTTTTGAGATGGAGTCTTGCTCTGTCACCCAGGCTGGAGTGCTGTCACCCAGGCTCGGCTCACTGCAAGCTCCGCCTCCTGGTCTCACGCCATTCTCCTGCCTCAGCCTCCCGAGTAGCTGGACTACAGGTGCCGCCACCGTGCCCGGCTAATTTTTTGTATTTTTAGTAGTGATGGGGTTTCACCGTGTTAGCCAGGATGGTCTCGATCACATGACCTCGTGATCCGCCCACCCTGGCCTCCCAAAATGCTGGGATTACAGGCGTGAGCCACCGCGCCTGGCCCTATCTTCATATTTTTTAAGCCAAACCTCTTTCTAAAATTATCAAACCATCTTTTGCTGGCATTAAATTCCTTCTGCTTTGTCATATAATGACTTCATTTTTTCTTGAATTGTATTAGAGTCTACAGGTATGCCTTTCTTATAGCAATCTTGCATCCGGATAAAAGCTGCATTTTCAATATCAGACAAAAGGTATTTCACAAAAAGTACAAAGTTTTTGCATTTGCTAGTGCAGCTGCAACAACAGCTTCAAAATTTCCTTCTTTTCTTTCTTTATTTTTTGAGACAGTCTCACTCTACTGCCCAGGCTGGAAGGCAGTGGCACGATCTTGGCTCACTGCAACCTCTGCCCCACTGGGTTCAAGCAATTCTCTTGCCTCAGTCCCTTGAGGGCTGGGATTACAGGAGGAGCTGGGATTACAGGCGTGCACCACCATGCCCAGCTAGTTGTTGTATTTTTAGTAGAGACGGGGTTTCACCATGTTGGCCACGCTGGTCTTGAGCTCCTGACCTCAGGCAATCCACCCACCTTGACCTCCCAAAGTGTTGGGATTACAGGCGTGAGCCACTGCGCCTGGTATTCTTTTCTCTCTTTTGAGACAAGGGTCTCACTTTGTTGGCCAGGCTGGAGTGCAGTGATGCAATCTGGCTCACTGCAAACCCCACCTCCTGGGTTCAAGTGATTCTCATGCCTCAGCCTCCCCAGTGGCTGGGATTACAGGCACTGTCTACCATGCCTGGCTAATTTTTTTTATTTTTAGTAGAGACGGGGTTTCACTGTGTTGACCAGGCTTGTCTCAAACTCTTGATCTCAAGTGATCCACCCGCCTCAGCCTCCCAAAGTGCTGGGTTTACAGGCGTGAGCCACCATGCCTGGCTCTTTATTATTATTGTTTACAATGGTCCTTATACTGGATTCATTTGTCTTGAAAGGGCAGGGTACTACAGCTGCAGACCTCAATCTATGTTACATAACAAACAATTCAACTTTATCTTAGAAGGTTATGACTTTCTCTGCTTCTTGGGAGCACTTCCAGCATTACTAGTGGCACCTCCTATGTGTCCTATGGTGTTACTCAAGATTTTTTGTACTATACTAAACACACACAAAAAATACTTGAGAACCGCAAATCACTTTTTACTGCAATAAGCAATTTACTGGACAGGCCAACTGCTCACCGCATCACACATCGTTTTAAGCAGATACTCATGAAACTTGAGCTCACCACAACAGCCACAGGAGGTGGCTCCAAAATTACGGTAGTAAAGTTATGTACTATAGTAAATTTTATGCAGTTGTGATTTAATACTGAGTCTTTACATTTGTTTAAATTTCTCTTGACTGCAAATGGTGCTATGTACGATCTGTGTTTGTGTGGTAAGTTTTGATAAATCTTAACTTTTTAAAATAGACTTGTGTATATTTTATGGTGGTGATAAAATAGACTACTGTCTATACATATTGTATGCATCTGTGACATACCTAACTTTTTCACTATTTCTAGGCTACGTGATTCAATCTGCAAGTTTTTTCAAACTGTTGCAAAGCTCCAAAAAAATTTCCAAGATATTTATTGAAAAAAATCCACACATATGTGGACCTGTGTACCTCAAACTCGTATTATTCAAGGGTCAATTGTACTCAGAACATAAAAATGAAATGAATATCCACCAACAGAAGAAACTCACATAATCAGCACCCAGATTGAGAAACAGAATATATACTAACATTCCAAATCACCCTTATTCTAATTCTAGTCATAATATCCTAAAAAGTAAATAATATCCTGATTTATGACACCATGGATTAGTTTTGCCCATTTTTGACTTCATACATATATAAAAATTTTAAATACATATTTTAAAATTTATTTCACATGTAAATGTATCTAGGATTCACTCAACATTGTTTGGGAGGTTCATCTGTGCTGCTGTATGTAGTTGACGTTTAAGGATTCTCACTGTATAATAATTCATATCTTTCCATTCTACTGGTAATGGGCATTTGAGTTACCCCCAGTGTTGAACCATGACTTTTAATGGCAAAACCACAACCACTTTTGTACCAACCTAATATTATGAATATTGCTTCTTTGAATATTCTTGTACATGTCTTTTGGTGGACACAAAATATGTAATCCTGTTGGGTATCTATCAAACGATTGTTTTAAGGGAGCCAATTTCCATATATATATATTCTTGCTTAAAGCTGATTTGACTGTCAGCATTCTGGTAGTGAAGGCCTCTTGCTAATTTTCTTCTCTTATCTTTCCTTTCCCAGCTGCCTCCTCCCATTTTTTCAAAAGAAGGGCTTATTCTTTATCTATCTCAAATCAATTACCCGAGGATGGACAAACTTGCAATACAATAGAAGGTTCAACCCCAGCAAACACCGCTAACCCTAACCTTAACACACACACAGAGATCTAAAAAGGTAGTGAGGAATGGCCAGGCGCAGTGGCTCACGCCTGTAATCCCAACACTTTGGGAGGCCGAGGTGGGTGGATCATGAGGTCAGGAGATCGAGACCATCCTGGCTAACACGGTGAAACCCCGTCTCTCTAAAAATACAAAAAAAAAAAAAAAAAAAAAAAAAAAAATTAGCCAGGCATAGTGGCGGGTGCCTATAGTCCCAGCTACTTGGGAGGCTGAGGCAGGAGAATGGCATGAACCCGGGACGCAGCGGTTGCAGTGAGCCGAGATCGCACCACTGCACTCCAGCCTGGGTGACAGAGCGAGACTCCGTCTCAAAAAAAAAAAAAAAAAAAAAAAGGGTAGTGAGGAATTACAGTGCTAAAATCTGGGAAAACAAGTGAATAACAGAGGCTGAGAAGCTAAGCAGTCTGACAAAGGGGCTTAAAGAACAAAAATTGGAATTAGAAGTCTGCCAAGGAAGGCAGGCCTTAGAAAACCCTACAGGCTTTGAATAGGTAACGTGGAGTTACCTTCTAAGAATAAGGGGGAGTAAGAAATAGACCAGAATTTACAGACATCAGTTTCAAATCAAGACAGTCCACAATTAGATGGTGACTTCTGGGTTGCAAGTGGTACATTATAAACTTGGATTTATTTCAAGAATGCAAAGTTGTCTTAATAGTAACAAAATCAATGTAATTCACTGCATTAACACAAATAAAGGAAAATAAGGGAGAAAGTTAATGGCATTAGAAAAGAATAAAGTTATAATTTCATAAATGAAAACTACTTGAGTACTTACCAGGAGTGCTGCAAGCCACAGGAGTACTCGGTGTCTTTAGCTTTTCATTCTGCTCTGGGTCTGATCTTTTATCACCAACAAGAGTGGAATTTTGCTTTGGCATCACATGGTAGTAAGACGGGGCATATTTGGAGGAGCTACAACCTTATAAATAGATATGTGGGATGTCAAAAGGATTTCCAGATTTCAAAATTACATGAAGGATTAACTAAAAGTACAAAATACATCTGAAGCATCCTTTTCAGATGCTTCTGAAATTCATATATTCTGAAATTCATTGATAATATTAGGTTGGTACAAATCAACCAAATCACTTTCCTACCTCTTTTCTTTCTAGATTCCTGAATTTCTTCACAGAGCTGCTCAAAGTCTTCATCAAGTTCTTCTTTAATTATGGCATAGGCAGTATCTCTTAAAGCACAGGCTCTATGCCTAATAAGACGATCTATGAAGTGAGTAAAAAATGTAATTTTTAATTTCCCCCTTTTAATAATATACCAAAAATAAACTCAGCATATTAGGCTAAGATAGTAGCTCTTACAATTCCTTTTGACTTTTACCAAGAATAGTCAAAGTTACTGGAATTGTCCTATTCTGTTTCTGGAGCTAATCTAATGTTCTGGACATCTGATTCAATATGGCAAACTAAACCCAAACAATTTTACTGCTCTGTCCTGTTCAGATCCCTTTGAAATATCAGAAAAAAAAAAGGAATCAATCAATAGCAAGAGATTAAACATGATAACGAAAAATAAAAGAGAAGGCTATCAGTGTCATTAGTGAACAAAGAATGTGAAAGAATTTTGCAAGAGATTTATAGAGGTTGTTATTGCATTGACAAAGAAAATAGACAAAGACAATGAAAAAGCAACCCTCCACAGGAAACACTGGGAAAATCCTAAGCTCAGAGTATGAATACTACAAACTGGAATATGATTTGAGGCAGAAGACGGAATAAGTGAATGCAGGATTGCTTGAGCCACATCAATACTCCTCAAAGGACAAGAGATTGCAAAATTCACTCCCAGGTTATACAGTACATTACACGCAGAATGCTGAAGTGGGCTTTCTAACATGGCATTTGGGCCTGAAGAAAGTCAGGGCAAGGTCGAAGTAGTGGTTCCAGAACTCAGCAGCCTGTGTCACCGGGAAACTCATTAGAAATGCAAATTCTCAGGGGCCACACCTACAGAATCAGAAACCCTAGAGATGGGGTCCAGTGATCCATATTTTATGAAGTCCTTTAGGAGATTCTGATGTCCACTAACATTTGACACCACTAGCCTGAAGTAATTTTAGATTGCCACAATAGACAGAAAGGGAGCAGCAGCAACAGCATGATTGCAATGCAACAGAGAAAGCCCTCTGCCTCCAGGGTACCTCGTTTCTTCTTCCTATGTACAATGGACTGTTCTCATCTTGTTAGTCTGTTTCCTACTGCTTGACTCCAGAACTCTGAACTACAGGGAAATGCCTAGGGAAGGTGAGCTAGAGGACTGGGAGGGAAAGAATAGTAAGCTTTTCAATTGTTGAAAAAAATTTTAGTAGTTTCCTATACTAATCAATCTAACTAACAAGCACCACCAATTTAAAAACAGAAAGCCAATGTACTGGAGGAGAAATGAATACAGAAAACAACTATTTTTAAAATGTATCTTTTTATCCACTGGTAAGAGTTAAAGAACTCTGCATCTGTAATAACAGGAAGCCATCAAAAAATTAAATAAGCACCCAAGAAAGAACATTTCTTGGAAATGGACAAGCTGCAGAACAAACATATCATTAAAAATCCTTTATACATTTTATTTTTAAAAATTTGTAAAAATGTATGGGGTGCAAGTGTAATTTTTGTTACAGGCACAGACTGCACATGAAGTCAGGGCTTTGGGGGTATCCACCACCCAAATAACATACATTGTACCCACTAAATTTTATATTAATAGATGCGATAGGTGAAAGCAGAAGGGGTATATGCACAGAAAAAGGTCTGAAAAGATATCCTCAAACTTAACAGTGTCTGCCTTTGGAGAAAGGAAATGGGGGACTAGATTTTTAAAAATATTACTACTAGTAAGCCCTATATTATATTGCTTTTGTAATAAAAATTATAATGGTCTTAACTAATAGAATATTTTAAAAACTATTTCATTACAGAGTGCCTACTTTTCCACTTTGAGGAAGAGCACTGATATACAAAGTATACAAGCCATTTTGTGTCTCATTAGAGGATCTATCATGTAATTGTTAATAAACAGGGATTTGGGAATGAAAGAAACCTGCATTCAAATTCTCACTCTGTCCCTTCCTGGAAGTGTGACCTTCAGCAATGTTTTTAACCTTTCTAAACTTCATTTTTACCATTTGTAAAATGGTTGTTGTGAGGATTAAATAGTATTTTGATTATGTTTATAATATAGCACCTGACACAAAAATCAACCCTAAGTGTTAGCTGCCCCCCAACTCAACCCCCTGAAAAAAAATTCACTAATGCTCACCTCCAGGATCTCTATCTGGATTGTATTCTAAGGCATTACTACAGATTAGATCAATATCTCTCAAATAGTCTTTCACAGTCAGATACTTGTGTAGATCAATTTTACTGATTACAGATGAAAGGTCCATTGGTTGCTTTATTACAGTGACATAATCAGGAACCTAAAATTCAAGCAAATGATCAAATCACAAAATTAACTCTAAACATAACATGTGAGTCAAGTTTCGATGCCAGGCAATATAGGAGATAGAGAATAAATACGTAAGAGATTATGATAATATATTTAACATAAAACCTTTCACTTGATTTAAGGCTGTTTTTGTTTTGTATTTGTTTCTATTCCTTGGGCAGCTGTATCCTCCAGTAATTGTTTCTTATTCTTGGGCAGCTGTATTCTCCAGTAACAGCCTATATTCTTTCCTCATCCAATTGCCACCCATCCTTCAGAGCAACTTAAGACGTGGCTCTCCAGGTCTCTTCCAATTGTGTAGGTCATAATAATATCATGCCTGTAATCCCCAGCACTTTGGGAGGCTGAGACAGGAAGATTGCTTGAGGCCAAGAGTTTGAGACTAGGCTGGGCAACACAGCAAGACCCTATCTCCACAAGGTTGCAGTGAAAGATAATTTGTGTCACTGCACTCCAGCCTGGGCAACAGAGTGAGGCCTCAACCCTTACTACAAAAAAAAAAAAAAAAAAAAAAGGGGGGGCCGAGCATGGTGGCTCATGCCTGTAATCCCAGCACTTTGGGAGGCTGAGGTGGGTGGATTACCTGAGGTCAGGAGTTTGAGACCAGCCTGGCCAACATGGAGAAACCCTGTCTCTACTAAAAATACAAAAATTAGCTGGACGTGGTGGCACACGCCTGTAGTCCCAGCTACTTGGGAGGCTGAGGCAGGAGAATCACTTGAACCTGGGAGGTGGAGGTTGCAATGAGCCGAGATCGCGCCATTGCATTCCAGCCCGGGCAACAGGAGCAAAACTCCGTTTCAAAAAAAAAAAATAATAAGACATTCTCAATTACTTCTGGAATGTTTAGGTTGGGGAGACAAAGTTAATTGTCTGCAGGAAAGGAAAATGCGTTACCCTGCTCTTAAAGTCTACATGTGCTTAGGACACTAACCCGGTACATGTTTCCAAATAGATAAAACTAGTTAAGAGTGTAGGCAGAACCACATAAACTCTTCAAATATCCTTTGATTGTGAAGCATTATGGCCTAGAATACACTTGATCCAAAGATTAAACTAATACCTCATCAGGGTCAACAGGCTTAGTAAACACTCGGAATCGCTTGTCAATAGCAAGCCTATGTGTAACATTTCTTAAGAAAATCCTCAGTTCTCTAAATGTATCTTCTTCTTGTTCTTCTAGTCGTTTCACTTCTTCTGCTGTCAGTGATCTTGGCTCAGGTGGTGGTGCTACTGGGAGTACCTCCAAAGCCTGCAAAACTTCACATGAATGGAAGAATTTAGTTACTGCTCCTCCATAACATTGAGGTTGACAAATGATTTAATGAAAACAGAGTCAGGATTTGAGGGATTATCTTCCTCATATATGCAAGGAATCCAAAGATTTGAAATACAAAAGTATTACCATAATCTCTAACCCTACGTCCCCTCCAGAAATCATTAGTAACTTGTAATTTGGAATGCTAATTCCTACAAGTCATTACCTCTGTTCCTTTAAGATAATTTAAGAGGCAGCCGGGTGTGGTGGCTCACACCTGTAATCCCAGCACTTTGGGAGGCCGAGGTGGGTGGATCACCAGGTCAGGAGATCGAGACCACCCTGGCTAATACAGTGAAACCCGGTCTCTACTAAAAATACAAAAAATTAGCTGGCGTGGTGGCGTGCGCCTGTAGTCCTACCTACTCAGGAGGCTGAGGCAGGAGAATGGCGTGAATCTGGGAGGCAGAGCTTGCAGTGAGCCAAGATCGTGCCACTGCACTCCAGCCTGGGTGACAGAGAGAGACTCCGTCTCAAGGAAAAAAAAAAAAAAGACAATTTAAGAGGCTATTAAACTTTGAAATTGCATTATTTCCAGGACAAAAATATTCTAACTATAAAAAAGCCTTCTTTACTAGTTTTGAACTAATGAAAATGTGTAATATGTTTCAAATATACCAACAGGTTATTTTGTTTAAATAGATATCCAATGAGTACTCAGGATGAAAAAAAGGATTATTAGAGTCCTGCCACAATGAGCTGACAAACTACTAAGGGAGTAAGAGGCATAATTATATCATTGTGATGCCATATTAGTAGTATTTTAAAAGTATGATGGGTCATAAAGGCAGAAGCAATTCATTTTGCCCATATAAGTTAGGAAAGGCTTCATAATAAAGAATAAATGAGGTATACTAAAAGGACAAGTATTTAGCCGGGCATTTTGGCATGAGCCTCTTGTCCTAGCTACTTCGGAGGCTGAGGTGGGAGGATGCTTGAGCCCAGGAGGTTGAGGCTGCAGTTGAGCCTCGATCATGCCACTTCACTCCAGTGGATGACACAGACCCTGTCTCAAAAAATAAAAATAAAAGAATAAGTAGTTCTTTAGACAGAGATGGGGGATAGAGATAGAAGCTTTACTGATGAGAGAGCAAGCATTACTAAAATAGTGAAAAGGTAAAATTATGTTACATATGGTTTAAAGATAGTGTTTTATGAGAAAAAAAATGTGGGGGTGGAGGGCTGAGGCAGAACACAAGTGCCCAAAATGAGCTTAGAAAGATAGATTGGGGCTATACTATGAAAGACTTTGTGTACCTTAAGAACTTTAGTCTGTTTTAATGGGAAGCATAGAGATTTTTAAGCAGCAGATGCATCAACCTCATGACTTAGGTTTTGAGCTTGTGTTATCAGATACATGTCAATGCCATTAACTATTTCATTCCTACTTTCTCAAAATTATTAAATATTAACTTTGATATAGAAACTAACCTGCTTTCTTTTTTGATATAGGAGGCTTAGCAGCTTGTTTTAGAATTAAATCTTCAAAAAATTTTGTCCGTTCTTCTTTATCCGGTAACTGGACATTAAAAATCTCTCCATAATCACGGATAAACAATTCTTGCACCTTAAAAAAGAAAATAAATGCAATATATATCATATATACAGATGATCCCCAACTTACAATGGTTCAATTTACAATTTTTAGACTTTACAGCAGCATGAAAGTGACATGTATTCAGTATGTCCCTCCACTTAACAATCGGGTTATGTCCAAATAAACCCATCATATGTCAAGGAGCATCTATACAGTATATAAACATATGTATGCAGTATATATACACACATGCATATGAAATGCATGTGTCAGTCATTCAAGACAATAGCAGGTTATTATACACATATTTTTAATGACAAGCTAAATTGTATATTTTTTAAACAAGTCTTTAAAGAATGTTAGATTTATGTATAAACCATGTTTACAAGAGATTAAGGAACTAAAAATCATGAGAACTCAAGAACCCAAACTACAATTAATAAAGGAACTGACTTGATGATATTTTACTTTTTTTGTTTTCTTTTTTTTTTTAAGAGACAAGGTCTCGCTCTGTCACTCAGGCTGGATTGCAGTGGCACAATCATAGCTCACTGCAACCTCAGACTGGGCTCAAGCAATCCTCTTATCTCAGCCTCCTGAGTAGCTGGGACTACAGGCACGCACCACCACACTCAGCTAATTTTTAAACTTTTTGTAGAGATAGGGTCTCCTTGTGTTGCCCAGGCTGATCTCAAATTCCTGGGCTTAAGTGATCCTCCTGCCCTGGCCTCCCAAAGTGCTACAATTACACGCATATGCCACCGTGCCTGGTCCTGATACTTAAAAGGTTTGTTGAGATCAATTAATTCATTTTCCCAACCCCAAATGAGATATAAGAAAGAGCAACTGTTCAAAAATAAAAAGCAAACAAACAAACAAAAACCAAAATATAAAGGCCAGAAGGTAAGTGTGGGCTACAAGATATTGGAAACTCAGTGGACTGCTGGTAAGAATGTAAAATAGTGTAGCTGCGGTGGAAAACAATTTGGTGGTTTCTCAAAGTTTAAACACAGAATTAGTATATGATGTGGCAATTCCACTTCTAGGTATAGATCCCAAAGAACTGAAAACAAAAACTCAAATGAGTATTTGTACTCCAGTAATCATAGCAGCTTTATTCACAAACGTCAGGAGGTGAAGATGACCCAAACGTCTGTCACCAGATGAATGGATACAAAATGCGGTATATACATACAATGGAAAAGTATTCACCCTAAAAAGGAATAAAATTTGGACACAAGATACAACATGGATGAACTTGAAAACATTACACTAAATAAGACACAAAAGACAAATACATATTCAAATTATATGAGGTACCTAGAATAAATAATTCAGAGCCAAATTATAACAGAAGTTACCGAGGGCTGTGGGAAGATAGAAATGGGGAATTACCGTTAATAGGTACAGAGTTTCTGCTTGGGATAACAAGAAAGATCTGGATAGTGGTGATGGTTGCCCAACATTGTAAATGCACTTAATGCGACTATACTATATGCTTAAAAAAATGGATGAAATGGTAAGTTTTGTCTTTTTTTTTTTTTGAGACAGGGTCTCACTCTGTCACCTAGGCTGGAGTGCAGTGGTGCAATCTCGACTCACTGCAGCCCCCACCTCCCAGATTCAAGCGGTTCTCCCACTTCAGCCTCCCGAGTAGCTGGGACTATAGGTGCACACCACCATGCTCATTTTATTCATTTTATAAAAATGGGTAATTCCTAGTCCCTGGCCCATTCTCCCCTACTTATAGAATGTGGTATTAAAATATTTTACCCAGTTTGCAATTATATGCTTAGAAAATATTATCCTAAGAAAAAAAGTAAGAGAAGCTATGCTTTAAGAAAAGATCTTTTGGTATAGAATTTCCACATTCTCGAAAAAGTTTCCCCAGATTAAACCGATTACATTTTTTCGACCTCTCCACATCCATACAAAGTTCACCTAGTTTGTCTTACTTGTTACCCGGAGCATAAAGCCATTATCTTTATTTCAAATCTCAAAATGATTAACAGTTTCAGTTGATAGAATAAGAAGCCAGTAATACTATGGCTAACAATCTTTTTTTTCCACTGTGTTAATCAGAACACTGCTAGAGTACTTCATTCATTCTGGCTCTGGCCTTCCAAAAGAACTAGAAAAAAGAAAGACATTCAGGAGAGTGACAAGAATTTTGAAGAAACTACAACCTGGTGTGCTGTGTAACAAAGTCTACTATTACCACAATCTGTATTCTTGTTCTTTGGGCACACAGCTAGGTCAGATTTCCTAGCCTTTCTTGCAATGAAGTAGGCTATGTGACTGAGCTTTAGCCAGTGGAATTTGAGAGGAAATGATTTACACCACTTCCAAGTCAGGCACAAGCAAGAGCCTGTCCTTTCAGTTGACTGTACTGAAAGCGACCTGGAAGGCTACATGATGAAAATAAGAAAACAGGCCGAGCACAGTGGCTCACCTGAGGTCAGGAGTTCAAGACCAGCCTGGCCAACATGGTGAAACCCCATCTCTACTACAAATACAAAATTAGCTGGGCATGGTGGCGGATGCCTGTAATCCCAGCTACTCGGGAGGCTGAGGCAGGATAATTGCTTAAACCCAGGAGGCTGAGGCTGCAGTGAGCCAAGATCGCACCCCTACGCTGCTAGCCTAGGCAACACAGTGCGACTCCGTCTCCAAAAATAAATAAATAAACAAGTAAATAAAATAAAATAAAGTAAAATAAAGTATCTTTCAGCCTGAGTGTTTGAATGACTGCATAGCAGAAGACAAACTTGCCAATGTAATCAACCTGCCTAGTATTGTTAAAGTGAGTAAGAAATAAACTTCTACTTTATTAATAGCCCTAATGAATATACCATATCCTGTTTAATGTGAAAAGGCCTGGATCAGCAAGACATAAAAGAGTATTCAAATATACAAAGACTTGTCATGATGAAGATGTATTAGTCAAGTTCTATATGCAATCTGGGAAATGAATGGAGATTAAGAAGTGGAAGATTTGTGCTCACTTCAGCAGCACATATACTAAAATTGGAACAATACAGAAGATTAGCATGACCCCTTTGTAAGTTAAAAAAAAAAAGAAAGAGAAATGAAAGCCTCCTTCAATAAGTTGGATTTTTAGGAGTCAAAGGTAACAAAAAGAACTGTGTAGAAACTGTTTCAACATATGAGATATCCACATAAAGGCGACAGTGTAGGGTATGAAACTAGATAATTAACTAAACTGGAAACCTTTAAGGACCTCCCCCACTCAAAGAGTTTCTAATATATACTTAATATTCATTTCCTAGCTTATTTAACTTGGAGGTTCTGTAATCAATTATTATACAGAGTCACTGGGGACATAATCTGGTCCCTTGATAACCTTGGCCTCCTTTCCTCCATTATCCCTCACTTACTCTGCTCTATCATCCTGGCCTTCTTGCTATTTTTCCAACCTGCCAGACACAGATCTGCCTCAGAGCCTCTGCATTTGCTTCTTCCTCTGCTAGGACCTTTTGTCCCTCAGCTATTCCAATGGTTCACTACCTTACGTTTTCCACGTCTTTCCTCAAATATCATCATCATCATCATTTTTTTTTTTTTTGAGATGGAGTTTTGCTTTGTCGCCCCAGCTGGAGTGCAATGGTGGGATCTTGGCTCACTACAAACCCCACCTTCCGGGTTCAAGCGATTCTCCCACCTCAGCCTCCCGAGTAACTGGGATTACGGGCACACATCACCATGTCCGGCTAATTTTTGTAGAGACAAGGTTTCACCATGTTGGCCAGGCTGGTCTTGAACTCCTGATCTCAGGTGATTCGCCCACCCCGGCCTCCCAAAGTGCTAGAATTACAGGCGTGAACCACCGCATCCGGCCAAATATCATCTTCTTACTGAGGCCTTACCTAGCCTATTTAACACTGTAACCTACCCATACTCTTTTGGTACCCCTTAGCTAAATCTTTCTCCACAATAATAGTTAGTATTACAAAATTTTTAAAACTTCTCTCCCCCACTCAACTAAAATGTTAGCCCTACATGTGTAAGGATACACGTTTTTGTGTATCTTATTCACTGTTATATCTCCAGTGCCTAGAACCACACCTGGGAGAAAATAAGCACTCAATAAATATTTCTTTAGTAAGTATTTGAGCTTATCTTCCTACTAGTGTTCTAAAAAGTGTAAACCAATTGTCAAAAGTGTGAAAAAAAACCATTAAACTCATTCATTAAAATACACAGAAGCCTACAATATGCTTGTTATGTGCTCTATGGACACAAAGGTGACAAAAAATAGTCCCTAATTTCATGTACTTTACATTCTGATGGGGAAACAGAGTCAAGCAAATTAATATTTAATGGCAGGAGGCAATACAAATAAAGCAGGAAAAGGGAAAAGAGTGTGATGGGTGAAAGAGCTATTGCTATTATTGAGAAACTCTGATCAAAGAAGGCCTCCCTGAGGTGATATCTGAGCAGAGATTTGAGAAAAATAAAAAATGATGACAGGCAAGTATGTAAGAGAAGAGTATTCCAGGCAGAAGCAGTATGGCCTTTTGTTCACTATTGGCAGTTGTCTAAATTGGCACAAACTTGAATGAGTAATTTAATATTGTTAAAACTTGTAAATGTAAAATACTCTTTGATTCAGCTACAGCTATTCCACTTCTAGGAATCAAAACTAGAAAAATCCACATACCAGTGCTCATACTAACTAAAATACAAGGATGCTCACTGTAAGAGTCCAGTAGAAAAAAATCTGGAAAACAACCAAAAAACCTATCAATAGGGCTTTGGATAAATAAATTATAGTACATCAACAGTGGAAAAACCATGCAGCTCTTAAAGAGACTTTAGCACTAACAAATACATGAATACATTTATTGATAAATGAATAAAGCAAATTGCAGAATAGTATGTATCATATACTCCCATTTTTTAAATACTTTTTTTTTTTTTTTTTTTTTGAGACAGAGTCTCGCTCTGTCGCCCAGGCTGGAGTGCAGTGGCTCACTCGGCTCACTGCAAGCTCTGCCTCCAGGGTTCATGCCATTCTCCTGCTTCAGTCTCCCGAGTAGCTGGGACTGCAGGCGCCAGCCACCACGTCCAGCTAATTTTTTTTGTATTTTTAGTAGGGACAGGGTTTCACCCTGTTAGCCAGGATGGTCTCAATCTCCTGACCTCATGATCCACCCACCTCGGCCTCCCAAAGTGCTGGGATTACAGGCGTGAGCCACTGCACCCGGCATATAATACCATTTTTCAAGAGAAAAAATTTATGTATCCTTAATATATACATACACATATACATATACCATCTTGCCCAATGAGCACATATACCAAATAGTTACCAATGGTATATTTGATAAGAAAACTTATCCTTTTATTCACTTCTACAGCATTTGAATTTTTTCAATAAGTTATGATTATTGTGGTAGAAACAACTCTTTTTGAAAGTATAATGATACCGCCCCACATAAATTACCTCTTCTGGCAAAGCGGAATGGGGTTTGTCAGAAGTTGCAAGTAGTAAAACTGGAGCAAATGAAGGAATATTCTGTAATAATGTGGTAAATGTGGCTTTAAGTGTCGGTCCAACTATTTCCCACCACACGTGGATATGAGGAACATACACTATACTTGGTGCTGTTCTCTTAGCTTCACGAATCACCTAGTAGAGAGAGAACAAAACAAATTCAGTTAGAGTCAGCACGTTAATAATGCTAGTTCTATTAGTCTGAAACAATGTTTAACCTCCCAGGAGTAACATATAAAGTCCTCAAGTTTTTAAAATGCTTCTCCAAAATCCCACAACCTTATTTTTAAATGTGGATTAAAAGTTTCATTTTTTTGGAAAAAGATAATTTCTTCAAGCAACTAGAAAACAGCTGGAGAAATCTAGAAGATTTTTCTATTGTGGTAATCAAAAGTAAACAAAACTACAAATATAAAATATTTTTATGTTTTAAAAATGTTAATATAGCCAGGCGCGGTGGCTCATGCCTATAATCCACGCACTTTGGGAGGCCAAGGCGGGTGGACTGCCTGAGCCCAGGAGTTTGAGACCATCCTGGGCAACATGGTGAAACCCCGTCTCTATTAAAATACAAAAAAAAAAAAAAAAAAAAATTAGCTGGGTGTGGCGGCATGCATTGCACCTGTAGTCCCAGCTACTCGGGAGGCTAAGGCAGGAGAATTGCTTGAACCCGGAAGGCGGAGGTTGCAGGGAGCCAGGATCGTGCCACTGCACTCCAGCCTGGTGACACAGTAAGACTCCGTCTCAAAAAAACCAAAACCAAAAACAAACAAAAAAAAGTTAATATACAAATACCAAAAACAGAAACTGCAGAATATCTGAGTACTTACTAAGGAGCAGTCACCATTTTAAGTACTTTACTCATTTAATTCTCACAACAGCCATGTGAGGTAAGTAGTATTATCTCCATTTTCCAAAAGGGGAAAATTAGAGAGATCTAACAACTTTACTAAGGTCACAAAGATATTAAGGGTGAATGTGGGATTTAAAGTCATTCTCTTTAATGACTAAGCAATCATGCATAACTCTGTTTTGTAAACCTAAAGTTACAAATCAGAAAGACAAAAAAACACAATACAAAAAAATGGGGCAATTTTAGCTTTTGCCTCTGAAAGCCTGTTTTGTCTTATACTTGGGCACCAACAAATTACCTGGGCACATGTTTCTTCAGGGGATGTAGTACTAACTCCAAAAAGAACAGGAATGTCTAATGTATATACAGTAAACTTTTCCAAAGCATGAATGACAGCTGGTGCCAAGTGAGAACCTTGCCCAAATCCTGGTTCTCCTACTATCAATATTCTTGGTCGAAAAGACATAGGTTGGTAACAAGCATTTCTGAAAGAGAAATGATTAATAAGCTATGTTTTAGAAAAAACAGTTTAAATTTTCCCCCTAAATTGTCAACTATAAACTTTCATAAGTAAAAAGTCTTGCCAATAAGGCCAACCAATCATAACATGGTTCACATAGTTTCTGGAAACTGACCCCCAAAGGTTTTTAGGAATATTTTTATAGACTGTAATTTCTACTGTTGTGACAACTGTAACAACAAAAAATTTCTGGTAGTTTAATTTAAATAAAAAGCAGATTGGTTAGCACTTTTTATTTTTTCAACCACATCTCATTTATTTTTAGAAAATTTACACATGCAAAAAACATTGATTTGCAAGAAAAATATACCTATTCAAATGAAGAAAATTAAAATTGTCTTTTGCCTTATGAGAAGATTTCTGAGAAAGTCCATTTTCATAAACTGATGGAACATCATCATCACTGTAAGCCAAGTCACTTTCTAGCAGAGGACAAGAAATATCTATAAAACCAAAAAATTGTACATTAGTAACTTTTGGATTGCAAAGCAAATCTTTATTGCTTCAGTTACCAAGTCAGCATACTTCAATTAAATTTTTTCAAAGAATCAAAAATATTTGTGTAGATATGAATTAATAAGTAAATGTAAAAATGCACCCCAAACTTACAATAAGTTAAATTAAGGGCAATCCATGGAGTAAATTTCCTTCAAATATCCCAGGTAAAGCATTACCAAATTCTTTTCAAGAGATTCTTTTACAAATAAATATTTCTGGTATGTATGAAACATTTCACTTTACTGATTATAAAAACTAACTTTAAATGGTCAATCAAGTTTTATACCTGAGTCTAATGTTTTATTTGTTCTGAATTCTGCATGTGGAAATACTCTCTGCAGGGCTTCTAAAATCTTGTCAACAGTGTTTTGCAGGAGTGGTTTCACAACGGTGGACAGTGCCTGCCCAGGTGATGTCACAGCTCTTTGGGAGGCTGGTATCATCTTTTGCATAGCTACCTCGAAATCCTTAGCTGAGATATTAATTGAAGAGAGATCCAACTGCAGTTTCTCACTAGTGGTATAGATCTGTGGGTAGCGTCGTCGTAAAGCACATAAAGCAGCTTCAGCACATATTGATTTAATATCTGCTCCACAGTATCCTATCCAAAGCAACCAGGGGAAGAAAAGAACCAGCCGACCAAACAAAGAAACACAAAACTCTATTAGCATGACCATGGTTAAAAAAAAAATTAAAAATCAGCCTCGGAATATAGTTAGCAAATATTTAAGAGTAATAAGACCAAAATCTCTTTTACCCAGTAAACTTATAGGGTAGTAATGGCCATCAACAATCAATCAACTTTTAAGAGTGCAATACACAAGCACTAAGTATAGCACAGAGGTCAAAAGCAAGAGTTTTAAAATCACACAGACTAGATTCACATTCCAGTTTGTAATTTACTAGCTGTATGACCTTAGAAGATTCACATAATGCTCTCCAGCCATTTCTTCATCTGTAGAGATACTGCTACCTACATCACAGGAATGATGTGAAAATTACATGAAATAATATATGTAAAATGCTTAAAAGGATGACTACAAAATGGTCAGTAAAGAATAGCTATTATCTTATTATGATATAATAATATATTGTATTTTGTACAATTATATTATTATCTACTCTGCCCCTGATGGCCAATTTGTCAAATATCTCTATTTAATACCAAGACTTCATGAGAAGAAAATGCCACAAATAAGAGATAAGAAACAAATATAACCTTGTATTTCTTTATTAGTCTGGTGCAAAAGAAACTGTGGTTTTTGCCATTACTTTTACAGGCAAAAACCACAATTACTTTTGCACCAACCTAATATAACTTGTTTCATATTTGAAATAAATGTAGTATTTATTTTAACTGCTTAAAACAATGTTTACCAACACAGTTTTCTGCTAGCTCTTCTAAAAATGTGTCCAGTGGTTTGGGATTCCAATCCCTGGTGTGAATCTTTAGAATCTCTTTTCGAGCCTATGAATAAAAACAATTTAATTTTTTACAACTATAATAATAAATGCTATTCAGATTACATTAATTTTGATTAAAATACTTTTGATTATCTAAAATTTTAAAGTGATCAGTACTTAATACTGGCCGGGTGCGGTGGCTCACACCTGTAATCCCAGCACTTTGGGAGGCCGAGGCAGGTGGATCACTTGAGGTTGGAAGTTCAAGACCAGCCTGGCCAACATGGTGAAAACCACTCTCTACTAAAAATACAAAGATTAGCTGGGCGTGGTAGCATGTGCCTGTAATCCCAGCTACTTGGGAGTCTGAGGCACGAGAATTGCTTGAATCCCGGGGACGGAAGTTGCAGTGAGCTGAGATTGTGCCACTGCACCCCAGCCTGGGTGACAGAGCAAGACTTTATCATAAACAACCAACCAAAAAAACTCAATATAAGCAAAATATGAAAGTGAAAATAAGAAAAAGGATGTACTTTTAAGAGTTTAATGAACTTAAGTCTCATTATTAAACATATTTGCATTTATAGCACTAAAGTTATATTCGTCATAAACACAAATAAGAGAAAAGTAACTACTAAAGTAGCTATTCATTCTGGTGCATATTAAGAGCTGTTTTTAAGAGTACAGACAGCTCTTGACATATTTTCCTCTTTGGTTCCCAGAAGATTAAGTAGACTTAAAAAAACTCGGTAGGATTATATGATGATATTCATGAAAAAGACAAGGCTAACAAACTGGCTAAGGATTGATTACTCATTAAGCCATATGTTCTGAAGCAACACTTAGAACATCCAAAGGCTACACTCAAATTGAAATAATTTTAAGAGTAATTTTGGGAAGGCATTATTATATTTAAAGAAAAGAATAAAAATTTGTCCCCATTTGAGTTGTTTACTATCATTTGACAAGACCATGATACAAAACTCAAGAATCTCCAAATTTTTACTATACCAAGACTTATTATTAATAAACAGCAATATATTTTGTCAAAATTTGAGTGACATTAAATTCTTACCTCTTTATCAGGCAGGCTAAAGAGGAATTCTCTATCAAAGCGACCAGGCCTTCGTAAAGCAGGATCTATAGAATCTAGCCTGTTCGTAGCACCAATGACCACAATTTCCCCTCTGCTGTCCAATCCATCCATAAGAGCTAGCAGGGTGGAAACAATAGAACTAAATTTTAAAAATAAGAGAGAAGAGATTAATACTATGAACACAGTCTATATCATTCAGTAATATTTCTTCTTTTGTAAGATTTAACGCATTACATGTGAATAAATTTTCTCAGGGCACCTCACTATTTCCAATGGATTAAAAAAATCTATAAAATAACATCCCAAATGGCCCACAGAAATTGAAATCAATGGAAAACAGACGGTTGTTAGACCCCCCACAAATGAATCCTAGAAGACATTTTATAAAGCATAATTTCACAAAGGAACTTAAGAGTTCTCAAACAATATATAACATCAAAAAGAAAAAAAAGGCAAGGCATGGTGGCTCACGCCTGTAACCCCAGAACTTGGGGGCTGAGGTGGGAAGAGTACTCGAGGCCAGGAGTTTGAGACCAGCCTGGGCAACATAGGGAAACCCCATCTCTATTAAAAAAAAAAAAAAAAATTAGCCAGCATGGTGACATGACCTGTGCCTGTAGTCCTACTACTTGGGAAGCTGAGGTTGTACGTAGTGAGCCAAGATTGCACCACTGCATTCCAGCCTGGGTGACAGAGCAAGACCTTGTCTCAAAAAAATAAAAAAGAAAAGAAAAAGAAAAAAAGTGCTGGTAGCACCAGGTAGGACACACAGTATCTAAAAATAATAAAATTTCCACTGTATATACATTATCAAAGGACACCAAAATAGAATATACATAAAGCATAACAGAATTTTCATTACATTTTAAACTTTTTATTATAAAGACAGAATAGTAAAATGATCTCCAAATTTCCATCACTCAGCTTCAACAATTATCAGTATGACTTTTTTAATGTCTTCACCTGATCACTTTTAAAAAGAAAAATAAAACCTCGGACACACAGTTCAATTCATAAATATTTCATGTAAGTACTTCATGTATGGATTTCTAAGAGACAAGGACTTACAACAAACCCAACAATATCATCATCCTAAGTAAATGACTAATTCTTTAATAATATCTAATACCCAATTTTTCCTGATTGTCTCAAAATACCTGTTTACATTTGATTTAGTTAATCCAGGACCCACACACTACACTTGATTATTTGTCACTGAATTCCTTGACAGTTCCCACTGTGCCTCTTACATTTTTTTTCCCTCCATGACATTTATTTGTTGAAGAAACTGGGTCGTTTGGCTTGTAGAATTTCCTTCCCACGTTCTGGACTGGGCTGACTGCTTCCTGATAGGGTCATTTAAGTTGTCCCCCTCTATCTTTCACATTTCCTGGAAACTGGTAGCTAGATCTAGAAGCTTTTTTTTTCTTTTTTTTTGAGACAGAGTCTCGCTCTGTCTCCCAGGCTGGAGTGCAGTGGCGTGGTCTCAGCTCACTGCAAGCTCCACCTCCTGGGTTTACGCCATTCTCCTGCCTCAGCCTCCTGAGTAGCTGGGACTACAGGCGCCCGCTACCATGCCTGGCTAATTTTTTTGTATTTTTTTTTTTAGTAGAGACGAGATTTCACCGTGTTAGCCAGGATGGTCTCCATCTTCTGACCTTGTGATCTGCCCTGCCTGCCTAGGACTCCCAAAGTGCTGGGATTACAGACGTGAGCCACTGCACCCGGCCTAGATCTAGAAGCTTCATGGATGCTGGCTAAACCATTTGGGATGGCATATTTCACAGGAAGATACCACGTAATTCCTATTATATCCCCACAGGAGGCACCTAATATCAGTTTCCCATTTAAGGTCAATCAGTGGGTTGAGTTTCGGTCAGGTGTTAACAGCTTGTTCCACCCATCATAAATATCCCCATCAAACTTCTTTTTTATCTTACTGCTTGAGTGGCCATTGATAATTATTGTTTAGATAAAGGTTTCCCAAATTAGCACTACTGACATTTTGGGCCAGATAATTATTTGTTGTGGAGAGCTGTCCTGTACGTGTAAGATGTTTAACAGCCTTCATCTACCAAATGCTAAGTAGCTGCCCCCACCAGTTGTGACAACCATAACTGTCTCTAGATATCTGTCCCTTCGGGGAGGGGGATGGCATCATCCCTGGTTAAAAAACGACAGGTCTAGATCCACTATTTCATAAGAGGCTGCAAAATGGTGACTTTCTGATTCAATCATTTCTTTTGCATTTATTAGCTGTGATTTTCCTATACAAAGAACTACACTACTTCATCAACTGCTGAATTACCCTCAATCATGGCCTGTATAGGACAGGAAGAAGAAATGTTTGATTCTTTCCCTCTTATCAATTTTCAGAGTAATAAATAATAACTCAGCAACCTTAGGTGACCAGTTGAATTAAAAACATTATTAAAAACTGATGTTTTTTTTTTTTTTTTTGAGACGGAGTCTGGCTGTGTCGCCCAGGCTGGAGTGCAGTGGCACGATCTCAGCTGACTGCAAGCTCCGCCTCCCGGGTTCGTGCCATTCTACTGCCTCCACCTCCCGAGTAGCTGGGACTACAGGCACCTGCCACCATGCCTGGCTAATATTTTTGTATTTTTAGTAGAGATGGGGTTTCACCGTGTTAGCCAGGATGGTCTCGATCTCCTGACCTCGTGATCCACCCGCCTTGGCCTCCCAAAGTGCTGGGATTACAGGTGTGAGCCACCGTGCCCGGCCCTAAAAACTGATGATTTTTAAGATCTTGGTGTGTTCCCTGCCAGCAGTGGCGGGGGTGGTGGTGATGGGGAGGAGGCTCATTCTGCACTTTCTGGTTCTCGTGGCTATCTCCTCCCCTCACCTCCTTGCTCTGCCATGCCCTGCTCCAAAGAGACACCTGTCATTTCCCCCGGCAAGTGGGTCTGGCTTGCACAGGAGGGTGGGGTGGGGCATGTAGCTCCACCTTGCCTGGTTCTGGACTCAACCTGGGAGCTGGGAGTCCACACAGGCCGAGGGCTATGACCTATACAGTGCATATGATTATACAGTACCACCTATGGAAGAAGCTATCAGACATTCAGATAGCTGCTCCTTCTGGGTATTATGGAAGAGTAGCTCTACATTTTGGCTTGGCTGCAACACTTAGGAGCTGGGTATCTTAGATGAAGGTTATAGGAGAAACATTGGTGTTTTGTCAAAGAAAAGTTTGAAGTCAAAACTTCAAGGTGATCGAATTGCACAGCTTATTTGTGAATGAATTTTTTATCCAGCAATAGAACTCCAAGTTCTGAATAACAGTGCTGAAGAGGGTTCCGTAAGTTTTGGTTGCACTGGAAAGAAAATTTATGCCAAGAATAGAAATTAAGAAATCATACCTTTTTTTTTTTTACAAATAAGATGTTTTCTTTTAAAAAAAAAAACAACAAAAACAAAATCAAAAACAACAACAACAACAACAACAAAAAACTGATGGTGGCTGGGCATGGTGGCTCATGCCTGTAATCCCAGCACTTTGGGAGCCTGAGGTGGGAGGATCACTTGAGCTCAGGAGTTCAAGACCAACCTGGGCAACAGAGACTTCATCTTTACTAAAAAACAAACAAACAAACAACCAAAACCCAGCTGAGTGTGGTAGTGTGTGCCTGTAGTTCTGAGAAGTTGAGGTGGGAAGATTGCTTGAGCCCAGGAGATCAAGGCTGCAGTGAGTTGTGATCATGCTACTGCACTCCAGCCTGGGTAACAGAGTAAGATTCTGTCTCAAAAAACAAAAACAAGGCCTTGTGTGGTGGGTCACGCCTGTAATCCCAGCACTTTGGGAGGCTGAGGCAGGTAGATCTCTTGAGGCCAGGAGTTCAAGACCAGCTTGGCCAAAATGGCAAAACCCCGTCTCTACTAAAAGTTCAAAAATTAGCCAGGAGTGGTGGCACATGCCTGTAATCCCAGCTACTGGGGAGGCTGAGGCACGAGAATAGCTTGAACCTGGGAGGTGGAGGTTGCAGTGAGCCAAGATCATACCACTGCACTCCAGCCTGGGTGACAGAGTGAGACTCTGTCACAAAACAACAACAACAACAACAACAAACCAAACCAAAACCAACAACAACAAAAAACTAACAACATAAAAAAGTGATTTTTTTTAGGTATTTGATATATTTCTATCTACTGTAGTCACTATTTTTGATGCTCAAATTGTTTCATCTTCAGCCAGTGAGAGATCCCTCAAAATTGGCTCCTATGTCATTCTGGTACGATTCCAGTAATTTTTTTTTTTTATTGCTTTCAGGCATTACAAAGTATTCCAGGCTTGTCTTGATCGTTTCTGCTTCAGTGTTACAATCCGCCATCTCTCCTGAGTCCTAATATTTAGAGACCACACTCAGGGATGGACATTAATTGCTACTGGATTGTGATTGCTTCTAGGCCTGTTTAAAGTGTCCAGAGTTAGGATTTTTTTTTTCTTTAAACAAAACAAAACAAAACAAAAAACTCTGTCCCAAGTTTCTATTGATATTTGCAATTCAAAGTAAAGACTATCAGGGTTTCAGGTCAAGTGGGTGGCTCACGCCTGTAATCCCAGTACTTTGGAAGGCTGAGGCAGGTGGATCACCTGAGATCAGGAGTTCGAGACCAGCCTGGCCAACATGGTGAAACCCTGTCTCTACTAAAAATACAAAAAATTAGCTAAGTGTGCTGGTACATGCCTGTAATCCCAGCTACTCGGGAGGCTGAGGCAGGAGAATTGCTTGAACTCGGGAGGCAGAGGTTGCAGTGAGCCAAGACTGTGCTACTGCACTCCAGCCTGGGCGACAGAGCAAGACTTTGTCTCAAAAAAAACAATTTAGGGTAATTTGACTTCTTTATTTCACACTTGTATCTTCTTTCTCTTAGGTTGAAAATATTATTACCTAATGACATTCACATAATTACTTATTTGCATTATTCTACAGTATTATTACTAAAATTAAGTGCAGAATACAGTTTAATCATCTTCAACATGCAATGTGCTAAATTCTAAAAAAGCTTAATTTAACATACATTTTTACTCTGTCAGAATTTTTAAGTTTTTGGTTAAAATAACTTGAATACTAAATTTCTTTTAAAAATGTAGCTATATTTGGCCAGGCGCGGTGGCTCATGCCTGTAATCCCAGCACTTTGGGAGGCAGAGACGGGTGGATCACCTAAAGTCAGGAGTTCAGGACCAGCTTGGCCAACATGGCGAAACCCAGTGTCTGCTAAAAATACAAAGAACAGGCTGGGTGCGGTGGCTCACATCTGTAATCCCAGCACTCTGGGAGGCTGAGGCGGGCTGATCACCTGAGGTCAGGAGTTCAAGACCTGGCCAACATGGTGAAACCCCATCTCTACTAAAATACAAAAATTTAGCTGGGCATGGTGGGGCACACCTGTAGCCCCAACTACTTGGGAGGCTGAGGCAGAAGAATCGCTGGAACCTGGGAGATGGGGGTTGCAGTGAGCCAAGATCACGCTATTGCATTCCAGCCTGGGCAACAGAGCAAGACTCTGTCTCAAAAAAAAAAAAAAAAAAAAAAAAAAAATATATATATATATATATATATATTTGAGATGGCACAGTTTTGCTACAATTACTCTGTAATTTTTTTGCCAAAATTCCTCCAATACCTTTAGAAGTATCCCAAAACACAGTAAGTACTCAACTTACTTGATTATGAAGTGATGGAAGTATTGTTAAATATGTTCCTTCCTGTTAGCACAATGAATATAGTGTGACTGATAATGAAATGCGTCACATATAAAAAGTTTATCTGATTACTAATAGGACATGCAGAGACAAAACTACTTTTACCATGGTACTTAACATATATTTTAATTTACTCACAGCAATAAGCAAAATTGTTTATCATCAAGTTTAAAAGGCCATTAGAATATAGCAAATCTTGTTAGATGTTAGAAAAGCCAAAACCCACCTATCAATCACACACTATATCTTATTCATCTACATTATCTACAATATAAAACAATACTACTAGCATATATGAAAGTATGCAAATATTTCCTTTAGGATATTCCAAATTAATCAATCAATTACACATCATTCATGAAACCATTTAAAAAGAAGTTCTAAAAAACTGAAATGAATTGGGACTAAAAGCAATTTAGATTCAGGTTGGGACAATAGCACTTGTAAAAGTGCTCCCTTGGATAAGCAACTAATCATGGGGGTTGAGGGTTCAATTTACCCATCTTTAAAATGGGGAGATTGGTCTAGTATTAGAATCCTAAACTAGTAGTAATGCCCTAAGTTAGATTTTGTTTAGCGCAGGCAATGTCTTAAAAGCATCCAAATTAGCTGGTAAAATTTAAGATACTTGACAATTTGAACATAAAATCTGAGGGAAAAAATCGATTTTTCAAGTCTGGGTAAGCTTCTGCACATCAGTAACAGGTCAGAGATAAAAGCAACTGAATATGCTCTTGTGATAGGACATTCAGCCACATTCCCCACCATAGCCCTCCTCTTACTAGTGGCTTAACATCACTGACCCGCAGACATTTGTTTCTATCATGAGTTAAATCTTCTGTAACCAAGATTTTTAAACCATGCTTTACAACACACTGACACTCGGAGCAGGTTTACTTTTTTTTTGAGAGGGAGTTTCGCTCTGTCACCCAGGCTGGAGTGCAGTGGCATAATCTCAGCTCACTGCAACCTCCGCCTCCCGGGTTCAAGTGATTCTCCTGATTCTCCTGCCTCAGCCTTCCACGGAGCTGGGATTATTAGGTTTGCACCACCACACCCGGCTAATTTTTTTTTTTTTTTAGTAGAGACAGGATTTCACCATGTTGGCCAGGCTGGTCTCAAACTCTTGACCTCAAGTGATCTGCCTGCCTTGGCCTCCCAAAGTGCCAGGAATACAGGTATGAGCCACTGCAACCATCCACATTTTTTATTTTTGTACTATATACTGGGGTTCTACTACCAAAAAAAGGAACTACTAGCTTATAAAGTTTCTTTCACCATTTAACATTCTATCTCTCACACATCAATACCACTCAGGAAATAGGAAGAAACGTTGAAGTGCCATCAAGCAAGTTTTACCTGTGAATCTGATCTTGCCTGCTTGACCGTACTGGAGCCAGACCATCAATTTCGTCAAAAAAAATAATTGATGGGCGCATCTGATAGGCCTAGAAAGTAGGTGGAGTGGTCATTTGTTAGCATAAACAGCCTCAAACACGTAGACTTAATATAAACCATTTTAATAAATTCTCATTCAAATATGCTTAACAGAATTTATAAAGCTGAATATATACTATTTGAATCGGTTTTTCTTCAAACTTACTTACCAGAATTTATATATAATTTTTTTTTTTTTTTGAGATGGAGTCTCACTGTCACCCAGGCTGGAGTGCAGTGGCGTGATCTTGGCTCAGTGCAACCTCTGCCTCCTGGGTTCAAGTGATTTTCCTGCCTCAGTCTCAATTTATTTATAATTTATAACTATTTATAATTTATAAATTTAAACATAAGTTCTAGTAACGGGGTTTTAAGAATTCAAACTAAATTATAATGATATATGGTTTAATTTTCAATTGCATTTTCAACCAGAAGTATTCAAAAGATATACTCCACTGGTTATATACCTTAGATTTCACATAGCTATCGTTCCTGGACACGCAAAAATATTTATTGAACTATGGAAACAAGACAAAGAATAGAAGACAGTGACATAGTCTTCCTCCAAGTCAGGATGGGAAAACATTATTTAGCAAGATGCCACAGTTTTTATCCATTTCCATAAACATAAAAGTAAAAAAGAACCTCGGGAGAGTTCCAAAAAGAGATTTAAAAGCATTTGCAGCAATATGCCTCAGTAGATCAGAAAGTATTATCTTACAATGTGCTGTCAATACAATCTGGGATATGAAAATGAAAGCCGCTCCAGGGCAGAAATAGTCTTTAACTCCCATACTGAGCCATAATTCACTACTACTATCTCTCTAAATATGAGATTACCACTCTCTTCCTATATGCATGAGACCTAAGACTCCAAACAACTAAGATCCAATTATTTCTTTCCCTTCTTACTATAAAACTGTTCACTGTAGGTCAGTGTCATCTCGACATATAAAAGAAAATAATCTAGAAAGAAATAGTCTAATTCTTCTGGGTTTATTTAGAACACTGATTAAATGTAAGATTTATCTAATCCTCACACACATCTGCCTAGATTACAGAACTATCCAGATATATAAAATGTTAATATCATACCTGATCAAACAGCAATCGTAGCTGTCTTTCAGATTCTCCTACCCATTTACTTAGACAATCAGCACCTTTCCTCATGAAAAATGCTACTCTTTTATCCCCTTGACTGCACTCATTGGCAAGTGCTCTGGCAACCAGAGTCTTTCCAGTTCCAGGTGGCCCATAAAACAAACAACCTCTGTAAAACAATACATTAACATTTTAGTATTACATTTAAAAAGCAGACTTTTAAAACAAAAATTAGAAACCAATTTCATGATTCATTTAATTAGAAAATTAAAATGTGTAAGACAACTGAATTATGGTACAGTTTCGCACCACAAAGCACAACTTAAAACCTGGGAGTTAATACTGATACTGTAAAATTAATATTGAAACTGTAAATAAAACTCTATTTGAAACATTTTAACAATTCATTCATCATGTTCATCATATTATCTTACCTTGCATATGTAATCACATATCACAATCATATAATTCAATTTGTATGGGGGAAAACGTATATTGTAAGGAAGAAGAAATGTGAAAGAAAATTCAAGAAATTTGTTTTTAATTTACTAAATTACTTTAACTAGGCACTTCCAACATTTCCTGTAAGAAGTAAATGTTATTTAATATTAATAACTTTCTGACTTATTTTTAAAGATGGGGTCTCACTGTCAGCTAGGCTGGAGCGCAGTGGCATGATCATAGCTCACTACAACCTCAAATTCCTGAGCTAAAGCAATCTTCCTGTCTTAGTCTCCCAAGTCACTGGAATCACAGGTGTGAGCCACCATGCCTGGCACTTTCTATTTTTTTTTTGAGACAGAGTCTTGCTGTGTCGCCCAGGCTGGACTGCAGTGGTGCGATCTCGGCTCACTGCAACCTCCGCATCCCAGGTTCAAGCAATTCTCCTGCCTCAGCCTCCCGAGTAGCTGGGACAACAGGTGCCCGCCACCATGCCTGGCTAATTTTTTGGGTATTTTTAGTAAAGACAGGGTTTCACTATGTTGGCCAGGCTAGTCTTGAACTCCGGACCTTGTGATCCACCTACCTTGACCTCTCAAAGTGCTGGGATTACAGGCATAAGCCATCGTGCCTGGCCACTTTCTAATTTTTTAAATTACAAAATTTAATTTAAAACCCACCAGTGTTTACCTGTGATTGATATATGGTACATTACTTTTTTTTTTTTTTTTTTTTTTTTTGGAGATGGTGTCTTGCTCTGTCGCCCAGGCTGGAATGCGGTGGCCCAATCTCAGCTCACTGCAACTTCCGCCTCCTGGGTTCAAGCAATTGTGCCTCAGCGCACGCCGCCAGGCCTGGCTAATTTTTTGTATTTTAGTAGAGACGGGGTTTCACCACGTTGCCCAGGCTGGTCTCAAACTCCTGAGCTCAGGTAATCCACCCGCCTTGGCCCCCCAAAGTGCTGGGATTACAGGCATGAGCCACTGTGCCTGGCCCAGTATATTACTTTTATGATGGGGGGAAAGCTTACTAATTTTTAAAAGTTTATTTAAATTACTGCTTCTATAAAGGTGATTCAGAGAGAAAAGTTGTATAATGAAAAGGGAAAAGGGAACTATCACTTAAAAATGGGTTAATAAGCAAGGTATAAGAACTACAAGAAGCAAGAATAGCAAAGATTTTCAGCTAAAATTAAAAATATAATTAAATTACCTTGGGGGTTGAATTTTAAATTTTTCAAAGACTTCTGGATAAAGTAATGGAAACACCACCATCTCTTTTAGAGCTGCTATATGATTAGACAGGCCACCAACACTATCAAATCGTACCTGGTAATGGAAGCGAACATGTACATTTTTAGATTTGGAGTCCAGATTAAAATGTCACCCCACACCATACACAGTCAATGAAGTAATAATATCTTAATTGTGACCTGAAGATTAACAGAAAACGTCTGTAAAGGTTAGAGTTTTGACTAAAAAGAAAAATCATTGGTTCCTTTTTTTAACTTTAAAACTAAAACAAAGCACATTATAGTTCAAGCATATGTTTCAAAACAGAGTACTCACTGAAGAATCTAGTTGCATTGGATCAACATCGGCAAGGCTTGCTCCAATTTTCATTCGATCTTTATAAATGCCTTTTAATTCATCTTTCCGAAAATTTAGTGGGAGGCACCTATTTAAAAAGATTTTTTAAAACCACACAAACCCATCAACTCACCCTCCTTCCCAAATTCCATGTTTGAATATAAACATTTAAGTTAAAAAAAAAATCTAAATTTCAACCGGAGCAATCTTAAGATATGTATTTTAATTTCCTCATTTTCTGTAATAGGTCCAGAACTTAAGTGTTAGAAATATTTATATCTGAAGCTTTATTATGAAATTAAAGACATATAATCAAATAAAAATACCAAGATGCCACAGGCACCATAAAGTGATTCACGGTGGTGAAATCAGACAGTACTAACCTACATTTTAATGGAGGTGTCTAACACAGACAGGGTATTTACCATTTGCCAGACACTGTTTTAGTTTTAGGTGCTTTACGTGGATTAAGTTGATAAATCCTCACAACAGTCTTATGAGGAAGGTATTATTATTTTCCCCATTTTAAAACAAAACCAAGACATAGAAAGATTAACTGATTTGTCCAAGATCACCCAACTAGTAAATGGCAGGGCCAGGAATCAAACACAAGTGGTCTGTCTCCAGAGCTATAACAATTCTGCTATGATATCTCCCAGAAAAAATATTCGCAGTCTACCAGCATTTGGATCCAAGATCAATCCTCTCAAGCAAGTTCCCTAACTACTTCCTTTTTTGTTGTTTTGTTTTGTCTTTTGGGTTTTTTCTGAGTCTCACCCTGTCGCCCAGGCTGGAGTGCAGTGGTGTGATCTCGGCTCGCTGCAATCTTCGCCTCCTGGGTTCAAGCTATTCTCCTGCCTCAGCCTCCTGAGTAGCTGGGATTACTGGTGTGCACCACCAACATCTGGCTAATTTTTGTACTTTTAGTCGAGACGGGGTTTCACCATGCTGGACAGGCTGGAAGTTCCCTAACTACTTTCAAAAATATTCAGAAATAGTTATGGCCAGGTGTGGTGGCTCATGCCGGTAATCCCAGCTGAGTCACTTGAGGTCAGGAGTTCGAGACCAGCCTAGCTTCTACTCTAGTCTCAGTGACATAGTGAGAACCTGTCTCTATTAAAAGAAAAAAAAAAGAATCCAAGCACCTAAGCACTGCATTTTCACTTACTCAACCAGATCTGTAAAATGTAAATAATCCTTGCTCTATCTCCCTTAAATATTTATTGGGAAAATCAAATAAGCTGGTTAGTATACATGGACTTACACTACAAGGAGTTATAAAATGAGTAAAGCCTTCCGTTTTCCTTAAGAGTTCCTCAGAACTTATCATTATTATAAGCAAAAAAAAAAAAAAAATACATGAAAAGAAAAGGTTATTTCCTTAAGTCACTGTTTGACCAGAACCACTGTGGGCCATATATAATGATTTGGCAAGCGGGCCAGGCATGGTGGCTCACAGCTGTAATTCCATAGCTTTGGGAGGCTGAGGCGGGTGGATAACTTGAGGCCAGTAGTTCAAGACCAGCCTGGCCAACATGGCGAAACCTCATCTCTATTAAAACTACAAAAATGAGCCAGGTGTGGTGATGCACACCTGTAACCCCAGCTACTCAGGAGGCTGAGGCAGGAGAGTCGTGTGAACCCGGGAGGTGGTGGTTGCAGTGAGCCAAGATCACGCCACTGTACTCCAGCCTGGGCAACAGAACCAGGCCCTGTCTCAAAAAAAAAAAAAAAAAGTCAAGAAATCAGTCATATGTTCTAACCTGTTATTCTGATTCAACTGTAGATAATTCTAACAAGACAGCATTCTAGTTTATACATTAACCTGTTGTGCAACTTTTTAATCAGCCAGCCTATACTTATACCCAAATTATTCTGTTTTCTTAGCAATTTTTACAAAATGTGTCTGCTAGTTTAAAAAGGCATCAATATGGCACTTACCTATTGATAGCCCTATTACGACTCCTTTTCCTCCGCCTCTCAAAGTGCTGTTCATCTTCAGAGGAGGAAGATGAAGTCGAGTCACTACTGTGGATTGCATGCCTTCGCCTAAAGTAAAAAACAAAATTGAAATCATGATAAGGAAGGGCAGGAAAAAGAAAAGGCATAAGAAAAGCATCAGAAATACCTAATGCTCCAAAAAGTTTATCATAAAATTAATACATCTGCTGACCCACTGACATAAACTTTGTTCGCTGAATCTTTCAAATGGAATAAAAGACTTAAACAACTGAGAGGAAAGGAAAAAAGACTAAAGACTGTGGCAGAGCTGAATATCAAATGTTCATGGAGACAGGAGAAGGCAGGGTGACTTCTTAGTCTTGATATAAATCAGTTATTCTCAAAGAGAAAGGTGGGATTAAGAGGGTATTAGAATATTTGGGGCTGGGTGTGGTGGCTCACACCTGTAATCCCAACACTTTAGGAGACCGAGGGGGAAGGATCACTTGACAGGTGTTCAAGCACAACGTAGCGGGACATTGTCTCCACTAAAAATCATTCGAGCAACTTGGCAAGATTTGGTCTCTACTAAAAATCAAAAAGCTTAGACAGGTATGGTTGTAGCACATCTGTTGTCCCAGATACTCAGGAGGCTGAGGTGAGAGATTTGCTTGAGCCTGGGAGGACGAGGCTGTAGTGAGCCATGATTGCACCACTGCACTGCAGCCTGCTGGGTGACAAAGTAAGCCCCTGCCTCTATCTAAAAAAAAAAAAAAAAAAGTATTTGGGACTGTAATTTGAAACTATTTTCAATATTACACTATACATAATATTCACATTTGGGAGGAAATCACCTACTTTAAAAAATCAAATAACTTTTTTTTTTTTTTGAGACTTCGTCTCGCTCTATAGCCCAGGTTGGAGTGCAGTGGGATGATCTCAGCTCACTGCAACCTCTGCCTCCTGGGTTCCAGTTGAGCAATTCTCCTGCCTCAGCCTCCCGAGCAGCTGGGATTACAGGTATGAGCCATTGTGCCCAGTTAACTTTTTTTTTTTTTCGATAGAGATGGGGTTTCACCATGTTGGCCAGGCTGGTCTTGAACTCCTGACCTTGTGATCCGCCCGCCTCAGCCTCCCAAAGTGCTGGGATTAAGGTGTGAGTCATCACGCCCGGCCAAAAATATCAAACAATTTTAAAAGAAGGACATGAGATTTTATGTAAACAAAAGGGCATCAAGAAAGACTTTTTAAATGCTGGGAAACAGTGATGAATAAGATGGCCTTTTATCAACAGTATACCATCCACTGTAAATTCACAACTGTCACTTAACAGCTGTGTAAATGTGGATGAGTTACTCAACCCATAAGTTTTCTTGCTCACAAAAAAGAAAAAAATACTATCAAATACTTAGGCTGGTTGGTACTATTAAATAAGATGCCAGATATTACAAATATACAAGAAAATTTTTAATCACTTCTACCTTTGAATGGTTGCAAAAGACTCACAGAAAAAACAAAGAGTCTGGTTGGGAAGAACTTTAATTATTCTACTTGCTCAGGGTCTAGAACTTTTCTGAGTCAGAGTGCAATGATGGTAAGTAAGTATTTCCAAAAATACAAAAGGTTCACAATCTATTATCTGCATAATGTAGTTCCAGAAACGTGTATCAAAAAAACTCGGAAGTTATTCCATTATTCACTTGCAGCAAATCATAACCTGACATAGTACAAGGCAATTTTTAGTTTCTATTTTGTCCCACTTACTATGATTATTCATATGTTTTACTACAGAATTATTAATTAATGTATTTGACCACACAGTGCTGGCTTGGAGACCCTAGAGATGTTAATGTTGCCACACTACATATGTTGTGTGTTATCTGTAAATCCAGCCAAAAAGTCTGAATTCTGAAACACAAATGGTTTTCCAAGGGTTTTGGATAAGGGGTTGTGGAAACACAGAAATAAATGAGAAAATAATCTTTCACCCATCCACCTACCCAAATACACCAAGACCATCTTTGTGATCAGCCTGAAACTAAAATTATTATATCCAGTACAAGTCTGCAACTTTATATGAAAAACTAACTTATTCATTATTACCATGAATATTAGACTTTAATGTATTCACATAATTTTATGTGAACTCACTATGTAGTCACAGAATTCAGACTAACCTCCCAATTAATAAAAAAGACTAACATTAACTGACTGCTTTCTGTACCATGTACTTGATATAGTATTTAATCTTAATTAAAATTTTGGAAAAGTGGATTATTAGTAGGCTCAATTTACAGTTAGGGCCAGTGTGGCTTCCAGGTTAAATAATTTACTCAAAATATCAGAATCTGTCATTGATAGTGTCAGAATTCAAACCTATATGTTTATTCAAAAAATCTGCATTCTATACATTACTATACTGATGATTTCCAGTTTTTTAATTTCATAAACCAATAAAGTTAAAAGCAAACAATAACACAACCTGTGGACCAACATGAAATTTCTGACATTTGATTTGCAAAATGGAGATTATTTTTAAACATCGAAGTACAGTTATAATAGCAAATACATACCGCACTTAATGTATGGCAGACACTATTTTAAATGCTTTACATGTATTAACTCATCTAATTCTCACAATACTATGAGATAGGTCCTACTATCCTCACTTTACAGATAAAAAAAAAACTGAAACAGAGTTAAGTAACTTGCCAAAGGCCGCTAATAACTAGTAGAGCTGAGCTCCAAGCCTAGACAGTCCTAGTCATGGGCCCAGGTTCTTAGCAATTACTCTATACTGTAGAAAGGTCATTACTTCAGTTTAAAAACATTGTAAACACTATTCCACAAGGTAGAGAAAGAGGGAATCCTCCCCAAATCATTCTATGAAGTCAGTATCACCCTAATACCAAAACTAGGAAAGGACATAACCAAAAAAGAAAACTATAGACCAACATCCCTGCGAACATAGATGCTAAAATCCTTAACAAAATACTAGCTAATCGAATCCAACAACGTATCAAAAAAGATAATCTACTATGATCAAGGAGGTTTCATACCAGGGATGCAGGGATGGTTTAACATACTCAAGTCAATAAATGTGATACACCACATAAACAGAATTAAAAACAAAAATCACATGATCATCTCAACAGATGCAGAAAAGGCATTCAACAAAATCCAGCATCCCTTTATGATTAAAGCTCTCAGCAAAGTCAGCATACAAAGAACACACTTCAATGTAATAAAAGCCATCTATGACAAATCCACAGCCAACGTAATACTGAATGGGGAAAGGTTAAAAGCATTCCCTCTGAGAACTGGAACTAGACAAGGATGCCCACTCTCACCACTTCTATTCAACATAGTACTGGAAGTCCTAGCCACAGCAATCAGACAAGAGAAAAAAATAAAAGGGTATCCAAATCAGTAAAAAGGAAGTCAAACTGTCTGTCTGCTGATTATATGATTGTGCACCTAGAAAACCCCAAAGACTACTGCAAAAAACTCCTAGAACTGACAAAAAAATCCAGCAAAGTTTCAGGATACAAAATCAATGTACACAAATCAGCAGTAGGTCTACTATATACCAACAGTGGCCAAGCTAAGAATGAAATCAAGAACTCAACCCCTTTTACAATAGCTGCAAAATAAAATAAAATACTTAGGAATATACCTAACCAAAGAGGCAAAAGACCTCTACAAGGAAAACTACAAAACACTGCTGAAAGAAATAACAGATGACACAAATAAATGGAAGCACATCCCATGCTCATGGATGGGTAGAATGAAAATTGTGGAAACGACCATATTGCCAAAAGCAATCTACAAATTCAACATAATTCCCATCAAAATACCAGCTATCATTCTTCACAGAACTAGAAAAAACAATCCTAAAATTCATATGGAACCAAAAAAGCCTGCATAGCCAAAGCAAGTCTAAGCAAAAAGAACAAATCTGGAAGCATTACGTTACCTGATTTCAAACTACGCTATAAGGCCATAGTCACCAAAACAGCACAGTACTAGTATAAAAACAGGCACACAGACAAATGGAACAGAATAGAGAACTCAGAAATAAAATCAAATAACTGATCTTCAACAAAGCAAACAGAAACATAAAGTGGGGAAAGGACACCCTATTCATCAGATGGTGCTGGGATAATTGGGTAGCCACATGTAGGAGAATGAAACTGGTTCCTCATCTCTCACCTGATACAAAAATCAACTCAAGATGGATCGAGGACTTAAATCTAAGACCTGAAACTATATAAAAATTCTAGAAGATAACATCAGGAAAACCCTTCTAGACATTGGCTTAGGCAAGGGTTTCATGACCAAGAACCCAAAAGCAAAAACAATAAAAGCAAAGATAAACAGGTGGGACTTAATTAAACCAAAGAGCTTTTGAACAGCAAAAGGAAGAATCAGCAGAGTAAAAAGGCAACCCACAGTATGGGAGAAAATCTTCACAATCTATACATCTGGCAAAAGACTAATATCTAGCATCTACAACGAACTCAAACAAATTAGCAAGAAAAAAACAATCCCATCAAAAAGTGGGCTATGGACATGAACAGACAATTCTTAAAAGAAGATATACAAATAGCCAACAAACATATGAAAAAATGCTCAACATCACTAATGATCAGGGAAATGCAAATCAAAACCACAATGTGATACCACCTTACCCCCGCAAAAATGGCTATAATCAAAAAATCAAAAAATAATAGATGTTGGTGTGTATATAGTGACCACTTCTACACTGCTGGTGGAAAAGTAAACTAGTACAACCACTATACAAAACAGTGTGGAGATTCCCTAAAGAGTTAAAAGTAGAACTACCATTTGATCCAGCAATCCCACTACTGGGTATCTACCCAGAGGAAAATAACTTATTATATGAAACAGATACTTCCACACGTATGTTTATAGCAGCACAATTCGCAATTGCAAAAATGTGGAACCAACCCAAATGTCCATCAATTGAGTGGACTACTACTCAGCCATCAAAAGGAATGAATTAATGGCATTTGCAACTACTTGGATGAGATTGGAGACTTACTCTAAGTGAAGTAACTCAGGAATGAAAAACCAAACATCGTATGTTCCATGTGTTCTCACTAATAAGTGGGAGCTAAGCTATGAAGATGCAAAGGCATAAGAATGACACAATGAACTGTGGGAACTCAGGGGGAAAGAGTGGGAAGGGAGTGAGGGATAAAAGACAACAAGTTGTGTTCAATGTATACTGCTTGGGTGATGGGTTCACCAAAATCTCACAAATCACTACTGAAGAACTTACTCATGTAACCAAATACCACCTGCTCCCCAAAAACCTACGGAAATAAAAAATTTAAAAAAAAAAGAGGAAAAGAGGGGCTGAGGCAAGTCAGTATAATCCATTTTCATAGGAAAATGTTTCCTAAATTTGAAAAACAAAAACCAAAAATAAAATAAAATAAATAAAAAACATTTAAACACACATATCTGTCTACATGTGCTCATCCCCCAATCTCCATTTTACTGAAAGCCAATTAAAAATCTGACACCCACAAACACTGGACCAGCACTTTGAATCTAACCAATAACTCGGCCGGGTGCAGTGGCTCATGCCTGCAATCCCACCACTTGGGAGGCCAAGGTGGGTGGATCACCTGAGGTCAGGAATTTGAGACCAGCCTGGCCTATATGGTGAAAACCCCGTCTCTACTAAAAATACAAAAAAATTAGCGGGGCATGGTGGCAGACGCCTGTGATCCCAGCTACTCGGGGGGCTGAGGCAGAAGAATCGCTTGAACCCAGGAAGCGGAGGTTGCAGTGAGCCGAGATCGCGCCACTGCACTCCAGCCTGGGCGAGAGAGTGAGATTTCCTCTTAAACAAAACAAAACGGGAGAAGAAATAAGATCCCAAAGTAGCTGCCACCCTCTTAGTACTGCTGGATCAAACAGAGATCCACCCCTTGAGTTAGGTAACCATAACAGTGCCTTGGTCCTGTGCCTGGTGGTGGTGGGGATTCTAGGGAACACTATACCTTCCTCTCCTTTTCTGAAGATCATTACATTTCACCACCAAAATAGAGGTCTTTACATTCTAAGGGGCCTGTGAGAATACTGATGTGCAGCCTCCTTTCAAGTGCAATTAATCTTGAAAAGCCCTGAGAGACTGAGTTTGTCTTCCCGATCCTCCATCCTTCTGGACCCTGGTCATGTGAAATAGGATGATGAAATAAGAAATCTAGATGTACACTTGTGATTCCTACAATGAAATGAAAAGACCTAGGGACACAAATAGTATTTTTTATTTTTCCTGAAAGAAATTAACCTTCAGCACTTACAAAGGTGCTGCTTCCATGACCAAAACATGATCAGATGGTCTGTCTCTAGGAGAAAACTTCCAAGAACTGTTCAAATAACTGAAATATCCTAAGGCTTCGGTCTTACTTCTGAGAAAATTCTAATATTAAGGGAAAAAAATTACCATTCCCCATACAAATAAAATTTTTTTCCTGGTTTCTTAGTCTTCTCTCTCATTCATGAACTACCAAAATGATTATTCCAATGCATTGATGAGGAAGTATCAAGAATTATCTCTTTGACCGGGTGTGGTGGCACACACCTGTAATCCCAGCACTTTGGGAAGCTGAGGCGAGTGGATCACTTGAGGTCAAGAGTTTGAGACCAGCCTGGCCAACATGGTGAAAACCCGTCTCTACTAAAAATACAAAAATCAGCTGGGTGTAGTGGCAGGTACCTGTAGTCCCAGCTACTTGGGAGGCTGAAGCAGGAGAATCGCTTGAACCCAGGAGGCAGAGGTTGCAGTAAGCCAAGATCGTGCCACTGCACTCCGGCCTGGGGAACACAGCAAGACTCTGCTCCGCCCCCACCCTCCCCAAAATAAATAAATAAAATAAAAATAGAAGAATTATCTCTTTGGACTTAAATTTGACCAATGAACAACTGTTGGGATGTAGAAGGAAAAGAAATCCACAAATATTGAATAGTCAAAGAAAATAAATGTTTCCTACAACAGAAGAGGAATAAATTATAAAATAGATCCAGAAAAAGATAACCAGAGTCATGAAAGGTCTAGAGGCCATGTAGCTTAGAACATCTGACATGGTAGGAAAATGCATCTGTGATAGTATGCAAAGAAAAGACTAAACCTATATTCTAACTTAATGTGAAGATTAAATGAAACAATCTACGTAAAATGCTTAACACAGAGCCAGGACTACAGTAAACCCTGAGTCTAAGGTTGCTCTATTATTAAAGTGTGGAAAAATGGAATAAACTACCTTACTACGGTAGTTACTAACACCTCCTATTAGTGGAAGCAAAAGCAAAAACTAGTCAGTGGTACTGGGGATTAGACTACTAAAGGTATAGAAACTAAGCTCTCCCAAATACACAATTCTAGAATTTTATCCTAATACACCCAATCCTGAAAGTCTAGAGTCCAGCCCTAACATAAAAACAATTATGTTGTCATAAATCAATCACTATATCAGAACCAAACCTGTTCATTCGTTTACAGTAAGGACTTCTTGGTCCTGCGGAAGATAATCGGTATCTTGGTCTTGCAGGAGAAGCTGGGCCACTATAAAATATGTTGGGCTTTCTCTGGTGACGAGGTTCTAAAAAAAAGAAATATATATATATATTTGTATATATATATATATATGGCATACAAATATGTATGAAGATAATTTTGCTCTTCATCTAAATACTTACAAAGGTGCTTATCGCCTTCCATGAAGTACTAGTAAATATCTACTATGGAATATTTTGCTGTTCATATTTTAAGTCATTTATGTCCAGAGGGTTGCAGCTGATAACATGTATAGCACAGATACCAACCAACCAAAACACACACAGGCCATAAACAACCATTGTGACTGTAGAGATGTGTAACAGGTTGATTATCAGCCTTGTATATTAATGCTCACAAGTACTGTGGTATAATATTAACATAAATCAAAAGAAGTCCTATCTCTATACAAACTGACAAAATAAATTAAGTAGAAAGCTGTGCAGTCTAAAGTAAAGACAGATATAAAATTCAAAAATAGCCCAGTTATTTGCTTTGGTCAAGGCAAACATTTAACTTTCTTCAGAGAAATTATTTGTTACAAACTTAGGATAGGTAAAGACAACAGTAATGAGTATTCAACAAAATGAAAATATGAAAAATACCAAAAAGACAAGAATAACAGAGAAGAAACAGGAAATATAAAGCTAATATAATTACATCTCCTGGAAAGAGTATGTATAGCACTTACTTTCCAATGGAGCCTGATAGTAAACAGTAGCTTTTCTCTGTCTAAGATAATATCGCTTCTGATTCTCTTCTTCTCCATCTTCTTCATCTTCATCATCTTCATCATCATCATCATCATCATCATCGTCATCATCATCATCATCTTCATCATCTTCATCTTCACCATCATCTTCATGTTCTTGGTCTTCACCCTCTTCAGATGACTCTACAATTAAGAGATCCTTACTTCCAGAAAGATACTCAGCAAAATGTTAACAATTTTTAACATAGGTGAGTTGGGAGAGAAAGATCCACCCTTTTAAAACTTATCTACTCCTAAAAAAAAAAAAACAACAAAAAAAAACCAAACTTATCTACTCCTAGATTGTTCATGGGAAGTATTTGTAATTCTTTTCCAACATTAAAAAACTGCAGAAAAACACAAGGAAGGAAAAAAGGAAGTAGAGAAAGAAGTTTGAAGGCTACTGTTAAGCAAGCACCAAACTAAAATTTATAGTCTTTCCATGAATTTCATTAATGTAGGTGACTAAACTTAAGCTTCCAAGTTAACATAACTTTTTGACAAGTTTTCAAATTTCCTCATTAAGCTTTTGCTTTCTAAACTTAAGTTTGACATTTCACCCAGCCCATCTGGCTGTCATGGAGTTACACGCTGCATAACTCAATCTACTTATGATTATGGTAAAACATGCTCACCAAACATTTAAAATGCATTTCAGAAAACTGATTTTCACTTAAGATAAGTTCTAATAGATTATGGTAATTAAGTCCTAAATGGAATAGCAAAACATAACTTTAATCACCTTTAAACTAAAAAAGAGATATACAGTGTGTTGTCCATAGTGGATGTATTACATAAGCAGACCAATATTATTGGCTTTAGATTGTTGATTTCAGTTACTTTCCCAAACAAAACATACTATCCTCTTAAGCTCTCCCCTTTCCCCACTTTTAAGTTACCAATCCTCTGATCTCTCACAAACTACCATAAATGTCACACCTTCTAGCTAAAAAGGCTATTTTCTACTAAATAAAAAGTTCTTAAATTCAATCCCAGAAGACAGAACAAGAGAAGAGACTAACCCACACTGCCTTCTTGATTATCAGTTGTTTCTTCATCAGTTCTTTGAATATCTTTCTGTTTTCCTCTTGTGTACATATTAAGATTGCTCTAAAAATGTTTAAATAAAAGCCATTAACATTTGGAATCTATTTATTAAAAAAATTAAGTTGGATCCTCCAATCTTGTTTAAAATTAAGATATTTACAGCCATAAACTCTTACATTTCCAGCAGTAACTAATGACTGATCAAATAAATGCTGGAAAAAGTAGATATTTAATGAAAAATGGATTAGGTACTATAAAAAAATTAAACTGGATATTAAATCATTCCCTTAATGGAAGAATATATTTACTTCTTCTGTTTCATTAAACACTCCCAAGTCTTCAAGTTCTCTCATTCGCTGTCTACGCATCTTCTTCATGTCATCCATTTTTTGAAGTACAGCTTCAGCAGTGCTTTAAAAAAAAGATATAAATGTAAGTGAAAATTGTAAAAGAGTAGCAGAATTTTAAAAACTTTATTTTTCTTCCATTGCAAACTTTTGGCACTAAGGTTTTAAATATTTTTATAAGAAGCATTGATTTACTTGTATAAAAATATTTTAAAATTTCTTTCCAAGAATAGAGACATATACAGAATTGTCACAAAGACCTCTGATAATCATTCTCCTGTACGCTTTACGTAGTAGAATGCATTAAATGTTTGGGCTGGTTGAAATCCATGATTCCTCCCCAACAAAAAGTCTCTGACAGATAAATCATCTTGATCTAAGGAATTTTTACTTACTTAGTTATAAGTTTGTCAAACAGCATGGACTGGTTTACACCACTATAACGACTTCTAATCCTACAACTTCGACGCACTTCAACATCACCATTATCTTCATGTAAGTGTTCTGTACTTTGAACGATGTTTCTAGCCCTCAATGACCGAGTAACTGGAATCACTTTGTCTTCACAAATGCATACATAAAAATAAATAGAAACATTTGAAATAATAGTATTTATAAAACAATTCTAAAATGAACAATTGAAAAGCTATACTTTCATGTAACAAAATTACAGTATCTTAAACTTAGCTTTCTTAAAAACATCAGAAAACAAAAATAAAGTTAAAACATACACCTACCATAAGATTGAGCCCACCTACTCCCAGGAGAAGAGGAAAGATATGTAATACAAAGACTTGTACATGAATGTTCAAAGCAGCTTTGTGATAGCCCCAAACCAGAAACAACCCAAGTCCATCAAAAGGTGAAGAGATAAATTGTGGTATATCCATATAATGGAATACTACTCATCAACAAAAAAGTGACCACATGGATTCTCAAAGCAATTATGATGAGTTGCAAGAAGCCAAACAAAGAATAAATACTGTATGATTCCATTTATATAAAACTGTAGATAATACACACTAAGCTATAATAACAGAGAACAGATTCTAAAATGAATGGTCACGGCTATGTTCCAATGAAATTATTTGCTCAGGAAACTGGTGGGGAGTAGTGTCAAAGAGTGAGGAGAGAAGCTAGAAGAGCCAGGAGGAATTATAAAACGGCCCGGGGAAGTTTTTGGGGGTAATAATTACCTTCACTATCTTATTGTGGTGATGGCTTCATGGCATATACTTACGTTAAAACCTAACAAATTATACACTTTAAACATGTAAAATTTATTGTAGGTACCTCAAAAAACCTGTAAACAGAATATTAATTACACATTTTAAGATCTGAAATGACTTTAACAGTACTTACCTTCTCTGTGCTCTTCTTTTTTTTTATCAGCCTGCTGTCTGGCCAACTGCCTATATTTTAAAAAATTAGATTAATTCAAAATAATTGACATAACTTTATTTTTATTTATTTAGATGGGATTGCACTCCATCGTCCAACAGGAGTGCAGTGGCACAATCATGACTCACTACAGCCTCAAACTGCTGGGCTCAAGCAATACCTCCCACCTCAGCCTCCCCAGTAGGTAGAACTACACACCTCACTACATCCAGCTAACTTTTTTTTTTTTTTTTTTGAGACGGAGTCTTGCTCTGTCGCCCAGGCTGGAGTGCAGTGGCGCGATCTCGGCTCACTGCAAGCTCCCCCTCCTGGGTTCACGCCATTCTCCTGCCTCAGCTTCCCGAATAGTTGGGACTATAGGCTCCTGTCATCTCGCCCGGCTAATTTTTTGGATTTTTAGTAGAGACGAGGTTTCACCATGTTAGCCAGGATGGTCTCGATCTCCTGACCTCATGATCTGCCCACCTCAGCCTCCCAAAGTGCTGGGATTACAGGCTTGAGGCACCACGCCTGGCCGCTAACTTTTAACATTTTTTTGTAGAGATGGGGCGGGGGGGGTCTCGCTTTTTTGTCCAGGTTGGTCTTGAACTCCTGGCCTCAAGCAGTTCTCCAGTTCTCCCACCTTAGCCTCCCAAAGTGCTAGGATTATAGGTATGAGCCACCATACCTGGCTATAACTGACATAACTATTTCTTATATTCCATGATACTACAAACAAGACATAACTGTATTTCTTATATTCTATAATACTACAAACAAGACAAAAAGTTAAATCAGCCTGGAGAACAAATACTAAGATACCTAAAAACTTAAAATATACTGAAAAAAATAGGCCAGGCACAGTAGTTCACACCTGTAATCTCAGCACTTTGGGAGGTTGAGACGGGTGGATCATGAGGTCAGGAAATCGAGACCATCCTGGCTAACAGGGTGAAACCCCGTCTCTACTACAAATACAAAAAAATTAGCCAGGCATGGTGGCAGGCGCCTGTAGTCCCAGATACTCAGAAGGCTGAGGCAGGAGAATGGCGTGAACCCAGGAGGCGGAGCTTGCAGTGAGCCGAGATCCCGCCACTGCACTCCAGCCTGGGCAACAGAGTGACACCTCGCCTCAAAAAAAAAAAAAAAAAAAAAAATCTACTAAGCAAAACAGTATGTGCCATTAATTTGTTTTTAGTGACTCAATTTTCCATCCTTAGGCTGCATCTGTTAATCAACCTATGTATCAAGCTATTTGCAAGTGGGCTGGTTTATATGTGGAATTTCAAATATTACAACTTAAAGTAAAATAAAACCATCTTTCCCTGATGAGTTAACTTATATATTCTCATTAACAAAGTAAGTCTTCATTAATTCCTCATCTCTCTTGGAAGACAGGTAAGAATTAAGAAGAAAATAAAAACTTTTGGCTGGGCACAGTGGCTCATGCCTGTAATCCCAGCACTTTGGGAGGCCAAGAGTTCAAGACCAGCCTGGCCAACATGGTGAAACTCCATCTCTAGTTAAAAACAAACAAACAAACAAGCAAACAAAACCAAAACCAGTCAGGTGCCTGTAGTCCCACCTACTCAAGAGCCTGAGGCAGGAGAATCACTTGAACCTGGGAGGCAGTGGCTGCACTGAGCCAAGATTGCACCACTACATTCCAGCCCGGGTGACAGAGCACAGGGTCCATCTCAAAAACAAACAAACAAACAAACTTTTGAGTAGTTCATCTACAGGTAAAGGCTTAGTTTCTTCAAAGGCTCACAGACTTTTCTCATAAAGGAGCTCCTCCCTTCATACCATGTAGGTCTATACATTTTATAAACCAGGCCCCTTTCAGATGCTAGGAACAGAATGACTAAAGCACTATTTTTCTGAACCACCCACCCCTACTGTCTTCTTTTTGCCTGCAGGAGGAAAGCAACCTTCCAAGGGTTGGTAAACTTTTCCTTCAATTGCTATGCACTAAATATTTTAAGCTTGGAAGCCATACAGTCTCCTCTGTCACAGCTACCTAACATTATAGGGTGAAAGGAGCCACATACAAAATGAATGGGCATGGCAGTGTTCCAAGGAAACTATTTACAAAAATATGCAGCTGGAGTTTGTCAACCGCTGCAAATCTGATGAAAGCTACGGTATACGCAAGTTTAAACATTACTTCAGAGGTTTTGTGTACACTCTGCGAAGACTATACCTAATCACTGGACCCTAGTTAAGAACCCCAGGATCAAGTAAGTAAGTATGTAGATCGTACCCTCATGACACAGTTACTCATATCTTTCTGTCTTTTTCTAACAATCTTGATCCTCTGGTCTTTGAGCCTCAAGTAGATTGAAAACAAAGAGTAAAAAAAAGAATGGAAAGGAAGGAAATAAAGAGATTTCTATAGTCAGGCATGCTGACAACAGTGAAAAAGAAACAGGAAAAGTATATGAAAAAGGACTCAGAAATACTGTAGGCTCTTTTATATAAGCCTTATGCAAACAGACACTGATGTTACCATTACGTAAAATAATCATCACTATTTGTAATAATGACCTGAATGTAGGGAGAGGATTTTTGTACAGGAAATCTTCTTGACAGAAGACATACAAATGGCCAATAAGCACATAAAATGATGCTCAACATTATTAGCCATCAGGGAAAGGTAAATCAGAACCACAGTGAGATACTTCACACCTGTTAAAATGGCGAACACCAAAAAGGCAGACTATGACAAGTGTTGGTGAGGATGTAGAGACCCTCATACATTGGTGGTAGGAATGTAAAATGCTGTAAATGTTTTGGAAAAGTATGCTACTTCCTCAAAATGTTAGTGTTAGTATTTGACTCAGCAATTCCACTGCCAGGTGTATACCCAAAAGAACTAACACCTACCTCCACATAAAAATGTGTATACCTACATTCATATCATTATTCATAATGGCCAAAAAGTAGACAATCCAAATGCTCACCAACCAATGAATGAATAAACAAAACATGGTATATCAATACAATTGACTCTTATTCAACAATAAGAAGTACTGAGCCAGCCGCAGTGGCTCACGCTGTAATTCCAGCATTTTGGGAGGTCAAGACGGGTGAATCACCTGAGATCAGGAGTTCAAGACCAGCCTGGCCAACATGGTGAAACTCCATATCTACTAAAAATACAAAAATTAGTGGCTGGGTGCAGTGGCTTATGCCTGTAATCCCAGCACTTTGGGGGCTCAGACAGGTGGATCACAAGGTCAAGAGTTCAAGACCAGCCTGGCCAAGATGGTGAGACCCCGTCTCTACTAAAAGTACAAAAATTGGCTGGGCGTGGTGGCGGGCACCTGTAATCCCAGCTACTCGGGAGGCTGAGGCAGAGAACTGCTTGAACCTGGGAGGCGAAGGTGGCAGTGAGCCAAGATTGAGCCACTGCATTCCAGCCTGGGCGACAGAGCAAGACTCCGTCTCAAAATAAAAAAAAAAATTAGGCTGGGTGCAGTAGCTCATGCCTGTAATCCCAACACTTTGGGAGGCCTAGACGGGCAGATTGCCTGAGGTCAGGAGTTCGAGACCAGCCTGACCAACATGGTCTCATCCTGTCTCTACTAAAAATAGAAAAATTAGCTGGATGTGGTGGCGGTTGCCTGTAATCCCAGCTACTTGGGAGGCTGGGGGAGGAGAATCTCTTGGACCTGGGAGGCAGAGGTTGCAGTGAGCCGAGATTGTGCCATTGCACTCCAGCCTGGGCGACAAGAGCAAAACTCTGTCTAAAAAAAAAAGCTGGGCATGGTGGCACATGACTGTAATCCCAGCTACTCAGGAGGCTGAGTTAGGAGAATTGCTTGAACCTGGGAGGCAGAGGTTGCAGTGAGCCAAGACTGAACTCCAGTCTGGTCAACAGAGCAAGACTCCATCTCAAAAAAAATACACACACACACACACACACTAAAACCATGGAATTGTACACTTTAGAATTGTGAATTGTATGGTGTATAAATTATATCTCAATAAACTGTTATTAAGAAATAATTAATATGGCCAGGCACTGTGGCTAGCACCTGTAATCCCAGCACTTTGGGAGGCTGAGGCAGGGGGATTGCTAGAGTCCAAAAAAGTTCAAGACAAGCCTGGGTAACATGGTGAGACTCCATCTCTACAAAAAATTTAACAATGAGGCAGGGTGTGGTGGCTCACGCCTGTAATCCCAGCACTTTGGGAGGCCAAGGCAGGCAGATCACTTGAGGTCAGGAGTTCTACACCAGTCTGGCCAACATGGTGAAATCCTATCCTCCTAAAAATACAAAAATTAGCTGGGTGTGGTAGGGCATGCCTGTAATCCCAGCTACTCAGAGGCTGAGGCAGGAGAATCACTTGAAGCCAGGGGGCGGAGGTTGCAGTGAGCCACGATTGCGCCACTGCACTCCAGCCTGGGCAAAAAGAGTGAGACTCCGTCTCAAAAAAAAAAAAAAAAAAAAAGAGCCAGGTGTGGTGGTGCAAACTTGCAGTCCCAGCTACTTGGGAGGCTGAGGTGGGAGGACCACTGGATCACTTGAGCCTGGGGGGTTGAGGCTACTGTGAGCCATGATCATGCCACTACACTCCAGCCTGGGTGACAGAGCAAGGCAATATTCTCAAAAAGAAAAAAAGAATTAATAAAAAGGATAGAAATTCAATATATTTTAGAAATAATCTAATTAAAAATACCAAGTCATTCCTCTTTAAATCCAGATCGAAAGCATTTATTTTATTATACTCCCTTAAGACCTTTCTAACATAAAGCCAAACAATGTTTTATAAACTTGAATAATGTACAGATCCTTTTAAAGGTAAAAACAGGACTTCCAACATTAATTTTTTTGTATGACTATGTAAACCAAACTAAATAGAAGTTCATCTATAAGTTTTATACAAATAAAACTATAAAACCATCAATAAATATTAATGTAATAAGGGGTTTTGCTAAAATGAAATAACCATTTGGTGTATGAATGTGGTATTGACTGCTATCAGTTTCTCTCGAGTTTGGCATGTTGTGTACCATAATTGCTATATATACTGCTGTGTACCACGATGGGGCAACTCATCCACTTCTCTTTATTGGAAATGTGCCAAACATTCATTTAAATAGTATGTCATGCTACCACATCATATTGCCTTTCATACAGAAGCAGATGCATCATTTATGTATTCAGGTCTGATTCTGTTCTTATCTCATTAATCTAAGATAACTAAAGTAGTACTACTTGATGCCAATTCAACTGTAAACACAAATGTATGGCCTCAAATTTTATGGCAATTCTCTATAAGGTAACAATTTAGGGGTCCTAAAATGCTTATTTTTTTCTTCAGATCGTCAAAAACAATTTTAAGTTCTCAGAGACAGTTAATGGACCACTACCTTACCTCAGAAGAATAAACCTTAAGACTTCAAATTTCAGAAATATCAGGCTGGTTTATATTGTACTTCATCAATTCTAAAAGTTGTACGTTTCTCCCCATTTTAACATCTCTGAAATTGGAATGTGTCTTACTGATGGCACCTCACAGTTTACTGTCAGTGATTTTCTTTTTTAGTGTCCCATAAACATTGTCATGTAATTGCTGATACTATGGATTTCATAAAATACAGTATAAAACACTCCATAAATAATGGATAAGACGCAAATTAAAAAATATGTATTAAAAGAATGATGAAATAGCTGAGAAAAAAATTAAAAACTCAAAAGGGCATAACCTTGCTTATCTAGAAAATATGGTATACAAAATAAGAGAATCAAAATTCCAGGCCAGCGCAGTAGCTCACACCTGTAATCCCAGCACTGTGGGAGGCTGAGGTGGGTGGATCACCTGAAGTCAGGAGTTCGAGACCAGCCTGGCCAACATGGCGAAACCCCATCTCTACTAAAAATACAAAAATTAGCTGGGCATGGTGGTGCGTGCCTGTAATCCCAGTTACTAGGTGAGCTGAGGCAGGAGGATCGCTTGAACCTGGGAGGCGGAGGTTGCAGTAAGCTGAGATCATGCCACTGCATTCCAGCATGGGCAACAGAGCAAGACTGTGTCTCAAAAAAAAAAAAAAAAAAAAAAAATCAAAATTCCATTTAAGAGCAGGAGGATTTCAGTCTTCTAAGTCATTACAAATTGTTTATTTATGAGAAGAAGTAATGTAAAAACGATTCTTTTTTTTTTTTGAAACAGGGTCTCACTCTCAGTGGCATGATTATAGCTCACTGCAGCCTTGACCTCCCCAGCTCAAGTGATCCTCCTGCCTCAGCCTCCACAGTAGCTGGGACTACAGGTGTGCGACACCATGCCCAGATAATTTTTTTATTTTTATTTTTTGTAGAGAGAGGGTCTCGTTATGTTGCCCAGGCTGGTATCAAACTCCCCGACCGAAGTGATCCTTCTGCCTTGGCCTCCCAAAGTGGTAGGATTACAGGTGTGAGCCACAGTGCCCAGCCAAAACAATTATTTCATCAAACAAATTTTACCCTAATTGGGGTTTTTCGCCCTGAACCAAAGATATTCCAGTTCCATGAATTTAGCCAAACTACCTAATCCATTAAAATTGATTTCTTGAGTTTAAAATGGGTTTCATGCCTCCTCTTCTAAAAACCAAAAAACCGTATGTACAGACTGCTTTAGAAATACACCAACACCAACACATAGAAATTCATAAATGACTCAGAATTGATAAAAAACTTTATAGCAAGCAATCAGAAACAGAACTACGATTATGAATGAAGGCTTTGTATAGACTATGAAGTGGAGCCATAAACCACAAGCTAAGTTATAGTCACAAAAGGTCTCTTTAGATACTCAAATACCTGAGAACTGATCCTACGTCAGCTAACCTTGTTAGCTGTACTCATATGTATCACAGGTATCATCTTTGAATAATAAAAGCATGAATGTGTACATACTAATTTTTTTTTTTTTTTTTGGAGATGGAGTCTTGCTTTGTTGCCCAGGCTAGAGTACAGTGGCACGATCTTGCCTCACTGCAATCTCTGCCTCCCAGGTTCAAGTGATTCTTCTGCCTCAGCCTCCCGAGTAGCTGGGACCTCAGGTGCATGCCACTATGCCCAGCTATATTTTTTAAATTTTATTTTTAGTAGAGATGGGGTTTCACCATATTGGCCCGGCTGGTCTCAAACTCCTGACCTCGTGATCTGCCTGCCTCGGTCTCCCAAAGTGCTGGGATTACAGGTGTGAGCCATTGCGCCCGGCCACGTATTATTATTATTATTATTATTTTTTTTTTTTTGAGACTGAGTTTCGCTCTTGTTGTCCAGGCTGGAATGCAATGGCATGATCTCCGCTCACTGCAACCTCCACCTCCTGGGTTCAAGTGATTATCCTGCCTCAGCCTCCTGAGTAGCTGGGATTACAGGCATGCGCCACCATGCCCAGCTAATTTTGTATATATTTTTTTGAGACAGTCTCGCTCTGTCGCCCAGGCTGAAGTGCAGTGGCGCGATCTCAGCTCACTGCAAGCTCCGCCTCCTGGGTTCACGCCATTCTCCTGCCTCAGCCTCCCGAGTAGCTGGGATTACAGGCGCCCGCCACTACACCCGGCTAATTATTTGTATTTTTAGTAGAGACGGGGTTTCTCCATGTTGGTCAGGCTGGTCTTGAACTCCTGACCTCAGGTGATCTGTCTGCCTCGGCCTCCCAAAGTGCTGGGATTACAGGTGTGAGCCACCGTGCCTGGCCACGTATTAATTTTTAATTTAGTCATACTCACTTGTGATCATTTATTTTCAAATAAACTACATTTTATAGCCCTAGAACCTTGATGACCAGTCAAAAATACACTTCAAAAATTAAAGCAAATCCTAAATTACTGCTTTAAAACTATTTTGAATTAGTGTTCAACCACCTTGTATTACCTTGTAAAATGCCTGCCATTAGCAAGTTGCTCCGTTATTTCCACATTCTTCTCAAAACTAGAATCTGAAGAATTCTGTGCATCTTTTCTCAAAGATCTTAAAGCACGTGTCCGGTGGTAGGTTTCAACTTCCTTAACTGATGACCCATCCTTTAAGAAAAATTAAGAAAGCCATCTAAGTTTTTCTTTACAAAACTCCAATTTAAATTCCTCCAAAGAGTATTCTCTGATTACAAGTTAGTAAAAACTGCTTTTTGTGCAGAATCATTTTGTATCTCCCCAAGAAACTACAAGTTAGTATCTAGAAAAACCATTTCATGATAAACAAATATCAGCAATGTCTATGAAGCAGCTAATATAAGATTTACTGGTTTATAGTTCATAACAAGTAGTTCATAACCACTTTATAAAAAGTAGTCTAGAGAGTGAAGTTTTCCACCACTGACGAAAAGTTGCAATAGTTTATTATAGTAGGTACTCATTTATTTTAAGGCTATAGAAGTTAGAAAGACCTAAGAAAGATACAGACTCACCAAAATACTGTCACCTAACCACCAGCAGCAACCTCAAAATAACTGGTCCATCAGAATTATAATTTTGGCTTAAACAATGAAAAAGAGTTATTACTGTATATTTTGCCCAGTTTTAACCCAGCTAATGCAACAGCTGAATTAAAAAACTGTTTAGGGCCCGGGCATGGTGGCTTATGCCTGCAATCCTAGCATTTTGGGAGACCTAGGCAGGTGGATTGCTTTGAGCTCACAAGTTCCAGAACAACATGGGCAACGTGGCAAAACCCCATCTCTACTAAAATTGCAAAAAAATTAGCCAGGCATGGTGGAGCACACCTGTGGTCCCAGTTACTTGGTAGGCTGAAATGGGAGGATGATTTGAGCCTGGGAGGTGGAGGTTGCAGTGACCCGTGATCGCGCCACTGCACTCCAGCCTGGGCAACAGAGTGAGACCCTGCCACAAAACAAAACAAAACAAAACAAAACAAAACTGTTTAAGTATGTTAATCTGTTGTAAAAACCATACAGCTTTATGTAACTTCATTTTAGTACAATAAATAGACTAGAGGCTAAGTTAATGGGCTGCTTTATGAGCTAGAGGTTCTGTCATAAAGTATTCCAAAGTTCATACACCGCTCTGAGATCATATAGAGTATTTTCACATTAGAAGTCAAAGGTATCTAAAATACAAACAAAACAAAACAAACAAAAAAAGATAGGGCCAGGCACTGTTGCTCATGCCTGTAATCCCAGCACTTTGGGAGGTTGAGGTGGGCGGATCACTTGAGGTCAGGAGCTTGAGACCAGCCTGGCCATGGCCAACATTGTGAAACCCCGTCTCTACTAAAATACAAAAATGAGCTGGGCCTGGTGGTGCGTGCATGTAATCCCAGCTACTTGGGAGGCTGAGGCAAGAGAATCGCTTGAACCTAGGAGGTGGAGGTTGCAGTGAGCAGAGATCGTGCCACTGCACTCCAGCCTGGGCGACACAGCAAGACTCCATCACAAACAAACAAACAAACAAACCAAAGATAGAAATCAAAGTCAAAGGTTCCTAACAACTCTATAATTCTATGCCCTACTACTCTGAAAACTGATCAGTTTAGAAAAACGGGCAGTGATTTAGGAAAAAAACACCAAACATTTGAGTCCTTGGATCACATCCCAGGCTGGCTTTACTCTATTGTCGAATGTTGTTTTATCAGGGCATTTATTTTTGATTTGAGCAAAATATTTGGTTGGTTCACAATAAAAAGGATATTTATACCACAATAATTTGTGTAAAAATTAGACAGGTACTTCAAAAATATTAAATGATGTGTAAGATTTGTCACCATCTTTATCAATGTACCTATATTTGAGGATGTTTGAAAAAAGAATACTTACACCTTGGGTGGTGTATTATTTTTAAGACAAATATTTACATCTTAGATCAGTGTAGTGTATAAGACTTTCATTTTCCAAGGAATATTTAAATGGAATCTGTTTCCAAATTATCAACTTTCATATGTACTTTTTCTTAAAACTGATCAGCCTGAAAAGGCACAAGCCATCCCATTCATTTGCCCTTCTCCATTTTAAAAAAGAAAGTTCTAAAACCACAATGAGATACCAGCTCACACCAGTTAGAATGGTGATCATTAAAAAGTCAAGAAACAACAGATGCTGGAGAGGAGGTGGAGAAATAGGCACAATTTTACACAGTTAGGAGTGTAAATTAGTTCAACCATTGTGGAAGACAGTGTGGCGATTCCTCAAGGATCTAGAACCAGAAATACCATTTGACCCAGCAATCCCATTATTGTGTATATACCCAAGGGATTATAAATCATTCTACTATAAAAACACATGCACACACATGTTCACTGCAGCACTATTTGCAATAACAAAGACTTGGAACCAACCCAAATGCCCATCAATGATAGACTGGATAAAGAAAATGTGGCACATATATACCATAGAAATACTATGCAGCCATAAAAAGGATGAGTTCATGTCATTTGCAGGGACATGGATGAAGCTGGAAGCCATCATTCTCAGCAAACTAACACAGGAACAGAAAACCAAACACTGCATGTTCTCACTCATAAGTGGGAGTTGAACAATGAGAACACATGGACACAGAGAGGGGAACACCATACACCAGGGCCTTTCGGGGAGTGGGGGGCATGAGGAGGGATAGCATTAGGAGAAATACCTAACGTAGATGACAGGTTGATGGGTGCAGCAAACCACCATGGCACATATATACCTATGTAACAAACCTGCACATTCTGCACATGTATCCCAGAACTTAAAATATAATTTTAAAAGTAAACAAAATTAAATAAAAAAAAAAAGTTCTATCTCTCACCCATTCTGAATTTCACTATTGCAGACACTTCAAGGTATTAAAAACTTTCATAAAGCCAAAGAAAAACACTGGTGTAGGTGTTAAGAAATTGAATGACAGCCGGGCATGGTGGCTCATGCCTGTAATCCCAGGACTTTGGGAGGCCGAGGCTGGCGGATCACCTGAGATTGGGAGTTCGAGACCAGCCTGACCAACATGGAGAAACCCTGTCTCTACTAAAAATACAAAAAATCAGCCGGGCGAGGTGGCGCATGCCTGTAATCCCAGCAACTTGGGAGGCTGAGGCAGGAGAATCACTAGAACCCAGGAGGCGGAGGTTGCGGTGAGCCGGGATCGTGCCATTGCACTCCAGCCTGGGCAATAAGAGCAAAATTCAGTCTCAAAAAAAAAAAAAGAAACTGAATGACTAGGCCAGGCGTGGTAGCTCACGCCTGTAATCCCAACACTTTGGGAGGCTGAGGCGAGGGGCTCATGAGGTCAAGAGATAGAGACCATTGTGGCTAACATGGTGAAATCACGTCTTTACTAAAAATACAAAATTAGCTGGGTGTGGTAGCACGTGCCTGTAATCCCAGCTACTTGGGAGGCTGAGGCAGGAGAATTGCTCGAACCTGGGAGGCAGAGGTTGCAGTGAGCTGAGATCATGCCACTGCACTGCAGCCTGGTGACAGAGCGAGACTCCGTCTCAAAAAAAAAAAAAAAGAAAGAAAGAAAAAAACTGAATGACTAAAGAAAGGCAACAAATACTTTCCCTTATTAGGTGGTTTTCAATTCTCTGCTTTCAATAAAATTGAAAGGAGACCTAATAAAGCTAAAAGAACATTAAAAATCATTTTTGGCAAGTGACTTTTGATGTATAACAAAAAAAAACTGGGTGGCACTGCTAAGCATAACTCCTTTTATTACTGTCTACTTATTTATATGAACAATACTTACATTTATAAAAACAATGCAACCGATACACAAAAACACAGTCTTGATTTTTTGTTTGTTTGTTTTGCTTTAGGAGCTTTTAATGCTTAGACTGAAAAAGATCACAGGGTAGATTTTTCATGGTCATTGATCCATCTCTGACAAGGCAAGAATTTTCCCTTCACTCTGGTCACAGGTAGAAGTCCAGACTCTCCCCTAGCAATGTCTTCAGAATGGAGGGGCTCCCTTTGCAGTGCAGTGCCTCCCCAACCCAGAGGCAAGAAAGCAAGAGTATGTAATAAGCACCCATGTGCCAGGCCCATGCAAGGCATTTTCAAGAGAACACTGTCTTTAGCAATAACTATGATACATCCACAGACACATGAACTAATTGGGTGGGTAAGGGAACTTCAACCATGTGAGATCTCCTAAAATCTTACTTTTCTTGCTCACAAAATTGGAACGATACAAAGATTAGCGAAACAATTTTTTAAAATCTTACTTTCTAAGTTTTATCATTTCAAATCCAAGTAGATAATATGTTCTTGTTTTGATTGACAGAGCATTAATTCTAACAACTCTACCCACAAACATTTTATTTCTTGGCGCTCAGAAGCCCACTAAGGCTCAGACATTTTTCTTAAACTGATTTCATGTCCCATTCAAGTGTTGTCTACAACCTGCATAACCAGTACTTTGTACAACTTGTTTATATTTTAATTGTATATAAACGTTTTTAAAGAAATATGTAATATTTTTATTTAGGTACCTCCAAACTTGAATTCACCTGTGTAAAACATTTTAAAAGGATACAATTCTCTTTTGAGTACCATTACAGCTATACAGGTTTCCACTGGTTCTATTTTTCTACTGTTATTGATGAGCATGCTAACACTGACTGTCTTACATATAGTAGACATTTCAAATAAATGGCTTGTATAGAAAAAAATTTCACATCACCATAAAATGCAGTGGGTTAAGTGGACTGAAAATGCAAATTAAAAGAGAGAAAAAAAAGAATCAAGGTAAACTTTGCTAAGAGTTTGCTCATGTTATTATTTTTAAATGTTTCAAAACATATCAACTGGTTTTTAGACTGCAGTGGATACAGGTAAAGTCTGACATAATAGTTTTATTCTTTTTAATGTCAACATCAAAAGATGACAGAAATTACATCCTTTGAAAGAAATAAATGAGGGGGAAGTTGAGATGATAACTTAAAACTGTATGAGAGAATAAAGAACTAAAAAACAATTTAGGAACTCTTAGGAGAAAACAGCATTGGATTTGGCAATGATTTCTTGGATGACACCAAAAGCACAGACAACAAAATAAAAATATGTAAGTTAGACCTCATCAAAATGAGTACCTTTTATGCATAAAGAACACTATCAACAGAGTGAAAAGGCAACCTACAGAATACGAAAAAAATCTGCAAATCATATACTGATAAGGTATATAAGGTTTTATATATACATACACACACACACATATATACACGCATACATATATATATCTCCAGAATATTTAAAGAACTCCTTTGCAAAACAAGCAAACCAATTAAAAAATAAGCAAAAGATGTGAATAGAGATTTCTCCAAAGATAGACAAATAGCCAATAAACACATGAAAAGATGCTCAACATCACTAGTCATTAGAGAAACGCAAATCAAAACCACAGAGATAACACTTCACACACATTAGGATGGCTACTCACAAAAAAAAAAAAAAAGGAGAAAATAGCAATTGTTGGTGAGGATGTAGAGAAACTGGAATCCTTGTGTGTTGCTGGTGGTAACATAAAATAGTAAGGCAATTCCTCAAAAAGTTAAACACAAAATTTCTATATGATCCAGCAATTCCACTTTTGGGTATACACTCAAAGAAGCGAATGCAGGGACTTGCACAAATATTTGTACTCATGTTCACAGCAGCATTATTCAATTCCCAAAAGGGGAAGCAACCCAAGTGTCCACTGACAGATGAACGGACAAACAAAACATGGTACATACAATGGAATATTATTCCTTCTTGTTTAAAAAAGGAAATTTTAACACATGCTACAATATGGATGAACTCTGAAGATATGCTAAGTGAAATAAGCAAGTCATAAAAGACAAATATGATTAGTCTAGGAATATGAGATTCAGAGAACAGTCACATTCAGAGACAGAAAGTAGAACAGTGGTTGCCAGGGACTAGGAGGAGAGAGGAACTGGGAGTAAGTGTTTAATGGGTACAGAGTTTCAATTCTGGAAGATGAAAAAGTTCTGGAGATGAATGGTGATGATGGTTGCAGAACAATGTGAATGTACTTAATGAACTGTAAGCTTAAAAACGGTTAAAACGGTCAATTTTATGTTATGTATATTTTGGTACATTAAAAAAGAAAATAAATGCTACCATATTCCTGAGGATAAAAAAAGATTTTGTTTCCTTACAAAACAAGAAAAGGGGTGGATGGGGACAATACTAGGAAAAAACATTTCCTAAGAAACTTGGAAGACAATCTTATAAGTGGTATAAGAGAATCTTTGATGTGCATAGTGAACGGCTTGTCATTCTCTCCAAATAAGTACTAGGCAGCAAGAAAGACTCAACAATGTGGGCAAAAAAAAAAAAAAATTATGTGGGAGTCCTCTATATAGAGTATACACTAAAAAATTTTTAAATGCATCTTTCAAAAACAGTTCTAACAAAAGCAATATAAAAATAAAGGCAATACATGCCCATTATTACTGGAAAAATGAAAATGTCACCCTTAATTTCAGCCACTCACAGACAACCTCTTTTAATCTCTTGGTGCAAAAACCATTTTTTTCCTATGCAAACATATTTACATGATTTTAAAACTGAGATAATACTATATGTTTTATAAGTTTTTTCTAGTAATATCAATATTTTTTCATGTCATTAAATATTACTCTAAAAATTTAATGAATGAATAGTATTTCAGCCATTACATGAATCTATTTAACAAATTGCTGAATGTATTATATTTAGGTTGCCTGCAATTTTTTCTGATGTTATAAATATCTCTAGATGAATTATCTTGTGTATATCTTCTTTCCTAAGGAAGACTAGCACAGGTATTAAACCGAAGTCATCTAATTCCCAAGAGGTAAGTTCAACACTGTTAACAGTAATTAACATTGGATGACAGAGATGGGGACTTTCACTTTCTATTTTTCACATTTTCACATGTATTACCAGAAAAAAATTCCTAAAAACTAAAAAACAAAGAGAAAACAAACTTAGTCTGAAATTTTAACCTAGAGATGTAATATTCTCATTTATTCTTTGGCTAAAATCTACTTAAATATTGAGAGCACTTATAGTTCTTTAAAAGTGAAGTTTTAAGAGAGGAAATGTTAGTATTTTGTTAAATTTTAAGTTTCTCACAACCTTGCAGAATCAGTAAGTTAACATAGAGAAAAAGCAGCAATAAAATAACAAAAAAGTTTTCCTAAAGTATACACAGTTGCATAATAAAAATATTCTATGTTATTTTTCACAGAAGACCAAGCTTATTCAAGCTTTAAATTCATTTTTTAAAAAGCATGTTTGGGGGGGAGGTCAGTTGTTTGAGTCAATTCAAATATCAACAAATGAGGTTGAAATAGGATGTACTCAACACAAATTTAGGGCTCCCTGAAAACTTAAACAACAGTATATTCTAATACATGATATACATGTTATATCACTATAGTTGTGATATCCTTCCTTAGTTTTGTCTTTAAACATGAGTTTAAACCACTTCACCATCTACTCGGTAAACTCCAACTTAGTTTCTACCTCCACAGCTCTTTCAGTACATTCACAACTGTCTCCCAATAGCTACATCCAATAGCCTTTTCTCTACCTCACTGAATTCTACAGAACTGATCACTACCTTCTTTATTTATTTTTAGAGATAGGATCTTGCTCCTTCACCCAGGCTGGAGTACAGTGGCACAATCATGGCTCACTGCAGCCTCAACTTCCTGAGCTCAAGAGATCCTCCTGCCTCAGCCTCCCCGGTAGTAGCTGGGGCTACAGGCATGTGCCACCACGCCTGGCTACTGATTATGTATTTTATCTTATTTTATTTTATTATTTTGAGACGGAGTCTTGCTCTGTCGCCCAGGCTGGGGTGCAGTGAGTGTAGCAGCACGATCTCAGCTCACTGCAACCTCTGCCTCCTGGGTTCAAGCGATTCTCTCTCTCAGCCTCCTGAGTAGCTGGGACTAGAGGCAGGCACCACCACACCTAGCTGGTTTTTGTAGAGACAGGGTTTCACCACATTGCCCAGGCTGGTCTTGAACTCCTCGGCTCAAGTTATCCACCTGCCTCGGCCTCCTAAACTGCTGGGATTACAGGTGTGAGCCACCATGCCCAGCCAATTTTTATTTTTTATTTTAGAGATGGTGGGGGCGGGGGGGTGGTCTCACTATGTTGCTCAGGCTGGTCTCGAACTTCTGGTTTCAGGTGATCCTCTCACCTTGGCCTCCCAAAGTGCTGGGATTAGAAGTGTGAGCCACTGTGCCTGGCCAGTACTTTCTTAAAATGCTTCGGTCCCTTGGTTTACTTAATACTCTTAGTTCCATGATTCAACTTCTCACCTTTAAAATACAGGCATTGCTTCAGACCTCCTTAATTCTTTTTGTGCTTTGCTGTTTTCTTCTCTCTCTTTTTTTTTTTTGACACAGAGTCTCGCCCTGTCGCCCACGCTGAAGTGCAGTGGCGCGATCTTGGCTCACTGCAAGCTCCGCCTCCTGGGTTCACGCCATTCTCCTGCCACGGCCTCTAAAGTAGCTGGGATTACAGGAGCCTGCTACCACGCCCGGCTAATTTTTTTTTTTTTTTTGTATTTTTAGTAGAAATGTGGTTTCACCGTGTTAGCCAGGATGGTCTCGATCTCCTGACCTCCTGATCCGCCCGCCTTGGCCTCCCAAAGTGCTGGGATTACAGGTGTGAGCCACCGTGCCCGGCCTGTGCTTTGCTGTTTTCTATTCATCCTCAAGGACAAGCAGTCCCAACCTCTTAGCAATTCTGGCATAAAACTCCCAATGGTCGGCCGGGCGTGGTGGCTCACATCTGTAATCCCAGCACTTTGGGAGGCCAAGGCGGGCGGATCACGAAGTCGGGAGATTGAGACCATCCTGGCTATCACGGTGAAAACCCAGTCTCTACTAAAAATACAAAAACTTAGCCGGGCGTGGTGGCGGGCGCCTGTAGTCCCAGCTACTCAGGAGGCTGAGGCAGGAGAATGGCGTGAACCCAGAAGGAGGAGCTTGCAGTGAGCCCAGATCGCGCCACTGCACTTCAGCCTGGGCGACAGAGCAAGGCTCCGTCTCAAAAACAAAACAAAACAAAACTCCCAATGGTCTACTGCTCACTTCTTTAGCTGGAAACAACGTCTTCCCTCCCTGTGTTCAAACAACTCTCAGATCCTGTGCTGTATTATTGGACATTTTTCTCCATTCCTACTAATACCACCTTAACTTAAACTCTAAGGATCTAGGAATCTAGAATACTTAGTATATGGATACTAGATACTAAGAATCTAGTAATGAGGATAATAATAGTTTATAAACAGGAGAAATATATGTGTCTTATCAAGTACTATGCCTGGTACACAGCAACTGCTATATAAGTGGTAGCTATTACTATTATTTTATATATATATATATATATATATATTTTTTTTTTTTTAGACAGAGTCTTGCTCTCTTGCCCAGGCTGGAGTGCAATGGCGCAATCTCGGCTCACTGCAACCTCTGCCTCCAGGGTTCAAGCAATTCTCCTGCCTCAGCCTCCCCGGCACCTTGGATTACAGGTGCACACTGCCACATCCGGCTAATTTTTGTATTTTTAGTAGAGACGGGATTTCACCATGTTGGCTAGGCTGGTCTTGAACTTCTGATCTCCGGTGATATGCCTGCCTCGGCCTCCCAAACAAAGTGCTAGGATTACAGGCATGAGCCACTGCACCCAGACTACCATTATAATCTTTTAACTGGTCTTCTTAGCTCTAGGTTTTTGTTAACTATAATCCATCCGAAACACTGTCTCATCAGATCCCTGTTCTAGCTCTTCACTGTCTCCCACATAAAGCTGTAACCTCTAAACCTAAAATCAAGGGCCCTTTCTTGCTTATGACTGAATACAGAACTGCCATGTCACCCAATTCCAGGGAACACCATTCACTGCCACACCCAGAAGCTCCCTATCTATGCTTTGTGATACTTCATTAAGCTATATACTTTTCATGTTTCTGTACTGTGTTATGCTTTAAGTTTTTAAAATCTCCTGTATGTTACACATATTGGTGTTGAGTTTTGAGTATCTTTCCAGACTTTCAAATAAACATACAATTTTTAAAATAGTACCTTCTACATACTGCAGAATGTTCTATTTTACCTAACACACAGAAAAGTAAAAATGTAGGTAAACAACCCAAAAGTAGGCCAGGCGCAGTGGCTCACGCCTGTAATCCCAGACTTTGGGAGGCCAAGGCAGGTGGATCACCTGAGGTCAGGAGTTTGATACCCCGTCTCTACTAAAAATACAAAAATTAGCTGGGCATGGTGGCAGGCGCCTGTAATTGGAAGGCGCTTACAGCTACTCCGGAGGCTGAGGCAGGAGAATTGCTTGAATCCACGAGGCAGAGGTTGCAGTGAGCAGAGATTGCGCCACTGCATTCTAGCCTGGGCGACAAAAGCAAAACACAGTCTCAAAAGAAAAAAAAAACCCAAAAGTAATGTACGATCATCATCAATTTAAAAAAAACACCCTACTATCCATCCTTAAGTGACTCTTCAACATGAGAAACAACCCTAAATTTACAGAAACCAAAGAACCTCAGACCTTAGAAAACAAAGAAAGTACAGAAATAGACAATGGCTACTCTGATTCTGGAAGAAAAAGAAACTACAGAAAAGATATCCATAGTCATAAAGTTGGTAGGATGAAAATAGAAGTTTTAAAAAAACAACAAAAAACAAACTTAGACCACCACCACCACAATATTCAGGGAACCCATACAAGTCAGGAAAAAACAAAAACACAAATCTATAAGCCCAGCTGAATGAGAACATATTCAAAATATAAAAATACAATGTAGTTAATAAATAGGTGACTAAAAGTAACTTCAGAACTTGAAGATAAGATCAGCCTGATCAGAGGTAATGAGAAGTTTTGAAAAAAAAAAAAAAAAAAAAAAAAAAGGTCAGCCTGAGATTAGACTAGGAAAAATTCAAGTTAATGAATTAAATGAATAAATGTAACCACCCATAAAAGCAGCCTAGCCTAAGAAATGCTCTGTCAATAAATATGTGGCTGAGGAAACTAAGAAATATCCAAATATAATCAGGGTGATCAGGGAGTGAAGTCTCTGAAATGCATGATTGATGTAAAACAGCAAGGTGTAATCCAACCAAATGTATTGAATGTAAAGCCCCCAAATCAGAAAATATTCCAATTACAGAGGCATGTTTCATTTTTGGTACTGATGGGCTTGTCAGTATGAATACATTACCCCTAAAGACCACCGATTTATTTTAATCCAATCCCATGCTCATTATGTAACACTGTGATTATAATTTGGTCTACACAGACACCTTGATGTATAAAAGGGAGGAGAACTTTGTCTCAAAAAGGTATAATGCCTGCTGGGAACTGTGGTGGGGGTTGAGGGGGATCCTTTCTACCCTACAACATCCAGCAGAGTGCATTCTAATTGCTCAACCACCATATACCACAAATACGGGATTTATGGCAAATAGTCTCTGTATATTGCTGTTAGGTCTCCTCTGCTAGACTTGTATCTCTTTAGAGTAAGAACAATCAACAACAAATATTTAATATACACTTACTTCCTGCTAGGTTCTGTTCTAAGTGCTGGGATAACATTGCCAAAAAAAAAGTCAAAATCCAAGTCCCCGTGCAGTTACATTCTGATTGGGGAAGAGAGAAAAATACTTAAAAATAGAAAAGTACAGAAAATGTTGGAAGGTGACAAGTGCTAGGAGAGGCATGTCAGGAGAGTGGTTTGTAATTTTAAATATGGTGCTTATGGTAAACATCATTGCAAAGGTGAAATTTTAGCAAAGACTTGAGGTAGACAGACTCCTAAATTTGAATCATAGTCACACAGCTTACTATAAGGTGAATTTGGGCAATTTATTTAAGTCTCTGTGCATCAGTTTTCTCATAAAAAAAAAATCTTACCTACCTCATAAGGTTGTAAGGACTGAGTTATTTATTTGTACAATTTCTGGACCACACTAAAGTACTATAATTCCTGAGGTTTTGTTTTTTAGTTTAAAATAATGTAAAAAAAAAAAAAAGTTAAAAGAATGGGTCATGCAGATATCAAGGGGAAGAGTATTTCCAGCAGAGGTATACCAAATGGAAAGGCCCTGGTATTAAAGAAGCAGCTATGCCAGTGTGGCTGGAATAGAGTGCGTTTTGTAAAGGGGTAGAAAAAGATGTCATTATAAAGGATGCAGGGATGCTTAGGGCTGCTTCCAAACTTACAGACTTTTACTTAGATAGGGAGTCTCAAGAGGGTTTTAAGTGATCAACTGTTTTGACTTTTTAAAAGATTCACTGCATTTGCTGGGCGCGGTGGCTCACGCCTCTAATCCCAGCACTTTGGGAGGCCGAGGAGGGCGGATCATGAAGTCAGGAGATCGAGACCACCCTGGCCAACACGGTGAAACCTTGTCTCTACTGAAAATACAAAAAATTAGCCAGGCGTGTTGGCGGGTGCCTGTAGTCCCAGCTACTCCGGGAGGCTGAAGCAGGAGAATGGCGTGAACCCGGGAGGTGGAGCTTGCAGTGAGCCGAGATTGGGCCACTGCACTCCAGCCTGGGTGACAGAGCGAAACTCCATCTCAAAAAAAAAAAAAAAAAGATTCACTGCATTAAGAACTGACTATTGGTGGGGCGTGGTGGTTCACACCTTTAATCCCAGCAATTTGGGAAGCTGAAACTGAAGGATTGCTTGAGTCCAGGAGTTCGAGACCAGCCTGAGCAACATAGTGAGACTCCATTGCTACAAAAAACTTAAAAATGAGCTGGGTGTGGTGGCGAGCCCCTGTAGTTCCAGCTACTTAGAAGGCTGAGGTGGAGAATCACTTGATCCTGGGAGGTTGAGGCTGCAGTGAGCCACGTTGGTGCCACTGCACTCTAACCTGGGTGACAGAGCAAGACTCTGTCTCAAAAATAAATAAATGCATAAATAAAGAGAACTGACTGTTGAGGGAAGGTGGGGCATAATATATATATCAAACAGTGGAAAACGGGAAGGAGGCCAATCAAGAATCTATTATAATCCAGGAAAGATGGTCAGGCGCGGTGGTTCATGCCTGTAATCCCAGCACTTCGGGAGGCTGAGGTGGGCCGATCACCTGAGACCGGGAGTTTGAGATCAGACTGGCCAAAACAGTGAAACACCGTCTCCACCAAAAACACAAAAATTAGGTAGGCGTGGTGGCGCATGCCTGTAATCCCAGCTACTTGGAAGGCTGAGGCAGGAGAGTCACTTGAACCCGGGAGGCGGAAACTGCAGCAAGCCGAGATCACGTCACTGCACTCCAGCCTGGGTGACAGAGCAAGATTCTGTCTCAAAATAATAAATAAATAAATAATCCAGGAAAGAGATTATGGCTTGAACCAGCATGGCAACACTGGAGGACATATAAAGTGGTCAGACTTGGAATATATTTTGAAAGTGGAGCCAACAGAATTTGCTAATGCACTGGATGTGAGGAGTCAACAACAACCTAAGGTTTTTTTTCCTGAGGAACTGAAAAAAAAAAACGGAGTGGCCATTAACTAAAACTGACGATGGTCTTAATAGCTGACAATGACTGAATCCTAACCATATGCTAACTGTTCAATTAATCTCCTTACATACATGATCACATTTAATCCTCACTACCAATGTGGTGGGTATCATCCCATTTAACAAGTGTAGAAACCTGATGATTATTGGTAAACCTGAGAAGCTGAAACTGAAATTCATAATTAACAGTTTTCTTAAGAGTCTATGTATTTGGCCAAGCAGGGTGGCTCAATTCTGTAATCCCAGCATTTTGGGAGGCTGAGGCAAGTGGATCACCTGAGGTCGGAGTTCGAGACCAGCCTGGCCAACATACAGAAACCCTGTCTCTACTAAAAATACAAAAATTAGCCCAGCGTGGTGGTGTATGTCTGTAATCCCAGCTACTTGGGAGGCTGAGGCAGGAGAACTGCTTGAACCCGGGAGGTGGAGGTTGAGGTTGCGGTGAGCCGAGATCACACCAGTGCACTCCAGCCTGGATGAGAGAGTGAGACTCTGTCTCGAAGAAAAAAAAAAGAGCCTATGTATTTAACCAGTATTCAATATATCAGTACGTATCATTATGTTCACAGGATCTAGTGTTACCCTGGACATAAATAATCAATCAGTATTGAAACACATTTTCTGAACACAGGTTAAGTCAAGTAACCAATTCCAGTGCAGAAGTGTTTGGCCTCTCCAGGTCTCTGCCAATTCCTGGCAGATGACTGAGAAACAAATCTTTAAAGTCAGGAAATTACTTGTCTTTTCAATTCAGAATCACAATTTCAGAGACTGAAGGGAGTGTAGTTTTTAACCCATTCCCCTCAGTAGAGTAGCAACCAGAATGGGATGCCCACAAAAGATACTGGCAACTAATTTTATATAGTTATCTAAATACAAGATCTTAATAGAAGACTTAATACAAGACCCTGAAATCGTCTGCTGAACTGAAGAGGATTACATTGTCACTTCCACCACACATTTCCCCTGAGCCTCTCATTCTCATTCCCAAGTTCCCAACCTTCTCTCAGGTCCTATTTTTCCTACTCCATGCCTACCCTCACTCACTCCAACACCTTCAGTCCAGCTATATATTACTTGCTGCCTTAACTAAATTTACTAGCGAGCTTCCCCGACTTCTTCAACCTTCTGTGAATGCTGAAACCCCTCCACCTAGGCCTCTTTCAGCAGCTGGGGTGGGGAGGTGGATGGGAGGGGAGTAACTGCTCAGCTTTAACTCTGCCCTGCAAAAACCGTCACTGCACTTCAGACCTAGAAGCAGCACTTCTTTCAAGAGGACCCTCCTTCCTTCCAAACTTCCCCTATAGACACTGCTTGTAACTGCAGCATGACGGCATAGAAAGGGAACGATTTAGGAGGCAGGCAATCTGAGTTCCAATTTTAGATCTACCCCTTACTGTTTACCTTTTTGAATCCGTTTCTTCATCTGTCAAAGAGATAGCACAACTACGCATTCTCAAAGGGTTATGACGAGGCTTGGAAGCGGGGGGCGTACATGAAATGTTGGTCTTCATCCCTCCACATTATGCAACCTGGTATTATTCACTGCGCTGTTATTACGGAACTCCTCTGGATCGTTAATGGAGGTCAGAGAACCTGAATTACAACCTGTCTGTCCCTGTGCCCCCTCCCCCCCAACGTTTATGGCGCAGACAGAAAGCAGTCAGGGGATGCGTGTTGCCTCCAGGTTGATGCGAACCTAGGGCAGGAGCCTGGGCGATCGATCGGCCAGGGAGTGGGGGGTCGTGCGGGCGGCCGAACAGCCGCGGCTTGGCCCCAGACCGCACTCCGCTGTGGCGGGCTTCGATTTCCTCTTGCGTAAAAGTAGGTGGTGACCAAATGCTTAGTCCTCTCCCGGCCAGCCTCAGCTCAGCGATCCGACCCGCACCTCCGATCCCGAGAGCTTCCATTTTACTCGTCCTCGACCACACTTCTCCCCCGACAACTGTCACCCTGACCGGCGCCGCCCACCCCCAGGCCCCTCCGAGCGCCGGGCTGCCGGCAGTCCCCCCGGGAACCGCCCTGGGAGCCCGCCTCAGGCCCGTACTCACGCCCGCTTTGGCTGTGGTCGCCGCGGGTTTCTTCTGCGCCGCGCCGGCCGAGCGGAGCCGCCTCCGGCCGATGTGCTCCAGACTGAGGAAGTCACTGGACAGGTCCAAGGAGCCCGTGGCCGAGGCCGCGGAGTGGTTGTGCAGCTCCAAGCTGCTGCGGAGAACCACCATCTTCTCTCCCTACTGGCCTCGGCGTGCGCGACCGGAGAGAGATCCAGCTCCAGGCGCTCGCAGCTCTGGCTCTTCCGCGCTCCGAATTCTGGCGCCACAAGCTCCGCGCCAGCGGCCGCAGCGCGCGCGCCCAGAATCCCTCCGCCGTCTGTCCCGCCCACGCCACCACCGTAGAACAGCAGGCTCGAAACTCTCCTCCCATTTGTAGAGCGAAGGAGGCCGGGCCAACGTGGAGAGGAACACAGGCCGACAGTATAGAGGACCTGAGCGGAGAGTCCTGGGGAAAACGCTGACTTCTTTTTCTTCACATAGTTCCGGCTCGCTGAGCTCGGCGGAAGGAGACGGTGGGAGCGGTGCGTAGCCCGTTTGGAATTTTGGCGCGGGACGGCGGCGGGGGAAGGGAGGCCTCTGCGCGCTCTGATTGGCTGGTGGGGTCCGGCGTCTCCTCCCCACCCCTGTTGACACCTGCTTGCTGCTTCCCGCCATCCAGGATTCAAATGCAAAATGCCCAGTCCTTGACTGGAGGGAAATAAAGCACTTGGCCTTTGACAGGTTTTGACTTTGAGCCTTAAGAACTTTTTTTTTTTTTAAATAATTGAGGGCTTGACGAAAACAAGTTAACCACCAAAAAGAAAGAAAACACAAGGAGCTAAAAGCGAGCCAGCAGAGTGCCATCGTTTAGTTAAGGACGCGGGTTCTGTACCCATCTTTGCCATTGATCATCCCACATAGAAGATCTCGAACAAATTATTCACCTCCCTGCATTCTAATTTCCTCACACGCTGAGGCAGGAGAATCGCTTGAAGCCGGGAGGCACAGGTTGCAGTGAGCCAAGATCGTGCCACTGCACTCCAGCCTGGGCAACAGAGCAAGACTCTGTCTCAAAAAAAAAAAAAAAAAAAAAAAAGAACCTGTTTCAAAAAAAAGAGCAGGACTCCCAGTTAAATGTGAAGTTCAGATAAAGAACAAATACTTTTTATACGTATCTCGGAATGTACATATAATCGGAAAGTAACTCCGATTGTAATACCTAAGGCCCTAAAGTACTATTATGATACCTTGGAGCCGTGCTTGCACATAATAAGTGCTCAATAAGCGTTCGCTATTATCACAGAATACAAGAAGATGGCTTCTCTAAGATGGCAGTTACTTGACTACTTTGAAATAGGTAACACGCTGAATGATCAGAATGTCCGAGGGCTCTTAGCGAAATAAACGAAAGCTATTTATTGATTTGGATAACTACAGTTCATTAATTTAATATTTGTTAAATACATATTGAGCCTCTATTATGTACCAGGCATTATTCTAAGCACTGGGGATGCAGCAGTGAATAAAAAGAACAAAAATGCCCTAATGGAACTTAAACTCTAGTGGAAGGTGAAAGACAATAAACTAAATGTAAAAGTTTTAAAGTGGCAAGCATTACAGAGAAATATAAAGTAGGGAAGGGGGAGGGAAGAGTGCAATTTAAAATAGGGTGATTAGGGAAGGTCTGGCTGAGAAGTCTGACAAAGGCCTAAAGGTTAGATGGTTCTGGAAGAAGAGAGAGGCGGGAAGCAGGAAGGGGAGAGTGGCGAGGCCAATGAGAACAGAGCCACTGGGAGCAGGTCCTACGGGACTCTGGGTCTTAGTTTGAAACTTTTGAGGGCTTTTATTATAGCCCCCAAATTCCCATCCAAACCCTGAGATGAAAAGACATCTCAGGGTTTTGAACAGAGGTTTGACTTATTCCGACTTTAAAAATAATCTGCGTGGCTGCTGAATGAAGAATGCAATGTCTGGGGACATATAAAAAGTATTTGTTGTTTATCTGAACTTCGCATTTAACTGGGAGTCCTGCTTTTTTTTTGAGAGAGGTTCTTGTTCTTTTTTTTTTTTTTTTTTTTTTGAGACAGAATCTTGCTCTGTTGCCCAGGCTGGAGTGCAGTGGCATGATCTCAGCTAACTGCAACCTCTGCCTCCCGGGTTCAAGCGATTGTCCTGCCTAAGCCTCCAGAGTAGCTGGTATTACAGGCGTGCACCACCATGCCCAGCTAATTTTTGTATTTTTAGTAGAGATGGGGTCTTACCATGCTGGCCAGGCTGGTCTCGAACTACTGACCTCAGGTGATCCACCTGCCTTGGCCTCCCAAAGTTCTAGGATTACAGGCGTGAGCTACCGTCCCCAGGAAGACAGATTATTGTTCTGTCACCCAGGCTGGAGTGCAGTGGCGCAGCCACGGTTCACTGCAGCTTTGACCTCCAGGGCTCAAGCAATCCTTCCACCTCAGCCTCCCTAGTAGCTGGGACCACAGGTGTGTGCCATCACACCTGGCTAATTTGTTTTTAGAGACGGGGTCTCACTCTGTTGCCCAGGCTGGTCTCAAACTCCTGGCCTCAAGCAATCCTCCCACCACAGCCTCCCAAAGCCTGGGATTACAGGTGTGAGCCACCATGCCCAAACAATTTTTCTGATTTTTCTTGCATGAATATGCTTCACTTTTACAATAGAAAAAAACTTTAAAATAATTGTTTAACCAACATAGGTGAAAAAGAAAGGAACAATATTTAAAGTAGTACAGTTTAAAAAATTTAAAAAGTAGCAGAGTTTACTATTACTTGGTTTTAAAATACTATTTATGGCTGGGCACGGTGGCTCACGCCTGTAATCCCCCCACTTTGGGAGGCCGAGGTGGGCAGATCACGAGGTCAAGAGATTGAGACCATCTTGGTCAACATGGTGAAACCCCGTCTCTACTGAAAATACAAAAAATTAGCTGGGCGTGGTGGTGCACGCCTGTAGCCCCAGCTACTCAGGAGGCTGAGGCAGGGGGATTGCTTGAACCTGGGAGGCAGAGGTTGCAGTGAGCCGAGATGGCACCACTGCACTCCAACCTGGCGACACAGCAAGACTCCGTCTCAAAAAAAAAAAAAACCACACGACTATATACTGTATATACCATCTCATTTGATTTGTTTATTCAGGAAATTTTAATTGAGCCCCCATCTTATTCTAAGCATAGTTAGAGGTGCAGGGAGTAAAGCAGTGAACCAGGAACCCTAGGTTCATGGAGCTTACATTCTAAGAGGTACTCAGTGGATAAACAAGGAAGTAAATAAACAAGGTAACTTCATTATAGCAAGTGGTATAAAGAAAATGAAACAGGGTCATGTGATACAGAGTGGTTGAAGGAAGAGGAGAGAAACATACAGTGGACTTGAAAGGTCAATCTGAGGCCAGGCGGGGCGGCTCACACCTGTAATCCCAGCACTTTGGGAGGCCGAGGTGGGTATCACCTGAGGTCGGGAGTTCTAGAGCAGCCTGACCAACATGGAGAAACCCCATCTCTACCAAAAATACAAAATTAGCTGGGCATGGTGGCGGGCACCTGTAATCCCAGCTACTCAGGAGGCTGAGGCAGAAGAATTTCTTGAACCTGGGAGGCAGAGGTTGCGGTGAGCCGAGATTACGCCATTGCACTCCAGCTTGGGCAACAAGAGCGAAACTCCATCTCAAAAAAAGAAGGAAAGAAAGAAAGGTCTGAGGCCAGGCATGTGTCACACCTGTAATCCCAGCACTTTGGGAGGGCGAGGCAGGCAGATTGCTTGAGGTCAGGAGTTCGAGACTAGCCTGGCCAACATGGCAAAACCTTGTCTCTACTAGAAATACAAAAATTAGCCAGGCATGGTGGCACACACTTGTAATCCCAGCTACTTGGGAGGCTGAGGCAGGAGAACTGCTTGAACCCGTGAGGCAGAGGTTGCAGTGAGCCAAGATCATGCCACTGCACTCCAGCCTTGGCGACAGAGTGGGACTCCAGCTCAAAAATAAATAAATAAAAAAGAAAGATCAGTCTGAGGAGGCGACATTTTAGATGACACGTAAAATATGAGAAGGAATCAGCCGATCAAAAAATTGGCAGGGTTTTCCAGAGAATGGGAAGAACAAGTGCAAAGGCCCTGAGGTAGGAAGTCCAAAATAGTTGAAAATGCTTCCAGAACTTCAAAGATAGAATTCCCCAGGGAGCTTATTAAACACACTACACAAAGCCAGGTGTGGTGGTGCGGGCCTGTAGTACCAGCTACTTGGGAGGCTGAGGTGGGAGGATCGCTTGAGCCCAGCAGTTCCAAACCATTCGGGGGAACATAGTGAGACCCAGTCTCAAAAAAATAGCCTGCCCTGGCAGGCTGGCAGCCGAGCGGGTGTTTATGTTGGGTCGCCGGGTCTCTGGCAGCCTGACAGACTACCTGATGAGCCAGGGCACCGGCTGCGTGCCCGAGGACGGGCTCACCACGCAGCAGCTCTTCGCCAGAGCCGACAGCCTCACCTACAACGAGTTCCTGATTCTCCCAGGATTCATAGACTTCATAGCTGATGAGGCGGACCTCACCTCAGCCCTTACCTGGAAGATCACGCTGAAGACGCCGCTGATCTCCTCCTCCATGGACACTGTGACAGAGGGCAACATGGCCATCACGATGGCTCTGGTGGGAGGTATTGGTTTCATTCACCACAACTGCACCCCAGAGTTCCAGGCCAAGGAGGTGCGGAAGGTCAAGAAGTTTGAACATGGCTTCATCACGGACCCCATGGTGCTGAGCCCCTCGCACCCTGTGGGTGATGTGCTGGAGGCCACGATGCGGCATGGCTTCTCTGGTATCCCCATCACTGAGACAGGCACCATGGGCAGCAAGCCGGTGGGCATCGTCACTTCCCGAGACATCGACTTTCTTGCTGAGAAGGACCACACCACCCTCCTCAGTGAGGTGATGATGCCAAGGATTGAGCTGGTGGTGGCTCCAGCAGGAGTGATGTTGAAAGAGGCAAATGAGATCCTGCAGCAAAGCAAGAAAGTGAAGCTGCCTATCGTCAATGACGATGATGAGCTGGTGGCCATCATTGCCCTCACCGACCTGAAGAACCGAGACTACCCTGTGGCCTCCAAGGATTCCCATGAGCAGCTGCTGTGTGGGGCAGCTGTGGGCACCTGTGAGGATGACAAATACCGCCTGGACCTGCTCACCCAGGCGGGTGTCGACGTCATAGTCTTGGACTTGTCCGAAGGGAACTTGCTGTATCAACTGCCATGGTGTATTACGTCAAACAGAAGTACTCCCACCTCCAGGTGATTGGGGGGAACGTGGTGACAGCAGCCCAGGCCAAGAACCTGATTGATGCTGGTGTGGACGGGCTGTGTGTGGGCATAGGCTGCGGCTCCCTCTGCATCACCCAGGAAGTGATGGCATGTGGTTGCCCCCAGGGCACTGTGTGTACAAGGTGGCTGAGTATGCCCGGCACTTTGGTGTGCCCATCATAGCCGATGGTGGCATCCTGACTGTGGGGCACGTCAAGGTGCCGGCCCTTGGTGCCTCCATAGTGATGATGGGCTCCCTGCTGGCTGCCACCTCGGAGGCCCCCAGCGAATAGTTCTCAGATGGGGTGCGGCTCAAGAAATACTGGGGCACAGGCTTGCTGGATGCCATGGAGAAGAGCAGCAGCAGCCAGGCACGATACTTCAGTGAGGAGGATAAGGTGAAGATCACACAGGGTGTCTCGGGCTCCATCCAGGACAAAGGGTCCATTCAGAAGTTTGTGCCCTACCTCATAGTGGGCATCCAGCATGGCTGCCAGGATATCAGGGCCCGCAGCCTGTCTGTCCTTTGGTCCATGATGTACTCAGGAGAGCTCAAGTTTGAGAAGCGTACCATGTCGGCCCAGATTGAGGGTGGCGTCCATGGCCTGCACTCTTAGGAGAAGCGGCTGTACTGACAGCAGTGGAGGCCGAGGTGGTGGAGGGGGCACCCCCCAGTGTCCACCTTCGGGCATAGCCTCCCTCCATCACTGAGTGGTCCACAGATTTGCACTACGGGTTCCCCAGCTCCTTTCCAGGGAGAGAGGAGGCGAAGTTGTGAGGGGTCTGTGACCCCTCGCTGGGCATCCCCTGCAGAGTCAGGACTGCTCCCTGGGCCAGGCTGCCCTGGGAGGCCCCCAGAGCCCAGCCAGCTGGGCTTTCAGGCCCTACGCCTGCTTCAGGTCTTGCTGCAGCCTGCTGCAGCCTGGCCCCCACCCCAGGGGCAGGCAGCCCCTCCTGGCTTCTCCTGTAGGGCACTTCCCTGCCCCCAGTCCCCCAGGAAATGGTGCTCTCCTGGCCCTGCCTCTGGCCTACTGCCCCCTCAGCCATGTGGCACTTCTGAGCTCCTGACCTAGGCTAAGGGGAGGTCTCTGCCCCCTTCCCCGGCCCTGGGCTACCCTTGGGTCCTGCTCCTCAGGCCACTCCCCTGTCCCTGGCCCTGGGGAGAAGGCTGCTCTGGTCATGGCTGCCTGCCCCTCATTCCTGACTCACCACCGTCCCCAGGTGTACCATTCCTGCCCTCTCCTCAGCTGTAGTTGAAGGCTTTAACTTTGCACACTTTGGGATCATAGTTGCGTCATTGTGTATTAAATAATCAGAATAAATCAAGCAGGTCTCAATGCCAATAATAATAATAATAATAATAATAATAAAAATCAACACACTACACACAGCTTCAGGTGCCTCCTCTAAAGATCCTGATTTCATGCGTCTGAGATAAGGCCTGGAAACTTGGATTTCTTTCAGGAAGTCTCCTGGTGATTCTTATCCACAGAGTGATTTGTGTCGCGCTGTTCTGGAATGTGACGAGGAAAGAGTTGATTGCTAGAGAAGTAGCTACTGAGAATAGAAGGGTATGCATGGGCAAGATGGCGCGCTTCAAGAGCACAATAGAGAGGGGTTTTGTTGTTGTTTTGAGAAAGGGTCTCACTCTGTCACCCAGGCTGGAGTGCAGTGGTGGGATTTTAGCTCACTGCAACCTCCACCTCCCAGGCTCAAGAGATTCTCCCACCTCAACCTCCAAGTAGCTGGGAGTAGCTGGGACTACAGGGGTACACCTCTGCTCCCAGCTAATTTTTTGTATTTTTCGTGGAGACGGGGTTTTGCCATGTTGCCCAGGCTGGTCTCGAACTCCTGAGCTCAGGTGATCTGCCCACTTAGGCCTCCCAAAGTGGTGGGATTACAGGCGTGAGCCACTGCGCCCAGCCAGGAGGGTTTTTTTTTTTTTTTAAACATTTATTGATTTATTTTAGAGACAGGGTCTCCCTATGTTGCCCAGGCTGCAGTGCAGTGGCTATTCACAGGCGCAATCACAGCTTGCTACAACCTCGAACTCCTGGATTCAACCAATCCTCCCACCTCAGCCTCCTGAGTAGCTGGGACTACAGGCATGCACCACCACGCCAGGATGGGAGTTTGGTTTTGATCCATTTGCAAAGAGCAGCTGTGAAAGGACAGCAAAGGAAAGAAGTCACATGATTGGCTCTTTGGTGAGAATGATTGGAAGTAGCAAGAACAGATGTAGAATGAAAAACTAGGAGGTTACTGCACTGTCCTGGTGAGAGAAGATGGCGGCCTGGACTAGTGGCAGTGAGCAGATGCGAAATGGACATAGATGGGGGATCTATTTCAGATCACAGCCTACAGAAGATCCTGTCTGCCTTCAACAGAAGGACTTTGTCTAGGTGTGCTGTTGACATAAAGTGACCTTGTGAGGCCATCCACAGGAAGCCACACCAGCAGGAGGGGAGGCTATTTTAGCTGGTCAGAGCTGAGCAGACTAAAAAGGCAACATGCTTTACAGTGATTATTTTAGACACCTGCTACAATCAGAGGTAACTCTCTTCTCTGGGCTAAACCAATTAGGAGTTATTAACTTTTCTACTTACATTGTATTTATTTTTCAAGATGTAGTATATTCATATGGTTAAATTTTAAGTTACAAAGGAGCATATGGATTAAAAGTCTCCTTCATATGCCCGTTTCCTAGCCATCTTGTCACCCTTCCCATCAGCAACCAAAGTTATTCATTTCTTGGGTATCCTTCCAGAGTTATCTATATCAGGTATGTTCATTTCCTGAGGCTGCTGCAACAACTTACCAAAAACTTGGTGGCTTAAAACAACAGAAATTTATTCTCTGATGGTTAAGGAGGCAAGAAATCCAAAATCAAGGTGTTGGCCATGTTGCTTCCTTCTGGGGGCTCTGAGTGAGAATCTATTCCATGCCTGTCTCCCAGCTGCTGGTGTCTGCTGACAACCTTCGGAGTTTCTTGGCTTGTAGGAGTGTAAGTCCACACTCTGCTTTCACATCATATGTCCTTCTTTCCTGTCTTTTTGTGCTTGTACTCAAGTCTCTCCCCACTTTCTCTCTCTTTTTTTTTTTTTTCTTTTGAGATGGAGTCTCGCTCTGTCGCCCAGGCTGGAGTGCAGTGGCGCGATCTTGGCTCACTGCAACCTCTGCCTCCCGGGTTCAAGTGATTCTCCTGCCTCAGCCTCCAGAGTAGCTGGGATTACAGGCGCCCGCCACCACGCCTGGCTAATTTTTGTATTTTTGGCCAGGCTGGTCTTGAACTCCTGACCTCATGATCCACCCACCTCGGCCTCCCAAAGTGCTGGGATTACAGGCGTGAGCCACCGCGCCCAGCCCCCCCTTTCTCTCATAAGGACGTCAGTCATTGAACTATTTAGAGCACACCCTGAATCCAGAATGATCTCATTTTGAGATCTCAGTTATATCTGCAAAGACCCTGTTTCCAAATCAGATCACATTCACACATAAGAGGGGGGTTGGGACTTGAATATCTTTTTGGAGCCACTATTTAACCCACTACCCTAGGGGCTGGCAAACTTTTTCTGTAAATGGCCAGAGAGTAAATATTCTAGGTTTTGTGGATGGTATGATATTTGTAGCAATTACTCAATCCCATGGTAGTGAAAAAGTGGCCACATACAATATAGACACAAATGGGCATGATTGTGTTTCAATAACACTTTATTTACAAAAACAGATCTCAGGCTGTATTTGTCCCAAGGAGGTCATAGTTTTCTTTTTCATTTTCTTTCTTTCTTTTTTTTTTTTTGAGACGCAGTTTTGCTCTTGTTGCCCAGGCTGGAGTGCAATGGTGCGACCTCAGCTCACTGCAACCTCTGCTTCCCAGGCTCAAGTGATTCTTCTGCCTCAGCCTCCCGAGTAGCTGGGATTACAGGCAAGCACCATGAAGCCTGGCTTTTTTTTTTTCTTTGTATTTTTAGTAGAGATGGGGTTTCACCATATCGGCCAAGCTAGTCTCCAACTCCTGAGCTCAGATGATCTGCCCACCTCGGCCTTCCGAAGTGCTGGGATTACAGACATGAACCACCACACCTGGCTAGTTTTCTAACCTCTGATTTATACTATACAAGTAAGTATGAGCATGTGTTTGCATGGGTATTAATTTTCACCCTGTTTACACAAATGTAGCATACTGTACACTCTGTTCTGTACTGTGCTTCTTTATCTAGGTCTTAGTGATCTTTCCCTGTGAGTACATAAAGAACTTCCTCTCTTTGTTCAGCAACATCATAGTCCACTCTGTGGACACACCGTATTTTATTTAAGTAGACCTTTCTTGCTGAACATTTGTTTCCATTCTCTTGCTATTGCATAACTGCTATGAATAAATAGGTTCAAATATCACTTCTACATTGTATCTGTAGAATAAATTTCTAGAAGTGCAATGGCTAGGTCAAAAACTATGTACAACAACTAGATGCAATAATATGAATAAATCTTACAAACAGAATATTAAGCAAAAGAAGCCTGAATAATTCCTTTTATATTAAGCAGAAACACAGACAAAACTAACTTTTGCTGTTAGAAGTCAGAATATTGATATTCTTGGGGTTATAAAACATGAAGGCAGCCTGGGCATAGTGGCTTATGCCTATAATCCCAGCACTTTGGAAGGCCGAGGCAGGCGGATCACTTGACACCAGGAGTTCGAGACTAGCCTGGCCAACATAGTGAAACTGTGTCTCTACTAAAAATACAAAAATTAGTTGGGTGTGGTGGCACATGCCTATAATCCCAGCTACTTGGGAGGCTGAGACAGGAGAATTGTTTGAAACTGGGAGGCAGAGGTTGCAGTGAGCCCAGAAGATCACACCACTGCACTCCAGCCTGGGGGACAGAGCGGGACACTGTCTCACCAAAAAAAAAAAAAAAAAATAGTTTTAATAAAATTAAAAAAAAAACTAAGCAAAGAAATCAAAATTCCAGAACACTAACAGATGGCCAGCCAAAAGCTTTTCTCTATTCCTTTATTCTCTCTTTATAATATTAAACATTAAGGAATTACCACACTGGAGCCGGGTGTGGTGGCTTTAGCCCTCCCAACATTTTGGGAGGCCAAGGCAGGAGGATCCTTTGAGGCCAGAGATTCAAGACCAGCCTGGGCAACATGGTGAAGCCCCATCTCTACCCAAAATACAGAAATTAGCCGGGCGTTGTGGTGCACGCCAGTACTCTTGGCTGCTTGGGAGACTGAGTCAGGAGGATCACTTGAGCCTGGGAGGTGGAGGCTGCAGTGAGCCGAGATCTCGCCACTGCACTTTAGCCTGGGTGATAGAGTGAGACCCTGTCTCAAAAAAAAAAAAAAAAAAAATTACCACACTGGCTTTAGCTTTTGGTTGGATTAGTGAGTTGAACTGTGCCCCCATAAAGGATATAAACCTCCCCTTGTGAATGTGATCTGATTTGGAAATAGGATCTTTGCAGATGTAATTAAAATCTCGACATGAGATTATTCTCGTTTATGGTGAACCCTAAATCCAATGACTAGTGTTCTTATAAGGGAAAGCATAGAGAGATTGGTGCATACAGACACAGAGAAGGCAGTGATGTGAAGACAGGCAGAGATTGCAGTGATGTGTTTATAAGCCAAGAAATGCCAAGGTTTGCCAGCAACCACTGCAAGCCAGGAGAGAAGCATGGAACAGATTCTTCCTCCAAATCTCCAGAAAGAATCAACCTGGCTGACGCTTTGATTTCAGACTTCCAGACTCTTGAACTGTGAGAGAATACATTCCTGGTTTTTAAAGGTTACCAAGTTTGTGGTAATTTGTTACATATAGCACCCCTGGGAAATGTATATAGTACAGTTGGTCTGGGATTGGTCTTCTCTTGGTGACCAGTTCTATCTTTTCTAATCTTAACTATTCTAGTTAGGAGTGACTTGATTTAGGAAAAAAATAATAATAAGGCAGTAGAGGCTGGGTGTGGTGGCTCACACCTGCAATCCCAGCACTTCGGGAGGCTGAGGCAGGTGGATCATCTGAGGTCAGGAGTTCAAGTCCAGCTGGGCCAACATGGTAAAACCCCATCTCTACTAAAAATACAAAAATTAGCTGGGTGTGGTGGCGGGCGCCTGTAGTCCCAGCACTTTGGGAGGCTGAGGCAGGTGGATCACTTGAGATCAAGAGTTCAACCTGGCCAACATGGCAAAACTCCATCTCTACTAAAAATACAAAAATTAGCTGGGTGTGGTGGCACACGACTGTAATCCCAGCTACTCGGGAGGCTGAGGCAGAAGAATTGCTTGAACCTAGGAGGCGGAGGTTGCAGTGAGCCAAGATTGCGTCACTGCACTCCAGCTTGGGTGACGGAGTGAGACTCCGTCTCAAAAAAAAAAAAAAGAAACGGAGGTTCTTGTTGGTAACCCCTAATTGCTTCAGAAAGACTCAAGTGTTCTTACTTCATGTGCTACAGAAACGAGGCTCAGGTAAGAGCTAATCATGATTCCACTACCTCATTTGGGATGAGGTCATAGGTGGGTCCCTTTCTGTTCTTTGGTAGCAAAATTAGAAAGTAAACATTAATTTGGACTGGGATTTCTTTTAGGAATGTTGCAAATGTGAGCTTACTTAAATTGTATACCAAATCTTATTGATTTCCCACAAAAGAAGAAAAAAAATTAATTGAATGGAGGTGGGGAGACATTTTGACATTTGCCATATATTAGCTATTCTATTCCATGTTTTAACTATATCCCAGATTCCCCTTCTGTCTGGGAGATTTTTCTCTTTGGGTGGGTTTGGTTTAGGCAGGGCCCAGCCTCCTTCTGTGGAAATCCTACAGGGAAATACACTTCATTTCCCTGGAAACCTGGCAATAAGGATTCAGGCATGTGACCTTGGACCAGCCAATGGGCTGCTCCTATCTGAGGCATTTATTTCCTCTGGGAGGAATGACCCAAAGATGCGGGGCAGAGATTATTCATGGTGGCAGAGCAAAGGATACAGAGCCATGGCATTAATGGTGGTCTCCCCTCCCGTCCCCTCCCCTCCCTTTCCTTTCCTTTTTGAGGCAGAGTTTCACTCTTGTCGCCCAGGCTGGAGTGCAATGGCACGTTCTCGGCTCACTGAACCCTCCGCCTCTGGGGTTCAAGCTATTCTCCTGCCTCAGCCTCCCAAGTAGCTGAGATTACAGGCGCCTGCCACCATGCCCGGCTACTTTTTGTATTTTTAGTAGAGACAGGGTTTCACCATGTTGGCCAGGCTGGTCTCAAACTCCTGACCTCAGGTGATTCACTCGCCTCGGCCTCCCAAAGTGTTGGGATTACAGGCGTGAGCCACCGTGCCCGGCCTGGAAGATATATTCTTTTTTTTTTTTTTTGAGACGGAGTCTCGCTCTATCACCCAGGCTGTAGTGCAGTGGCGCCATCTCAGCTCACTGCAACCTCCGCCTCCCAAGTTCAAGCGATTCTCGTGGCTCAGCCTCCTCAGTAGCTGGGACTACAGGCGCGTGCCACCACGCCTAGCTAATTGTTGTATTTTTAGTAGAGACGGGGTTTTGCTGTGTTGGCCAGACTCATCTAACTCCTGACCTCAGGTGATCCACTCGCCTCTGCCCCTCAAAGTGCTGGGGTTACAGGTATGAGCCACGGCCCCGGCTGATATATTCTTATAATGTGGTTTTCAGGCCTTACCTCTCTATTGACCTCTCCCGAACATACATAGTTTAATTTCTCAGTTTTCCCATGTAAGGTATGGTACACAGCAGTGAGTCTAATACCACAAGTATGGACCTGCTTCCCACCCCAATATAATTCAGATGGGTCTCATATTGTGTTTCAACCCAGCCAACTTCCCACCCCCAGTGATAAGGACTCTACCCTCTGAGTTCACATAGTACATTGCTGCCATAGCACAAATTGCTTTGTATTGAAATGATCGCTTTAACTTGGGAAAATAGCATAATGCAAATCAGATAAATGCAAATTAGAATAACAGTGGGAATGTCAGGGTTTTGATTTTGTTTTGCCAATTTGTTTTTCTTTTGAGACAGGGTCTCACTCTGTCACACAGGCTGGAGTGCCGTGGCTGAATCATACCTCACTACAGCTTTGATCGCCTGGGCTCAGGTGATCCTTCTGCCTCAGTCTCCCAAAGTGCTGGGATTACAAGCTTGAGCTACTACACCCATTCTAGTTTTCGTTTTTAAATAATAATCCTTGGCTGGGCACAGGGGCTCGCGTCTGTAATCCCAGCACTTTGGGAGGCTGAGGCAGGTGGATCACCTGGGGTTGGTTTAGTTTTGTACTAAAAATACAAAAATTAGCCGGGTGTCGTGGCACACATCTGTAGTCCCAGCTACTCGGGAGGCTGAGGCAGGAGAACTGCTTGAACCTGGGAGGTGGAGGTTGCAGTGAGCCGAGATTGCACCACTAGACTCCAGCCTGGGTGTGACAAGAGTGAGACTCCATCTCGGAAAAAAAAAAAAAAAAAGCATTAAAAGCACATCCTTCCAATAAAAAAAGCTTTAAAAAAAACCTTTTGTTATTAAAGCTCAATATACTGTGTGCTGTGGATTCCCTGGATCTCCTTTTACATGTCTGTGGCCTTTCTTATAATTTCCTCTGTTATTGATCTCTCTTCTAAACACCTGCCCATTAATATCTTAATTTCACTGGACACAGGTTTCTTTGAGTAGCATTTCGTATTTCTTCCTTAACCAGATCATTGGAGTTTGTAGGTCAGAATCTGGTTCTAACCATCTCCTACTCTTCTGAAACCATATCCGTTTTTATAGTTTCTATTGTAGGATCATATTATTTATTTATTTATTTATTTATTAGCAGAATTTTGCTCTTGTTGCCCAGGCTGGAGTGCAATGGTGTACTCTCAGCTCACGGCAACCTCCACCTCCCAGGTTCAAGCGATTCTCCTGCCTCAGCCTCCCGAGTAGCTGGGATTACGGGCATGCGCCATCACACCTGGCTAATTTTGTATTTTTAGTAGAGACAGGGGTTTCTCCATGTTGGTCAGGCTGGTCTCACACTCCTGACGTCAAGTGATCCACCCGCCTTGGCCTCCCAAAGTGTGGGATTACAGGTGTGAGCCACCATGCCCAGCCTATATGTTTTTTATGATCTATTTTTTTCAATCTAAAAAGTAATTCCTGGGCAACCCCCTTTGGGTCCCCTCCCTTTGCATGGGAGCTCTGTTTTCACTCTATTTCACTCTATTAAATCTTGCTACTGCACTCTTCTGGACCATGCTTGTTACGGCTCAAGCTGAGCTTTCGCTCGCCGTCCACCACTGCTGTTTGCTGCCGTGGCAGACCCGCCACTGACTTCTATCCCTCCAGATCCGGCAGGGTGTCCGCTGTGCTCCTGATCCAGCGAGGCGCCCATTGCCGCTCTGGATCGGGCTAAAGGCTTGCCATTGTTCCTGCATGGCTAAGTGCCCGGGTTCATCCTAATCGAGCTGAACACTAGTCACTGGGTTCCACGGTTCTCTTCCGTGACCCACGGCTTCTAATGGAGCTATAACACTCACCGCATGGCCCAAGATTCCATTCCTTGGAATCCATGAGGCCAAGAACCCCAGGTCAGAGAACAGGAGGCTTGCCACCATCTTGGAAGCGGCTTGCCACCATCTTGGAAACTTTGTGAACAAGGACCCCTGGTAACATTTTGGAGACCCTGAAGGGACCTCCAAAGCGTTTGTCTCTTCCAGAATCAAAGCTGCAAAACTACAAATCATTCTTCAAATGCAGCCCCAGATGCAGTCTATGACTAAGATCTACCGCGGACCCCTGGACTGGCCTGCTAGCCCATGCTCCGATGTTAATGACATCGAAGGCACCCCTCCCCAGGAAATTTCAACTGCACAACCCCTACTACGCCCCAATTCAGCAAGAAGCAGTTAGAGCAGTCGTCGGCGAACCTCCCCAACAGCACTTGGGTTTTCCTGATGAGAGGGCGGACTGAGAGACAGGACTAGCTGGATTTCCTAGGCCGACTAAGAATCCGTAAGCCTAGCTGGGAAGGTGACCGCATCCACCTTTAAACACGGGGCTTGCAACTTAGCTCAAACCCAACCAATCAGAGAGCTCACTAAAATGCTAATTAGGAAAAAATAGGAGGTAAAGAAATAGCCAATCTATTGCCTGAGAGCACAGCGGGAGGGACAAGGATCGGGATATAAACCCAGGCATTTGAGCTGGCAACGGCAACCCCCTTTGGGTCCCCTCCCTTTGTATGGGAGCTCTGTTTTCACTCTATTTCAATCTATTAAATCTTGCAACTGCAAAAATAAATAAATAAATAAACAAATAAAAAGTAATTCCTGCTTATAATAGAAAGTTTAGAAACAGAAAAAAAAAAGCACAATATGGCAGATTAGAAACTGCTGGCTATCTCTCAGTATGCATTCTCCCCTTCTTGCTTGAGACACTCAAATAATACCTGCACTGCTCAGAATAAACTGTATGTTTCCTGATCTCCTTTACACCTGGATGTGATCCTGTGAGCATCTTTTGGTCAGTGGAATGTGAGCAGAGTGATGTGCATAACCTGCAGATTTTGTCCTTGAACCTCCCACTACTCCTTTTCCCTGGTCTTACCAGTCAGAATGCAATCAGCAGGTAGGGTGGCAAGCCATCTTCAGCCACGCGAACTAGGGCATCACTCTAGATATGGCCCCCAATAAGACATCAGGAGCCTGGGTAACAGATATTGCAGAGACACTATATCAGCTCTAGAATGTATATGCTCAGGCTGTGGAATGAGAGATGCATTTGTATCTCATTTAAGTCACTAATATTTTTGGATTTCTTTGTTACAGCAATGTCACCTGTATTTTAATTAATAAAAATATCAATTCAACAAGGATTTATGCCAACTACAATGCTTACACCCTGCTCAGAGCTATGTGATAATAATCATAACTGCAAAATTATGTAGTTTTTTTAAGTTATTTTATTTATTTTTTAAGAGATGAGGGTCTCACTCTGTTGCCCAGGCTGGAGTGCAGTGGCGTAATCACAGTTCACTGCAGCCTCAAACTCCTGGGCTCAAGCAATTCTTTTGCTTCAGCCTCCTGGGTGCCTAGGACTACAGATACCACCATGCCTGGCTAATTAAAAAAAATTTTTTTTTTGTAGAGACAGGGTCTTGCTGTGTTGCTTAGGTTGGTCTCAAACTGACCTCAAGCGATCCTCCCGCCTTGGTCTCCCAAAGTTCTAGGATTACAGGGGTGAGCCACTACACCTGGCCTATGTAGTTGTTTATTACGTAGGGTACTGAGTACTGCAGAACTCTCAGCACAACTTGGTTCCAAATCCCTGCACTAACAGACTTGACCAAACTCTAGCATGGCTTCTAGCAGTATAAGGCTATGTCAGCCTTCTCCCCCAAACCCCCCATTAAAATGCCTGCTTAAGAAAGCTCAAAGCTCCCAGGAAAATTTACTATTTGTTGTTGCCAGTACCTGATGATAGGCCCCTGACCTCCTTTTCTTAGAGCATTTACTAAAAGGGCTTAGAATTGTAAATATGTATTACTTACAACTCAGAAGTCCTTCTCAAGGACTTAGAGAGCCATTCCTTTGAAATGTAATCATCAGGAAGGATAGGGCCTCTGACTCCCAGTCTCTGTGGGAGGATAGAATCCTAACTTAGATAACTGCCAGCTAGCAGACACGACTGGCCTAATGGTATTTACACTGACCAACCCTTTGTAATTTTCACTTCCCTGGCTCTAATGAGCGCCCCCCCCCCCCCAACTCCTCCCTGCTTCCTCATTCTTCTTTCCAAATGCCCAAATTACCTCTGCACAATTGGAATGGAGCTCAGCTCTTTCCCCTACTGTCAATAGTTGCTGAATAAAATCTGTTTTCATCGCTTTGACTGATGGTCAACGGCTATGTTTATTTTTGACAGTACCTATGTTCTGCCAGGCACTATGCTAAGTGTTTTGCAGAGATTAGTTTATTTAATTTTCACTGCAGCACCCATTAGATAAGCACTCTACTATTATTATCCTCATTTTGCAAAGAAACTGACGCTCAGAAATCCTAGTGTTACTTATCCAAGGTCACTCAGGGTAGTAAGTAGCCAAGATAAGATTTGAGTGTGTTTCTGACTACAGCACTATTTATACTATTCTACCTCTCAGGGCAAGACCCATGCCCTGGAAGAGCTCATGGCAGAGGTAGAGACAGATTGAGTTGCTGAGCATGCTACTGCTTTTCAAGACATATGAATAAAAGTTGTGACAAAACAGGAAAAAAAGCTCCAGGAAGATGGAAGCCAACAATAAACTCTTCCTGGGAAAAGCTGCAAATAAGGCATGTGAAAGAATGCATCAGACAGAGTGTACATACATCTTGTGCAAAGGCTTGGGGTATCAAAGGAAGAATAAGACACTCAGTGACAAGAGTATGGCGGCGGGGAGGGTGGCCGAGGCGGGCAGATCACTTGAGGTCAGGAATTTGAGACCAGCCTGGCCAACATGGTGAAACCTCACCTCCACAAGAAAATACACAATTTAGCTGGGGTGGTGGGGGCGGAGGTTGCAGTGAGTCAAGATTGCACCACAGCACTCCAGCCTGGGCGACAGAGTGAGACTCTTATCTCAAAAAAAAAAAAAAAAAAAAAAAAAAAAGTATAGGGTATGCGGGAAATAATGAAATCAGATTTTTTTAACAAAAAATCATAGTTGCTAACATTTATATTATATGCTACCAACTATTCTAAGTACTTTATATACATAAACTCAACTAATCCTCATAATGACCCTATGAGGTAGTAGCATTATCTTTAACTTCATTTTACAGATGAGGAAAGTGAGACACAGAAGAGTGAAGTAACTTTGCCCAAGGTGACCCAACTGGCAAGTTGTAGAACCTACCCAGCCTAGCTTCAAAGTCCTATAGTAAGTAGTTTGTGCCCAATCAGGATAAGAAACTACACAGTAGGTCAAGCAAGGGAAGTTAAATGTAAAGAACTATTAATTATGTTAGCTGCGCACGGTGGTGCGTGCCTGCAGTCTCAGCTACTCAGGAGGCTGAGGCTGGAGGATCACTTGAGCCCAGGAGTTTGAGGCTGTAGTGAGCTATGATTGCACCACTGCACTCCAGCCTGGGTGACAGAGGGAGACCCTGTCCCCCACCAAAAAATTATTATTAACTATGATAAAGGCATAACGATAACACATAAGGAAACTCTATTCAGTACCTTACCGTATAGAAGGTAGGGTTAGGGAGGACCCTGGTTTTTGTGTCAAGAGGCTGAAGAAAGGTTATTGCCAGGCTAAACCTGCAAGGTTAGGAAGGGACCATGTTCTGAGTCTGGGGCTGGGGCAGACTCCACAAGGATGTTCTCACCACTACACCTGTCCCACTCACTTTAAATGGAGCATTTAGACCATTTACATTCAATGTTAGGATTGACTTGTGAGGTACCATTCCATTCATCGTGCTTTGTTGCCTGTGTACCTTGTTTTTTTTTGTTGTTTTTTAAATTGTATTTTTGTTGTATAGGTCCTGTGTGATTTATGCTTTAACGAGGTTCTGTTTTGATGTGTTTCCAGGATTTGTTTCAAGATTTAGAACTCCTTTTAGCAGTTCCTGTAGTGGTGGCTTGGTAGTGGCAAATTCTCTCACCATTTGTCTGAAAAAGACTGTATCTTTCCTTAATATATGATGCTTAGTTTCGCTGGATACAAAATTATTGGCTGATAATTGTTTTGTTTGAGGAGGCTAAAGATAGGGCCCCAATCCCTTCTAGCTTATAGGGTTTCCCACTCACTTTAAAGGAGAAATGTTTACCAGAGTTGTTATATAGCATAGAGGCTATGTGGAAGTTTGTATTAGGAGCTGAGAGGCAATAAAATTGGTAATTGACACAGGAACTGTGCTCCAAGTCTTTAGGATTTATCAGCTTTGAGACTGAAGAGATTGGAGAATCCAACTGTGGATGGCTAAAATCAATGTAAACATCTCAGTTTTTATAATGGGAAGTACCCTGATTAGCTAGCTATGCTCATTGCAAATATAAACAATTCAGAAGACTGTAAAGTGTAAAGACCTTGAAACTGAAAGTCCCTGATATTAATATCATTCATTCACCAGAGATAAACACTATTTTTTTTTTTTGAGACGGAGTCTCACCCTGTTGCCCAGGCTGGAGTGCAATGGCACCATCTCGGCTCACTGCAACCTCCGCCTCCCGGGTTCAGGCGATTCTCTTGCCTCAGCCTCCCGAGTATCTGGGATTACAGGCGCGCGCCTCCACGCCCAACTAATTTTTGTATTTTTAGTAGAGACGGAGTTTCACCATGTTGGCCAGGCTCGTCTCGAACCCCTGACCTCGTGATCCACCCGCCTCGGTCTCCCAAAGTGCTGGGATTACAGGCGTGAGCCACCGCACCCGGCCCTAAACACTATTTTAACAATATGGTGTCTTTTCTTCCAGACTGCCAGTAATTGAACAAAATATATGATTAACACAAAAAGGATACCATATGGACTCTTTAAACTTTTTTTTTTCAAATTTACTGTATCAGGGAATTAATATATCTTTTCGAGCCAATAGCTACAGGCCTTCCAATTTAAAAGATTAAGTTACAATAGAGTGAGATTTGGGGTGCTATCCCTTTCGGAAAGCGTCCTCGATGCGGTCATATTGGAATTAACCTCCACTCCCCTCTTCTCTGGGCTCCCGCAGACTCCAGGCTGAGTGCAGAAGCGTGGATTTTCACACCCAAACCTCTGTTATTTCAGTGTCTCACCTGGCTTCTCCACAGCGCAGAAGCTCAGCCCCTGGTTGGAAGAGCCTCCCCGCGGAGATTCACAGCAAAGCGCCATTCAGGGCCCAACTCCAAGCCCAAACCTAGCTCCTCCCCAAGCCGCCGCCAGAGACCCCTCTTCTCCCAAAGCTCACCGGGGCCCCGCCCCTGACTCCGCCCACCAGAGCCCGGTCCTCCAGTCCCGCCCCATCCCGGGCCCCACCCACCAGCCGGGCTCCGCCTACCCGGAAGCGCGCTGTCCTCCTCGTCCCGGGCTCCGCCCACCGGGAGTTCGCGCCACTCACCCCACCCCGGACCCGCCCACTTCGCTTGGGCTCCACCCTCCCAGGAACTGGCGCCGCTTGCCCCGAGCTCCGCCTACTTCGTCCCGGGCTTCCCGCGCCGGGAACTCGTGCTGCTAGTCCCGCCCTGGCCCCGCCCACCGCGCTACTGGCCCCACCACCCGGAAACTGCCCCGGCCCTCTCCCCCCGGGCTCCGCCCACCCCACGCCGGGAACCCACGCGGGCCACTACAAGCCCGCCCTTTCCTACGTCTGGTCCAGTCGGTCTTCCTCCGGCCCGGGCCCTGGCCCAGCTAGCCGGCCATGGAAGGTAATGGCCCCGCTGCTGTCCACTACCAGCCGGCCAGCCCCCCGCGGGACGCCTGCGTCTACAGCAGCTGCTACTGGTGAGGGGGCGCGGGCGCAGCCTCTGGGTCTCCCAGGCTCCCGGGCGGCGAGTCGCAACCGGGCCCCGCCTCTTCCCGGCCCCTCCTCGGGGGCGCTCCCGGCCTCTACCGGCGGGTTCTACAGTTTTGCGGGAGGAGGGAGCGGGAATGGCAGCTCTCGTCTCTTGAGTAGAGCGTGGGCTATTGGATGGGGTTGGGAATTCGTCCGGAATCATAGGGTCGATAGTGCATTACCTGTGCCTGGCGCTTGTCGGTTGGATTTGCTCAGCAGATCTCTGCTTCGGGGCCAGGAAGGGTGGAGCTCTGAAAATCTTTGGGGGTTACTCTGCTGAAGCCTGTGGGGTTTCAGACTGAGGTGAAGGTCATTTTAATTTTGTAAGAGAATGAAGGCACGGAGAGTTTTTCATACAGCACTTGCTATATGCCACGCGTTGTTCTGGGTGGTTTAGGTAAACTAAATCACTGAGCATCACAATAACCGTAAGAGGTAGGTATTGTTATCCCCAGTTGAAAGATGAGAGCACTGAAGCACAGAGGGCTGCAAGTAATTTGCGCAGGGCCACGTAGCTTGTGAATGAAGGAGTGGGGATTTACAGTCAGGGTCTGGCCCCGGAATCCACGCAGTGCACCCCTGTCCTAGGCCACCTCTGCAGCTGAAGTACCGCCCTTGCCTTAGTCCTCATACCTACTCTTTCCTGAGTAATGGCTTCTTCCCCAGCTTCTAGTCCTTGTACAGGAAACCTCAGTGCTATCTAAACCTACTCCTCCCCCTTCTGCTGGTCACTAAACCAATGCCACCAAGAGCTTAACATTTGTTCGGCCCTGATTGCATGTCAGGCTCAGTGGCAGGTGCTTCCATCGATGTCCAGGAGGTACCTTCTTTTATTATCGTTATCCTCATTTTACTAATAAAAAGACTGAGCCACAGAGAGGCTGTTCTGTGCCCCCAAATCACACATCTAGCAAGTGGTGGTGCTGAAACTGGAACCTCTTCGTGATTCTGAAGTTCATGCATCTTAACTACTGCACTATTTTTCTGTCCTGCCTCTCTTCTAAATCCCGTTAGTTCTCCTCCCTAATGTCCAGTCATTGTTTTATTCATTCATTCAATAAATGTTTATTAGGCACTTGGAGTATGTGGCATACTTCTGGGCACTGGGGATATAGCAGTGAACAAAATCGACAAATTCCCTCATGGATCCCTTGGTTCTTTCATTTTGAGAGAAAAGCAGATAAGGCCCGGTGCGATGGCTCACGCCTGTAATTCCAGCACTTTGGGAGGCCGAGGTGGGCGGATCTCTTGAGGCCAGGAGTCTGAGACCAGCCTGGCCGACATGCAGAAACCCTGCCTCTACTAAAAATACAAAAATTAGCCAGGTGTGGTGGCGTGCACCTGTAATCCCAGCTACTCGGGAAGCTGAGGCAGGAAAATCGCTTGAACCTGGGAGGTGGAGGTTCCAGTGAGCTGATGCCACTGCCCCTTCCTGCCTGGGCAACAGAGCAAGACTCCATCTCAAAAAAAAAAAAAAAATAAAAAGCCAAAAAAACAAGTAAACCATGTTTGGGTGATGTTAAATACTATGAGAAAAATAAGATAAAGGATGGTGACTTATCTTCTATTAGGATATTTTGAGAAGACATTGTTGATAAGGTGATATTTGAAAAGAGATCTGAAAAAAGAGGGTGGGAGCTTTGCAACTATTGGAGGATGGTTGTTTAAGCAGGGAGAACAGCAGGTACAAAGGCTCTGAGAAGGAATGGTGCTGTGAGTGTGATAGGAACAGTGAGGAGGCTGGTACAACTGGAGTATTGGAGTTAGAGCAGTCTTGTAGAAGAATGGTAAGAGATGACCACTCTACCACAGAGTTTCTCCATCTTGGCTTGAGTGACATTTTGAGCATGATAATTCCTTGCTATGGAGGCTGTCCTGTGTATTGCAGGACGTGTAGCAGCATCCCTGGCTTCTACCCACTAGATACTGTTAGCACCCTAGCCCTAGTTATGACAACCAAAAATGTCTCCAGACATTGCTAAGTGTCCTGTAGGGGTTGGGGGGCAAAATCGCCTCTTGCTGAGAACCAGTGCTCTACCCTGTCTGAACACATCAGGTGGGGACACCACACTACTTTGGCTCCTGCAGCTTTGGGGGTTTTTTTTTTTTTTTTTTTTTTTTTTTTTTTTTTTGAGACAGAGTCTCAGTCTGTTGCCCAGGCTGGAGTGCAATGATGCCATCTTGGCTCACTGCAGCCTCCACCTCCCAGGCTCAAGCCATTCTTCTGCCTCAGCCTCCTGAGTAGCTGGGACTACAGGCACCCACCACCATGCCCAGCTAATTTTCGTATTTTTAGTAGAGACGGGGTTTCACCACATTGGCTGGGCTGGTCTTGAACTCCTGACCTCAGGTGATCCACCTGCCTCAGCCTCCCAAAATTCTGGGATTACAGGTGTGAGTCACCGTGCCCGGCCATCCTGCAGGTTTTTTAAGTTGAAATGAATGCCTCCTGTCTACTTCTGTTAGCTTCCGTCATGTTAGCTTCCAGATGTTACTTACGCTTCAAGACCCTGCTTAATGATAATAGTGGCAGCCAGTATTTGTTTGGGACTGTGTCGTCAGCAGAGCATTTCTGATTCTGACTTAATTGTTTTGTGTTTTTCAAACAATTGTGGAGTGCCTGCTTTGTGCCAGGGGTCCTCCCCATCTGCATGCATCTCTGACCTCAGCTCATCACTGGGAACCCCTGGAGTGTCCCAACCTTTCTGCTGCCAAGATGATCAGCTGACAGCTTGGGGCAAATCCACAGCCCTCCCTCCCTCCCTCCCTCCCTTCCTTCCTTCCTTTCTTCCCTCCCTCCCTCCCTCCTTCCTTCATTCCTTTCTTCCCTCCCTCCCTCTCTCCCTTTTTTGAGTCCCTTATGCTTTTGTTTAGAGTTTAAAGAACATTTCAGATATTATCCAATCACATATTTTGTTTGAGTTTTTTTCCCTTCCAACTTTTATTTTAGATTTGGGGTTACATGTGCAGGTTTGTTACATGGGTAAAGTGTATGTGTTGGGGGTTTGGTGTACAAATTATTTTGTCACCCAGATAGTGAGCATACTACCAGATAGATAGTTTTGATCCTCACCCTCCTGTCACCCTCTACCCTCAAGTAGGCCCCATGTCTACTGTTTCCTTTTTTGTGTCCATGTGTACTCAAGGTTTAGCTCCCACTTATACGCAAGAATATTCAGTGTTTGCTTTTCTGTCCCTGTGTTAATTCACTTGGGATATTGGCCTCCAGCTCCATCCATGTTGCTGCAAATGACATGATTTTTGTTCTTTGTCATTGCTGTGTAGTATTCCATGGTGGATGATATATACCACATTTTCTTGATCCAGTTCACCATTGATAGGTGCCTAGGTTGATTCTACATCTTTGCTATCATGAATAGTGCTGTGATGAACATATATGTGCATGTGTCTTAATAGTAGGATTTATATTCCTTTGGGTATATACACAGTAATGGGATTGCTAGGTCGCATCATAGTTCTGTTTCAAGTTCTTTGAAAAATCTCCAAACTGCTTTCCACAGTGGCTTAACTAATTTACATTCCCACCAGGAGTGTATAAGCATCCCCTTTTCTCCACCAACTTGCCAGCGTCTGTTATTTTTTGCCTTTTTTTTTTTTTTTTTTTGAGACAGGGTCTCACTCTGTCACCTAGGCTTACAGTGCAGTGGCATGATCATGACTCACTGCAACCTCAACTTCCTGGGCTTAAGTGATCCTCTCACCTCAGCTTCCTAAGTAGCTGGGAGTACAGGTGGGCATCACCACTTTTTTGACTTCTTAAATTATTTTTATTTGTTTATTTTTATTTATTTATTTATTTATTTAAGACGGATTCTTACTCTGTCACCAGGCTGGAGTGCAGTGGTGCAATCTAGGCTCGCTGCAACCTCCGCCTCCTGGGTTCAAGCGGTTCTGCTTCAGCCTCCTAAGTAGCTGGGACTACAGGCATGCACCACCATGCCCAGCTAATTTGTGTATTTTTAGTAGAGACGGGGTTTCACCATGTTGGCCAAGATTATCTTGATCTCTTGACCTCTTGGTCTGCCTGCCTCGGCCTCCCAAAGTGCTGGGATTATAGGCATGAGCTGCCGTACCCGGCCTATTTATTCATTTTTTTGAGACAGAATCTCACTCTGTCACCCAGGCTGGAGTGCAGTGGTGCAATCATGGCTCACTGCAGCCTCGACCTGGTGTCAATCAATTCTCCCACTTCAGTCTCCCGAGTAACTGGGGCTACAGGTGTGCACCACCATGCCCAGCTAATTTTTATATTTTTTGTAGTGTGGGGTTGTGCCATGTTGCCCAGGCTGGTCTTGAACTTTTGGGCTCAAGCAGTCTTCCTGCCTTGGCCTCCCGAACTGTTGGGATTACAGATGTGAGCTACTGCACCTGGCCTGACTTTAAGAATAGTCATTCTGACTGGAGTGAGATGGTATCTCATTGTGGTTTTGATTTGCGTTTCTCTAATGATTAGTGTTGTTGAGCATTTCTTCATATGCTTATTGGCCATGTGCATGTCTCTTTTTCCTTTTTTTTTTTTTTGAGATGGAGTCTTACTCTGTTGCCCAGGGTGGAGTGCAGTGGCTCGATCTCGGCTCACTGCAACCTCTGCCTCCCAGGTTCAAGTGATGCTCCCAGCTGAGCCTCCAGAGTAGCTGGGATTACAGGTGTGCACCACCATGCCCAGCTAAGTTTTGTATTTTTCTTTTCTTTTTTTTTTTTGAGACGGAGTCTTGCTCTGTTGCTCAGGCTGGAGTGCAGTGGCGTGATCTTGGCTCACTGCAAGCTCCGTCTCCTGGGTTCACACCATTCTCCTGCCTCAGCCTCCCGAGTAGCTGGGGCTGCAGGTGTCCACCACCACACCCGGCTAATTTTTTGTATTTTTTTTTAGTAGAGACAGGGTTTCACCGTGGTCTGGATCTCCTGACCTCGTGATCCGCCTGCCTCGGCCTCCCAAAGTGCTGGGATTACAGGCGTGAGCCACCGCGCCCAGCCTAAGTTTTGTATTTTTAATAGAGACAATGTTTCACCATGTTGGCCAGGCTGGTCTTGAACTCCTGACCTCAAGTGATCCACGCGCCTTGGCCTCCCAAAGTGCTGAGATTATAGATGTGAGCCACTGTGCCTATCTGCTTTTGAGAAGAAGTATCTGTTCATGTCCTTGGCCTATTTTTTAATGGGGTTGTTTTTTGCTTGTTTATTTAAGTTCCTTATAGATTCTGGATATTAGACTTTATCAGATGCATAGTTTGCAAATATTTTCTTGCATTCTGTAGGTAGTCTGTTTTTTGTTTTGGGTTTTTTTTTTTGAGACAGGGTCTCACTCTGTCACCCAGGCTGGAGTGCAGTGGCACAATTATAGCTCATTGCAGACTTGACCTCCCAGGCTCAAGTAATCCTCTCACGTCAGCCTCCCAAGCAACTGAAATTAGAGATGTGTGCCAGCATGCCTGGTTAATTTTTTTTACTTTTTGTGGAGACAGGGTCTCTCTATGTTGCCCAGGCTCATCTTGAACTCTTGGGCTCAAGTGATCTTCCTGCCTGGGTTTCCCAAAGTGCTGGGATTACAAGCACGAGCCTCACCATGCCTGGCTGTAGGTTGTCTATTTACTCCATTGATAGTTTTTTTTTTTTTTTTTGCTGTGCAGAGCTCTTTAGTTTAATTAGGTCTCACTTGTCAATTTTTGTTTTTGTTGCCGTTGCTTTTGGAGTCTTCATCATGAAATCTTTGCCAGGGCCTATGTCTGGAGTGGTATTTCCTAGGTTTTCTTCTAGGGTTTTATAGTTTTAGGTATTACATTTAAGTCTTTAATCCATCTTGAGTTGATTTTTGTATATGGTGAAAGGGAGGGGTCAAGTTTCAATCTTCTGCATATGGTTAGCCAGCTATCCCAGCATCATTTATTAAATAGGGAATCCTTTCCCCATTGCTTGTTATTGGACTTTGTTGAAGATCAGATGGTTGTAAATGTAAATATGCGGCTTTATTTCTGGGTTCTCTAACCTGTTCCATTGGTCCGTGTGTCTGTTTTTGTACCAGTACCATGCTGTTTTGGTTACTATAGCCTTCTAGTATAATTTGAAGTTGGGTAGTGTGACGCCTACAGCTTTGTTCTTTTTGCTTAGGATTGTTTTGGCTGTTTGGGCTCTTTTTTGGTGCATATGAGTTTTAGAATAGTTTCTTCTAATTCTTCCACAACTCGCTTGCTCTTCCTTCCTTTCCCTCCCTCCCTTCCTTCCTTCCCTCTCTCCCTCCTTCCCTCCCTCCTTCCCTCCTTTCTTTCTGTCTCTCTCTTTCCTTCCTTCTCTTCTTTTGTTTTCTCTTCTCTTCTTTTTTCTTTCTTTGTCTTTCTTTTCCTTCCTTTCCCTCCTTTCCTTCCTTTCCCTCCTTTTCCTCCCTTTCCCTCCTTTTCCTTCCTTTCCCTCCTTTTCCTTCTCTTCTGTTTCTCTTTTTCTTTCTTTCTTTCTTTTTCTTTCCGGAGGGTCTTGCTACATTGCCTAGGCTGGTTTCAAACTCCTGAGCTCAAGTTATCCTCCCACCTCAGCCGAGGCATTGGGATTACAGTTGTGAGCTACTGCACCCCACCTACAGGTATTTTTGTTTCAGCTGTGACTCCTTGTATTTCCGAGTATAAGATCATCTCCCCCTTTTTTTTAACATTGAAACTTTCATGGGATTCTCCTACATGATATTCGTTATGCTCTTGAAAAACAATTGCTGACTAAAAGGGACTAAAAAGTCAGTGACTTTTACGAAGTTTACATTTTTTTCTGTGTAACATTTACATATATTTCAAAAATAACAGTGTATGTTCAAGCCACATTATGTATTCAGCTTACCAGTGGTGCTTGTGGTATCTGTGGATTCATGAACTCTTTGTAGTTTTTATTATTATTATTATTATTTTTAATTTTTAGATGGAGTCTTGCTCTGTCACCCAGGCTGGAGGAGCAGTCGTGCAATCTTGGCTTATTACAACCTCTGCCTCTCGGGTTCAAGTGAGTCTTGTGCCTCAGCCTCCTGAGTAACTGGGATTATAGGTGCATGCTCCTACGCCCGGCTGATTTTGTGTTTTTATTTTTATGCGTTTTTTTTTTTTTTTTTTGAGATGAAGTCTCACTCTGTCACCCAGGCTGGAGTGCAGTGGTGCGATCTTGGCTCACTGCAACCTGTGCCTCCCGGGCTCAAGTGATTCTCATGCCTCAGCCTCCCAAGTAGCTGGGATTACAGGTTTGTGCCACCACGCCTAGCTAATTTTTGTATTTTTTTTTTTTTAAGACGAAGTCTTGCACTGTTGCCTGGGCTGGAGTGCAGTAGCACGATCTCAGCTTGCTGCAACCGCCGCCTCCCAGGTTCAAGCAATTCTCCTGCCTCAGCCTCCTGAGTAGCTGGGATTACAGGTGCCTGCCACCACACCCATCTAATTTTTTGTATTTTTAGTAGAGACGGGGTTTCACTATGTTGGCCAGGCTGGTCTTGAACGCCTGACCTCATGATCCACCCGCTTCGGCCTCCCAGAGTGCTGGGATTACAGGCGTGAGCTGCTGCGCCTGGCCATTAATTTTTGTATTTTTAATAGGGTTTCGTCATGTTGGCCAGGCTGGTCTTGAACTCCCAACCTCAGGTGATCCAAGGTCTTAAACTTCTGACCTCAGGTGATCCGCCTGCCTTGGCCTCCCAAAGTGCCTGGATTACAGGCATGAACCACCTCGCCTGGCCCCTTTGTATTAACTCTAAGCCCACCCTTAGAGGGGAATGAACAAAGAGAAACTACAACCTATACCTCTTCCCATATCCCTCCGAATTAATGACACCCTCTTCCTTTCTGCATGCATCTTTTATGGCCTTCTATGATGCTTGCCAGTTATGGATTTGTATGTCTCTGCTCATGGTCTGTAAGCTCTAATTTATCATCATATCCTCCAAGCACTTAGCACAGTATTTTGTACATTATAAGCTCTTGAAGGTATTTGCGGTAAACTCCCGAAAAACTTGTATAAGCCAGAGAGATAATTGTCTTCTTCAAACCTGGCCTTAGAACATTTAGATTAAGGAAATTTTATTGTGACGTAATATGACATATACCATATGTCATGTTGAAACAGTCAATAAAATTTTTTTTTTTAGAGGTTGTCTCTCTCTGTCGCCCAGGCTGGAGTGCAGTGACACAATCTTGGCTCACTGCAACCTCCGCCTCCTGGTTTCAAGCGATTCTCCTGCCTCAGCCTCCCGAGTAGCTGGGATTACAGGCATCAGCCACCACGCCCAGCTAATTTTTGTATTTTTAGTAGAGACAGAGTTTCACCATATTGGCCAGACTGGTCTCAAACTCCTGACCTCAGGTGATCCACGTGCCTCAGCCTCCCAAAGTGCTGGGATTACAGACGTAAGCCACCATGCCCGGCCCAGTCAGTAAATTTTTATTACTCTATAGTACATATCATATGAAGTAGTCAGTAGCAGTAGCAATCTTCCCACCCCCCCACTTTTTTTTTTTTTTAACCACAACCATCACTTTTCCCTTGTAGTTTCCTAGTTATTTTAGAGAAAAGGAAAACCATGGGAGAAAAACATGTCCAACTTCCGTATTTTAAGCCTAGTTTTATAGAGCATTTGAGACAGGCAAGGCAAAGATTGATGAACTGAAAGAGTGTCTACTTCTGTAAGATGGTGACCATCCTCAGGGCTGTTCATGCCTTGCTTCATTTTTAGGTAGCATGGCGTGGATGAAATTAGGCTTTGGGCCGGGCGTGGTGGCTCACACCTGTAATCCCAGTATTTTGGGAGGCCGAGGCAGGTGGATCACCTGAGGTCAGGAGTTCAAGACCAGCCATGGCCAACATGTGATGGCCAACATGTGAAACCCCATCTCTACTACAAATACAAAAATTAGCCAGAAGTGGTGGCATGCATCTGTAGTCCCAGCTACTTGGGAGGCTGAGGCAGGAGAATCGCTTGAATCCAGGAGGTGGAGGTTGTAGTGAGCTGAGATTGTGTCACTGCACTCCAGCCTGGGTGACAGAGCGAGACTCCGTCCCCGCTCCCCCCTGCAAAAAAGAAACTAGGCTTTGACAGACTGAGCCACATTCTGTGAACAGAGTGTTAGTGTACCTCATTTTGAGCAAAGGTGCGTGTATCTTACTAGAAAAAGATAGGAACCCAACAGCTGAGCTGTGAGTACTGCCCGAAGTGACTGGTTTCCTGTGCATGGAGGTGCAGCTCAGTTACTGCTCTGTTTGATGTACTACTGGGCATCACTTTACTTAGGTGGGTTCTGACTACTGCTTCAGATAGCCAAAGACCTGTCACGTAGAAGAGAGATTCATCTGGGGCAAAGGTATGGGAAGATTGATTTCAGTTCAGTATGAGAAAGAACTTTCTAAAAATCAGGCCTCTTGAGAAGGCCAGGCACAGTGGCTCATACCTGTAATCCCAGTACTTAGGAAGATTGAGGTGGGAAGATTGCTTGAGCTCAGCAGTTCAAGACCAGCCTGAGCAACATGGCAAGACCTTGTCTCCACACACACAAAAATAATTTTTAAAATTAGTTGGGTGTGGTGATGTGCATCTGTGGTCCCAGCTACTCAGGAGGCTGAGGCTGGGAGTTTGAGGCTGCAGTGAGCTGTGGTTGAGCCACTGCACTTCATTCAGCCTGGGCTATGGAGTGAGACCCTGTCTCTAAAAATAAGCATAGGCTGGGCACGGTGGCTCACTCTGTAATCCCAGCACTTTGGGAGGCTGAGGTAGGTGGATCACTTGAGATCAAGAGTTTGAGACCAGCCTGGCCAACATGGTGAAACACCATCTCTACTAAAAATACAAAAGTTAGCTGGGTGTGGTGCTGCACGCCTGTAATCCCAGCTACTCAGGAGGCTGAGGCATGACAATCACTTGAACCTGAGAAGTGGAGGTTGCAGTGAGCCGAGATCACACCACTGCACTCCATCCTGGGCAGTGAAGTAAGACTCTGTCTCCAAAAATAAATAAATAAAAAAAATAAAATTATGTCCCTTTCTTACTAGAGGGGCATGGGGAATCCCACTCACAGGGATTCCCCCAAATGAGTTCCCGGACATATCACATAATTGCTCCTGATTCTTTCCAGCCAGGAGGCTTTCAACCCAAAACACCCATCCTGCCCCATTTCTAAAGAGAGCAGGGAACCAGTGTTAACTAAGATTTTTGTGTGTTTACAGTATATGATTATGCCCATTTTACACATGAGAAAAGCAGATTCTTGGAGAAGTCAAGATGGTCAAAGCTTTTTTTTTTTTTTTTTTTTTTGAGTTGGAGTCTTGCTCTGTTGTCCAGGCTAGAGTGCAGTGGTGTGATCTTTGGCTCACTGCAACTTCTGTCTCTCAGGTTCGAGCAATTCTCCTGCCTCAGCCTCCCAAGTAGCCGGGATTACAGGCACCCGCCACCATGCCTGGCTAATTTTAGTATTTTTAGTAGAGACGGGGTTTCACCATATTGGTCAGGCTGGTCTCTCTGCCAGGCTGGTCTCGAACTCCTGACCTCGTGATCCGCCCGCCTCGGCCTCCCAAAGTGCTGGGATTACTGGCCTGAGCCACCACGCCTGGCCTTTGTCAAAGGTTCTTACCTTGTAAGTGGCTGAGTTAGAATTTCAGCTGTATTACAAGTTGCTGGGCCCAAAACTCATAGAATATTGACATATTTTATCAGTTATAAAATGCCTCCATGTACAAGCACTGCTAGGGGAGGTAATTAGCTCTGTGTGGAGAGGGGTTTACACACAGTATAGGTTGAATACCAGCTTGTTGGGATGTTTTAGAGGAGATTCAGACATTAGCCAGTTGTTGGATGACATGGGGTTTAAGGTCTTTTCCAACTTTTTGATGTCATCATCAGTATTTTGTTCAAATTTAAAAGACACATAGAATGTTCTCTAATCTTGATTAAACAATTATTTTATTTCAGTGAAGAAAATATTTGGAAGCTCTGTGAATACATCAAAAACCATGACCAGTATCCTTTAGAAGAATGTTATGCTGTCTTCATATCTAATGAGAGGAAGATGGTAAGTTGGTGAGTGATTGCAGAAAGAAAACAAGAGATTTAGGATGACATTAGAAGCTAAATTAAAAAAAAAAAAGCTAAATATAGCATGGGTGTAGTACTCTTCTGAAGTGTGCTTTATTAAATACAGCAACATTTAAAAGCTTGCTTTTGAATGAGATTTTTTTCCTTACAAGGCACGATTGAGTTAGAAGAGTTGAGTCCCTTCTGTCGCCCAGGCTGGAGTGCAGTGGCGTGATTCTTGGCTCACTGCAACCTCCACCTCCCGGGTTCAAGCGATTCTCCTGCCTCAGCCTCCCAAGTAGCTGAGACTACAGGCATGTGCCACCACGCCCAGCTAATTTTTGTATTTTTTAGTAGAGATGGGGTTTTGCTATGTTGGCCAGGCTGGTCTCGAACTCCTGGCCTCAAGTGATCCTCCCACCTCAGCCCCCCAAAGTGCTGGGAGTACAGGTGTGAGCCACCATGCCCAGCTTAGTCCCTTACTTTAGGTAAGGAAATATGTGATGGTCTACGCAGATAAAGTCCCTTTTCTTTAGGTATCAATGTAGACCTGTTTTTTTTTGTTTGTTTGTTTGTTTTTTCTTTTATTTTTTGGTACGGAGTCTCACTCTGTTGCCCAGGCTATAGCACAATGGTGTGATCTCGGCTCACTGCAACCTCTGCCTCCCAGGTTCAAGTGATTTTTGTGTCTCAGGCTCCCAAGTAGCTGGGACTACAGGTGTCCCACCACGATGGCCGGCTAATTTTTGTATTTTCAGTAGAGACAGGCTTTCTCCATGTTGGCCAGTCTGGTCTCGAACTCCTAACCTCAGGTGACCTGTCTGCCTTGGCCTCCCAATGTGGTGGGATTACCAGCATGAGCCACTGTGCCTGGCCATTTTTTTTTCTTTTTTTAAATTCAAGATGGAAGATGTAGACTTTTTAAAAATTGCTTAGAGACGCATACTCTCAGTTTTAAAGTAAGGATTTGTCTCTGGAGTTTAAATAGAACTACAGTCAACTTACATGAAGAATTAGAAAAAGTAAGCCCTTCATATTTTGTAAAACACATTTGCAGGCATCATCTCATTTGATCCCAATGGAAGCCCTGTGAAGCAGGCAATATTTGGACAAGTTTCTTCATTTTATAGATGAAGAGATTAAGACTTAGGGTGGCCCTATGAATAATTAAATGGGAGAGCAAGATTTGATACCTGCCAGGACTTCTGATTCCTAGTTCAGATCCCTTTTCACTCTCCAAAGACCATCATACAATAACTAGTGCTCTTGAGAGCTTTCATTGTTGGGGATACTTAGAAGGATTTCGATTTCTTCCTCTTCATTCATTCCTTCACCTTGATTTTTGCATGCTTAAAAATATTTTATTTCTCATGTATGTATTGCTTTAAATAGTAGTAGCCAGGTACAGTGACACGTGCCTGTAGTCCCAGCTACTTGTGAGGCGGCTGAGGCGGGCAGATCTCTTGAAGCCAAGAGTTCAAGGCTGCAGTATACTATGATGGCACCTGTGAGTAGCCACTGCACTCCAGCCAGGGCAGCATCACAAGATCCTGTCTTGGCCAGGTGCGGTGGCTCACGCCTATAATCCCAGCACTTTGGGAGGCTGAGGTGGGCAGATCACTTGAGATCAGGAGTTCGAGACCAGCCTGGCCAACATGATGAAACCTTGTGTCAAAACCCTTCATCAAAAAATAAAAATAAAAAATTAGCTGGGTGTGGTGGCACACGCCTGTAATCCCAGCTACTTGGGAAACTGAGGCAGGAGAATTGCTTGAACCCGGGAGGTGGAGGTTGCAGTAAGCCCAGATTGTGCCACTGCACTCCAGCCTGGGTGACAGAGCAGGACTCTGTCTCAAAAAAAAAAAAAAAAAATCCCGTCTCAAAAAAAAAAAAAGGAAAATAATTTAGTAGTGGTTTAACTAAAGGTATGGCTTACGAAATGTATTGTATTTTGTAGATACCTATCTGGAAACAACAGGCGAGACCTGGAGATGGACCTGTGATCTGGGTAAGACAGTTAATACAGAGAGTATTGACGCATTATGACTTGTAACCCCTTAGTGTTCTGTATGTTTTGGTAAAGCAGAAGTGACCTAAGCAGTAGAGAAAGGCTATGGTAATTATTAATAAATTGACCTTTTGAGAATAGATGTTATTTGATCTAAGGTAGAAACACTGTAGGCATATTTTCTTTTAACTTTTTGTTTTGAAATTATTATAGGAATGATTTTAAATGGTGGATATATTTGTGATCTAGACTCTTACCATTTAGCACAGGAAGGAACTTTGGCTACACATTAGAATTATCTGGAGACTGTTAAAAATGTAGTTTTCGGCTGGGCGCGGTGGCTCACACCTGTAATCCCAGCAGTTTGGGAGGCCAAGGTGGACGGATCACTTGAGGCCAGGAGTTCAAGACCAGCTTGGCCAACATGGCGAAACACCATCTCTAATAATAATACAAATATTAGGCCGGGCGCAGTGGCTCATGCCTGTAATTCCAGCACTTTGAGAGGCTGAGGTAGGTGGATCACTTGAGGCCAGGAGTTTGAGGCCAGTCTGGCCAACATGGCAAAACTCCGTCTCTACTAAAAAAAATACAAAGATTAACTGAGCCTGGTGGCACTCACCTGTAGTCCCAGCTACTCGGGAGGTTGAGGCAGGAGAATTGCTTGAACCCGGGAGGTGGAGGCTGCAGCGAGCTGAGATTGCTTCACTGTACTCCAGCTTGGGTGACAGAGAGAGACCCTGTCTCAATAAATAAATAATGTAGTTTTCTGATTTAGTAAATCTAGAGAGGGGTTCAGGAGTTAGTGTTCTTGATGAACTCCTAGGTGAACATGACTGGCATTTGAAAAATACGGATCTACTCCCACCCCTTTATTTTTCAGGGAAGAAATAAACACAGAAGAGCAAACTGAGTAGCTCAGAGTGGCATGGTCAGTGGCAGAACTGGGTCTCACACCTGGGTCCTTTTTAGTACACATCTACATGTCACCTTAACCCATTCCCCTAAAGAATGGAGGCTAGGGTTGGGCACGGTGGCTCATGCCTATAATCCCAGAACTTTGGGAGGCCGAGGTGGGTGGATCACCTGAGGTCAGGAGTTCAAGACCAGCCTGGTCAACATGGTAAAACCCCGTCTCTACTAAAGTACAAAAATTAGCTGGGTGTGATGGCGTGTGCCTGTAATCCCAGCTACTCGGGAGGCTGAGGCAGGAGAATTGCTTGAACCTGGGAGGCAGAGGTTGCAGTGAGCTGAGGTGACGCCATTGCATTCCAGCCTGGGCAAAAAGAATGAAACTCCATATCAAAAAAAAAAAAAAAAAAAATAGAGTTTTTATGCTAATAAACACGAAAGCAAAGTAAAAGGAAAATGACACTGATGAATTGGAACAAACTCCTAGTTTCTGGGTATTTATTTAAAATTATGTATCATTTGATTGGCTTCGCTCATTTATTTAACATGTATATATTGAGTGTGTTTTATATGCCAGGCTAAAAACAGATTAAAATCCCTGACCTCACAGAGCTGACGTTCTCAGTTTCGTTGCCAGCAGGTGATCTTGCATGAAAGCTGCTCTTGCATGAAAGCCCAAGCCCCTCAGCTCTAGGGTTAGGAGCACAGGCTCTGGAGTTAGGCATACTGGGTTTAAGTCCCAGGCCTCTCATTGGTCAGCTGTGGGATCCAGATAGGTTATTTACCCTCTGTCTTCAGTGTCTCCCCCTGGTCAGTGGGGTCGTGAGGCTTAAATGAGGTAATGCACAGGAAGCATCTTCCTGGTGTCTGCTACTGGTACTCAGGAAGTGTTGGCAGTTACTGTTAGCAGTGATACCTAACCCCTGTTATAGATGGTCCGTGTGCACGAGAAATCATCCCTGTTGCTGAACAGCTTAGCTGATTTTGAGTCGTGGTCTTACTCCCCATCCTAGGGAAACTTGGAGGGGAAGGACCTGTAGCCATGTCTCCCTTACACATCTCATGGCAGCTCAAGATGGGGAATCCTGTTGCAAGAAGTCTCCCCACACCCTCTGGCAGGTTTTGCTTTGCCTCGCTGCTGTCCTGTTGTAGGGCATGGGTAGGCCTCGCTGAGTGAGCAGAGACACCAGTGAGTAGTAGTGAGTAAAATTCGAGAACACTAAATCCTGAACCCCTTTCTAGATTTACTAAATCAGAAAACTACATTGTTAACGCAGTCTCTGGATAATTCTAATGTGTAGCCAGACTACATATTGCCAAAGTCCCTTCCCATGCTAAATGGATAAAAGTCTATGACATCACAAATATATCTGCCACATTAGCCATTTAAAATCATTCCTATAATAATTTCAGGTTGGGCGTGGTGGCTCACACCTGTAATCCCAGCACTTTGGGATGCAGAGGCAGGCAGATCCCATGAGGTCAGGAGTTCGAGACCAGCCTCATCAACATGGTGAAACCCTGTCTCTATTAAAAATACAAAAATTAGCGTGGTGGTGGGCGCTTGTAGTCCCAGCTACTTGGGTGCCTGAGGCAGGAGAATTGCTTGAACCTGGGAGGCAGAGGTCACAGTGAGCCGAGATCATACCACTGTACTCCATCCTGGGCGATACAATGAGACTTCATCTCAAAAAAAAAAATCATTCCTATAATAATTTCTTTTTTTAAATTTTATTTATGTATTTTTTTTTTGAGATGGAGTCTCACTCTGTCGCCTAGGCTGGAGTGCAGTGGTGTGATCTCGGCTCACTGCAAACTCTGACCCCCAAGGTTTAAGCAATTCCTCTGCCTCAGCCTCCCGAGTAGCTGGAATTACAGGCATGTGGCACACGCCTGGCTAATTTTTTTATTTTTAGTAGAGATGGGATTTTGCCATGTTGGCCAGGCTGATCTCGAACTCCTGACCTCAAGTGATCCGCCCGCCTCGGCCTCCCAAATTGCTGGGAGTACAGGCGTGAGCCACTGTGCCTGTCCTCCTGTAATAATTTCAAAACAAAAAGTTAAAAGAAAACATGCCTATAGTCCTTCTATCTTAGACCAAATAACATGGAGCAGATGGTGGCATCTGTAGGTGACATCCCCACTCCTAGCACAATCAGTCTTTTCCTGGCAGCTGGGCAGACACTGAACCAACTCAGAGAGTGAGGCCGCTGCTCAAGCCTGCATTCCTTGGCTCCTCATCTGTGCCATGAAGGCAATTTTGGGCCAACCCTTTTCCTTTGCAGTCCCTCAGCTGCCTAGTGTATAGGAATGTGGACCTGAACTTACTAGAGAGTTGTGAATAGTCATTATGTATGCCTTTTCACAAGTTGTACCTTCTTTCTGGAAAGCTGTCCCCATCAGGCAAGATTCTGCAATGGGGTCCTTTCCTCTGTGAAACTCTCTTTGGCCATTGGGCTCCTGTCCTCTTCCTTTCTTGGTTGGCTTTAATTTTTTATTTTTATTTATTTATTTGTTTTTGAGACAGATTCTTGCTCTGTTGCCCAGGCTGGAGTGCAGTGGCATGATCTTAGCTCAGTGCAACCTCTGTCTCCTGGGTTCAAGTGATTCTCGTGCCTCAGCCTCCTGAGTAGCTGGGGCTACAGGTGCATGCCACCATGCCCGGCTCGTTGTTGTATTTTTAGTAGAGACGGGGTCTCACTATGTTGACCAGGCTGGTCTTGAACTCCTGACCTCATGTGATCCACCTGCCTCGGCCTCCCAAAGTGCTGGGATTACAGGCATGAGCTACCATGCCCAGCCTTTGGTTGTCTTTTAAAAGGGTTGATCATTTACACACTAATGCTTCTAGCAGCACTATGAGGTAGACCAAGCTTGTCTAACCTGCAGCCTATGGGCTGCATGTGGCCCAAGACAGCTTTAAATGCAGCCCAACACAAATTTGTAAACTTTCTTAAAACATTATGAAATTTTTTTGTGATTTTTTTTTTTTTTAGCTTATCAGCAATCGTTAGTGTTAGTGTATTTTATGTGTGGCCCAAGACAATTCTTCTTCCAGTGTGGCCCAGGGAAGCCAAAAGATTGGACACCCTGGAGTTAGATACTCCAGTTATCTCCATTTTATAAAAGAGCAGAGTGAGGTTGCCGAGGGGAGGGGCTGAGATTGGAACCAGGCGCTTACCTGCTCCTGCCTGCATTGCTCTCCTGCCTGCATTGCTCTCCTGCCTCTGATGTTCTCTGTTCTCCACAATATCCTGCAGCAGTTTACCTGGTTCCCATTCACTTCTCTGGGAACTTCTTGAGGGTGAGAACTTATCTTTTTCATCTTTGCATCTGCAGTTCAGCAGCACAGTCTTTCACATAGAATAGATAATGTGTGGTTCAAAAAAACTGATATGGGACTGGGCACAGTGGCTCACACCCATAATCCCAGCACTTTGGGAGGCAGAGGCAGGGAGATCACTTGAGGCCAGGAGTTCGAGACCAGCCTGGTCAACATGGTGAAACCCCATCTCTACTAAAAATACAAAAATTAGCTGGGTGTGGTGGCGCGCCTGTAATCCCAGCTACTCGGGAGGCTGAGGTGGGAAAATCACTCGAACCCCGGAGGTGGAGGTTGCAGTGAGCTGGGATTGTGCCACTGTGCTCCAGCCTGGGTGACAGAGAGAGACTCTGTCTCAAAACAACAACAACAACAAACCTGTAATATGAATTAGAAGATGTTAAGAGAGAAACAGAATTTGGATAAGGCGGAGATTCTGGCAGGGGGTGGGAGAAGATAAAAAATTGATTCGTGGGAAGAAAGCCTTTAGCTGGAGCTTGTGTGGTAGAAAGAGGTAGAGAAGGTTGCTGCAGATGGAGGGGAATGACATGAGCAGACCCATTGGGAGGCAGTGGTGGACTGTTTGGGGGCGTGGAGGATAGGATGTATCTGGGGAAGTCCAGAGAATAGGCATTCATTTTTGAATCTTTCTGTTTTGCTAAGACAGACTTAGAGCCAAAGGCAGCACTCAGGCTTTTAAAGGCACAGCATCCCTAGTCTTAAGTATTGTTCTTACCTCAGGATTTATACAGGGCTCAAGTAGAATGATATTTGAGAAAGAAAGTGCCTTTTAAACTCTAAGATATTGTAGAAATATAAGTTGGTATTACTAATGTTGCTAGGTTGCTTTGATTTCACAGTGCTGTTCTCTATGAGAGCGTTTTTCTTTGGAAGAACTCAGAGCACCACATTGCTCATGTCCCTTGATCACCTCCCTGAAATCCCTTTCAGCTCATCGCTGGTGTTGGGCAGTACCTTGAGTCTGAGAGTGAGGGTGAGAATTAACATCCACACTGTGACAGAGCTGTGTGGGAAAAGCTGTCTTTTTCTTTCTCCCTTAGTGGCTACAGATGAAAGCTTGGCTAACTTCTTTTTTTAAAAAATAGTTTTTCCTTTCTTTTAATTGCAAAAGTGGTTCCAAACTAGAAATTAAAGTCCTCCTTCTCCTCTCCAGGCTGACCCCCAGAAGCCTCCTTTGTTACTAGTTTGGAGCAGATCCTTGCAGACGTTTTCCTCTGCATTCACATGCATGCAAATGTACTTCTGAATGCGCACGTATGTCTTTATATACAGATAGCTTTTAACAAATAGCAGGTGGGGCCGGCACTGTGGCTCACACCTGTAATTCCAGGACTTTGGGAGGCTGAGGCGGGGGGATCACTTGAGGCCAGAAGTTGGAGACCAGCCTGGCCAACATGGTGAAACACCATCTCTACTAAAAATACAAAAATTAGCTGGGCGTGGTGGCGGGTGTCTGTAGTCCCAGCTACTCAGGAGGCTGAGGCAGGAGAATCGCTTGAACCCAGGAGGCGGAGGTTGCAGTGAGCTGAGATTATGCCACTGCACGCCAGCCTGGGTGATAGAGCAAGACTCTGTCTCAATTAAAAAAAATATGTGGGGCCAGGCACCGTGGCTCACACCTGTAATCCTAGCACTTTTGGAGACTGAGGCGGGTGGATCGCCTGAGGTCAGGGGTTCAAGACCAGCCTTGCCAGCATGATGAAACCCTATCTCTACTAAAAATACAAAAAATTAGCTGGGCATCGTGGTGCGCGCTTGTAATCCCAGCTACTCGGGAGGCTGAGGCAAGAGAATTGCTTGAACCCGGCAGGTGGAGGTTGCAGTGAGCTGAGATCATGCCACTGCACTCCAACCTGGGTGACGAGAGTAAGACTCCATCTCAAAAAAAAAAAAAAAAAAAAAGTTTCCTAGAGGTAAAATTGCAGTTTCAGAGGATGTGCATTTAATGACTATGAACATTTCCATTATTTAACCATTTCCCTATCTGTGGACATTTAGTCTGTTTTCATGTTTTCAGGGTGTTGTGTTTGCTTTATTCTATTTTGCTATTATAAGGAGGGCTGTAGCAGTCCTATATCCTTTTTAGTGATAAGGTATGTGTCTGAATACTGGGATTTCATCATTATGAAGTAACTTGGTTAACTTCAGCAACTTTTACTTTTAGGATTACCATGTTGTTTTGCTTCATGTTTCAAGTGGAGGACAGAACTTCATTTATGATCTCGATACTGTCTTGCCATTTCCCTGCCTCTTTGACACTTATGTAGAAGATGCCTTTAAGTCTGATGATGACATTCACCCACAGTTTAGGAGGTGAGGACATTCAAGATGGATTTACTTATTTTCTGAAGTAAGAATTTGACGATTCCACAGAGGTTCTTTTTTTTTTTGACAATTGTTTTGTAAAGATCTCGTCTGACATCACCATTGAGTTGATGTTTAAGAATGATGTATTTGCAACACAGGAGATTCAAAATGTTTTAAAGCTTTAAAAGTTATCTATCATATGAAAGGTTGTCATTCTTTTAAAATTTTGTGTGATGAGATCTCAGACATTTAATTTCAAGCGGGTTGGGGATTTTTCTTATATTCTTTTTGTTTTTGTGGGGATACCTCGTGCTGTCACCATTGAGAGGGCTGTGAGGGCAGCATCAGAAAATCATGCCCATTGCCCTTGATACACAAATCGAGTAAATCGAGGCAACCAGATATATTTTTGTGCCTTTGCCTTTCTGTTTCGGGGTTTGGTTGATCATTTCCTATGCTTCTCTAATAGGTAGTAAAGTTGCCTGTATTACTAACCATACAGAAATGCATGAGTAGTTTTGTGCATGTCATAGGAAATGAGTCGATATAAAAATGGAGTTAGAATTTCAAACATGACATCTCCCTAATGTGAGTGTATATTGATTTTTCTGCAGGAAATTTAGAGTGATCCGTGCAGATTCATATTTGAAGAACTTTGCTTCTGACCGATCTCACATGAAAGACTCCAGTGGGAATTGGAGAGAGCCTCCGCCGCCATATCCCTGCATTGAGACTGGAGGTGAGCCAAGATGCCTTCTCAGATGGGGGTTCTGATTGATCACATACACATCAGCATTTTTCCTTAACGGAGGACAAAAGTCAGGTTGTTCTTTGAATAAAACTCCATGAGTGAATCCCAGCACTTTGGGAGGCCGAGGTGGGCGGATCACGAGGTCAGGAGATAGACACCATCCTGGCTAACACGGTGAAACCCTGTCTCTACTAAAAATACAAAAAATTAGCCAGGTGTGGTGACAGGCACCTGTAGTCCCAGCTACTAGGGAGGCTGAGGCAGGAGAATGGTGCGAACCTGGGAGGCAGAGCTTGCAGTGAGCTGAGATCGGGCCACTGCATTCCAGCCTGGGTGACAGAGTGAGACTCCATCTCAAAAAAAAAAAAAAACAAAAAACAAAAAACAAAAAATTCCATGAATGATAAGGAGGTCATAGGAAATACTACTTCTGTGTGTGTATTAGATTCAGAAATGAAGGCACAGAGAATAGGACTGGAAGGCATAAGAACATGTGGGAGAGGAAGGGTGTTAAGGATCAGAACCAGGGCACCTGCAAACTGCTGGATTATTGGATGTAGCTACTGCGGGGACACTGAACATCAGGATACTCGCATGCTTGTGTCATTTAACAGCGGGACTAGTAGCACCTTGCCATGGTAGGGTTTTGTGCTGTGGTGAAAGAAATCCCCATTGCATCCTTATGATGTGTGAAATGTCACTTTGGCTATATAATAAAATCTGCATTAGAGGGAGGTGAGCGCTAGCAGGTTTTATTGTACCACTTGTCTCATTTATGTGCTTTTAGGCATCAATCCAGTTGATAATTTCCTGACATTTAAGAAGATAAAGGGTCCTTCACCCTATTACTATTGTTTGGCATTCATATGAGTTTGAAGTATTATTTACGTTTGTAAGTAATTCACAACATTCCCACTTAGGGGTGAGATCATCCCAACACCTGGATAATACAGTCTGTGTGAAAGTGCTCTGTGAGCTCTGCAGCATGTCAGAAAAATAGGGCAGTAGTGTTAGTACTTCAACAAGGGTCTGAGCGTGGTGGCTTATGCCTGTAATCCCAGCACTTTGGGAGGCTGAGGTGGGTGGACCACCTGAGGTCAGGAGTTCGAGACTAGCCTGACCAATGTGGTGAAACTCCGTCTCTACTAAAAATACAAAAATTAGCCGGGTGTGGTGGTGTGTGCCTGAAGTCCCAGCTCCTTGGGAGACTGAGACAGGAGAATTACTTGAACCGGGTAATTGCTTGAACCGGGAGGCAGAGGTTGCAGTGAGCCGAGATCGCACCACTGCACTCCAGCCTGAGTGACAAGAGCAAGATTCCATCTCAAAAAAAAAAAAAGAAAAAGAAAAAAATAGTTTAACGGAAGAAAGTAAAATATACATTTGGCATATTTGAGGGGACTGAACACTAAGAGAGGGTTCAAACTCTGATTTTTGAGGCTCTCTATGAAAAGCTCTCATAATTTAAAAAATTATATTGGAATTGCTTATCAGTACACAGAGCTGCTTCCTGGCCTCAGTGTGAGAACTGGGGAAGCTCCCTGGTAAGGAGAGGGCTCGAGGGGTCTGCCTTAGCATCTATGGCAACCTGCTCTACAGGGCCTGGTCTGGCCACAGTGTGCCTTTAGCAGCTACCTGTTTCCCCTTGAGATGTGAGCACCTAAGACAGAACCTAGTGCATCGCAGGCATTTAGTGAACCCCTTGTCAGCCCTGGTCCAACTGGGGCAATTCCTTTTGTTTTGATGACTACTAGTCATTGGATGCTGTTTTGTGCTGGGCTTTTGCCAGCCCAATTACTATATGGGCTGCCGAGGTGAGCACTGCCAGCCCAATTTTCTTTCTTTCTTTTTTTTTTGTTGAGACTCTTGTTGCCCAGGCTGGAGTGCAGTGGCACGATCCCAGCTCACTGCAACCTCCATCTCCTGAGTTCAAGCAATTTTCATGCCTCAGCCTCTGGATTAGTTGGGATTACAGGCATACACCATCACACCTGGCTAGTTTTTTTTTTTTTTTGAGACGGAGTCTCACTCTGTCACCCACGCTGGAGTGCAGTGGTGCGATGTCAGCTCACTGCAAGCTCCGCCTCCCGGGTTCATGCCATTCTCCTGCCTCAGCCTCCTGAGTAGCTGGGACTACAGGCGCCCGCCACCACACCCGGCTAATTTTTTTTTTGTATTTTTAGTAGAGATGGGGTCTTACCGTGTTAGCCAGGATGGTCTCGATCTCCTGACCTCGTGATCTGCCCGCCTCGGCCTCCCAAAGTGCTGGGATTACAGGCGTGAGCCACCGCGCCGGCCACACCTGGTTAGTTTTTATATTTTTAGTAGACATGAGGTTTTGCCATGTGGGCTAGGCTGGTCTTGAACTCTTGGCCTCAGGTGATCCTTCTGCCTTGGCCTCCCAAAGTGCTGGGATTACAGGGGTGAGCCACTGTGCCTGGCCCATATTAACCAAAAATTAGCCAGGCGTGGTGGTGCACGCCTGTAATCCCAGCTACTCAGGAGGCTGAGGCAGGAGAATTGCTTGAATCTGGGAGGTGGAGGTCGCAATGAGCCAAAATTGCACCACTGCACTCTAGCCTGGGTGACAGAGGGAGACTCTGTCTCAAAAAAAAGAAAACAGACTTTAAATTAATGCATGTTTTAGATACATGCATTATTGGGTATGTTGGATTTAGTTATGGAATTGACTCTTTTTTTTTTTTAATCAAGGTAGGGTCTCAGTATATTGCTCCTACCTTGGCCTCCCAAAATACTGAGATTATAGGCATGAGCCACCACGCTGGCCAGGATTAACTCCTTTTTTTTTTTTTTTTTTTTTTTTTTTGAGACGGAGTCTTGCTCTATTGCCCAGGCTGGAGTGCAGTGGCACAATCTTGGCTTGCTACAACCTCTGCCTCCTGGATTCAAGCGATTCTCCTGCCTCAGCCTCCCAAGTAGCTTGGATTCTAGGCACCCACTACCACACCTGGCTAGTTTTTGTATTTTTAGTAGAGACGGGGTTTCACCACGTTGGCCAGGCTGGTCTCGAACTCCTGACCTCAAGTGATCCACCCCTCTTAGCTTCCCAAAGTGCTGGGATTATAGGCGTGAGCCACCACGCCTGGCTGCTTTTCGTCTTTCTGAGTAAAGGTTGAGAGTAGCGTTCCTTTCTTCTTTTTTTTTTTTTTTTAGACAAAGCCTTGCTCTGTTGCCCAGGCTGGAGTGAAGTGGCGTGATCTTGGCTCATTACACCCTCCAACTCCCAGGTTCAAGCAATTCTCCTGTCTCAGCCTCCTAAGTAGCTGGAATTAGAGAGGTGTGCCACCATACCCAGCTAATTTTTGTATTTTTAGTAGAGATGGGGTTTCACCATGTTGGCCAGGCTGTTCTCTTAACTTCTGACCTCAAGTGATCTGCCCACCTCGGCCTCCCAAAGTGCTGGGATTACAGGTGTGAGCCAACATGCTTGGCTCAGAGCAGCCTTTCATCGAGGGCTAATTTAGCCCCCCTACTCTGACATGACCCTTCTGAGGACGCTACTGAACGCTGCATGTTACGAGTTCTCTCCACTCTGGCTGGTGGTGACATGAATTATTTCTAGCCCTGTGGAAGTTCTGGGGATTATTAGACCCACCGCTTCTTGGTGCTTCTTTCCCTGGCCTCATGAAGTTTCGTTCCATAGAAGAGAAGATCAGTACTTAGCCAAAGACTCGGGGGTCCCCTCTGCTGATCTTTGGAGCTCTGACTCTCTGTGTAGTCCCCTCTTCACTGATATTCTGTTTCCCTCAGTTTGGGTGTGTGTGTTTTGTCATGATTGGATTGAAGTTATACATTCAAGGCCAGAAAACCACAGAAGTGACATTGAGCCCTTATCCATTTGAATAATTTTACCTACTTTTGGTCTTCTGCATTGTTTTATTGCTGTTAAACCAAAATTGTGTTTTCAGTGGACATTTTTTTTTCATATATTTTTTTAGATTCCAAAATGAACCTGAACGATTTCATCAGTATGGATCCCAAGGTAGGATGGGGCGCCGTCTACACACTATCCGAATTTACACATCGGTTTGGCAGTAAAAACTGCTGAACTTGGTCTCAAGATGTGGAACTGTGGAGAAATTCTAGGACATGAACAAGCTATCCTTTCATCGAGGACAGCAAACATTATGGTACAGTTGGCTTGGAATTATGTCTTTCTCTTTTAATTTGATTGAGTGGAAATCTGAGTGAATACAAATATAAATGAACAACATAAAAACTTTTGTTTTGACATGTCAAATTGAAACTTGATAAAGTGCGTACTTGCTAAGATATTCCTGTGGCTCATGCGTTACAACACGAGGACTTAAGCCAGTAATCGTTTTTGTTCAGATAGAGGTGTGGAGGTAGAGCCAGCCCCTCATGTCTGTTTTGGATGTTTTGTGTCTCTCCAGCTACATTGTAAGTTCCTTGAGGGCAGGGCCATGGCCCATTGCTCTGTGAATCTCAAATGCCCATAAAAGGTGCCCATAAAATGTTTTCTTGAACATTTGAATGTGCTGTTGTCTGGAAAGGGGTAATATTGTGAGCTGAATCAGCAATAAGTATTAGTCTTTTTGGACTATGGTATTGTTAAAAAGACTGCAGCCCTCTCAGACTTGAGCGTTAATTGGCTTATTTATTTATGGCTTTAAATAAAATCGATTTAACGTTAGTTTTGTTTTGAAGATTTTTGTGTCACCCTTGATGATCTGAAATACCTAAATATGCCTCAATTGTAGATGAGAACCAGGGCTTTAAAAAATATTTATTACATGTGCCTTCTGGAAGACATCTTGGTTATTTGGCTTTAATCATATCATTCCAAATGAAAGATATTTGGCATTACATTGGCATATAGTACCAGCTCTCATGTTTTCATGATTCTACTTTAAAAATGAACAACTTCTTATAGCAAGGATGTCTGACCTTTTGTTCTTAGATGAGCTTTCTACTTATTAAGAAACTATCAGCTGGGCATGGTGGCTCATGCGTGTAATCTCAGCACTTTGGGAGTCCTAGGTGGGCGGATCATGAGGTCAGGAGTTTGAGACCAGCTTGGCCAACGTGGTGAAACCTTGTCTCTACTAAAAATATAAAAATTAGCTGGGTGTGGTGGCGGGCGCCTGTAATGCCAGCTACTTGGGAGGCTGAGGCAGAATTGCTTGAACCTGGGAGGTGGAAGTTGCAGTGAGCTGAGATCATGCTGCTGCACTCCAGCCTGGGTGACAGAGCAAGACTCCATCTCAGAAAAAAAAAAAAAAAGAAAAGAAACTGACATTTAATGGTAATCCTCCACCTTATGGAGGGTACAAATGTAACCATTTATTTATTCATTTAGAGACAGAGTCTTGCTCTGTCACCCAGGCTGGAGTGCAGCGGCACGATCTCGGCTCACTGTAACCTCCACTTCCCAGGTTCAAGTGATTCTCGTGCCTCAGCCTCCTGAGTAGCTGGGATTACAGGTGTGCGCCACCATGCCCAGCGAATTTTTGTATTTTAGTAGAGACGTGGTTTCACCACGTTGGCCAGGCTGGTCTTGAACTCCTGACCTCAGGTGATCTGCCCACTTTCGCCTCCCGAAGTACTGGGATTACAGGCATGAGCCACCGCGCCCGGCCCCCTTCCCTAGAAATTTCTGCATAAACTGCCCTTTAATCTGCATGTTATTTTTATTTACTTATTTATTTTGAGACAAAGTCTCACTCTGTCGCCCAGGCTGGAGTGCAGTGGCATGATCTCGGCTCACTGCAACCTCTGCCTCCCAGGTTCAAACGATTCTCATGCCTCAGCCTCCCGAGTAGCTGGGATTACAGGTGTGTACCACCATGCCCAGCTAATTTTTGTATTTTTAATAGAGACGGGGTTTTGCCATGCTAACTAGGCTGGTATCAAACTCCTGACCTCAGGTGATCTGCCTGGCTCCGCCTCCCAATGTGCTGGGATTACAGGCATGAGCCACCGCACCCGGCCAAATTTGCATGTTATTAAAAGTAGGTATAAATGTGGCTGCCAGACTGCCCGGAGCTGCTCCTGTCTGCCTACAGGGTAAACCTGCTCTGCAGGAGCAGTCACAGGGTTGTAACACTACCGCTTCAATAAAGCTGTTTTCTTTTACCTTCAGCTTGCCCTTGAATTCTTTCCTGGGCAAAGCCAAGAAGTCTCATGGGCTCAGCCCTACTTTGGGGCTTGCCTGCTCTGTATCAGATTGATCTGTGCTTGAAGCCAAGCCCACCTTTTTTGTTTTTGAGACTCTCTTGCTCTGTCACCGAGGCTGGAGAGCACTGGTGTGATCTCTGCTTACTGCAACCTCCACCTCCCAGGCTCAAGCGATCCTCCCACCTCAGCCTTCTGAGTAGCTGGGACTACAGGCGTGCCACAGTGCCCAGCTAATTTTTATATTTTTAGTAGAGATGGGGTTTTGCCACATTGCTCAGGCTGGTCTTGAACTCCGGGACTCAAGCAGTCTGCCCACCTCGGCCTCTGAAAGTGCTGAGATTACAGGTGTGAGCCACTGCGCCTGGCCTGCGGTTCCTGGTTCTATGAGCCAGTGGATTCCTTTTTCTCTTCAGCTTGTGCGAGCTGGATTTCTGTCATTTTTAACTGAAAGATAGGTTTTCTTACAAGATTTTTCTTCAGAGTTGTTTATCGGGCTTAGGAACTGTTATTTATGTCTCTCTGTGCTTAATTTTTCTATTTAAACTTTTTCTTTTTTTTTTTTGAACCCAAACTAAGACAATTTTTCTTTTGAGGTCAGATTTCTTTCTCTTAATATTCAACATGTGTGAGAAGATTTTCTGTATGGAAAGAAGATATTTCAAGAAAAGCAGGGGACTAAAGTAGAATTTTGTTTGTTTGCTTCTTTTTGTTTGAGATGCCGTCTTGCTCTGTTTCCCAGGCTAGAGTGCAGTGGCACAATCTTGGCTCACTGCAACTTCCACCTCCCAGATTTAAGTGACTCTCCTGCCTCCGCTTCCTGAGTTTCTGGGATTACAGGCATGCGCCGCTACACCTGGCTAATTTTTGTATTTTTAGTAGAGATGGGATTTTACCATGTTGGCCAGGCTAGTCTCGAACTCCTGACCTCAAGTAATCCACCCACTTTGGCCTCCCAAAATGCTGGGATTACAGGTATGAACCATAGTGCCTGGCTGACTAAAGCAAAAAATTTTCTTTTTGAGAGGGAGTCTCGCTCTATCGCCCAGGCTGGAGTGCAGTGGCATGATCTTGGCTCACTGCAAGCTCTGCCTCCCGGGTTCACGCCATTCTCCTGCCTCAGCCTCCTGAGTAGCTGGGACCACAGGTGCCCACCACTACGCCCAGCTAATTTCTTTTTATATTTTTAGTGGAGACGGGGTTTCACCGTGTTAGCCAGGATGGTCTCTATCTTCTGCCCTCGTGATCCACTTGCCTCGACCTCCCAAAGTGCTGGGATTACAGGCGTGAGCCACGGTGCCCAGCCTAAAGCAGAATTTGTAAACTGACTATGAAAGCAACAGAAACAGAGTATCTCTGAGAACCTGACACACCAAGGAGTTGGGAAGCAAATATGAAAATATAAAATGGTTCCCAGCTCAGTAGAACTGGCTATCCCTGATTGAAGATATTATTGGAGCTTTTAAGGAAATTATGTCTTTCAGAAGAGGAGTTGGTTAGCAATGGTAGTAAATGCAAACCTTTTTGTGTGTTTTTCTTGGTTTAATTTTTAATTAATTAAAAAATAGATGGTACCATGTACATTGTACCAATTCAAAATGTATAAAAGAGTATTTGGTGAAAAGTAAACTTCCCTCCTGCTTTGTCCTCCAATTTTCTGATGTTCCCACCCAGAAATAACCTCTTTTTCAGGTTATTTTGTATCCTTCTTTCCAGGAATTTTCTATGTAAACATATAGGTATGTATTATATATTAAATTTTGTTTCCCCACCCCCCCGACAAATGGTAGCATCCTAAACATATTGTTCTGTATTTTACTTTTTTCCCTTCACTAAACAAAGAAAAATACATTTTACTTTTTAAAGTTAATATATTTGGATGTTTTCTAGTCAGTACATATTGATTGGAAAATCAACAAGAATGAGAAAATATCTACATTATTTTTAAAGGCTACATTGTATTCTGCGATACATATGGTCCATAATTTAACAGTCCTTTATAAGTTGTTTTTTGCTTCTTGGTGTGCCAAAAAAAATGCTACAATAAATGTTTTTGTTTATGTGTCTTCATAAAAATTTCCAAGGTGAATTTTTAAAAATTTTTTAAGTTTTTTGTTTTTTGAGACAGAGTCGCACTCTGTTGCCCAGGTTGGAGTGCAGTGTTGTGATCTCAGCTCATTGTAGCCTCCGCCTCCCGGGTTGAAGTGATTCTCCTGCCTCAGCCTCCGCATTAGCTGGGATTACAGGCGTGCACCACCACACTTGGCTAATTTTTGTATTTTTAATAGAGACAGGGTTTCACCATGTTGGCCAGGCTGGTCTCGAACTCCTGGCCTCAAGAGATCCGCCTGCCTCAGCCTCCCAAAGTGCTGGGATTACAGGCGTGAGCCACCTCACCCACCCCCAAGATGAATTTTGAAACCATAGGCTGCTGGTTGTCCCACCAAATCCATTCTCTTTTCTTTCCTTTTCCTTTTTCCTTTTTCCTTTCCTTTCCTTTCTTTTTTTCCAGACAGAGTCTCACTCTGTCACCCAGACTGGAGTGCAATGGCACGATCTCAGCTCACTGCAACCTCCGCCTCCCAGGTTCAAGCGATTCTCGTGCCTCAGCCTCCTGAGTAGCTGGGATTACAGGTGCGCTACCACACCTGGCTAATTTTGTGTGTGTGTGTGTTTTTATTATAGTAGAGACAGAGGTTCACCATGTTGGCCAGGCTGGTCTCAAACTCTGGCCTCAAGTGATTCCCCCCACCTCAGCCTCCCAAAGTGCTGGGATTACAGGCATCAGCCACTGCAACTGGCCCATTCTCTTCTTTTTCTAGAGCAGGAGTTGGCAAATGTTTTCTGTAAATGGCCAAACAGTAAATGTTAGACTTTGCAGGCCATAAGGCCTCTGCCACAACTACTCAACTCTGCCTTTGTAGCCGAAAACAGCAGCCACAGACAATATGTAAATGAATAGGTGTGGCTGAGCTCCAATAAAACTTTGCAAAACCTGGGTCTCCTTTCTTGTCTTTGGAGCCCTCCTCCCTCTGGAGAGCTTTTTCCTTCTTTCTTCTCTCTTCTTTCTTGCCTTTTAAACACTCTGCTCCTTAAAACCACTCCAACTGTGTCTGTGTTGTTTTATCCAATTCGCGCAAGACGAGCCCTGGTGCTCCTCCACTCATCGGAGCCGTATCAGTGCCATCTTCAAAGCAGAGACCAAGTCCTCACCAGACAACATAATCTGCTCAGCCCTGATCTTGGACTTACAGCCTCCGCAACAGACTCTGCTCCAACTATGAACTTAGGAAGTTAAGGAAAAACATGGATTTCTTTTTCCAACTAGAAGCTGGACATCCTAAGTGATTGGTTGGAGGAGTATGTTTGGTTTTCTCTGTCTGGTTCCATGTTGAAAGTAAGAACAACAACAACATGGGGGAAGCCTGCAAGTTTTGACCACGTCCTGATCTCTCCATGCTGATTGCCGCCGAGCTGGGGGTCAGGGTTCTGTTATCATCTGTGCCCTGTTCATTGTCTGCTTGAATATTCTGTCTGTCTATCTATAGAGAGGAAGAACAATAACCTTCATTATCAGAAACCTCATTCTAAGTTTACTTTTCTGTCTAGGTGTCCTTGTACTTTTTAAATATATAAATATGCTTTTTCACTGAGTAGCAATAGAAGTAGTATTTTTGCTAGGCTTGAGTTGCTTACTATTAAAAAAAATTATACTTACATATTTATAATAAAACCTAATCTTAGGCTCAGATGCACATACAACTAAAGAGCAGTGCTTGTCTTTTGCTTAATGTTCATATTACAAGGTTAACTTTTATTTATAATTAATATATGAACGTGTTCTTTTTTAAAAAATACACAATGTGATGGATAAATCTAATGTCCTTTTTGATAATCACCCTGGTTTTAAGAATATAACTGTCTAGAGAAACTAACTAATAGAGCTCATTGTGTATTATCTAGAAGTCATTGTATGCCAGGCAATTTTCTGACAATCTGATGGGGTTGGCACTATTTTTAATCCCTATTTTACAGATGAGGAAACTGATGCAGAGAGAGGTTTTCATATAGCTCACCAAGTCACTAGCCAGTAAGTAGTAGAGCCAGGATTCAAATTAAGGAAAAAAAGCACCTGAGAAGCTTCCTGCTGCTTTCTGATCACCTCCTTACTCGCTAAGGGTAACCACCATCCTGCTTTCTAACTGCATACATTCATTGTGCCTCTTTCTGTATTTTATATAATTTCATATAAAAATATGTTTGTATATGGCAGAAAAAAATAACAAAAAACAAAAAACAACTCTGCAAAACCAAGAGCTGGTAGATTTGGCCCTTGGGCTGTAGTTTGCTGTCCCTTGTTCTACAGCAACAGAGCTGTGACTGGTGTGTGGCTGCTCTGCCATGGACTACATTTCCCATTCTCCTTTGCAGCCAGTGTGGCCATGTGACCAGCTGAATATAAGAGGAAGTGTGTGTGCCACTTACATGACTGACCTGTGAAACTCGTGCCCACTCCTTCACACCTTTGCCTACTTTCTTACCAGATGAAATGGTGATGACTGGAGTGACCTCGGAAGCTACTTATCAAAGGCAGAAGAGCCACCATCAGCCTGGATTCCTGATAACTCTATGGAGCCGAGTTGCATGCCTGCCTAAATAGTATATTGTGGAACTCTTTCATAGGAGACAAACTTATGTATTTTTTAAGTCACAGAATTCTTGGTGAGTTTTGATTTGGCCATTTAGTCCTCCCTAAATAATTCAGTGCCCATTCAAGCATGTAACGATATTTTTAGCTGGGTCAGAAATAAGAATTTGTGGTGTTCCAGGCCGGGTACGGTGGCTCACGCCTGTAATCCCAGCACTTTGGAAGGCCAAGGCGGGTGGATCACTTGAGGTCAGGAGTTCGAGACCAGCCTGGCCAACAGGGTGAAACCCCATCTCTCCCCAAAATACAAAAATTAGCCAGGTATGGTGGCGCATGCCTGTAATCCCAGTTACTCGGGAGGCTTGAGTATCACTTGAGATATTGCTTGAACCCGGGAGGTGGAGGTTGCAGTGAGCCAAGATTGCACCACTGCACTCCAGCCTGGGCGACAAGAGTGAGACTCCGTCGAAAAAGAATAAGAAGAATTTGTGGTGTAAGCCTCTGTGTCCTTGCGCAGACTGCCCCCTTAGTGTCCCACAGTTTTTGTGGAATTACTGCCCTTCCCAGAATGTTCACAAACCCTGAACACAGACGTCTATCCAGTCCTGTTGTTTTGCATGAGGTTCAGGAGCCTTGTGGGAAAGAAGCCAAATGGTCTGTGTTCTCATTTAGGGTTCAGACGTTTATAGGCTTGTCCCGTGGGCTAGAGGTCCTCAAAGATGTCTTTGCTAGAGGAGAGAAAAACATGAACAGGTCCCTGAGAGAAAATCAATGTAAGTGAAGATGACATCTGGCTGAGAGGACCAGACTAGATGATTATACATTAGAGTGTTCCTTGATGGCAGGTGCCATGAGAGATGTGCCACGGTGCACCCTTACCTGTACTCTCTTACTCTCTTGAAAGCCCTGTCTCCTGGGAAGGAAAGAAAGAACTGTGTCACTGGGGGCCCCATGTGGCTCTGTGGGAGCCTTGGAGGTAGCTGCTGATTTTCCGTAGAACAGTGGACAGCAGTGTTCTGACTGAGTCTGGTATTTTGGTGGTTGACAGCAGTACACACCATGACCAGTGGCTGGCTCAGTAGTGAAGCAGAAGCATGAGGAAGCCTGCAGGCTGTGGTTTGGATTCTCTTTGAGTCCCTTTTTCATCAGGATTTGAAAGAGAAAATGATTTACACAGGACTCTCAGACTGGTAGGGGCTTGTGTACATTCAGCATATAGCAATTAACAGCTTGATGATTTGCAGAAATTCTTCATGGAGGATGCTTATTTAAAAGAGCTGGAGGGCTGCGTGTGGTGGCTCATGCCTATAATCCCAGCACTTTGGGAGGCTGAAGTGGGCAGATCACTTGAGGCCAGGAGTTCAAGACCTCTACTGTTGCTGTATCACTGCCCTGGTGATTCAGCAGTGAGTCCTGCGCTCATGGATATTACATTCTTGTGGAGAAGACAGACAATGAACTTCTACAATGTGTGGAAGATTGGTTGCTATTTACTGAGTTGGGGAAGATTGTGGGTGGAGTAATTTTGGGGAGGAAGATCAGGAGTTTTACTGGGGGCATGTTAAATTTGAGGTGCCAGTTGGATGTCTAACAGGAGCTGTCAAATAGGAGTTGGTAGCCGGGTGTGGTAGGCGGAGGTTGTAGTGAGCCTGAGATCACATCACTGCACTCCAGCCTGGGCGACAGAGTGAGACTCTGGCTCGCTGCTTTCTCTCTCTCTCTCTCTCTCTCTCTCTCTCTCTATCTCTCCATATGTATATATGTGTGTGTATATATATATGTGTGTGTGTGTGTGTGTGCATATATATATATATATATATATATGCTGGATAAAGGGGTCCCAGAGTCAAGTGGAGAGATGTAGGATAGGAATATCAAATTGGGAGACATCTGTTAATAGATGACATTTAAAGATACAGGCCTCTATGATATCATTGAGAGAATGTGTGTGGATAGAGGAAAGGTCCAGGGACCTAGCCTAGGGAGCTTTTATTTAGGGCTTAGGAGATGGGAAGACAGATGGAATGGTCATGGAGGAAGGAGGAGAAAACAAGGATGCCCAAAGGAGAAAGTGGTATTAGAAGGGGAGAGGGATCAGCTCTGTCAGATGTTGCTGATCAGTTGAGTAAGTTGAGGACTGGGATGACCGTTGGTTTTGGCACTGTGGAGGTCTGTGGGCAATTTCAGTGGAGTGATGGGGATGACAGCCTAATTTCAGTAGGTTCAGGAGGGAACAGGAGGAAGGAAGTAGAGTGGTTTGGGAAGGGGGCAGAGAAAGGGGGTGGTACTGCAGGAGGATGTGGGTCAGCAGGGGAGACTGCTGTTTGCCAGGTTGTCAGCTGATTCTTCCATTTTGAAGAACGAATTACCCATTTCTGCCCCTCCAAGGAGACCTCTCATGACATCAAAACCTGTCTGTCCTCCAGGGCCACTGTCTCTGAAGCAGGGCAAACACTCCTCAGTTCTCACTCTGTAGGACGCTCCCTTTGACTCGATCCATCCCTTGGTTCATGCAGCCCTTCTTCAGCATTGACAGAGAGGAAAGAAAGCTGGATAACTTTCAGGGATATTTCATCCAGGTCATGGGGAAGCCTCAGGCACCACTCCAATAACTCTTTGCTTTTTTTCCTTGACCTCTTCCCACTTTGCAGTGTTTTCTTCACAAAGCAGCCAAAGTGATCTTTATTTTTTCTTTCTGCTTCATGTCTCCTTCATACAGAGTGATCTGTTAAAAACCAGACTATCTCATTCCCGTTTTCAAACAACAACAAACCACCACCACTTTGCAATGGCCTCAGCATGTCCTTAAGCTAAATATACTGTTCTACCCTGGCTCTCAGGCCCTGTGTGGTCTGGATTACGGCTGTCTCTGTGATTTCAGCTCTGCTACTGCTGGCCCATTCCCTGTCCTGCTTCCCCCGTTAGGTTTCTTTTGGTGAGCAGGACAAGCTCATTCCTTCCTCAGGGACCTCACATTCTGTTTACCCTGATCTGACCCTTTTTTTCTCCCTTATCTTCTGTTGGCTGACACTGCCTGACATTGAGGTCTGAGCTCCGAGTCTGGTAATTCTTCCCTGGTGACGTATCTAGAGCTGACTGCCCCAGTCAACATGACAGTACCCTTTTTTCTTCATAGCAGTTATCACTAACTGAAATGATCTTGCACACTTATTTGTTTAAAAGTCTGTTTTCCTTTTTTTTAAATTAAGATGGAGTCTCACTCGGTCACCCAGGCTGGGGTGCAGTGGCGTGATCTTGACTAACTGCAGCCTCCGCCTCCTGGATTCAAGGGATTCTCCTGCCTCAGCCTCCCAAGTAGCTGGGATTATAGGCATGTGCCACCACACCTGGCTAATTTTTGTATTTTTATTAGAGACAGAGTTTCATCATGTTGGCCAGTCTGGTCTCGAACTCTTGACTTCAATTGGTCCGCCCACTTCAGCCTCCCAAAATGCTGGGATTACAGGCACGAGCCACCACACCTGGTCTAAAAGTCTGTTTTCTATCTCCCTCCATTGGACTGTGAGTCCTCCCTGCCTTATTCTCCACTGTAATACAGTGTCTTGGTATCTGATACCTTATAGTAAGCACTCAACAAATATTCCTCAAGCATTCAATAAAGGAACAACTCCTGTCACCAAAGGGGTCTGGAACATCAAGTCCGCCACTCCACTGGATCTCAGGATAATGCTAGAAAACTGCTGCTAAAGTCTTGTGCTTTGAATTATTCCCGTTGACTAGATTCTATTCCTTTTTTAGATGATCTTGTCCTTTTTCAAACCGGTTTTGTCTGCAGTCCCTTCAGCCTTAACTCCAAGCCCTACTCTTCCACCTTTTGGTGTGAAAAGCACGTTATGAATGACTTTTGCAGAGAGCAAAGAACACCATGGATTTATTTAATTAGTTCTCTCACATTCTTGGCAGGCACCTCATTCCAGCCTCTTGTCACAAACGCAGATATGGAAAGCACCATGTCTAGTGTCTGATATTGAGAGCAGGAGCTCACAGTATACTTTTCCCCTTTGCTCCAAGCTGACCACTCAGCCTAGCACCAGAGAATGAACTATGTCTTTTACCCTGGCAGTCCAGGGAGAATGTGGCTTTGGCCCTGAGCTTTACAGCAGGTATCTGTTCAGGCCAGGCTTTTAATAACATCCATTTATTGGTCAGGCACAGTGGCTCACACCTGTAATCCTAGCACTTTGGGAGGCCAACGCCGGTGGATCACTTAAGGTCAGGAGTTCAAGACCAGCCTGGCCAACATGATGAAACCCTGTCTCTACTAAAAATATGAAAATTAGCTGGGCATGATGGCAGATGCCTGTAATCCCAGCTACTTGGGAGGCTGAGGCAGGAGGATCTCTTGAACCCAGGAGGCAGAGGTTGCAGTGAGCTAAGATCGAGCCATTGCACTCCAGCCTGGGTGACAGCAAGACTCGGTCTCCACACACAAAAATAAAATTTTAAAAGGCTGGGCACGGTGGCTCATGCCTGTAATCCCAACACTTTGGGAGGCCTAGGCGGGCGGATCACCTGAGGTCAGGCATTTGAGACCAGCCCGACCAACATGGAGAAACCCCGTCTTTACTAAAAATACAAAAAAAAAAATAGCCAGGCATAGTGGCGCATGCCTGTAATCCCAGCTACTCGGGAGGCTGAGGCAGGAGAATTGCTTGAACCCGGGAGGTGGAGATCGCACCATTGCACTCCAGCCTGGGCAACCAGAGCGAAACTCCCTCTCAAAAAAAACAAAACAAAACAAAACAAAAAACAAAATTGCATCCATTTATTATCAAGGGAGCACTCATAGCAGAACTTCACTTAGAGTCAATAGGCAATCTCTCCTGAGGTTTCCATGGGGACCTGGAGTTTTAGAGCAATTTCTGGGAAGAACATTGGAAGGAAATTGTGGGGCAAGATGTTAATACAGTCACACCGTTCTGGCACACGCTGTTTCTGCAGCCGTAAGTGACGGTTGAATCAGTTCCCACTCAAGGCCCACAGGATGCAGAGCTATGTTTGACCTCCTTGGGGCCAGATGCTGAGGAGATCTTGTCCCTGCCCCTGGAATACAGGAAAAATAAGTTCAAGTCCTTGGCCCCCGTTACAGTTTTGCATTTGCTAGTGACATACTGTGTGACCTTGGGAAAGTCACTTAACCTCTCTGGGCCTTCCTTGCCTCACCTAAGAATTATTTTGAGGCTCAAATGAGATTGTGTGTGTGTTGGCAGGGAAGAGAATATTTCATACACCGAAAGGTGAAGTGTTTTGTTGCTTTTTTTTTTTTTCTTTTTTGGAACAGAGTTTTGCTCTTGTCACCTAGGCTGGAGTGCAGTGGCACGATCTCAGCTCACTGCAACCTCTGCCTCTCAGGTTCAAGTGATTTTCCTGCCTCAGCCTCCTGAGTAGCTGGGACTATAGACACCTGCCACCATGCCTGGCTAATTTTATATTTTTAGTAGAGACGGGTTCACCATGTTGGCCAGGCTGCTCTCGAATTCCTGACCTCAGGTGATCTGCCTGCTTTGGCCTCCCAAAGTGCTGGGATTACAGGTGTGAGTCATCGTGCCTGGCCCCAGATAGCTCATCTAAGCTCTTCATGTGTATGAACTCAATCCTCAAAACAACAATATAAGGTAGATACCATTATTCTCCTCATGTTACAAATTAGGAAACGTAGGCACAGTAAAGTAAAGTGACTTATAGAAAGCCACATAGCTAGTGAGTGGTGGAGACAGGATTTGAATCTAGGCATTCCCACTCCAGGGCCTGGCTGCCATCCAATTCCCAGTTCACCCAGTTCCAAGTTCATGCCCACATTCTGTAATCAGATAATGGGTCACTAGCAAGGTGCTGTCTGTTGTAGGGCAGGAGTGGGTCACTGAGCTTCCCCATGGTCGGGATGAAGTGTCCTTCACAGCTGTCCACCTGAAGTAACTTACCCTGTAGTTACTGCAAATAAACTTTATCAATAAATGTCAAACTTGTTAAAAAGGCAAATGTCCAGAACCTCCCTGAGTGGTTCTGGTTTAGTAAGCATCCCAGTCAGGTCTCAGCGGCAGAGAACAGAAATTGCTTGCTACGTGAATCCAAAAGGCATTTGATTCAAAGTGATGGAGACGGGAAACAAACATCTAGAGAAACAGTCATTCATAGTGAAGTTCTGCTATAATTGCTCCCTTGATAATAAATGGATGCAATTTTGTTTTTTGTTTTGTTTTGTTTTGTTTTTTTTGAGAGGGAGTTTCACTGTGGTTGCCCAGGCTGGAGTGCAATGGTGCGATCTCAGCTCACCACAACTCCACCTCCCAGGTTCAAGCAATTCTCCTGCCCCAGCCTCCCGAGTAGCTGGGATTACAGGCATGCGCCACTATGCCTGGCTAATTTTTTTGTATTTTTAGTAAAGACGGGGTTTCTCCATGTTGGTCGGGCTGGTCTCAAACGCCTGACCTCAGGTGTAGCAGTCGGAGATGCACTCACTTCTAGCCTTGGTGCCCAGACCTGTGAACTCTGGCAGTACTGTCACTGGTTCAGAGCATCTACTACATCTTATGGGACAGAACCCCAGTGTCACCAGGTGGTGTCTGCCAGCGGATACTGTAGCTCAGTCTCCAATGGGCCATTCATTCTACCATCAAGAAGATCACCTACCCCTGGGGACCACGGTAAGATCAGAGCATCTGGGGGGTACCAGCATATGGACCCATTTCTTTTGCTGTGAATGGATTTGTGATCAGAAGCAATGTGGGTGTCTGGCGTTGTGGCAGTGGATGAGGCATTCATTGAGTTGGTAAGTTGCTGGCAGAAGCATGGTGATTAGGAAAAGGAAATCCATGTGTGGAAGAAGTGTTTATTCAAGGGAGGGGAAAAGTCACCTGTCTTCCATTTTGTTTTCAATTAGCAATAATCACGCCTCGGATAAACCTCATTGGCTATGATACTGCCACACGCAAAGCTCTGTCTTCCCTTTTGGAAGGGATGCCTCATAATTAAGATGCCATAGCTCAGCCTTGGTCTCCACTTAGGGCTTCAGCAGAGAAGGCAGCTGAGTCAGCTCTGGTGAGGGAAAGATGGTGATTGAGTCCATGCACACCTCCGTCCCTGCCGCCATGGCTGCTTGGTTCGTGGGCCTACAGTATAAACATGGGCACTGTCGGTGACTTGCACAGAGGAGTCAGTCCACATCCTGGTTCTTTAGTGCTGTTTCCAGCGAGGACCTGTAGTGAGCAACCACTTGTGTTACCAATATCCTCAAACCCCATGCCCAGAAATTTTTTTTTTTTTTTTTTTTTTTGAGACGGAGTCTCCCACTCTCGCCTGGCTGGAGTGCAGTGGTGCAATCTTGGCTCATTACAACCGTCGCCTCCTGGGTTCAAGCGATTCTCTGCCTCAGCTTCCTGAGTAGCTGAGACTACAGGCGTGTGCCACCACGCCTGGCTAATTTTTGTAATTTTAGTAGAAACAGCGTTTCACCATGTTGCCCAGGCTGGTCTGGAACCCCTGAGCTCAGGCAATCCACCCTCCTTGGCCTCCTAAAGTGCTGAGATTACAGGCATGAGCCACCGCGCCCAGCCGAAATCAGCATTTTAATAGCCAGACTCACTCCCACTTCCCCACCCGGAAGTCTACTGCAGGTGTTCTGGGACCATGTATCATGAAATATGGATTTAGGTATATTGCTAATTTTAAGTGTAATTAGGCTGTTTTTAGTAAGTGGGTAAACTTTAGCACCTTTCCAAAGTGGTGGCTGGTGTGGCTAATTACAGAAAGTGGCAAGAGAGGTCAGGAACTGTATCTCAGCCCATTCATGTTTGGTTGTAAAATGTGCTAATACTCTTGATTTAGGCATCTGGTCAGGTGGGGGAATATTGACTTTCTCCAATCTCTGGATTTTAAGAGCATCTTTTTAGGTCTGATCCTTATGACAGGGCTCAAGTTAGTGGCCCTCCCCAAAAAGGGTGATATTTAGGTTCTTGCATCTCCAATGCCAAACCCCAGTGGTCATGACATTGCATTGCAGAGGTTCCTATAATCTGACGGTTGTTGTATTTCTGGATAAACCCTTTGTTAATGATCATCCAGCTTGTTCCTTATGCTTTTGAATATTGAGAGAACTTATATATTGCAAGGATTTTTGTTGTTGTTGTTATTTTGAGACAGAGTCTTGCTCTGTCGCTCAGGCTGGTGTGCACGATCTTGGCTCACTGCAGCCTCCGCCTCTGCAGGGATTTTTGTTTCGAAACTTGGAACCCAAGATGCACATCTTAAATATCTAAGGCAGCAGGCATTTTAAAGTAAACAAAGTCAAAAAAGTGTGGCTGAACTTGATTCTGTAATTACCTCATTGCGGGAACTAATAATTCCTGTCAGTTCTGAGCAATATTAATCCTTACAGGAATTACACCAGAATAAAGTATATGTTTGGGCACTTCCCCAAGTATCGAAGGCACCGTCAGGAGTTGTTTTACATGATTGCCTCAGGGGAAACAAGAGATAGTTATGCTTTATATATTTTTAACAAGAACTGTCACTTAAATGAGATCCTTTTGCTTTCCTGTCTTCTGTCACTTAAATGATTTTTACACCTGTTAGACTTCTAGGCATCTTGGAAACTTTCAGAAACAAACGAATCAATTTTTTTCAATTTCTGTGGAGGACAATCCAGATATTTATCTATAGAAATGACCTGTGACCATCCCCTTTGACTTAGGAATTCGTCATCTAGGAATTTATCTTACAGATATATACTGCACGCATATAAAATGGTGGATACACGAGGAAACTCATTGTAGCTGTGGGCATAACAACAGGAAGTTGGAAACCATCTGTAGGCTTATCAACTGGGGGCTGATGAAATGTTTATGTTTCTTAAGCTGAGTGATGGCTTAAAATTTTTTAAAAAATCTATCTATACATATAGATATATATATTTTTGAGACAGAGTCTCCCTCTGTCACCTAGGCTGGAGTACAGTGGCACAATCTCGGCTCACCGCAACCTCTGCCTCCCTGGTTCAAGCAATTCTCCTGCCTCAGCCTACCAAGTAGCTGGGATTACAACTGTGAACCACCATGCCCAGCTAATTTTTGTATTTTTAGTAGAGACGGGGTTTCCCCATGTTGACGAGGCTGGTCTGAAACTCCTGACTTCAAGTGATCCGCCTGCCTCGGCCTCCCAAAGTGCTAGGATTACAGGCATAAGCCACTGCACCCAGCCAAAATTAAAAAAAAAATCTTAAACATGATATAAATATTCTTTTGTATGTATTAGTTGGTGCAAAAGTAATTGCAGTTTTTGCCTTTACTTTCAAATTAAACCTATATTAAATATGTAATAAACCTATATTATATATGTAATACAATTAAATTTAAAGAGCAAGTGGAAATCTGTACTAAAAGATAAAAACGTGTATTTGCTTATATTTGTACAGAATATCTATAGGAATATCCAGTATCCAGTACCAAATTGGTAATATTGGTTGCTTCTGAGAAGAGAACTGGGTGGCTAGGGTCACGGGAGGGAGGGAAACTTCATTGTGTACCCTTTTGTGTTTTTAAGTGTTGTAAGCCCTGTGAATATATTACTTATTAAGGGTAGAATTGACTGGGCGCAGTGGCTCACGCCTGTAATCCCAGCACTTTGGGAGGCCGAGGCGGATGGATCACCTGAGGTCAGGAGTTCAAGACCAGCCTGACCAATATGGTGAAACTGCATCTCTGCTAAAAACACAAAATTTAGCTGGGCGTGGTGTCATGTGCCTGTAGTCACAGCTACTCGGGAGGCTGAGACAGGAAAATCGCTTGAACCCGGGAGGTGGAGGTTGCAGTGAGCCAAGATCATGCCACTGCACTCCAACGTGGGCTACAGAGCAAGACTCTGTCTCAAAAAAAAAAAAAAAAAAGATTTAAAATAAAAAAAAAAAACAAATAAATCACACTTCCCCTCACTGTTTTTTTTTTTTTTTTTGTAGAGACAAGGTCTTGCTATGTTGCCCAGGCTGGTCTGGAACTCCTGGACTCAAGCAATCCTCCCACCTTGGCCTCCCAAAGTGCTGGGACTACAGGCATGAGCCACTGTGCCTGGCTAACTTTTTTTTTTTTTTCAAACAAACACAACTTGAAACAAGTATAGCCTCAGATGTTCTCTCTGATCAAAGTTTCATTGACCAAGAGCAAGAAAAGCCAAAAGAAATTATTTTTCTGTTATACCGCTCCGAGCCTGTTTGTTTACCAATTCTAACCCTTTGATTGGGCTGCTGTGAGTGAAAGTGAGACCTTGAAATTGTGAGTCTAGGTGAAACCATTAAACAGCTAAGTAGCTGTCTGTGTGCTGGTCAGGGGTGTGTTTCTGTGGCATATATGGCATTAAGCTGCGATCTGGGTACAGAAATGCTCAGAAAGCCCATGAGCTCATGCGAAGAGAGAAAACCTTTTTAGCAGATGTGTGAGACAGGAAAAATAGTTGGTACTTTCTTTCTTTTTTTTTTTTTGAATCGGAGTCTCGTTCTGTTGCCCAGGCTGGAGTGCAACGGCGCGATCTCGGCTCACTGCAAGCTCCGCCTCCTGGGTCACACCATTCTCCTGCCTCAGCCTCCCGAGTAGCTGGGACTACAGGCGCCCGCCAGCACGCCCGGCTAATTTTTTGTATTTTTAGTAGAGATGGGGTTTCACCGTGATAGCTAGGATGGTCTCGATCTCCTGACCTCGTGATCCACCCGCCTCGGCCTCCCAAAGTGCTGGGATTACACGCGTGAGCCACCTCTATTAAAAATACAAAAAAATTAACTGGGCATGGTGGCATGCCTGCAGTCCCAGTTACTCCGGAGGCTGAGGCAAAAGAATTGCTTGAACCCAGGGGGCGGAGGTTGCAGTGAGCCGAGATCGTGCCACTGCACTCCAGCCTGGCAACAGAGTGAGACTCCGTCTCAAATAAATAAAATAAAATGAAAAAATTAGCCAGATGTGGTGGTGTGTGCCTGTAGTCTCAGCTACTCAGGAGGTGGGAGGATCTGTTTGAGCCCAGGACGTCGAGGCTGCAGTGAGCCGTGATTATGCCACTGCACTCCAGCCTAGGTGACAGAGTGAGATCCTGTCTCAAAAAAAAAAAAAGATGTAGATGAACAGCCAGATGAAGAGATCAGGTGTGGAAGGGTCCTGAGTGCAGGAGCTTCTGTCCCCATGGAGTTGGGGTGCACCACCCTCCCAGCACATGGACGTGTTCTGCTATCCGGAAGCTCTCTGAACCCCATAGTTCAGTACTTCGGCTTCATCAGGTAGGCATGATGGAAGATTAATTCAGTCTCTAGCCCTTCCCCATCTCTAAAGAATGGAGGATGGGGCTGAAAGCTCCAAGCTTCTAATCATTGCTTAGTCTTTCCAGTGAGCAGCCCCTGTCCAGGAGCTCACCAAGAGTCCCCTTATTAGAAAAAAAGATGTTCCTCAGAAAAATTCCAAGGGATTCAGGAACTCTAAGTCAGGTGTTCCTATTACTCAGGAAATCAAAGGTTTAAGAGCTCTGTCTCAGGTACCTGGGGCAGAGACCCAATAATTCCAACAAAAGTTTCTCCTAGAACCCCTATTGCTCAGGAAATCACAAGGGTTTTCGAAGCTCTGTGCCAGGAACTTGGGGTGGAGACCAATATACATCATTCTTTTTTTTTTTTTTTTTTTTGAGATGGAGTTTCACTCATTGCCCAGGCTGGAGTGCAATGGCACGATCTCAGCTCACCGCAACCTCCGCCTCCTGGTTCAAGCGATTCTCCTGCCTCAGCCTCCCAAGTAGCTGGGATTACAGGAATGCGCCACCATGCCTGGGTAATTTTGTATTTTTAGTGGAGACGGGGTTTCTCCATGTTGATCAGTCTGGTCTCGAACTCCCAACCTCAGGTAATCCGCCTGCCTCGGCCCCCCAAAGGGCTGGGATTACAGGCATGAGCCACTGCGCCCAGCCCAATGTACGTGATTTTTATTTCACAGCAGATATCTCTTGATTTCTTTAAAAAAAAAATCTTAAATAGTACCTTGAGAGAACCCCTAATGACAGATAATATGTATGGAGTACTCATTTTGTGCCAGGCACTGCTCAAAACTACTTATTGGGCATGAAATTATTAGTCCTTACAATAACCTTATGAAGTAGGAATGATTATTATCCTTATTTTTCAGATGAAGAAATGGGAGTGGGCAACTTGCCCAAAGTAGCACAGTTAATATGTAAAGGAATGTGATTTGAACCTGGGCCTGACTCCAGAATCACTACACCATAAAGTGGAGATTCAGTCACACTGGAATAAATCCAAAGGCAAAATGAGGGCATTGCTTCTTGTGCTGGTCTTGGGTCTAAGGAGGGGCATATTGCAGAGGTGAGAGCCAAGGGGAAAAGATGGAGTGGGCTGTCTGTGGCACACGGGATGTCTTTACTACTGGACAGCCTTGAACCACAAGATGTGATGTAGGGCTGAATCTTGTAGGAAAAAAGCGGTCAGGGTAAGCTCTTCAACATCAGATGTGAGAAGACCAGCGTTTTGCAGTGTCCTTTGGCTGTGGTGGACAGGTTTGGGCTGGCAGAAGGGTCAGTGGAGACCAGCTGGGGGAGACCTGCATGCAGTGGCAGGGGGTTGGGAGTGAAATGAGGGAAGAATGGACTTGGTAGGTTTGGTTTGACGACGTAGTGGAGTTTGTATTGGCTGAACGTTGCAAAGGAAGCAAGGAGAGAATAATAACATGCGCCAGCATCCAGAGATGAGTTGAGGAGGCGTGCCGTCTGACTTCTACATTCAGGCACATTTCACACTTCTGTCAGGTACTCTGCTCTGAGCTTTTGGAATCTTTCTTTCATGTATTCCTCCGTACAGTGTTTGCAGGTGGTGTATGGATGCTGTCAATCCCTGCTTTCCATAGGCACCCTCCTTACTATTCCTTGCCTAAGTGACCTAACACACTTGGTCCTGGCTTGGGCAGGCGGGAAGCATGGAGTTAATACATTCTGGAGCAGCCTTCAGCCCTGATGGGTGGGAGTAGGTGGATAAGTGGCTTAGCTTTCTTGCTCCTTGGAGGGTACAACTCTGGGCTAGACGCTGCACCATCTCCCAGGGTCCCCAGCAGCCTTGGTCCCCAGCTGCCCACAACAGCCTATCCTCTTGGCACCTGCTCAGTGACCTGGCTGGCTTCCTTGTTCCTTGACTCACGTCCCCACTCCCTACTGGTGTTTCCTAGGATCACCTACCAAATAAACAACTTCTACCGAATTTCCTGTCTCAAGGCATGCATTGGGGAAACTCAACCCAATGCAGTTTCCAGATGATAATATCTACACCCCGAGAGGTTATTTCACTTGCTCAAGCTCACATATCCAGTATGTAACAAATCTAGGACTTTAGCCCAGCTTTCCTTAGCCCCAGCCTGGTGTTGTCTTCTGCTCTACCATGCTTAGTATCTGCTATAATGACACCCTAGGTCCTTTCACATGTTGGGCTTTCCTGCAGGAGTCTGGCCTATTAGACCATAAACTCATAAAAAGCAGAACTATGACCTTGATAACTTTGTATATTCAAGAACAGCAGGAACTGTGTCTTTCAGCGAGTAGATGCTTAATAAGGATTTATTGAAAGGAAAGGAGATAGAGCAAGAGGAAGTATGTGAGGGGAAGAGGAGATGGGAGCATGAAATTGGGGCAGAGGAGAGAGACTCTTGTGCTCCTTCTTGACATGGGGCACAAGAGTGACTTGCTTTGGAGGAGGCTATGGCTAGAGTGTCACAGGCAAAAGCCCAGGAGGCCCACGGGTGAGCAGAAAATTACAGAACTTAAAAAATCATTTTTCTTGGAAATAATGTGTGAGACAGGGAAATCTAGTGAAAAAATATTTTTCAGTGCATGTATCCCTAAAAGGGAGGTTTTCTTTTTAAAAATTTTTTTTAAGACAGTCTCGCTGTGTCACCCAGGCTGGAGTGCAGTGGCGTGATCTCAGCTCACTACAACCTCCTCCTCCCAGGTTCAAGCGATTCTCATGCCTTAGCCTCCCGAGTAGCTGGGACTACAGGTGCATGCCACCACGCCTGGCTAATTTTTTTGTATTTTTAGTATAGAAAGGGTTTCATCATGCTCTCCAGGTTGGTCTTGAACTCCTGACCTCTTGTGATCTGCCTGCCTCAGCTTCCCAAAGTGTTGGGATTACAGGCATGAGCCACCGTGCTGGGCCTGTGTTTTGTTTTTAATATGAGATTAGTTATTATAACTTTGTAGAAAGAACATTGGGTGGATTTTCTCAGCAGAGTTAAGTCTACAACTCAGATACTCTAGGGCAGTAGTTTTTGAAGTACACAAGGCACTAGGACTTCTAAGGCACTCTCTTAGAAGCCTCCTCAAAAAGAAGGAGATGATAATAATTGATTACTACTTATTGAATTCTAATTAGACCATGTGCCAAGCCCCATGCTAAGTCTTGGTCTGTGTTATCTCATTTAATCCTCTTTGATATGAGTCCTGTTATCATTCCCACTTCACAGATTACGAAGCGGACACTCAAAGAGGTCCCCCAGCTAGTAAGTGGCCAAAGTGGGATTCATTTGACTGTTTGACTCCAGAGCTCATGCATTCATGGGCATGGCTACAGGTACCCTTCTCTTCACTCCTTCCCCAAGCATGCCCCCAATTCACCAGAATTGAAACTCAAGATTTTGACACCATAGAGAGCAAACTGGGGAACAGGAACTACACTGTTGGTTAGGACTTGGGAGAAGATAAATTAAAAAGTCTGACACTTTGATCACGTTCTGTAAAAGTCTTGGGGCTTTGCTTTCCCACTGTGAAGGGCATTTTGAAATACATCTTAATGAATGCATTCTGCTCTCTTGGTACACCAGGGGGAGCATTTAGTACAGGAATGGGAATACGGTGGCTCCAGGAAGTGACTATTCCTGCTCTTTGTAGGGAAGAACACTTTTTCTTTCTCTCTTTCTCACTGAAAAACACATTTTTCTGTTTGAACAGTTTGAAAGCAAGTTGCAGATATCATGAGACTTCACCTATAAATACTTCAGAAGGATTTCCTAAGAAAGATATTCTTCTGCTTTATGATGATATTATTATCACGTCTAAGAAACTTAACATTGATGCAACAATGATGTCTAATATGTGGTCTGTATTCAAACTTCTCCAGATATCCCCAAGATGTTCTTTATTGCTTTTTTTGGTTTCAATCCAAAATAAATTTTGTGTTCTCTTAATATTAGATCACAGTTATTCTTCTGGAATATTTTGCTGTGAAATGCTTATACTTTTTACCGTCTATTGAATAACTCATAAAGTTGATTTGCCATGCTTTATTAAGTTTCTCTTTGATTGATATTGTTTATTCCTATTATAAGTATACCATGATGTTAAGTGGGACTTCCCATTTCTCAGTTTTGACTCAGGCACCAATTAAATAGATATCAGAATCCAAAGTGAGTGTGAGATTGACGTGGTATACAGAATTCATCAAGTGTCACAGGTTAGGTTCCTCGTAAAAGGCTCTTGATGGACATTTGTATGGAGGCAGTTTATTGGGGGAGTGTTTGGGGCTCAGCAGCTAAGGGGGAAGAAAGGAAGCAGGATGAGACACAGGGAGGTGTTGAACTGTGATGCAATCCCTACTCAGCCAATCCCCAGAGACCTCTAGAGCTGGGATGGTGATATTTGGTTGTGTCCCCACCCAAATCTCATCTTGAATTGTAGCTGCCATAATTCCTACTTGTCGTGGGAGGGACCTGGTGGGAGGTAATTGAATCATGGGGGCATGTCTTTCCTGTGCTGTTCTCATGATAGTGAATACATCTCACGAGATCTGATGGTTTTATAAAGGGGACTCCCCCGCACATGCTGTCTTGCCTGCCGCCATGTTAAGACGTGACTTTGCTTTTCCTTCACCTTCCACCATGATTGTGAGGCCTCCCTAGCCATGTGGAACTGTGAATCCATTAAACCTCTTTCCTTTATAAATTATCCTGTCTCAGGTATGTGTTTATTAGCAGTGTGAGAACAGACTAATAGAGATGGTCTTGCAGAGTTGTTCCCTTCTGGAGCAAGGAGGCTGGGTCTTTATACCCCTAAAGGGACCAGTCAATGGATGCAGGTTGCCCCTGGGACAGAGATGTGATCACGGTAACTCCCTTCAGCTTAGAGCAATTTTCAGAGAGACTTGGAATAGAAATGAGGGCCTGAAGGGGATATTTGGGCAGGGACCACAGCATCCATAACAGCAGGGAAATGCTCGTGAACATGTTGCCTAACCCTGGATGCCCTCAGACTGAATACACGAGAGGTCAGAGTGGCAGCGGCATGAGGAGGAGGAAGGGTAGAGAGACGCCACTGGAGAGAGCATTGCCAGGCTGTGCCTCCACTCTCCCTCCCCAGGGGTAAGGGCCAGGAGTGCTACCACCTTCACCTCAAGGGTACGATGGGGGCTCTGATAGGACCACATATTTAACTTACATATTTCCTATGGTTGAGAAATATGTAACTGGCTAGAGTGGCCTGTGGCAGCAGGACACAGAGGGCTGGGTTTGGTCCTGTGTTCCCAGGGTTTGTTGGGGCAAGAGATGAGAGAGTGTTTCCTGGGACTTAAATGTGGGCCCTTGGCTGGGCACTGTGGCTCACGCCTGTAATCTCAGCACTTTGGGAGGCGGATCACTTGAGGTCAGGAGTTCGAGACCAGCCTGGCCAACATAGTGAAACCCTGTCTCTACTAAAAATATAAAAATTAGCTGGGTGTGGTATCATGCGCCTGTAATCCTAGCTACTTGGAAGGCTGAGGCACGAGAATCACTTGAACCTGGGAGATGGAGGTTGCAGTGAGCCCAGATCACACCACTGCACTCCTGCCTGGGCAACAGAGACAGATTCTGTCTCAGGAAAAAAAAGTGTGGGCCCCAGGGGAGAGACGATACTGAGCCAGAGCCATTTTTAAAACCCTTTTATTTTGAACGAATTTAAGACTCAGAAGAAATTGCAAAAATAAAAGGGAGTTCCATGTACCCTTCATCTGGCTTTCCCCATTGATAATGTAGAACCACCGTACATTTTCAAAACTAGGAAATTGACATTGACATTGACACAATACTGTGAACTAAACTATAGACCTTGATTTTCATGAATTTTGACATGCTCTTGTGTGTGCATGTGTATAAACAGTACTGTGAAATCTTGTCACACATATAGATATGTGTAATCACTACCAAAACAAGGACACCGTCACCAGCTTCCGTCACTGCAGAGAAACTCCCTCATACTAAAGCTTTGTAGTCAGGCCCTCCTGCCAACCCTAACCCCTGGCGACCACTCATCTGTTCTCTATCACCAGAATTTTGTCATTTTAAGAGTGTTCTGTAAATGGAATTGTATAGTACGTACCCTTTTGAGATTGCTTTTTTCACTCAGCATAACATCTTTTTTTTTTTTTTTTTTTTTTTTTGAGACAGAGTCTTGCTCTGTCACTCAGGCTGGAGTGCAGTGGCACGATCTTGGCTCACTGCAAACTTTGCCTCCTGGGTTCAAGCAATTCTTGTGCCTCAGCTTCCTGAGTAGCTGGGATTACAGGCGCCCGCCACCATGCCAGGCTAATTTTTGTGTTTTCAGTAGAGATGGGGTTTCACCATGTTGCCCAGGCTGGTCTCGGAACTCCAGGGCTCAAGCGATCCACCCACCTCGGCCTCCCAAAGTGTTGGGATTACAGGTGTGAGCCACTGCACCCAGCCAGCATGACATCTTTGAGTTCCATCCATATTGTTGCCTGTGTCAGTAGTTCATTCTTTCTCTATAACTTAGAGTTGTATTCTGTTGTATACCCATTCACAGTTTGTCATTCTGCATGAAAGTCATTTTAAATCCTGTCCAAGAGGACCCTCTGGGAGGGTGAGAGGAAGCCAAAGAGTGAAGTCTGAGTGGACGGGATTGCCAGAGAACCAGGGGCTGAGGGCAATAGCAGCTGGAATGGAATGCTTCTCCCTTGTTCTGAGAATTACAACTGGAGAGGTTCCCAGAGATGGGAATCACCAAAGATCCCAAGAAAAGTGCCCCAAGTGAGAGGCAGCTTTATATAGCTGCAAAGCCCAGTGAGCAGGAAGTCAGCTTACAACTGTGCCACTCAGAAGCCAATTAAAGTAGCTCCAGACATAACCACTTACCTCTTTGCCGTCTGTCCATTTGGGCATGGGATCCAAGCCAGTAGCTAGTGAGTGGAGGAGGATTATGGCGCATGGTGCAAGACAGAAGAAAATGACTACTTTCCCCTCACCTCCCTGGGAACTGCCAGCTCTCGCAAAGAAGGGGAAGAAATCTTTTGAGTGAAAATGGAATTGTTGATGAATAGAATGAACTGACTCACTGAATTACTCTAGTAAGACCATGTTTGTGACTTGATGTGACCATCAGACTGTCATTACTTGAAAGTGACACAGCAGGCAGGAGCCTGCAATTGTTTTCATCTGGAGTGAGGACAAGATTCTTTTCTCCTGCTGCCCCTCCTCCCTTTTCCCCCCTGGCAAACTGTATACATGGATGTGCAAATATCTCTTTGAGATCTTGTTTTCAGTTCTTTTGGATATATACCAAGGAATGGGATTGCTGGTCATATAATTGCTGGTAATTCTAGTTTTAATTTTTTGAGGAACCTCCATTCTGTTTTCCATGGGCGATACCATTTTACAGTAAAGGGATGATGGAAGAAAAACAATAAAGTGGCATTTTGATTATGTTACCCTATCAGTTACATAAATAACTTGGAAATAAACATCTTCTATATATAAGTTCTTTTTTTAATAGTATAATTTTCCTTAGAGCAAATTCCTGAGCATGGTATTAATAGGTCAAAGGACCAGGAAATGTTTGTGGTTCTTGAAACATATTCCAAATTGCTTTTCTTTCTTTCTTTTTCCTTTTTTTTTTTTCTCAGTCTGTTGTCCAGGCTGGAGTGCAGTTGCGTGATCCCGGCTCACTGCAAGCTCCGCCTCCTGGGTTCAAGTGATCCTCAGCCTCCCTCAGCTGGAACTACAGGCATGCACCACCATGCCCGGCTAATTTTTGTATTTTTAGTGAGATGGGGTTCCGCCATGTTGGTGAAGCTAGTGTTGAACTCCTGGCCTCAAGTGATCGACCTGCCTTGGCCTCCTAAACTGCTGGGATTACAGGAATGAGCCACTGCGCCCGGCCGCCAAATTGCTTTTCTAAATGTTTGTGCCAACTTACATTCCCACCAGATATTGTATGAAGGTTTTATCACATATTCAATGGCATGAGATAGTGTTATGAGATTGTTAATGTAATGGGATTTAAGTACCATTTTGATGTTTGAAATAATTTTTAAAGTGTTTTCATAAAATAATTCTTGCATTAAGTGTTTTATCAATGTCTTTAAGCTTGGCTTTAGTATCTTGAGTATAGAATGTAGCTGAGGGTCTGATTTCATAAATTAATTACTGGCCATTCATATCCAGGTTCCAGAGGGTTCCTTGGAGCAGTTAGAACCAGACCAAATCCTGTAGAATTGTGAGCAAGGAAGAAAGGGAGAGGCAAGGGCCAGAGGAGCAGTGAATATGAGAGACAGGTTCAAGGTATCTATTTTTATTTTATTTGTTTATTTAGAGATGGAGTTTTGCTCTTGTTGCCCAGGCTGAAGTGCAATGGCACGGTCTCGGCTCACTGCAACCTCTGCCTCCCGGGTTCAAGCGATTCTCCTGCCTCAGCCTCCCAAGTAGCTAGGGTCACAGGCGCCAGCCACCACTCCCCGCTAATTTTGTATTTTTAGTAGAGACAGGGTTTGCCATGTTGGTCAGGCTGGTCTCGAACTCCTGACCTCAAGTGATCCACCCGCCTTCACCTCCCAAAGTGCTGGAGGTTCAGGATCTCTAAATGAGAGGTAAACAAACTGAAGCAGGAGGCCAGATCAAGGAGATGCCCACCATGATGTCAGGAGGTGAGTTGGGAAAGGGCCTCAGGAGATAGGGATTCTTGCGTGGCCCCCAAAGGGGGTAGTGGGGTAGGGAATAAGCTTCCTCCTACCCTAAGCACCAATAAATTCAAAACTTTATTTATGTATTTATCTATTTATGGTAAAAATATAACATAAAACTCACTATCTTAAAGTGTACAGTAGTGTTAAGTATATTTGCATCATCATGCCACAGATCTCCAGAAGTTTTCATCTTGCAAATGGAAACTCTGTACTCATCAAACAACTCCCCATTTTCCTCTCTCCATATCCCCCCACTAACTGCCATTCTACTTTCTGTTTCTATCAGTTTAACTACTTTAGATACCTCGTATACGTGGAATCATAAAGCATTTATCTGCATTATTTTACTTAGCTTAATGTCCTCCAGTTTCATTCATGTTATAGTGTATGATAGGATTTTCTTATTTTGAAGGACTGAATAATATTCCATTGTATGTATATATCACATTTGCTTTATCATTTTTTCCATCACTGAACATTTAGGTTCCATCCACCTCTTGGCTATTGTGAATAATACTGCAAGCGACATAGATGTGCAAATATCTCTGTGAGATCTTGTTTTCAGTTCTTTTGGATATATATCAAGGAATGGGATTGCTGGTCATATAGTTGCTGGTAATTCTATTTTTAATTTTTTGAGGAACCTCCATTCTGTTTTCCATGGGCTCTACCATTTTACATTCCACAAACAGTGCACAAGTGTTTTAATTTCTTTATGTCTTTACCAGCAAGCACTTGTTATACAGTCTCCCTTCTTTCTTTTCATAGTGGGCATCCTAATGGGAGTGAGGTGATATCTCCTTGTGGTTTTCAGTTGCATTTTTCTGATGATTAGTAATGCGAACATCTTTTCATGTGCTTGTTGGCCATTTGTATATCACTTTTGGAGACATGTCTGTTCAAGTACTTTGCCCGTTTTTTAATTGGGTTATTTGATTTTTGTTGTTGAGTTGAGGGAATTCTTTATATATTCTAGATATTAGTCCCTTCTCAGATGTATTATATGAGCATATTTTCTTCAATTCCATAAGTTGCCTTTTCACTATATTGATTGTATCTTTTGGTGCACAAAAGTTTTTAAGTTTGATATAATTCCATTTGTCTACTTTTGCTTTTTGTTGCCTATGCATTTAGTGTCATACCAAGAAATCATTGGAAATATGTTTTTTCATTTGTTTAAGCCTGTAGGAGGAAATACGGTTTGAGTGAACTTTAACATCTTGGAAAAGTAAGCCTTGGTCAAGCTTACAGACAAGAGACTAGGCTGGTTATTCATCCTGTGAAACAGCCCTACAAATTTACCTACACCATGGAATCCAAGATCCCACTGATAATGTGAACTTACTCCTTTTTGTTTGTCTTCTCCCTTCTAATGTTAATTTTTTTAACTGCAGGAAAAATAACAAAATAACAGAATTCTTCTTTTATAAGATAGATTTGGGAGCATGTACTGATCTTTTGAGTGAGGTGGAGAGGTCAAAATAAAAATACTAAAATGTGAATAAAACTTTGAGACTTAGATGGAGACCTAGTTAAACCTTTTCTTCAAATGCCATCAATGCCAAAGAGCAGCAGTTGTTTTACTAATTCATTCACCAAAAGTGATTATCAAACGTCTACTATGTTCTGGGCACTAACTAGCCAAGGCAATATAGGTGTGTATAAGAGGCAAGTCTCTGCTGTCTGTGAGTCTATGCAGAATCTCGTCTTCCGTTAGAAGCATCAACAAACATGTATTGCCTGCCCTCCCTCTGCTAGAAGTTTGGGGAGACATGTTATGGACTAAATGTTTGTGTCCCCCAAAATGTACATGTTGAAGCCTTAACGCCCAATGTGATGGTATTTGGAAGTGAGGCTTTTGGGAGGTAATTAGATATAAATGAGGTCATGAAGGTGTGGTCCCCATGATGGGATTAGTGGCCTTATAAGAAAAGAGACAAGAGAGGTTCTTCTCTTTTTCTGCCACATGAGGACACAGTAAGAAGGCAGCTATCTACAAGCCAAGAAGAGGGTCCTCACTAGGAACTGAAGCCTGCTGGACCTTGATTTTGAAATTTCCAGGCTTCAGAGCTGGGATTCCTGTGTTTAAGCCACCACCCAGTCTATGGTATTTTGTATGGCAGCCGAAACAGACTAATACAAGGCATAAGGGACAGTGAGATGCTGTTCATCCTCTCAAGGGTTCGTGAACTTGTTACCGTGGCCTCCGCAGTCCCTGTGTTCACTTATCTTTGCTAAGGGCAAATCACTGATGAGATGGACGCATTTTATAACTGGAGAATAAAAGGGATGAGGCCCTACAGGCTGAGGGTTACAACCAGGTGTCTGAAGGAGTCAGTGTCCCAAAGAGTGAGAATAGTGGAGTGTGTAAGTGGAGAATAACCAGGTAGGTGCTTAAAAGTGAACCTGTGTTGACTGTATTCACTTATTTCATAAGACAACTTTTGGAGGCCAGACACACCACCTTTAAAAAGTAATTGTATAAGTGTCCTAGTGCTGTGCATGAAGTCCCATAAACTGGGTGCTTTTTAAACACCCAGTTGTTTTTACAATAGAAGTTTATTTTCCCACAGTTCTGGAGGCTGGAAGTCCAAAATCAAGGTGTCATCAAGCCTATGCTTCATTTGAAAACTAGAGGGGAGAATCCTTTCTTGCCTCTTTTAGCTTCTGGTGTTTGGTGGTAATCCTTGGTGTTTCTTGGCTTGTAGATGCTTCACTCCCATCCCTGCCTCCAAAGTCATATCGTCATCCTCTCCCTGTGTGTTTCTCCTTCCTTTTTTCTTTTTTTTTTTTCTTTTTTTGAGACAGGATAGCACGCTGTTGCTCAGGCTGGAGTGCAGTGGCATGATCATAGCTCACTGCAACCTTGACTTCCTGGGCTCAGGTGATCCTCCTGCCTCAGCCTCCCAAGTAGCTGGGACTACAGGCATGCACCACCATGCCTGGCAAATTAAAAAAAGATTTTTTTTTTTTGGTAGAGACGGGGTCTTGTTATGTTGCCCAGGCTGGTCTCGAACTGCTGGGCTCAATCAGTCCTCCTGCCTTGGCCTCCCAAAGTGCTGAGATTACTGGTGTGAGCCACCATGCCTTGCCTCTGCTTCCTCTTATAAGGACATCAGTCATACCAGGTTAAAGGCTCACTCTACTCCACTGTGACCTCATCTCAAATAAACTAATTACATCTGCAACAACATGATTTCCAAGTAAGGTCACATTCTGTGGTACTGGGTATTAGGACTTTGTTGTAGTCAGGGTTCTCCAGAGAAACAGAGCCAATAGGATGGTTCCGTCTCTATAGATAGAAATAAATTTATTATAAGGAGTTGGCTCACATGATTATGGAGGCTGGAAAGTCCCAAGATCTGCATAGTGAATCAACAAGCTGGAGACCCAGTGGTTTAGTTCCAGGCTATGTCCAAAGACCTGAGATCCAGGAGAGCTAATGGTATAGTTTCAGTCTGAAGTCCAGCAGGCTTGAGACCCAGGGAGAGCTGATGTTTCAGTTCAAGTACAAAGACAGGAAAAAATTAATGTCCCAGCTCAAAGGCAGTCAAGGAGAAACTCTCTCTTACTCAAGGGAGAATGAGCTTTTTATTCTATTTAGACCTTCAATGATTGGATGAGGGCCACCCACATTAGGGAGGGTAATCTGGTTTACTCTGTCTACCAATATAAGTGTTACTCTCATCCAAAAACACTCTCACACAAACCCCCAGGATAATGTTTGATTAAATATCTGGGCACCCCATGACCCAGTTAAGTTGACACGTAAAATTAACCATCACACTTTAAAATATCTTTTTGGGAAGCACAATTCAACCCATAAAAGTAATAATCATGCCTAGAGAACTTTTTTAGTTGAAGAGATAGAAAGTTTAATTCAAATCTGTACCTGTTGCTTTGTACTGTTATTTGATAGGGGTCTTACCCCACTCCTATCCATCAAGGCTGGCAGAGGCTATTTTCCAGGATTTTAGGGTTGCTGGCAGCTGGGCAGTGACTCAGGAGAGTTGTGAGTGGGGACAGAAAGGAAGGAAGTATGCCAAACAGTGCTAAAAAATATCCAAAGCTAAGAAATGTGTAATTAGCCCTGACCTCCTTTGCCCTTCCTCCTTACTAAAGCAGAGTGGGTGAAATGGCTCATGGGTTATTAATTGCCCTCTGCTGGTCACTTTACAGGCATGGCTTCCCATTTGCTTACTTTATTTTCTAGGGATGTCAGCAAATTACCACAAACTTGATGACTTAAAGCAACAGTAATATATTGTCTCATAGTTCTGGAAGTTAGAAGTCTAAAATCAAGGTGTCACAGGGTCCATGCTCCATCTGAAGTTGTCCAGGGACTGAAGTGTCCAATCCTTCCTTGCCTATCCCTAGTTTCTGGTGGTTCCTGGCAATCCTGGTGTTCCTTGGCTTGCAGCTGGCTCCCCACAATATCTGCCTCCATTTTACATGGCCTTCCCTCTGTTTCTCTGTGTGCCCTCTCTTATAAAAACAGCAGTCATTGGATTTAAGGTCCACCATAATCCAGCATGACTTTATTTTAAGTTAATTACATTTGCAGAAACCCTGTTTCCAAACATGTCACATTCTAAAGTTCTGGATAGACATGCATTTTGAGGGAGATGCTATTCAACCCCCTATACTAAAACTCTTTTTCTGTGGAAGAGAAAGAGGCAGGGAGAGTAACTTGTCCAGATCACTGTTAAGTGGTTGAGCTGAGCTTTCATGTGTACTCATTAGCCAAAGTGTCTTCCTTCTTCCCCTCTGCCCTCTTCCCTCTTTCCTTTCATCGCCTATTTTCTTATCCAAGGATGCCCTGGATATTAGTTTACCTTCATTTGAATGGAGAAAAATGCCCATTGTTAACTGTTAACTGTTGGGGTGAGGGGATGGGAAGGTGTTCAGTGGAAGGTCTCTCAATCTCCTTGAGAGTTAGTTTACTTTTTTTGCAAAAATGGAGAAAATGAAACTTGTCTCATTTGGTGGTTGCATGTATTATTAAATCACATACAACCGATCACAAAATCAATGTGTAAGAAAGTGTCTGGGAAAATCTTCCAAGGCATACAGCCCTGAGGGACTTTTGTAGAAAATCATTTAGAAAGTAAGGCATCCATTACTCACCTAGGGTATTAATTAATTTGTATTCTTGAAATTCTTTTTTTTTTTTTTTGAGATGGAGTCTTGCTCTGTTGCTTAGGCTGGAGTGCAGTGGCGCGATCTTGGCTCACTGCAACTTCCGTGCCCTGGGCTCAACCAATTCTCCTGCCTCAGCCTCCCAAGTAACTGGGACTACAGGCACATGCCACCACACCTGGCTAATTTTTGTATTTTTAGTAGAGACGGTTTCACCATGTTGCCTAGGCTGGTCTCGAACTCCTGACCTCAACTGATCTGGCCTTGGCTTCCCAACGTGCTGGGATTATAGGCATGAGCCACCATGCCCGGCCTGTATTTTTGAATTTCTACATTGTTGACATGCCTTGAAGTCTTAGACGATGAGCAAGAAACAGAAATCATGTAGCACATATATTCAACATTCCCACGTAATTTTAGGTTTCTATTTGGTCTCTTTCAAGCGGTAAGTAATTTACTTTGATCTTCTCTGCTAGGTTATAACAAAAGTTGACATTGTAGCTCTGCCACTCACTAGAAATATCATCTTGTTTATGTTATTTAACTTTATGACCTCTAATTGTGAAGGTTAAAGGAAAGAGCACATATAAAAGCTCCTGGTACATTATGGTTAGTCAGGAAGTAAAAGTTTTTTTTTTAAATTGCATTGTTATTATTATTACTGTTATTATTAATATCATTGGTATGCAAGACACTGAGTTATACATATTTGACTTGTGAACATATTTGTTATTTTAAAAATTGAAATAATTTGTCTTAAAAAAGTTACAAAAATAGTACAGACAATTCCCATATATTTCGTCACCCAGCTTCCCCTACTGTTTAACATCTTACATAAGCACAGTATGATGATCAACACTGGGAAATTAACATTGCTACAATACTATTAAGTAAACTATAGATTTGACTTGAATTTGCAGGTTTTCCCATTAACGGTTTTTTCTGATCCAGGATCCAAACCTTGATCTCCAATTGAACTTAGTTATGAGAAGGAGACAAACTTAGTCTTTTATAACTTAGTTTTTCCTTGTCTTTCATGATTTTGACACTTCTGAGGAAAGCTGGTCAGTAACCTTGTAGAATGCCCTCCAATTTGGCTTTGTCTGTATTTTCTCTGATTAAATTGAGATAATACAATTTTGGCAAGAATACCTCAGAAGTAATGTTGTGTCCTTTCTCATACACCATATCCAGAAGTACACAATGCTAGTATATATTATTACTGGTGAAATTAACATTGATCTCTGGGTTAAAGTGGTGTCTTCCAGGTTTCTCCACTAAATTACCATTTTTCCCTCAGTGACTAACAGATATCTTGGGGAAATACTTTAAAACTACGCAAATATTGCCAGGCGTGGTGGCGTATGCCTGTAATCCTAGCACTGTGGGAGGCCAAGGTGGGCGGATCACTTGAGGTCAGGAGTTCGAGACCAGCCTGGCCAACATGGTGAAACCTTGTCTCTACCAAAAAGTGGTGGTGTGCGCCTATAATCCCAGCTACTTGGGAGGCTGAGGCAGGAGAATAGCTTGAACCCAGGAGGAGGAGGTTGCAGTGAGCCGAGATCCTGCCATTGCACTCTAGCCTGGGGGATAAGAGCAAAACTCTGTCTCAAAACAAAAACAAAAACAAAACTATGCAAATATCCTGTTTCTTGTACCTTCACCCACTAGTTTTAGCATCTATGGATGATTCTTGCCTGCCACAATTATTACTATGGCATTTGCCTATTAGTGATTTTCTGTTTCCTTCATTTCTTCTCTATTAATAGGAATTCTTCTCTAAGAGAGAGTTATTCTCCTCCCTCATTTATTTTTTTATATCAATATGGGCTGATGAATATTTATTTTATTTTATGGGTTATAATCGAACACTGTCATTATTTATTTTGTTGCTCCAGTGGTTCCAGCTCTGGGCATTAGGAGCTTAAACAGGTTGGCTCCTGTATCCTTTCAACATGCCTCATTATTTTTAGTGCTTTCTTGCTTTTTGATGCTTACTTTTTAATCTAGGCTCATCTTGTACTTTCTTTGCCCCAACCATGGAATTGATCTTTTCTCCAAAGAACTCTGATTCCTTTTATTGGAAAATGGACTTAGGAACCAAGATCTTGGCATTGAGTAGTCTCATTGCTACTGGGGTTTCATTGCTTCTGCGTCCTCTCAGTGGACAGAGTTTGGAAATATATGCAGGTATGCTAACACACATACATATGTTTATATTTGTAAATTATAAAATTGTATAATTTTAAATTTCTGTATTATAAAATTATACATATGTTATAAATCTATGTTTATTTCAACATATATCTGTATAACTATTAAGGACCACAATGAATACATTCAAAGGTAAATGTGTGAATATCTCTAAGGCATACTTCTACTTATCTCCTAATAATAAAGAGAGTAGGTCCATTACACTATTGCAGAGTCATTAGTACTTGTTTACTTTCAAGTTTTATGTTGTAATTCAGATAGCTGAGGTTGTCAGAGAAGAGACCTAGCCTTATGTAATTCTGGAACCAGAAAAAGAAATCATGGAACTATCCAATTCATGTTTCCTAAACTGGTGTTCCATGGAATACTATTTTAGGAGTTGTTAATAGCATTATCCTGATCAAAGGGTTTTGCGGTTCCATAAGTTTGGGAAACAGCATTGTAGATCCTCCACACTTGTGTGACACTGCCAATGGATTATTTTATTTATATGTTTATTTATTTTTAGGGATGGGGTCTTGCCAGGTTGCCCAGGCTGGCCTCAAACTCCTGGGCCCAAGCAGTCCTCCCACTTCAGTCTCCTGAGTTGCGAGATTACAGGTGTGAGACACCATGCCCAGCATGCCTATGGATTATTAAAGGAGTTTTTAAAAATTTGTTTTCCAGGCTGGGTGCAGTGGCTCACAGTGGTAATCCCAGCACTTTGGGAGGCTGAGGCAGGTGGATCGTTTCAGTCCAGGAGTTTGAGACCAGCCTGGGCAACATGGCAAAAACCTGTCTCTAAAAAAATACAAAAGAAGTTAGCTGTGTCCACTCCTGTAGTCTCAGCTACTCAGGAGGCTGAGGTGGGAGGATTGCTTGAGTCTTGGAGGGAGGGGTTGTAGCAAGCTGAGATCACAGCACTGCATTCCAGCCTGGGCAACAGAGTGAGACCCTGTCTCAAAAAATTTTTTTTTTTTTTTTTTTTTTTACAGAGTAATTCTGTGTTCAAAACAAAATACTTGTCTAATAATTTTATGGAGGCAGAAGATAGAAAAAAAGAAAAAGTAAAATCAAATCTGTATGCATTTTCTGTTGCACAAATTTATTTAAGGTTAAATGTTGGTATGTGCAATAACCTGAAAAGTTTCAAGTACTATAATTGTGATCAGATTTTTTGTTTGGATAGGCTGCCATAAGCTTGTCTTCAAGTGGCTTTTAAAACCTAAATTGCATTAGCTTTACAAGGGGCAAATATATTCTTTAGAAAAAAGGTGTTCTCTATTCCTGCCATTGAAATATTGCTTCACAAAACTTATGGCACAACTAACAAAAAAGGTAAAAAATCCTATTTCAAAGTAGTCATTTTGTGGACAAAGGTAGAAACCTATAATCTTTCCTCCACCACAGCATTTCATATTTAAACCTTCTATTTTTAACCTGATGGTGGGATTCATGGCTAATGCTTATGAGATCTGTGTCTAGACAGTTGAGAAAAACAGGAAATGAGTTACATTGTCCTAGTAACCTTTTGTTTTCTAGCTCCAAGCTGTGCTTGCTTTAAAAAAATATTCCTTCTCTCCTGAGAATTTCAGGGAATTTAAGGAACTATAATAATCCAAGGCCTCTTCAGGGAGCAGAGATAGCTGTTTTGGTGGAAAAGGAAATGAGAACATGAGTTTACTATGCTTGGACCATAAAAGTGAATGCAGCCATTCTAAGAACATGTTTGCTGTCCTCTTCTGATTGCAAACGTGCTCCCAGCTATCTCTGACTGTGTGATCCTAAAGGGCAGGAACTCATTCTCCCTCTGTGCTGGACACATTGATGCTTTAGGACATAAAATGACCCTCAGAAGAGCAAGTTAAGAAGAGACAGCTGACATTTATGGAACACTTTTCTATGTGTCAGGCACTGAGCTAAGCACATTACATGCATTATCTTATTTAATCCTCAGAGCAATCATTCCTAAGGTGTGTTTACTACTATTGCCCCCATTATTTTTTTTTTCTTGAAACAGGGTCTCTCTCTGTCACCCAGGCTGGAGTGCAATGGCATGATCTTGTCTCACTGCAACCTCTTCCTCCCAGGTTCAAACCATTCTTGTGCCACAGTCTCCCGAGTAGCTGGGATTACAGGCATGCACCAGCACGCCTACCTTTTTTTTTTTTTTTTTTTTTTTTGGTATTTTTAGTAGAGACAGGGTTTCATCATGTTGGCCAGGCTGTTCTTAAACTCATGAGCTCGTGATCTGCCCACCTTGGCCTCCCAAAATGCTATGATTATAGGTGTGAGCCAGTGCGCCCAGCCTATTGCCCCCATTTTACAGATGAAGAAATGAAAGCACAGAGAAGGTAAGGAATTTGCAACAGTAGCATAACTGGCATTTGAACCCAAATCAGTATGATTTTATAACCTATGTTCTTACTTGGTATGCTATACCCTTGTAGGGCTGTTGTGAAGATTACAGGACACAACGTAATGTATGTAACAAACTTATCAAAGGCCCAGGTCCATGATAAGCATCACAATTAATTCCAGGTATTATTTACATGTGTAAGCAAAATAATGCTGGTTTTTCATATAAGTAGGTGATGCTACTCATCCTCTTGACGTATTAATAAGACACGCAGCACTTAATGCTCTTAAGTATCTAATTATTTGAAAAGAATTGAATAGCAGTAGTGATGATTGGTGCTAAATATATTTATATTATGCAGCATTTCAGTGAGGCTGAAGATACAATAATGGTGACAGTTGATTGGGTTAGAGAGTTTGTAAACAAGTAAAGGAAACTGGTCTACACTGAGATAAAGTCTGCAATGTTGACCGTATTAACCATTGCTTCATAGAGTCTATAAAATGACCATATAACGTATGTAACAAATATTGCACCAAATGCCTGCTTTCTCAGACTCAAAGCCTGTAGGGACACAATATTAGGTAAGACTTAATCCTTTTGCTCATGGAATTTACAGTCTAGTAGAGAATTAAAAATAAAAAGAAATCTTTGCAAATTATGATAAGTGCCACCAAGAAAATAATCAAAGAGTTAAGATACAGAGTAATGGAGTTGGGACATGGGGAGGAGGGTCTGGATCCTACTTTGTATGGGGTAGTAAAGAAAGGCTTCCTGTAGTAGGTGACATTTAAGACCAGATGATGGGAAAGAACCTAGGAAGAGGGAACAACACACACAAAAGCTCTGAGGTGGGGAAGAGCTTGACAAGTTCGAGGAGCTGGAGGATTGTTACCCATATAATGGTTGGGTTCAGTTGCTTGGTGGGTGAACATCTTTACAGATGAAGAAATGAAAGTACAGACAAGGAATTTGCAAGAGTAGCAACTGACATTTGAACCTAAATCAATATGATTCCATATAACATATGTTCTTAGTTGGTATGCTATACCCTTGTAGGGCTATTGTGAACCCAGTGACCACAATGAAGGAGAATGTAACAATGGGGTTTTAGTACTTGCAACAAGTAAGAACACTGGGGACAGTTCCCAAAGTAGTGTCTCCTGGAATGAAGGTGAAAGCAGGGCTTTTATTGTGCCACTGGCTGAGTCATTGCATATAAAGGTGGGGTAAAGGTAGTGCAGGTGCAGGCGCAGATTCTGCTTCTTCACACATGGCATGTATTGAAAATGGTAAATAGAAAAATATCGACAGGCTCAGGGAAAATGCTGGCTTCAGTCCCGAGTGGCTACAATGCCTCTTTAATAAATTCCAGTCTTCTTTATGGAATCGGTTAACCCCTTTATTAAGCCCTCTCTTGCTTTTATGTCTTGTATTGATATTTGGACCCTGCATACACAATACTATAACTCAAATTGTTTCTTCTCTCCTAGAAGGAATCAATTTCCAAATAGTGCTGTAAACTGAACCACACATGGACACGCCATTCTTCCGAGGACCCTTAGATCGGCCCCAGGAGGAGCCCTAGCTGCTGTTCCCCATTCGATGCCCTTTTTCAGCAGGAAGTAGCCAGAAGGAGTCATTGCCCAAAACCCCCTAACAGCAGTTAGTGTGGCTTCTCCGCAGGGGGGGATGTCATAGGAGTTACTAAGAAATTATTTTAGGCAGATAGAGAGGAAAAGGGGTCCTTGGGAAGTTTTCGTTTTTTAAAGCATCCCCAGAAAAGTTTCTTGTAAAGCTGCGGCTCCTAGAGCCAGGTCGGCAACCTTTGATATGCAAATGCAAGCCATTAGAAACTGAGTCCGCCCAAACATGGCGATTCCCGCAGGCCTTCTTGCCCTTTCCCCACAGGTTCCTGGCAACATGGCCGCCCCCACGTATCCCCACGTGTGTAGAACATCATGGTGCCCTGCATTTGCATATTAAAAGGCTAGGGTGGGAGGACCAGCTTTTTTGAGGGCTGTGTGAACGACATGCCCAGTCAAACCCATCCCCTGAGCCCTATGCAAATCAGACACCGCCTCCTCCAGCCTCTGTATATATACCTAGCTGGTATCTGTGGCAGGTGGGGTTCCCTCTATCGGCTTTGGAGCCTCCCTCCCTCTGTCTCTGTACAGGGGAGCTTCTTACTTCTCCCTTCCTTCTTGCCCTTTCTTGCCTATTAAATTCTCCGCTCCTTAAAAAAAAGAAAATGAAAATGGAGAATAAGCTCCTCCCTGGATGGGCTTTTTAGTATGGTAATGCTGAGAGCTCACCAAAATTCATCTCTAACTGAGGCATCTGTCTTCCAGCTGGTTTTGGTTTTGCTATAGCTGGGCTTCTTCCTGGAACAACGGAAGCTCAAGGCACAACAGTTACAAGTGGTTACCCTATCACAGCGTAACCACAAAGACCAGGGACCCTGGGTTACAGGATGAGTGTGGCTGGAGCCTAACAGGATAAGAGGAGACTGGAACCAGATCATGCAGGGTCTTTGTGGCTCTTGATAAGAAATTGGGTTTTATTCCAAGTTTAATAGAAACTCTCCAAAAGGTCCTGAATAGGTGAGTGCCATGATCTGATTTGCTTCCATGCGGAGAAAGGACTAGATGGAATAAGAAGGTTGTTGGACCTCCTTGTGCAAAAAATGATGGTGGCTTGGATGAAGCGGCAGCTATGGAGGGAAAGAAGCTGACAGATTGACAGATTTGGGAATTGGCAAGACTTGATCCATGAGGATTGGATGTGCAGGATGAGGGAGAGGGGAGAAATTAAGGTGACTCAGATTTTAATTTGGGGAAATACCATCTCATGGGTATTAAAGTAAACAAATACATAAACTTATTACTATCTTAGTCAGTTTTTGTTAGGTTTTGCTCCAGTAACACATAACCCTCAATTCTCTGTGATTTATACAGCAAAATCTTATTTTCCATTTGTGTTATTTGTCCACTGTGAGTCCACTGTGGCTTTTCAATTGGGATCCAGGCTGAAGAAATAGCCCCTGTCTAGGACACACCAATCTATGGCACATGAGAAGAGCTGCTGTGGAACCATGCAATAGCTCTTAAAACATCTACTCAATGTGACACATGTCATTTCTGCTTGCATTACATTGGCAGAAGTAAGTTACACGTCAGAGATGTCAATGGGGCAAGGAAGAATTATTCTTTTACACAAAGGGATAATCATTTGGAACCATAATATAAAATACCCCAATTTCAAATGCTGTTACGGTGCTCACCCCCAGGACATGGCTTGTTAGGTTAGAAACTAAGGAAGTGGTGCTACATGTCAGGGATTTTTATATGCCTTACCTAAGGAAAGAAAGATGATATGCAGAATTTGGAAATGAATATTTTGTGGATTTTCTCAAATAGAAGAAAATAGCTTATTTATTTATTTATTCATTTATGACAGTGTCTTGCTCTGTCACCCAGGCTGGAGTGCAGTGGCATGATCTCGGCTCACTGCAACCTCCGCCTCCTGGGTTCAAGCGATTCTCCTGCCTTAGCCTCCCAAGTACCTGGGGCTACAGGCATGCGCCACCATGCCCAGCTAATTTTTGTATTTTTAGTAGAGACGGGATTTCACCATGTTGGCCAGGATGGTCTCGATCTCTTGACCTCACGATCCACCCGCCTCGGCCTCCCAAAGTGCTGGGATTGCAGGCGTGAGCCACGGTTTTTTTTTTTTTTAACAATTATTTTTTAACATGTCATCCATTTATAAGATATCAAGATCTAAAATTACAAAAGGGGCCGGGTGCGGTGGCTCACACCTGTAATCCCAGCACTTTAGGAGACCGAAGCGGGTGGATCACCTGAGGTCAGGAGTTTGAGACCAGCCTGAGCAACATGGTGAAACCCCATCTCTACTAAAACTACAAAAATTAGCTGGGCATGGTGGTGGGTGCCTGTAATCCTAGCTGCTCAGGAAGCTGAGGCAGGAGAATTGCTTGAACCCGGGAGGCAGAGATTGCAGTGAGCTGACATCACGCCATTGCACTCCAGCCTGGGTGACAGAGTGAGGCTCCATCTCAAAAATAAATAAATAAATAAAATAAAATAAAATTGCAAAAGGGTATACAGTGACTACTTCCTACTTCTGTGCCCATCAACCAGTAACCCTCCTGTATGCAACACAAGGTGTGTGGGACCTTGGAAGCTGGTGGAAGAGGGCATCTTGGGGAAGAAGGAGTGGTACAGGTGGTCAAGTATTTCCAAGAGGGAAAATTAATGTACATACTTAGAGAAGCTATGATCATGAAAGGCCACCATAAATTCAAGAATAAATTCATACCAAAAGAACCTCATTGCTTTTTAAATTTATTGTGTTACTGTGTAAGACTACTTAGAAAGGAGAGTGCCCATCACTTCTCGGCCTTCTGGCTAAGATCAAGTGTAGAAAGCAGAAAGCCCTGAATGAAGTGTGTCTTGATTTCATTATAGCAGCTGGCACAGGCCCTCATGATTAGATGTGGGCACAATGGAGAAACGTGGCCGCTAACTCACAGCCGGATGGTTTCAAGGCTGGTGGCGCCATGGCACACTCATGGGCCAAGTCACAGGTTGAGAAACTTGCGGGTGGAGTTTGTCCCTTCATCTCATCCTCTTCAGTATATTCTGTTGCCAACTTGAATGAAGATACAGAAAGTATAAGATAAAAGAGAGATGACAGAAGTGAGACCTCCAAAAATCTTTGTTGACTTGAAGAAGAGATGGAAATCAGGATAACATGTAATAGTAAAGAAAATGAGAAGTCCTATAGCTAGGTTAAAAAGAAAGTTTCAACGTGATGGAGAGCCAGAAGTCCCAGGCCTTTCTGTTGACAGAAAACATAATGTGGGTCAACAGTAAGTCATTGTTGCTTCCCACAATTAATTCCATCTTAATATATACATTAAAATATAATATATTAACATACATGGGGTATACAGAGTTGGGGGGGATGAGTTGCACTGTTTGGGCCACTTCTGGGTCCTGTGTCTTGAAGTTCTGGAATGCTTTCAGAGGCAGGGAACAGGACGGTGAAGAGCTTAGAAATAATTGCAGAAGTCTCAGAGTTCCACCCTGACTGAGTGTGGTTTGTGTGAAAAGACAGGGCAGACGGCACGAGGGCTGTCTTCCATATTGGAAGGGCTGAAGTGCGCACGTGAATTAGACTTACATTTTGGCTTCTGGGGTCAGAAGTGGACCAATGAGCAAATGACAGGGAGGTTTGTGCACAGCCCAGAGAAGAGCTTCATTCCAGAGCTGTTGTTGTGTTGTAGTAGTCACCTCCTTGCCACTGGAAATCAGTGTTGCTGGAATCAAAGTGGAGCCTGGATGACCAACTATTAGAGATGGTGGAGACCAAAGAACTTTCCCTAAGTGAGGAAGGAGGCATTCCACCATACCCTGGTCCCAGGTGTACATATCATGTACACTCTGTTCATGTGGTCTCACACTGTCCTCTAACACAGCTCTTGTACCCTGTGTCATAACTGCACATACAGTAGTGTCACCTGGATATCACCCGAGGCTTTCCTTCCCCTTAGAGATCTCACTACGCTTGACCTGAATCCCCAGTTGCGTTGATAGCCTTGAGCCCTCCCATGGTTCCTGTGATTCTGGGGCTTTTTCTCTTGGTCTCTGTGTCCCTTCTCTTCCCTGGTAATCTGGATATGAAACCCATGAGAAAGGCCTGTGGTTGTTCCGAGGAGAATTATGACCTCAGAGGGTTTATGTGGAACCAAGGGACGGTTGAGGCTGGAAATGCAGCATAGAGTCCTGTCTTGGATGGCTCCATTGTCAGAGTCCTGGCAAGAAACAGATGTAATACTCCATCTGGATCATTTGGAGTATAACATCTCCATCTCCCTTAACATAGTAAATGCAGTGTTTACAAAGGCATGGGCAGAGTTAGGAGCTGTGGGCCGGGCCTGGTGGCTCATGCTTGTAATCACAGCATGTTGGGAGGTTGAGGCAAGAGAGGATTGTGTGAGCCCAGGAGTTTGGGACCAGCCTCTGCAACACAGTGAGACCTCGACCTCATCTTTACAAAAACTAAACAAAATTAGCCATGCATGATGGCATGTGCCTGTAGTCCCAGCTACTTGGGAGGCTGAGGTGGGAGGATCACTTCAGCCCAGGAGGTCGAAGCTGCAGTGAGCTGTGATTGCACCACTGCAGTCCAGCCTGGGCAACAGAATGAGACTCTGTCTCAAATAAGATAAAATAAAAATAAAAATAATGATGGAGAGCTGTGGCAGGCAGTGCAATGGGCTCCCAAAGTCCCCAGGTTCAAATCACCTGTTCTTGTGAATATGCTAATTTACATGATAAAAGAGACTTTGCAGATATGGTCAAGTTAGGGATCTTCATGGAGGGAGATTATCCTGGATTATCCAGGTGGCTCAATGCAGTCACAAGTCCTTGTAACTGGGAGGCTGTAAGGTCAGAGATGGCAAAGGGATGTGACCACAGAAGCCGAGGCCAGATGACGCGGGGACATGAACCAAGGAATGAGGACAGCTTCTAGAAACTGAGAAAGACAAAAAATGAATTCTTCCCTAGAACCTCCAGAAGCAATGGAGCCCTGCCAACCCATTTTAGATTTTTTTTTTTTTTTTTTTTTTTTTTTTTTTAGAGACAGAGTCTCTCTCCGTCCCCCAGGCTGGAGTGCAGTGGTGAGATCTTGGCTCACTGGTAACCTCTGCCTCCTGGTGGGCGCCACCATGTCTGTCTAATTTTTGTATTTTTAGTAGAGATGGGGTTTCACCATGTTGGCCAGCCTGGGCTCGAACTCCTGACCTCAGGTGATCCTCCCGCCTTGGCCTCCCAAAGTGTTGGGATTATAGGCACGGTGAGCCACCGTGCCCGGCCCCATTTCAGACTTCTGACCTATAGAACTATAAAATAACACATTTGTCTTGTTTTAAGGCCACAAATGTGAGGTAGTTTCTTATAGCAGCAATAGGAAGCGGATGCAGGGGGATTCACAGCCCTTACGCATAAAGCAGCAGCAAGGGGAGGTGGGTGTGACCGGATCCCAGGGAGGCTGCATGGACAGTCAACTGACACCCAGCTCTCCTGTGGCCTGGCAGAGAGATGTCAGTTGGAATAAACACTCTGTCCTCACCCTGCCTCATGCTCCAATCTTCCTGTCTTCCTTCTACAGGCCAGGCCTAGCCAGAAGCTACAGGCAAGGAACCCACAGATGCAGTTCAGCAGGTCCACCTCCCAGGCCACAAAGAAGACAAAGTAGGGTGGAAAATGAATTAGAAGTGGAAAAGGGTTGACTTAGAGGGGGTGATGCTTAGAGAAGCCTTTAATTGAGCTGGGCTTTGGAGGGAAAGAGTTTACCAGGCAGACAAGTCAGGGAAGGGCATTCTAGACAATGAGACCAGCACATACAACAGAGGCATGAAGTAGGCGACCCATTCAGGGAGCTGCACGTGATTTGGCGTGGCTGGAACAGAGGACGCATGTGGCTCTCGATGAGAGGCTTTGGGAGCACTGGCCTGTTGCCATGGCAGTGAGCTTGGGTGTTAGACCAGAGTTAATGGGAAGCTTCAAAATGATTCTAAAATTTATTGCAAAAATGAAAAAAGGAACTCTTGGCAAACTTCCAAATTACGCAGTTTTTTTTTTTTTTTTTTTGGATGCCCTCTCTGTGTCCATCCAAATCCCTCCTCCCATCCAAAACGAGGTAGACATAAGGGAGGAGACCACCCCTCATATTGTCTTATGCCCAATTTCCGCCTCCAAAGAAAGAAGTAAAAACTAAAAGGCAGAAATGAAATCCACAGGCAGACAGCCCGGCGCTAACCCTGGGCCTGGTAGTTAAAGATCGACCCCTGACCTAATCGGTTATGTTTTCTATAGATTACAGGCATTGTATAGAAAAGCACTGTGAAAATCCCTGTCCTGTTCTGTTCCGATCTAATTACCCATGCATGCAGCCCCCAGTCACGTACCCCCTGCTTGCTCAATCGATCACGACCCTCTCACACAGACCCCCTTAGAGTTGTAAGCCCTCAAGAGGGACGGGAATTGCTCACTCGAGGAGCTCGGTTTTTGAGACATGAGTCTTGCCGATGCTTCCGGCCGAATAAAGCCCTTCCTTGTTTAACTCAGTGTCTGAGGGGTTTTGTCTGCGGCTTGTCCTGCTGCAGACATTGTTAATGTCTGGTGGCATCTTCATTGACATATTATGTGTTTTATGATGTAACATTTCAAATCTACCAAATATAGAGAAAACAGTAAAAGGAATTATTTGCCCATTACCCAGATTCAACAGTGATCTATTGAGGAATTATAAACAGGGGAGTGATACGATTAGGAATGTGTTCTAGAAAGACCTGTGGGAAAGTTAAGTGGGTGGATTGGAGGGCCTCAGCCTAGAGGAGGGGAGATAGGTTAAGCACTTCTTGCAAATGTCCAGGCAAGCAATGCTGAGGGCTCGTGTCAGAGGGCAGGCGGTGGAGGAGAGGAGGGGGCTGATCCGGGAAAGGTGTTTAGAATTGATGGGCTATGTGTGTCTCAGTCACGAGTCTGTTTCACTAGATCTAAGATGCTATGAAGTATTTGGGTATCTGGAATCCTGCTCCACAGTATGGATTAATGAACATGTCTTATGCTTATGAAGTGGAACTCATTATTCTTGATTAAAGAACATGTTTTGGGGGATTTGTGCGGTTGGGAACCTCAGAGGAGCCTCTCAGTTTCACAAAATGCTACCCAGATGCAATGATGTCATTTATGAGGCCACGGTCCTCTTCAGGTAGGGGGCAGCTAAATTCTATTTGTTTAATAAAAGTAGATGTTTTGAATGACTTCCAGAGAGAGTTGGATTCCACAGGCAGATGGAGCTATTATCCGTGTTTTTTTCTCCCCAGTGACAGGCTGCAAGCCTGTAATTCCAGTGACTAGCAGCCCTCATTTGGGAGCTGGGATGGTTCTACAAACACCACTTCAATCCCCACCTCCTTTACTGGCTGCTGAGGCTGCTGAACTGGGGGACATCCCTTAATGAGATGCAGCAAACATAGCTCAAACCCAGCTACCTTCTTGGTATCCACTCAATTTATGGAACGCTCTCGTATCCTTGTGTGCTGCTGGGGGCAATGAAAGCTGCCTCACCACCCCTCCAGCTCCCAGGCCTCTGTTCTGTCCAAGTCTCTCTTCCCCAGCCCCAAGCAATATTTGCAAGTCTGTTGCCCCAGCAGCCATGCATAGGGGAGTGATTGACTGGCTTGCATGTTGCTGGCACTTCTGATACAGGACATTATTTCATAATGTCTATTTCAGATCCATCTGTAGTTCTCCTTTTCTCCCTGACAGTGCAGGGCGAGGCTGTGGCTACAATGGCTGCTGGTACTCTCCCTTAGCTGTCTCTGTTTCTGGAGCTTACATGGGTGTTGGGGGATAAGGGCGTGGTGGGGTGGTGGTTAGGAGTAGGCAGAGTTGCCTCCTGACTTGGCCATTCAAGAAGAGGTTTCTCTCCTCTCCCTGTGGGTTGTTGCTGCCAGGTCTCCCTGGGGCAGGCATTCCAAGCTGGCTATTCTGTGGGGCACGGGAGCAAGTCCTTTGGGACTATTTCCCCATACGCTTTCCAGACTGGAGCTTCTGGTACAGGAGACAGAAAGAAATTATTAAGCCATGCCGGGTACGGTGGCTCACACTTGTAATCCCAGCACTCTGGAAGGCCGAGGCAGGCAGATTACTTGAGATCAGGAGTTCAGCCTGGCCAACATGGTGAAACCCTGTCTCTACTAAAAATACAAAAATCAGCCGGGTGTGGTGATGGGTGCCTGTAATCTCAGCTACTTGGGAGACTGAGGCAGGAGAATCGCTTGAACCCAGAAGGCGGAGGTTGCAGTGAGCTGAGATCGCGCCACTACTGAACTCCAGCCTGTGTGACAGAGTGACACTCCGTCTCAAAAAAAAAAACAAAAACAAAAACAAGAATTATTTAGGCAGACATTGAGGGTAAAAGAGTCCTCTGCAGGACTTCCCTTTTAACAAAAATCAGCCTAAGAAATTCTTTTTTCTAATAAAGAGCAGACTGAAAAATCAAGCTGCAAACAGATAAGCAAGCTGGAAGCTTTCACAGGTGAATGCCGGCCGCTGTGCCAATAGAAAGGGCTACCTGGGGGCCAGGTATGTTCAACATGGAGGCTCCATCTTCCCTTTTATTTGTTACCACATGTACAATACAGAAATAGGCAACCTGGTGCCAGTCAGGTAGAGAGCATCTGCATAATAAAAGATTAAGGTGGAGAGTCCAGAAATTCACACACTATGCAAATGGCACACCTGGTCTGACCAATCTTTTGTTCCTATGTAAATCAGACACCGCCTCAAGCTCATCTGAAAAAAAACCCCTGCATTTCACCACGGACCCGAAACCCACTGGGGACCCATCTCTCTGCAGCAGAGAGAGCTATTCTCTTGCTTTTGCCTATTAAACGTCTGCTCTTAAACTCACTGTTTGTGTGTCTGTGTCCTAGCTTTCTGTGGCCATGAGACAACGAAATCTCAGGTATCACCCCAGATGAACGATGCTGTTCCACTTCGGGGCTTTGTGAATGATTCTCCTGGAGTCCCCACTGTGACTTACAGGAGAAGATAGGCTCTTTCCATGAATACTACTCTCCTTTCCAGGGTGTCCTTCTTTCTCCTCACCCCTTCTTTTATATTGATGCTGGGAATGGAATGAGTAGGATCAATTCTGGCCTCTTGATAAACCCTGTATGGAGGTGGCTGGCTCCAACTATTGAAACTGGAAACTAGAATATCAGGAGGATACTCAATGCCATTTGTCTTCTGAACTGGGTTCTAAAAGAAATTCATTTATTTATTTTAGACACAGGGTCTTCCTTTGTCACCCAGGCTGGAGTGCAGTGATGTGATCACAGTTTATTACAGCCTTGAACTCTGGGGCTCAAATGCTCCTTCTGCATGCTGAGTAGCTAGGACCACAGGTGCACATCACCACCCCAGACTAATTTTTTTTTTTTTACATTTTGTAGCGATGGGGGTCTCTCTATGTTGGCCAGGCTGGTCTGGAACTTTTGGCCTCAAGTGATCCTCCTGCCTCAGCCTCCCAAAGTGCCGGGATCATAGGCGTGAGCCACCGTGGCCAGCCAGCATTAGGTTTTATCCAAAGTTCTGGGAAAATAAGATAAACTCCATTCAACATCTATTGCAGTAGTTGGTTAATTACAGAGTGTGATGCTCTATTATAGTTTTTTGGGGGGCAGGTCATTAACATTTCTAGGTCTTGGTTGTCTCATCTGTGAGATGGGGGTAGTGGGTATGCCTCTAGGAAGGTAGCAGAAACTGGACCATGTCACCTCTTCAGATCTCTGTCAGGTAGAGCTTTGAGTCTATAGAGTTCATGGTTTTAGGTTTGCTTGATTTCAAGGTTTTTCTCTTCTCATCTTTGTTTCAAAAACTACATTCATATCAAAGCACTTCATAGTTCTGAAGCGCCAGACATAGAAAGAGGGACAGATCCTAGCTGGGGAAGGAGAGAGCATTTTGTTCATCCACGTGAGGGAAATGGAAGCCGAACAGTGCTCTGTGTCTAGTCTACTCCCAGTTATCAGAGGCAGGACTATTAAAACAAGTCGAGTTATTTCAAAGTTGTCAGCAAGTCTTCCTCCAATCAAAAGCCCATTTGGTTGGCAAGGCTAATGAAGGTTTATCCTAGAGACCTTGGGTATCTGGTGCAGGAAACATATTTCACAGACTCTTCCCAAAGTATTGCACTAGGTGCTGTGTGGGAGAGACAACGGTGGTGTCATAAAAGAACACTGGGTAGGCCAGGCACAGTGGCTCATGCCTATAATCCCAGCACTTTTGGAGGCTGAGGTGGGCAGATCACCTGAGGTCAGAAGTTTGAGACCAGCCTGGCCAACATATAGTGAAACCCCATCTCTACTAAAAAATAGAAAAATTAGCTGGGCATGGTGGCTCATGCCTGCAATCCTAGCTACTTGGGAAGCTGGGGCAGGAGAATCGCTTGAACCTGGGAGGCGGAGGTTGCAGTGAGCCGAGATCATGTGACTGCATTCCAGCCTGGGCGAAAGAGCGAGACTGTCTCTGAAACAACAACAACAACCCCCTCCCCCAAAAAAACCCAACACTGGGTATAGGGCTAGGCAGATTTGAGCATCTAAGACAGAGACAAAAAATGGAAAGTGGACTTAGTGAATACGAATAATAAATGTTTATGTAAAGCTTACTATGTGCCAAGCACTGCTCTAACCACATAACATGTATCAAATCATGCAAAACGCACCAACTCAATGACTCCTCATGGCAATTCTGTGACGCAGATGCTGTCATTGTGCCTATTTTACAGATGGAGGGACTGAGGCATTTTTGTATTTTTTGTAGAGGCAGGTTTCACTTTGTTGGCCAGGCTGGTCAAGGTTTAACACACAGTCCAACACAGCTAGGAAGTGGTGGGCTGGCTTCAGATTCTGTGCCCCTCACCACTGTGCTATGCTGCCTCTCTGAAGGAAGTAGGGGCTCTTTGGGATACTTTTGACATTAAGAAAGGATTAAATAGTACAATATAATGAAAACGTTTGAATACTCGTTTTAAAAGTACAAAAAAGAGAGAGCCACACAGGCACTTTTATGTGGGTCAGGAGTGACTGTTTTGTTGCACTCTTTGGCATCTGCCAAGCATGATTTCTCAGGATGTGGTGGTTGGCCGACTGCCCTTGTGGCCACTGGATTCCATTCTCTCTCTGGTTTTTCTCCCTTTCCCCCTGCCCTCTGAAACCTTCCTCTAGACTTCCCTTGCCCTTGTTCTCTTTCTAGGAGCTTGTATTATTCTTCAGAAAAACGGAACCAGTAGGAGGTACATGTCTTTCTCTCTACTGATAAATGTATATATATATGATCTCTCTGTCTCTAAATCTCTCTTTCTCTCTAGTATCTCTATCTGTCTATCTATCATCCATCTATCTATCATCTATCATCTCCATATATGCTTATATAGGTAGGTGTTTTTTGTTTTTTTTTGTGACAGAGTTTTGCTGCATTGCCCAGGCTGGTGTGCAGTGGCATGATCTCGACTCATCGCAACCTCTGCCTCCCAGGTTCAAGCGATTCTTGTGCCTCAGCCTTCTGAGTAGCTGGGGTTTCAGGTGCATGCCACAATGCCAGGCTAATTTTTGTATTTTTTGCAGAGGCATGTTTCACCATGTTGGCCAGGCTGGTCTCGACTTCCTGGCCTCAGGTGATCTGCCCGCCTTGGCCTCCCAAAGTGCTGCGATTACAGGTGTGAGCCACTGTGCCTGGCCGATATATTTTATTCTTTTAACTACTTTATTAGGTAAAGTAAAATATTTTGTTCCTTAAAATTGACCTATGTTTGGCTAGGCACAATGGCTCATGCCTGTAATCCTAGCACTTTGGGAGGCCAAGGTAGGAGGATTGCTTGAGGCTGGTAGTTAGACCAGCCTGGGCAACATAGCAAGACCCCATCTCTACAAAAAATAAAAATAAGAATAGCCCGGTGTGTGGTGTGTGCCTGTAGTCTCAGATACGCAGGAGGCTGAGGCAGGAAGATCACTTGAGTCCAGGAATTCAAAGTTGCAGTGAGCTATGATTGTACTACTGCACTCCAGCCTGGACAACAGAGTGAGACCCTGTCTCAAAAAAAAATTTTTTTTTGATCTCTCTGTATACCTTTATCTCTATTTATCTCTATCATCTATGTATGTATGTGATATGGTTTGGCTGTGTCCCCACCCAAATCTCAACTTGAATTTTATCTCCCAGAATTCCCATGTGTTATGGGAGGGACCCAGGGGGAGGTTATTGAATAATGGAGGCTGGTCTTTCCCGTGCTATCCTTGTGTAGTAAGTCTCATGAGATCTGATGGTTTTATCATGGGTTTCCGCTTTTGCTTCTTCCTCATTTTTCTGTTGCTGCTGCCACGTAAGAAGTGCCTTTCACCTCCTGCCTGATTCTGAGGCCTCCCCAGCCATGTGGAACTGTAAGTCCAATTAAACCTCTTTTTCTTACCAGTCTCAGGTATGTCTTTATCGGCAGCATGGTCTTCCCAGTCTCGAGTATGCGTTTATCAGCAGCATGAAAACAGACTAATACAGTATGTATGTAGATTTATTTTAAGAAATTAGCTTGCCGGGTGCCGTGGCTCACGCCTATAATCCCAGCACTTTGGGAGGCTGAGGCGGGTGGATCCTGAGGTCAGGAGATAGAGACCATCCTGGCTAACACCATGAAACCTCGTCTCTACTAAAAATACAAAAAATTAGCAGGGCATGGTTGCGGGCACCTGTAGTCCCAGCTACTCGGGAGGCTGAGGCAGGAGAATTGCTTGAACCTGGGAGGTGGAGCTTGCAGTGAGCCGAGATTGTGCCACTACACTCCAGTCTGGGCGACAGAGTGAGACTCTGTCTCAAAAAAAAAAAAAGAAGAAAGAAAGAAAAAAAAGAAATTGACTTATGCAACTGTGAGGGTGGCAGGTCCAAAATCTCCAGGGTAGGCTGGCAGGCTGGAGACCCAGGGAAGAGTTGATGTTGCCATCTTGAGTCCAAAGGCAGTCTAAAGGCAGAATTCCTTCTTCAGGAGATGTCACTCTGTTCTCTCAAGGCCTTCAGCTGATTGGATGAGGTATACCCACATTATGGAAGGCCTTACCCACGGTCTACTGATGTAAATGTTAATCACACCTAAAAAATACCTTCACAGCAACAACTAGACTGATGCTTGACCAAATGACTGGGTACCATGGCCTAGCCAAGTTGACACATAAAATTAACCATCATAGAACCACTTGAAGGGAGCTGAGGTTCATTTGAGCTTCTGTTAGTTTTCTGGAACACTGGGAAAGCTCTGGTACTGAGACCCCAGGGGACACAGCTTTAATTCTCTCTAAAAGGGAACTCTGTCCAAACTTTAGAGTAGTTTTTTTCCCCTCCCAAGAAATCTATCAATGCACAGAATGGACTTTGGTTGGTAAGTGTTAAGTATTGGTCTCTGGCCCTTGATCCCTAGTGCCATTTCTGGCTTCCAACAAAGGAGCTCATGCTTCATCCCACATTGTTCTCCTTCTCAAAAACGTGAACTCAGTTCTTCTTCCTATCTGAACTCCTCTAGTACCTTGTAACTGACTCTGGGCATTTAAAACTTTGGCTCCTGTATTGTAATTGATAACACATTTTCCAGCCCCTCCCACTCCTCCACCAGCAGGTAAGTTCCCTGAGGGCAAGGGCTAAGCTCACACTTCTGCCTGGCTGCTCCAGTGCCCACGACACTGCTGCTTCATAAACATTGCTCAGTGGAGACAATTTGCAACACTGATTCTCTGTGATGTTTCTTGGGCAGAAACGTGATTGGTGTCAGCCTCAATTTAAGCCTATGTAAAACAGGAAGGAGAAAACTTTACACCTACCATGGACAGAGGCTGACACCGCTTGTCTAGCTTTTGCACTGCCACGTATCTGGCGGTCAAAATAAGTCTTGCTTCTGAATTAGGCTGTGAAGATGGTTGTGCCTTTTATTTTCAGACAGATCCTTGCCCAGCTTGGGCTGAGGGCTATGCAGCATTAGGGACAGTGGGAATTTGTCTGGGGTGGGGGCAGAACTGGCAGGGAAAAGCTTTTGTAGGGGTGGGCTGCTAGACGTACTAGAGAAGCTGCCAGCTTAACTGTATTCGTTTCCTATTACTACTGCAACAAATCACACCTTCAGTGGCTTAAAACAACACAAATTTGTTATTTTTATAGTTCAGCAGGTCAGATCTGACATAGGTTTTGGTGGACTGATGTCAAGATGTCATCAAGACTGTTCCCTTCTGGGAGCTCTAGGGGAGAATCTCTTTCCTTGCCTTTTCCCGATTATAGGCACTGCTCTCATACCTTGGCTGGTGGTCTCCTCCTCCACCTTCAAAGTCAGCAAGGGCCAGTGGAGTCCTTGTGTTGCATCAGTTTGACCTCCGCTGCATTCCTCTTGTACTTTTAAAGACTCTGCCATAAATGTTACACTGGGGCTGGGTGCGCTGGCTCATGCCTGTAATCCTAGCACTTCGGGAGGCCAAGATGGGTGGATCACCTGAGGTCAGGAGTTCGACACCAGCCTGGCCAACATGACGAAACCCTGTCTCTACTAAAAATACAAAAATTAGCCGGGGGTGGTGGCAGGCATCTGTAATCCCAGCTACTGGGGAGGCTGAGGCAGGGGAATTGCTTGAACACAGGAGGCAGAGGTTGCAGTGAGCTGAGATTGCGCCATTGCACTCCAGCCTGGATGACAAGAGTAAAACTCCATCTCAAAAAAAAAAAAAAAAAGGCTGGGCGTGGTGGCTCACGCCTGTAATCCCAGCACTTAAGGCCATGAGGAGGGCAAAGCATAAGGTCAGGAGATCGAGACCATCCTGGCCAACATGGTGAAACCCCGTCTCTACTGAAAATACAAAAATTAGCTGGGCGTGGTGGCGTGTGCTTGTAGTCCCAGCTACTCGGGAGGCTGAGGCAGGAGAATCACTTGAACCTGGGACGTGGAGGTTGCAGTGAGCCGAGATCACGCCACTGCACTCCAGCCTGGCCACAGGGTGAGACTCGGTCTCAAAAAAAAAAGAAGTTACACTGGGCTCACCCAGATGGTCCTGGATAACCCCTACATCTAGAGGTGCTTAATTTAATCACATCTGCAATTTTACCTTTAACATGAAGCAACATATTCATAGGTTCCAGGAATTAGGATGTGGACATCTTTAGAGAGCTATTATTTTGCCTACCATGGTGGCCTTATGATTTCCATTTAACATAAGTGATTAGTGTAAGATATGATTTTAAATGGAAAGATGTGATAGTTTCACTTGTTTAACAATGTTAGAGTTTCTAAGAGAGTTTGAGATAAAATACATTTATGCTTAATTTGTGAAATTTGTAACTTATTTACTTGAGAATGTTTTGCTTATTAAGGCTGTAAGCTTATCTGAGCAAGTATTTGCAGTGTTTTTTCTTTTTGTTTTGTTTTGTTTTTGGGACAAAGTCTCACTCTGTCCCCAGTCTAGAGTGCAGTGACACGATCTCAGCTCACTGCAACCTCTGCCTCCCAGGTTCAAGTGATTCTCCTGCCTCAGCTTCCCGAGTAGCTGGGACTACAGGTGTGCACCACCACACCCAGCTAATTTTTCTATTTTTAGTAGAGAGGGGGGTTTCACCATGTTGGCCAGGTTGGTCTCGATCTCTTGATCTCATGATCCGCCCGCCTCGGCCTCCCAGAGTGCTGGGATTACAGGCGTGAGCCACTGCGCTCAGCCTGCAGTGTTTTTTTAAAAAGCAAATGCATTCAATTTATAATTGAAGTGCTTAAAAATCAAATGTATCAGATTTATAATTGCAGCTTTAAAATGTTTAAAGGATTTTTTTATTAAGTTTGTAAAAGAGAATTACTTTTTAGTGGGACTGTGATCTATTAAATTTGAGTTTATTAAGAGTAATAAAAGATCCTATTATTTTGTATTAAAATTTACTAGGCTTGTAAATATCAAGATTTGTTAGTGGAATTTAAAGGCAACTTTAATGAAAACTGGGTCTCTGTATTTGTTACTTTATCAACAGACATTAATTTTAAATCAAAAAGCTGTAAATAATTCTGTCTATGACATAAACTCATGCCAATTTTTGTTCTAGTTAAGTGTGGGTATATGGTCCTAAGACTTTCAAAAGCATTTTTTGAATGTATATATCGTGGTCCCCAACCTTTTTGGTACCAGGGACTGGTTTCTGTGGACTGGGCGGGTGCGGGGGGGATGGTTCTGGAATGAAACTGTTCTATGTCAGATCATCAGGCATTAGATTTTCACAAGGAGCACACAACCTAGATGCCTCACCTGCGCAGTTCACAACAGGGTTTGTGCTCCTATGAGACTAATGCCACCGCTGATCTGACGGGAGGTGGAGCTCAGGTGGTGACACTCACTTGCCTGCTGCTCACCTCCTGCTGTGTGGCCCGGTTCCTAACAGGCCATGGGCCAGTGCTGGTCCATGGTCTGGGGGTTGGGGACCCCTGGTATATATGGTCCTATTAATTCATTCAGCCCTGGCACTGTGCTAGGTACTATGCAATTGCCACAAGTAAGACTACGATGTAACAAAGTCCCTAGGCAAAGAAGTGTGATGGGAAATGGGATTCACTCAGCTGGATGAGGCTTTAGTGAGGAAGTGGCCCAAAGGTGCTAATCAGACAGATGATAGATGGTAGGGGAAGAACATTCTAAGGAGGCACATTACCTGAGCAGAGAAGGCTTGTCATATTTAGGGAATGGTGAGATTTTGTGATCCTGGTGGAGGTTTAAAAAAATGATCTCTAATTACTCTCATGTACCTTCTGTCATTTTCTGATTGACAGTTAGTGGTCAGATCGGAGGGCGTCCCAGAGTGAAAGTATCAGGTAAGCCAATCTCCCGCAAGTCAGTCACCTGAATAAATCATACCCTCCTGGAAACACAGTGCAATTCTGAACCCGATTCTTAGACTCTTGTTGCTCAGGAAATAACAATAATCATTAACACTGCCTGTCTCCAAGCAGTTCATATGTGTTAGTTCACTTAACCCTCTGAGCCATAAGAGATAGGTATTCTTAGAGTCGAGGAAATTGAGACACAGAGGGCTGAAGTGAGGTGACAAAGGCCACTCTGCAGGTAAGTGGCAGGACCATGATTTGAACCTTGTACAAGCTGTTTCTCTTTTCAGAATGCTCTTGCCCTCATTCCTCTGGGGCTGGCTTCTTCAACATCACTTCTTCAGAGAGGCCCCTGCTGCTTCGGTCCTCACTGTCTTAACTGGGTCCCACTTGTTATTCTAGATCTCAACCCTTTGTTCATTCCCCTCATATTGGTTATTACAAATAACTTTTTTTACTTGCTTTCTCCCCCACCCCCCCTTTAAAAATATTTTTTATTTTTATTTTTAATTATTTATTTTTGAGACGGAGTCTCGCTCTGTCGCCCAGGCTGGAGTCCAGTGGCACGATCTCGGCTCACTGCAAGCTCCACGTCCCAGGTTCATTCCATTCCCCTGCCTCAGCTTCCTGAGTAGCTGGGACTACAGGTGCCCACCACCACGCCTGGCTAACTTTTTTTGCATTTTTAGAGATGGGGTTTCACCGTGTTAGCCAGGATGGTCTCGATCTCCTGACCTCGTGATCCACCTGCCTCAGCCTCCCAAAGTGCTGGGATTACAGGCATGAGCCACCGCGCCCGGCTCTCCCCCGGCTTTTTTTTTTTTTTTTTTTTTTTTGAGACAGAGTCTTCCTCTGTCACCCAGGCTGGAATGCATTGCACTATGTCGGCTCATTGCAACCTCCGCCTCCCAGGTTCAAGAGATTCTCCTGCCTCAGCCTCCTGATTAGCTAAGACTACAGGCACCTGCCACCACACCCAGGTAATTTTTGTATTTTTAGTAGAGACGGGGCTTTACCATATTGACCAGGCTGGTCTTGAGCTCCTGACCTCAAGTGAGCCACCCGCCTCGGCCTCCCAAAATGTTGGGATTACAGGTGTGAGCCACTGTACCTGGGCCCTCTTTCTTACTAAAATCTAAATTTCATTAAGGCAAGGACGATCCCATCCTTGTCACCAAAAAACAAAACAAAACAAAACCACACACAAAAGGCAGGGACAATTTCTGTCTTGTTCACTACCCTATTCCCAGTGCCTTGCACAGGTCTAGCATATAGTAGCTGTTCCATGAATGCCTGTTGATGAATAAATTGATGTTGACTTCAAAATTCATTATTCCTTAATCATTCTGCTGTGCAAACAGTATATGAAAACATTCAATTTAAGCATAATGCTGTATTACGGACTCAGGTTGGTATTCAGCAACAAGCTTATTTTTCTATGGATTCCTAGAAATTTTACAAAAATGGTAACAAGTTTCTGGGAGAAGGAATATAAGTCTAAATAGGCAAAAGATAAACATATTTGGTATGATAAAAAGCCAACTTGAATTGGGACATACTAAAAATGCACCAGTGTGTGTTGTTGGAAAAACATTTATTGCAATTCAGTGTCAAAAGTTTTTTACAAAAATATGCCACCGTCTGGTACAAACAACTATAAAAAATCAGTTCATCATGCAAGAAAAGTGTGCAAATAATTTATACAGAAGGACTCAGCTCACACAATATTAAATAAACATCTCTGCATGTAATTGGTCTAACTTTATGCTTTAGTTACAATGTTCAACCCCCTCTAATACTTTTCATTTAAAAAAGTACATTAAAGCTTCTAAGCTTAGGACACAGGCTGTAATATACGCCCACTTTAGCCATGGTGATTGGCACTTGGTAGAATAAAGATGGCACCAAGGATTCCCAAGTATAGAATACAGCTTGGAGCCTTCTGCTTAACAGACTTGTGCTTCGTTAATTAAACAAACACATCTATACTCAAAGACAGAAAAAGTCATGTTTAAACTCCAGAAATAATGTAGCAGATGGAGTTTTAAGAAGTTCAGAGTTTTGGAGCAGCCATCATTTTTGGCCAAATGGAGCAGGGCCTAAGTTTTGAGAGATTCTCCAGAAAGCTTTGTTTGCTGAGTGAATTCAAGGACACTTTGAAAAATGCCCAGCAGACAAAGTCATGAATATCATGGCCCCTTGCTCCTGGCTGCCTCATGGAATAATCCCCCTTTGCTTAGTAAAAGATGAAGTTTAGTGGAGAATGAACATCCGCTGGGCTAGAAATGCACTGAATCTCATAGCTGGTCCTGAAGGAGGAAATGGAGAAGATGGATTAAATGTACCTCTGAGTCTAGGGGAGAGGAAACACCTGCTTCGGAATCTCAGTTTCTAGGGAGCAAGCCACTGCCCAGCCCTTCTGTCTTTTTTTATAACGGCCATTTTTGTAATAAAAATGTAAGTACCCAAGGAAGAAATAAAATTGTCAAAATATGCTGCTTTCTTTATAGCAAGCAGGTTGTACTCACTGGAATGCCACATTCACAACAGAATCAGAGGTCTGTGAAAACATTAAGTGGCTCCTTAACTTCTCCAGTAAGAATCAGGGACTTGAAATGGAAACGTTAACAGCCACATGCCCAATGCTGGGCAGTCTCCCATGCCTTCCACAGTGAAGGGCTTGAGAAAAATCACATCCAATGTCATGTGTTTCCAGCCACACCAAAAGGTGCTTGGGGTGGAGGGCTGGGGGCATAGAAGGTCAGGCCTCAGGAGGCCTCAAGTTCGCATTCAGCTTTGCCACTGTACCAGGTGGGCTGACGCACATCCCCTAAACATTCTGGATCTCTTACTCATCGTGAAAGGCAGACGCTCTAAGTCTAAAGTCTAGGGTAGGAGTTTCCATTCTTTGGAAAACCAAAGATGGTTACTCTTCTTAATGAAACTGAGAAGAAGGTATCTACAGAAAACACTGAATTTAAACAAATTATGACCTTGTTTGTTGAAGCCATCAAGGACCCAAGATATATCAAAGAACAACATCTCTGTATTGGCCTACAGGTTCAGAGTGTTTTGAGGTCTGTTTAAGCACTAATAGGATTTTAGGCCAGCATCCAGTCAGAAGAGATAGTTCACAGACTCAGAGTTGGAAACAGATTAAAAAAAAAAAAAAGATGTCAACATAGAAAATGATGATAGAGTTTAGTTAAAAAAATTCACACATAAAATTACAGTTAAAAAAATTCACACATAAAATAGAGTGTTTGCATAGCAAGACATTATTGCCCTTCAGCCTGGCAGAAAAACATAAACTCAGGTGTATATTTTATAATAAACATTGTATTGAATGCTAAGAATGATACACTGTTGAACATCTCCTGAATGGTTTGCCTTCTTGTAAATCATACCAATTGTTTAGACAATTGAAATTCCAAGCTCTTTCTCTTCTCCCATATAAAAACAACAGAAACAGGAGGCTGTTAGTAGCAAGCTCCTCATGGGAAAGGGTATGTGAATCCACAAAGACGAGAACTATGGCAATAGCATAATACACACCCGCTACCTTACTGCCCAAGTGCTAGTAGAACCTGCTCTAGTGTTCAGAGTTTTGCAGTACAAACCCAGTCCCTCTGAAATACGTCTTCCAAGCCACTTCAATGTAAACCTGATCATCATTAAACAAAAATCATCTCACAACTGATACATTGGGGATGCTTTCACCTAATAGCTTTTGTTCATTTCTGCCATTTGCCCTCCCATTCAACTGATTTGTCTGCTCAAAGTAACAGCATTGAGTGATAATGCAATCTAGTTTAAAATGCCATTGGATTTTTTTTTTTCTGGATCTTGCTCTAGTGTGAGCACTCCTGAACTTCACATATTCTCCTTGTCCCAAATGCAAGGGTTTACTCTCAAGAGACTCTAGGCTCACTGCCCATAAACCTTTGAGTTGGACCAAATCTTAACATCCCTGTGGATTTGCTCATACTGCCCTGGGCAGAACTCTTTCCTTCTTTGGAAGTCTGAATTACTTCATATTTGACATCTATTTTGAAATTCTGTTTTACAGGGTTTAGGATGGGGGTAGGTAGGCACAGGAAAGAGAGTAGAGCATTCTCTCTTTTCTAGCAATTTCCATTATCATGCCCCTTCTAGCTTTTAGACCAGCAGTTCTGAGACAGGGATTATTTGCTTTTGTTTGATAGGTCAGGTTGTCTGGGATGGTTTGCCAATAGAAATTCTATAGACTATTATTGTTCAAAGAGCAAGAATTGTCTTAACTCTCTTCACTTATATGTGAGGCTCTGGCCATACTTAACAGATACCACGTGGCACTAACACAGATATGTTGTGCCTGCTGTGCTCTTCCCATTGTCCCCACACAAGCCACAGCATCAAAGACATGCCATTTCTATTCCTTTCCCCCTCCCTCTCTACCTGCCATTTCTTTCCTTATTCTCCTCTTCCAATGAAAGAGAACCATAAAGGTTGATTTCTTCTTCATTTTCCTTAAAAAATTTCCTTGAGTCTGTCATACACCAGCTCCAATAACACCAAAGGACACGGGGAGAGCCCACTGGTACCATCTTGGTAAACATTTAATTAGACCGTAACCCTTCTCTTGGGGCAGAGGTCATCTTGCACAGATGCACATGGTTGCCTGGAGTCTATCGTACAATCATGTGCACTGCTGACAGTCTAAATGACACCAGTGTCCCAGTTTTGTGCTGACAGTCCACAGCAGGCAATGTTTCTGCGACTGCAAACCTGAAGGCGACGAGGAGTTTCTACTTTCTTGATCAGCATGAAGGGGCAGAGATCACCAGTTGGTGGCAACATGTGGAAGGCCATGAACCCCTAAATCTAAAAATGTCACTAAGAGTCAAAAGTTCCAGAGCTCTCTCAGTGATGGCACACCCAACTCCACCCCATGTCTTTGAGGAAGCTGAGAAATTGGAGAGAACCTGACAATTATAGAAGAAGTAGCTTTTTATTCAGCAGTCTAGGTCCTGCATTCCCAATGTGAAATTGGTTCAGGGGGAGAGGGATTGCAAAAAAAAAACAAAAAAAAACAAAACAAAACACACACCTTAGATAGAATAATGGTTCGTGACCTTCCAAAGCTCAATCTTACCCAACAAAATCCTATTCTTTCATATTTAATTTCTCTTATTAGGGAAAATTTAAATTCAATGTAATTTTTTTCTCAGGGGGATGATAATGAAAAAAACTGGAGAAATTCTGGCGTAGCACAAACATTGCAAAGTGAGGAGCACTAAACAGTAGGTTCCTTCTCTTCAGAAAGCTGATATGTGGGTTGTGTGCTATTGAGGGCAGGGGCTGAAGCGGTGTTGTATCATAGCTTGTCTCTTGCCTCGTTTCTCTCCATGCTTAGCCATCTTTCCCCCTTTCCAGGTCACCCAAAGCTCAGCTCTTAAAGATACACTGTTCCTCAACTTGAATGTGGACTGTGTTCCTATTTCTGCTTCACTTATTTGCCAAGGGCATGCAGGGTGACAAGTTTATTTGGAAAAAAAAAAAGCATATACAACTGCAAATATATGTACATTGTTGTAGGAAAGCAACAATATTCTGTAAAAAGTAAAAAACTGGGAGTAGATCCCCCATCTATTCCCAGGAATATTTTACAACGAACTCATTAGGTCCTGAGATTTCCTTTCTTCCACAGTTACCTGCTGATATTTGCCTCGTAAGATCCCCTTGGGATCTTCCTGTTTTAACTACCCAGCCCGGAAGCAAGTTTAAGATGAACTTGTGGTACCTCTCCTCCCTATTTGGCTGGAACTCCAGCCTTGATTTTTAATCACCTTTGCAAAAAGCCCTAGCTCAGATGGACTCATTTTGATGTTGGACCTAAAGAAAAGAAGCTCCTCAGCTCATCCCCTTGGCAAGGGGTACAGCAACTGGTAAGATGTTTAATTGGCTGATTGTAAAACCTGTCTTTCGAGCCTCAGCACTTGGGCCCCACTCTGTCCACAGACACAGGCTTATCCATGAAGATATCCAAGGAAGGAAGTTCAGCAGGAATAAGGAAGTCTTCACAGCTATTGATTGGGTGACCAATTCTATCATCTTTTCTGCAGCAGGACTTCCTCTGGGACGGCTTTTGTTTTGTTTTGTTTTGTTTTGGAGACAGGCTGGAGTGCAGTGGCACAATCATAGCTCACTGCAAACCTCAGACTCCTGGGCTCAAGCAATCCTCCCCTGGGACTGTTTTAAGTTGGCCTTCTTTTCCCCCAAATGAGCTACAACATGACAGGAAAAAAGGAACATGTGCTTTTGGGTTGTTCTGGTGAACAGATAACTCTAAGGAGGGCCCTGTTTGCCTGAAAAGGAAGTGTGAAACCAGAGGATTGCCTCCAATATCCCTTTCCATTTTAAATCACTTTTTATAGTGATGAAAACACTTACGAGAAAAACAGACACTGCCTACTGGATCACATGCGTTGTCAGAGAGGGCACTCTACGCTTTTAGAGGTAGACCATTGTGTGGTATCTCTGTAGGGTAAGGCTCTGTGCCCATGCAGGTTTAGGATGGGTGGCGCTTCCTTCGCCTTCTCAAAACAAACACCAGATCAAACCCCAAAGCCCAGGAATTTCTCCTATATAGTTTTCCTTCTTCATTTTTTCTTTTCTAAACAAATTTTCACATTGTAAACAAAGCGTCCTATTTTGTATTTGAGTTTTGCCTTTTTCTTCCTAGGGAACTATAAGAGAGTTTCTGTGACCATTAAGAGGACTCCATTTTCACCGCTGAAATAGAATTATTGCCCTTATAGTCTTGCTGGCAAATTGTTAGAAAAAAAGTTTATTTACAGTATTTTGCTTTTCCATACCAATTCTAGTGAGAAGTTCACATTCTTAAATTCCCAGTCAGCAACTGCATTTCTCCCCTCCAATGTCCTCTCCATGACTTATCTCTGAAGTTTCGAGCCAATGTTTAAAATGTACACTATTTACAAATGAAGTGTCCAAATGCCATATTCCCAGCTCTCCAGTCAGCAGGGGGACCCTTCTGAAGTGTTGTCATGTGCTGGGATTCAGAACTTGAACAAGTTGATAAAGTCCTGGGGTGAAAGTGAAACGGAGCAGCTCTCTGGGTTATTGGCAGTGCACGGATGGTCAGTGCCCTGGAAAGGAACACATGGTTAGCTTCAAGTTCTCAGAGGCCTCTCTTTGGCTTTTAGCACCATAAGGCATTTTCCAACTTCAAAGCAACAATTCTCTGTCAATAATGCCCCAGGCCTAAATGTTGCATGTTCTCACTCGTATGTGGGAGCTGTGAAAGTAGATTTCATGAAGACAGAGAGTAGACTGGTGGTTACCAGAGCCGGGAAAGGGAAAAGGAAGGGGATGCAGAGAAGTGGATCAATGGGTACAAATACACGGTATGATAGAAGGAATAAGACCTGCTGTTAGATCAGTAAGTGAATGTAGTATATAATAATCTATTGAATATTTCAGGCTGGGCACGATGGCTCACACCTGTAATCCCAGCACTTTGGGAGGCCAAGGCAGGTGGATCACTCGAAGTCAAAAGTTCAAGACCAGCCTGGCCAACATGGCAAAACCCCATTCTACTAAAAATTACAGAAATTAGCCTGGGTGTGGTGGCATGTGCCTGTAGTCCCAGATACTCGGGGAGGCTGAAGCAGGAGAATTGCTTGAACCTGGGAGGTGGAGGTTGCAATGAGCCGAGGTCCCACCACTGCACTCCAACCTGGGTGACAGAGTGAGAGAGACTCCGTCTCAAAAAAAAAAAAAAAAAAATCTACTGAACATTTCAAAATAGCCAGAAGAGAAGAACTGGAATGGTTCTAGCATAAATAAGTGACAAATATTTAAGGTTATGAATGTGTCAAAGTACATTGATTTAATCTTGACAAATTACATGAATTACATTATCGCATGGACCCTGAAACTACGTACATCTATTATGCATCAATGAAAAAATTTTATAAGTCTGGAAAAACTAAAAGCTATGTGTTTCCATGTGTAAGTGTGTGTACCCGTACACACAGAGAGAGGAGGATTTAAGGGGGAGTGGGTGGAACGCAGAAAAAAGTAAACATAAGAAAGTGAAGAAAATGGAGGTCTATAAAAGTCCTTCCCCCCCACCCTCCCAGGCACTGAATCAGTTTACCCTCACTTTCAGCTGGGGGCTGTGATGGGGAAGAGGCGGAAAGGCGCTGGCCTCACCATGCTGGCTGGCACTCTTGGCTCTTAGGGGCTGGGCTGGGGGTCTGTGGCAGCCACCTCTGAGACACATACCTTCCAGGAAAGGATGTGACAGTGTTTGCAGAGCTGAAGGGTATCTCCATACTGCTCTTTCCTTGGGTAACATCGGACAAGTTTGAAATACATCTTCTTCCAATCCAGCTGCCCTTTGTCTGACAGAATTAATCGTTTGCGGATCTAAAAAATCAAATGAATAAAGGAAATGACAGGAGAGTTTGTCAAGAAGATGGCTTGTGGTTTTCCGGTTCTGAAAAGGTTTACTCTCACCCTTTCCCCCTCTTTTCAGCTCTACAATAGCCAGGAAGGAAAACTGTCACTATATAAAGAAGTACCTGCTTAGCTCTCCTCAGTTAAACAGTAGCTTTTAACCAAGCTTAAAAAACAACAACAACAACAACAAAAAAACCAGGTGGCTGGTGACATGTTACTAGTGACCTTTACTCAACTGTGGCTGGATGGTCCTTTAAAGTTTAGGTGATCTCAGTAAACAACTTTAATCTTTTCTTTGCTGTAGACTTGAGTGATCATTTCCAGGGAGATGCAATAACTGCTTGGCACCAGGGCTCTATTTTATATCTAAATATTAGTGGCTTCACGAACAGAACTTGTTGAACTCACACATCCATATAAAGAAACTGGAAAAAGACCAACAAACTTGAGGCAGCATGATGAAGGGAAACAGGCTTGGAGTTGGTGTCTGAAGGCCCAAATTCAAGGTCAGGGCCAGTTTCCTCACCCAAAGAGCTACTTCACTAATTTGGATATGTCACTTAGCCATTTGTGGCTTTAGTCCCTTCATCTGTTTAAAGTGGGCACAACAATGCCTATCCTTCCCTGGGCCATCAGAATAAAATGAAATGATATCTGTAAAAGTACTCTACCACACAGGGTGCGGTGGCTCACGCCTGTAATCCCAGAACTTTGGGAGGCCGAGGCAGGCGGATCACCTGAGGTCAGGAGTTCAAGACCAGCCTGGCCAACGTGGTGAAACCCTGTCTCTACTAAAAATACAAAAATTAGCCAGGCATGGCGGTGTGCACCTGTAATCCCAGCTACTTGGGAGGCTGAGGCAGGAGAATCATTTGAACCAGGGAGGCAGAGGTTGCAGTGAGCTGAAACTGCACCACTGTACTCCAGCCTGGGTGACACAGTGAGATTCCATCTCAAAAAACAAAACAAAACAAAAAGTACTGTAAAGCACTCAGAAAATGTAAGTTATTGTGTTATAGAAAAAAAGGATGGGTGCCAATTTATGATTTTTTTGAGTGAGTTGTAAAATGAGAATAGGTTAAGAATGTAAGTTTAATTTTTTCCATAAAAACTACCTGAAACACACACACACACAACATCTCTATTTAAAAACTCAGACAGGGTGGGCATGGGGACTCATGCCTGTAATCCCAGAGCTTTGGGGGTGCCGAGGCAGGAGGACTGCTTGAGGCCAGGAGTTTGAGGTCAGCCTGGGCAACATAGAGAGACCCTATTTCTACAAAAACAATAATAAAAAAATTATCCGGGTGTTGTGGCATGAGCCTGTAGTCCCAGCTACTCGGGAGGCTGAGGTGGGAGGGTTGCTTGAGCCCAAGTGGCTGAGGTTACAGTGAGCTATGATTGCATCACTGCACTCCAGCCTGGGCCACAGAGCGAGACCCTGTCTCAAAAAACAAAATCACAAAACTCCTTCAACTGTCATTTTTCAGTCAAACCAGGGAACCTGGAATAGGGGGAACCCAGACCTCAGGCTTGAGCAGGGCACCAAGGAAGTTTGGGGTGAGGGCCAGAGAAGGAGGGTGGGAGGAAAGCCCACTGGGCCTTGCTGACCTGCCGCTCGGAGAAGTGGTACTGGCAGAGTTTCTTCCACAGCAGCCGGTCTTCGCTGAGCACGTGCAGGTCGGGGGCAGCCTGGCCCAGGCTGACCAGGTCCCGCCCGTCGCTCAGCCTCTGCATGATGTTCAGTTGTAGGCACAAAGGCAGGTCAGTGAAGGTGAGGCCTTTGAAGGCAGGCTGCAGAGAGAAGGGTGACAATAGGTGGGGGGGCCAGAGAGCAGCGATTCACCAGGCCACACCCTCCAGGCATGCAGCTGTGCCCGTCCTCCACCCTCAAGGCAGTTTATTGATAAGAGGTCGAAAGCAGTAGTAAATCTCCCCATCCTAAATGCAGACAGGAGACCATGGCCATGACCCTCAATGAAGTGTGGAGTGCGCTGAGCTGAGTGGTGCCAGAGGGATCGCCCTACATTTCCAAAGCTTGAAACTTTCACTCTTAAAGACTCTCCAAATAGCGCATGTGCTTTACTCAGTTCACACAATTACAAGGTTCGCTGCTTTCCTGAAGGCCTCACTGCCCTGGATGGAGTGGCCCAGCCTGCCACCCCAAGTCCCATCTCTCTGGCCCCCCTCCAGACATCAGGTCCCTCCAAGTAGGTTTACTCACTGGCACCTAAACACACCTGGCTCAGCCTGACCTCAATGCCTTCGCCTCCCCAGTCTTCTCTGCCCGGCCACGTGGTCATCCTGCTCAGATCCAGTTCAAACCTACTTCCTCTGAAAGGCCTTTTCTGTTTTTGTGACTCCCTTACTCACTGCACCTTCCTAGAATTCTTAGGATCTCTTTGAGACACATTTTGCAATATCCTTCTTTTTGTCATGCAACATGAGCTTTTTTTCTAAAAGAAACTTTGAAAGGAACATTCTTGCTGGAACTTAAGCTCTATGAAGGAAGGAATTTTAATCTTTTTTCACTACTGTGTCCAGGGTGTCTACAAGAGTGCCCAGCACACAGAAGGTGCTCAACAAATACCTGTGGAATGAATGAAGCCCAAATAATTAAATAGGTAGAAAACAATAACACAGAGACTCTGTGCTAGGGTGTGTGTGTGTGTGTGTGTGTGTGTGTGTGTGTGTGTGTGTACGTGCACATTGGGAATGGCAGGTCCAGAAGCCTTTGGCCCAAGCTCCACCATCCCTTGAGACTTCTCTATTTCAACCGAGGCCTCCGTGGAGCATTGTGAAAACTGCTGGTCTGTGGATGATACCTTGGCAATTAATGGCGAGCTTCTCCAAGAGCTTCTGGTACATCCCTGAACTTATTAATATATTTAAGCCTTTATTGTTTTAAATTTTGATGAGCTCATGATACCCTGCCCAGATCTACATCCTTGAAGGCAGGGTCTAATTTTATGTCCCTTGTAGACTAGCCCAGCACAAGCCACCTCTCCTGAGTGCCTACTATGGCCTGGTGCTGAAGTGGCTGCACTGAGCTCTTCAGGCTGGTGAGAGACCCAGAGGCAGAAACAAATAATCATAAAATAATATGAAATAATACAGTAAACGCTGTCATGGAGGGAAGCACAAAGCGCTGTGGGAAGAATCTGCACCTGGGAATCCGCATATGTATTTGCTGATGTGTCTTGAACAGCAACAGGATGCTGCCATCCAGATAAGTCAATAGACCACCTGGGACTGCGGTTCCTTGTCCTGCCCCTGCTGGTTCTGGGTGAGCTCTTGATTTTGGACTACTCACATTTTTCCATCAATGTTCTGTGACCTCTGAGAGGTCACAGGGGAAAAATAATACAGGATGAAGAAACCCTTCCTTAGCTCAGGGGAAAATATCCTGAGAATGGGTATCAATTTCCCTGCCCAAATTTTTACAGGAGCCAAACTCTGTACAAAGCACATCGAAGCCTAAACACATGGAGGATTCCAGGAGACACTAGGTCTGGGCAGTTCTCTCCTGTGTCCCCAGCAAGGCAGGGTAGGCACGAGGTGGGGAGGGAGCAGTGGCAAGGGGCCTTGGGAAGGCTAAGCTATGGAGAAGAATGGGAGGTGCAGGGGAGCAACATGGATGGACAGGCAGCACATCTGGATCCCAGCTCCCCTGGGAAGTCTCCCCATGTCCAAAATGAATGGCTTAGAAGACTCTGAAGATCCCTTCCAGCTCCAACAATCTCAGATGTAGAAGGACTTCAGCCTCCTATTTCATTCAAAGTATCTATGACTTGACAATTTATACCGCTCGGTTCTACCCCAGGCTGCTGGGCAGAGCTCTCAATTGTTTGCAAACTTCAGGTCTTTGCCAACCGCAGAAGGCCCTAGACCTATTTATCGTTTATCATCTCCTGCTGATCATATGAGCTAATAAAACTGCCATGAGATTTTCTTTTCGTTTCCAACACTTCAAAGCCTCTACTTTTTTGGTTAAAACTCCCAGGCCAATTATTACATTAACTCCTATTAAAGGCAAGTCCACTTGGCAGGGTTCACTCTGTCAAATTTTCAAACCTGAACTTTTCCAAAATCCTTGCCCAGACCCCATGCTAAGCCCTTCCTCCTGATAAGTGGTTAACTGCTTACATGCCTCTTCCTTTCGAATATAAACGTATAAAAGAAAAATTAGTCACTCTCGCTCCTCTAGTCAAGCATTTGGCTAACATCCACTAGGGTCTATGTCACTCCTCACATGCTTCAAAACAGTGCCCTGCCCACCGCATACTGTCACTGTATTTGATTTTTTCCCCAAGACCCAGTTCTCTTAATTTGTTTCCTTCATTCTTTATTATATTAATTATTTTGCCAATAAAAATTGGCTCCATAGAATTAGATATAAAAATTTTGCAGGAAAACAAAATTTTATGCTGGAAGGAGACTGACAGAACTTTGGCAAAATAGAAAGCATTTACTCTGAAAGTTGACTTTATATTTGCCTATAATAATGTACTTTTCTTTGGGCCAAACTGTTAAAAAAGTAAGTTTTAAAATACAGTCCAGACTGAAGTAATTAAGTCTTTTTTCTTTCTCTCTCTCTCAATTTCTCTTTCCTCTGCAGAGTTGAGCTTCTGTGTGGAGGCTGGGCTCAGTGGCTCATGCCTGTAATCCTGGTACTTTGGGAGGCTGAAGCGGGAGGATTGCTTGAGCCCAAAAGTTCGAGATCAGCCTGGGCAAGATGGTGAAACGCCATCCCTACTAAAAATACAAAAATTAGCTGGGTGTGGTGGCGAGTGACTGTAGTCCCAGCTACTCGGGAGGCTGAGGTGGGAGAATCATGTGAGCCCAGGAGGCCAAGGCTGCAGTGACCTAGGACCATGCCACTGCACTCTAGCTTGGGCAAGGGGAATAAGACCCTATCTCAAAAACAAACAAACAAACAAACAAACAAAAACAAAAAAAGAAAAGCCCTTTAAGGCTCCGTGGGTTCCAGTACAGCTCTCAATATAAGGAAGCTCAGAGCCAAGGAGGGTTGGGACAGAGGACAGTGGGAGGAAGGTACAGTGGTTGAAAGCACAGCCTCTGTGGACAGGCCTGGGTTCAGTTCTTGTGCCACATCCTACTAAGCATGAGGCATCAGCCAAATTATTCTTAACTACTTGTTCTAATTGTTCTCATTTATAACATGAGAAAAAGCTTATCCTACATTGTTGCTGGGTGGGGCAGATGAGATAATACATAGAAGCACTCAGTACAGCGCCCAATAAATGCTAGCCACTGTGATGACTCCTATTTACAATTCTTCACTAGGTGAGTTAATTAATACATGCAAAGGACTTAGAAGAAGGCCTGCACAGAGCCAGCCCTTAATAATAACAGCTGATACATTTACAATACTTACTGTGCATTAGGCACTGTGCCGTCTGCTTTCTATATGTTAACTTATTAAATCTCATACCATGGCTATGAGTTGACACTATTGCAACTATTTTCCAAATGAGGAAAGTGAGGCATGGAGAGACTGAATAACTTGCCTCAAATCCTGCAGTTGGGGCCGGGCGCGGTGGCTCATGCCTGTAATCCCAGCACTTTGGGAGGCTGAGACAGGCGGATCACTTGAGGTCAGGAGTTCGAGACCAGCCTGGCCAACATGGTGAAACCCTGTCTCTACCAAAAAATACAAAAATTAGCCGGGTGTGGTGGTGCATGCCTGTAATCCTAGCTACCGGGGAGTCTAAGGTAGAAGAATCACCTGAACCCAGGAGGTGGAGGCTGCAGTGAGCTGAGATCACACCACTGCACTCCAGCCTGGGTGACAGAGACCCTGTTTCAAAAAAAGAAATCCTACAGCTGGTAAATTATTATCATCATTCATAATACAGGGCCATGTTTTCCAATTGTGTTCCTTTGAACACTGAACGAGTACTCAGGCAGGCAATGGGAGGAGACTCCCTTTCAACCATTCATTCATTCAGCTCAGATTTACTGACTGTCTCCGGCTCTGTGCCAGGAACAGGGAATAGATGGGTAATGTCCTTTCTTTGTGGAGTTTATAAGCCCATGGACAGAGACAGAAAAGTGCACACACATTAGACAATTTCAGATCATAGCTGCTCGGAAGAAGGTGATATGATGGTGATGTCCATAGATTGGATGGTCAAAGAAGGCAGCAAGCTTCAAAGCCCTGAGGCAGGGCCAAGCTTGGAGTGTGCAGAGAATGGCTTGGCTCGGCTGGAGCTCCTCGTGCAGAAGAGATAGTGAGTGAACTTCAGTGTTTGATCTCTTCTTCATGGGATCTCATTGGATTAAAGAGAGTTTTTTAAAAAGCTGGATCATTGGATAAATAGTTGGAAGAAAGCTGGATTGAAAAAGTTTGGAAACCACTGATGTCAAGCAAGCTTTGCCATTTTAGGAATACGGAATCCAAGGTTCTGGCCTCAGCTCTGGCCCTAAGTGCTGTGCATCGCTAAGAAAGTCACTGGGTGTCTCTGGTCCCCACTCCACCTCCACTCCAAGAGGGGTAACAACAGCTACAATAGCTAGCTCCGAAGAGTGTTTGTGGATGAGCTAAGGAGGGTTCTGAGCATGTGAGCCTATGGCAGTGCAGGGTATGTGGACAGATGTGGCCAGGAGGGGTCCTTGGAAGTGGACAGAGGGAACAGAGGCAAGCTCCAGGCAAATGTGACCATCTAGAGGTTTTTTGTTTTTTTTTTTTTTCCTTGAGATGGAGTCTCAGTCTGTCACCCAGGCTGGTGAGCAGTGATCTTGGCTTACTGCAACCTTCAACTCCCAGGTTCAAGTGATTCTCCTGCCTCAGCCTCCCGAGTAGCTGGGACTACAGGTGTGTACCACCATGCCTGGCTAATTTTTGTATGTTTAGTAGAGATGGAGTTTCACAATGTTGGTCAGGCTGGTCTCGAACTCCTGACCTCAAGTGATCTGCCTGCCTCGGCCTCCCAAAGTGCTGGGATTACAGACATGAGCCACTGCACCTGGCCAACTGTGATCGTCTAAATGGGTGTTCTGAAGTTGCTGAAGGGAAGTGCCCTTGGGACACATGGGACCCGCTTGTTTATATCACTGGCTGGACAGTTCTCTCCTGGCCTTAGAAAAATCCCAGTCAGTCAGTCCAGGCCATAGAGAATGCCAGAAACCAGGTAGAATGTGTATGTGGGTTTTCTGTGAGAGATAAGTTGGGAACTTGGGTCTCACATTCACATGGTCAGACTATCTGCCTACACTTGAGATGTGGGAATGGGGTAAATTATTAGAATAAATCAGGTAAATGTTCATAATAAATATGTACATTCTCTTAAAAAAATCAAATACTTGAGATCATTTCTGAAAGATGACTTGCATCCGTGCTCTGCTCTGTGTGTGTGTCTGTGGGTGCAGCGTGTAGGTGTTGTAGCCTAAGTGGCTCTAAGGAAGTCACATACCTCTGAGCCTTCGAATGATTCTGTTTCACAGCTTAAAAAGTGCAGGTACAGAGACGTAATTACCAGTAAAGTCAGGAACATGCATTTTGAAAACTTCATCTAGTAAAACAGTTATTTAAAAGAAGCCAAAGGATTTCTTCCTGCTACCTTCTCCTGATATGAGGCAACCTCAAACTTTATCAGTGTGGGTCCCGGAAACCACTTAAGCCAGTTACAGTCAGTGATGAGATAAATAAGCAAAGTGCTACATGAGCCGCCTGAGTGTGTCTGTCCTTTAGTGAGCCCTAAGAGATTACACCAGCGTCTTCCTCCCTTTTTTTTTTTTTTTTTTTCTTGTGCCTTGGTCCTCCTGCTCACTATTAGGAGGACAAGAGCTGAGGGCCAAGCTATGTTGTGAAAGCCAAAAGAAACAACTGCTATAGATCGCCAAACCTCACTGGTAATATACGGCTTTTCCTTTTTGCTTTGAGAATTGCTCATCATTTTCCCACATGTAAGTTCACAGACTTTAATCAAAGGCTTCCTTTGTCATAACTACCAATAATCGGAACTAGGATTTTAAAAGGCTGGTACCAGTTCTCCAAGCTACTGCCTTCCCAGCTCTACTGTATTCAAGACAGCAACCTAAGGCTGCAAACAACTCATGCTTTAGGAGGAAATGAGCAAAGAGACATCTCTGAACCCCGCTAAAGATTTCAGCAGGATGGCCAGCATCTCCCCAAAAGCCAAGTTTCCAGCTTTCCCATAATAGTTCACCAGGCTGTCATCTTTCATGTACTTTGATCCCGTTTTGCCAAGTTTTTCTTCCCACTTCCCTTTATCAGGAGGTCCCCCAGCCCACCCTCAGCACCAGAACAAAGCAGCAGATCAGAAAAGACCAGACTCTTCCGTCACAGGAGTGAATTCAAAGTCTTGGCGAGTCTGTCCAGTATCCCTGTGGAGGGACCCACTGCCGGGAGGAGGCTGGGCCTGCCCGCTTACCCTGGTGATCTGAATGTTGTTCAGCTGCTGCTGCCAGTGGAGAATCGTCTCCATCCGATACACCCACATGTTAATGTTCCCGACCAGCACAGACTTGCCGACTCTTTGGACCAGTGTACATAAGGATGTGTAGAGGGTCTGGAGTAGTTCCCTTATTAGTCTAATGTTTTGCTGGTCTTCAAGGACTTGAGTAGGGAAGAAAAAAATAATTAAAGTTATGATACTGGAACACCCTGTATTTTACACATGAGCTTGTCTCTGTCTGTATTCCACTCATGTTACCCAGGCACTGCCTCTGGGGATATGGTTTTCTTCCTCACCAGTGTTTATTGTACGCTTGGCCAAGCTTCTGCACTTGAGGTTAAAGGGTAGAGTTTCCATTATCTAGGTCCCTCTTTGTTCTCTTCTCTCTCATTTTCTATAAAGCCTCTTTCTCTTTTCATTGTTCTCCCAGCAGCCATGGTTCACCTGATCAGAAAGCCACTCCTTTTGCCCAGAAGTGACCCCGTTTAGGACAGTCAGTGGAAGGAGCATGGTTTCAGGGGTTTGGAGCCTGGGTTCTAATCCTGTCTGGCTGACTCTCTGTGTGATTATGGACAAATCACTTCTCCTCATGGGCCTCAGTTTCACCATGTGTACAATGAGTCAGTTGAACCAGAGACCTAAGGTTCCTTCTAGCTCGAATAGTCTACGAATCTATTCTGACTTTGTACACATGTCGATTTTCTAGGAATTTGGGACCCGGAGGCTCGGTAGCCAGTGTTGGGACCTGTGTCTACACTGAGAAGCCTACGAGGCTTATAGTAGGGCAAGTGGATGGTCCCAAAGAAAGGACAGGAGGGTGATGGTCTCACCCTTTGCCATGAGGATGAGTTGTACCCCTTTCCGAACTGGAATTTAGTGTCTCTAAAATGTAGCTGGAGTTATTCATTTCCATCCATTCACATGTCTTTAAGTCTAATGACACGTCCACTTCATTGGAAAATCCATCTGCCCACCTCCATGCCTATAAAAAGGGGCGAGAGAGTGAGAGAAGGCTCACCTTTCAGTACCACTTTTTCCAAAATATTCATGAAGTTCTTTTGGGCGATGCCACTCAGGGATGTGAGCTGTGACTTTGCTATCAGCTCCAACAGCTGAGGATAAAAATAGAAGTTGCCAGGCTTAGAGTACAGAGATATTTTTCTCCTCTAATCTTCACTTTTGAGTCCCATGACACGTGGATACAGACTGACGGGGAGAGATAAATGGCAGGCAGGGCCACAATGCAATAAAAAGCAGATGCTCAGAGTGAAAGATAAATGGGGTAATTCAAAACCCAGGATTGGGTTGAATATTTAATTGCTTTTCTTCTTTTAAATATAAAGAATTTTGGCTTCAGCCAGGGCTAATTCAATCTACTTGTCCTACTTCAGCAAGTGAAGCTGACGTACCCTGAAGGGAACAAAATCTCCCATGACCTGTGAATGGCTGAGTTCTGCAGAATCACCTCCCGGGGGAATTCTTCTGCCCCCGCTTGAACTTCTTCCTTATTGGCACTGACTGCTCTCAAGGCACCTAAAGCCCATCTTCAGCAGCCATGTGCACTTTTTCCATGGAAGTGGAGAGTCTTATCCTGATACCTCCTGCTTCTGCAGTGTTCAATAAACATGTCTATTAATTAGACTCTTTCACTGCACTTACATTTCTGTAGAAAGACGCCAATCACAGGAAGAGAGAGAAATTCAGGGATGTATTTTATATGATGTCACTGTGGCTAAAAACTTGGATCCTTGTAGCTCTTGGCCTTAGATTCAGGTCTTGATTTGAACATGTATTAGCTCCGTGATGATGGGCAAGTTACTATATTTCTTGGTGCCCCACCCAGTTTGTTCATCTATACTAATAATATTTAGAGTCTTTAATACAAGGTTGAGTATTTAATACCTTTAATACAAGGTAGAGTCAATAATACAAGGTTGTTGTGAGTGATAATAGGAGAATGCACATAAAGCCCTCAGCAAGTACCTGGCACTAATTAGGTGCTAAATAAAGGGTTTTCTTTGTTTTGTTTTTTGAGACGGCATCTTGCTCTGTTGCCCAGGCTGGAGTGCAATGGTGCAATCTCAGCTTACTGCAACCTCCGCCTCCCAGGTTCAAGTGATTCTCCTGCCTCAGCCTCCTGAGTAGCTGGGATTACAGGCATGTGCCACTACGCCTGGCTAACAGTTTTTTTTTTTTTTTGTATTTTTATTGGAGACAGGGTTTTGCCACGTTGGCCAGGCTGCTCTCGAACTCCTGACCTCAGGTGATCCACCTGCCTTGGCTTCCCAAAATGCTGGGATTACAGGCATGAGCCACCGCGCCCCGCCAGTTTGTTTGTTGAAAAAGTATGTCCCATTCCTACCAACCCCATAATTGCCAGACAAAAATAAATGAAGATAATAACTGAAGTTAGTGCGTACTTAGTCCAATCTTTTTTACCTTCTATAGCAAAATTCTTTACTGACATGGCAAGATTAAAAAACAAATAAAGGCCAGGTGCGGTGGCTCATGCGTGTAATCCCAGCACTTTGGGAGGCCAAGGCAGGTAGATCACGAGGTCAAGAGTTCAAGACCAGCCTGGCCAACATGTGAAACTCCATCTCTACTAAAAGTACAAAAAATTAGCCGGGCATGGTGGCACATGCCTGTGCTCCCAGCTACTCAGGAGGCTGAGGCAGGAGAATTGCTTGAAGCCAGGAGGCAGAGGTTGCAGTGAGCCGAGATCGTGCCATTGAACTCTCGCCTGGGCAACAGAGCAAGACTCCATCTTAAAAAATAAAAAATAAAAAACAAAGATCCTATTGTTGAAAAATGAAACTTTAGACTGGAAGGAATCTTAAGAGACCATCTAGTTTAATCCACTTAACAGATGAGCAAAGCGAGGCTCAAGAGACCCACCTTATGAGCCACTCCACAACTAGTGAGGACTCAGCAGAGTCCTTCTCAACACAGGAAAATATCACACTTCATGCTTTCAAAGAGTTAACAAACAAAAGAGGTTGATATAAAGTGAAAGTAATTAACTTCACGAGAACCCACCAGGCCCCCAGAGAAAACTATTAGGCTGGTGCAAAAGTAATTGTGGTAATAACTAGCCTGAGACTCAGTAGACTAGACACAGAGAACCGAGACCCCTCCTTTACACTGAAGCTAGAATCTCCGCTCCTAGGAAACTTTCTAAGAGAGTTTCATCTCCTGGCCAGGCCTCAGCCCAGCTTCATTTCAGATCAATAAACACTGAGCATGACACTGTGGTGGGTGCTGGAATCAAGGCTGAGGGAAGAAGCAAAATGAAATTTTAAAGATTGGGTTGCAGAGGAGAATGGAAACTTTTGGATCAACGGCCTAGGCAATTCAGAGCACCTCTGCTTCCATGGCATTTGCATAACATGTTTGTCCCCGTGGAGCTCTTTAGGAGCCTGTTAAACCACACACAGACTTTTAATTTCCTGAATGTAATTTTACTTTACATATTAAAAAAAGCCACCCCCAAACCAAACTCCTTTTTCTCCCTGGCTTCTGTATCTTTTCCACATGCAGGGAGAGATGAGGCTAGCTGACTGGGAGGAGGAGGTGGTTTGTTGCAATTAGTACTGGTGATCTAGTTGGAAGTCAGGAGCTCACCGAGTGTCTGCTGAAAGAGGCGGGAAATCAAAACACCAGTAGAGACCATGGCCATGGGCGGTGACCACACCGAATGCTGTGGTTTAGCTTTGCCACCAACCAGCACGTGACAGTCAAGAGAGGAGTGAAAATGGCACAAAGGGACTGGCCAAACCTTTCATTTACCTCCCTGACCAACAGCAAGATTCGGAAGGCCAAGATGATGGTCTATTAATACCCTGATCCTCACATGACCAACATGAAGCAGATGAAAGAAAACAAAAGCCTCGGGTCGGCTTTTGAAGGGCAGTCAGCTGTGCACTGTGACTCATCACTGGGTAGGAGGTGGGGCAAGGGGTTGGGAGGAAGGCAGCCAGAGCTCTGCCTGAAATCCATCCAAAACCCAGATTCCATGTGACTACCATCTCATGAGGGTGTCAGTTTTAATCTTGTCAAAATATGCACCAATCACAAGGACAAGTAAACTCTCAACACTATGACTGTGCACTGGAGGAGAAACGAACTGTCTTTGGTCTGATTATCTTCTCTAAGGAGAAGGAGGAATATAGCAGCAAAAATTTGTCAACTGACAGCATAACGACATGTTAACCATTCTGTGCTTCATCCTATCTCAAGGGAAAGTCCCCCCTACCTTTTTTTTTTTTTTTAACTGTCAGACAGCTGTGGAGTCAGGAGAAAGAACCCTGGAAGAGGAGAAGACCTGGATTCTCTAGCTGGGTGACCTTTGTAACTGTCATTCATTTAGCAAGTATTTTCTGAGTGTCCACCCTGTGCTAGCATCGTGGTAGGTGACAGGGACATGATGATGAAGACACATGATCCCTACACTCATGGAGTTTGCTCTTCAGCCTAGAGTGTAAGTCATTTAATCCCTCTGAACTCCTGATTCTTCATTTCTAAAATGGAAATAAAAAGACTACTTACTTCACAGGATTGCTATGAGAATTAAGTAAGATAAATATGTACAAATCCACAGTAAATACCAAACATAAGGCATTTTTATTATAAGATATTATTTCTTTCCCTTTAAACTCCAGTCTTTTTGTGAAGTTTAAAGTTGACATCAGGGGTTAGCAAACTTTTTCTGCAAAGTGCCAAACAGTAGGTGTTTTAAGGTTTGTGGGCCACGTGGTCTCTGTAGCAACTACTCCACCCTGAAGCTATAGCACCGAAATGGCTATAGACAATGTGTAAATGAGTGGGCATGGGTGTATTCCAATAAAACTTTATTTACAAAAGCAGGTGGAGGGCCAGATTTGGCACCTGGGCTATGTCACAGTTTCTGGTATATATCATAAGAGTTTAAGAGTGAGGGCTCCAGAGGCAAACTGTCTGCCTCAGTTTTCCCATCTTCAAAATATGCACAGTAATAGTACCTACTTCAAAGTTGCTGTGAAGATTAAATGTATTCACATAGCACTCATAACTGTGCCTGCTACAAAGAATATACTCGATAAATTATTATTGTTAGCTTTTACCATAATACAGAGCATTACCAAGTAAAATTATTGCCAATCAGGAAATAGTGAGTTAACAGGGCAAAGTGCAACCCATTTAAAGACCTTCAGAATTGCTGTATTTCAATTGTAGCTGTTGTCAAACAAATAAATAAATGCTTTCACACTGTAATATTCCTTTCTGTCATTTTACTATGTTGGTGATACATTTAATAGCACCCTATCTGTTGATAAAAGTTAATGCTGATACATTTTATGACTTGCATAGTTTTTCTACCATGGAGTCTTATTTTGCTAACAATAACAATAACAATGGGGTGCTTACTATGTGTCAGCAACTGCAGCTAAGCACTATACATTTGTAATCTTGTTTATCTTTTACAGCAACCCAGTGAGATAGCTTCTCCATTTAACCATTGAGGATATTGAGGCTCAGAGAAGTACTCACCTAAAGCCATACCAGCAGTAGCAAATGCTGGAGCCAGGACTTGAGCCCAGATATGTCTAACAGAGAACACATTTTCTTTTTTTTTTGTTGAGACAAAGTCTCACTCTGTCACCTAGGCTGGAGTGCAGTGGCACAGTCATGGCTCACTGTAGCCTTTACCTCCGAGGCTCAAGCTATCTTCCCACCTCAGCCTCCCAAGTAGCTGGGACCACAGGGGCACAGCACTATGCCTGGCTAATTTTTTTTATTTCTATTTGTAGAGACAGGGTCTTCCTAGTTACCCAGGCTGGCCTCGAACTTGTGGGATCAAGCGATCCTCGTGTTTCAGCCTCGCAAAGTGCTGGGATTACAGGCATGAGCCACTGTGCCTGGCAGAACATATATTCTGACAGTTTCAGGACTTCAGTTTGTCAAGGCCAATCAATTTGCATGGAGGGCCAAATTTTACTCCAAAATGGGAGCAATACCATTTATTGTTATGTTCTGGGGAAACAGAGTCTAGAAAATTTTATATAATATTGGGCTGGGCGTGGCGGCTCACGCCTGTAATCCCAGCACTTGGGGAGACTGAGGCAGGCGGATCACGAGGTGAGGAGATCGAGACCATCCTGGCTAATGGTGAAACCCCATCTCTACTAAAAATACAAAAAATTAGCCGGATGCGGTGGCGGGTGCCTGTAGTCCCAGCTACTCAGGAGGCTGAGGCAGGAGAATGGCGTGAACCCGGGAGGCAGAGCTTGCAGTGAGCTGAGATCACACCACTGCACTCCAGCCTGGGCGACAGAGCAAGACTCCATCTCAAAAAAAAAAAAAAAAAAGAAATTTTATATAATAATATGTTGTGACTGGTAAACAACTTTTAATATTAAGGGCACTGTAATGCTCAGAAAGTGCTACCAGCACATTTAGGATGAGGCAACTGCTTTGGGTAAACCACAGAGTCTACTTTCCACATCAGCATCACTCTATAGGCCCAGAGCTACTACTAGGTAGTGATGTATGGAACTAGTAGTGAAGAGAGCAGAATTTACCGATTTTTAAATTTTTTAATTTTTGAGACAGAGTCTTGCTCTGTTGCCCAGGCTGGAGTGTAATGGCGTGATTTCGGCTCATTGCAACCTCCACCTCCCAGGTTGAAATGATTCTCCTGCCTCAGCCTTCTGAGTAGCTGGGATTACAGGCACCCGCCACCACACCTGGATAATTTTTGTATTTTTAGTAGAGATCGAGTTTCACCATGTTGGCCAGGTTGGTCCTGAGCTCCTGACCTCAGGTGATCTGCCTGCTTTGGCCTCCCAAAGTGTTGGGATTACAGGCGTAAGCCATCGCGCACAGCCCAAATTTATCGATTTTATTTGTGTTAAGAGAGCTGCGTGCCTAGGAAAGTAGGTTTGTATCTAGCAATCTGTGTACCAGGATGACTTAGCCAATTGGATTCTTTGCCCCTAGCCACAAGAGAAAAAAAGAACAGAGGAAAATGTCTTGTTTGGAAGTGGCTGCTTGTTTTTGACTGGGCAAATTTTAGCCCAGGTGCTAGTAATTTGTGGCTATGTTTAAAGAGAGGCAGGGGGAGGGAAGGGGAAGGAGGAGGAGGCTTCTCGGCTCCTCTGGAATTCCGTGGTGTCATTATCGTGTGGGCACTCTGGGCATCCGGCATGATCTGCAGTGACGAGCCGTGCAGTACCAGGAATGGCTCTGAGCTACTGGAGGGAGGGATGGTGGTCACCGCATGCTGAAACCACATCCTGCCCTTCAGCTTTGGCTCATGCTAGTTCTGGAGGCAACGAATAGGAGACAAATCTAGTTGCAAGCAATATCGTATAGCAAATCTCAGAGCGGATATCAACCAAAGTTTGAAGTGGTGTGTGCAAGACGAATGGGCAGAAGAGAGATTTCCCTCTTATCTCACTGCTCTCGTATCAAGAGCAGGCTTCTTACGTCTTCTTCCCTACAGTTTATTTTAGCATAGCATTCATAGTTTTAAAAATCCATCAGTTCACGTTACTTCTTTGCTTAAAATCCTCAAATGGCTTCTCCTTGCGCTTAGGAAAAAACTCAAGCTCCTTACCATGACTGGCAAGGTTCTCCCTGATCTGGTTTCTACCCCTTTTCCAGCCTAGTTTTGCACAAATTCACTCTGCTCCGGCTACACAGGTTATTCGTCTCTCGAATAGGCCAAGCTTATTCTCACCTCTGGGCCTTTGCCTCTGCCACATCTTTACATGCTCGGCTCCATCCCATCCCTCAGGTCTCAGTTCAAACGTGGCCTGCCCCGGGCTCAGAGGGCCCTTCCCTGGCCATCTTATGCAAAAACCTCCCTGTTGCCATCTTCACCTTACTATGGTTTCATTGTTCTTCATTGTTGCATTTATGCATATCTGAATTGGTCTTGTTCACTTACTTGCTGATAGGCTAATTAGGATGGAACCCTCAAGACAGCAAGTGTTGTCCTGTTTCCCACTCTACCCCCAGCTTGGCACATGGTAAGCACTCAACAAATAGTGTTTTTTAAAACATACATTTGTCTTTTTGAATCAAAGAGTGTTGTAGCTGGAAGGGACTCAGGAAACAGTTTACCCGAATTTCCTCCTGCTATAGATGAGGTGGCTCATGATGGCCAAATGACACATCAAGGTCAATGGTGGACCATCTGGCTGGTCAGGCTGATATCTATATGGAGACTAGTTCCAGACTGATGCCCCAGGAGTGGCATGGGCCTAGGAGTAAATTATTTATAATGCAAACATATCTCAAACACTTTCCAGAAGGGCAAGCAGCCTGAGATCTGGAGGGACAGTAAACACTTGGGCTTTCAGAAGCATCAACAAAAATAGCAGCTTCCTCTACCTGTTAGTTTAAAAGGACAAAACCACAAGGCTGCTGCCTAAGCATGCTCTATCATTCTCATACAGAATTGTTAAGAATGAGAACACAATTTATCCCCAAATTCCTTATCTCGTATAACAGTGGGGTGTTACAGTATGAAGTATGTGTCTGACTGGAAAATCTGCCAGAGTTATCAAAGGCAGAAACGAGTCCCAGCCTCAAGCAGCCTTGCCATGCCTCACATGCTCAATACCCAAGTTGGGTGCCCATCTATAGGAAGGTTGCGTCTTCTATAATAAACCTTTAGTTAGACTAGGCAGTGTCTCTCTCTGCTCTGAGTGCTGGGTACTTCCAAGACCCTTATTTACTCAATGAATAACACAGATAAAAAACCTGGAAAGTTTTGTTCTGACTTTGAGCTTGAACACTGACAGGTTGAAAGAGAAAAAAATTTCAGCGACATTAATAATCTGCAGGCATGTCAAGATTGGATAAATATTATTTGCAAGTGAAACAGCTCTCTTTTAACAGAGGGAGTTAAAATAATAAGGAGAGCCAAGTTTACATGCATTAATTGTATTCTCAGCAGAGAGAGACTTGCCTCTTCATCTTTTACCCATCCTGGTTACTTTTTTTTTTTTTTTTTTTTTTGAGATGGAGTCTCACTCTGCTGCCCAGGCTGGAGTGCAGTAGTGTGAGCTGGCTCACTGCAACCTCTGCCTTTTGGGTTCAAATGATTCTCCTGCCTCAGCCTTCTGAGTAGCTGGGACTACAAGTGCCTGCCACCATGTCCGGCTGATTTTTGTATTTTTAAGAGAGACGGTGTTTCACCATGTTGGCTAGGCTGGTCTCAAACTCCTCACCTCAAGTAATCCACCTGCCTCGGCCTCCCAAAGTATTGGGATTACAGGTGTGAGCCCCCACACCTGGCCCTGGTTACTTTTGAGTTGACAATGGCAGTTTATTCCCCATTACATCCATCTAACAGCGATGTCTGGCTTGGCGATCTTCCTTAAACTGAGCTCCCATCTATTCCAGCAACTGTCACCTCTGCCCTATGGTTCTATAGGCTGAATGTCACATCGCCATTGGCCCCTGACCCACAATCATTCCCCTTCACTTTTGTTCCTTCCCATTTCTAGGTTCTGCTTACATTGCTTGTCCCTGCAAAGCCTTCCACTTGCCTTTCCATCTGGCCAAATCCTGGCCGTCCCTCAAGGAAGGAGAATTTCAGGTTCTACCTCTTTCAAGAAGCCATCTCCAAGGCTCCTAGACTGTACTAATTCAACTTGCCATTTGAATAGTTATACTTTGTCCCCCAGAGTAGCCCAGAAGTACCTGACAAGCAGGGGCTAGGTCTGACACGATTCTCAAGTGGCTATGGCAACACTAGGTGCTTGGGCCCAAAATAGAAATACCCGTTCAGGGGCTCAAAAGCATTCATTTAAAGCAATTTGCCGCATGTGGAGACCTAGAAGGAGGATGCCATCAATTACCGCTCCTTGCCATCAGAGACCTCTTCCTGTAGTGGACTCATGAGGCCTTCAGATTCTGGGTCCCAGATACTCAGAGCACAGTATAAATACTCTTGGGAGCATCCCTCCTTGGATGAGAAAAGGTCTGTGGGACTGGCACTGAAAACCCAGCTCACCTGCCCAATTTGGCACATCCTAAGTTATGATAAGCCCCCAACAGAGCCTAGATGCTTAGGTAGAATTTTAATAGAAAACATTGACCAGGTGCGGTGGCTCATGCCTGTAATCTCAGCACTTTCGGAGGCCAAGACAGGTGGATTACAAGGTCAAGAGATAGAGACCATCCTGGCCAATATGGTGAAACCCTGTCTCTACTAAAAATACATAAATTAGCCGGGCATGGTGGCGGGCACCTGTAATCCCAGCTACTCAGGAGGCTGAGGCAGGAGAATCGCTTGAACCCAGGAGGCAGAGGTTGCAGTGAGCCAAGATCGCGGCACTGCACTCCAGCCTGGTGACAGGGTGAGACTCCGTCTCAAAACAAAACAAACAACAACAACAACAACAACAACAACAAACAAACAAAAAAAAGAAAGAAAACACTGCTGGGATGCTGGTGGTATAGGTTTAGATCCTGAGTCATTAAGAAAAAAAAATTATACAAAATGGGCACACTTTTGATCCAGCAGTCTCTGAAGTGGTACTGGAAAGAAAATCAGGTAGAAAAATAATAAAACAGAAATCTCAGTATTTTATATCATCTTTAATCTCTGATTTTGTGTATTTTCTAATGTCCACAATAAGGTCCCTAAAGTTGATGATGACAGTAACAGCAACAACCATTACACTCCTTGAATGTTACCACATACCAGGCGCGGTTCTACAGCATTTACCAGGTTGAAATTCAATTTCATTCTCACAGCAACACTGCAGGGTAGACATCATTACTGGCATCTTTTAGAGGTATATGAGTTATAAGTGAATTTATGAATATGCATAAATTGAGAGTGCATGCTTAAGTTATTTTATACTATTAGGAGTCTATGCTCTAGTCTTAGTCTTCCCCCATTTCCATGGGAACCCTAATTTCTGTGGGTACCCTCCTACTTCTTCAAATACCCTACTACATCTAGGGTGGTGTGGGCATCTCCCACTTTTTCAGGTGGCCTCCTTTTTCTGCACAGCCCCCTCCAATTCTGTGGCCATGTCCCCCCGTCTGTGAGTGTCCCCCACTTCCGTGGGCACCTAGACACCGCAGGATCTGCCTGTCTGAATGCTAATAATAATGACTAACAAGGCCAGAAATTCCAAGAGATACAGATTTCCTCCTGTGAAATCACTAACAGTTTAACCAGCCATTGAAGGGCCCACCCTGTACCCTCAAAGTTAATGACCCCAGTACCAAGATGTGGTAGAGGCAGTTGGCTATGAAGTTTCAGAAGGGTGGGGTCACAATCACTTCTGTGCATCATTTCTTTTCCTTTTTCTTTTTATCTTTTTTTGAGACAGAGTCTCCCTCTGTTACCCAGGTTGCAGGATGGTGGCACGATCTTGGCTCCCGGGTTCAAGTGATTCTCATGCCTCAGCCTCCAGAGTAGCTGGGACTATAGCAGTGTGCCATCAACCCAGCTAATTTTTGTATTTTTAGTAGAGACGGGGTTTCACCATCTTGACCAGGCTGTTCTCGAACTCCTGACCTCAGGCGATCCGCCTGCCGTGGCCTCCCAGAGTGCTCGGATTACAGGTGTGAGCCACCACGCCCGGCTCTGTGCATCATTTTCAAATGGGCCCGTGGCTCTGCTCTTTTGGCTTTATTGCTGCTGCAGTGGTTGGCCTTTTCTCCATCCCAGATAGCACCAGTTTAAAGCCCAGGTGGCCGAGGCCACCCTCCATCAGAGGAAGGCCACTGCATGTACAGCCTTAAGTGAATCCAAGGTCACTGTGGCAGAGGAACCTGTGTGAAGGGGCCAGGATGCTGATGCACATCAAGGCCCAGCAGGGGCTTGGCAACAGCATGCCCTTAATTTAAGGCATTGAATTTAAATTTGAGTCATCGTGCCATATTCCAGCCTTTTGTTTGCCAAACCACCAGTCAACTTAAACTAAAACATGTTTTTGGAAAATGCTTTCAGGGGTGGTAGGAATGCAGTAACTTGCTGGAAACATTCAAATGCACTTAGGGTGGTAACGCAGAAAAAAATAAGAATGTGCATCAGTTTAGGTTGTGATGCTCTGCTGCAGAGGGACAAAGAAACTGGGGTTGCAAGCTTTTATTTGTTCTTCTTGATCCACTAGCACATACGGGTCAGTTTACTCCAGTGAGAAAATTGGTACTCAAGTTCTCCGTGACCTTTCTGGGCTGTTAATGGTAGCTACAGTTACTGTAGACTTGGGCTTATTCTCATTCTACAGAGAGAGCTAGGAGTAATCAGATCAAAGGTCATTCTGGCATTAAGAACCTCTCCTGCGATATAGCCTGTGTGCATGTGTGCAAATATTTTAGTGGTGATAAAAGGCAGGCTCCATTTTGCATTTTGCCCTCTAAGCAATGCAGTCGAAAGGAGAGAACACTGGAGCAGGAGTCGGAGAACCAGGCTTAGGTCCTGCCTTTATTCCACGTCCCTTCCTGGGCAGGCAACTTTGTGCAAATCACCCAGTTCCCTGGCCTCTGCTTCCTCACCTCTAAAATGGGTTAACAACATCTGCCTACTGTACAGCTTGACTGTGCTTATCAAAGACGTAGATATACAAAGATGGAATTCGTAAACCACAAAGTAACAGATTTATAATTTGCTGGTTGATGGCATCTGGGGATGCCAGAGCCTGTTAGAAGTCATGACTTTCTGAAACACTGCTTGGCCAAGGTGCTGTTTCTTGTTTTTTTTCCAGTGGCTTCCTCCTGCGTACTAGATAATATAGCCTCACACTCAAAGCCTCTTCTCAAGTCTGTCCAATGTCCTTTTCTAGCCATATTTAAATGAACAATCATCCCTAGTGTTTATAAACTTCTTACTACACATGACTAACACTCATAAACTGCTTATCTCATTTAGTCCTCATCTTACCTAGGAGCAGGGTGCTATTGTCATCATTTCCATTTTACAGATGGGCGAGTGAGGCCTGACCAAGATCATAATAACCAGCTTGTGGCAACACCCTTCGATGATCTTTTTTTTTTTTTGAGACAGAGTTTCTAAAACAACAGCCTCTGTCACCCAGGCTGGAGTGCAGTGGCGCGATCTTGGCTCACTGCAACCTTTGCCTCCCGGGTTCAAGTGATTCTCCTGCCTCAGCGTCCCGAGTAGCTGGGATTAACAGGTGTGTGCCACCACACCTGGCTAATTTTTGTATTTTAAGTAGAGATGGGGTTTTACCATGTTGGACAGGCTGGTCTTGAGCTCCTGACCTCAAGTGAGCTGCCTGCCTCAGCCTCCCAAAGTGCTGGGATTACAGACGTGAGCCACCACACCCAGCCCATGATCCTATATTCTAAAGCACACTGTGCTACTTCTGTCCATACTTGAATGTTCTGCTCACTGATCTCTGAACAGACCTTACAGCTGCCTACCTCAAACCAGTTCCCCTAAGTTCTACTCCTACTCAAGACCAGTTCAAACCCCACATTTTCCTTGAAGTCTTTCTTGAATATCCTGCCCACAGTGATGCTACCCTTCTGAAACTTCATAGCCTATCTGCCTCTACCACATCTTGGTTCTTTTCAAATTCATTCTCATGGTGTCAGGGTAGGTAACTTCTTTTAATGCATACTTCTCAGGCTATCAGTCAGACTGTATGGCAGGGGGCAATAATTTTTTTTTTTCTGTAGAAATCCAGATAGTAAATACTCTAGGCTTGCAGGCTACAAGCTCTCTGTTGCTAACTCTGAACCCAACTCTGCCATTTTGCACAAAAACAGCCATAGACAATATCTAATGAGTGAGCGTAGCTGTGTTCCAATAAAACTTTATTTATGGATACTGAAATTTGAGCTGCACATAATTTCCATGTGTTATGAAACATTATACTCCTTTCAATTTTTTAAAACATTGAAAAACGTACAAATCATTCTTAGCTCATGGGCCATACAAAAACAGGCGGCAGGCTATTGACCTGAGGGCTAGAAGTTTGCTGACCCCTGCTGCAGACCTTCAAGGTAGAGTCAGATCTATTTCATCTATTTCCCTCACTGGCTAGTGGCAGGGCCTGGAGAAAATAATACAGGTTTTGGAGGAGTGTAAGTTTGAATTCAAGTTCAAGTTCTATATTACATTGTACTCAGCAATAACAGATACTAAATAACGGTTGCTTTCATGCCCTTTTAAAGTCATATTTTTTATTGGTACTGCTCAGTTTTTATCTTAATTCCATCTTATCCCAATAATGCAGTTTCTCAAGGGACTCACTAAGGACCAGGGGAACGGGGCAGTTGTTTGGGTAAATGTTGGTGTTTTCTGTCACTGAGCCTCACTGGGGAGAATATAAAGATTTTAAAAATGTACGACCATTCTAAGGACCTCAAAAGTTCCATTGCAAATAGGCTAATCTCTGTCCCCAACTGTATCTGGCCCATGAATTCAGTCTTCAAGTTTTAATCACCCTGGAAAGATGGTTGGATATGCTAAAATCCTACTTAACTTTCTGAAAAGTAAGTTACATTGCATTTTGAAATTTATATAACACTTTCACACCCACTGCCTTTATTTTTACATTTTATTTTTTCATTCTCATAAAAATGCTTCAATACAGGTATGGTTATCCTAGATTTACAGTTTAGAGAAGTAAAATGATTGATTTGCAGAAAGTACTACAAAAAAAGAAGCTTCGAACTTTGAGCTGGAATATAGGAGGGGCTGTCCTCTTTCCATCACTAAATTCCTGATGGACCACAGTACACGCCCCAGAAGTCGTATCTAGAGTTTAATGTCTCAGTGCACTTTGTTTAAAAATTCTCATTAATATGCAAAACATAATATCTGGGCTCCAAAGCAGTTTCTGAGCTGGTCTGTAAACTTGAAAACTGATTGGGATCACCAGGCAGATATTTTAAAAGTAGCAATGCCTGGGTACCACCTTCAACTAATTAAATCGGAAGCTCCAGAGGTGGGCTTCTGTAGTCTAACAAGCTTCGAAGGTGATTTGAATGTGCAGCCAGGACTGAGAACCACTGGGGTCACAGCAGGCTCACTGCAGAGCCATTACATGGGTGATGGTCTCCGAAACCTTCTCCTGGTTGACTTGATGCCCAAGACTCACTCGATCCTCTGACCTCTCTGTGGCCTGGTTAGTCAGCACTCACCTACTCATGGTTACAAACTTCCAGTCTGACTGGCTTGGCCTCTGGAATCCTTCCAGTTCCTCAAGGGAATTTCCAAAATGTGTTGGTCTTGAGGTATAGGGTAAACTATGTTTTAAATGTCCTTCCACAAGTAGGTAAGTTGCTGTTTCTAGAGATGTGAAATCTTTCAAACACATAGCTAGAACTGTCTTTATGTCATTGGGGCTGTGTAGGGGAGGGAGCAGGGCCAATGCATGTAGCTTGTAGCCAGTGAAAATGATGTAGAAATGTTATATAAACATCTTTCTAAGTTATAGTAAAAAATTTTCTGACTCTAAACATTCGTGAAATTTTCATGCTGAGTGATAAAAATGATAATATTTTGAGATAGCAGTGTTAGCCATCTCTTTTATTACCTCTGCATGTCTCTTTTTTGGAAGATGACAACCAGCATGAACATAACAGATTTTCAGAAAATGTATTTGGCTCTCAAGGCTTTGAATGTTTTTTTTGTTTTTGTTTTTTTCCCAAATGGCCCTTAAAATCAGTTTAGCTCCTTAGCAAAACCAGTAATCATTGTAGCATTTAAACAACATTAGGTCAAAGTAGTACGATGGGGATAATATACTGGCAAGCTACTTTGCAGAGTTGGTTTAAGGATAAGAATGTATGAGAAGTATACTGAGTTCCTAAGAAGGAAAACCTCAAAACACAGTGGCTATCATTAAAATGTTTTAAGTTCTTCATAAAAATAACATATTATTCCTCAAATTACAGAGGTCTCTAATAGTGATGGGGAAAAATTGTTCTTTGCAAAATAGAAATATTTTTCCACTATTTCTGAACCTAACAACTTTGAAAGCATTCAGCAGTTTCTCTAAGATTATTTAAAGCAAAGCGCTCATGATGTATTTTACAATTAGATACTCTTAGATACGTGTTCTCTGTGCTGAGTCTTAAGCAATTGCCAGATTCACCAATTAGTTTTTTAAAAGTAGAAAACATTTTAATCAACTCAACTGAAAAGCGTTTTAGGGGGAAATCAATAATTTTGGTAAGTGGGTAACAGTAAACATTAGCGGCTGACTTTGCACAGCAGATAGATTCTAGTGTCCAAAGTACTTCTGTTTATATCACTGAGTTTCCCCAGCTACCCCGGGAAGTTGAGGTAAGTCATTCTTACAGAGGAGGAAACCATGTCTTAGGGAGGTTGAGACAGTTTGAAATCAGTGGAGCTAGGACCTGCCCTCAGGCTATTTTACTTCAGCTCCTCTGCTCACAGATAACTCATGGTAGCAGTTAAAAGTGTAGACTCTGACTGCCCAGATTTCAAGTCTTGATTTCATCCCTCTGTGATCATGGACAAGTCATTTTATCTTACTGTACTGCCATTTGTTTAAAGAGAGATAATAAAAGCACCCATATTTTAAAGGGTTATTGAAAAGATAAAAGGTGAAAATGAACATATTGATGAAATAGATTTTCACTATCATGATGCTTGTTCCTTGCTTTATTTCTTGTAAAAGGAAAAGCAGGTAGAAAGGAAGACCATCTAAAAACTGACCATTTTGAAGATCAGTTTGTAATAAGACATCAGATCTAAGTGTCTTCCTCTAATACCTAGAAGATGGAAACTATTTGGATTCTTAGCAATGGAAGTTTCCAGATCATCCTGGGCCCATTTCCAACCAGCCTAGACTAGTCTGTGGGCCCTAGGAGGACTAGGTGACCTCCGTGAACTTGCAGAGTCACACTGAATGGCATGAACATTTCACCCAAGAAGGTCTCTTATTTTTATCCCTTTTGGATTGGAAGAAGAGCTTAGCCGAAGAGTGAATAGATCTGCTCATGTGGTCACAGGCTCAGCTCACAGCTCCTAACCTGCTTCTTGCAGGCCTGCGTTTTTATCAGGTCACTTTGGACAGCCAAGCCTGCATCTGCCCAGATGACAGGTGAAGGATCCAGGCCTCAAGGGGCCTTGAATGTCATCACCCTGGCTGAGCCTCTGCAATCATCTGACTCAGTGACATGGCACCGAGAAGCACAACAACCCAGGAAAAAGAAAATAAAAACCAAACCAACCACACCCACAGGGGGAAAATTCCCTCCTACTTCTAAGCCTAAAACCCAAACAGCTGCTACCTCCCAGGTTGACTGCTGACAAAAATACACAAGGGAGCTTTGGAGGGCAGGCAGGGAGAACAAAATAATAAACCAATTAGAAATAATAATGTGACAGTCATGGTTAAGCTGATTTGCTTTACTACCTTCATCATTAATATTTTGCTCATTAACTTTTTCTTTTTTGAGACAGAGTCTCGCACTGTCGCCCAGGCTGGAGTGCAATGGCGCCATCTCGCTCACTGCAACCTCCGCCTCCTGGATTCAAGCGATTCTCCTGCCTCAGCCTCCCGAGTAGCTGGGATTACAGGCGCCCACCACCACACCTGGATAATTTTTTTTTGTATTTTTAGTAGAGACGGGGTTTCACTATGTTGGCCAGGCTGGGCTCGAACTCCTGACCTCATGATCTGCTTGTCTTAGCCTCCCAAAGTGCTGGGATTACAGGCGTGAGCCAATGCACCCAGCCTTTTTTTTTTTTTCTCAAAATACGGTTTAAAATGGAAAGCAACAGATCCAGTCAGATTTTTTTTTTTTTTTTTTTTTTTTTACATGGAGTCTCACTCCTGTTGCCCAGGCTGGAGTGCAATGGCGCAATCTCAGCTCACTGCAATGTCTGCCTCCCGGGTTCAAGCGATTCTCCTGCCTCAGCCTCCCAAGTAGCTGGGATTACAGGCACCCGCCACCACGCCTGGCTAATTTTCTTGTATTTTTAGTAGAGACAGGATTTCATCATGTTGTCCAGGCTGGTCTCAAACTCCTGACCTCAGGTGATCCGCCCGCTTTGGCCTCCCAAAGTGCTGGGATTACAGGTGTGAGCCACCGCACCCGGCCAAAACAGGCAGTTTTAAGCTTTAGGTGGACATGGGACTGAATACTGTTATCACATGGGGGTGGAAGGGAACCACAGGCACAAAACACGGAGGTGCTTTAATTCATCCAGTTTTGTGGCCTCATCTGAGAATGCCTTGGGGGTCCCCCAGAGTCAGCTGAAGTAGGACAAGAGGGAGACAGTGAGAACAGTCAGAGATACAGGGTTTTGAAACAGTCCAAAGTGCTTTAGGGCTTGCTTCCTGCTGAATTCTCTCTTGCTAAGGCTGTTGCCAGGGCCAGCGTTGCCTGTGACATGTTCCCACGTATCCACAGGGTGGGCTCGGAAGGGGCCTGGTGTGAAATTTCACTTGAAGAGAATGGCTCTTTAACCGACTCACTGGGGTATTATGGCGGCCCCTGCCCATCCTGGCCAATCTCAGGGACATCCTAGTAGGACTCACTTAAGAACTTGAAGTACGTTGGGGAAGAAGGAGATTGAGGGGTCTGTTTTCTGCTTGCCTCAAAATTCTTAGGGTCCTAAAAAGTAATTTTTTGGGGAAACTACTTCAAGACAACCCAAAGAGATGATTCAACTTGGGAAAGAGCCTGGATGAGCCTTTAGGCACTTGAGACTTACCCGGACCACGTAGTTAAATCTTCTGGAATCCAGAATGGCAGTTGAGAAGTCCAGTCTGTTGAAAGCTTCCCCCAGGGTGCAATATCCATGGCGCTGAACATGAAAACAAAGGCACAGAAGTTACTCCTGCCATGCAGAGGTCACCCAAGTAAGAATGAGCCAGTTAGAACAACCCAACTGGATTTTGCCGAATGAGCTTGATGCCTGTCTTAGGTGACCTGGGGCACTGGCTTCTTTCCTGTACCCACAAGCCCTTGAGAGCCACCAAGATGGGTAACACAGCCAGCAGCTGCCTCAGTCAGCCCCTCACATGTCAAACACCCCCTTTTCGTGACTTGTACCATTTGGGACCTTGCTTATAATTTTTCCACATATTAGTCTGGAAAAATCATAAGTAATTGCTTATTAAGGAAAGACTGGGAGCAGGGTACGGGACATGGGAGGCCATGATGGTTGGTGACTGTAACGTACTCCTGGGAGGAGAATTAGACCTACCTGCACCAACTGTGTCACCACCTTGCCTTATACCAATAGTGCTTTTCTCACTGTGATCATCAGAAGTGTTTATAAGGTTTTGGGAGGAAGCAAAAGTTTTGATCTTTTAACCTATGAACACAGAGGGAATTGGGAGTATAAAGTCCCAGCTCTGCTCTGAGTATCTGGGTGGTCTTGGGAATATCAGTGACCCCCCTCTGGACCTCAAATCACAGAGGGGACTAGATGTTCACTGAGGTCCCTGACGGTCATAGAAATTCTTTCATATTGCCTGTATCCTAGTTATTTTAGCAAATGCCTGTGCAGAGAGAAAATATACATAAAAGGGCTTTATAAAGTACCATACAAATGTAGTTATTACAATGTCTTGTCCCCTCCCACATCACACTGAGCAGGCACTGAAAACTTCTACTATATTTAGTGATTAGCGCTTCCAGGACTGAAATTTAACTGAGTTGAAGTCCAAAGAGATCTTAGAACAAAAGGGAGACCTTGCCCTGAGGCAAAACCCAGGGCAATATAATAATATGGTTGAGATGGGCATGTCAATCTTTATAAAGCACTTTTACATACATAATCTCATTGAACGACTAGAGGGTCCACCTAGTGACTTTTGCTTCTTTCTCTCTCTGTTCTAAACTCTGATGGTTGGCTAAATAATAGACTAATAGCTGCCATCTCCCACATCCAAGAAGACTCTCATGATCCGAAGTAATTTCCCTCCCTACCATATCCCTCCCTGCGCTATCAGGAAGGGATAAGGTTCAGTATAACTTAGTAAATGAATGGGATGCTCACCTCTTTAGTACTTCCTTTGTGAACATAGATCCATTTTTCTTGGTGGAAATCTACAGAGACAAAAAGAATACACAGCTTTAACATCTGCAACATGCTCAAGATTTAAGACATTTCATTTCATTTATTCCAAAGTTTTAAAAGTTTTGACAAAAAAGATAAGGAGTCTACTGACAACTGAAGAAGTTTCAAGTGCTTAATTTCTGCAGTGTAGAAATACTGGGGCTATAAGTTGCTTTGTCTGAAGCACTCTAAATCTTTGAGAGCCAGATTTCATATACCAAAGCTCCAAACTACTATATTTTTTTTTCTAAAGCATTATGCCATAAGAAATTACAGGCCAGATGCAGTGGCTCATGCCTGAAATCCCAGCACTGTGGGAGGTTGAGGCAGGCGGATCACTAGAGGTCAGGAGTTCGAGACCAGCCTGGCCAACATGGTGAAACCCCGTCTCTTCTAAAAATTCAAAAATTAGCCAGGCGTGGTGGCAGGCACCTGTAATCCCAGCTACTTGGGAGGCTGAGGTAGGAGAATCACTTGAACCCGGGAGGCAGAGGTTGCAGTGAGCCAAGATTGTGCCACTGCACTCCAGCCTGGGCGACAGAGCGAGACTCCGTCCCCCCGCAAAAATGAAATTAGGCTTTGACAGACTGAGTTACATGCTGTGAACAGAGCGGGGTAGATCGCTTGAGCCCTGGAGTTTGAGACCAGCCTGGGCAACATGGCGAAACCCTGTCTCTACTAAAAACACAAAAATTAGCCGGGTATGGTGGCAGGTGCTTGTAATCCCAGCTACTCAGGAGGCTGAGGCACGAGAATCACTTAAACCCAAGAGGCGGAGGTTGCAGTGAGCTAAGATCATGCCACTGACTCCAGCCTGGGTGAGAGAGCAAGACTCTGTCTCAAAAAACAAAAACAAACAAACAAAAAACACCAAAAAAAAAAAAAACACCCCTAATACTCAAGTACAAGTTTATTTTAAATGCCAAACCTGAAACTTACATAAGTCCATGAAAATCAAACAGATAACATGAGGAAAACATGCATTACAGATAAAATAACCTGTAATTCCTGCTATTAATACCACTTTATATTCTCTGCTGATACTTATATATAGTATCTAGAAATGTTAATAAGATTTATACAAGGAAAGAGGGAGAAAAATCTGTTTTCAAAGCCTCAAAACAGTTCAAAATAAAAGTACATACTGGAACTGATTCAGCTGACCACATCACTGTAAAATAACCTATGTCAAATACGAATGACTAGCAGGAAAAAAAGGCCCTCAACTAGCAACTGACTTACAAACAAGACTATAAAGAACATGTTAATCTTGCTTGTAAAATGCACAGCCAGGTTTCTGAGTGCTGAGATCTCAGTAACCTCTGTCAGTGACACACAGTAAAACACTGAGGCAGATGTGTGACATGGGAGGTGTTATTTTTTTTCATCCAAGAACCAATCATAACTATCTTCAAACAGCTTTTTTCTGAAGTTCAAAACAAATGGCTTACACTGAGTTTTGGTTTTGCTATTCAGCATGTCCTTCTTTCTCTTCTTGGCTGCAACATCATAGTTCAGGCTGTTGAAAAGATTCTCCTTATTGTATACCTCCTTGTTGCAGTAACTATGAATAACAGAAGACAAAGAGGATGAGCTGTAACAGCTATACATGAACCTGAGCTGTTTCTATAAATAACTCACTGAGTTATAAGACAAACAAACATACAGGCTTCTCAAACAAAATAAAACAATAAAATGATCACTCAAAGAAAAAAGAGTCTATACAGTCACAGGCTTCTCCTTTAGGATGAAACATGTTCACATCTGTGGGGAAGGCAGGGATGGGAGCTTCTACTTCTTTTGAATTCCCTAACAGTGCCTTGCATTGTAATTTGACACACAGCACTGTACTCTTCAACTAAGAGCAATGCAGAGTATTACCATATTACTTTAAACAAAAATGACGAATGGGGGGAGGGGTGATTACTGGTATCGCTGTACTACACAATGCCTTCATTTTGCAAAAGTATCTACCCCAAGCTGCTGCTGCTTCTTTAGAAAAAAAAAAAGTTTCATTGAGATAAACTTCACATACCATACAATTCATCCATTTAAAGTATACTTAAGCTGCTTTTAAGTAGCATCCTTCTAACATGTCTTTAAAACACAATCACGTTTACAAAAATCTGACTTATAAACTCCATTTCTAGGAGATGCTTTGGGTGTAGTGCCAGTTGCTTAGGTTTTATGTAGTGCCTTGACTAAAACACACTAGGCATCATGCTGTGAGGTGAAGACCTTGGGTCTTGACTATACAAGGTAAACTTATAATTGATAAATTTATAAGGGCTGAACAGACATTGGATGTACCTGCCTAATTCACAGGTCACTGAAGGATGGGCAGGCTCATCTCGGGCCAGACGCTTATTTGCCTCAGTGGGCTGAGCAATCATTTGAGGGGTAATGAACTATTCTACTATACAATGTAACTTCAAAGTAAATCTCTGAATAATTTCCACAGAAGGAATGCAGGAGAAATACTGAGGTATGATAAGATAGGTTCCCTAACTCCCTCAACCCCCACAAAGTATGTAAAACAGGATTTATAATGCCAACTGGTAAAACATAAATTAGGGGTTTTTTTTTTTTTGCTATACCACCGATATTTTATACTCCTTTAATGTTCTGAGTTTCTCTGCTGAATTTAAAATGTAACTTGATTTACATCTTTTTCAGATATACATCTGTTGGGTACAATTATGTACATCTGCACTTCTCTATTTCCTTGGCATTGTGTAAATGGTAGAAGAGAAAAGATTTGAAGCAACTTCTAGTATCTTTTTGTTATTAATACAATAGTCTCTCAAGTAGCACTTCGGTTAGTATAAGTATCTTGCTAATATGCTTACATGTGACATCTCCAACAATATACTCAGTGTTGCTTTTCTGGACCCTTAAGGACAAACATGATAAATAATCATTTGTTAATCTTCCTTCATAAGGCCGTGCTTAATACCATTTATTGAGTTTCCTACTAAACTCAATAGCTTTCTCCTTTTCATTCAGGGAAACAGGATATTTTTAGGTTTCAGATAGAGTCCTGCAGAAATGTCCTCTCAGAGGCACCTTCAAAAGCAAGCCAAGGATGAGTATTTTGGGCCAGGCTTTGTACAACACATGAGTGTGTTTCTGTCTATTTGCATGACTATAGGGGTACAGAATCACTGACCAGCTGATTATCTGCTCCAAGGTCAGAAGGAAAAGAGGGACAGAACAAAGAACAGAACTGAATTCCTGAGGCTAACTTAAGACATTTCAATCAACGTTGAGAAAAACAGCAAACGATGGAAGGTCATTTGAGTGGTCCATGATGTACCACAGCTGAGAACAGCTTTAGAAAGCAAAGCTAGAACATTTTGTGTGCAAAAATACCACATGAAGGCTTACTTAGAAAGAACACACACAACCCCCACAAACAACAAAAACCTACAGTATAAATTCCACATGTAGAGAATCATAAAATGAGGTTGTCTTATTCTCAACATTTAAGGTTCAGTAGCAGATTTTCTGAGCCTGGGCCATAGATTGTGATCATTACTTAGCAAGTTCAAATATTTAGATTTCATCTTACTCTTTTCCAATTGAAAACGTTCTTTAAAGGAATTGGAGCACTCACTTTCCTCAGAAGCTACAATAACCTGCTTTAAGCCTGAGTGACTCATTTCAAAAGCTAGTTTAGAAAGAATTTTACATAATTGATGATGTTCTCTCACCGTAGAATGTAGAAAAGTTTTAACCAAAGAGAAACCCTATATTTTCACTTGGTATTAGGTTTTAGATTCCGGAGGAAGGGCCTGGAAAGAAGGGCTATGGGGTTTATTTGTGTTGCCTACTTATAAGTTTTCTTTTAAGCAATAATATATTCAGTTAGAGGCTATTTTGAGAGTTCAATCGTGTCCTTTTCAAGAAAATGCAAAGCCAATGGAAAATTACAACTGAAATTTTTAACAAGAAAAACCACCACCATTTAGGAATTGGAGCACAGGATTTTTTTTTTTTTAATAAGCAAAACCATCTCAACGAGGCTGCTTTCTTCACTAAATTCAATAATAGCCAGCAAGTCGCTATTTTGTAGTCACTATTTACTAATCTTGATTTTTATAGGCACAGGCCTAGAATAAGAAAAAGATCCACTGCACAGCCCCACATTACCACATACCAAGATACTTTAAGGCAACTTTTTAAAAATGTAGAAAAAATTCAAAATCAGACCATAAATAAGTCTGTTTTGGCAGCAGATAAAGAAGGGAATGAAAAAAAAAATAAAGCCCTATTTCTCATTTCATTTGCAATAAAAACCATTTAAGAAAGCTGTGACGTGCCCCCAGAGGTTTAATTGTAGTTATATAGCCTGATTAAAGCCAGTAGAGATTTCTACACCAATTTACTGACGCATTTCTAGATCGCCACACTCACAAGGCTAGCACCCGGAATGCTCTGGTGAAACAAACAGCCTAGTGTATAACGCTCATAGAACAGTGCCTTGCACACAGTAAGCACTCATAAAATCTTAACTATTATTTTTATCCAGTCACCAAGGTAAACTTCCTGCTTCCGGGTCCAGCCTCAGCCATACAGTAAAGTAACATTTGAGTCAGTCTTCAATGACAGAAGTGTAGGCTTAGAAAAGAGTGGCAGAGGCTCAGACAGCTTAGGTTACTCATCCTGGGGGTGGGCGGTGAGGGGGTGGTTGCTGAGGAAGGCTGTGCGGGTGCCTGAACCACCACTTCCTTGAAGCATTCTTGGATCATCCCAATTCACGCCAAGCTCTTTCCTTGCATTTTAAATCTGCCCCAGCATATTTAACACTTGCCATTCCCCTTCTATTTTATATAATTTCAACATTTTTGAGAAGGGGTCCTGCTTTAAGCTTATCTTAAATCCTCCCATGATCTCACTCCTGGACACATGGCTGGGACTGGATTTGTAACATTCTACACTGGAGAAGGTTGGAGTCCTAGACCACAGAGAAGATGGCCAGCTGAGTCCAGAATAGGTGTGCTGTGTGGACAAGACTTGGTCAACACGAAACAATAACCCCAGGCTGAAAACCACCAAATGCATCCTTCATCCCGGGCTCTTGTTTGGGCCGTTTGCAGAATGGTCTGTGGAATTAGAGAAGTCAGTCTACCATGTCTCTGTAGTTCTCTGTTTCACGGTCCCTCCCCGCTTAAGGGCCTGCCTTTTGTTTTCTCATAACAGGAGAGGCATTCAGCTTCACCTGTGCAGGCAGGCACGCAGTCCAAACCTGACATCACGGGGAAACATCACCAAGACCAAAAACAGTGAGGATATTTGAGATGACAAACCCAGACCACAGAAGGCCAACTGCTTTTAAGAAGTTGCAGGCTTCTCATGCTAAGCAGGGAAGGGATTGTTTACAGTTGCTGGAAAAAAAAATACCCTGCAAACAAACAGCCAGCTGCTTTGCTAGGAGGCTACCAAATGATTCCTAAACGCTGACTCAAAGGACCACAGGTGGTCAGTATATCAATGACTATTTGCGGTAATGATGATGGATGTGACAGCTCCAGCTCAGGTGTGAAATGGGAAGAAAAAGAGGCTCATGAACAGGACACGGGAGGGGGGCTGTGCAGGAAACCACCTGATTCCAGCCCAGTCTAAACTTTTGTGGTAAGTTAAGACCATCTTCAGGTCTTCCATACTGTGAAGACAGAGATACCACTATTTCTAAAGGAGAGTGACACCAGTTTCTCTCCTGATGCCGGTATAGGGTATTTTAAAACAAATTTTAAATTTTTATTTATTTTTAGAGACAGGGTCTCGCTCTGTGGCCCAGGCTGGAGCGCAGTGGCACAGTCATGACTCGCTGCAGCCTTGAACTTCTGAGCACAAGCCATCCTCCCACCTCAGCCTCCCGAGTAGGGTAAGTATTAATACGACCCTACATTTTAAATCTTCTGCTGAACTCAATCATCTGTTCTCCACTGAGGAGCATCCTGCAATTATATTTGGGTGAGCAGCTCTAACATGACTCTTCAGACCCTTTCGGCACTTTTCTAGAAAGAACCTGAACTTGTATACAGAAATAAAGTACCAACATATTAGATCATTGTCCTTAGGAACAAGGAGGAAGGAAGGAAGGTTCCCATTTTGTTGAGGGAGAATAATTTAGGCATAATTGGTAACTCCAGTCGATAAAAGACATAGTCTGTCAATAGCAGTTGGTCTTACTTTCCCGTAAATAAATTACTTGATTTTACGTAAATAAGATTTCCTTATGGTGGTCCCTAAACTCCCCTGGGACAGCCTCCAAGTAACTCCAACGTAAATGGTTATATGCTGGTGGTTAATACGCTCAAGTCTCTCCGGACAGACCCCCAGAATTAAATAATGTCTTTCTTTACATTGTGAGACAATGGGAATTTGATGCATTACAAATCACAAACAAATGGGAGGCACGGGAGTTCAAGTTGCCAAAATAACCACATTTTCTTGATAGTTTTCTCAAAATTTATTGCCAATGCTTCATCCAAGCAACGACTGGTAAATCTCAGTAAGCGGGAACCTGGCCCAGAAACAGAATTCTCCATTGAAGTCAATTTAAGGGTGCAGGGGCCCATGGTTTTAACCAAAGGTGGCAGGAAAAGGCTCCCAAGGGTGACTCTGGCTGCACCAGTCCATTCTGGAATCACTTTCATCGCCCCCGCTCACCGGGCTAAATGCTGAGAGTCTCTGAAAGTCAACTGTCGAGGTCAGGGGCTGAGAAATTCCAGGCTACCTTGCGTACTAGCCGGCGCTGGCATCGTTAGCCAAGCTGAGCAGGGAGCGCAGCGGACCTCAGGTTTCCCGCCAGACCACAGAGCTCAGGTGAGGCCTCGAATCCAGAGGCTCACCGGGGCCAGGCAGGCTTTTCGCAGCTGACAGGCACCCCTGGAAACGGAGTGCACTCTATACAAAGCAGACCGACCGAGAGGGCCACCGAGGAAACAGGTGCAAGAGCCCTGTCCTCCCAGAAGCAGAGCTCTTGTGGGATTCATCCCCTGCCCCCTTCCCTCCTTTGCACCTCTGCAGCCCCAAGCCTCCACCGCTCGCAAGTCCGCCCAGTAAGCGGCTGCCCCAGGGACCATCTGGCCGTCCCTTCCTGGTTACTCATCCTCCCGGCCACTTCGTGGTTGCCCGTGCCTGGGCAGGGCCTGGAAGCGCTCCAGGCGGGACCTTCGTCGGATCCCGTCACCTGTCGCGTCCACAGCGCTTGGGCGCTGGGAGCCGGGCCACCCCGCGGTGAAGGGGCTCAGCCCACCCGCCCGCGCCCCCACATGGGCAAAGTGCGCGACTCCGGTGTCCTTAAAGCAGGGACCACTAAAGCTGTGTGATTAAGTTTGAGCGAACGTTTGGGGACACGATCCGCGAATGTCATCAGACTCTCAGAGGGACCAGGTGTTCTGTAAGGAGTCGTGTCCACTTGGAGACACTGACCTTGAACAATAAGAGAAACCGAATTCCCTGTCTCCGGTGGTCCGAAGACCTCTGCAGAAATCGGGCCCCGTAGTCCCACCCTCCGGGTCAGGGTCTCCCTCCTCAGCCCGCTCCAGCCCTGCCTGCCCCTCATTCGCCGTCCCTGCGCCCCCCAGACCAGCCCGGGTCAGTTTCGCGGGGGCTGGAAGTTGGTAGCGGGTCCCCTCACCTGCTGAGGTCGCTCACGAAACTGCCGCTCTTCTCATCCAGGAAGCGCTTCCAGCCGTCGGCCGTCTTCACCCAGTTCTGCCCGGGGGACCGCCAGTCCTGCCCGAGGAATGGCATGGCACCGCGAGCGGACTAGACGGATGGGGAGACGGGGCCGGCCTGGTGGGCTCGGGGACGTGCCACCCGGGGCGGATGCTCGGGGTGCAGGGGCCCGCGACGGGGGCGGCGGGGCGGCGGGAACGGCGCGGGGCACCCTGCGGGGTGGCGGGCGCGGAGAGGATCTCAAGCGTTGCAGGCTCCGGGAGTGCTGCGCGGCAGTAGCTGCCGCAGTATTTATCCCCGCAGCCGGCCGCAGCTCTTTGTTGCCGGAAGAGCCGCCCGCTCTTAGCCCGGCCCCCCGGCCCGGAGGCCACGTGGCTTTGTTTATGGGCTCGGCTTGTTTTCCGAGGCGCCTGCGGCTCACGCTCCCCTCCCGGTTGCACAACCGCGCCGGTGGAAACTTGAAGCGGTGCTGCCGGGCCGGGTACCCCGCCGCCCCTGGCACCTCCGCGCGCCCTCCCCGCCCCCAGGACACCGTTGTCCCAGAGCGAGGCCCGGCGCTTGGAAAGATGCGCCCCGGTCTCCTGCAGCTCCCGGGCTGACGGGGTGCAGGGAGGGGGCCGGAGGGGCGTCTGGGTCCCTGCGGGGTGGGCGTGAGGAGCAGGGCCAGCCCCCCTCCTGCCCCCGAGCTATCAGGATCGACCTCCGCAGCCAGATCAGCCTCCCGGGCCGTCCGCAGAGCTGGGGCCGGCACCGCGCCCGCCGGGCGGGGAGTAGGGGGCGCAGCCTCCTGACCTCGCTCACTGCCCCAACCCCGCCCTAGCGCGCGGGGGTTGGAGCGGGGAGGAGGGACAGCCTCCCAGCCCTCCGGGCCCCTTAGCTGTCACTAACCAGTCCTCCTTCAGACCTGCCCCTGGGGCAGCAAAGGAGGGGAAGGAGAGGAAGCCCTGGGAGGTATCTGGCTCCCGCAGGTTGGGAGTGGAGAAAAAGAACAGCGCCCCTATCCTACCCGAACCCTCTAAGAGACGGGTTAAATGATGTACCCAGGGCCAATGCTACAGTACAATCTGAAACTACCCTGTTTGCTTTTACTTTTTGCTGTTGTTACAACAATCTACCCCTGTCTGCAGTGGGAACTCCATGAGAGCTGGTCTGTCTTGTTCCGGAGGCATTTCAGCCCCTGCACCCTGCCAGGCCCAGTGCAGGCCTTCAACAACTATTTGTGTGAATAAGTGAATGGATACGGGAGGCTGCTGGCATGAGGGTGGCTTCTTGCCCTTCATCACCTCTAGTTATGATGCTTTACAGCCTGGTCTATTTGGCAATTAGTTTGCACAGGACAGCAGCAGCAGAGTAAAAATCCCATACTCAAGCATTAGCTTCAAACTTCATTCTTCCATTCTTCTTTCTCTGCAGCCATCAATATCATCTAGTCCACTGACTCGGTGTAATCTTTAAGGCTCAGGCAAAGAAATTGTGTGTGCCCTATGAGGCTACATGTTGGACTGGGAAGACGTTTTTAATAAAGTTTGTTTTCAAGAAGCCAGAGCTTTCTGATTTAGATTTCCCACCGTAAATAATTTATTAGTGTAGTAATAGTAAAAAAAAAGCTTGTAAAAACATTGAAGAAGTCCCAAACAAATGTTAAACACTGTGATGGTGCTAACAAATGAGGCAGTGTTGGGTCTGGTCTCTGTTGGAGGGAATTGGTATCTGCATAATTAAGGGATGTGATTATTATTATTATTATTTTTGAGACAGGGTCTCATTGTGTCACTCAGGCTAGAGTGAGTGATCATGGCTCACTGTAGCCTCAGCCTCCCCAGCTCAAGCCATCCTCCCACCTCGGCCCCAGTCTCCAGTAGCTGAGACTACAGGCACTCACCACTGCACCAGGCTAATTTTTTATATTTTTTGTAGAGATAGGGTTTTGCTATCTTGCCCAGGCTAGTCTTAAACTCCTGGGCTCAAGTGATCCTCCTTCCTTGGCCTCCCAAAGTGTTGGGATTACAGGCGTGAGCCACCATGCCCGCCTGGGATGTGATTATGAACAATGTGGGTTAGTTATGTATTAGTAAGCTGGCTACATACCTGTAGAGACCACAGAGGGCCAGAAGGTAGAAGTTTTGAATTCTAATTCTGCTGGAGCAGCATACTACCTGTCCTCCCTTGGATGAATGACTTAAACTCTTAGGGCCCCATTTACTTAACTGTCAAGAAAAAATGGAGCCAATAATGCCTACCTTTCAGGATGGTTTAAAAGCTGTGGTAGATTGAATTATTAGTACCCATTCTTCCCTCCTTTCCAGTAGCGTCATGTGCCCACACTTTTTGGTGATGTGTATTTTTCTAATTCTTGACAATGGGCTTGGCCATATGACTGGCTTTAGCCAAGGGGATGCTGATGGATGTGATGTGAGCAGAGGATCTGATGTATGTACTTGCCTGGTTGGTCTTGATGTTTTGTGTGTTCACCTGCTCCATGAAAAGAGCATACCCTGTGTAGCCACTGCTCCTGGAGTGGTTTGAGTGACATCCGTGTGTCCCAGGATGTGACACATGGAGCAGACACTCCCGTTGACCTCACAGATGTGTTAGCAAGAAATAAATGTGTCTTGTTGATGCCACTGAGATTTTTGTGATTTACTGTTACACAGCATTATTGTGTCGATAGCTGACTACTATAAAGGGTTGAGTGGCTCAAAGTTGGTGAAAGTTTCTTTAACTTCTAAAATTCAAGCACAAATAGGAAATTACAATTATTTTTGTCCTTGTCTTTTTGTCTAATAACTAATCTTAGGAAGCCTCAGTGTTTGTCTCTAGTCCTTCCGCTTTCTGTTCCTTAAAACAAACAAACAGAATTGTTGCTATCATATCTTAATGCAGGCTTCTTCTGAAGTGTGATTGACTATTTCAGATTTCTCTTACCATAAAAAAATCTAATTTGAGACTTCTTTTTTTTTTTTGAAACAGAGTCTTGCTCTATCACCCAGGCTAGAGTGTACCGGTGCAATCATGGCTCACTGCAGCCTTGAACTCTTGAGCTCAAGTGATTCTCCTGCCTCAGCCTCCTGAGCAGCTAAGACAACAGGCGTGCACCACCATGCCTGGTTGATTAAAACATTTTTTTTTTGGAGAGATGGGGTCTTGCTATGTTGCTCGGGCTGGTCTCAAACTCTGGCCTCAAGTGATCCTCCCGCCTTGGCCTCCCAAACTACTAGGAGTACAGGCATGAGCCACCATGCTCAGCTGACACTTATTTAAACATGGTTTCTACTGGGAAGTTTTGTAATGCTGGACCCCTCAAGATAAAGAACTTGCTAGGCTATGTCCAGAACAGTTACCTTCAAATCAGATGGGGGCTTGAACTTTGTAAAGACTCTGTGATTGTAAGCCCTATCATAGCTGAGCATTTGAGAATCACCAAAAGCAAAATATCAATGTTATAGCTTCAGGCTGAAGACATAGAGACAGATAGATACTCAGAGAATTTCACAAGGCACAGCACAGACTGGTCAGGACCCCATGTAGCCTAATGGTGTGTGCAGTGTACATGATGTATGTACCATGGCTGTGTGTTTCATTGCTTAGACACTTAGCTACTGCCTTTCCTGCACTGTTTTGTATAACACATTACCCAGATTACATACTGGGTGTTTGATTTTTTGTGTTTTCTTCTCCTGTCTAGGACTGTGAGCTCCTTGATGGCAGGGCTGTGTCTTAGGAGTTTAGTGCCACAGTGTCTAATAAGGTTCTTGGTACACGGTACATTTACATCAACAAATCAACAAATGGGCCCAACGCGGTGGCTCACACCTGTAATCTCAGCACTTTGGGAGGCTGAGGCAGGTGGATCACCTGAGGTCAGGAGTTTGAGACTAGCCTGGCCAACATGGTGAAACGCCATCTCTACTAAAAATATAAAATTTAGCCAGGCGTGGTGGTGGGTGCCTGTAATCCCAACTACTCAGGAGGCTGGGGCAGGAGAATCGCTGGAACCCGGGAGGTGGAGGTTGCAGTGAGCTGAGATCGCGCCACTGCACTCCAGCCTGGGTGATAAGAGTGAGATTCCTTCTCAAAAAAAAAAAAAAAAAAATCAACAAATGTTGTTGAACTGACCTGGAAGGCTGTTATTCCCATGTCTTTACCTGTTGACATTTTATTACTTCTAGGGACATAGCAGGGTGGAGCAAAGGGAGGGTTGGCAGCCCCCAGTCCTACCTCGTATAGCTGCATTCTCCAATAGTGATGCTTTATGGGTTAGTGAGGCAGATGGGGAAGGTAGTCAAAAGGTGGTATCTTAGAAAAAATATGTTTTAATGTCCTATTCCATTGATGATAGATGCCTGCCATGCTGAGGACAGTGTGCCAGTCACTTCACAAACACAATCCTGTTACATACTCCTCATAAACCTGTGGGCTAGGAATTGCTATTCCCATTTTATAGATGAGGAAACTTCAGCTCAGAAAAGTTGAATAGCCTGCGTGAGATCACCTAGCAAATGTGGTGGGACTCCAACTGGTACCCAGGCTTATCTCTAACCCTGACTAGAGCCAGACTCACTGGGTTCAAATCACATTCCCCACCTAAAAAGCTGTGTGATCTTGGGCAAGTTACTTAACATCTCTGTACCATACTTCCTTTATTTGTAAAATGGAAATAATGATAGTACCTACCTCAAAGGGTGTTTTGAGGATTTATTGAGATAATATGTATGAAGAACTTCTAACAGTGCCAATGACAATGGGTCTTTATTGTCATTATCTTTATGCAAAGTTTACACCTCCATCTTTTACTCGGTTAAGCCATGTCCACCTTCCCCATCAAACTGTAAGTTTTGAGGGCATGGAGCGTAGCTCACTCAGCAAATTTCCAGATGTGGGACAAATGTGTCTATTGGGGTACAAGTATAATGAAATAATTCCTTGCATCTTACTTGAACTATGGAAATGGGCCTTATTCTGTAGAACATGTGGAAGATTATATTTTCTTTTTCTTTTCTTTTCTTTTTTTTTTTCTGAGATGGAGTCTCACTCTGTTGCCCAGGCTGGAGTGCAGTGGTGTGATCTCAGCTCACTGCAACTTCCGCCTCCGGAGTCCAAGCAATTCTCTGCCTCAGCCTCCCGAGTAGCTGGGATTACAGGTGCCTGCCACCACACCCAGCTAATTTTTTTTCTATTTTTTTGTATTTTTTTGAGACGAAGTCTCACTCTTGTCCCCCAGGCTGGAGTGCGATGGCGTGATCTCGGCTCACTACATCCTCTGCCTCCTGGGTTCAAACGATTCTCCTGCCTCAGCCTCCCGAGTAGCTGGGATTACAGGCACCTGCCACCATGCCTGGCTAATTTGTGTATTTTATTTTATCTTTTTTTAGTAGAGACGGGGTTTCTCCATGTTAGCCAGGCTGGTCTCGAACTTCTGACCTCAGACCTCAGGTGATCCGCCCGCCTTGGTCTCCTGAAGTGCTGGGATTACAGGCGTGAGCCACCGCACCTGGCCTTTTTTTGTATTTTTAGTAGAGATGGGGTTTCACCATCTTGGCCAGGCTGGTCTTGAATGCCTGACCTCGTGATCCACCCGCCTCAGCCTCCCAAAATGCTGGGATTACAGGGGTGAGCCACCGTGCCTGGCTAGAAGACTGTATTTTCAAAGGTACACACAACATAAATTTAGCCCGTCCACTTCCTCATAAGACTGTTTACAGAAATTGTTTGTAGAAAGGACTGTGAAAAAAACATTTTGTTGCTTCTAAACCAAAATGACATTCGTTTATAGCTTTGGCTGAGGGACTGACTACTTCTCACTGAAGTGCAATGATATTTTGTTTTTTCATAGTTTCTCTTTCTGAAAGGGTTTTTTTTTTTTGGTGAAAAATACTTATCAGCAGTAGTTGTAAGTTAAAAATAACTTTAGCTTGTCGGGTAGGGCAGGAGCAGAAATCAACTAAATCTGTTGAAGTTAGAGGGAATTTTATAAAGGAGGAGCTAGAGGAATTCAGTGTATTAAATTCAACCTGTTAGTGTGGTCACAAGGAATGTATGTTTAATGTCACAACAATTTGCATATGACCTTAAACCCCATCTGTCTAGGGTGGGGCATCCCTGAAACAGTGTGAAATACGTCTGTTAGGTGTGTGAGCAGGAATGGCCAGCTGTGTGTTATTTTTGGGTCTCTGGCTGCCGCAAGTCCTGCCAACTAAATTAAAGGCGGTCAGACATATGTCATTGAAAATATGCTCATTACTTTAATGAGAATCATTTGGCATTCCTCAAATGTGGGCCTGGTTCTCTTTCTGAGAGAGGGTCAAGGGGATTTTGTAATCCTCCTCCCTTTGTAGGCCAATTGCTCAGTTTTAATGAAAGTTCTTTTTTTTCTCTTAATAAATAGCAAAAAGAATTTGAAGACAAGGCTGCTAACTTTTGTGTAATATAAGGAAATGAATGAAACCACAACATTCCCATCAATAGGCCAAATTTCTAGTGTATCTTTACAAAAAGAATTTAAAGTGAGGATGTTAAATTTGTTACCGTCGATTTGTAGGTTAAATTTGTTATGGATGCAAAGCTTTCAATACAATATTAGTGCCTGAAATTGGTTAAAACCAGCCTATCAATAATCCTTCAAACGGTATCTTGGATGACTGAGTGTCAAATTTTAGTTCTGAGATTTTTCATATGCAAAAATAGCTTGGACTGAAATTTGTCTAGATATGTGTCTGGTGGTTTACTTATATCAACAGTGTTCATATAACTTTGCAAGGTAGATATTTTTATTCCCATTTTACAGATGAAGAGACTGAGGCTCAGATGTGTTAACTTACTCATAGGTCTGCTTAAAAATCTAACAGGAGCTGAGTACAGTGGCTCATGCCTGTAGTCTCAGCGACTTGAGAGGCTGGGGCAGGAAGATCGCTTGACCAACCAGGAGTTTGAGACTAACCTGGGCAACATAGCGAGACTCTGTCTTAAAAACAAAAACAAAATTAAAAAAACCCAGAATAGATCTTAGAGGTGACCTAGTCCAATCCTCCTTTACCCATGAGAAAGCTAAGGCTCACAGAAGAGAGACTCACTGAGGTACACAGAGCTACCTGGTAGCAGCAGAATTGGGCACCATGAGACCAAACCAGCAGGGACAGAATATTCCATTACACTTACTGTTCTGACCAATGTCCCTGAGAAATGTAATTTTGAAGTAAAATTCAAATAATCTGATTTACACATTCCAGTAACTGAATTTTTTCAGGACTTCTCATCTAATGAGTTTAGTCCAAAGAACACAAGAAAAACAATAACAGGTACTTAAGCCCCGAAAGCGATTACTCTTCAAAGTCAACCAGAATCCTAGAGAAACAACAGATTTGAAAATCAGGCACCCTGGAAGTCCTTACCTGACCACCAGATTAAATGCAGATCTGCTGCTGCTTATTCTGGGACACGTTTGTTTCATCACTGCATGTTTTGACTGGTTGACTCTAGTGATTGGAGAAGCGTTTTCTGAGTCATTTAAGTGTGTTTCCTTGTATGAGTCAGCTCTTGATTTGTTGAATTCTGGAGAAGTCATGTAACCTGTTTGGTGTTCTGTTTTCACATTTATACACACACACATTATAAAGATGGTTGTGGTTGTATGGTTCTTATTTTTTTGAGACAGAGTCTTGCTCTGTCACCCAGGCTAGAGAGCAGTGGTGCGATCTTTGTTCACCGCAACCTCTGCCTCCTGGGCTCAAGTGATCTTCCCACCTCAGCCTCCCAAGTAGCTGGGACTACAGGTGTGCACCACCATGTCCAGTTAATTTTTTTTTCTTTTTTTTTTTTTTGTAGAGACAGGGTTTTGCCATGATGCCCAGGCTGGTCTCGAACTCTTCCGCTCAAGCGATCTGCCCAACTGTGCCTCCCAAAGTGCTGGGATTACAGGCGTAAGCCACCATGCCCAGCCATGTTGTATGGATCTTTGACATTATTGATTGAAGGATGATCATTAACAGCAATGACAATTTTTCATAAGGAAATAGAAAAACACAATTCCTCCTATCCTTTTTCTGGGGTGGTTTGTCTATTTCTGCCTGTTGTGTCTACAATTTTTTCACAGAAAGCAAAAGTCTGCAGTTGTAGTCTGCTCAACTTTTCACCTCTCCAGTTTTTTCCAAGTGATACTCCCAGTTCTAGAGCAATCTATAGCTGTTTATATGAGGTGCCCAACACCCACTCATCTCAAGTACTTCAGTCTTTGGTTTATTTCATGCACTGTGCCTTCAAAATTAATATTTTTTTTTGAGACAGAGTCTCGCTCTGTTGCCCACACTGGAGTGCAGTGATGCGGTCTTGGCTCACTGCAACCTCCACCTCCTGGGTGCAAGTGATTCTCCTGCCTCAGCCTCCTGAGTAGCTGGGATTACAGGCATGCATCACCACGCCCAGCAAATTTTTGTATTTTTAGTGGAGATGGGGTTTCACTGCGTTGGCCAGGCTGGTTTTGAACTCCTGATCTCAAGTGATCTGCCTGCCTCGGCCTCTCAAAGTGCTGGGATTACAGGCATGAGCCACCGTGCCTGGCCTCAAAATGAATTTTTTTTTTTTGAGACCAAGTCTTGCCCTGTTGCCCAGGCTGGAGCGCAATGCCATGATCTTGGCTCACTGCAACCTCCGCCTCCCAGGTTCAAGCGATTCTCCTGCCTCAACCTCCCGAGTAGCTGGGATTACAGTTGTGCGCCACCACGCCTAGCTAATTTTTTTGTATCTTTTTTTTTTTTTTTTTTTGAGACAGAGTCTTGCTCTGTCGCCCAGGCTGGAGTGCAGTGGTGCGATCTCGGCTCACTGCAAGTTCCGCCTCCCGGGTTCACGCCATTCTCCTGCCTCAGCCTCCCGAGTAGCTGGGACTATAGGCGCCTGCAACCACGCCCAGCTAATTTTTTGTATTTTTAGTAGAGATGGGGTTTCACCGTGTTAGCCAGGATGGTCTCGATCTCCTGACCTTGTGATCCGCCTGCATCAACCTCCTAAAGTACTGGGTTTACAGGCGTGAGCCACCGTGCCCGGCCAATTTTTTTGTATCTTTAGCAGAGACGGGGTTTCACCATGTTGGCCAGGGTGGTCTCGAATTCCTGACCTCGTGATCCACCCGCCTAGGCCTCCCAAAGTGCTGGGACTACAGGCATGAGCCACGGTACCCAGCAAAAATGAAATTTTTAAAAGGGACTTTATTATTATTTTATTATTATACTTTAAGTTCTGGGATACATGTGCAGAATGTGCAGGTTTGTTACATAGGTATACACGTACCATGGTGGTTTGCTGCACCCATCATCCTGTTATCTACATTAGGTATTTCTCCTAATGCTATCCTTAAAAGGGACTTTAAATGAAGTTGAATAGTAGTTTTTAAAAGTCAATGTGTAATTTATGTGAAATCTAACAGTAATGAGGTCCTTTCTGTTTTTTGTATGTAAACAGATCTACTAATCCTGTATAAAGGTTATTTTATGAAAAAAAAAAACAAAAAAACAAAAAAAAAAACCTGATTCCTGGCACATAGGAGATTTCAGTGTGTGTCAACTGTGGCCCATCAACTGCAAGCCGTCTTACTGCTTCTCTCAGGCGATTCAATAAGAATAAAAAGCAAATGAATCCTTGATTTCTTTTAAATACTGCATTCATTTCAGGAAGAAGAAAGTGATTTAAAAAGAAGTACAGAATGTTCATCTTCTCTTTCATTCCAACTACAGCCTGAGAAGTTCAGTCCCTTAAGGGACATAATATTTTCAACCACGGTTGATAGTAATTTAATAAATAATTTAGTATTTTAAACATCTGCTTTGCTAAAAGTGGTATGCCATAAAACCTCTGCTAATGTCTTGAAACTGTGTATATTTTGAAGAGATGGTGCATGTCTTAGATTTTTTCCCCTCCTCTATCAGCTAAGCAATAGGAATGCCTATCTTTAGTTCTGTTTTAGAGCATTTTTGGGGTGGTAAAATATATTACAAATTATTACTCATTCATTGTCTCAACAGGGATGCATCATGCCATTGCTATGATCCTGGTGCTCTTCTAAAGCAGCTTTGAGAACACAAAGATGAACACTTACCCTTAGCGAGTGTACAGGCTGTAAGGAGAGAGAGAGACATTAATATGTATACCTAAAGCCGAGCCTATGTGCAGTGAAGGGGGTGGAGAAAAGAGGGAGGTAGGGAGGTGGGGGGAGGGGGGGGAGAGAGAGAGAGAGAGAAAGAGATACAGGGCACCATTAGAGCACTTAGGAGGATAAAGCACCTAATCAGCCTGGAATAGTCAGAGGAAGCTTCGTGGAGTTGGTCTCAAACCAGGTCTTAAAGGACGGGTAGGAATTAATCAAGCAAATGGAGGTAAGGATGGGAGTGGGTGGGCATTCCGGGGAGAGGAGACAGTAGGAACAATGGCGGAGAGGAGAGGAGCAGCATATGACATGGTGAAGAATAGGATGTGGAGCAGGGCATGAGGATAGCTGGTGATGGGGAAATAGGCCAGGGTGAGATTGCAGAGGGCTCCATGTGCCTTACTGGAAAGCCTGGGCTTTGTCTGAAATGATGGGAGCCATGGAAGAGCTGTAAGCAGGAGACCACCAATGGGCAGATAGTGCTGTAGGGAGATTCTCTTGCCGAGTAGAGAGATGGATAGAAGAAATACGTGACAGGGGGCAAGAGACCAGTTAGGAGGATGTGGCTGTTTCCAGGCAACAGTTGATGAGCAGCAGAACTGGGAGTGCCATGGAGAGCTGGGACAGACTCATGCCACACCTAAGAGGCAAACACTGCAGGACACCCTGAATGCCTCCTTGCAAGGGATGAGGAAAGGGAAGTGCCAAGCAGGGCCTTTCAAGATTCTGGTTTAGGTACATCATTCTGAGCAAACTATTGCGAGGACAAAAAACCAAACACCGCATGTTCTCACTCATAGGTGGGAATTGAACAATGAGAACACTTAGACACAGGAAGGGGAACATCACACCCCAGGGCCTGTCATGGGGTGGGGGAAGGGGGGAGGGATAGCATTAGGAGATATACCTAATGTAAATGACGAGTTGATGGGTGCAGCACATCAACATGGCACATATATACATATGTAACAAACCTGCACATTGTGCACATGTACCCTAGAACTTAAAGTGTAATAAAAAAATAAAGCAAACAAAAAAGAAAAAAATAAGATTCTGGTTTAGGTAAAAGAAGAAATAAATGGTTGAGTGGAAGCTTGAGGACTGCAGTCTCATTGTTCTGAGAGAGACTTCACTTTCACTGACTTTCGGGCAGAGAACAGAACAAATTCTGTGCTTCCTCTGCCCCTGGGGAGATTGCCTGTGTTGCTGGAAGGACTTCTTCCTAATTGCCCAGACCTGCCCAGAAGAAGAGGCAGGAACTGTATTTGGAACAACATTCAGAAGGGATCTGTTCTTGTTACCTTCACCTTTCTGACCCATCTTGAATAAGATGGTCTTTCTCTGCCAGTGGTTACAGCACTCCTGTACATGTTCCATTTTCAAATGCCTTAAAAATGTTATGAATATATATATCGTGCTAGTTCTCTCTATAAAGTAGTTATAATAAACTTTATTTCAACCAAACAAACAAATAATGAAATTACCTAAAATCAGTAAGTCAATGAATTCATGGTAAAAATTTATCTTATTTTTTTTGCCATCTGGTTAGAACCCATTTTCTGCTAGCCCCCTCATTTTTAGGGGATACTTCACTGTGTGCAGCCTTGGTGGGAGGTCATGCTCACTTCCAAAAACGGGACCTAAAAAGACCTGATCTTTTCACTCTCTGCTGTGGTCCAGCCAGGGTCAGGTATGTGACTTAAAGGTTTGGCGAATGACACATTCTTCTGGGGGAGTGAAGGAAGGAGGTTGGGGGTTCTCTGTTGGGAGGGCATTCCTGCCAGCATCAGTGAGGGGTGTTGGCCACAAATGGTTCCTGTTGTGGGGGCTTTGCTGTGGTTCCTGCTGCCTGGTCCTCCAGAGCTTTCTCAATTCCTGCATTTTTCAAGTCTGTGTCTTCAGCCTCTTGCTGATACTATGTACCCAAATAGTCTTTTAATAAAATCTTTGCCCGAGCCAGAGTTGGTTTCTGTTGCTTGCAAACTGGTCCTGACAGTGTAGACCTTCCATGCAGGAGAGGTATCCAGAGACAGGGTCACACACACTCACCCTATCCTTCACCCATTACTCCCCAGAGCCCCTCCAATCTTACGTGCTTATGCGTGTACTGGGGCCAAGGGTTGAATTAGACTAGAAAGAATGATTTGTATTGGGACTTACCAAAAGAAATCAACTGCTGAGAAAACTGGACTGAAGCCCAGAGAAAGGATTTTGTGTTGCACAAAACTGGCAGATTTAGAAATATTGAGACAGAAAAGAATGTTGAAATATCCCTCTGTGACAGTCAAAGATGAGGCATTGAAAAGCTCAGAACTGTAGATTTCGCTTTTAAAACCATGGCAAGAGTATCATCACCACAGCAAGGGCGAGCCCAGAGAAAGTGCATTTGGTGAGATTTTATAAATGTACCCAAGGCACGTGTTTTGTTGCAAACGATTTTCTAAAATTCATGCTTCAGAGATGAAATTTAGTTTGAAGGCAGGAGGAAGGGAGTAACATTTATTGAGTGCCTATTGTGTGAATGACTTTCATCTGCATTGGTTTGTGTATTTATTTTATTTTTGAGACAGGGTCTCATTCTGTCACCCAGGTTGGAGCACAGTGGTGCAATCGTAGCTCATTCCTGGCTTGAATTCCTCGGCTCAAGGGATCTGCCTGCTTCAGCCTCCTCAGTAGCTGGGACTACAGGCATGTGCCACCACACCCGGCTAACTTTCTATATTTTTTGTAGGGACAGGGTCTTGTTATGTTGCCCAGGCTGGTCTTGAACTCCTGGACTCAAACGATCCTCCCCCCTTGGCCTTCCAAAGTGCTGGGATTACAGGTGTGAGCCACCATGCCTGGCCGTACATTGGTTTATTTAATTTACCTCAAAACCCTAAAACCCTACAAGGGAGGTATAACATTTCTGTTGTATTCACAAGGAAACTAAGTAGGTGACTTGCTCAGAATCACACAGTTCACAAGTGGTAGAACTTGGATTTGAATCCAGGACTTTTGACTCCAAAGCTACCTATCCTACTTTCTCCCTCTCAAAGATTTCATGAGGTCAACAGGGGAGAAAAGTACAGAGAGAGAGACTTTAGAATTTAGAAGAACATTCTTCTTCCGTGTAAATGAGAATTGGGACTGAAGACACAGCTGACTTGTTTTTCGTAGCTGCCATTGTATAGTCTGAGGAGTTTTGATTGTCTTGGTAACTCATACAATATCACCTCTAAATAACCAAGAAACTCACGTTACAGCAAAAGAAGTACAGGCCTGTGCTCTTATTGATGAAATGAACTGATCTTACTGTGTAACTCATCACTCAGAAGCTTTATAGAACTGCAGAATGACCTTCTAAAGACCGGCTGAGAAATAACATTCTAAAAATTTAGGGGTACTGCCCTACAGAGGGAGGTCAATAGGGTGTTGTTCTTCCTACGTCCAGAATGCATGGTCTTGGAATCAAGGGTGGAAGGAATGGGTGTAGCCCCATCTCGCTTTGAGACTATTATGCGTAATAACTTAGATGTAGCCTTTTGGGTTTTCATCCCTGAAACCCTGAGTTGGTGCATTTGGAGGATCTGATTTCCACTTAGGAACACAGACATGCTTCTATTAAATCTGAAGCTAAAACTGTCCCCTAGGCATTTTAAGATCCTCATGCTACTGAACCAACAGACAGACAAGAAGGTTACTGTAGTGACTAGAGTGATTGATCTTAATCAAGGGAAATTAGGCCACTGCTATCTAACGATGGCAAGAAAAACCATGTCTAGGAGCCTAGAAGACTCACTGGGTCACTTCTTAGCACTCCTATATGCAATCATAATGGTTGATGGCAAACTGTGACAACTCAGTAATACAGGATCACTAGGGCTTAGATCCTGGGAAATAAAGGGTTGAGTCATTCTATCAGGTAAAAACTCCACCCATCTGAGATGCTGAAGGTAAGGAGAGGTGGAATGGGTGTTGGAAGGAGGAAGCTATGGCTGTTGATTTCCGTTTCATGACCGGCTACTGAGGCATGGAATGTAACTGTTATACTCAGCTTATCTAATGGATTATAATTTTCTTTTACCTCTCACCTTTCTGCTCTGTTGTGTGAAGGGCACATTACAATTTAGGTTCCAGGTGAGAGTATGAATGTATTGACATCTCTTACCATGATGTGACAGTATATAAGACTCTCTGTCTCGAAAATGTTGGAGATGAGAGTTTCTTCACCTGAGTGAGGGGCAAGATAGATGTGGAGTGGATACAAAAGGGGTGGACCATGCAGGTTATTCTCTGCATCTCACCCCTTCACTTCTCTCCAATCCGTTCTCTATTCTTCTTTAGGCCCAAGGAGGCTGAGCCCTCCAAACCACCTCACCTGGGTTCTCTTGCTGTCTGGTTTCCAGTTGATGTTGGTCGCTGAAGGTTCTTAGCAGAAGATGAGAGGAGCTTAGGTTTCAGCACCTAAGGCTTAGTTCTTCTGTGACCTCAGTTCCTGCCAGGCAGCCCCTCTGCCCTGATTTCAGCTGTCACTGGATTCTGTGAAATCATTTTCCTCCCCTTGTCCCTTAAGACCCAGAGGTAGCAACAGCTTCCCGCAGATGCTAGTCTCGTAGTTTCCATTAACCCTATCATCTGCCCCTCTGTAACTGGTCCCTTTATTAAAAATCTCTTAAGTCAAAACATTTGAACAGAGTTTTGTAACCTGCTGGGCCCCCGGGTGATACAAATTAGGAGCAGATTTCATTTTATTGAAGCAGTCTTCACTTTCCCAGAAGATATGTACAGTGTTTTTTGAAAACGCAAATCTCTGTGATATTTAAGTCAATTGGCTCTACAAACATCTGATTTATATGCAGACTTTCAAGAAGTCATGCCAGAAGTCATATAAAATAAGGAGAGGAGGCTACTTTAAAAGTTGATTTTATCTAAGAAACTTAGGCAAATGTACTTTCCTCCTAGCAGACTTATCACAAAAATGTCTATGTCATAAATGAGAAAATTGACTTCTACAGACATGTGGTAGAACTTGGCTGTTACTTCACCTTTTTCTATTGGCTATCATCAAATGAAAATCCTTTGGGATTTGCAGTAACCAAACATTCATTTATTCCTTCTCCATGCCTTTATTTGGTAGTTACTGAGTGCCATACCAAGGCCGTGCCATTGGTGAAACAAAGATAATTGAGCTGTGGCCTTTGCCCACCAGGAATAAGCTGGGCACAGTGTGAGAGGCTATGGGCAAGTTCATTCAAGTCTGCGCTTTAAAGTGTTTTCTTTTTGCTTTTTTTTGTTTTTTGAGACGGAGTTTCACACTTGTTACCCAGACTGGAGTGCAATGGTGCTATCTCGGCTCACTGCAACTTCCGCCTCCCGGGGTTCAAGCCATTCTCCTGCCTCAGCCTCCCGAGTAGCTGGGATTACGGGTGCCTGCCACCACGCCCAACTAATTTTTTGTATTTTTAGTAGAGATGGGGTTTCACCATGTTGGCCAGGCTGGTCTCAAACTCCTGACCTCAGGTGATTCACCCTCCTCGGCCTCCCAAAGTGCTGGGATTATAGGCATGAGCCACCGTGCCCGGCCTCTTTTTTTAATTTTTTATCTTTTTTTGAGACAGGATATCACTCTGTTACCCAGGCTGGTGTGCAATGGTTTGATCTAGGCTCACTGCAACTTTTGCCTCTGGGGTTCAAGTGATTCTCCAGCCTCAGCCTCCTGAGTAGCTGGGACTACAGGTGTGTGCCACCACACCAAGCTAATTTTTGTATTTTTAGTAGAGACGGGGTTTCACCATGTTGCCTAGGCTGGTCTCCAACTCCTGAGCTCAAAGTGATCCACCCATCTCAATCTCCCAAAGTGCTGGGATTACAGGTGTGAGCCACCGTGTCAGGCCTAGAGTGTTTTCATGTGTAAAAATAATACTGACTTTCATTCATTCAATAGTTACTCACTGAATTCTTGCTATGTGCCAATGCAGGCAGTGGAGGTAGAAGACTGAAGGAAAAAATCCCCAAAAAGAAAAGACAGCAAAACAAAACAAAAAAGCCTCCAAAACAGGAAGAAAAGAAAAAAGAAAAAGCAACAAAACAACATAAAACCTACCCCAAACAAATATAAATCCCACTTACCAGATTGTCTCTGCAGTCATGGCGTTTGTGGTCTAGGGATCTCCTTCACAGAATTGTGAGAATTAAATGAGATGAGAATTAAATGAAGCAGTAGGCACATAGTAGATGATTAATAAATGCTAGAGATTATGATCCTCTATTGGGGAGATAGGCTCATTCCAATAAAATGTAATGCATGGTATACGTGTGCAAATAAGGGAGTGCAGAGAAGGAAAGAACTTATTATGTTATGGGGAAATCATGGAGGGTCCCATAGAAGAGGTGACATTTAAAAGAAGAGCCTGGGGCTGGCGTGGTGGCTCACGCCTATAATCCCAGCACTTTGAGTGGCCGAGATGGGTGGATTACTTGAGCTCAGGAGTTCAAGACCAGCCTGGGCAACATGCTGAAACTCCATCTCTACAAAAAATACAAAAATTAGCTGGGTATGGTGGTGCACGCCTGTAATCCCAGCTGGCTGGGAGGCTGAGGTGGAAGGATCACTACAGCCTGGGAGGTGGAGTTTGCAGTGAGCTGAAATTGTGCCACTGCACTCCAGCCTGGGCGAGAGAGTGAGACTCTGTCTCAAGAAAAAAAAAATGAAAATTAAAGAGAAGCCCAATTTCACTGGACAAATGTTGAGGAGGAAGACATTCCAGGGAGAGGGCAAAGCCATGTAAGAGTGAGAGTATCTGCGGTGTTTTGGAAAAGGTGGTGAACTCAGTTTGGCTGGGGCAGAGGCTGCGTGGAAGGAGATACGGAGAATGAGTGGAAGACAAGTTCGGGCCTGCTGTGAAGATCTTCCTCGGCCATATGAAGTCTTCAGCTAGAATAAAAGCAGAGAGCCCTATGTGAGTGAGGTAAGCATCTCCCATGGTGTTCAACCCTAGAACACTGGAGGCATGTTGAAACCAGTGTGTGCCTATCCCTGTGGGAGGGGCACTCCACTTTCTTGTGCTTTAAACAGTTGAAAAGGCTGAAGCTGAATTAGAAGTCCCTAAGCAAGGGGAAACCAATGGGTCCAGAGTATTGTCTTGAAGTACAAAGTCTCCAAATATTGGTACAGGACCATCGTGTTTAAATAGCATCCCTTCCTGGCCGGATTCCTTCTAGAGAAAGCACATGGATTGTATGTGACCAAATCAGTTTCCTTTTACAACATATCAAAAATATAAGATACAAGAATCAGCTTCTGGCATTGGTGGACATTAGGGATCAATGTCAAGTGCTGCTTTATTTTTCTTATCTATTTTCCAGGACCAAAGGCAAGGAAGAAGGGCCAAAAAGAGAAGAACAATATATAAAATCACATTTATTGAGCACATAGAGTATACCACGTTCAGTGTTAGGTGCTACTGATTCACAGATGAATAAAATGAGATCTGTGGTCTGAAAGATCAGACCAGTCTAGTGTAGGAGATATGTCTACTGGTAGAGTGTCTGCTGTGGGTCACGCAACGTGCTGGATTCCATATATGTCATCCCATAATGACCTTGAGACATAAGTATAGTTATCTTCATTCTCAATTGTAAGACTAAGGTTCCCAGAAGGTGAATAATTTGCTTTAGATCACCTAGCTGGGATATCAAATTGGGGTCCTCGTAGGAAATAGATGGCACTCGCAAATGGCGGGGATTGAGAATAGTTTAGTGAAAAGACAGTTTACAGTGGAATAGGCAGGGCAAGGGAAATGAACAAAGAATGGGGGGCACCCTGGCGATAGCCGTGGGGAGGGACACCGCCATCCCTAGGCCTAAAGCGGGAGGCAGAGGGAGAAATTACAGGGCCCTGGAGAGAAGGGCTATGATATAGGGGAGGGCCTCCAGATAGGAGCTGTGGGCTTTGGTAGAAGGATGCAGCCAAAAGAGATCAATATTCTGAACTCACTCTCCTTCTGCCTATCGATCTCTTGCCAGTGTCTTCACTGGCAAAGCCCGACCAGAGGCTAGAGGTCAAAGGAGCCCATTGATGCAGCCCATATGGGTCAGCCTCCTGGGCCACAGACCGAGGCAGAGAAGGGCAAAGTGTTGGGTCTGGAAAGGAAAATGGAAAATACCCAGTGCAACCAGTCAGGGATAAAGAGGAGATTCCTCGTTCAGGTCCCTTGCCTTGTCTGCTCTGCATGTTAAAGCAGCAGCTCTTCAACGTTTACACACAACACCTTTACAGTAGTCTGGAGGATAATGTGAAAAAGCACAGGTTAAACAGCCGTGGTATGGTGGAGTGGAGGTGTGTTGTTTTTGACCACTCTGACATCCACTTCCTCCTTTCTTTGGTGGCAGCACCCCCATTTTCCTTGGTGGACCACCCCTTCCAGATACTTCACACACATGCCTCAGGTGGGCTGACCCCCTGCAGGAGACAGGGTGGGGATGGGGTCCAGGTGAAACAGTTCTCAGAGGGCTGGGTTGAAAGTTCAGAGAAGCCAACCCTGAATCTTACAGATGTCACAATCTTACTGATGTGGGAAGCACAGAGGCTTCACTCTTAGCAAAGTGCCCCAGAGGATTTCAGGCTGGAAGATGTTTTGGGGGAACTGCTTCTTTAGGTCACCCCTTTTTCTTGTAGGAGACACATTTGGGTTTATGGTGATGGAATTCTGCCTGTACAGATAGAGAAAGTCCTGTTGAAATCACTGCAGTGTTATGTGCTTGCAAAAAGTGCTTTTGTAAGCTATGTCACCTGGATCTGACATCTAGGTTCTAGGAACAATTTGTCACTGGGTCATCAGTGCCGTCTTGCTATAGGGTTCCTGGGTTATATATCTTTTTATATGGTTATATATATATACTGGTTCAGCATCCCTAATTTGAAAATCTGAAATCCAAAATCTAGTGAGCATTTCCTTTGAATGTCATGTCAGCACTCAAAAAACTATGGATTTTGGAGCATTTCAGATTTTGGATTTTTGGATTAGGAATATCAAAATATCCCTAAATAAAGGGTGAGTAACCATATATGTGTATGGTTTCATACATCCTCCCTTTTTCTGCTAACCGCTCCCCCTTTCCTTTGGGGGAAAATTTTCCCTTTTCCATGTGGTTGGGTGGGGCTGCTCATCACAGTACTCTCTCCTCCCACAATACCAACAGGCGTTGGCAGGTAACAAAGCTGAGCCAGTTACAGTTCCTACCACCGAACAGTGATTGGGCCATAGAAGGGCATGTGACCCAAGTCTTTACTGGAATCGATCTAGGGAGACCCCCAGAGAGGGAGGGTCTCTGTCTCTCACTTTCTGGGTTGCTATCCTGGAGAGGCATCACACATGGGCATAAAATTATAGTGACGGAATGGTGACCAGTACGTTGGCTTGTGTGTCTTTTTCTGGAAGGTCTAGGAGGGTAAGCACAAGCCTGGTCAATTATCCTCCTGGATACAGTGGGGCGTTCAGGGCATGTGACCCAAATCAGGCCAATCAGAGCCAATTGCAGGACTTCTGCCAGTGAGCCTGGGAAGGCCCCTTTCCACAGGCAATCCTGAGAGGGTGGGGTGTAACCCTGTAGCTGTTGGCTGCCATCTTGCCTCTGTGAGAGGAGAACCTGCCAGAGAATGGAGTTAACAGAGGACAGCATAACCGAAGATGTAGACTAGGGTGACCAACGCATCCCACTTTGCCTGAGACTGTCCTGACTTTAAAACTAAAAGTTCCCCATTGTAGGAACCCTTTCAGTTCTAGGCAGACCAGGACAGTTGGTAACCCAAATGAGAGAGTGAGAATGTGTCCTGATAACACCGTTTGAGCCCACGGATTCAACCCCACCTGTTTTATGTTTTCTGTTCTTTGTCTTATGTTTTCTGTTCTTTGCAGCCAAATGGGTCTTGACTAACTCAGAAATGGACAGTTCAAGGGACAGGAACATCTGTGTGGATTTGACTAAGTCAACTAAAGCCTTCCAGTCAGTTCTCCTTGATTTTCTGATCTTTAAGATGAGCAGGCGATTGACTTTAATGTTCTCTTCCGGCCCCAGAAAGTCTATGAATCTGTATCAGGCCAGTCTTGCAATCTTCCCCTCTCCCTTTTTGCAGTTAAAAAAAAAAAAAAAAAAGAGAGAGAAAAAAAGCCCACTCTGCAGAGCATTCCAAGATCCAAGCAATGTGCTTGAGCTGATGTTATCATCCCTTACAGCAGTTTTACCTAGATGAAAGCAAGGACTATTAAAATATCTGATTATAACTTTTATGTGAGAAGAGGGCTGGAACACTAGGCATGAAATGGTATTTACTGTGCTTGTGATCCTAAACAGCTGGCGAGTCTTCAAGAATTAGGCAGTTACTCTACTGACAGGGTTGACTGTCAGGGTTGAGCTTCTGCAGGGGAACCTGAGGCAGGGTGTTTTCTAAGTCCCAGCTCTCCAGAGTAAAAAGGGACCTCATCTGGGAGTCAGGATTCCTGGGTTCCAAAATAATAACAATAACGTACTTAGTGGGTTAGTGTAGATGATGCATTTTGACATATATTACCTACTGTGAGGCATTCCTGCTACCTATAGCAATCTTGCTCAGGTACTTCACTATTCTACTTATTCTCTAAGTCTCAGCTTTGATGTCCTCAAGGAGAGTCTTGCTGGCACCCCTAGAACAGGCTTGGTTTCTGTAGTGATCATGGTGAATCAGGATAGATGTTGGTGGCCATGTACACCATCTCATCCTCCTTTTTTTTTTGTTAACCACACCTCCTTTCCTTTGGGGTAAAATTTTCCCTTTTCCATGTGGTTCTTGTGGGGCTGCTCATCACAGCACTCTCTCCTCCCACAATACCAACAGGGGTTGCCAGGTAACAAAGCTGAGCCAGTTACAGTTCCTACCCTTGGAACAGTGATTGGGCCATAGATGGGCATGTGACCCAAGTAGGGCCAATCAGAGTCTTCTGTGGAATCGATCTAGGGAGACCCCCAGAGAGGAAGGTTCTCTGTCTGATGGGCTTGCTAAGCCAGAGGGCATGCATGGAAGGTTGCCAGAGGCTTTCTTCGTAGTGCTGAGGACAACTATCAGTGTTAGGGGAGAAAGTAGGTGGGGCATAAAGGGAAACAGTGATGAAGAACTGAATAAATGTGAAAGCCCTGTTTTGAGATATAATCCACATACCTTAAAATTTACCCTTTAAACCTGTAAAATTCAGTGGTTTTTAGTATATTCACAGGTTTGGGCAACCATCACCACTATCTAATTCCAGAAGGAAATTAGAAGCCGATTAAATAGACCTATGGACTTTCAATCAGAAGCTGATGATGCAGAGAACTAGGGCCAATGGAAAGGGCATTCTTGTGAGGCCAGCAGCAGTAGCAATAATGTCTGATATCCAGGGACCATGATGGCAGCAGTGATACACTCGGTAATGTCCTCTGTTCAGCGGGGATGCCAGCAGTGTCCTCACTAGGCTTTTCTTGGGTATGATTTTGGGCATGGTCTGCTCTACCATCTTGCTTTCCTTATTCCAACTCATGTTCCAAGCCTGGGTCTTCCTGGTGATTTTGTGAGCTCCCCAGTAGCCCAGATGAGCCTCTCATACTATTTCCAGAAGGAAATTCCAGAAGAAAACTCTATAACCTTTAGAAGTCCCTATTCCCTCTCTCTCTCTAGCCACTGGAAACCACTAATCCCTTTTCTGTTTCTATGGATTTGCCTATTCTGGACGCTTCATAGAAATGGAGTCAGGAAATATGTGGCCTTTTGTGCCTGTCTTCTTTCACTTAGCATGATGTTTTCAAGGTTCATCCATATTGTATCATGTATCAGTACTTCATTTCTTTTTATGACTGAACGATATTCCATTGTAAAGACAGAGGAGTATGATTCTCATTTTACAGACAGGGAAGCTGAGTCAGGGAGATTAAATAACTTATCCAAGTCATAAACCTAGTACATCCATTAGAATTCCTAATTATAAACAACAGAAGCCAACTCTGGTTGATTTCAGAAAAGGAATTTATTGACAGGATACCGGGGAGCTCACATAATCACCAGGAAGACCCAGGCTTGGAACATGAGTTGGAACAAGGAAAGCAGGATGGCAGCCCAGACTATGCCCAAAATCGTACCTGAGAAGAGTCTAGTGAGGATGCTGCTGGCATCCCCGCTGAACAGAGGACACTACCGAGTGTACCACTGCTGCCATCATGGTCCCTGGATATCAGACATTGTTGCTACTGCTGCTGGCCTCACCAGAATGCCTCTTCCATTGGCCCTTCTTCGTTGCATCATCAGCTTCTGATTGAAAGTCCATCGGTCCATTTAATTGTCTGTGACTTAGCTGCAAGGGAAGCCAGGAAAGTGAATATTTGGTCTTTTTGGCTTCTATAGTAGAAGTGGGCTTGCCTTACTCTAGGACACAGTGTGGGGGAGTTCTGTAGAGCAGGAAGGTTCTGTATTGGGCAGAAAAAAACAATCTTCACTCTAGTAATAGGTGGAAAGCCAAGTTTGAACACATTATAATTGTTTGACAGTTCTGACAAAATGCCCAGTTCTCTGAACCTTTTGATTAATTGAAAGGCTTACCATATTATTTCCCATGTCACTATCCCACTATCCAAATGTCAGGTGTCAAAGCTATGACAGGTCATCATGTACTCAAGGGGCCTATTAATTTCTTATCTATCCCTCACCTTTTGTTTTAAAAGTAAATCCCGCCAGAACACAGTGCCCTTTTAAATATAAGCAGAATTAATCGCCTTAAAAAGCAAGAACCAAACCGAAACAAAAATACTCAGAACAAACACGAAGACTTCAGCCTCTGATTTTGCCATGAATGTGAGAGTGGGGAGTTTCCCTGCTGCCTTAGCCCTTGAGAGTTGTGGCCTGATGGCAAAAATTCTCCTACCCTCTGTCCTAAAGGAAAATATATTGAGAAAGATGTGGATTGTTTCTCGGCTAGTGCCCCCAGGACTTTTCATGAGTAAACTCCTGTATCTTCATCATCATCTCAAGAGAAGCCTGCCCAGACCATACATCTAGTGCTCGTGGAAACAGAGATGTTGCGCCAGATGAGAGGCCTCATCCTGGATTAAACAGGCTTTGATAAGATCAATGTAAAAATGCATCCACTCTCCTCTGCCCTTGGGCACATGGATGATTAAATCACATACTTATTTACAACCATGGAGGGGATGCCAACCTACCTGTATTTAAGCCAAGAAACCTCACATTTGTCAGACCATAAGGGAAGGACATTCCAGAGAACAAGGTTGTCTCTTTATTATCTTGGGTATTTATACTGGAGAGACCTCAGAAACAATCTAGTTCCAAGCCTCTCACTTTACAGAGGAGGACACTGGGGCCTAGAGAGGAAAAGCTCAGGGTTCCTTAGCTCAGTAGTGACAGGACCAAGGCAAAAACTTTGGTTTCCCACAAATGGAGATGATAAAAATAATAAAATATTTCTCCACGAATCTCAAGCTTATGACGTTAAATAAGAAAATATGTGTGGAAGCATTATTATATGGATATTAGGTAAAGTTAACAGAACTCGAGCAAGTACTTAAGGTCTCTGTGCCTCAGTTTCATCACCTGTGAAGTGGGGGTAATATTCCTCCCTCCTCATTAGCTCTGTGAGGAAGAACTAAGTTAAAACGTGTAAATTGCTTGGGATGGAACTTGGCTCATTGTGTGTACTTCATGGCTGTTTTTTGTTTTGTTTTGTTTTTTGAGGTGGAGTCTCGCCCTGTTGCCCAGGCTGGAGTGCAGTGGCATGATCTTGGCTCACTTCAACCTCCACCTCCCGGGTTCAAGTGATTCTCCTGCCTCAGCCTCCTGAGTAGCTGGGATTACAGGCATGTGCCACCATGCCTGGCTAATTTTTTGTATTTTTAGTAGAGGAGGGGTTTCACCATGTTCACCAGGATGGTCTCAAACTCCTGACCTCAGGTGATTCACCCGCCTCGACATCCCGAAGTGCTGGGATTACAAGCGTGAGCTACCAATGGCTGTTATCTATCATGTTGGCTTGTTGAATCTAACATCCAAAGGAAACTTCAGTTAGGCCCTGCTACTTAATTGGTTAATTAAAAAGGGTAATTAAGTGATTAACTTACTCCCCTCCCAATTTTCTTATTGGAAATATGTCCAAAAGATAAGAGCTCACTGTGCTATTTTTAACGAACCCTAGCAACCATAGGGGAGGCTGTTGTGGGAGACAGGAGACTGTCGTCTTTCTAAACATGGAGCCTGTAGGCAATGCCCTGTGGGTAAGAACTTGTTTCAAATCCTGGTTCTGGTGGTTGCTGGCTGAGTTCAGACAGACTCCTTTCTCTATTTGGGCGTCTGTCTCCTCGACTATAAAAAGACAGGTGAATAGGCTTTTTTCAATCAGCTCTAAATGTCTCTGCAGAAGTTGTAGGCATTGGACATGGATTTATTGATTTCCTAGAACAATCGAGTATAAGTTAAGCCTGTGGACTCAGAAATCAGTGTCCTGGGTTCAAGGGCAGACTTGTGTGATGCTAGGCAAGTTATTCAACCACTGTAAGACTCAGTTTTCTTATCTGCAAAATGGGGACAATAACACTACTTTCTTCAAGGGTTGTGAGGATTTAATTATATCATGTGTGTGGGTTGGGCACGGTGGCTAATGCCTGTAATCCCAGTGCTTTGGAAGGCCAAGGCAGATGGCTTGAATTGAGCCCAGGAGTTCGAGACCAGCCTGGGCAACATGACAAAAGCCCACATATATAAAACATACAAAAATTAGCTGGGTGTAGTGGCGTGTGCCTGTAGTCCCAGCCATTTGGAAGGCTGAGGCGGGTCGAGCACTTGAGCAAGGAGGTTGAGCGAGAGGTTGCAGTGAGCTGTGATTGTGCCTGTGTACTCCAGCCTGGGTGACAGAGGGAGACTCTGTCTCAAAAAAAAATAAAAAAATAAAAAATAAGCTACTTAACAGTGTGTCTGGCACCCCATAAGCTCCTAGTAAGTATTGACCGTTATCAAAAAACAGCCACTGGAAGATTTTGGTTTCTAGAGCAAACCTTCTAATATCAGCTTCTTCCGTGTTCTTAGTCTTCTCCTCTGAAGTCAAGTACAAAGCTTTGAATAACTGAGAGTTTGAGTGTGTTGAATGCTGGTTAACCAAGAGTTGACTCCCCTGCATTTTGTCATTTGTGGATGTTTATGGACAGAATTTGCAAGGGGCCTGGTGGGCATCAGATGGCACTTGTCTTGAGCACATTCATTCTGAGGGAAGGAAGTAGATGTATTAATAGTTTCCCACATAATGGTCACCACCCTCAAACCATTAAGGCAATCCAGCTTCTGGAAAATCCAGGTCAGACAATAACCTACCAGAAGTAGAAGGAACTTCTTCCAAAAAAAAAAAAAAAAAAAAAAGAAAATCTAATAGGTTTTATCTGAGATCATCAGGGAATATATTTTTCTTGGAGATGAATAAAAAAGAAGCAACTGTTCCATCCACACAAAAGTAATAAATAGTAATAAAATCTCCTGTGAACAGCCGCTTCTTAGTAACCTGAACCTGGAAGATGTGGGTTCAAAGTCACGGATAGAAAGATATTAGACGCATCACAGAGAAACACAGAGAACATGGAGAACTTGGTTATGGATTTATGGCATGTTTATCAGGCTGAATATTTGCTTTTTAAGGGCCTCCCCACCATTCTTTGCAAAGAAAATGTGGCTTTAGAGAATGTTTCAACTCAGCCTCCTGGAGGGTGGTGGGGGAAGGGGATAGGGGAGGCAGAGGGGCTGTTGATCTCATGTTGGAAGAGCAAGTGAGCAGGTGAACTTGCTTGAGCCTCAGCCCCTTTGCATAGGAAGTTAACTCAAGAGTCGTGGTGTTAGGTCAGCATCTGAGCAAGTGTGCCTTCTGGAAGAGAGGTCTTAGAGGGGGTTTTACCTGAAGCCAGCTCCTGAGTTCCAGGCTATGGAGTCCTTGGCACGTTGGTAATGGAACCACTTCTTCCTTGACTCTCACCTCTCCCCCCACAGCCTCTGATCCTGTCTGCACCTCCCTGCCCTTGAATCTTACTGTCTGGTAACCTCTGCTCTGGGCTGGCCATCCAGTCCCCTAACTGTATGTCTCCCAGGCTTTCTTTCAGTGGGTTCTCTGCCTTTACCAACTGCCCATACATGGAGCGCGTTACTTTGTCCCAGGTCAAACAATTATCATTATCTCAGTTCTCATAATAACGTGCAATTGAGTACTCACTGTGTGCTTATTGCTAGGTATTTCACAACAATTATCTAAAATCTTTACAAAAACCCAGAGAGGTGGGTATTTGTAGCTCCAATTTTTAACGTAAGATTGAAGCTCAGCTTGCTTACTTGATGCTTACTCTCTTCATGGTGCTATAACAAAATACCTTAGACTGGGTACTTTATAAAGAACAGAAATTTAATTCTCACAGTTCTGGAGTTTGGTACGTTCAAGATCAAGGTGCCATCAGATTTGATGTCTGGTAAGGGCTCACTCTCTGCTTCCAAGATGGCACCATGTTGTTGCATCCTCAAGTGGTGGAAGGGACGGAAGGAACAAACTTGCTCCCTCAAGTCCTTTTATAAAGGCACTCATCATTCATAAAGGTGGAGCCCTCCTGGCCTAATCACTCTGAAAGGCCTCACCTCTTGAGACTGTTGCGTTGGGAATTAAGTTTCAATATAAATTTTGAAAGAGACACAAGCATTCAAACCGTAGCACCTGATTTGTCCAAAATTGCATAGCTAGTTAGTGGCAGAGCCAGAATTATATCCAAAACCTGCTCTCCAAGAGCTGGGGTCTTTGCACAACCTCAGTAGTCTTCAACTCCATGTCATCAAGGGAGTTTTCTCAGAATAAAGTCATATAGAAGGTAAATAAATGCGGAGCTGCTGTACCTTATCATATGTTTACAATGAGGCATTCATTTTAAGTTACCTGCTAGATAAAATTTATTAATCAATTTACTAATTAATATCAATTAATTAATTAATTCATTTATTAATTTAATTAATTCCATAGAATTGAGTTATTTTTGAGCACATACCTTCTTGTTGTAAGTGAGACCCTGGGCAACTAACTTACCCTCTCTGGGTTTATAAAATGGGGATAATAAGGCCTCCTTGGCAGGTTGTAGTTGGGTTTAGAGAAGGTAATGGTGTCAAGTGCCTGGTACCTGGGAGGCACTGCATAAATGGTGGTTATTACTATGATTTTACACTTAATTTTAGTCAAAATATAAAGATCATGAGGATTAATTTCTAATTTAATTAGTGACCTAAAAGGATGTTGGTGTCCTTTAAGCCACCAGAATCCAGATGAAACTTCAGGGCTCTCCAGCCGTGCATGATAGAGAAGGTCCCATCCACCTGGGAGAATGTGAAGGGTACCAGGACATGTTTAAGTCTGTGGAGGGACGTGCACACCTGCTTTTATGAGCCAGGGACCCTACCCACAGGGGAATGATTCTGGAATGGGATACTTACATAAGTAACATGGCTTCTCAGTGCTTTGGAAAATTCTTCAGTTCCACAGCCCCTTCTGGCAGCGCTAGGGGGCTCTGATTTTGACATTACCCTGCATAGTAGATCGGTAGGTAACGTTTATTACTCCTTACTGTCTTTCTTAATGGCTGAATTCCCGGAAGTTAGTATTCCTGCTTCAGGCTGCTTTTCAAGATGTGACTTTCACTTGGAACAACTTGGAACAGAGCCAAGAGCTGGACTTTAGGGAGGGACTTGGGACACGAAATGCTGCACTAGGGATGAGGCTCAGGAAGAGAGGAAATAGCTCCATTCCTTTGCAGCTGCCACTCAAAGAGAGCAAGCTGTTTCTTCTTTCCTCTGGGGTCCTCCTCTTCCTGCTGCCACATGTTTCCATATGGATGTCCTACGAGAGCCATGGAGACCTGCAGTTACCCATGAGTATTTGTTAGTGTTCCTAGCAGATGCATAAGGAAGAGAGAAGGCAAGTTTGTCAGGTGGGGCCTCTGGTTACATGAGGCATTTCCCATGTGGAATAATGGACTTGGAGAAATTGTGTATGCCTTTGGGCTGAGCTAGGCCAAGTGACGTCAAGGACATTTGAATATTAATTAGGGCATATAAAAGCTGGAAGGGACTCACAGTCCTAATCATTGATTTAGAATGATAGCATTTTATATCTGGAATTTAGGAGACACTCCAGGGTTCTGGGAAGCTGTGACTTGTCCCAACATATATTTCTTGAGTGTATTAGTGAGGGCACTTGGCTGCAAGTGAAAGAAACTCAAATTAGTTTAAGGAAAAACACAAGAGCGGAGGAGAGGTATTGGCCCATGTGCTTGAAAAGCCCAGGGGTGGATCTTGGGCTGTGGGCATGGCTGGATGTCCCGAGCCTTGGTCTCTTTCTTTCCATTTTAGATCCTTGCTCACTTCTGCACTGGGTTCAACACCAGGGGACTTTTCTGAATGGTGACAAAGATGGCCACTGGTATGTCTCTGTTTTCACTATTCTCAGAACTGGTGATCCTAGAAAAAAAGAGTATCAAAATTCCAGCCCAGCTACGAGGAATGACATGACTGACCTGGCTTGGGCCACAGGCCTGTTTCTTGAAACAATTGCTTCATCCAGAATTCTGATTGGCACCGTCTCTGAAACCATAGCTTGGTTGGAGAATCTGGGATGTCCTTGCTTTCTCTACAGTGACAGAATTTTTGCCACAGTTGCCAGTGGTAGGTGGAATAATCCCCTGCCACCCCACCCAAAAATGTTCACATCCTAATTCCCAGAACCTAGGCATCTGTTATGTTTCATGGAAAGCGTGGGGAGGGAGAATTGAGGTTGCAGGTTGAATTAAGGATGCTAATAAACTGTTCTTAATGAGATTAGCCTGGATTATGCAGGTGTGCCTTGTGTAATCACAGGGCCCTTAAATGGGGAAGAGTGAGGCAGACAAGAGGCAGAACCAGAGAGAGGGACTTGGGAAAAAGACTCACTCAGCCATTGCTGGCTTTGAAGATGGAAGGGGACCAAGACTTAAGAAGGGCAGACCACTAGAAGCTGGAAGAGGCATGACAATAGATTCTCCCCTACAGCCTCCAGAAGGAACCAGCCCTATTGACACCTTGATTTTAGCCCAGGGAGACCCACTTTAGACTTCAGGCCTCTGGAACTGTAAGATAATAGATTTGTGTTGTTTCAAGCTGCTAAGTTTGTGGTGATTTGCTATGCAGCAATAGGAAACTAATATACTGTCCCAAATAAAAAGGACACTGCTCCGCTTTCCTGCATCCAGGTGTGGCCACGACTAAGTTCTGGGCATAGGAGGAACAGTTGTGTGGCAGCTTCTGGCAATGTTAGACCACCTCCCTCCCTTCATCTCTCTTTCCCACTGCTGCCTAGACAAGCATGCTAACTGGATCACAAGGATGAGGCCATACCCTGAAGAGAATGGAGGCGTGAGCTGGAAGGAGCAAAGCCACAAGACCAGCCTTGGGGTTCCCACCGCCACACCTTCACTTGGGCAAGAAATAAACTTCTATCTTGTTCAAGCCGCCTTTTTTTTTTTTTTTTTGAGATAGATTTTCACTCTTGCCCAGGCTGGAGTGCAGTGGCACAATCTCGGCTCACTGCAACCTCCGCCTCCCAGGTTCAAACCATTTTCCTGCTTCAACCTCCCGAGTAGCTGGGCTTACAGCCGTGCGCCACCAAACCCAGCTAATTTTTGTATTTTTAGTAGAGATGGGGTTTCACCATATTGGCCAGGCTGCTCTTGAACTCCTGACCTCAAGTGATCCACCCACCTTGGCCTCCCAAAGTCCTGGGATTATAGGTGCGAGCCACTGCGCCAGCCATGCCAGTTATTTTAAGTGTTTTCAAAACTCACAGCTGGAGCCAACCCTAAGTACTGTAGAAAGAAATGGCCTTAACTGTGACATTTAAGGAGACCCAACAGACCCAGTGTCTCCAAACACAAGCTAGGAGCATCCTGAGGATCTCCCGGCGGTGGTTCAGGAGCTGTCGACTCAGTCCTTGGCTCCCCTTGGTGTCTTTCCCATTGGATGCTGCAGTCTTGGCGTCCCTGCCCTCGTCTCTGTCTTGCCTCTTGCTGTTGCTGCTGGTGTTTATTCTTAGGCAACCCTCACCATCCCTGAATCAGCCTGGCTCTCTGGACTCTGTGCGGCTTTGGTGAGTATCTGGTGAGCCAGCTCTGGTCCTATGGAATGTACTCCCACCCTAGTTGGCCTGCCCCCACACCCCACTCAGAGAAAGCTAAATAAAAATACAAGATGTAATTAGCATGGAAGACCTTGTCTTAGGTCTCTGGGTGTGACTTCACGGGAAATGCATTGGTTATAATAGCTAACATATACTGAATGCTTACCATGGGACAGAAAATTAAGTGAGTTTTTTTTTTTAACTTTATTTTATCATCAGAGCAACAGTAGGAGGTAAGCACTAGCGTTATCTCCCTTTACAGGTAAGAAAACTGAAGCTGTGCTAGTAGGGAAATTAAATAATTATCTGAGATCACTCATCTGTTAAGTGGCAGAGGCAGTGTATAAACCAGGCAGTCTGATTCTGGAGCCCATGCTGTGATAGATCAGTGTGCTACCTCTCAAGCCCGGTGACTTTCATCTTCTGAGTAGCACCTCATGTAATAAAATGTTTAGACAATCATGACAATGGCTTGGAGCACCAGGCAGGGCTGCCATGTCTGGTTGGGTGGACTGTGCACTGCACAACTCAGGAGGTGCCATCCGCATTGTCATATGCCAATTGTAACCCCTTCAGTTGTGCAGAGGACAATCCACACAACCACATATGGCCACTCTGAGGCCTTGGGGCTTGCACAAGCCGATAGCAGGAGGTCACAGGGAAACGCCAGGAACTCAGTTGAGGAGCTATTAAAAACTTCTTGGGTGTTGGTGTTGAAAATTAGGAATCAGGGAAGTAAGCCAAGGTAATGGGAGACAGGAACACGGAGGACTCTTGCTGGGGCATCCTGACAAAATGCTGGATGGTCTCTTCCACACTCAGACCTACACTAGATGACTTTTACAAAGGGGGGAGGGGAGGGGCTAGTTTTGTTTTTGCATCATAAAAATAAGACACGCTTATTAAAGGCCATTTAGGAAATGTAGAAACATTTAAGTAGCTTAATATTTTAAATAATAAAATATTAGCAGTTGTTTGTCCTGTAACCCAAAGAAAACCACTGTTAATATTTTATTGTATTGGCTGTATCTTCTCTAGGGTTTCTCTCTCTTTCTATTCATATTTACATCGATATCTATACATAGAGTGAGAGCTCTCTCAAGGGGGAGAGATCAATATATTATTTGTACATGGTTGATCCTGCTAGAAATATGAATATTATTTGTACAATTTTCACCTGGCCTTCTAGAAACAGTTCAGATGGGACTGTGCTCAGTTTTGCTTGTCCGGGAACCTCTTAAAGGCTCTACTTGGCTGCTGGCACAGGCTATGGAGGGGGTTTGGAGAACTAGTAGGCCATAGGATGGAGAGGCTCTAGTAGGTTTGAAGCGGAGAAGCAGGAGCAATCCTTGGGTTGGAGAATCCAGCCCAGTCCAACATAGGGTCCTGGTGGTGAGGGGCTCACTGAATCCCAGAGGCCAGTGGAAAGTCTTGAGCCTGCTCGTACACCAGGGGGGTTGGTGGCCTCCCTGATGATGAAGTCTTCCTCCTAAAAGAGACCTTCTGGGGATGTAGTTCAGCCTCCTCCCTCCTCTTCATTACCTTCCTAGCCCACCTTAACAGCACAAACACATTTTCTAGCTGAGGAAACTATGCCCTAGGGAGGTAAGTTGACCGACTTGAGGTCATACAGAGAGTCAGTGTCATACTGGGACCAGAACTCGGGGCTCCTGACTTCTTTCCAAGCCTGCAAATGTGTGCTGTTGAAGACCAGTCTTCCTCCTGAAAGAGTCCTTCGGGGTCCCTTGCTCTCGACTGAAGAACATGCTGGAATAAAGAACCACATTCCACATTGCTCTGGAATAAAGAACCATGTGCTCTGTAATAAAAAACATTCCATGGTCAAAGCAATGTGGGAAGCCTGCACATTGCAAATCCTCTCTTGGAGGTTCATAAGCAATTTAGCTTACTAAAGTCTCAGAGAAGGCCTGCAGCAAAGAAACCTGTTTAACTTGGTTCAATTCATTGTTTCTTGAACTTATGTGGGAAGTTTCCATTGTTCATGTAGTTATGCCTTGAAGAACATATGTTGGGAAAGAGAGGCTGTGTTACGCCACACTGCCTGTCCACTGAGGCCAGAAAGGATACCTGAGGACACAGGAAATGTCACACTGGGTGAGAGTACCATCCTTCCAGCCTAGGAATTTGCTCTCTGATAGGGCCACCAAGAAAAGTGTTGCAATAGCATGTGGCTGCCCTTTGCTGAAGCCAAGCTTAGAGGGCAGAGATGTTTTTTTGTTTTTTTGTTTTTGTTTGAGAGGCAGTCTCACTCTGTCACTCAGGCTGGAGTGCAGTGGTGCGATCTTGGCTCACTGCAACCTCCACCTCCTGGGTTCAAGCGATTCTCCTGCCTCAGCCTCCTGATAGCTGGGATTACAGGTGTGCGCTCCCATGCCTGGCTAATTTTTGTATTTTTAGTAGAGATGGGATTTTGCCATATTGGCCAGGGTGGTCTCAAACTCCTGACCTCAGGTGATCCGCCCGCCTCGGCCTCCCAAAGTGCAGAGATTGCAGGTGTGAGCCACCGTGCCCGGCCTGAGACAGGATTTTCTTAGCGGCCTAATAGCTTTAAATGATACTGTGTCTCCAAGGGGATTTAAACTGAAAATTCCAAGTAGCTTACATTAAGTAAGTGCCATGTGAGCACTTTCTTGCCTGTCGTGTTCATCTCTGTATCCTCAATGCCTTGAACAGTGACTGGTACACAGTAGATACTCAATAAAGACTTGCTGAATAAATGGAATGAAATTTCCAGTTACTTTTGGAGGCTACATAGAGTTCCAAAATAACTTTCCTCTGCATGACATAAAAACTTTAACTTTCCTCTTCCAGGCTGTGAGATTTGCAACTCACTATTTAGATTTAACAAATGCTTATGCAATACTTAATGCATAGAAACCCTATGCTGGGTATATTCTCATGTAAAAAATCCCTTAATTAATATTGTCAGTGACCCTGTAAAGTACAATGGCAAAAATGGCTATTACTTTTGCATCAGCCTAACATAATCTCAATTTTCCAGGTGAGGAGGCTGAGGTTTGGAGGTGTTAGTTGACTTAGCCAAGGTGGTGTTCTTAAGTGTTGAAGTGAGATTTATGAGCCCATAGCCACAGCCAGGAGCAGCTTATTTATGGAGCTTCCCTGGAATGATAAAAGTAGACTTAAGATAAATCAACAAGAGGCAGGTCCCAGATGAAGTCTCCTCCAGGTTATAAAGAAAGGCACTTCCTCTTCTGAAAAGTTGTCTGCAGCAAAGACTGGTTATTATGACTCTCCTGGGCACCAAATAGGGACTCTAGGCCACCTGTTAAGTGTCTTTGTGGAAAATTATTCTGCTTAAAGCACAATAACTCTGAGAATTGAGAAACATGAATAGTTCCCAGCTGATGGAACAGCTGAAGCACTAAGCCTCCCCAAGCCTTGGTTACAGCAACACAATACCATAACACAACAGCATGACTTCAAATTTCCCCATCCACTCAGTAGGTTGATAGTTCTTTTTCCACCCAACACATTGAATGCCCAGGTATTGATCTTACTAGTGCTAGAGTAACTTTTTCATTTTTAAGAATTAAAAAAAGACAGCCATTGTAACACCTGGTTGCCTCCTGAAAACAGTGTCTATGCCTCTGAGCCAGCACAAAGTGCTGTTAATTACACTTTGTTCAAGAGAGAGTGTCTGGCTGGATGGGAAGATTATGTTTCAATATATTTGTAGGATGTTTGAGCTGGGAGGAGCCCTGAGATCAACTTGCCTCTCATTTTACAGAATAGAAAACTGAGGCTCCTAGGCCACCCAAGGTCATGCTCTTGATTCTTGGGGCAGTTTTTTAAAAACCGTGCTATCTGAAATATAATCTTGGCTTCATCAACTCATACTGTGTGATTTTAAGCAAGTACTTAACCTCTCTGTTCTTTAATCATATGTCAAATGCAAGCAATAAGAGTTACCTACTTCATGGAGTTGGAGTAAGGAGTACATGAGATTTTGCCTGTAAAGTGCATTTCCAAGTGCCAGACACAAAAAATTGCTCAGTAAATTAGAATTTTAAAATCCTTACCAATATTGTCATTCTCCCCCCCTTTTTTCCCCCTCTACAACTGCATAATCTCCCTACTTGGGGGAATGAGCTCTGGGAAGGAAGGGGCTCTCTCTGTTTTTCTGCCCCTTGCAACTTGGAGATCAAGGAAGAGCACGTTAGTGGTGTTTATAGTAGGAGTTTCCCTGCATGCTAGTTTCCATGTCTGCAGGACATACAGTGTTCTGTGAGATCCTGAATGCGTTCCCCAAAAGTTTGTGTTGAAAACTCAATTGCCAGGCATAAGAATGATACAATGGACTTTGGGGGCTTGGGAGGAAGAGTGGGAGGGGAGCGAGGGATAAAAGACTACAGATATGGTGCAGTGTATACTGCTTGGGTGATGGGTGCACCAAAATCTCACAAATCACCACCAAGGAACTTACTCATGTAACCAAACACAACCTGTACCCCAATAACTTATGGAAAAATAAAATATTTAGGTACTCCAAAAAAAAAAAAAAAGAAAACCTAATTGTCATTGTAATAGTAGTAAGAGGTAATTAGGCTATGGGGACTTTGCCCTCATAAATGGATTTAATGCCATTATAATCGGAGTGGGTTAGTTATCTCTGGAATGGGCCCCTGATAAAAAGGATGAATTCAGCCCCATTTTTCTCTTTGTCTCGTGCACTTGCTTGCCATGTGGTGCCTTCTGCCGTAGCATGACCCTTGCCTGATGCTGGCACCGTTTCTGGGCCTTCCCAGCCTCCAGCACTGTAAGCCATATAAACTTCTATTCTTTAGAAATTACCCAGTCTGTGGCATTTTGTTACAACAGCAGAAAACGAACTAAGACACTGGGCTTTTCCTGAGTCTGAGAAAAGTAGCTAAATCCACTCACATTAAGGTGACAGTGATAACGTTTTATTCCTCTCAGGAGTAAAACATTACTCCTGAGAGGAATGCCTAGGAGACGATATTTAATGCAAAGTAATTCATTTCCAAGGGCGGTGGGGAGGGCTGTCAGGTAACAATGCCAGGGAGATGGGAGACAGAATTTGGATCTTGGGGCTGGGTCTTCCTGGTGCCCCAACAGTAAACCTACAGAAGATGATTATCTGCTTGGCCCAGGCCCAGGGCTCCCCTTGCCGGCCGCTGGGGTTGTGATGTGCTCTCACAGGGAGGACTTTCTGCCGGGGAATCCAGGCCTGAAAGAGCTGCTTCTTGGTGGTGGGAAGGAGGAATCAAAGCCCCTGGGGTGTGGGCTGCACTATACGGGCCTGGACAGGCAGGTCGAATACTGTGAAGCTTTATTGTTTCTGAGACTCTACCTGGGCTCAGGGTTCAAAATCAAAAGCTTCCCGCAGGTAAGATTAGCTAAGTGAAAACCACTGCACTTTCTCTAAAGTAGAATGGCTTAAAAACCAAAGCAGAGGGCGCGGTGCCTCACGGCTGTAATCCCAGCACTTTGGGAGGCCAAGGTGAGTGGATCACCTAAGGTCAGGAGTTTGAGACCAGCCTGGCCAACATGGTAAAACCCCTTCTTTACGAAAAATACAAAAATTACCCAGGTGTGGCGGTGGGCACGTGTAATCCCAGCTACTTGGGAGGCTGAGGCAGGAGAATTGCTTGAACCCGGGAGGCGGAGGTTGCAATGAGCCGAGATCACACCAGTGCACTCCAGCCTGGGTGACAGAGAGAGACTCCGTCTCAAAAACAAACAAAACAAAAAAAAAATCAATGCAGAGAAAAATATCACCATAAGCACCATTGGCAAGATAGTCCATTTAAATAGCGCAAATGGGTTTTAATTTTATGTCAATGTGCTAACAATTCAACATTGAAATAATTTTTTTTTTGTATAAGACAATTATCTGTGCAAGACAGAAACGCAGGAGTGCCCTTTTGTCTTTCTCCTCTTTGCCCCCTATTTTGAATCCAGCATTGAGTCGTGCTGTGCTTCTAGATAGCTCTGGAAGCTCTCCACTTCTCTTCCCAGCAGTCCCACTGCCTCCATCATTGCTATACCGGATATTGCAGCGGCCTCCTCCATGTCCTCTCTGGGCCCCTCAGTATCAATCCAGTATTTATTGCAGTATCTCCAAGAATTTGCACACAATATGATCCATTGGCATGCAGGCAGAAGCCATTAGTATTTTGATTTTTATTTATGTTAAAATTAAGAAAGCAAGCTTTCCTGACATTCAATGACTGGCTTGACTGTGGCTCCTTGCCCAATTCTTCTGTCAGCCAGTCTAAAGTCATGTTTGGTTCAAGAGGTATCTGGGGACTCCAGAACAAGAGTGTGTTTTCAGGGAGCCCGCGTGGTTTTGTTCGCTCTTGTTGTGTTGCAATGAACTGCAGTTTGTATCTTCTCCAGGAGAATGCTGTTCGTGGATTACATTAAGTACTTCCAATTAAACGAACTTCCAAAAACATAGACAAGCAACCTAAAAGGATTCCTGCATCCTTTTTGAAGATTAAAGATACAATTATGCACTGTATAATAATGCTTTAGTCAATGATGGACCGCATTTATGACCGTGACAGTGACAGTGTCCCATAAAACTGGCTCATGTCTGTAATCCCAGCACTTTGGGAGGCCGAGGTGGGCAGATCACCTGAGGTCAGGAGTTCGAGACTAGCCTGGCCAAAATGGCGAAACCCTGTCTCTACTAAAAATATAAAAGTTAGCAGGGTGTGGTGGCATGTGCCTGTAGTCCCATCTACTCAGGAGGCTGAGGTAAGAGAATTGCTTGAACCAGGGAGGCAGGGGTTGCAGTGAGCTGAGATTGTGCCACTGCACTCCAGTCTGGGCAACAGAGTGGGACTCTGTCTCAGAAAAAAAAAAAAAAAAGCCAAAAAGCAAAAAAAAAAAAAAAAAAACTATAACGGAGCTCAAAAATTCCTATCACCTGATGAAGTCATTGCTGTTGTAATGTAGTAGTGCAACACATTACCTTTTCTGTGTTTAGATACATGAATACCATTGTGTTGCAATTGCTTACAGTGTTCAGCACAGTAGCCTGCTGTACAGGTTGTAGCCTAGGAGTAATACGTTATACCATATAGCCTAGGTGTGCAGTAGGCTAGAATATCTAGGTGTATGTGAGTATACTCTATGATGTTCGATGACAAAATGGCCAAATGACACATTTCTCAGAATGTTAAGCGTGACTGTAATACTACAGGCAAGGAAAGGGCAACAATAAGCTAATCAAAAATACGGGATGAAATGTGGACAAATATCTACTATTGTTCATTAGCAACAACTCTTACCCTAAGTATATATTGTCCTTGGTGATATTAACTAATGATAACATGCAGTCATAATTTTCAAGACTTAAATCATTTCACTAGGGAAATATTCAAACACACATAAAATAGAAAATATAATCACGAGGCTGGGCATGGTGGCTCATGCCTGTAATCCTAACACTTTAAGAGGTCGAAGTGGGAGGATTGCTTGGGGCCAAGCATACAAGACCAGCCTAGGAAACATAGCAAGACTCTTTCTCTACAAAAATAAATAAATAAATAGTAAATAAAATTAGCTGGGTGTGATGGCATGTGACTGCAGTCCCAGCTGCTCAGGAGACTGAGGTGGGAGGATCATTTGAGCCCAAGAGATCAATGCAGTGAGTTATATAGTCCAGTCTGGGTGAAACCACTGCACTCCAGCCTGGGTGAAAGAACAAGATCCTGTCTCAAAAAAAGTAATTAATTAAAAAAAGAAGATATAATTATGACCCTCATGTGCCTATCACTCAACTTCAACAATTATCAACACATTGTCAAGACTTCAAAAACTATTTTTTGTTAGCTCCCTTTAAAAAAATTTCTATATTTGTATGTTTTATAATGTACATAAACTATACCATATGTGTGTGTGTGTGTGTGTGTGTGTGTGTATATGTGTATATATATATATATATACATACATTTACATAAACCAAAGGTGTGTACTCAAAACTTCATCACTTGTGAGGGTGTGTAGTCAAATGGTTAGAGAAGTCTGCTCCATGCTGCCGTCAGGAGACATTTCCAGTGTGCAAATTTGATCACGTTGCTCTGTCTTGCATATCACTCAGTGGCTTCCCATTGCTTCTAAGAAAGTTCTGCAAGGACTCACCTAAGTCTCTTGCCTCACTCCCCACCTTGCTTTCTTTGCTCTGGCCCCAATGCCAGTTTGCAGGGCAATATGTGCCAAATGCACATATTGGCGCACGTTTCCTCTTGCCCAGGGTCTCTGCACATTCTTCCTTCTCTGCTTTCCTTCTCAATGACAGTTTCACTTCCTTAGGGAATCCTTTGATTCCCTCTAGTCCAGATCTGGTCTCCTGAATGTGAGCCATTCTTATGGAACTGAGTTATTTTCCTTCATTACATTTGTCTCAGTCTGTCACAATAGATTCATTTTAGTGATGGCTAATGTCTCTTCCTCTAATCTCCAAGAAGATGCTACACATGACCTTTTCTACCTATCCCCAGTGTCTAATGATGTGGCCAGCACATAGTAGGCATTCAACAAATTATGGATTAAATGAAAGCTTGTCATTGTTCAAGGTTAAAAAAGTGTAAAGGTCACATGTAATCCCTGTGAACCAGTTGGTGGATGAATCATCATTGCATAAGTTCAACACTGGAAGAGATAAAGAACAATACAAGACAACAATTCAAGTTCACGGGCGGTGTGTGGTTAATTGCCAAACAGGCACAGTGGATGTCAAATGCACTAGGTTCAAAGAGAGAACACTGTGGGGTGGGCTGGGCTGATTTCAGATGGTATTATCCTTTGAAATATAAAAGCCACATGTGAACAAACACATATTGATGTCCTGGAATCTGAACTTCTTGCTTGTAATACGGAAAGCATGATTTAATTTTGATTTACAAGAGGCTCTAATTTGACCCTGAAGTCATCATGATAATGTCATCTTCCCAGCTCATTCCCACGTGAATGAAATCTGCTGTTTTATCAGGCTCTGCATCCACCAAGCCTTGAAGATGGGGCTGTGGTTTATCAGCAATAACATCTTTCCTTAGGTCTTGCAAAAGTCCCTCCAAGTCTGACTCTTGACTGAGCTTTCATATTTTTTTTGCGGTTTTGTAATAAAGAGATTTGTTTTTATATGATCTGGTAGAGAACCAACTCTTGGTATTAATTTAGAAGGTTGCAGGCTGATTTGTGAAGCTCGGCCTGACATTCATATGATCTGAGCTTCTTTTTTCCCAACAGAAGCCCTGTTTACATTGGTTTTAGTTTCAACATACACTTGTTTATTTTTTTTTACTGGTTTCTAACTTGTCTCCATTCTCTAGAATGTAAGCTTCATGAAAGCAAGGACCTTAACTGCTGTGTCCCCATTGTAACCTCAGCACCTATGAAAGGGCCTGACACAGCAGGTACTCAATACATATTTGTTGAATGAATGGCTGACTGTAGGGAGAAGGTCTGAAGGAGAGTGGAGTTTATGGTTGCTTTTGAAAGCACATAGGCCAGAAGTCTCTGACTTGCTATTTCAAAATCTCTCATGCTTGTAACTTGAGGGCAGGGGACATTTTTCTCCCCATCTTTTTATTTCCCTACATTGTTTGGCACCAGATGCTTGTTCATAGTAAATGCTGAGAGGACATCAACTAAAGAAATCAAAGAGAATTCTGGATCGTCCTTTGGCCATGGCAATGGAGAAGGAAGAGCAGGTGGGAGAGGACTGGTTTTAAAATGAGCAGACCTAGAGTGAAGTCCCAGTTCTCACTCACAGAACAACGTTGGCAAATCGCTGGACTTCTCAACCTCAGTGTATTCATCTGTATAATTGGCATATCAACAGCAGAAGGCCTTGTCCCAGGGCCACTGCAAGGACTTTATGCTCTTTCTGGGAAGCACTCTGTAAACAGTGAAATGTCTAGAAATGAGAGTCGTGGACTTTGGCCAAAGCAATCGGGAAAGGCTGGGGATTCCCATAGGGTGGTTGGCGATGTTCTTGGCCTTCAGACGGACATTGGACTCAGTCATAGGCTGAAACTGCTGGGTCCAGATTTGCAGGTCTTTTCCTCCATAAGCTCCTCTTGTCACCACCTTCCTTTGTCCCCTCCCTCCCCCACCTCCAGTCTCCCTTTATGCTGGCTCATCAGGCCTGTCTGAATTGCCAGATGAAATGCAACTCCATAGCCTGAGTTATCTAGAATTACATTCCAAAAACATCTCTGCGTTTCCTCAGGGGAGGAAGGAAAACAGAGACCAGGGCATAAGAGGGCATAGAGTACCCTCTAGCCACATTCTACCTTTTCCTTTGTACAATTTGGCCTATGGTTTCCTAAAGAATTTCCCCCAACGATTGCCAGCCCTGTAGATGGAATCAGGAGTCTCCTATTGGGTATGATCTGAGGGGAGTTGGACGACCCTCCCCTAATCTCTCCTATTGGCCTGAAATTCTCAGACTACCTGAACTTTTGGTTTTGAAGCCAATATGTTTCCATTGAAGGTCACAATTAGCCATTATCATCTGAGCTTCAATTCAGGTTATCTGGAACTCCCTGGGCCTGAAACACAAAAGTGGTAACTTTTGATAGAAAAGACAGTAGCAGATGTGGTGGCTCACGCCTGAAATCCCAGCACTTTGGGAGGCTGAGGTGGGCACATCACTTGAGACTAGGAGTTCAAGACCAGCCTGGCCAACATGGCAAAACCCTGTCTCTACTAAAAATAAAAAAAATTAGCCAGGCATGGTGGCATGTGCCTGTAATCTCAGCATCCCAGTTACTCAGGAAACCAAGGCACGAGAATCGCTTGAATCCCAGAGGCAGGGGTTGCAGTGAGCCGAGATCATGCTAGTGCACTCCAGCCCGGGGGACAAAGTGAGAATCTATCTCAAAAAAAAAAAAAAAAAAAGAAAAAGAAAAGACAGAATCAAGACAGTACTGATCATGAAGACTATACCTTCAGGGATCGTTTCTATAGCTCGTTACTTGAAAAGTTTCTCTGAACATGTAGATCACTGGCAGAAACTGGACCCCTTCCTTACACCTTATACAAAAATTGGCTCAAGATGGATTGAAGACTTGAATGTAAAACCCCAAACCATAAAAACTCTAGAAGAAAACCTAGGCAATACCATTCAGTACATAGGCATAGGCAAAGACTTCATGACTAAAACAGCAAAAACAATTGCAACAAAAGCAAAAATTGACAAATGGGATCTAATCAAACTAAAGAGCTTCTGCACAGCAATAGAAACTATCATCAGAGTGAACAGGCAACCTACAGAATGGGAGAAAACTTTTGTAAGCTACCCATCTGACAAAGGTCTAATATCCAGAATCTACAAGGAACTTAAACCAATTTACAAGAAAAAAACAACCCCATCAAAAAGTGGGCAAAGGATATGAACTAACACTTCTCAAAAGAAAACATTTATGCAGCCAACAAACATGTGAAAACAAGCTCATCATCACTGGTCATTAGAGAAATGCAAACCAAAACCACAATTAGATACCATCTCAATGCCAGTTAGAATGGCAATTATTAAAATGTCAGGAAACAACAGATGCTGGCGAGGCTCTGGAGAAATAGGAACATTTTTACACTGTTGGTGGGAGTGTAAATTAGTTCAACCATTGTGGAAGACAGAGTGGCAGTTCCTTGAGAACCTAGAACCAGAAATACCACTTGACCCAGCAATCCCATTACTGGGTATATGCCCAGGATTATAAATCATTCTACTATAAAGACACATGCACACATATGTTTATTGCAGCACTATTTACAATAGCAAAGACTTGGAATCAACCCAAATGCCCATCAATGATAGACTGGATAAAGAAAATATGGCACATATACACCATGGAATACCATGCAGCCATAAAAAAGGATGAGTTCATCTCCTTTGCAGGGACATGGATGAAGCCGGAAGACATCATTCTCAGCAAACTAACACGGGAAAAGAAAACCAAACACTGCATGTTCTCACTCAGAAGTGGGAGTTGAACAATGAGAACACATGGAAACAGGGAGGGGAAACATCACACACCAGGGCCTGTCAGGGGCATGAGGGGCAAAGGGAGGGAGAGCATTAGGACAAATACCTAATGCATTTGGGGCTTAAAACCTAGATGACGAGTTGATAGGTGCAGCAAACCACCATGGCGCGTGTATACTTATGTAACAAACCTGCACATTCTGCACATGTATCCCAGAGCTTAAAGTAAAATTAAAAAAAAAAAAAGGACATCATGGAAGGAGATCCAGGGTAGCTGAGGGTATAAGGGACCTCAAGAACTGAGCCAAGGGGGAGGATAGAAACATTGAGCTAGGGGAGTGGGAGACAGGAGAGGAGGTACTTATAAACTGACTGCATCCCAGATCTGCCTAGAGTGACTCTGGTCTGCCTTTTCAATTTTAAGCCTCAATGAACTGGTTCATTATTAATTAATTGTTATTAATTAGCATTAGTGGAAGTATAGTAACTTTTATTTAAATTTTAAGGTACTCTTTATTTTTTCAAAATAAAATAGTCCTGTTGATTTGTCAGGTTCTCATAATAATGTCATTATAATTTTATCTACTTTCATTATAAGACAATCCAGAGGAGACTGTGATCTCCCAGATAAATAGCCTCTGGGCTCTGCCTCATGTTCCCTCCCCATGCGTGCAGTCCTGCCCCTGCCCTGTTCTTTCCTTGGGCTTTTCCTCTCCCTGGACTGCTTTCACTCTCCAGCTGTACCTGTTGGAATCCTTCAGAGCTGAGCCCACTCTTTATCAGCCCGGGAAAATTCTCATGATTTCTGTGCCACGTCCTGAGGTCCTGAGCAGCACTTACTCATTTGCTTTCTCATGCACCCTCATGTCTGTCCCGTGGCACAGAGTTAAGGGTAAACTGTGTTTTTGTTTTGTTTTGTTTTGTTTTTTTTGAGATAGAGTCTGTCTTTGTTGCCTAGGCTGGAGTGCAGTGGCACAATCTCTCACTGCAACTTCTGCCTCCCGGGTTCAAGTGATTCTCCTGCCTCAGCCTCCTGAGTAGCTGGAATTATAGGCGTGCGCCAACATACGCTGCTAATTTTTGTATTTTTAGTAGAGATGGGGTTTCACCATGTTGGCCAGGCTGGTCTTGAACTCCTGACCTCAGGTGATCTGCCCATCTTCGCCTCCCAAAGTGGTGGGATTACAGGTATGAGCCACCATGCTTGCTTTTTTACTCCACTCCCAACCCTCTCCTCCTGGATGAGTGAGATGCAAGAGAAACTCTCTTCCTTATCATTGTAGACCCCAATTGGTGCTTAATAATATCTGTTTCATTAAGTTGTAGGCAGGGGTGCATAATGGATTTCTATAGTCACTCCAGATGCCTCAGAAAGAAAATACCCACCTCCCTGACTGATGCCTGAAACCCCCCTCATCATCTGTCTAAGGTTTTCATTCATTTCAAAGGTGATGCTTGCCAGAAGTACTATAAGGTTGCAGTCTCCTGGGAATGTCTGAATTCTAGGTCAAACATCCTAACCACAGAAATCCAAAGTGTTCCATATTGAAATAGATGCTATTTACCTAAAATTACACATTGTGTTCCATATTCCATACACTACACGAAGAGGTCACATGATGTAGTAACCAATCAAGCTTGGGCTCTGACCAGTTTGCCTGGGTTCTGATTTGAACTGATTTATTTCCTGATTAAATGGATGAATATTCATTAAATGTGTGGAGCTGTACTGGGCATGTGGTTAGTGCTCAGCAAGGATGGTTGTTATTGTCAGATTATTATTGCTCTTATCCATCTAATCTGAATACGACTCTATCCCTTTGGGCAGCCGCTTCTCTTGCTGTATACCCACTATGGGACCAAATTCAGCACTTTACTGTATTCCTCCTTAAATCAAATTGAATGCCAAAAGTTTTCATGAGAAATGCAGACTTTACTGAAGATTTCTTAAGGAAATCTGGAGTAGCAGATTTAACACGGTGTCACACAGCAAAACTGACCCAAAAAATCCCTTTTAAGGCATCTCTGTTCTTTCCCCAAAGTTCCTCTGTCAACATTAGCAACCTCATCACTCCTCCCTCCCCAAATATTCTCCCACCCCTTTTGGTAGTTTCTCCAGAAATCCAGACATATCTTCTCTGGGATTCACCCTCCTTGGAAGGTAGGGAGAATAGAGTACAAATAATCATTTCCCCTCTCACATTTAGAATGTTAATTAACAGAAAGTGCTATTTATTATATATGTCAAAAATTAAATGTGAATGCCAGATACTCAGAATTTCTGGATGACCCCAGCCTGCAAAACTCATTCAGGTTACCTGCTGGGGCCAGTGGTGTGCTGGAGATGATTCACACGAGCTCACGAGAGCCAATCATGTGCATCTCTTCCCAGCTCTGCTTTCAGTGATGTCATGTTAGTAACTTGAAATCTGCCATGATGGGAATATTTACACCCCTGTAATTGGCAAAAGCTGCAAACCAGGGCTTTCCTCTCCCTAGAGAGTGGGCTGTTAGATATTTATCAGCACACTGTTGCTGTGGCCACTAACACTACATCTTTCACTGTCCTGCAAGACCCCAAAAGTACAATTGCATGACTTTCTGTCCCCCAAATTCTTGGCATTCTGTGGCAAGCATTGAGAGTAAGTGGCTAGGAGAATTGTTCTCAGTTCTTTGAGCTCTATGCCAGCCCAGCAGTCTTTCTCTTTCTCTTTCTCTTCCTTGGCCTTACCACTGTTTGTTTTACTTGGAATCTGAGCTCTTTCCTAGTTGGTGAGCCTAGATCATACCTCAGGCTGTTTCAGGGTCACTTTCTCTCTTTTTTTTTTTTTTTGGCCTAAGGTCCCAGCATGCTATATGGCAGGGGCCTTATCAGTTATGATACAGACTGTGTAAGATTCAATCACAGGAATTTGTCGCTCCATGATGCTGGGGAAGTTGCGTGACTACAAGGATCAGTATTTCTATGAAGTCAGGGTTTCTGCCACAAGCTAGGCTCTCACTGCAGTTCAGTAGTCAGTGATTCTCCACCATGGCTGCACAGTTAAGTCACCTGAGGAGTTCAGAAACTCCCAGTGCCCAAGCTACATCCCAACCAATTAAATCAGATGAGGCCCAGGTATCATCTTGCCTCTTAAGGTCTAGATAAGATTGACTTGGATTCCCATTCCTCAGTTTGTGGAAGGCCCAGTATTCTCCCAGTGGATGATTCATTTTGCATTTTGTGGTCACCTCTGCCCCTGAAATCCTGCCTCTGCTGCACTGGTTTGGTTTAGGATTCATCTTATCAGCCCATGGATGCTTCTCTGTTTCCTAAATCCATCCAGATGTCACTCCCTCAGGAAAGCCTTCCTTAATTCTCCAGACTAGATCAGGTCTTTCTGTTAGATGTATTTTTAAGTCACCCTGTACTTTTCTTTCATAGCAGTTAAACCTATTTGTGATTATGTATTTAGTTTTGTGAGTATTTGGTTAATTAGGTTGTATGCTCCATGCAGACGTGGATTGTATCTATTTTTTCACACCACTTAGACCAAGTGCTTTAAAAACTCATGCTTGGCACATATTAGGTGCTTGGTGGATAATTGCTGAACACCAAGGAGGTACCTGTGGGAAGGGATGAGGCTGGGCCTTAGAACGAAGCTGCAACCGGGAATGAAACAACTGACTCTGACATCTTATACACGTTTCTGGTTCTTTTTTCACTTTCTGTAGACCAGCCTTCTATGCTTCCCAGACTACTTTGTAGGTGAGAGAAGCCACCACACAGCTCCTTAGTTTACATCACTTCCATTTAAGAGACCAGCTCGGGCCAAACCAGACCCTTGTTGCACCAGTTGCTAGGTAGGAGAATATGATGGTCTCAGATTGGTTCAGGTATCCAGCTTTGGTCCAATTAGTACTGTGGAGAGAACAGGAAATGAGGCAAAAATATAGATGCCAAGAGCCCTTGTGAGTAAGGGGTACAGCTAAGGAGTCATAGTAAATGGGCAAATTCCCCAAAATATTTTCACTGTAGCCTATACAGAACCACTATCAAAATTAGAAATTGCCCTATGAGTGGTGATAAAGAGCGGGGAGAATAAGAGAGAAGAGACAGGTGGGCCCAGGGAGCTGAGTGAAAGCAAGGAGCCCCCGCTAGTCAACAGGGGGATAGGTTGGTAGCTTGGCTCCCTGGATCTGATTTTTAGGCTCTAATCCCAAGGGCCTGGAAAGGCCAAATATTCCCAAGACCGATTTCCTGGCTGCCTCTAAGCTTCTCATGCCAGCAGAGGGGAGAAAATCAAATGGACTGGTGCCATTTTGCAGAAAGAAGCTGGCTGGCTCTGGAATGGGCTGGCGTTATTCAGACCTCACCCGACTAACATGAAACTGTCAACAGTGGGGGAGGGTAGAAATGAGAGAGAGAGAGAGAGAGAGAGAGAGAGAGAGAGAGAGAGAACCATAAGAGGCCTGAAACTCTTAAGGACAGAATCAGCTATAGAATAATCATCCTGGGCAGTGAACTCCCTTCCGCGGGGTGAGCTCTGAAGCTCCGAGAGAGCAGGGATCTGGTCCTGTTCATGATTTTGTAAATAACAACTTATCAAGTGCCTGTTGAGGTCAGAAGATATAACAGTGAATAAGACCTAGCCTCTGCCATCATGGAACAGAGTCTAGTGGGGGAGACAGAACACAATCCTGCCATTACAGGACAATGTGGTTGGTGGATGCTCCAAGAGAGGCATTGGTGCCAAGGAGGCACATGGATGTGGTACCAACCCATGGATGCCAGAGAAGGCTTCCTGGAGGAGGTGATACTTAAGTTGGGACAAAATGAATAGGATTTGCCAAGTGGATGAAGGTCATGGTAGGGAGAAGTGTGGGGAATAGGATTTCAGGCAGAGGGAATGGTATTTACAGAAGCCTACAGATGAAAAGGGTGTGGTGTGTTGTCCAGGAACTACAAGTTGTTCAAAAGTCTGGAGCATTGACCGCTGGGACTTGGTGGTTGTGTTGTGCAAATTGTGCTATTCTGTCTTTGGTTTGTGGATGGGAACCTGTTTCCCACGAGTGGAAGGCATCCCCGAATATCACGGGCTTTGACTTCTATGAGAGCAGGGCACGAAGGAGTCACAACGTCTCTGTTAACCTCTTCAGGCTTGGTTGTCTCCTCTGTAAACCAGCTGGGACAAGGAATGTGAAAGCAATTTGCAGGTAGAAGAGGGTGTCATACTTCTCTTGGGTTCTGCTGTAGCTCTGTGTTTGAGGCTGTACTATCAACACTCTTTGGATTATTGAATTGTTGATTTGACCAGAGTTGCTTTCCAGAGCTGCACCCCAACGTCCTGCCCTGTATGTAGATGGCCTGCCCCACCAGTGCCCCGATGGTGATAATTCCTTGGCCTCCTGTCCATCCCCACACCCTGCCAAAAAATACTTCTGACACTTCTGAAAGCCTAGGTACACTGGAGCAGGCTTTCTTTGGGCTTGGGAATGTTCCCATTGTGACATCTGTGGCTCCATGGATGGCCAGGGTGGATTGCTAGGCAGGTGTCCCCTCTCTGTCATACTGTTTTGTTCACGCCACCTCTTAAGCTGCAGCACAAGTGTAGAAGGAGCCAAGGTGGAAGAAGACAACCTTCTCACCTAGAAGAGGTGTAGTCTTCAGTGGAGGCTGCCTGAGTAGTTGGGTTCCTTGCAAGAATCCCATAATCTGCCTGGGCCCCAGTTTCTTTATTCATAACACGTAGAGATTAGACAGATGCTCTTTGACTTCTTTGCCCACATGCTGCCTAAGAGTCCTGGCAGAGGTGGCGGCACGGGCATTAGGAGGGGGTACATGGGTAGAATGAGCTGACGGGGAGGCTATGGGCAGGCCAGGGCAGAAAATTCAAGTCACTAGGACCCAGCTAATTGAGGGAACTGGGCAAGCTGGCTGCCCCTTTTAGTGGGGCCTGAGCTCTCCAGCTTCCACAGTCACCTCCACAGTCCTCCCATGGCTCCTTTGTTCCATTGGCCCCTATGATCGAGGGCATACAATGAACTCTCCAGCCTTAATTCCCTCCCTGATACCCTTGACATTCCCTCTCCCAACTTACCCATGACCTGACTCAGGGACCTCTTCCACCCTCTCTGAGTCATCATGGTTGCCTACATCTGTTGAGTAATTTACATTTGCGGTGTCTGGTCCTGTACTCATATTTTCCACACTTTATCTCATGAAATCCTTATGAAATACCATCTGAAGCAGGTTCTGCCTGGAACGTGCTTCTCCTCGTCTTCATGTGGCTGGTTTGTTCCCACCATTCATGCATCAGCTCAATTATTTCTTCTAACGTTTCACCGCCACCTCCCCCCGGCCCCCAACCGCCCATCACTTTCTATCTCTAAATAGCATCTGTTAAGGAAATGATCCTATTTATTTTTTGTTTGTCACTCTCTCCAGAATGTAAACTCCCCAACAGCAGGGACGTTTTCTGTTTTTCTCACCACTGCCCTTCCCCTCCTCTAGCACCCAGAAGGGTGTCTGGCATATGCTAGGTGTTCATAAACATGTGTTGAATAAAGTAGTGCTGTTATCACCATGTCAGATATGAGAAAACTGAAGCACAGAGAGGCTAAGTAACTTGCAGCTAATATAATGGTAGAGCTGGGGTTCAAACCCAAGTTGCATGTCTCCAAAATAAACACCTTGAACGCTGATACTATGCTGGCCTTGAATGCTGATACTATGCTGGCCTCGTGGTGGTGCGACCTTTGCTTGCTTGATTTCTCTTACTAGGCTGAAGTAGGCTGGATTATTTTTCTGCTCTGGCAATGCCACCTAACTGGTGCTGGACCTTGCTTTTCTTGACGTGGAACATGATTTCTGGGAACTGTGCCTCTTACTTCTCCCTGCCTCCCCTCTGTGTAAATAGTCCCTGGTGAGCCTGAGTGCTTTTTTCTCATGGGCCTGGAAACTACAGGAACCAACACCCTATTTCTCTCTCCACAAGCCTGACTTTCAAGAGGGCTTCAAATTTATCATCACTTTGGGTCTTTGATATCATGGCACTGAGGGTCAATACCAGGATTGAGATTTGATTCCTTGAAAAAGACTCTGGAGGGAAGAAGTAAAATTCCAGAGCCCATTTTCTTGGTCATTTTTAAAGAGAAGTGTAAAAGAAACTCTCTACGGATGAAAGTACGACCAAATCACATATAGAATTGGATAAGGAAAGCAAGAGCAAAACACAAAATTCCATCCCAGTTTGGGGAAGAATCGGAGGGAAAGGGATGTGTCTAGTTCTGTCTTTCTCAGATTTTGTAGCTTTGGCATTTAACTAATGAAGGTATTGAAAGAGGGGAGCTGGGAATGAGGAAAAAATATAGGCTTCCAAAAGATACCGAAAAGAGGTACATGAAGACCCGACTTCACCCTCACAGTGTTTGTGTCTCAGAAAATACTAAGCTAATCCCAGCACTGCGGGATCCTATGCTATAACTTCAAAAGACAAATACAGGTCAATCAAAATGTCTTGATCTCCCCCAAACCCCATGTTTTTTTTCTTTATCTTACACATCCATAAGTCCTTTGTCCCCTGCAAAAGTCAGTCTTGATAAATGCTTTGAGTCATTACTGAAATATACTTCTATATTTAAAATTTTCTCCCACATTGAAACATGAAATCCCTTAAATAAGAGAAGATAAAATCCCAAGGAAGTCTGATTCAGAAATAGAGGCTCCCACGCTTTTTTCTGTCCTTATGTCTTTCCTTCTAAGAGAAATTTCTTTAAAAAATAATCTCAGGAGGCTATATTGCCTGAAACCAAAACAAGCAGCTCAGTCGTCTTCACTGGAATTCTGCCGAGGAGACAGCTAAGGTCTAGCACGTCATTCCCTTGTTGATGCTGCTGGAGTTAGCTGGAGCAAAAGCAGCAAGACATTCAGTACAAGAGACTGTAAAAGGGCTCTTCTTTGTCCTGGGAGTGTGTATAATACACTCGATGAGATCAGATACACGCAGGAGGCATCACAGAGATAGATGGTTCCCCAAGTAACTTTTTTTGTTTTTGAGACACAGTTTGGCACTGTTGCAAGTGGCACGATCTCGGCTCACTGCAACCTCTGCCTCCCGGGTTCAAGCGATTCTCCTGCCTGAGCCTCCTGAGTAGCTGGGATTACAGGTGCAGACCACCATGCCTGGCTAATTTTTGTGTTTTTAGTAGAGATGGGGTTTCACCATGATGGCCAGACTGGTCTCTTAACTCCTGGCCTCAAGTGATCCACCTGCCTCGGCCTCCTAAAGTGCTGGGATTACAGGTGTGAGCCACCACACCTGGTCCCCCCAAATTTTTTTCAACCTTTTTCAATCTCATGGAAATAATCTCCTCAGATGAGATGAAAGAAGAGTGGGAACTTGTCTATTCTTTATATCTGGGAATGTGCCTGGGAGTGCATGAAGCCACAGGATAAACTTACGTGCCTTCCCAAAGTTTATGACGTAAAACTTGGGAAATTTATTTGTTTTTTGTTAAGATAAATATATAGGTATAATACAGAGCAGAAAGCAAAATCAGGTGGATTTTTAAGGTGAAACACAACTTTAAGGAAGTGATGTGCTTGCGATGGGGCATTTGGGGCTCTGCCCCCTCAGAGGTCACATGGGTGATCCTTTGCCATTTGAGGCCATTGGTATGTTTGAGAAGCATTGAGACAATCAACAACATTGGTGTCTTTGGAAAAAAGTGACAAACAGAAGGGGAAGAATTAGTGTGGGCCAGAGAGGAGAAAGCTGGTTGTGCCTAACCAAGGTTTTGTCCAAAGGCAGGGATTTCTCTGGAATGAGGGGGGTGCTTTAGGCTATCACAGCCCAAGACCATCAAATATTTAAATCATATTTTTAATAAAGACTGCCTTTGTTCTGACTTCCTGTTCTTTTGGCAACCTTCTATTGTGATTTGGTCATCCACGTAGTTTTCCAGCAGTGACAGCATTTGGTCTTCTTGGCGGTTGTATTGCTCACTGTAAATCAGTGGTCCTTAATTGGGGGCCATGTTGGCAATGTCCTTGCCATTCAGCAATGTCTGGAGACTTTTGTTTGTCAAACTGGAGGAGGGATGTGACACTGGCGTCTGGTGGGTAGAGGCCAGGGATGCTGATAAACATCTTACAATGCACAGGGTGCCCCTTCCCCACTCCAACAACGAATTCTCCAGCCCAAAATGTCAGTAGCACTGAGGTTGAGAAACCCTACTGTAAATGACAAATGGATATCCCAGTATGTCCATCAGTCTCTTTCGAGTTTAGTTTGCATTTACTGCCGAGAGACCAAACCGCTCTTGGAGAATGATGCAATCAAGTCTCGGCCTGTCAGGCTGATGAGCAGCATCTGGACTCTGCCAAATTCCCTGATTACAGCTCATGACCGCTAGTGTGCCTCCCTCAAATTGAAAATTCTTTCAACTTTCTATTGTCATATTTTAAAATGTTTTAACTTTCTCTCACTTTAAAAAAATTCCGTAAGTAAAACATAAATACACATTGTAGAATTTTAGATAACAAAGGATAGGCAATCACTCTTGTATATTTGCATTCACACAAACACATATAAAGAAAAACATAAATAAGACCATATTCTGTATTTTTTATCATACTTGCATTCTTCAATGATCAGATGTCCATGACAAGACAAAGAGATCTACCTCATTTTTAAAAGCTGCTGCCCATGATATTCACTAGTATGGATACATTATAGTTGATTTAATAATTTATTGATGGGCATTTAGGTTATTCATAATTTTCTGCTATTGTGAACATCTGTGCGAGTATCTTAGTCCATATATCCTTATGCATGTGTATAAATGCGTCTGTAAGGCAAAGTTGTGGGTTAAAGAATTAGCATTTAAATTTTTAACAGAGGCTTCCAATTGCCCTACCAAACAGCAATGTCAGTTTATTCTCCAACCAGCAGGGAATGAGGGTCCATTTTCTCAGATCCTCAACAACACCAGATTTTCCCAGTCTAAAAATTTTGCCTATCTGATGAGTAAAAAATGGAAGCACCAGATCGATGTTTTACTGGTTATTAGGGGGTTTCCACGACTTTTTACATCCATAAGGCTATTTGTATTCCTCTTGTTTTCAAAAGCCCTCATTTCACGAGAAAGAATAGGACAGCTAAGGCTTAGCACGTCATTCTCTTGTTGATGCTGCTGGAGTTAGCTGGAGCAAAAGCAGCGAGGCACTCAGTGAGGATCTAGGTTCTAGGAGACTCAAATTACTTGTCAGCCCAGACTTCCAGGTATCTAGGCTCTAGGAAACTAAAAATGTCCTCTAGACCCCTGGCCCCTAAGGTAAACCCAGCTCCACTGAAGCAGAGGCAGGCAAAGGATTTCTCTTTGTGTTTGAACTCCTGGGCTCTGATTTGACCTACCCTGGCTGGAGCAGGATGATGAGTGGGGAGAGTTTTTCGGGTCCCATACTTTTGGAAAATGGAAGTAATTTCAAATTCTGTGCCTTTCAGAACACAGCCACCACCACCCTCCACCCCAGTGGAAGAGATCACACCTGTAAATTTGTGCTTCTTTCTGCATAGCCTTGAGTAAATTGTCCTTTACTTGAATTTTGCCACTTACTGCATTTGTGTTGTCATATAGTTAGTCATTTCCATTTTTGTCCCTAATCTTAATCTGAAGCCCTGGGAGTTACTCATTCCTGCACCTCAAGTCTTAGCACTGTGTCTTCTCCTGTAGCTGCTCAATAAATGTTGGTGAAAGGGGTGTTTCTCTTCACCTACAGTGGAAAGATCTTTGACTAGAAGGTCTCAGAGCCACTTCTTGATGGTCATCACCTTCACCATGACAAGACTCAGGACAGCAATCTTTTGATAGCAGACTGGCCAAATTCCTGGTAGGCCAAGTCATTAGATAGAAATTTCAGTGGGTTCCCATTTTCCAACCCTGGAAAAGTGACAAGAGGACTATTTTTTTGGTTTTGATTTGTTTTGCTTTGCCCCAGAATAAAATCTAATCCAAAATATTTTTTTTTGTCAGACTGTTGCCAACAAACAAAATTCCACCACTAGGCATTCCTGTTCTTGGCTTGATAAAAATAATTTCCCTTCATTAAAATAATATAGTTTACTTGACCATTTACCCAGCTCCTAGTAATGATTCCATCCTGCTTCTTCTTGGTAGACTTTTTAAAATTAAAAAACATTTTAAGGGAAGGGCATTTGGCACTTTAAAAAGTTCCTTTCAAAAAGCTAAAAATAATGATCAAGGATCACAGACAGTGAGACAGATACTTAAGGTGAAAAAATAAAAAGCACTGTGGCTGGGAGACATGAAGGCATGAGGTTTTAGAGCCATTAATTTTGTGAGTCACAAAACAGAATCTCAAGACGGTGAGAGTAGAAACTCAAGAGTGGTGTTTTTGGGGGACAGTAAGAGCCATCATTCCTTTGAAGACCCAGTTGAGGGTATGAGATGGAACAGCACGTATAGCAGTGGGAGTGTGCAGGCGTCTCCGAGGCAGACGTCCTGGGTTCAAGGCCAGTTCTACCATTATTAGCTGTGTGATCTTGGGCAGGTTATTCAGCCTCCCTGTAACTCAGTATCTGTGGGTTCTTGTGAATATTAAAGGAAATAGCTTAGTACAGTGCTTGGCACATAATGAACCATTATTATTATAAATCCTCTTCATCTTCTTATCGAGGCAGTTAACACCAACAGTCTCTTTGATGTACAACTCAAAACCAGCTGGAGCAGAACTGAGGATTAGTTGAACTTGGCTGGATAACTGCTTAGTGACAGTGTATTTAAATTACTTATATGAGATTTGTTCTAACATTTATTATATTGTTGCAAGAAGAAACTGAGGTTAATAAAATGGTTACATTATTTATTGAGTAAGGAGCAACTCCATATTTCGTTGTAATTTTTACTCTTGCATTTTAATCTTATATTTTCTTTTTCTTGATCAACAAAGTAATATTTGCTCATTGTAGAAAACTATAGAAAAGTTACTGAAGAGAAAACCATTCCATGATTTTTTTTTTTCCTCCTCCAGGAAAAGACAGCCCCTGTGAAAACTTTGTCTCTTTCTAGGCTGTGTTCAAATACAGACATTTTCCTATATACATGTTTTTGGATGTCTCTTGTCTTTTCTGCATAACAACATTATGTCACCACATTTCCTCATAGTTCTTTTGCAAACACTATTTTTAACTGCTGTCTAATATTCCATTGTATTGATGAGACATGTTTTACTCAGCCATTTTCTTACTGTGAGACATTTAAGTTGCTTCCAATTTTTTTTTCCGGTTATAAATAACATTGACATGACTATTTTATACATAAATCATGGTCCATATTTCTAATTGCTTCCTTAAGATAGATGCTTTGAAGTGGAATTATTGGGTTAAAGGGAATGCCAGAGTGATTTTCAGAAAACTTATACCAATTTCTATTATCAGCTGGTTTTTATAAAGCATGGGAATTTTATAAGCTTGCTTTGTGTGCTTTCCCAAATTCCCAGCTCCCTGTTTCACCTTTCGTTCCATAATCACTCAGACCCTATTCCTTTTTTTCCCTTGCTCTGCCAAGTCAGACCGGGCATCATGTTGGACTCACGTCATTCTAGAAAGCAAAGCACGGTTGTCAGCTTACTACCTGGAGGGTGCTAAGTACTGGTGATTTCTCAAAGCCGGGGAATGACACATTTTCTCACATTCTTCCAGGACTCTAAGATGCAGCCAGTGAAGAAGGAGGAGGGTCCTAATGCTAAAAATGACCCAAGGCTCATCACGTTCAGTGGTCTATCATTTCCCAGCCCTTCTCTCCCTCCTTCTCACCTTACTTGGGGAATAGTCAAAGGGGAAAAAAGAATAACAATGATGTTTTTTTTTCTCCTTCTTCTTTTCCTCCTTTTCTTTTGTTCCTTCCTCTTTTCATGTATTTATTTATTCACACACTAACTACCTATTAGATAACAAGCACCCTGCTAGATGCTGAGGTTAAGAGAGAGGTGAGACCAGGTATGTCGGTCAAAGTTCTTGGTTCCAAGGCCCAGTAACTGACCCTAACTAAACTTACTCATAAAAAGAGCCATGACATAAGGATAATGGTCGCTTCTCACAGTTGGTGGGAAGCTGGAGAACTGGGCTTGGGCAAGAGGTAGGAACAAAGGGAGCCGGTCCACCAAGAGCACAGCCCCAGGGCCCGCCCGAGAGCAGCCTGCTGGTGAGGACTCAGAGCTGGCACCACCCTGCTGGTACAGCCACCCTGATGGCCGGAGCATGAATAAGCTCTGGAGGAACTTGCCTCTTGGCTTTCCTCCCTCCAGTTTCTAAGTCCTGGGTGAAAGCTTCTGAGGGTGAGGCCAGGTCACATGCTTATGACCACAGGGGAGGGATTTTCCCAAAATAAGAAGCAGGGGATTCAGATTCTGGGACTCCTTCCTCCCCATACACACAGGTAAATGTCAGTACCTTAGGTCATTGTGATTACATGACTCCTTGTTTAATTGGAGAAGCAGAAAAGTAAACAGATGACTATGATACCATAAGAGGGACAGGTGGCTCACTCCTCACTCCAGGTGGGGAAAGAGAAGACTGAGCAGGTAAGAGGCATAAGAGGATAGAATCTGGAGATTCACTGGAAGTGGGAGGTGATGGCGAGCAAATGAGAGAGAGGGGACACCCAGATTTCAGAATTGAGCTAGGAAATGGATAGTGCAGAGAATCCACAAAGTGAGGGACACAGCGGGAGGCCTGGTTTTGGCGGGGGGAAAGAATATGGGTTTGGTTTTATGTATGCTTAGTCCAAGAGAGCCTAAGTGGAGATGTTTCAACATGGCTGAATGCACATTCATTAATTGATTCAACAGATATTTATTCATCACCAAATATATTCCAGGAGCTGGAGACACATCAGAGAAAAGAGACACCCATGCTTGTCCTCAATGCAGCTTATGTTCTAGGGGAGCTCAGGTCAGGAGCACAGGAGAGCAGCCAGAGATGGACATCTAGATTTGGGGTTCATCCACAGGAGTGAGAGAATTGAAGGTTTGGGTCTGGGTGGGACAACCTGGAAACGTGTAGGAGGGAAGAGAAGAGCAGAGGGCCTTTGATGGAACCTGGGGCACACAGGACTCAAGGAGGAAGAAAAGCTGGCAAAGGAGGCTGAGAATGAGTCGTCATCTCCCGCCTGTGCCCTCTCTAGTTCTGCAAGCTGTGGCTGGGATCTGCTGGGAGTGTGGTTGAAGGACAGGCATGCAAAGGTCCCAGGGCATCCAGGAACAGCTGGCGTGGAGCAGGCTCTTCCAAGTGGCTGTGATCTTCGAATGGATTTGAATATCAGGATGTTCTCTGCTCTACCTCTTTCCCAGATCTTTACCAAATTGTGTCTTGCTGCTCTGCAGTTCTGTAACAAGACCTCATCAGTCACCAGTAAAAAACAAACTTGTTTCTTGCCTCTGGGATAACGGTGCTGTCAAGTGACAAGTGGATGAGGAGCTCCCAACAGAGGACGGCAAAACCTGTGGAATGTGAGGCTGTCTTCATAACCTCCTATTTTGGATTTCCTCTTGGCTGTGTTCATATCAATTTATCTCACCCCACACCCCACAGTACTTGGTGTACCAGTTCTGGAACTACTGGTATTTATTGCTGTGCCGAGGAGGCCCATTGCACAAGTCCTCCTAAAAGAGGCCATTGTCTCGATCACTTTAACATCTCCGCCCTGGGGAGCTTCAGGCTGAGAGATGGGCCTAACCTTCCCTTCTGCCATCAGTCTTCCAGCAACTTAGAATGGGAAAGGAGTTTGGGGGTTGTCTTAGTCAGGGTTCTCCAGAGAAACAGAAGCAACAGAATGTGTGGGGGTACACACACATTTTAAGAAATTGGCTCAACAGACACACGAAGAAATGCTCATCATCACTGGCCATCAGAGAAATGCAAATCAAAACCACAATGAGATAACATCTCACACCAGTTAGAATGGCGATCATTAAAAAGCCAGGAAACAACAGGTGCTGGAGAGGATGTGGAGAAATAGGAACACTTTTACACCGTTGGTGGGACTGTAAACTAGTTCAACCATTGTGGAAGACAGTGTGGCAATTCCTCAGGGATCTAGAGCTAGAAATACCATTTGACCCAGCCATCCCATTACTGGTATATACCCAAAGAATTATAAGTCATGCTGCTATAAAGACACATGCACACGTATGTTTATTGTGGCACTATTCACAATAGCAAAGACTTGGAACCAACCCAAATGTCCAACAATGATAGACTGGATTAAGAAAATGTGGCACATATACACCATGGAATACTATGCAGCCATAAAAAAGGATGAGTTCATGTCCTTTGTAGGGACATGGATGAAGCTGGAAACCATCATTCTCAGCAAACTATCGCAAGGACAAAAAACCAAACACTGCATATTCTCACTCATAGGTGGGAACTGAACAATGAGAACACTTGGACACAGGAAGGGGAACATCACACACCGGGGCCTGTTGTAGGGTACGGGGAGTGGGGAGGGATAGCATTAGGAGATATACCTAATGTTATATGACGAGTTAATGGGTGCAGCACACCAACATGGCACATGTATACATATGTAACAAATCTGCACGTTGTGCACATGTACCCTAGAACTTAAAGTATAATATATATATATAAATATATATAAAAGAAAAAAGTATTTTATATATATATAATATATATATATTATATATTATATATAATATATATAATATATTATATATATTATATATATTATATATTATATATATTATATATATAATATATTATATATTATATATATATATATATAAAAGAAATTGGCTCACATGATTGTAGCGGCTTGGGGAGTCTAAAATCTGGAGTGGGCCGGCAGGATGGAGGCTCAGGGAAGAATTGCAGTCTGAGTCCAACCAAAGGCTGTCGGCTGGCAGGATGCCTTCTTGTGTGGGGAGGCCAGTCTGTTCTATTCAGGCCTTCCACTGATTGGGTGAGGCCTGCCTGCATGATGGAGGGTCATCTGCTTTCCTCAAAGCCCACAGATTTTAATGTAAATCTCATCCACAAAACACCTTCACAGAAACATACAGCATACTGTTTGACCACTTTTCTGGCATTGCGTCCCAGCCAAGTGGATACATAAAGTTAATCATCACAGGGGCCATGGAATCCAGCCCCTTCACTTGATAGGTGGGGAAATGGGGGTCTGGGGGGCTCAGTGATCCACAGGGAGACAGGCAGCAATTCAGTGGGGGGTGGGGGCTGGTGGAGAAAATGTCTCCTGGTTTCCATCCTTCGCTCTGTGCACCCACTCTACCACTCACGAGGGTGGCTCCCCGTGGGCAGAAAGCACCACGTAGACATGGTCTCAGCACATGGTCATTTGGATGTATGGGGTTGGCTTGTTTACAGAGCTGCAGGGTGTATTTTAGAGGAGCACTCTGTTGGCAAGCTTGGTGTGTGTCTTCCAGGATCTTCTAGCTTGGTAACTCAGTTAGAATTCCAGGAAAGTGAGCAGCTAAAACCTGAGGATGTTTTCCTGGCATAATTCTTTCAGTCAAGCCACAAATACTCTCTGCAGTATACATCCCACTCTCTGTCTTGTTTTTTAGGGTTTTTCTTTTCAGTACAGTTTTGAGCACCTGCCTTGTGCCTCAATGAATACTTGTTGGGTGATGAATGATATAAAATTCATCTTGACATTCAGCTTAGGTTTGGAAGACAGTGTATGATTTCTTTACCATGGCCTTGACTCATCTTCTGAATGGTCAGGCTAAGTGCTGCCTCCTTCTCTGTGTAGCCTATTCAGGCACCTGCTCACCTACCACAACCTGCCAGGCCCCTCCTGCTCTGGAAGCATGCTATGTGAGAAATAATCCTAATATCCAAGTCACAGACAGTGGGTGGGCTTGGAAGTGCAGGGCCTGTGATCCCTTTGTGGAGTAGCTGAATTTAGAAGTGACAGCAATTGTGTTCTATAATGAGAATGGTCCTGATCATCATGAGAATAATAGCTGCCTTTTATTGAGAAACTGTCAGGTACCAGCTACTGTGCTGAGCATTTTCTATGCATTTGCTCCCATGTTCAGATCCCTCCTCTGTCTTCGTGTGTGATATGGTTTGGCTGTGTCCCCACCCAAATCTCATCTTGAATTGTAGCTCCCATAATTCACACGTGTTGTGGGAGGGACACAGTGGAAGATAATTGAATCATGGGAGCAGTTTCCCTCCCACTGTTCTCATGATAGTGAATAAATCTCACAAGATCTGATGGTTTTATGAGGAGAAACCCTTTTCACTTGGTCGTCATTCTGTCTTGCCTGCTGTCATATAAGATGTGCCTTTTGCCTTCTGCCATGATTGTGAGGCATCCCTAACCACATGGAACTCTGAGTCCATTAAACTTCTTTTTCTTTATAAATTACCCAGTTTTGGATATGTCTTTATCAGCAGTGTGAAAATGGACTAATACAATGGGTAATTGTGAAACCTGATTCTCAGAGTCAGGAGAAGTTTTCCCATTGAAACAGAGCAGAATGCCCAGGATACACCTAGAATGGTGTCAGCACAACATATGAGACATATGGAGAATGCAGTTGACCCATGAGCCTGCATATATGGTGTCATACTGGAATACTCCCTGAGAAGCGTTGTGTAAACCACATAGGACTAAAGGCCCCTCATTTGCAGACTCTGCTGGGGTTCTTTGTATAGGAGGACTTTATGGAAAATAATAGAGGGGCTTGACTTTACTGTGTATGCCTTGGTTAAAGTAATGTCCCTCAAAAGCCCCTTTGGTACTCAGAGACATGGTTCACCCCTCAAAGTCATAGAAGGATCAGTGATGGGAGCTTGGAGTGAATGGTAACAATAGATGATAGCATCAAGTCAATTATTCAGAAAAACTGACACTAGTGGCTTAAGTACTCAAGCATTTATAATCTCACTTGAGAACTATGAGGTAGGTATTTTGAGGTTGATTTATCAGCTCTAATGTCTCGTCAAGTATCCAGGGTCATTCTTCATTTCTGCCTCTCTCTACTTAGCTTTTGACTGTTGCCTTCAAACTTACTGCTTCTTGGTCACAAGGTGGCTACCCCAGCTCCAGGCATTGCATCTGAATTCAAAGAAGATACAGTGTATGTATTTGTAGGTGGGGTGGGATGAGGTGAAAGCGCTTCTATGTATGACTTCATGCCTGTTCCTTTTACAGGAAACCAAAAAGTTTCCCAGAAGACTTCCAGATGACTTCTCTTTACCTCTCATTAGTCAGAACAAGATCAAATGGGGATCCCTAGGCATAAGGGAGGCTGGGAAAGTGAGCATCTTGGTGGAGAGGAAGATGATGGTCTTAACCATATCAGATATATTTTAATTCATAGTCTTGGAGCAGGTACTTTCCTGAACAAAACTGGGGTTCTGATGACAAGGAAGAAGGGAATCTATGTGAATACCTTCCATAATAATCACTAGCATCATCTCATTCAATCCTTGCATTGGGAATTATTCCTATCCCCATTTCACATAGAGAAAGCTGAGGGTTAGGATGGTGAAGTGATTTATCTGAGGCCACATAGGCTCTTAGAGTGTCCTTATAAGGTGTCCTTATGTTCTTAGGCACCAGACCTTCTATTTCCTTGACACTCCCCTGGGTGCCTGTGTACTTGGCAAATACTAACAGCTTTCTGGTTGAATGAAGAAAGGACAGCACATCCATTTGAGGCAGAAAGTCATGTATTAGGATTCTATCCTGGGACTATGGGATCAACAGATCCTTGTTTTACTGGCAGAAAAGTTGCTTCCCTGGACATTATGGAAATAACTTTAGATTAAAGATCTCTCTGGGAGGAGGTTTCTGGCTGTAAGTAGTGGAGCCAGTGAACCCTGAGGCCATTCTGACACTGCCAGCCCCTGACTTTCCCAATAGCCCCAACCAGGTGAGGAGACAAACTCCCAGTGTGATCAGCACCTCTGGAGAGTTTGCCATTCAATTTGGAGGAAACCACCATGTAGGAGAGGAGCTGACTTCCTCTAAGTCCTTCCTGAGAGCAGAACTAGAAAAAATGATTGAATTTGTCAGGAAGAAGAGTGTCTCACTGGGGAAAAAGTATAGATTCTAGCAGCAGAAAGATCTGGTTTTGAATCCTGTTGTGCAAATTAAGTGAAATATACATATAAGGTGCTTAAAACAGTGCTAAGAACCTAAGTGCTTCCAGGATGTCTCAAATCAAATTAAGGTTGGCCAACTATAGAATAGAATATCAGTAAGATTGAAACTTCCTTATCCTGGAGGTATTCAAACATTTAACTCCTTATTAGGGGTTAAATCACTCAAAAGCAACAGAACCACCACCAACAAACAAAACCAGCTAACGTTTTTTGAGTACTTACTCTAACTCACTATGATTATTTTTTATTGAATATTTATGATGTGCTTGGCACCTTGCTAAGCACTTTATGTGAATTTTCTCATTTAATCCTTATGACAATTTTAGGAGGAAGATATTATTGTTATCCCTACTGTGTGGATGAAAAGACTGAAGTTGAAAGAGGCTAAGAAACCTGGCCAAATTCAGCTGGGGATAGAGATGGGCTTAGAGGTCAGATCTGTCTTTTGCCTTGCCCTATGATGATAATCAGCAGAGCATGTTGTTCCCATGAAATGTACCCTTACTTGGGGGAAGATTGCATGAGATAGTGGTTCCCAGGCTTTCCTGTGTCTTATCAGTTTTCTGGTAAAACCAGGAGCCTATCAGGGCAAATTTTAAAAGCCCAGTTTTCCCAAAGACTTTTATATCTTTATAGACATTAAAAATTTTTAAAAGCAGATAAAATACCAAGTCCTGTTGGAACAAATTCCCTTGCGATATCTTTAAAACACAAATGGCAGTAATAATTACATTGGCAGTTGAAGACGGTGTTATCAGTAGTGAATACGAAGTTTGCTACTGTCTGTACTTCTCTTATTGACCAGCTTAGAGTCCATGCCCTGCTAGGTCAGCCACACCCTTGCACTCTCTCTCTCCATTATATTCAACGGACAAAATTCCAACTCTCCTCCTGTTCTTTATCTACGTCAAGTAGCCGGACACAGATGCAGAAAATAATGATTTTGACTAACCTTACTTTAAATATGTACTGTTGGTGGGAGTGTAAATTAGTTCAACCATTGTGGAAAGCAGTATGGTGATTCCTCAAAGAGCTAAAAGCAAAACTACCACTTGACTCAGCCATGCCATTACTGGGTATATGCCCAGAAGAATAGAAATTACTCTATCATAAAGACACATGCATGCAAATGTTCATTGCAGCACTATTCACGATAGCAAAGACATAAAATCAACCTAAATGCCCATCAATGACAGATTGGATTTAAAAAATGTGGTGCATGCATACCATGGAGTACTATGCAGTCATAAAAAAGAATGGGATCATGTCTCTTCCAGGAACATGGATGGAGCTGGAGGCTATTATCCTTAGCAAACTAATGAGGAACAGAAAACCATATACCACATATCCTCACTTATAAATGGACGCTCGATGATGAGAACTTATGAACACAAAGAAGGAAACAACAGACAATGTGGTCTACTTGAGGGTGGAGGGTGGGAAGTGGGAGAAGAGCAGAAAAGAGAACTATTGGGTTATCTGGGTGATGAAATAATCTGTACAACAAACCCCCAAGACACAAGTTTTCTATGTAACAAACCTTCACATGTACCCCCAAATCTAAAATAAAAGTTAAAAAATATATTTTTTTGCCTTTTTTCTGAGTTTTATCACTTACGTATGCATCCTTAAACAATATATAATTCATCCTCGAACAACACGGGAGCTGGGGCCCTGACCCCCTGTGCAGTTGAAAATCCGCATATAACCTTTGACTTCCCCAAAACTTAACCACTAATAGCCTACTATTGACTGGAAGCCTTACTGAGAACAAAAACAGTTGATTAACACATATTTTGTAAGTCATATATATTGCAATTCTATATTCTTATAGTAAAGCAAGCTAGAAAAAAGAAAACGTTATTAAGAAAATCATAAGGAAGAGATAAAAATATGTATGATTCACTGAATGGAAGTGGATCATCATGAAGATCTTTGTCCTCGTCATCTTCATGTTGAGTAGGCTGAGGAGGAGAAGGAAGAGGAAGGGTTGGTCTTGCTGTCTCAGGGGTGGCAGAGGAGGAAGAAAATCTGTGTACCAGTGGACCTGAGTGGTTCAAATCTTTGTTGTTTAAGGATCAACTGTAGTTTGATTTTGCCTGTTTTCGAATTTCACATGAGTTGAATAATATTATATGTGTTCTTTTGTGACTCGTTTCTTTTAAAACCTCAGCATTTTATTGTTAGTATTTATCGATGTTGTTGTCTCCGAAGGTTTATTCATTTGCTTCGCTGTATTGTATTACATTGTATTTATTGTATCACAATACTCAAATTTACATATGTGTTCTACTATTCTAGGATTGATGGACATTTGGGTTGTTTTCAGTTTGGGGCCATTTTGAACAGTGTCATTCTGAACACTCTTGGATATGTTTTGTGGTGCTTGTGTGCTAGGGTTCCCCTGTGGTAGATATTAGAAATAGAATTGCTGGATTGTGGGTTATGTGAATGCACAGCTTTGCCTGTAATGCAAACTGTCTTCCACTCCTTCTGCTCGAAACAGCTCCAATGTTTTAAGAGTATTTTTGATCTTGGAATGCTTTCTTCAAGGTCAACAGCTGCCTCCATGTTGCCAAATCCAGTGGTCAATTCTGAGTCTTTGTCATGACCTATTGACAGCTTTCGACACAATTGATCCTTCCTGCTTCAAAACATGTCCTTCACCTGGATTCTGGAGGATTCTTTTGTCTATTTGCTGCACGGGCCTCCTCTTCCCATTATAACGTGTTGTAGAGCCCTAGATCCATCTTCTCTCCTATCTGTACACATTCTCTCGATCCTCTCTTCTGGTCCCCTGACTTTAGACACCTCCTATTTGCTGAATGACTATCAAATTTGTATCTCTAGCCTCACCTACTCTAAACTCCAAACTCACAAACCCAACTGCCTGATGATTAGCCTCACTAGGAAGTCTAAAAGCCCCTACTTTATCCAAAATGGAACACTTGCTACCCTCCCACTCCCCAAAACTGTTCCAGCCAGTGTTTCCTATCTTGGTAATGGCAACATCATTCAGGCTAAAAACACAAGATTCAGTCTTGCTGTCTTTCTTTGTCTTATACTTGCTCCCCGCTTCACTTTCTGCCATAATTGTAAGTTTGCTGAGGCCTTCCCAGAAGCAGAAGCTGCTATGTTTCCTGTGCAGCCTGCAGAACCACGAGCCAATTAAACCTATTTTCTTTATAAATTACCCAGTCTCAGGTATTTCTTTACAGCAATGCAAGAACTGCATAATGCTCTCAATTAAAAATCTCTAAAAAAATAAGAATACTTATTAACTCATATAACGAGAGTCCTAAGAAGGACCATTTCTTTGTTGGTTAGTTCTATAGCTTCATGATTCATCATGCACCCAGGTTTTTGGTATCTTTTGGCTTCACCACCCTTTGTGTGTGTCACTCAGTCTAACTGACATCGAATTTCAGAAAACACATCCATACACACCCGTGGTCCCAGGCAGAAACACAGGCTGTCCCTTCCTTGTGTTTCTTTGTAAGAGCTAAGAGATCTTTTCTCTAAGTCACTCCCTGTCTCCCACAGACTTCCCCTTATAGCTCATTGGCTGGAATTGTGGCATGTGCCCATGGCTAAACCAAAGCTGGCAAGGGGAACGGGTCCTTCACGACCTTCTTGGACCAATCCTGACTCACCTTCCAGAGCTGGGGTTTACACCTGCCTCCCCTGCAACACCTGCGGGAGGGTACTTGGGAATCAGGGTACTATTGCAAGGGAAGGGAGGCATGGCTGCTGTGCAGACAGGTCCTCTTGAGAAGATTCCATAGCACCTACAGAAGACTGCCATTTTCTGAGAGTGATTTTTGTAGCACTTGCAAAGCTTCGGCAGGGGCTTTTGACTGTTTTGAGGTAGAGTTAGCAAACCTTTTGCCTCTCTCAAATCACACCATTGGTTGTGGTGGGGTGGCCTCCTCCACCTTTTCACTTGGCTTAATTCTGGGAGACCTAGAGTAAGCAAATGGCCTTGTTTATTTCATAAAGAACTGGCTTTAATGGTCCACACTCACAGGTGTTTTATCTCCTTGTATTGTCTGTGGATGGTGGTGGTCTGATTAAAATGTTCTCCCTAGTGACTCATCCCTGGTGCGGGGGCCGGTGGGGAAGGTATGTCTACTGCAGAGAAGGTCAAAACCAGCCAAGTAAAATGTGTTTGTTCTTTTCCAAACTCACAAAGGAAAATGAAGAGCTAAGAATAGTTATTTTTGGAGATTCAGTCTCTGAATCCTAGTTTAGAAGAGAAAGGATTTTTTCTTTTTTTTTTTTTAATGAAGGGATGGATCAGCCCCAGGTGTTTTCCACATATTTGAAGCTTGCTGAATAATTTCTCTGCCAATGACAGCCACCTCGTCATTTCAGCTCTCATCCCTATCCTCCATAGATTGAGAACTGATCTCTAACAGTGGTGCCTTTTTATTGCTCTCTAATGGTGGCAATTGTTTTACAATTCATCCCTGTAAACCCTGGTTCACCTGCACTCTGGGACCACTTCCCACAGAGGCAGGAAGTTTAAAGGTGTCTCGGGATCAAGTTCTGCCTTAGCCCTTGGACTTTGCCCACGTTGTTCGTCTGCCTGGATTGCCTTTTCCATTCTCTTCAGGGCACTTTCTCACTCCTTCTTCGAAGCCAGGGTCACTTTATTTTTATTATGATTTTTTTATAATTTCAACGTTTAGTTTAGATTCAGGGGTCTATGTGCAGGTTTGTGACATGGCTATGTTGTGTGACACTGAGGTTTGGGGTATGAATGATCCCATCACCCAGGTACTAAGCATAGTACCTAATAGGAGTTTTTGAACCCTTGTCCCCCGCCTTCCCTCCCAGCTCTAGCAGTCCTTATTGTCTATCATTCCCATCTTTATGCTCATGAGTACCCAAGGTTTAGCTCCCACTTATAAGTAAGAACATATGGTATTAGGTTTTCTTTCCTCTTCTAAATGCCCACATCAAAAAGCTAGAAAGATCTCAGATCGACACCCTAACATCACAACTAAAAGAACTAGAGAACCAAGAGTAAACAAATCCCAAAGCTAGCAGAAGACAAGAAATAACCAAGATCAGAGCGGAACTGAAGGAGATAGAGACACAAAAACCCTTCAAAAAATCAATGAATCCAAGAGCTGTTTTTTGGAAAAAATGAATAAATAGACCGTTAGCTAGACTAATAAAGAAGAGAGAAGAGAGAAGAAAGAAATAGACACAATAAAAAACGATAAAGGAGCTATCACCACTGAACCCACAAAAATACAAACAATCACCAGAGAATACTGTAAACACCTCTATGCAAGTAAACTAGAAAATCTAGAAGAAATAGATAAATTCCTGGACACATACACCCTCCCAACACTGAAAAAGTTCTTTTTTTTTTTTTTTTTTTTTTTTGACTCAGGGTCTCACACACTGACACCCAGGCTGGAGTGCAGTGGCACAATCACAGTTCACTGCAGTATCAAACTCCTATGCTCAAGCAATCTTCCCATCTCAGCCTCCCAAGTAGCTGGAACTACAAGCCCGTGACACCACACCTGGCCAATTTTTGTATTCTTGGTAGAGACTGTGTGTCACCATGTTGCCTGGGCTGGTTTTGAACTCCCAGGCTCAAGTGATCCACCCACCTTGGCCTCCCAAAGTGCTCAGATTACAGGTGTCAGCCATCGTGCCCGGCCTGTCAGTGTTTGGTTTTCTGTTCCTGTGTTAATTCACTTAGGATAATGGCCTCCAGCTGCGTCCATATTGCTGCAAAGTACATGATTTTGCTCTTTTTTGTGGGTGCATAGGTGCACAGGTACCACATTTTCTTCATCTAGTTGATGGGCACCTAGGTGGCCTCCATGTCTTTGCTATTGTGAATAGTGCTGCTATGAACATACGAGTACATGTGTCTTTTTGGTAAAACAATTTCTTTTCCTTTGGGTGTATACCCAGGAATGGGATTGTTGGGCAGGGTCACTTTAACTGTGTTTGCATTTTGCACACTCTGCCAAGGCACCTGTCCAGGGCAGAGAGTGGAGCCTGAAACCCAGCCTGTGTTCCTCTCACCAAGTATTATTGACTATGTGTCTGGCTCGGAGTAGGTGTATTTTTCCTCTTTGTCTCCCTAAAGCAGAAGGCTTTTCTAAATTTGTCCAGTCATCTTCTAGACTAACCGAGGCCATGTAGACCCACCTCTAACGTTGTCTGCTCCACAGAGCCTTTCTGAACCTGCTCAGGAAGAGGTGGGCCTTCGCTTCTATGCCTCTGTGCACTTACTCATTCCTCAATGGGAGCCCTTGCTGAGCAGCAAACCTGCCCTGTGCCCCTGGGTCTGCCTTGCTCAGCCCAGCCCACAAGCTCCTGAACTTCGGTGTCTGTTCAGTGTTTGAAAACAGTTGGCCACAGATCACTAATTGCTGGCACTAGGGCTCGAGTGCCGACTCCTCAAACTTCTGTCTCGTCATTCCCACCTCTACTTCATCGTGAGTCCTCACCTCCTCCCCAGCTCTGTGGTTTGCTCCAGTTCCAAGGAGACTCCACCTGTTTTGAAACTGACAAACACCTGAGGACCTGAGTTCATTCAGACCAGCTCCCTGGCCTAAGGCACAGACATGTAAGATGGACATAAGCTGGGGAATCATAGCACAGGTAAATGATACAAGCAGCCTTCCTTGACTTCCTGCTCCCATTCCCCATTCTGGATCAGATGTTCTTCTGGGCTCCACAGCACTGGGTGCTTGTCCTATTATAGTATCATAATGAACCACTGGCCTTTTTGTCCCGAGGGGTCACTTCAGTCATCCTTTTACTTATGTGAATGAAAGGCAAGTGGGCACCAGTGATCCAGAGATCAGAGTGCCACAGGAAACTTTAGCAACAACTCTCTTTATCCTCGGCACACAAAGCTCTAGGAGAAGCGGTGGGAATAGGGGCAGGGCCTTGCTGGCAGGGCCCAGTCCTCACCCTACTTGAATAATAAGCAGGGTCCTCAGGGAGGGAAGGGGCTGATCCCCCAGCTTCTGCAATCTTAAGAGTGGAAGATAGGAAGCTCTTTCAGGGTGGACATGGTTCTGACTGATGCTTATGGCTGGAAACAGGCAACAGGTCCCATGAGATAAAGTTGTTTCAAGGAAATGGGAGGCTAGGCTGGGCCTTGGGCTCCACACAAGGGTCTGAGAGTTGGAGGAGGAGGCTAGACCAGCTCTGAATGTGGTTGATGCTGGAAGTTTCTCCAGACCAAGGAACCTGGGCCCAGAGCTTAGGCTTTGGAGAACCATGACTTAGTGGAGGAGTGGAAACCAGAAAGGGACACCCACTCAGATGGCAGCTCCACAGGGTGGGTGGGATCGGGACCTGTGGGCGCCGGCTGCAGCAGCAGACGAGCACCATCTTTTTGGCTCTGCAGGCCTCGTAGTCCACAGCAACATCAGAAGAAGTGGGAGTGTCGGGAGATGACTCTGCTCTTCTCTGCTCCTGTATGGCAAGGCCCTTCTCCCACTCCCACCCCACTGGACTAAGCCAACAGGGTTATGTCTGAAAGGAAGCATGGAGGCCCTAAAGACGAGTATACCAGCCCTTCTGCTGATACTGGTATGAGTTATTAATTGGAAAAATAAAATCAAATGAGTGCATTTGACCATAAGTCTATGAAACAAGTTATACTGAATATAAATGTACATTACAATTATCTGCTTATGTCTCTTTTTCTTCCACTAGATTGAGGGATTTGGAGGCAGGAGTCATGCCATTCACATCTCTAAATCCCCAGCACCCAATATAGTGCCTGCCCCTTAATAGGCCCTCAATAAATGTTCATAGGCCTAAGATAAATTAATAAGTGGGTAGTTTGATTTTCTTCAGATTCAAAGTCAGTGTATTCTAAGGCTGGAGATGATAATGATGGAACATGCCAGCTGTGTCCAGGGTGCTTGTGTGGCAAATACAGAGATGCACTAGCTCTAGTCTTGTCCTGGAGGAGCTTACAGTCCATGAAGCAGAAAGACACACCTCTCTACTGAGGTGTGATAAGATATATACTAATGACTCAAATTAAGAATCATGGAGCAGCAGGAGCTGTTCATTCCAACACAGGACTTAGAGAAGGCTTCAGGGTTTTTTTGAGCAGGGCTTTAAAGGATGAAACTAATTTTAGCATTTGGTGAGGAAGGACATTTCAGGCTGAAGAAATAGATAAAGGCACGAAAACATTATTCAGAGGCATTTAAAGACTATATAGGAAGAATGAAAAGCAGGTGGCAGAATGCTATGACTGGCTCACTAATATAGCAGTTGGGAGAAAGACTAGAATATCTGTCAAGAAAAGAGGGTGTGTCAGTCAAGATAGGCTAAGTTATGCTGTGGTAACAAGCAGTCCCAATATCTTAGTGGCTTATAAGAACAAAGGTTGATTTTTCACTCGTATCACACACCTATTGTGAGTCACCTGGAGGCTAGCCTCCATGTCTCCTCACAAACTCAGGATGTGGGTAATCACGGAGACAGAAGGAAAGTGAACTCTGGAGAGACTCATCTCATAATCAAATGCTTCACTGGAACACATCACTTCTGGCTGCATCTGGTTGGCTGGAACTGGTCACATGACTGTACCTCCCACAAAGGGGCTAGGAAGTGCTTTTTTTTTTTTTTAATTATACTTTAAGTTCTGGAATACATGTGCAGAACGTGCAGGTTTCTTAGATAGGTAAACACATGCCATGGTGGTTTGCTGCACCCATCAACCCATCATCTACATTAGATATTTCTTCTAATGCTATCCCTCTCCTAGCCCCCCACTCCCCAGCAGGCCCTGGTGTGTGATATTCCCCTCCCTGTGTCCATATGTTCTCATTGTTCAACTCCCACTTATGAGTGAGAACATGTAGTGTTTGGTTTTCTGTTCCTGTGTTAGTTTGCTAAGAATGATGGCTTCTAGCTTGATTCATGTCTCTGCAAAGACATGAACTCATCCTTTTTTATGGCTGCATAGTAGTCCATGGTGTATATGTGCCACATTTTCTTTATCCAGTCTATTATTGATGGGCATTTGGGTTGGTTCCAAGTCTTTGCTATTGTGAATAGTGCTTCAATAAACATATGTGTTCATGTGTCTTTATAGTAGAATGATTTATAACCCTTTGAGTATATATCCAGTAATGGGATTGCTGGGTCAAATGGTATTTCTGGTTCTAGATCCTTGAGGAATCGCCACACTGTCTTCCACAATGGTTGAACTAATTTACACTCCCCCCACAAGTGTAAAAGCATTCCTATTTCCAGGAAGTGCTTTCTGACCCCATAGGTGAAGGGCGAGAAATACCTGGTTACTCCAAATGGCAATGGCAAGATTGAACCCTCTTGAAAGGATAGAACCAAGGGCCTGCAATTCATTCCTTGATGGTGGGTAGTGATGGTAGTAGGTTTGTGTGTGTATGTGTTGTGTGTGCATGTGTGTGTGCATGTGTAGGGAAGTAGGGTGCAATGTACATGCCGGGAAAAGGGCATGCCTCCCTTTTTTTGTTTTTAAAGATGTTAGAGTTCATTATGTAACATTTTTTGTAGCAATCACTGATAGGCCTGATTAGATATTGTCTTTTCTAATCTGAACCCCTACAGAAAGATAATGTCTTTTTCCTTCTTTCTTCACATCCTCTTCCCTTCCCCCCTCCCCCTCCCCTCCCCTCTCTCCCCTCCCCTCCCCTCCCCTCCCCTCCCCTCCCCTTCCTTCCTTCCTTCCTTCCTTCCTTCCTTCCTTCCTTCCTTCCTTCCTTCTTTCCTTCCTTCCTTCCTTCCTTCCTCTTTCCTTCCTTCCCTTCTTTTTCTCTTTGTTTCCAAAATAAACTTCACATTTTGGAATAGTTTTAGATTTACAGCAAAGTTGAAAAGATAGTACAGAAGTTCCCATACACCCCTCATTCAGTTTCAGTTTTCCCTAATGTTATCATCTTACATTTCTGTTGTACTCCTTTAGGTTTTAGGTATTCAACCCCTTGAGGACTACATCCTTCTTGGCCCCAAACTTCCCTGGTATTCCTCAGGGAACTATGGGTGGTGGTGGTCCTGGCTTGAAGACTTAAGAGCTATGTTTTCTGTTGGTGGTAGACATGTCTGGGCTTGTCTAGAGGCCAATGAGGCCAGACTTCTAGGGAGTGTGAGCAGGAGGGACTGACAAGTCCCTTAGGAGAGTGAGAGAGAGTGGAGGTGGAGATGCCTAAATAGTTGGTATGAAGGGCAGGGTTGGTGTTGGAAGGAAGGAGGTTTTGAGCTCAGCAGGGAGTGTCTTTCGGGAGCACATGCCCTCTCTGATGGTTACAGGATGGAGCTGGAATCAAGCTCTGCGAAGGACAGAGCAAAAAGCCTGGAGTGCTCTGTGAAGCACACTCAGTGGAGCATGGGCTGAGGTGTGGGTGAAGGGATGTTGTGCCTTTGAGACACAATGGGCCAGGACACCGTGGCCTGAGGCAGGGCCAGACCACCTTGTTTCTGGATGGAGCCAGAGCTCTGGGGACATGGCTGTGGCAGGAGACAAACTCCAACCAAGAGCCCAGAATGTGGCTTTCTTTAGCATGAGTGAGCATCTTTTTGGGGACTTCCTGGGAAAGAGCTAGGTAGAGGTGGTTGTGTTAGGGGGTGTAGGGGCAAAAGGTGGGATACCTTTCCTCACCCATCATAAGGGTCACAGCAAATGACCCTATAATAAAAGACAGGTTAACAAGAGAAAAGCATAATGAATTACTTAATCGAAGTTTTAGGTGATGTGGGAACCTTCAGAAATGAAGACCCAGGGACCCAGGGAAATTGCCTGTGTTTATGCTTAGGTTGATGATGAATGGACAGCCATGTGGAAGTGTGGTTGGACAGAGGGGTGTGATCTAATGGTCATGGACTGAGCGGGGAAGCACACAAGGCCTGCCCAGATTCTTCGTGGAGTCTCTGTAGAGTACTCTTTCCTCCTGGGTATGGGGCTGGACCCGTCTGGATTGAGGATCTTCAAGGGAGAAGGGAGTGACCTTAGCAGTTTTACAGCTTGCTTTGTGGGAAAGGGGTTCTAGTTTCTATGACCTGCCTTGGGGGAGAGGAATTCTGGTTTCTAAATGACTCACTTTGTAGGAGAAAGAGGGGGCGGGAGACAAGATAACTAAAGAAGGTCAGAAAGACCTTTCTGCTGAGGCCCTTCCAATCTCCTTTAGTTCAAAATACTCAGTGCTTTGAGGGTTACAAGGCACCATATTTTGGGATATTATGTTCTGAGCCCCAACAGGGGTCACAAGTTGCCTCTCAAATTCTGTGTTGGTGCTGTCCTTGGGACCCTGTTGTACCCCCATGGCAAGTATGGCTGGGAAAATATGAGTGACTCTTACGTCTGGATACTTGGTAAATATTGTTGACTCACTGCTCCTCACCCTCTCATGTGAAGGAAAGTCCCCAGAGCCCAGGGCCCAAAGAGATGAGTTTGGCTTTGGCCTGGGCTCCTCAAATATGAGACAGCTTGGCACCTGAGAGATATTAGTAGACAAGAGTGATCTGACCCCAGGACTCTTGAGCTGAGAAGAGGGGCTTCCATAGAGGAAGACGATGCTGTGTCTCATCCAAGGAACGATCTTGAGAAGTGGGGTGATTCTGTGAGTATCACCCTCAGGAATGAAAGCAGAACTGAAGAGCTTGAAGAGGCTTCCAGAGACCATCCCCCAGGGAGGAGCCAGTGTCAGGAGCCTAAGAACTTTGTGGCATTCTGTGTTCTCTACGTTATTGTCTGTTGCTTAGTGGGGTTTGTAGGCTTGTCTTTGGGGGCAACAAAGGGTTGGGACACAAAGTCATTCTCAGAAGAAGGAAAGCCTGGAAGGCAAGCCGTGGGGCAGCAGCATGAAAGAAAGGAAGTCCCTGGGCATGGGAGGGAAAACACCCATTTAGACAAAGAAGTGACCTTGGGCTTCTCTTTCTTGGTAGAAGAAGGGCTGTGTGGTCTGTAGCAAGTCAGTGAGGGTTGGAACCCCTACATCTGCTCCCAGCCTATTCATTCCAGTGATTTCTGCCATTTTGGTCAAGGACACCACTGTCTCTTGGTGTCCCAGGCTAGAAAGCCGCGTCATTTTTGTGGTGTGTCCTTCAGTCCATAATGAACAAACTTGTACTGAGGGTCAATGGGCTGTCCATAATGAACAAACTTGTACTGAGGGTCAATGGGCTGTGCACTGTATTGAGTACTTTATATATATTTTTTGCATTTAATCCTCATAATAATCTCATGAGATGTGTTTCATTGCTCTTATTTTACAAATGATGAAATTTATGCTAACTGAGATGTAGTAATGAACCCAAACTGAAGCTAATGTGCCTGATGCCAGCCGCCACATTCTTTTCATACCTCATGCTGCTGCTTAGAGTTCTCTGTGTTTGTCATCCCTACAAGATCAACATTTCTGGCCACATGTGGTGGCTCATGCCTGTAATCCCCGCACTTTGGGAGGCTGATGTGGGTGGATCACTTGAAGTCAGGAGTTCGAGACCAGCCTGGCCAACATGGTGAAACTGTGTCTCTACTAAAAATACAAAAAATTAGCTGGGCATGATGGTACATGCCTGTAATCCCAGCTACTCAGGAGGTTGAGGCAGGAGAATTGCTTGAACCTGGGAGGCGGAGGTTGCAGTGAGCTGAGATTGCAGCACTGCATTCCAGCCTGGGCGACAGAGCAAGACTCAGTCTCAAAAAAAAAAAAGATCAGTGTTTATTTAGGAGTGGCACCACCACTGCCTGCCTCAGAATCACCTGGCCCATTTGTTAGGAAGAGTCAAGGATCTAGTCCAGATCCATGGAAACAGAGTATCTGGGAGTTGAACCCACAGCTTGCCTTTGTGGCAAGTCCTACAGGCGATTCATTCATGCATAAGACCTTCTGTGTGACCGATGGGCATCCCTAAGAATCTGGAGACTTGGCCTGATTTCTAGAATTGAACTCAATAGTCTTCCCACCTGCCCTGTATCTTGTTGTAAGGGAAGAATGAAACAGATGAGTCGTGTATTGACACTTCATGGGTGGCTTCTTGAAAGTGAGAATAGTCAAAATTGAGCTGCAGGGTCACCCAGACAGGACACTGGAATATTGGCAGCAAACCACAAAGCAGTGGGCCCTGTACCATCTGGAGACTGTTTTTGTGAACCATTGTCTACACATGATTGAGTTGGACTTTGGGGGTCATTTCTGTGGACTTCAGTCCACAGATGTGGCTATTGAAAATTGCTGCCATGTATTGAATGTTTATTATCTGTCAGACACTTTGAAGTTGCAAAGTGCTTTGCATGTATTAATATTATCTAACAGCCTTATAAGTTGGATACCAATATTATTCGCATTTGGTTGGTATAGAAACTGAGGCTTAGAGAAAACGCCTTGAGTCATTTACTTAAACTCTCATAACTCACGAGTGTTGGAGCCAGAATTCAAATCCAGTCCATGGTACTTAATAATCAGTGGCTGTCTGACTCTACCCTAGGATACCAAGTTTTGGGCTCAGTGAGTCTGTTTTTGGATAGTTTTGGCGGAAAAGATCAACCAACCCTTTAGCCAATTGGTGCTTTGCTTTTTTTTTTTTTTTTTTTTTGAGACAGGATCTCTCTCTGTCATTCATTCAGGCTGGAGTGCAGTAGTGTGATCATGGCTCATTGCAGCCTCGGCTTCTCGGGCTCAAGCCATCTTCCTACCTGAGCTACAGACTTTGCTAGATGCTGCCAGGGGCCCCACAGGATAAGGGGAGATACCTGTTCCCCGAAACTCATAGTGTAATTGAGAAAATGGCTCGTATGCATGAAGCTGTAATGACTCAAATGGGCTTGCTGGGATTTTTGCTCTGTTGGCCTGTGTATGTGGTTGTGTGAGTGTGTGTATATGAGTGTGTGTGTACGTGTGTGTAACAGGGAAAGGGTGAGACAAGAAGAAGGCAGAGTGAAGGGGATGGGGGTAGGGGAAGAAAAGTGATGTGTCTACAGAACTTGGATCAGAAGGCATGAGGAACTCAAGAGTCCTGCCTGCCTGACTGGCGAGATAAGAGAATTCCATGTGAAGGTGATATTCAAAGTCAAGCGGGAAGCACATTCAGACCATCTGGGGACCTTTAAAACATACCAGTGCCTGGGCCCTACCTAAAGATACTAGTTTAATTGAATGAGGCTGAGGATTGGAGATAGACATTTTCAGAAGCCCCCGTGTGATTCTAATGAATACTTGGACTGAGAACTGGGCAAATGCATGCTTTTCCAGTGTCTCATGCCCCCCCTGTTTTCAATCCTGGCCACAGATCTTTCAACAGACTTCCTGGTGCTGGGTCTCCTTGTTCTCTCTTTAGTGTGACCGAGAGGCCAGATGACCACGTATATGCCTAAGAGGAGAAGCTGCCACCTGTTGCTGTAAATCTGGTACAATTTCATCATCTCTTTGCCCCATGTATTTTCAGTATCTTATAACTGCATCTGAATGATGTGTTGTTTTTTGCTTTGTAACAACTTGTAGGGTCACAAGGGGACGTGTGCTGTAGTGCTTCTGGGGTTTTTACCTTGTAAATATAGACAGGGTAAGTTTGCTTGTTGCGATGATTACCTTTGATTGTGATAGACCAGAGCAAGCTTTCACTTGGCTCATCTTTCCTTAATTTGTTGTTGAGAAAGACTTCCAAATAAATCCCTTTTGCAAAGACTGAGTGAATCCCAACCACTTCAGGGAAATTGCCCCTAAGTGGGGGCTTCAGGGAGGTCAAACCTGGAGGAAATGATCAGGAATCTCTCTAAAGTTATCAGAAAGATGGAAAATCTGGAAGGGAAGAGCTTCATAGATATACGCTTTATCACTTCCTCCCTCCCTGTCTCCAAATATGTATATATTTTTTCTGAACCATTTGAGGGTTACATGCAGACATCCTGGCCTTCTATCTCTAAACATTGTAGAGTGCATTTCCTGCAAACAATATGTTAGGGCAGTAGTTCTCAATCTTGGCTGCACACATTAGAATCTAATTCCACATAAGAATTTTCTGAGGAGCTTCAAACCAAAACCAAAACCAAAAAAAAAAAAAAAAAATTCCGGTCCCAGTCTGTACCTTGGAATGGTTGAATAAGAGTGGCTGGGGCAAGGCACACAGTATTGTTTTAAAGCTTCTAGATGATTCCAATGTGCAGCCACAGTTAAGAAACTCTATGTTAAGGGATAAGAGAGGCTTAAAAATTAAGAGGGCACCTCAATATGTTGCAAGGAAGAAAGACGAATCAGAAGCCCAGGTTGGGGAATCGTCATATACAACAGCTTTGGAATGTAATGGTTAAGTCCAGCCAGTTCCAAGAACTCAGCTTAGCCTTAAGAAGATGGCCAATCTCCAAACATCCTTGCAATCCCAGTTCGTGAGCCATTGGCATCACACGGCGCAGGGTACACGTGAGAGCTGATAATGAGAGCAGCCCCCCGACTCTTTGTTCTTCTTGGCCCAGAAAGAAAGGAGAAGGGACTTCAAGATCACCCTGATTCTCTATGCTGTCTCTATGCTTGTCAGTGATCCAAACAAGAGAACTGCCAACAAGGGTTAGGAGAGTGCTGGGGGTGGGGAGGACATGATCATTTTTCAGGGGATAAGCTGAGAGATTCTGGGCTTCTGCATTCACGGTTCTGCAAAAGGAAACACATAAAGCAGCATGGATAAGACTCAAATCCATTGTCCAGTGTCTTAGGTGAGCAGGTGTGAAATGTTTGGTTAGGACGTGAGCCATCAGCTGGGGCCACTTAAAAAAAACTTTTTATATTAAAATAATTTCAAACTTAACAAAAGAATTGCAAGAATAGTATAAAGCAGCAGTCCCCAACCGTAGGGCCACGGACTGCTACCAGTTTGTGACCTGTTGGGAAATGGGCGGCACAGCAGGAGGTGGGGGGCAGGTGAGTGAGTGAAGCTGCTTCCGTACAGCCGCTCCCTGTGGCTCGCATTACCTCCTGAGTTCTGCCTCCTGTCAGATCAGTGGTGGCATTAGATTCTCATAGGAGCTCACACCCTATTGTGAACTTAGGGATCTAGGTTGCATGCTTCTTATGAGAACCTAATGCCTGATGATCCGTCACTGTCTCCCATCACCCCTAGATAGGACCATCTAATTGCAGGAAAACAAGCGCAGGGCTCCCACTGATTCTACATTATGGTGAATTGTATAATTACTTCATTCTTTATTACAATGTAATAATAATAGAAATAAAGTTCACAATAAATGTAATGGGCTTGAATCATCCTGAAACCATCCCCTGCCCCTGGTCCTTGGAAAAATTTTCTTCCACGAAACCGGTCCCTGGGCACTGCTGATATAAAGAACTCCCATACCATTCACCCAGGTTCACTAATTGTTAGCTGGTTACCACTTTTGCTTCCTTGCTCCCTCCCTCTCTGGATGTGTGTGTGTATATATATTTCTGAACCATCTGAGGATTAAGGGTGCACTCTTTACCCCTAAACACTTCAGTGTGTGTTTCCTATGAACAAGTGCTTTGTCTCATATAACCACGGTGCTGTGGAAATAAATGAAGACCAATCAAATGAGAAAAGCAAAGGCTGTTTATTCAGAGCTTGCTACAGCCTGGGAGTCAGCACCATCATGTGTCTTTTGGCAGAGACTCAAAAGCAGGCAGAAGAGTGGGAATGCTCATAAAGAGGAAAACAGGAAGATTTCAGGTGGAAAAAAGGGTTGGCCTGGGGAAGCTGAAGGCAGCGAACTAGAAGCCAGGTGTCCTCTATGATTGGTTAGGGGTGCCTTTCTGGCTTTCTCTGGTTGGTCCTAAATTGGCAGTCGGAGCAAAAATCAGGGAAGTTGTCCATTCCTAACCGAGTCCTGGCCATTTTGAGTAGATTGTTACAGAAGTTATTGTTTAGCTTCCTGGATTGTCACTAGAGATAGAAACCTGGCTTCCTGCAAGTCTGAATTACAGCAGGCTGGTTTTCTGGGCTGGTTATTGTAGATAAGGGGTTGGTTTCCTGGACAGGCTGCTGCAGGTTTTGGGTCAAAGTTCTATTTTTACATATGGTCTGGCCATTGTCCATTTGTATACTGAATCAGTACGAGGATCATGTTCAGATTTAACTTTGGCATAACACTGTGATCTAACAGACACTCCATGTTTGAATTTTGCCAGTTGCCCCAATCATATCCTTTACAGAAACTTCCACTCCTCTCCTCCAAATGCAATCAAGGATCATGCGCTGTATTTGTTCCTCATGTCCCTTTAATCTCCTTTAATCTGGAACAGCTCCTCAGCCTTTGTTTGTCTTTCACGACACTGGCATTTTTGAGGTGTTCAGGCCTGTTGTTTGTGGTGGTGACACCCTTGAGGACACACATTTGTGAGCTGATGGTGAAAATATGTCCACAGCCAGTGCCCCTCTGGACTTTGCTCCTCGAGTCTTATCCAAGAGACTCTGGGAATTGTTTGGGTTTACGCAGCCCAGGTAACTGGATAATCAGCCTTCATGGAGGACACAGAAAGTCACGTCTACATGCAGGGCAGACAGGAAGCTTGTAAACAGAGAGTGGTACCCACGGTCATGTCCATTAGCAGCTAATCCTCTGCAAGGCCAAGAGAGTTTGTGAAATATGTTTTGGTTCCAATTTTGGAAATACGTTCTTTCATTAGCTCAGCCCTCTGCTGCGTTTCACATACATAGACACTGGGTTTTTCCCCTTCTTTTCTTTCTTTCTTACCTCCTTCCTGCTCCAGTTTCCCATTTCTGCAAAGACGCCAGAAACATTTTCCAGGCCCTGAGGGGAGAGGGCCAGGGTGTTGTTTTTGCAGGATGGGGTATGGTGTCCCTGTACGACTGGAATGGACCTGTGTTTTTTAAAAACATCAGGACTCAGAGAAGGTTTTGTTTTGAGCCTGAATGGCTTTGAGGGCAGGCCTAACACTCTGAAAACATCCACCTCTTAGTCACTCCAAGCTGCTGTCATAGAGCGATTTCTGGGTCTGTCAGCAGCCTGTATCATAGTTAAAATCTCCTTTATCCTCATCCCTCTTAATACTCTGAGCAATAACAAGTTTTTATTTATGGGGGATTGAACTAAAATAAGTTTGCTGTGTGCAGCAGTTACGATTATGGTGTTTGGTGTCAGATTGTCTGGCTGAGTCTTTGCTATCAAACCATGTGTCCCTGGGTAAATTGCTTAATCTCAGGTTCCTCAGCAGTGAAAAGAGGACAGTATTAGCTGTTTTGTAGGGTTAGAGTGAGGATTAAATGTCGGGATAAATGATGACATTTAGCAGAATGATTGGCAAATAATAAGCACTCATCAAATGCTCATCATCGCTATTACTTTGCTTATCACTGAAGTGGAAAGCTAAAACTTGTTGGCTAAAACTCACTTTTGGTGATCATTGTGGAAGGAGTATGGGTTTTGTGTTACCCTGATGTGGATTTAAATCCTGGCGGTGCCCATCACTGGCTGGGTGATGTGGGGCAAGAGAACCTTTTCTGAGCCTCAGTGTTTCCCATCTGTAGAATGGGAATGGTACTACTACCTTTGCAAATGTGTCACGAGACCACAACAAGAGAACCCATGTCCTGCATCAGCACAGTGCTGAGTGCTGAGTGCAGAGTGCACGCTGAATAAAGGCACTGGTTAGTTATTTTCTTCATTTCTCTCCCCCTTGATCCCTTTTCGCCTCACAAAGTGAGTCTCATTTCTGGAACAGTAAAGGGAATGGCTATTTTGACACGTGTCAGGGCAGTGATGAAATTAGAAGTCCTTAGGATCATTATTACTCTATTTATTTGCCATTTAATAAGCATCCGCAAAGGTCTTAAAAGCTCTCATTAGGATAGACTTTTTGCAATTTGTATTTAGGCCCAGCCAAGGAAAAAGTATAAAGTGGGAAAAATGAGTTTTTTTGTGCCTCATTCATTCCCCACTTTCCTTTTTGGTGCCTCCAAACTCGGGGTTCGGAGCCTGATGCTCCCCATGGGCCAGTGTGGTCTTCGGCCAGATTCCTTGCCTCTCTTGAGAGAGACCCCATCTTCTAAATCCTTCCTTCTTCATCACCCTGTTTAAATGACGGGTCTTTTGTGGCATCCTTTAGGACCTGTGGGAAGGTGTGTGGGTTAAGCTTTGACCCAAAGGATAATGGGTAATAGTTGACTAATGTGTCACTGCATTTAGGGAATGTGTTTGTATCTTAAGTACAAGACTAAAGAAGCCTTTAGTCTTGGAATCCTAGGTATTTTAGGGTGAAGAGAATTTTTCAGGGTTTGTTCTCTTCATTTTCCTGTTACAGTCAAGACCCCACAGTTAGCAGTAGGACCTGGGTTAAAAGTTGGGTCTTCTGATTTCCAGTCCAGAATTCTTCCAGTCTCAGGTGTGAAGGTAGGTGATTTGGAAAGTGGCTTTAGTCAGAGGGACTGATTTAGTGCTTCCTTCTCCTCCACCACAAGCCAGGGCCAAAGGCTATGATGTTCCTTGAATGTCAACCACTGTCACAAATGTGCCAGTAATGTCTTGGGAGGATGAGTTTCAGGTTTCCATTTTTTTCGGTTTAATTTTTGGGGTGGTTCTATTTTCCAGATTTAAAGAATAAATATACACTGAGTTACAGAAAGGCTACTTTTATTCCAAACTCCAGACATATTAATTACACCTACATTAAGAATTAATTATTCTTTCCTCAGTACCTGCGTTCTCAGGCAACCAAGGGGGTAGTACCTGCAGCTGCTCTGGGTCTCTAAGCCTGCTTGGTAGAAAGAGAGCACATGTATTGCTTTAACCCTTCCATGTCACTGCCAGGTGAATGAAGGTTCCACTAGTTACCCTGAGAGATTACTTCTAAGAGGTCCCCATTAAATTGCAAAAATGGAGCCTGAAGGATAATAATAAAATTACCACCTATTAACTCTGGAAAGAATGAATTATGAGGTTGGTGAGGCTTGGGAAGGGTCAGAGGGAATAGGAAGAAGCAGGGTATGTTTTGATGCAAGGGGTGGGTTGGTTAAAGAAAGGTTGAAGAAAGAGGAGCAAACACTCCAGAGCCTAAGTTTCTTCCTGAATAAGCCCCCTGTAGATGGGGAGCCTTAGTTTGGGGAGCAACGAAGGGAAAGAAAGGCAACATGATGCTAGAGAGTAAAAGGAGGAGAGAAGTGGAACTAAAATTAGAGTTGGGAGAAGGTTGGAGTCAATTTCAATTCAGCACCTTTAAAGTTTGCTAGCGTTGACTCTGCATTTGAAAACTACAGGCCTGTCACTGGAAGACCTAGCAAATGGCCACTTAAGTAGTATTTGCCTATTTGGACTGGCTGTGGGAAGAGGTGAATAGTCCACCAATAAACTCCCAGAAACCTTTTTTTTCTTTGTCTTGTTCCCAAATAAACCTTTAAGCATGAAAGAACACACAGACCTAGACAGGATTCATGTCTATCTAAAGCAGGACTGTGGGAGTCCAGTGCCTGGAAATCAGGTTTCCTATCTGAGGGCCTCAAAGAAACTCTTCCCTCAAGGCGACTGGCCATAGCTAGAGTTCAGGCATGCTGACCCGCCCTTTGAAATTCTGTCTGCAGATAATGGCAGAGTCATGGGACCTGTCTTACTGAAATAATTCTGTTGTCTGTGATATAATCCAGAAAAATCCCCAAGGTGTCGGATGAGATTTTCCTTTTGGAGGAAAAATATAACAAGGCTTATAACACATTTCACATTGTATTTGAAACAGAGACCTTTAATCATGCACTGCCAGATATTTTAGGATTCTAAAATTAGGAAGATGATTAAGTCTTCCAGTTCAGTTTAGATTTAACTATATGGTTAATGAAGATCCAGGCACCACCATCACTTCTGCTGAGCTTTTTTATTGACAGGGGCTTTTCTTAACCCTGAGGCTCAACCAGATTTGAGGCTACAAATAGCAAGGCTGGATTGTCACAGCCTCAAGTGAACAGGGTGAGGGAAAGTCTAAATGTGCATGTGTGTTTGTTCTTTAAGTTGAGCATCTGCATTATAGTTTTATTACATGGTATCAGAATCATATGGAATGCATGTTTAAAATCCTTGCATAAAATATTCCTGGGCTCCACCTTAATCCTACTGAATCAGAGATTTGGGTGGGTAGGGAGGTGATCTAGGCATTTATTTACATTTTATATAGTTTATGTGATTCTAATACACAATGAAGTTTGCTTTTAATGAGACTCAGATCCCAAAATGTCCAATATTTGTCTCTAACCAAAATTTCAAATTCTTCTTCTTCTTTTTTTTTTTTTTCTGAGACTGAGTCTCTCTGTTTCACCTAGGCTAGAGTGTAGGTGGTGTGATCATGGTTTACTGCAGCCTTGACCTCCCAGGCCCAAGGGATTCTCTGATCTCAGCCTCCCATGTAGCTAGGACTACAGGTGCAGGCCACCATGCCTGGTTAATTTTAAAATATTTTTTGTGGAGATGGGGTTTTGCCATGTTGCTCAGGCTGGTCTTGAACTCCTAACCTCAAGCAATCTTCCCGCCTCAGTTTCCCAAAGTCCTGGGATTACAGGCCTGAGCCTCTGCACTTAACCCCAGATTTCAAATTCTTAAGAGAGAAAGTCTGATTGGCTTTATTTTCCTATTATCTCTTGCTGAACAACAAATTACCCCAGAACTTGGTGGCTTAAAAAAATTGTATTTGATTTCATGATTGATGGGCCAGAAGTCTGGGCGGGACTTGGCTGGGTATCTCATCTCTGCTCCATGCAGCATCAGCTGGGGCTTCTGAACTGGGGCTGCTGAACTAGAGCTGAAGGATTCACTTCCTGGATAGCATAATCACATGACCAGCAGGTTGGTGCTGGTGGTCAGCTGGGGTCTCAACTGGCTCATCAGTGGAGAGACTTCAGTGCCTCTCTTTGGGGATGCTTGGGCTTCCTCACGGTACAGCAGCTGGGTTCCAAGAGTGAGTGTTCAGAGAGACTAAGATGGAAGCTGCCAGACTTCTCCTGAAGTCAGAAGTCAGACAGCATCACTTTTGCCATATTCCATTGGTCCAGAAAAAGATCAACTAATATCAAGCATAGGCAAAATAGTCTTTACCTTTTGATATGAGAAGTAACATATACATAGAAGGAGCAAAGGAATCGATGGTGGCCATCTTTGAAGACTTTCTGCTATACCCTGGTTGGGTCAGCTGTTGACCCCTGGATCCATCAGTCCATGTCCAGTCGGTCCATCTGAATAGAAACATGGTACAGATTTAGCCACCAACTCCTGCTGGCATATTGAGGAGGCCACTCGTATTGAAGGGGGAGTTTTTATAAATTCTGAAGGCACTCCAAGAGATGTCTGATGATTACAGAATCTTACAGATCATCTAGTCTGAGCTCTTACTCTAATTAGGAACTACCTTTGGGCATTGGTTTTCCATCTTTTGCTGGAGTTCTTCTGACCTTTCCATGAGGCAGCCTGTTCCATTTTGAGAGTTACTGCCATTCAAACCTATTCTGGTTCTCTGTAACACCCACCTATCACCCACTAGAATAGCACTCAACTATGAATGTTCTTCTAGATTCTAAGTTTCTCCACCAGGCTTAGACTCTTTGAGGCCTGGGCCTGTGTATTTTGTGTATTAAGCCTCAGTCCCTGGCACATAACAGGTGCTAAGCAAATGCATGCTGACTGTTCTTGAAGGAATAAGCACATTTACTTTTCTCCATCTAATTGGATAGTAAATTTGACGTTGATGTAGATATTGAGTTCCTACCAAAATAAATAGTTCATCGTTGTCATTATATTTTCTCCAAGCCAAAATCACCTGACATCATTTATGGTTAAAATGCAGGTGCTAAATCAAGTGAACACTGTCCTAAATGTTGGGAACTGAGGGCAAATTCTTCAAAATCACAGGAGAAATTTTAGCATTTTGGAGTCAGGATTGAAATAGCCATAAACAGAAGTATTATGTTTTGCTATTGTTTGGTTGAAAGCAGGGGTCAGCAAACTCTGACCTCCAGGTCAAATCCTGCCGGCCTCCTGATTTTGTAAGTAAAGTTTTCCTGGAACATGCCTATCTGTTTCCTCATTGTCTGTGGCTACTTTTGTGTTACAGCGGCAAAGTTGAATGTTGAGGCAGAGACTGTGCCTCCTGGAATAGCCTAAAATATTTACTATCTGGCTCTTTATAGAAAAACTTTGCCAACCCCTAATAAAGGGCTCTCCTTGATCCGTTTGTTCTTGGTTATTTTACTTGGCAAAGTTGAAGGGGTCTTATCTCCACGTTTCTGCATTTCCAGACTTTTCACCCAAATGAAGAAGACTTTTCCTCGTCTTATCCCTGGCAAAGACTCTAATGATGCTGAAATTCTTAGGTAAAAACAAGGTAAAAGTCTTTTTTTTTTTTTTTTTCTGAGACAGAGTCTCACTCTGTCGCCCAGGCTGGAGTGTGGTGGCGTGATCTTGGCTCACTGCAACCTCTGTCTCTTGGGTTCAAGCAATTCTCCTGATTCAGCCTCTCAAGTAGCTGGGACTACAGATGTGTGCCACCACGTCCAACTAATTTTTGTATTTTCAGTAGAGACAGGGGTTTCACCATGTTGGCCAGGCTGGTCTCGAACTCCTTTCCTCCGGTGATCCGCCTGCCTTGGCCTCCCAAAGTGCTGGAATTACCAGTGTGAGCTACTGCACCCAGCCCAAAGTAAACGTCTTTTACTTGACCAACTAACAGGAATAGAGAACTTTTAACTTAATGAAAAGAACATGGGTTTGGGAGCCATCAAAATTAAACCTTGTAGTAGACATTTATTGTTCTTTAGCTTTCTAGGATCCAGTACTCCTTTCTTTTGCTAATAGCAATTTATTTACTTCTCCTCCACTAAGTGCTGTCTTGGTTGAATCAAGTCACCTTGCCCTGTCCTGCCCAACCAAGGTTAGTCATGTGACCCAAGCTAAGGCTCTTTGACACAAAGATGGATAGAAGGTTAAATCGATTTATCCCAGTGATAGTGGCTTGCAAGACCATCATTCATCCCTTCCTGTTGCCTAGAGCCCTGGCCTCAGGTTTTCCAACCTTCCCTTTAATTCCAAGAGCTACCTGGTATTCTTTAAATACTTTCCTTTTCAATTAAAATTAATCAACTAGATTCTATTGCTTACAATCAACAACCCTAAATGATGCAAATAAATAATAATAATAAGCAAATAAAGAAATGTTCCAAGAAATACACATCAAAACAAGTATTTTTAGCCTATAAAATCAACAGAGATTTAAACAATAATAGTATTCAGTCATTTTTTTTTTTTTTCGAGACGGAGTCTTGCTCTGTTACCCAGGCTGGAGTGCAGTGGCACAATCTCGGCTCACTGCAAGTTCTGCCTTCCGGGTTCACGCCATTCTCCTGCCTCAGCCTCCTGAGTAGCTGGGACTACAGGCACCCGCCACCATGCCTGGCTAATTTTTTGTAGTTTTAGTAGAGATGGGGTTTCACCATATTAGCCAGGATGGTCTCGATCTGCTGACCTCGTGATCCGCCTGCCTCGGCCTCCCAAAGTGCTGGGATTACAGGCGTGAGCCACCGCGCCCGGCGTAGTTTTCAGTCATTTTAAAGATGCAGTGAAACAGGTATCCACATGAACTTTCACTGAGGTTGTGAGCTGGTGTTTCCTTTCTGGAAATTATTATTATTTTTTGCAGGACGTGTCAAGAGCATTAAAAAACTTTCTGTTTTTTGATCCTAGGTGTGGTGGCTCACACCTGTAATCCCAAAGATTGGAAGGCTGAGGTGGGAGGATTTCTTGAGGCTAGGAGTTCAAGACCAGCCTGAGCAACATAGACCCCATCTCTACAAAAAATTTAAAAACAAAGTTTTATCTTTTGATCTAGGAATTCTGTCTCTAGACATTTTTCCTAAGGCAGTAATGGGACATGGAGACAGATTTATGTAGAAAGTATTCACTGTGGTGTTATTTATAGTAATACTGAAATATCCAACATTAGTAGGACAGTCAGGTAAATTGAGCAGGTGGTATTATGTCATAGTTAAAAGTATGAGCTCTGGAGTTGATCAGCCTGGCTTCAAATCCTCTTCTGCAATTCACCAGCTGTACAACTTTGGGCCAACTGCTCAAAGTTTTATCTGTGAAATGTAAACAAACTGTATTACCCAGTTGTGGTAGCTAGCCTTCATAGATGACCCCCATGGATATGCACTTCCTGGTGTTCATGTCCTTGTGTAGCTCCCTCTCATATTGGAGAGGTTGACCTGTGTAACCAGTAGAATATTATGAAAAGGATGGACTCTGACTTCTGAGTTAGACATTGTGGCTTCCATTTTGCTCTTTTAAATTATTCATTCTGGGGAAATCCAGCTGCAGTGTTGGGAGGGCACCCAAGTAGCCCTATGGAAAAGTCCATGTGGTAAGGAACTGAGGCCTCCTGCTGTAAGAGTGAGCTGTCTTGGAAGTGGATCCTCCAGCCTCAGTCAAGTCTTCAGATAAAACATGCCGGATAATGGGCCAGCATCTTAGCTGCAACCTCATGAGAAACCCTGAATGAGAACAGTTCAGCTAAGCCACTCTTAAATCCCTGATCTGAAGAAACTATGCAAAATCATAAATGTTTATTGTTTTAAGCCACTAAATTTTGGAGTAATCTTATCTTCCATGCACCAATAGATAACTAATACATCACCTGATAGGGTTGTTATAAAGATTAAATAATACAATGCTTCCAAAATGCTTTGCATATAATCTCTTAATTAATAGACACTTTATATGTTAGTACTTAATATATTATATAACTAATACATAAGTACTTTATATATTAGTTATTATCAATATTATTTCATATATCCATATGATGAAATATGATAGAGACAATAAAGTATAAACAAATAAACCGGTGGCTCATGTCTGTAATCCCAGCACTTTGGGAGGCCGAGGCAGGTGGATCACTTGAGGTCAGAAGTTCAAGACCAGCCTTGCCAGCATGGTGAAACCCCATCTTTACTAAAAATACAAAAAAATTAGCTGGGCGTGGTGGAGCATGCCTGTAGTCCCAGCTACCTGGGAGGCTGAGGCAGGAGAATGGCTTGAACCCGGGAGGCGGAGTTTGCAGTGAGCCGAGATTGCACCACTGCACTTCAGCCTGGGCAACAGAGCAAGACCTGGTCTCAAAAAAAAAAAAAAAAAAAAAAAAAAAAAAAAGAAATATACCAAAATGTTAAGAGTAGTTATCTCTGGAGTGAGATTATGATAATTTTCTTTACTGAACTGTTTTATATTTTCCAAATTCTCTACAATTACTTTTCTACTTTATGTATTTATGATTCTATATACTCTGAAAATGTTTTCAAAAACATTACAAATCCTCCAAGCGCTGTTTATGTTTTGACTGGTTTTTGTAGGCTGAGAGTGTAAGCTCAACCTTAGGTGTGAGCAAAAACTTTGGAGATCCCAAGAACATAGGTCCCAAAAGCCAATGTACATGTCAGCTTGGTTGTTCAAATCCATGGTCAGCCATGGATTCGTCTTTAAGCCTTAACATTATTCCTAGGGCTAAGAAGTGCTCATGCATAAATACATATAGATAGGAGAATAAGCTAAGTGGAAGGTCAACTTGTATGTAAAAGTGCAATTGGAAAAAAAAGAAAAAAATATGATGTATGGAAGCATATGGTGGGAAAATGGTATATAGAGAGGAAGACAGGGAGGTAGAAGAGTATCCCTTGGGAATATGAACTACTGGGTACTAGGTACTTTGCATTATTTATCTTTGATGTTCACAGAAACTCTGAAATATAAAGTTTTTTCGGTTCCATATTCCATTTTAAGCACTTTCTATGTATGTATATATATTTAATATCTATCTATTTATCTGTCTGTCTATTTAGTCTAATGCATACATGCTGTGTGTATAATATGGTATCTCATCAGGATTCTTTGTCTGAAAGCAAAAGAAACCACCTCTGTCCAATGTATACAAGAAAGGAGTTTATTGGAAGGATATGGGCTAAGCCCTAGACTCTAAGTGCAAGCTATAGAGTCAGGCCTCAGAAAGTCCAGGCAGCAATCAACACTTAGAACTTCTTCAGGAACCACTGCTGGGACCATTCAGCTCTAACTCTTTTTGGTCCCTGAGTAACTCCTCTCTGGACCCAGTTTCAAGGGAGAGTGAAAGTCTGGTTGACTTAGCTTAGAGCATGTGCCCTTCCCTTGCCTAGGGGAAAGTGGGGCCCACCAAGTCTGCAAGCAGTAGGGGAGATGCGGGTAGTTTTCTAAAGCAAAACGGAGGTGCTGTTACAAAAAGACAGGGGCATGGAAGGCCAGCAGGGAAAATGATGGTTGTGTACTATGCCTAGGTTCTAATTCCATTTTTGCTACTAATTTCCTGTGTGGACTTAGGTAATTTAATTTCTGTAAGCCTCAGTTTACTCATATGTTAAATGGAGATAGTACTGCCTGTCCTGGGTTTTTGCAAAGATTAAGTAAAAATAAGTGAAAAATTACAGGTTCACTGTCCTTACCTGAAATCTTAGAAAAAAGAAGTGTTTGGATATTAAGAATTTTTCAGCTTTTATAAAGGTAATGAGATACACAATACAATGTATATTATGCAACACCCCATTGGGATCTGATTCATCACCTCATAGTCAAACAATAGTATTTCTGCATCAGATTCATTAGTATGTGCCTGGAGTGGGATAAATTAAAACTACAAATAGTTCTATGCCAGTTTTTGCTGTCAGGCTTGGCTGCCAAGTGGATTTGCTGCAAGTATGCAAAAAGAAACAAATAAGCCAAAAATTCGGATTTTGGAGCTGTTTGGATTTTGGGACAAGGGATTGTAGATATATATGGTTTTTATAGTTCCAGGTTGGCTTCATCCCAAACATTAGCTCTTTATCTTTTCTAGTTGGTCCCCGATTATCTTTTTTCATTTATTCAGATTGAGGAGGAAGAGACCAACATGGCTTCCTTCACTCTTTGGAAACCCAGAGAATGGTAGGTTGAAGTGCTGGAAAAGTCAGAGTTCCAATTAGAAGATCTCTCCTCTTAGAATTTAGCTCTCATTTCTGGGTTGGCACCTGATAGTCATGACCCCAGAGGAGACCAGTGAATCATCCAGTCATGAGGTTTGGAGATGATTCAGCAAGTTCGAAGTGGTGTCAGGAGTGCTTTTGGCTGAAGTTCTCTAAGGTACTGATTACACATCCAATTATGCAACTGGCCCAGAGGCCCGCATTGTGGTACAACCTTATTCTCACCCAAACTAAACATGTGAGATGGGGCCTGCACCTGGTACAGCATGATCTCTTGGTAGACCTCAGGCCCTTGAGCCCAGGGAAATGGTTCCTGCCACGATGGTTCTCTTTCTTCTCTTTGGAGAATGGAAGATGGACTGACCATCACCTCTGTTCATATTTACTCTTTCAGCATCCTTCTCTTCTTCTGGACTAAGGTCAAGGATGATTGGGGGACCCAGAAATGATTCCCATCTCATGTCCTCTTGATGTGTTGTCAGACTTCATGGCATGAGAGGGGACTTCTCCAGGATGAATCAGTTCCTAATGTCCAACACCCAGTAGTTAGAAACTAATTTACATGGAATAAGACATTGTCCTTTGTTCTTGTAGGCAATGCAGTGTACCAGGACTAAAAGTCATGAGCTTGGGTTCAAGCCTCATTTCTGTTGCTGACCATGAACTTGGCCACTTCACTTTATCTTTTGAGCTTCATTTTTATCAACTGAGTTGGGGAGAAGAGGAGGCTCCATTAGCTTCAATATTCTACAATTATTTTTGAGAATGCTATCTGTGAACTGCTTCCCTTTCACTCTCCATTCATCCAACACACAGTCTCTGCTCTTAGCTTATGTTGTAGTGTGATAAGGCAGAAACATTCTTAAGAGAGGAAATGGGAGATAGTGGTAGGTGCTGCAATATGCTACCATGACAACATTAGATGGTGGTCAGGAAAGAATCCTTGGAGGGAGGTGACATTTGAGAAGAAACCTGATAATGGCTCAGCAATATTTGTTGAATGAATTGATGAACAAGAAGGAATCAGCCATAGAAATATGTGGAGGAAGAACGTTCTAGGCAGAGGCAACAAAAATGTAAAGATTCTGAGGTGGGAATGGCTTTGGCATATTTGAACACTAGAAAGAGGGCAGTGGAGCTGAAGAACAGTGTGTAGACTGAGTGCTTGGAGAGAAAGTCAGACATAACTGAACAGGGGCTTTATAGATCATGTTAAGGAGTTAGGTTTTATATTAAGGGTGAAGGGAAACCAATGGCAGAGTAATATAATCTGATTTACCCTTAAAAATACATCATGCAATGTGATATCACTTCTTACCCGCTAAAAGGGCCAAATTAAAAAAGACAGACAATACCAAGTGTGGTTGAGGATGTGGAGCAACCAAAACTCTCATACACTGCTGGTGAAAATAGAGATGGGTATGACAAGTTTGGGAAACTGATTAGCTGTATCTGTAAAGCTGAATATAGGTACATCCTACCACTCAGCAGTTTCATTCCTAGTTATATTTTCAATAGATACGTGTATATATGTTGACTAAAAGATATACCTAAGAATGTTCATAATAACCCTAAATGGGAAACTACGTAAACTCTCATACTCTTATTAAGAGTTGAACAGGTACCTGAATTGTGGGATGGTCATATAGTTGAATACTATATGCAACAACAATGAACAAGCTAAAAGTACACACAACATCATGGGTGAATTTCACAAACTTAACATTGCATAAGGGAAACCAGTTTGAAAAGTTCAAACAATCTAATTCCATTTATATGGAGTTCAGAAATAGGCATAACTGATCTGAGGTGTTGAAAGTCAGGATAGTGGTTACCTTTGGAGAGTCTAGTGACAGGAAGGGGGTGTGAAGGGGCCATGTAGGATCCTTTAATGTCTGGTGTCTTGACCTGGATGCTGGTTACATGTATTTGGTGCTTTGTCTAATCTTGCTTCTACCCCTGCTTCCCCAGGCCAAATGGGCCTTGAGCGTAGAGAGATGAAGTGAAGAATGTAGGAGAATATTTCTCCTTGGCCACCGTAGACCACAATCTGCTTTCACGTTTACTATCACAGTTTTCTCAAGAGTGTTGGGCAAATGAAATTTACCCATTTTATAGGCAAGGACATCATAGCTTAGTGACCTGCCCAAGGGGCTGTGCCTCATACAGTAAGAGTCAGACTGCAAGCCCAGGTCCTTGGATGCTCTTCATGAGGCCTGCTGGTATTTTTATTTCTCCACACTGCTTCTCTGGACCGGACCAACTGGTCTCCTGACCTCCATCTAGCTTCATGACTAGGAAATGCTACATTTGCCTTTGAGTCTTGAAACGAATCCAAGAAACTCCAGCATTTTGACCATTATCTTTGTTTATATAGCCTTATCTTGTGAACTACTTTTTTAAAAAAGCAATGCTTCTAATTGAGGAGATAAAAATATTATAAGTTGAAAAAAAAAACCCCACAGGTTGGAGTCCCATTAAACTCTGGAGGACAAACGATGGTGTTCATTGTTAGATTTTCTCAGCTCTACTGCATGGGCATATGGCATTCTGTGTGACACATTTTTGCTTTAACCACAAAATTTCATGAATTTTCAGTCACTGAATAATGAAATTAATCATCATTGCAGACAAAAAGAAGGGGGCAATTTTGAAGGTAAAACTATTTCCTTGAAAATGTATTGAGAAACAAAGCACTTGACCACATTCACGGGGACTGAGCCCTCAGGGGATAAGTGTCCAGAGCCTTAGGCATAGAAGAGCAAGTCATTCTGTTCCCATGGGATAAGAAGCTGGTGGCCAAGCATCCAAGGTTTATTTAGTCTCTGGTTCTATATATCTACAGCCATGGCTAGTAGCCAGGCACTGTTAACAGGCCATAAGATAGTTCTTTTTGCCCTTTGAAGACAACAGGAGGTTTGGGGGCAACAAGGAAAATCACAGTCCCACTGAGTGCCTACCGGGTGCACCCTCTGCTTCCATTTTATTTGATGTCTGATCAAGTGGAGGCTGTTTATAACCCCACACATAGGGAACTCAGGGATCTGGAAGTGAAGTCAGAATTCTTTGAGGTGGGAAACCACTGAAGGGATTTAAAGAAAGAAGTCATCTGGCTAGGTCTGTCTTTTAGAGAAATAAGTGGGTTTATTCCTCCCCACCCCTGCTAGGATTGCCCCTTCAATCCATACTCCTGGTGGTGGCAATGGGGAGAGTGAGCTGGAAGAGGAGAGGATGGAGCCAGGGAGAACAGTGAGAGGGCTTCTTTTTATAGTCTGGGTGAGAGATCATTGCATCCCCAGCCAATGCATCCATGAGGCAGTGCCAACTCTTCCTTCCCATCCTTTCTGCTGCCATCGTTATACATTTTACCTCTATATGTTATTTCTCTTGCCATTCATCTTTATTATTTCTCTTAACATTCATATGATCATCTTAGGTGTTTCCTCCTCCTCCAGCCTTGAGAAGGAGGAGAATACAATAATTTCAGAAGTGTAATTTGGGCACCTATGTCTCTGTGGCATTGGATGACTTGCCTAGAATCTTTATTCAGGTTGGAAGATCTGGAGGGCAACTGCTTTAGGTTGGGTGAGGTCCCAGCCTACCTTACAAAGGAGTTGAGTATGGTGTGGTCTCATCATCACCTCTAGTGAGGAGCTGGGGACAAGGACAAGTGCCCATACCCTCTGTGATGGACACAGAGATATGAGGCCTTGGTACATTCTTTCCCAAGGATCCCTGGAGTGAGGAAGAGGAGGGAGAGGAAGGGGGATGGAGAATTACATGGTCCCAGCCTACCTTGTGAAGCAGTTGAGTGGTGAAGGAGCTGGCACAAGGTAGCAAAAACTTGGACATCTTCATCCCATCTCATATTCTCCTTTTTACAGGTGGAGAAGTGAAGGGCCAGAGGAAGGAAGTGAATTATAATCGCCATCATTACAAGTTGCTGAGTGCTGGCTACCTTGTGACAACTACCTCTTTCAATCCTTGCCCTGTGAGGGAGCATATTAATTTTCTGTGGCTACTGTAACAAATTACCTCAAACTTGGTGGCTTAAAACAATTGATTGTTAAAAACAAATAGCAATTGATTATCTCAAATTTCTGGAGGCCAGAAGTCCAAAATCGAGGTATTGGCGGGCCACATTCCCTCCAGAGGCTCTAGGGGAGAATTCCTCCTTGGCTCTTTCAGCTTTGAGTGGCTTCAGGCATCCCTTGGCCTGTGGGCTGCGTAACTTCAATCTCTGCCTTGGTCTGCACATGTATGTGTATGTCTCCGATCTCCCTCTGCTTTCCTGAAGACACTTGTCATTGGATTTAGGGTCCTCCCAGTAATCCAGGATGATCTCACCTTGAGATCCTTTACTTAGTTACACTTGCAAAGACCTTCTTTTTTTTTTCAAATATGGTGAGATCGTTTTGGAGGGAGCATCATTCAGCTCAGTGCAGGGTGATGTCATCATCATCTCCATTTTACTGAAAAAGACATTGAAGCTCAGAGAGGTGAAGGGTCCTTCCGAGGGCTACACAGTCAGCAGATGGCAGAGATGGGCTCCATGGCCATTGCTCTTTGCAGTACACTGTATTTGATAACAGTAATGGTAATAATGGCTAACCCTGACCACACTCAGATATATTAATTCAGTTAATCCCCTGAAAAATGCTATGAGAAGGGAAGTATTATCATAGTCCCCACTTTAGAGATTAGGAAACAGAGGAACAGAGAGGTTGATTAATTTTCCCATGGCCACACAGCAGCGAAGAGCAGAGCCAGGGTTGAACTCCAGGCACATTGGCTCCGAATCTGACATCAAAGGTCACCACACAAACCATTGTCCGAATTGTTTTCAGTGGTGGCTGGTGAGTTTTAAAAAGGGTTCTGGAAGATGGGCCCCTATGATCCAATGGGGGAAGGCAGACTGTAGGCAAGATGGGAGAGATTTGGGAAACACTTGCAGGAAGGGACACTTTTCTGTGACTCAGGAGACACTTTTCTATGACTCACTCTTCAGTGGCTCTCTAGGTTCTTTCACCTCCTGGCTGGTGGCCCTGGGACAAACTTCCCCTTCCTCATGCAGATAGTGCGGGCATCCTGGGTCAGCCAAGCTAGGAGCTGACCTCTTGCTTCCTTGCTTCACCCCTTCAGCGATGTCCAATCCCCTTCAGTGATGTCCAATCCCCTTCAGTGATGTCCAGTCGGTCAATTGGATCCACTTTGTGATCCATTCTCTGTGAATCCTGCCTCCTTGTTTCAGGTCCCCTCTCCTCCCTTTGCTTCCCATTGTTACTGTAAGTGGCCAAAGCTCGTCATCTCTCCCAGGGATGGGAATGGCTGGGATCCGCACTCTCTAGGCTTCTCCATCCTTTCCCCAGCTGCCTGCAGCACTCACTGGGGCAAAGACTGTCGCCATGACCATTCCACCCCTTCCCCATATGCATTCCCCATGCCATCCTACAAACACATCTTCTCTCTCATTTGTGCATCCTAAATGCCTGGACTGCCATCATTCATTCATTCATGCATTCATGCATTCAACATGTATTGCTGATTGCCTGCTTTGTGTCAGGTACCAGGGAAACAGACATGAATGATGAACAGGGCAAACATGTTCTCTGTCTGCATGGATCTTCCATTTGGTTTGGGACATCAACTAAGTAAACTCAGAAAGTAAATAAACAATAAATAATGATGATAAAATGGATGAAGGGAAGAAACAAGGGGTGAGAGAGAATAATGTGGTGGGTGGGGTGGGGGCTCCTTTTGATAGGGTGGTCAGGAAGGGTGCTGCAGAGGTGCCGGAAGGGTCTTGCAATGATTGAATGTCATGTAGGGAAGCCCTTAGCATCCTGTCTGATGCAGAGTAAGTAGGCAATAAATGTCAGCCATTGTCACTCACAGATTCATTCATTCAACAAAAATCTTCTGAGGGCTAATTGTTACGCTCATGTGCATAAACGCCAGTGATCTCAGTCCCAGGTGGAGAATGATCTCGGTTCCCTCAACCCCATTAGCATTCTTAGTTTTGCTTTTCAGATAAGTAAGCCAAATAAATCCATAGGCAAAGTGGGAATTAATTCTGTTTTCTTCTCCAACACTCCATGAAAGATAAATGTCTCAGAGGCCCTGCTAATGAATTCCAATGCTTTTCTCCTTGGTCTTATCTTCAGCATAGATGTCGCTACATTTCTTCCCTTAAAGGCTCTTTCAGAAGGTTTTGATTTTGCTGTTGCCCTGAGGTGGCCCTCTTGCCTGTGACTGTGGACAGGGCTGACAGGTCTTTTGGGGAAATGGCATAGGCAGCTGCTGATTTTGAATAGGACAGACCTCTATGCCTGCGTCTTCCTCACTTACAAACACCTCAGATTCTTGAATCCCCGTTTGTGTCCTCAAAGCACCATTTTCTGGACCACTGACTTGTTATGGGAGGGTTACTGGGGAATTCTGGATCGCAGGCCCTGGCATTCTAATTAAATCAAACAAGTGAAATGAAGAGGAAAAGAGGCTCATGGATATCTTTAGGAAAAACAAAACCCAAATTCCCCACATGAAGAGAATGACGTGGTATTTGAACAGGAGCCTAGAATTCCTATAAGACTGCGTGAGAGCTGACATTTCCGAACCAGACCCCACCCACATCCCAGCACCCTCCACATTGGCTTCTGCTTTAACATACAGCCTCCCATGACGTCACCCCAAAGGCGTATGTTGGCCAGATTGAGAACGGGACCTTGTGGGTAACATTGTGCCAACAGATTAGTCTTCTTATGAAATTTCTTATGCCTGGCCCTGGGCTTCTCTTCATGGACCCTAATTCCTTCTCCAGTGGTATTTGGTGAATGTTGCTCACCTTGGACTTTTGGGAAGGTAATTGGAAGCTATGTTTTGTCTATATTGGCCTGTAGTCCTTGGAATCCATTAAAAAATTGCTAGTCCCTATGAAATGGTTTAGTTCGGTTCAATACATATTTGCTTAGCATCTTCTTGGTGGCAGGTCCCATGCAAGAAGTGGGGGATAGAGGGATGAAAGACACAGTCCTCAGCCATGAGATGCCCTTGATGAAATGTGGGACATGAGGTGAGTCAGTGTCATGGTGGCCCAGCCTGGGGCAGAGTGGGCTGAGGACTCTCCAAGAATGGCTTCTTGGGGGCAGATAGCATCTGCGGTGGGTCAACTGGTGCTTGCCCCCAAATTCATGTCCACTCAGAACCTTAGAATGTGACCTTACTTGGAAATCGAGTCTTTGCAGATATAATTAAGTTAAGAATCAAGATGAGACCATGCTGGGAAGGGGGGCCCTAAATCCAATGAGAATGTCCTCATAAAGAAAATGGCACAGAAAGAGAAGGCCGTGGGAGGACTCAGGCAGATGGGAGTGAAGCAGCGGTAAGCCAAGGAAAGTCAAAGATGGTTAGAACCAGCAGAAGCCAGGAAGAGGCGAGGAAGGATTTCTTCCTAGAGCCTTCAGAGGGAGCTCAGCCCTGCTGACACTTTGATTTTGAACTTCTAGCCTCTAGAACTGTAAAAGAATCAATTGCTGTTGTTTCAAGCCACCCAGTTTGTGGTACTTTGTAACAGCAGTCCCAGGAAACAAATACAGTATGGAAGCATCTGAGATGAGCCATTGGAGTCTTGCCATTGCTTTCCTGCCCCTTTCCTTGTTCCAGCACATCAGGCTGGGAGACATCCACTGCTCTGTGAACTCCTGGGTAGTAAGAGCCTCACCCTACTCCACCACTCCCACATTTAATGTGATGTCTGACGCATAGGAGTCTATGGCCAATATTTGTTGAATGCATGAATAACCGAGTGTGTGAATGAATGAATAAGTAGAAGAGTAGTACTAACAAGGGTGGACAAGTTAGCTGGTGGAGATAAAAGGGCCACCCTTACAGTCAGGGTAACTGCAAAATTAAAACCTTCTGAAAGGGGCTGTAAGGTGGACCAAGCTGCACGAAGCAGGTCCTCCGGCATGAAAAGCCATGGCCGCTGCTGTGGAGGGGCTGTTCTCAGTCATCTGCTTCAATGGCTGATCCTTGGTAAAAGTGGATATTTAGGAATGTTTTGCACTGGGGATTTGCAGACTAGGCAGCAATCAGGATAAGGAGAAGGGCCGAAATAGAAAGGAGGAGAAGAGAACCGAGCTGTGTCCATTGCCTACTCTATGGTAGACACTGTCCTGTGTCCGTTAATGTCCATGATCTTTCTCTCTGTCCTTGAAACAGTTCATCAGGGAGGTAAAAATTCCTTCACTTTACAGATGTGGAAGCTGAGGTGCAGAGAGGTGAAACCTGTCAAAAGTAATACTGCCAGTAAGTGGTAGAACTGCCAAACTCGAATGGAGCCCAGGTCTCTTTTGCTCCCAAGTTTGTGTTCTCTGCAGTACAACATGCTGCTTCTGCCAATAAGTGATTGTTGGGAAGGGAAATTGGCGTACCTCGGCTGAAAAAGGCTTTAATGTCGCCCAAGTCCAGGGGACTGGAGGAGGAATTCTCTGAAAAATGATCTAAGAAGATAGCACCTTGGCAGAGATCTGGGGATCCTGATCATCCGAAGGCCATCTGCTCTATGCTTTCAGCTGGTCTTGAATAAGGTTCTCTGCGTAAAAATCCATATTATTTTCTTCCTGTCATATTTTACTACTCTAGGCTATGTTTTTCATTGTTCTCAGATAGAACTGCAATCATTTTTTTTTTTTTTTTTGAGACTGGGTCTCTCTCTGTTGCCCATTCTGGAGTGCAGAGGTGCAATCACAGCACCCTCGACCTCCCGGGCTCAGCTGATCCGCCCATCTCAGCCTCCAGAGTAACTGGGACTACAGGTCCCACCACCATGCCTGGATAATTTTTGTATCTTTTTTGTAGAGACGGGGTTTCACCACGTTACCCATGCTGGTTTTGAACTCCTGGGCTCAAGTGATCCACCCACCTCGGCCTCCCAAAGTGCTAGGATTATACAGGTGGGAGCCACTGCGCCTGGCCTTGCAATCATTTTTAAAGGTTAGACACCATGTAGGTTTCTATCTGATTTAAACCCCCAGTTTGTTTGATAATTTTGCCCTTGTTTTCACCCCTTAGCAGCCTGGACACCCCGATGATGTTTGGGACCCATTCACTCATGCATCCATTCATTCATCCTACAAGCATGTGAGCATCGTCTGCCAAACACTGACTGAGCCTGTGCTGGGAGTTCAAACAGCATGAAGCCTCTGTCCTTGCCCCCTTCAAGAGCTCCCACTCCAGACTGATTCAGTAAGTCCCTATTGTGCTTCAATGTGACAGGGGCTAGAATCAAGGGAGGGATCCTGGGTAGAAAGTTTGGAGAAGGCTCCACAGAGGAGGTGAGGGTCAAGTAGGAGTTCACTAGGAAGGGTAGGGAAAGGCGTCATAGCAGAGGGACTAACGTGCAAAGGCACAGAGGCATGATGTGCGTGGTTTACTGGGGCTAGGGGAGGACCCAGACATCCTGGGCAGGATGACGTGTTTGAGTAAAACCAGTCACAGTCCTTGTCCCCTGGGACATGACAGGCTTTTGTTATAGGTGGGAAAGGTAAATTCAGCCTATGCTGGGACTTTGGTTTTAAGAAGTAGATACTTGGGCCTTTGTGCTGTTACCAGAAAGAGTGAATACTGAAGAGGTTAAGGCAGGATCATAGGATGGGGCCACCTGGAGGGGTACTGGAGGTTCCAGGCCGGGAGGGTTCACCCTAGGAGCCACCACTGCTTATGGGCAGAGTATCCGGAGGGTCTCAAAGGGCAGAGTATCAGGAATTGTCTCAAAGAGAGGAGCCAGGATTCCAGTGACTCTGTCCTGCTGGGGCCATGTCCTTCTGCCAGGGAATGACCCGATGCAGTAACTAGCTGGTCATGCCCTGGCCAGTGAGTGGTCTGATGGAGGCCTCAGGACAGCCAGGCCTTCTTTTAAGATGCTGGCTAGGAGTCAGGTGGGTTGTGCGGTGCTGAATGCCACAGTCTCCCCAGGTCCTGCTCCCCACTGCCCCATCTCCCTGCTTCAGTTCCTTCCTGCCATCGCTGTTTTCTCTGCTGGCTCCTTCTCCTCTGCTCACTGCTTTGCACTGGCATGGGGTGTTTGATCTTTGTGTTTTCTTGCTGAGCCCTTTACTTCAATTTCTCTCTTTTCCCTCATTGCCTGTTGAGATGATTAGCCAGGCTGTTTGACATTTTTCACTTAGAGCGTTTCAGTTTAACGGCTGCTGGCTAAATATATTTTGACCTCAGCCATGGGCTGTGACTCTCTCCCCAGCCAGTGAGGCCAACGAAGCCTTGTGCCAAAACCATCTCTCTTTCTTTCTGGGCTGAGACTGTCCTTGGCAGGTTGGAGAGGAGCCCTCATATTCTGCAGATTATTTTGCAACCTAATTCAGATAATGGGTTTGGCTGCTGGGATGTCCAGGTGTGTGGATTCGTTGGCCATGCAGGCGTCTTCTTTGACACACAAAGCTGGCCTGCGATGTGTCTGGCCCTAGTGCCATCTTTCTTTATAAATCCCAGGAGGCAATTTATGTAGTTCTTTTGTACCCCAGGGTGACTTGGACAAGCTGTAAGTAGCCACAGACTCTGACGTCTTATTAAATATTGGACTGAGACTAAAGGAAAAGATAGTCAAGGGATTAGCAAGCCTCCAACAGAAGGATTTTTGGAGGCCAAAGAAGGCATTTATAGACAAGACTCCCATTTCTAATTCCAGGCAGATAGGGTGCCCTGGATAAAGCCCTTTGCCCACCAGGCTTGACCCAGGTGGGCCATGTGATTTTGTACCCCACCGAGACTTGCCAGGCTCAGTTCAGGGTGGGTCAGGGGAAAGAAAGAGGGAAGGACAGAATGACTCCGAGCAGAGGATCTGGGGCACGGGAACTAGTGCCTCAACATGTTTACCTCTGAATTTGTGAAGGAGATCTCAGAGACGATGTAGATTCAGCCTCTTCATTCATTTACTAATTCATTAATTCATTTACTAATTCATTAATTCATTGACTAATTCATTAATTCACTTACTAATTCATTAATTCATTTATCATGTGTTTATGGAAGATCTATAATGTATGTGGCAGACACTGAGGGCAGCCCTGGGAATGCGGAGATGAACAGGACAGAATAAGAAGTCTAGAGGGGAAAACAGAGATCAAATAATTACGAATAGGATAAGAGTCTCAAAGGAGAAGAATAGGGGGCCGGGCGCGATGGCTCATGCCTGTAATCCAAGCACTTTGGGAGGCCGAGGCAGGTGGATCACCTGAGATCAAGAGTTTGAGACCAGCCTGACCAACATGGTGAAACCCTGTCTCTACTAAAAATACAAAATTAGTCGGGCATGGTGGCGCATGCTTGCAATCTCAGCTACTTGGGAGGCTAAGGCAGGAGAATTGCTTGAACCCAGGAGGTGGAGGTTGCAGTGAGCCGAGATTGCACCATTGCACTCCAACCTGAGCAACAAGAGTGAAACCCCATCTCAAAAAACAAGAAACAAAAACAAAAAAAAACCCAACAACAACAAGAAAAACAAAAGGGGGAATGATAGGGGTATTTAATAGGAAAGCTGACCCAAACTGGAGTGGGGGAAGCATGGAAGACACCCCTGATGCTGTGACTCTTAATCTGGTGTGCAAGGTGTAAGTCGAAATTATGTAGGGTGAAGAGGTAAGAGAGGTGTGTATCAGGTAGTGGCAACTGCACATGCCAAGGCCCTGAGGAAAGAGAGGAGGGTGTAAAGTAAAGAAGGATGGCTGGGCCTGAGACAACTTCAAGGAGTGAGGGTGGCAAAAGATGAGGCCAGAGAGATAGGTGGGTGCTGGATTAGGGAATGAACTAGAAGCTACATAAAGGATTGGGGGCTTTATGCAAAGGTCTCTGAGAAGCCATGGAATCATTTTAAGCACGGGCGTAACATGATCAGGTCTGTGTTTTAAAAAGATCACTCTGGCGGGGCGTGGTGGCTCACGCCTGTAATCCCAGCACTTTGGGAGGCCGAGGCGGGCGGATCACGAGGTCAGGAGATCGAGACCATCCTGGCTAACACGGTGAAACCTCGTCTCTACTAAAAATACAAAAAATTAGCCGGGCGTGGTGGCAGGCGCCTGTAGTACCAGCTACTTGGGAGGCTGAGGCAGGAGAATGGCATGAACCCAGGAGGCGGAGCTTGCAATGAGCCGAGACTGCACCACTGCAGTCCAGCTTGGGCCACAGAGCAAGACTCCATCTCAAAAAAAAAAAAAAAAAAAGATCACTCTGACTGTTGCTCAAGGAAGGCTCATGGGGTAGCAGTGGAAGCAGGGGGCACATTTTGGAGGCTGATCAGATGAGGATGGCTTGAGTTGGGGAAGCACCAGTGAAGATGGAGAAGCTGGAGGTGTTTGTGATCTATTTCCCAGGGGTGTTGCAGACAGGACCTGTTGATGGGTTATGTGAAGGGTGGGTGGTCAGGGAAGGAAGGCATCTTTGAGCAGAGACCTGGGGGCGTTGAGGGAGTGAACCATGTGGGTATGATGTGTGGGGCAAATGTTTTCAAGGGGAGGGCACAGCAAGTGTGAAAAAGAAAGAGGGGATGTGTTAGTCCATTTTCGGCTGCTATGAAGGAATACCTGAGGCTGGGGAATTAATAAAGAAAACAGGTTTATTTGGTTCATGGTTATACAGGCTGTCCAAGAAACATGGCACCAGCATCTGCTTTTGGTGAGGGCTTCGGGCTACTTCCATTCATGGTGGAGGGGGAAGGAGAGTGTATTAGTCCGTTTTCATGCTGCTGATAAAGACATACCTAAGACTGGGTAATTTATAAAGAAAAAAACGTTTAGTGGACTCACAGTTCCATGTGGCTGGGGAGGCCTCACAATCAGGGTGGAAGGTGAAAGCCACGTCTTACATGGTGGCAGACAAGAGAGAATGAGAGCCAAATGAAAAGGGAAACCCTTTATAAAACCATCAGCTCTCGTGAGACGTATTCACTATCATGAGAACAGTATGGGGGAAACCACCCCCATGATTCAATTATCTCCCACCAGGGTCCTCTCATATTATGGGAGCTACAATTCAAGATGAGATTTGGGTAGGGACACAGCCAAACCATATTAGAGAGCCAGCATTTCACATGAGAGGGAGCAAAAGAGAGGGGAAGTGTTCTATGCCCTTTTAAACAATCAACTGTCCTGTGAATTAATAGAGGTGGGACTGAGAGCCTGAATAGAGGGGGTTTAAAGAGACTAGGTTGGAACAAGATGCCAGCCAGAAGCTAAGGGGACAGTGTCCAGGCTGAGGAGCAGGGCTGGCAATCCAAGCAGGGTCTCTGAACCACAGCCAAGAGATCTGGGGAGCAGAGCAGAGCTTCAGACCCCAGGAGGAGAATCTGAAGTACAAAAAAGACAACTTAGAAAGAAGGAAAAGTCTAGAACATGAACCTGGAGAGCCAGATGGGGAGGAAGGCTACAGCTGGAGTGAACTCTGGTGCCAGGCTCAGGGCAGCAAGACTGATGGCAGATGCTTCCGTTGGTGGGGAGAGGACTTAGCTTACATTGTTAGGCTCAGACGGGCTGACCATGACAGGAGGGGAATGAAACCAGCCATGCAGGTCTTCCGTGCTCACAGCTGACCAGAGCGGTGGTTCTCGACCCTGACTGTACATTTCAAAAATCTGGGAAGCTTTTCAAAAAATACAGTGTTCTGCCCCCAGCCTCAAAGCATCCCTATTCATTTTTCTCCAATGGAGCTGGCCCCATTTTCAAACATCTTCCCAGATGACTGTGTTGTGCAGGCAGCGCTGAGAACTGCTGTTCTCCACTTCAGCTTATTCCTGTGTTTGGGACTGAGCCAGTGTGGGAGGCACCTTGAGATAACGGGAGCTATAGAGATAGTCAGCCCTGGCATCTGAGGGCAATGACTGCTGTAAGCACTGAAGGAATTTGTTGACTTTCCCCAGAAGAGCAATCCTCATAACACTGACCAAAATGAACATCCTGATTAATTATGCAGGTTTATAGCTCCCCAGAGGCTGCAGAAAAACATCATTTGGCACCAGAAACAAACTTTATTCTGGCAATGCAGGATAATTTTACAAACATTAGATACTGAATTGTGCATATATCTCTGGAATTTCAATGTACTACATCCATAGAATGCAGAAAAACAAGGTCAGGGCCAATTTCTCACGCTGCCACCTGGACCAAGCAGTTCCAGGAATCCTCTGGGTTCTCTCAGCCCTCTTGTTCCAGATTTCAGTGGTGTCCTGGGCAGATGTGGTTTTTGTCTGGATTTCTCTCTTTGGGGAAATGCTTCTAACCCATTATATGCAGTTTGGATGGGCTGTCAGTGACAACAGGTAACCCCACCTCTGTCTGTGGGGATGTGGTCCAGGACTAGCCAGTCCTGGCAACAGTGATTGGCTCAAGAGGTAGACATGGAATTCAAAAGAGGCCCATAAGCATTGTTTTTTAGGTTTAATATATGGATAATGGCAAAGTTCTCTCCTGAAGATATAAAGCTGGAAAATGAGTCTGGGTTTATCATTTGTCATTGTCCACACACTGTGTGGGTAAATGAAGAAGATTGCTAGAGAGAGAGGAAAACCTAGGGATGAGAGAGAGGAAGACAGAGGGGAGACTGAGAGAGAGAGAGAGAGAGAGGGGCAGAGAGAGGCAGAGAGACAGAGAAGAGAGAGAAGCAGAGAGGGGGAGACAGACAGAGAGAGAGAAGAGAGACAGAAACTGAGACAGAAAGGAGACAGGCCAGGCGTGGTGGCTCACGCCTGTAATCTCAGCATTTGGGAGGCTGAGGCCGGTGGATCACTTGAGACCAGGAGTTCGTGACCAGCCTGGCCAACATAGTGAAACCCTGTCTTTACTAAAACGCAAAAATTAGCTGGACTTGGTGGCACATGCCTATAATCCCAGCTACTCAGGAGGCTGAGGCGTGAGAATCGCTTGAACCTGGGAGGTGGGGGTTTCAGTGAGCTGAGATAGCACCACTGCACTCCAGCCTGGGCTACAGAGTGAAACTCCATCTCAAAAAAAAGAAAAAGAGAGAGAGAGAGAGAGAGAGAGAGAGAGACAGACAGAGATAGGGGAGAGAAAGAAAGAAGGGGGAAAGACAGAGACAGATGGAGGTGGGGGAGAGAGATAAGGAGAGAGGCAGAGAAGGAGAGAGAGAGTTCTGGCAATGCAATGCCTAGTTCCAGGCCTCCCGACTCTGGTACCTCAGTCTTGTGAGCTCTCCCTGCAGCCTTTAAGGGTTAAGCCCTTTGGAGCTGGGTTTGTGTCCCTGGCGACAGAAGGCATTTTGACTAGGGCAGAAGGTTTCTTGTCGACCTCATGGGAGGCCAGACGTGCGGGGTATGCACTGGAGAGTGAGGCAGGCATGGTCAAAGAGCTTGTGCGGCAGCTGTCCCTGGGATGTCCAGGTGTCCGTCTCGGGGTCGTAGCAATCGAAGGAGGCGGAGTCCTCAATGTTGCAGTCCGTGGTCAGCCGCCGCCCGCCCGTCACGTAGAGTTTGTTTCCCATCACTGTGGCCCCATGGTGCATCCTCCGGTCTTTCATGTCCGCACATTTGACAAATTTGTTGGATTGAGGGTCATAAGCAAGAATCCTCCTTGTGTAACCTGAAAACCAAATGACACATGGGCAAGCTCAGTGTTGCTCATCTGGGACTGGAGGTCAGCAGTCCTGGGACGCGTCTGACTCCTGCCACTGCGTAAGGCTGAGGCTGGGGCTCTGAACTAGCACGTGGGATGTTGAGCTAACCTGCCAAGGCCTGCTTTGTGGCAGAGTGGGGGCTGGCACGCAAATCTGCCTGACTCTGACCTTCACCCCAAGTTAAGGCAGCATATAAGCCATTCTTAGATTGGGAGCGGCCTCCTGATTCCTGTAACTTTCTCAGCCTCATTGGCCTCTTCCTCTCTCAAATGCCCACTCAAGAACTATGACAATCCTTTGGAAACTCAGAAGTGGGTTCCCCACACCAGTCCTATCTGGTAGTTACTTTTAGGATCCTCGTTTTATGGATGGACAAACTGAGGCACAGAAAGATGTTTAACTTGCTAAAAAGTATATAGCCAGTTAGTGACAGAGCCAGGATTTGAGCCCAGTTCCATCTGACCCCAATACCAGTCCTCTTAACCATGACACTATGATTTGATTACAGAGAAACAAACTATTAGTAGCTAATATTATAAGCAGAAGCAAACATGTTTTATTTACCGTGTATCTGGGATAGTGCTAAGTGCTTTAGATACACGAGTACATTAATTATCACGACAGCTCTGTGAGATAGGTATTATTTCATCCCTTGTTTACAGATAAAGACAGGGAAAAACTTCTGGATGAGGAGAGAGTTTTGTCAGATTCTCCACGCTCTTCTGGTTGGTTGGATGTGCTTTTGAAAAGACAGTCTTGTAGAATAACATCTGTCTATGAGTGACCTTTTTTCCATAGAAGGTGCCAAGTTTGTGTCACGCCCAGTGATCCTCTGTTCAGACTCACCTCCCACAATGACAATCCGCTCCCCAAGCACCACTGCAGGGGCACACACGTTCTTGATCATTCTTGTCTCCATTTTGAACCACGAGTTTCTGGAAATGTGATAAACCTGAGGGAGAGAGAGAATCATGGCACTGCATTTTAAAGTGAAATATTCTTGAAAAAAGACAGAAGTAGTAATTACGAGGGTGAACTAGGAGTGAGATTTTTCTGTCTGCTTTTTTCCAGTTTTAAAAATGTAGCTATTGTTAATAAACAAAACAGTACTGAAAAACAGGAAGAAGTATATGATTAAAAATTGATCTTATTGTGACCCCCAGGAACTCACTGGCTGTAATTCTATAGAATAGATCAAGAGTTTTGCATTGTAATATGGGTTTTACTTACCTTGCTTGGAACATGTTTTTCTTTTAATGAGAAATGAAGAAACTTGGGTATTCAGAAAACCAATGATTTTCTGATCATTTTTTATTTCTAGCTCCTGTTTAAATTTCTAAATGTTCTGGTTTATCCAAGAAGGTCATAGAGCCAAGAATAAATCTGAGGCTAAGTGAGGAAGGTTTTTGAACCGTTCATGCCCGAAAGTCATTACAGTCCTAGAAAAATGCAGCAGAGAAAGGGGAGAAAGACCAAAGAGAAGAGAGCAGGCTCTTTTGCCATGCTTTGAAACAGTGTGTCAAATCAACACCCCCGAAACATGTTCTCCTGTGAGTGTCCTCAGTTTTAAATCTGAATATCAAATGTAAATTAGTTCATTATGGGCAAAATTTAGCACAAGAGATATAGGATGAATTTCATATAAGCAAAGAAGGAACAAGAGCATTTATCTACAGAGGAAAATGGCATAGTATTCTTTGCTAGAAAGTCTTTTCCTATAAAATAAAATTACGAGGCCGGGTGCGGTGGCTCACGCCTGTAATCTCAGCACTTTGGGAGGCCAAGGTGGGTGGATCATGGAGGTCAGGAGTTTGAGACCAGTCTGGCCAACATGGTGAAACCCCATCTCTACTAAAAATACAAAAAAAATTAGCTGCGTGTGGTAGTGCATGCCTGTAGTTCCAGCTACTCAGGAGGCTGAGGTGGGAGGATCACTAGAGCCCTGGAGGTGGAGGTTGCAGTGAGTTGAGATCACACCACTGCACTCTAGCCTGGGTGACAGAGCGAAACTCCTTCTCAAAAAATAAAATAAGGTAAGATTACCAGCACTATTAAAGATGTCTAAAAAATCAGTTTACTAAATTTGATCTTCATAACCATCCTATGAGGTAGGTATTATTATTTCTTCCATCTTTCAGTTTAGAACATTGAGGCTCTGAGAGGTCAAATGACATGCCCAGGGTCATACAACTACAGTGAGTGGGAGAGCTGCTCTGACCAAGCCCAGAATCCATGCTCTTCACCACCACACTCATGGCTCTGTCTGGAGCCATGAAACTGTGGCCTTTCCTGATGAAGGCTTTTGAGACTGGAGACCTCGTGAGGTCTCTGTCTGTCCTTCAAGAAGTCAGTGAATCCTGGAAGAGGCCAAGTGCTAGAGGAAGGGAAGGTCACAATGGCCGTTTCATCGGAAAATATGTAAGTGACAAACTCTCTGGAAAGTGGGATCCTTGGAAGAAAAGCAAACACTGGTTGCATTTTACTTGAATGAATAATTGCCTCCTGGCCTTTCTGTTCTCCTTCAGCTTTGGGTATGGCTTTAAAAATAGATTAAACATTTGCTCACCATGCTCATAATACCCCAAAGAGGCTGGGGCAAGGATAACAAAGGATGATCTTTGACCAGTCAAGGAAGCGATATTTTGTTATGGTAAAGGATTTGCTTAATGCCATCCAGAAACAGGTAGAGAGAAGGCCAGGTGGAAAGGTACAGGTACAGTGCGATTTGCATCGTAACCCCATGGCAGTGTAGTTCTGAAAAGAACGCACACACACAGATGAACAAGCCTATGAAGAAAACTCTCAACCAGTGCCTGAAAATCCAACCTGCTCCATCAAGTGACTCCCAGCATTCATTTTAAACTATATTCGAATGAGTAGAATGTTTATTTCAAAGCTAGTGCAAAGTAGATAAGAAAAGCATCCAAATGAATACTTTTCCCCTTCTCTGTCTTCTTAATCCTGAAATGCAAAAGGATCCCTCAGAGGTTTAATATTTTCTTGGCTTGGCAACATCTTGTTTGATGGTACTATACATTTCTTGATATGCTAGCTTGAAGCTTAAACTCTGAGTTTTATTCTCAGAAGGTCAATGGCAGTTTTGCAATGTGAAATAATGAACGTATTTGTTGACTGTTTTGAAAAATAGAAAAGAAGGAGGGGCTCCAGCTTGACATGGAAGCACTTTGTTATCTGTCTGGTGTGGTCAGAGCCTGGAGGGGAGCAGAATGTCTCCCCCACTTCAAGTAGAGGAGTGGGATTTGGAACAGCGATTCTAGAAAGACTCGGAATCTGCCTGGATGGTCAGGGAGGAGCTGAAAATAATGGCTGGAGAAGTGAAGGCAAGAAAAAAATCTTCACTGGAACTGACCGAGTCCAAGCCATCACCACCCTTGCCTGGAACTCTAGAAGAGTCTCCCAGTTCTCCCCTTTGTCCACTCAGGCCCCCTCCAATCCCTTCTCTACAAGGCATCCAGATGGAACTTCTAAAAATGTGAATGTGTTTTACCTCATTCACCTTTCTTGAAAGCCTTCAATGAAGTTCTGTTCCTCTCAGGCTAATCCCAATTCTTTGACAAGGCCTAGAAAGCCCAGCCAGGCCAACCTCATCTCCACAGATATCCATCCCTCAAGAAGGTTCCAGGATTTTTCTAGGAGGGGCTCAGGGGTTGCGATGTGGGCGGAGGAGGTTGCTCCCGGTAGCCTGAGAAGGGGGCTGATGGAGATTGCATGAGGACTGATGCCCGCCCCTAGCCACCCCTCTGCACACTGCCCTTCTCCTCTTTGCTCTGTCTTGCAACTCCATTGTCCTGCTTTCCGCTGCCCAGGGCCATGGGCTGCACCTGTTTGTGCTTCAGGGCCTTCATGTGAGCTGCTCCCTTACCCAGGACCACTCCCCCTCCCTCAAGAGAGAACTCTGACTCCGGCTTCAGGAGGTGCAGGAGCTTCCTGCATCTCCCTCTAAGTCGGATCTTCCCTTACATGCTTTCTTAGCACCCACCCCACCCCTCCCCCTCCTCTTTTATTCTCCATCCCCACCTTCCTCTCTCCTCTCCTGCCCCTCTGCTCAAGTCAGCTTCAGCCAACTTCACAGGGTTTGCTCCAACATTCCCTTAACCCTGGCACTCTCTCTGATTCTCTCTGGACCAGCGGTGTCCAATCTTTTGGCTTCCCTGGGCCACATTGGAAGGAGAGTTGTCTTGGGTCACACATAAAGCACACTAACACAAATGATAGCTGATGAGCTAAAAAAAATCGCTAAAAAAAATCTCATCATGTTTTAAAGTTTATGAATTTGTGTTGGGCCGCATTCAAAGCTGTCTTGGGCTGTATGCGTGTTGGGCAAGCTTGCTCTAGACTGGTTTAGGGCATCCCGCCTGTGCTCTTAGAGCACCCCTCTCTTCAGCGTCTGAATTGCAACTGAGGGTTATGTGTAAATTGCTGGGTCTCCAGGCCCTTCACAATGGTTGATGTTCAACATAACTCTCATAGATGAGCAAAGTACATCTCGTGGATGCTTCTGATTGTCTGTAAAGGCAGGCTCAATATTCACGTTCTGCAGAGATTACCAGGAACTTGCATAAAGCTGGAAAACACTTAATATTCTGAAATGTGGCCTTTATTGAGCATACTTCTCAGACAGCTTGTTAGTGAAATTAATGTCTGCCGATCATTAAAAGTAGGGGTTTCCCAACCTGGCTGCAACTTAGAGTCTCCTGGGGACTTTTGTAAACCATACATTTTAGGATCTCACACAAAGATATTTTGATTCAGTGATGTGAGGTCAGGTTCCAGGGGATTTGGTCACAGAGGTGTGGACCAAGGCTTGGGAATCTTCTTTTAAGGCCTTACTGACTTGAGTTAGAAGCACCTGCCAAATTCCTATGGGACTTCACTATCTGACTTTCAATATGCTGTATAATAACTTGAATTTTTAGATATATATTTTTCTCATCAAATGAAGATAAACTCTGTGCATAGGGATGGTATTTGATATCCTTTGTTATGTATTATTTTTGCACAAAAAAATTCATAAATTGAAAAATATCTTGCTGAAAATCCTTCTTCCCTCCCTCCCTTCCTCTCTTCCTTCCTTGCAAATAACAAGTGTTGGTATGTGTGTACATGGGTGCACATGTGTGTGCATGTATGCATGTACGTATTTGTGTTCGTGCATATGTATAAATGTGTGCATGCATGTGTAGATATATGTAAATGTGTGTATGCATGCATGAATTGTATATGTGTATGCATGTGCACACGTATGCATGTTGGCATCTGCATATATGTGTGCATATGTGTATGCATGTATGCATGAATATACATTTCTGCATATATGTGTGCACGCATGTATGCATATGTGTGTTTGTGTATATGTGTGCATATATATATTTATGTGCATATATGTGTTTTTTGGTGTGTATGTATACATGTGCATGTGTGTGCAAGCAGGTGTGGGTGTGTCCAAGCACACATACTCATGCAGTTACGTGATGGGAAGAACCGGCCATTTACCTGGATAAGGCGCACAGGGTTCTGCATGATGTCCTCTCCTCCAAAGAGATAGAGTCTTTGGTCTTTCACAGCGACTGCGGGGTGGAGCACCCCCACGGGCATGCTGGCCATACTCTCCCAGACATTGCAGATGCTGTCATACCTTTCCATGGAGCCCATGAGCTCCTGCCCTTCTCCAATCCCCCCGATGGAGAAGATGAAGTTCTTATGGGCAGTGCTTCTGTGGGAGTAGCGGGCCACCAGCATGGGCTCCCCCAGCCTCCACTGATTGAGTTTCAGGGAGAAGATGTAGACATTGTGACTGACCAGACTCCTCCCTGAGCTGACAGCCATGCCCCCCAGCACATAGATGCTGCGGTGCAAGGTGATGGCAGAGGCCTTGTACAGCCGTGTCGGGAGTTTGGCAAGGCTCTGCCATTGGCCGGTCTGTTTGCTGTACAGTAGGACGTCCCTGGTGGTCTGCTGGCTGTCCTTCCTTCCGCCCAAGAGGATGAGGAAATCTTGGTAAGAGTTTCTTGGAGGGACATGCAACAGGAGTTTGCAGTCTGGGACGGTGGTGCCACACAAAGAGAACATCTGTCTCTTGGCGGTCTCCAAGATGATCTGGCATGCAGGCGAGGACTGCAGGAGGGCATCGTTGGCGATGAAGTGGTGAAAGAAGGCTGGGTGGATGTACTGCAGCCTGACCTGCTTGAACAGTTCCTGCATGTATCGCTTCCGGGCCTGGAGGTCATGCTTGATCCAAACCATGAGGGCCTCAAACACCTTTTCCTCCTCCCCACAGAGCCCATCATCTCCGAGATAGTCCCTCAACTCCAAGGCACAGAGCTCCTTCAGGTCGGCCGATGCGGCCACCTCTGGGAAGGACGTCAGTGCCACCTCCCTGGCTTTCTTCTTGAGGGTCTCGCAGCTTAAGATTTCTGAGAGTCTGATCATACCCAGGCAGTTGCTGGGGGCCAACTGGCTCTGCAAGTACGAGGAGCAGGCCTCAAACAGCTTGGGGAACTGTAGCATGGAGGCGGCCTCCATCACGGGGAGGACATTGTCAGTGGCAATATGTGCCTCCCCCGTATACACGTAGGAGACGATCTGGTCCAGGGTTGGGGGGTCAATGCCTTTCAGCTGCACTTTGGCTTCACTCTTCTCCCGGAAGCTGCTGCAGAACATAGCCCTGAAGTAGGGGCTGCTGGAGGCCAGCACGTTGCGGTGGCAGGGGATCTCCCGGGCACCGGCACAGATGCTCACATCAGTCAGGATCCTGCTTTGCCTTAAGCTGTTGAGCTGCCTCAACAAGTCAGAAGAGAAGTCGTGGTCTTTGAAGAGCAGCCCATCTAGTGACTCCTCGTCCATCCTACAAAGAGGGAAGGAAGCCCCCAGAGTCAGCAAGAGTCAAACCTTTCTCAGCTGCATGTGCTGGAGGGTTCAGCTGTGGGGACTCCAAGACCAGTGCTCCTATTCCATTCCCCATGATGTTTGCGGATGTCACCATGGATATTGTGTAGGGAAGATTGGAAAGGAAGGCCACATACATCTCAGACCTGAGCCCTTTTGGGTTATGGTTATTTTCAAAAGTAATAGGCAAATAGTATCTTCAGCTAATCTGAGAGAAACAACCAAACAAACAAACTAAAGTTGTTGGAAGTTACTCTGTTATCAGAAGCTGAAATGTTAGTCTGAAGCAAGATAACAGTCCATGGATTTGACCAGCAGAAGTTCATGAGCCTTTTTCCAGATCGATGGCATATCTGTTATTGAGTAACAGATGTCTAAACCTCTCTTTCTGGGTGTCAATCATTCCCCAAGGATGATATTCTGGAGGTGTGGCCCTCTGGTCACTGGACAGAAATGAGGGAAGAAAATGGACCTTTGATGCATATATTTAAATATGACTTCATTGAGTCTTGTTTTAAAGATAGAATAAATAAAAGGAAAGACCAAACAATCCCCTGGTTTATTGGATGACACCTGGTTTTCTACTTGCAGAAGAAATAAGTATGAGGGACACTTACCTTGTTTTGCTGCGGTGACATCCACTGGTGCCTGGTCTGACTTATCCCCCCGGAGAGTTTCTACCTCTAGCTCCAAGGGAAACCATAAACCCCAGGCCTTTCTTTCAGTTGGCAAATGATTTGTCCTGGGAGATTTCTGGATTTGTTTATGCTGAAGGCACTTTCATAGTTTTCTAGAGCTTTGTGCAAGGACTGCTGGGCAGGGAGACAGTGTATACATTCCAGGGCTAAGAATAGTTGCATATGTACTTTCCACTGTTATGACATGTGACTTTCCAGTTGCCTTTTGCAGCAACCCGAGGGCCTGCAGGGCCGGCGCATGCCCACATGCCTCGTTTCCTTGGCAAGTGTTTACATCGGCAAAAATAGATCGGGAGGAGCGGCTTCTCTTAGAGAAGACTTTGCTGTCTGCTTGGAACCATCCCGAGTCCCCTGTCCTAAAAGTGCTTGGGAATTCTAGCCGTCTGTAAACAGGTTGCTGTGACCTGTGGAGAGTCACTGAAGATGGTTCTGGGCCACAGTGGAGGTGGCAGGTGGTCACAAGGGAAGCCGGAACATGAGCCTGTGGGTGCTATTCAATGGATCTCTATTTCCCACCATCTGCCTGGCGGGATCGCTGGGGAGAGCTGTGATTTCCTCCTCCAGGATCCTAGGTGATGAAATCCATGACAAAAGTTGTTGTTTTTTGTTGTTGTTGTTGTTGAGCATCCCAGGGTTTCCAGACTCCTGAAGGCCCAAACCTTTGTCAGGTCTCCTTACTCAGGAACCTCTGATTGACAGTGGTAAGGCCGAGCTCCTCCTGTCGCGTCTGCCTCTCCCAGACACGTGCTGATTGCTCTTCAGCTGGCTTTTTATAGTTCAGACTTCCTTTTCTGTCTTACTTTTCCATTTTGTCTTGTCTGGCAGCTTGAGCTAGAGGCAGGAGGCAAGGCATATTGCTTTAGGGAGAGAGAGAAAGAAGATGAAGGAGGATGAGGAGGAAGAAGAAGCAGGGACAGAGGGAGGGAGAGAGACGAGAGGAGGAAGAAGAGGAGGAGGAATAGGAGGAGGAGGAAAAGAAGCAGGAGGTAGAGAATCGGGGGAGGAATGATGATAGTGATGTGGTAGGAGGCAGCTTTCAATAACAATCAGAATCACGAGAGAGAGTGAGGGGGACCTCAGGTCTGTTCTGCCCCTGCCTTCAGGGAGGTCCATGATTGTCTTAGCCACAAAAGGCAGGGAAGCCTGACTTTGTCTCCTACTCAACGTCTTGCTCAACTAGTGCAATGGTCTTCCATGCATTTTTTTTTCTTTGCTCCTAGTACTTCTCTCTCCAATACATCCACCCTGTCTTCTCTGGAGCAGCCCCTGGGAAGGCAACTCAGAATTTGCCAGTCCCCAGCATCAGGCCCTTCAGTGGCTCCCCATGTCTGCAGGACTCCTTAGCCAGAATCGGACTGGTGTCCTGTCTGCTTCTGGAACCATGTCTACTGCCACTCATGTGTGGTAATCTAGCTCCATGAGACACTTACAGATCCTTGTATGCATCTGGTCACTGTTGGGGAAGCTGGGCTGGCCTGGCCTTTGGGACACCACAGGGCAGGGTGGAAGGAAGAGGGTTTCTCATTCACAGTTGCCGATCGTAGAGTGGATTATGCCCAAAAGAGTCCAGAAGGTCAAGGCCAGGGAAATGGATCCAAAACATGTTACTGGGGCCATGGGCCTGGAGGCCAGAATTAGGAGCAGGAGGCCTAAGCTAAGGGGGTCAGAGACCCATGGAGGCACAAGCAGGGAGCAGGTGAGAGGAGCTGTTCCTCCATATGTCCGAGTTGGTGAGCTGTGCTGGTGACATAATAAGTGAGTAGCCACATTCCTGAAAGAGCCCAGGGATCCTCTGATTCGTACTCTATCCCTTTCTATGAGCTCTTCCCCTCTGCTCACTCTATCATTTTCACTGTTTCTGTTCGTCTTCCAAAACTTGGTTTATGTATCACTTCTCTGCAAGTCTTTTTACCCCTCTCTAAGACACTTAACTTCACACTCCTCTGTGCAGTTTCCATTCTTCTACATGCCTCTAATGGCATGCCTCATACCTCACTGAGATTATGTTTACTTCCCTGTGTCTCTCTTATTAGAGTGGAAGTCTCTGGGCAGCAGGAATCTTGACTTCATTGTAGCTCTACTCCTAGCACCCAGCACAGGGCCTGGCTTATAGGGGGTGAATTTCATACACTTCCTGCATTGAGCTGGAACAGAATGGGGAATGGGGAAAGAGAGGGAGCTTTGCTGGGTGGACTTCACACCACTGTCTGCTGTGCCGGTTTTGCAGAGCTGCCATGTATGGCTTACTGCGTAGACTGCCCTGCAAATATGCTCTGGAGCAGCCCTGATTATCCACATAATCAAATCCAATAATGTGATGAAGTGAAAAGTAAAACACTTGTTTTATACTGCAGTGCAAGACTTAAGTTCAGGCTGGGAACTGAACTGAGGTCCTCCCAACGCCAAAGCTAGCATTCTTGTCCTTGACCTCGGAGTGAACATGAGGAAGAAATAACTTCCTTAATGCTCTGAAACACCTGCATGATTTCTCTTCCAGGCAGCAAGCAAGCCAAGGATTTATTCTGAGGGTAATAGGTAGGGGATCCTAGGAGTGAATTAACACAGCACCGTTCCCTGGGAAGGATGTTGGATTTTCCCCTACATCCCCTTACTAATTAAACTTTCTGGAATCCAGCTCTGTCAATTGTTCAGATAGACCTTGGTGTGCAGCATCAATGTCTGACCAACTTTACTAAATCTTTTGGTTTCTAATGTTTAGAAAAAATAGGCCCTGTTTTGTTGGCCTGGCCTACCAGGAGGATCCTGGTTCTAGGTCAGATGTCAAATGTCAAGACACAGAGTCTTAGTGTTCAACATGGCAAACACACACATATAAGCCCAAGCTTGACCCCAAAAAGCATCTCTACCACCCACATGTAGCCCAACCAGCCCATTCATGAGTTGACTTCTCTCAGGGAGGTTTATACTTTTTGTCTTAACTTTCATCTAGAAGATGTCTTAGTCTAGGGCCTGAACATATGGCAACCTAAAAGAAATGACATCAATGAGGACATTCAGCTCATTGTTTCTCCTTTTTTTGTTTCTTCTGAGACAGGGTCTCACTCTGTGGCCCAGGCTGGAGTGCAGTGGCATGATTATGGCTCACTGTAGCCTCCAACTCCGAGGCTCGAGTGATCCTCCCACCTCAGCCTCCTGAGAAGCTGAGACTAAAGGCATGAGCCACCACATCCATCTATTTTTTGTGTTTTTTGTAGAGACAGGGTTTTGCTATGTTGCCCAGGCTGGTCTTGAACTGCTGGGCCCAAGAGATTCACCCACCTTGGCCTCCCAAAGTGCTGGGATTACAGGCATGAATCACGGCCCTCCTTTTGATGAAAGTCAGTATCATAACAAGTCAAGGCCTGAACTTTGGGGGCAGAAGGGCTGGGGATAATCTTGGCATTTCCCCTCAGTATTCATGTGGTCTTGGGTAAGTTATTTATACTCCTCCAGCCTCAGTTTCTCCATCTGTTAAGTGGGGATAACCATCCTTGTCACAGTGAAATAATGTATGTGCAGTATGCAGTAAAGTGCCTGGCACAGTGTATATTCATAGTAAAGTATGGTCAGTATGATATTATTACTCTAAAATTAATCTCATTAGATTCCAATGGGTCTTGGTGCCTGGTTTTCAGTGTCTCAATTGGTCCCCTGTGCATTCTAGCATTTTCCTTTTCCTTGAGCAATTGCTGTGTTCCTCATGATCTACTTAGCCTCCAGGAGTCCTGGCATTCAGTCTGGGCTCTGCTATCGACTAGCTGTGCATCTTTGGATGAGTCAATTAACCTCTCTGCACTTATTTCCTCACCTGGCCCTTCTAGATCACCTTCCTGTGGTTTGTACCCTGAGGTGTTCTCTGCAATCTGTGGCCTAGAACAGGGACTGGGAGAAACTGAGACTGAGGGATGAGGGCTCTTCAGAGCTTCCTCACGGCTCTCGCCTGAAGCCAAGTGCAGAGAAGAAACCTAAGTCGAGCTCCCAGCAGGTGCCCTTGATGAGTTTGCCCTTGTAAGTCAATCCAGAAAGCCTTCATTTTCCCTCCTGGAGTTTTGGATTGCCATGGTGGGCACTTTGACTCAGGAGGCCTTGGTTTCTTTCCTATCTGGGTGTGCGGGGTCTGGGTCCCCAAGGAAAGGGCAGGCTGGCTCCTGTCAGCAGCAGGTTTGACAACAACAGCTGGGAAGCCACAAAACACTCTCTGCCACAACCCTACCCTCAGTCCTCTCAACCCACTCGGGGCCGTGCTCCCCATCTGCTCCTTCCAGGAGAAGTCCCCTCACTCTAATTAGGAACCATAGCTATGGTGATTGCTGTGTTTCAAGGATGGACAAACATGCACATAAAGGCCCCTGTGGTGCTGCGGTCTCTCTGGAAGGCTGTCCCCTGCTAGCATCAGAGAATCTCCTGTTCTTACAGGTGGAGAGAAACATGAGGAGCAGACAGGTAAGGTTGCAATTAACTGAATCATTATAAGCTGTAGGAAGAAACCTGGGTCTTGATATAAGATTTTAAATGTTTTTAAGTATACGTGAGAGCCTGTCTATCTGTGTCTGTGTCTATCTGGCTGGGTGTGTTTTTTCAGCAGCCCGTGGAAAGCGGAACAAGGACTTTGTACTCCAGACAAAGGCAGAAAGGGGGCCTGATCCATGAGTCCAGGGGTTGCCATGACGACCGTCCTCCAGAAGCAAAAATTTTAAGGCTACTCCGACTAGGCCAGTAGTGCAAATGTCTGCATTCCCAACTCTTCCTCCACCCTGCTCCATCACCAGAAAATATCTTCATATTTTTTTCCCCTGGGGAGAATAAGGGGAAAAAAAGGACAACACAGATGACGTCAGGATGGCTAGCAGATTGTTGGTATAACCCGGCTGTCTGCCCCCCTCTTTCTTCCTGCAAACTAAAGTCTGACCTCATCCATCATTTATGCCACAGATCAGCTTTCTGGGCTTTCAAACTGGGAAGAAAGAAAGAACAGGACCAAGGATGCTTTCTTACTCTCCTGTTTCAGCACTGTGAGTCACAAAGAATAATACACTGTCTTGGCCTTTCTGCTCCCCAGGACCAGGCGTTCCCTCTTGGTGAGATAGGCATTTAGGCAAAAACATCACCTCCCCCTGACCACTCAGGAATGGTCTGGCAATTTGCTACCAACTTGTGGGATAGAAGGTGGGAGGCTTACAGATGAAGGACTGACTGGGAGAGTAAATTTTATTACCTTAAAGTGGGATTCGTTAGGATCTCTATGGGAAATGGGAATCAAGCAAGGAAGTGTTATTTATCCATCTATCCATTTATCCATCTATCAATTCATCCATCATCCATCCCTCCTCCATCAATTCATCATCCATCCTTCATCCATCCTCCCTCCATCCATCATCCATTCATTCAGCCATCCATCCATCCTCCATCCATCATCCATCTATCCATCCATCATCCATCCATCCATTCATCCTCCATCCATCATCCATCTATCCACCCACGCATCGTCCATCATCATCCATTCATCCATCCATCCATCCTCCATCCATCATCCATCTATCCATCCATCATCCATCCATCCATCCTCCACCAATCCATCCATCCATCCATCATCTATCCATCCATCCATTCATCCATTGTCCATCCATCATCCATTCATCCATCTATCCACCCATCTTCCACCCATCCATCCATTGTCCATCCATCATCCATTCATCCATCCATCCATTCACCCATCTTCCATCCATCCATCTTCCCTCCATCCATCTATCCATCCATCCTCCATCAATTCATTATCCATCCTCCATCCATCCATCATCTATCCATCCACTCATCCACCATCTATCCATCCATATATCCATCCATTCATCTATCCATCCATCCATCTATCCACCCATCCATCCATCCATCATCTATCCATTCATCTATCATCCATCCATCCATCTATCCACCCATCCATCCATCCATCATCTATCCATCCATCCATCCATTCTCCATTCATCCAGCATCTATCTATTCATCTATCCATCCATCATTTATCCATTCATTCATCCATCCATCCATCATTTATCCATCTGTTCATTCATCTATCTATCCATCCATCATCCATCCATCCATCCATCCATCCATCCATCCATCCATCATCTATCCATTCATCCATTCATCCATCCATCCAGCATCCATTCATCCAGCATCCATCCATCCATCCATCCTTCACCCACCCAGCATTCATTTATCCATTCATCCTCCATCCATCATCTATTCATCCTCCATCCATCCATCCATTTATCTAGCCATTCATCATCTATCCATACATTCATCCTTCATCCATCCATCATCTATTCATCCATCCATTTATCCAGCCATCCATCATCATCCATCCATTCATCCTCCATCCATCCATCATCCATTCATCCATCATCCATTCATCTGTACATACAGACTCTAGAGAATCAGACGAAGTCTCGGTCCACACAGAACTTACAATCTTGTAGGAAAGACAGACAAATAAATAATTTAAGTGTCCAAATTGTTCTGTGGGAGAGCCTTCCCCAACCTCCCTCCTTGCAATCTCATCACCCTCCCACCATGAATTCTTGGTAACCTTCTGGAGAACTTTATACATATATCTTTATACATAGAGCTCTCATATCACCTGAATTTTTGTCATGTGTTTCCATCTCTCTCTCCTATTTTAGGTTTTAGCTCTTTGAGGGAAGAAATAAACCTTAGCCCTCTGCCCCTTATTAGTAAAGGCAGAGATGAAATATAATAGAATTTGGTGACAGAGAGTTTGACCCTGGAGACTGTTTGCTTCCTTCTTTGTATTTTTATAAGTGTCTGTCTTTTAAGTTTTTCCAAAAACATTTTTTAACCTATGTTTTTCTAATGATCAAAAACAAGAGTAACGAAATATTTTTTGATTCCCTGCTAGTAAGAAAACAAATCTAGAACACTTTTATTTCTTCCCATTTTCAGGCTTTTATGAAAATAATCTGGGGTTTAATTAAGGCTTGGATTACTGTCATCAAATTTTATATAATGTATCTTTTAAGAATTACTTTGCTATTTGCTTTTATTTATGACAATTATTTACACTTAGCTCTGTGTTTGGCTGATTTACACCCGAGCTGCCAGTTTTTTTATGCCACAAGTTTCTCATTCTTAAACGTTTAATTCTGATTCATCTTTGAATAGGAGTTCATTAAATTGCATTTTTTTTTTTGAGACAGGGTTTCACTCCCATTGCCCAGGCTGGACTGCAGTGGCGTGCACTTGGCTCACTACAACCTCCGCCTCCCAGGCTCAAGCAATCCTCCTGCCTCAGCCTCCTGAGTAACTGGGACATAAGCGCGCACCACCATGCCCGGCTAATTTTTGTATTTTTAGTAGAGACAGGGTTTCACCATGTTGCCCAGGTTGTTCTCAAACTCCTGGCCTCAAGCGATCTGCCCACCTCTGCCGATATTGCAATTTTTTAAAGGAATAATATAGGAGAGGTGTATTTTCTGAATCCTCAAGAGTCTCCATCTCCTACCACCTATGAACAATAACTTGGCTTGGTATAACAATTAGGGGTCAAATTTTTTTCTTCAAATATCTCTAGAAACTGCTCTTCTTATTCTGGAAAAGCTGAAGTGCTGCAGAATAGAAGTCTGCGAATTGAGTGATTTATAGCCTTTTTGTTTGTTTGTTTTTACGCTGACTCCACTCCGACTTTGAGGAGGCAGAGGATCCCTTGACATGAGCACTCTTCACTGTCTTCCACATCTTGCCATGTTCTGTGCTTGAGAGTTGCAGTCTCTGAAAAATATGGTATGGTGTGTGTGTGTGTGTAACACTGTACTCTGGTTGCCTCAAAAGATGTCACCTGTGTAGTAGAGACTAGCTGGTCAGTTTTAAGATTGTTTTTAAGATTGGTCTGTACTCTGGGTCTCTGAGTCAAGGAGCAGGAGTGTAGAAGAAATGAACTCTCTCCTTACTGACTTTCTGAGAATGGATGTCCTGTCCTTCATGAGGCAAAGTGTGAATAGGTCATTGACTGGCTCCTGGACCAACTGCATCTGCTTTCCCACTATTCCAGTGACTCCTAGATTCTGCTAAGGTTTTTTTTAATCAGTCTTACTTTCCTGGGGGTGGTAGGTGTTCACTATTTCTTGTAAATAATGTTTGGTGGCAAATAGGTGCTACTAGAGAGATACTGTTTTGTATTAGAACACCAGCTTTATGCCTTGTTCTTGAGGTTAGATCCTCAGAACCTACCAGGATTCAGGAGCCTCTTGGATGGATAAAGGCTTCCCTTGTCATCTCTTTACTTTTGCTGACACCTGAATAATCAAAAGGTAGAAGAAAGAGTGAGCAAAAGTAAACATGGTTGATTTGGTAACCTCCATTCCTAGGGAAGCTTGCCAGAGTCCCCAGGGCTTCGGGTAAGGAAGTAGGGAGTATCTCCTTGTGTTTTCCATTCCAGTGGGCAGGCCAGTGCAGGCCATGGAGTTTCAGACATGAGCTGGAGGTTGGAGAGTCTGCTATTTAAACTTTTCATTCCACCCAGTGCTTTGCCAGTTGCCCAAAGGCATTGCACAATATTGGTAGTAATAATAGAACCAGGAATCTACCATTCCGCCTGGGAGACGTGCACATTGTTCCACTTCTCATCTTCAGAATTTTCTTCAACCCAAGTGCCTGAAGGGGGACTTTCTTTATCTGCGGCTCCTAAAGTAGAACGTTATGCAATGGGGTGTGGGGTGGGGGTAAGCTGATGCTGAGTGTCCCAGATGTCAGTGGATGTTCCTTCAGAAATGATTGCATAAGAACACTATACGATCATAGGATAACCTTTTCTGAAACTGGGAGAGCCACCAGGTCATATCAATGGATTATTTCATTCCAACACAAAATGATTGAACACCTCCTACACACCTGTTATATTCCCTGCCCACAGAGTGTGTTTGGAGAGACACACAAAGATCCCATTTTTACCATGCTATACACTAGCCCTCTCTTCTGTCTGAAAATCCCTCTCTCCCAATTAGAGCAGATAATGAGTTAGACAACAATGGCAAGGAAAGTGCAGGTTAAGGAGGGGAAGAGATTTTTCCAAGTGGTGTTATTAGAACATGAATTTTCTCTAGAAAGAAGGTTCTGGTACTGTGATTAGCTTGTCAGATGAGCTGGTTGGGGTCTTCAAAGGGGCACCTTGGAGAGGTAAATGAAGCAGTACTGAATCTGGGCCAGGCCTGGGGTGTTAAGGTGGTATTTCTCTTAGCACAATGCCTCTGAGGTATTGAGGGAGTGCTGGATAGGGAGAGTGGTCTGACTTGGTGTTACCTCTGGATGGGGAGGAGGAAAGGCATCAGAGACAAACTCTTTTGCTTCACAGCTATCCCAAGCTTGTCCAAAGGCCTTTTTTTTTTTTTTTTTTTTTTTTTTTTGAGACGGAGTCTCACTCCATCACCAGGCTGGAGTGCAGTGGCACAGTCTTGGCTCACTGCAACCTCCACTTCCCAGGTTTAAGCAATTCTCCTGCCTCAGCCTCCCGAGTAGCTGGGATTACAGGCGTGTGCCACCACGCCCCGCTAATTTTTCTATTTTTAGTAGAGACGGGGTTTCACCATGTTGGTCAGGCTGGTCTCGATCTCGTGACCTCATAATCCACCCACCTCGGCCTCCCAAAGCGCTGGGATTACAGGCATGAGCCACTGCTCCCGGCCCCAAGGACCTTTGAAAAACATTTTTTCTCCTCCCAGTGCATCACATAAGGTGCCTAGATATTCTGATTAGGCCTTTCTCTCCTGACATTTCCCCACAAACATTCTTCTTGTGTTCTCTTCTTAGGCCCTTTCCCCTTCCTAACCTCCACTTCCCACTACCTCCCCATCTCATTTTCTCCTCTTGCTCAGCCATGTTATTATTGTTCCCAAAACCACTGTCCTGTTATCCCTTCTGTTATCCCTCCTCATGAGGAATCAACATTTCTGGACTTAATGGCCCGGCCTCCTGATTCCACTCCTTTCCCCTTCTTTCTGTGGGCACATCCAACTGCTCACAAGTGGGGGTGGCTTTATGGAAAGGGCCATTTCTCCAGTTACAGTTCCTGCATGGAAGCTGCCTCTGGCCAAGGCAAGACATCTCACAGGAGAACCAATGGACGGTCTATGGACAGAACCAGTTCTCTAGGGGCAAGGCAAGAGCAGAGAGCCCCACATGCTGAGGCAGCCAGGTGTTTTTCAGGTGAATTTACTTATTAAACTGTGAGTCAATAATCCATGATAGCCAATTTTCTAGTCTGTGTAGAGGAAGAAAAGTGATCTTTGAACAAACCTAGGTTGAACAAGGTGTTTGCCACTTACTCATCAGGTACCTATGAGTAATTTACATTCTCTGTGTTATTCAGTCTTCATGATTATTCTTATGATTTTTATGGGTAATAATAATTTTTATCTCTCATGATTATTATGGGGTAGGTTATATTAAGGTTTTTAGTATAAGTATGTCTCAAATATTGCACTGGACACACTTATGTTAAAATTGTCTCATCATCTCAAATTCAAGTTTAAGGGCATATCCTGTGTCTTTGTTTGCAAAACCTGGCAGCCTTCCATGAAGCCCATACTACAAATGAGGTTAAGTGACTTGCTTAGGGTGCTTGATAAACGTTAGCTTCTTGCTCCTGTTCTTCTCTGTCTCCATCAATCAAATGGTCAAAAGAGAGAAAGAGGGAGAGAAAGACAACATTATTTAAAGTGAACGCACAAGTTCTGCCCTTCTGCTCATTTGCCATTTCATTAGACATTTTCACCTATTGTCAGGAGTGTCCTGGCGACACTCAAAATCAGTAGAGGGCACAGTGGTGATCAGATCCTTTGGTTGAATCCCAACCAGAATTTTGACCTTTCTGAAAGGGGCATGGCAAAGTGGAGAGCCAGAGGCCTTGGCTCTCACAGCCACGAATGCTGGCCCTGGCTCTGGTATCAACTCAATCCATGAACCAGGTCACCTCTATTAATTCTTTTATGAGTTTTGTCTTCTTTATTGAAAATCAACGATGGGAATACTGACCTCCATTCTTCACTGGGGCCATGTTATGCAGCGTGGTGCAGCATCTGATACCGGACAGACCTGGGTTTCAATCCCAGCTGTACCACTTACCAGCTGTGTGACCTGGGGCAAGATACCTAATCTCTCTGTGCCTTGGTTTCCTCACCTATAAAATAGAGATAAAGATAGTGCAAAATAGAATGAAGGCTGCGTGGTGTTGAGGCAAGGCTTACTAATTAATTCTTTCACTCAAATAAGCACTTATTGAAAACATGGTCAACCCCTCCTATAAATGTTCGGGGGCTGTGAATGAATGCTTAGCTCTGTTCTAGGAGAAACTGGGGATACTGAGAGAGCAGAAAATCTGATCTATGCTCTGGAGGACAAACGATCCCATAGGAGGAGACTAATTGTACCCAGGTGAAACAACAAGACAATAAAATCAAGGGCATGATGATTCGGTGTAAGCTCAGGCATGGTGCTAGAGAGGTCATGAATAGTGGCAATCATGTCTCATGCTTTTATACCCATGCAACTTTATACCAAGGTCATGCACAGACATTAGAGGTGAAGTAAAGAGTGGTCAGAATGAGGAGGAGCTGCTTATAGGAAGCTTCTTGGAGAAGGGGTTTCTTGAAGAAATAATAGATTTTGGTGGGAAGGTGGCACCTCTGATGGTGCAAATCCAAAGTGCCAAGGTGGGGAGCTGGTGACACCCAGCATGGCAGTGGAGGGGCAGAAGTGGGGCTACAAGGAGACTGGCAATGAGACCTTCTCACAGCCTCTTCCCTCTGCTGGAGTGTTTTTCCCTCAGAGACTCACGTGGCTGGCTCCTGAATGTTCAGGACTCAGTTCAGCTATTATTTCATCAAATAGACTCTTCCCTGAGCACCTAAAGTAGCATGTAGCCTCTCTCCACCCCTCCCGTTTGTTTCTCTCTGTTGTATCACTGTATCACCCTGTTTTGTTTCATTGTATTTTTCAGATTTTGAAATGATTCTATTTGTAGCATTTCATTGTTTGTTTGGTCTCCCTTAATAGAATAAAAGCTCCATGAGAACAAGAGCATTGGGCCATAGTAGGTGCTCAATTAATATTTGTTGGATGAGTATATGAACAGGGAGGTGGAGGCCTCAGAAGGCTAGTCTAAGGAGTTAAGGTTTTATAGAAAATTCTAAGGGCTTCAATAAAACCCATATAGAAGAATATTGTATGTCTCAGAAGGACTTTCTGGAGATAGGAGTTGGTGAGTGGTTCTTTTCTCTTTGCTTTAAAATGAGTCTGGAGGGTTGAAGTGACTAGGGGTATCCATGGATGAAGATGGAACCTGGGTTTTGGGGCCTTCTCTACCGGAGGCTGTGTTAGGGCAGTGGTTCTCATTCTGTCTTCACATGATGGTCCCTGGAGAGATTTGAAAATTCCCAATTTCCAGGCTACGCCACAATCCAAGTCCAATAAAAGGCAAATTTCCAGGGGTGGTGCCCAGGCATCAGCATTCTGTGAGCTTCCCAGGAGATTTCACTGTGCAGCCAAGGGTGGGAACTGCTGTGCTAGGCACTGTGCCCATCTCCTAGGGACTGGAGGCACAATTCACTAGCCTCTCTTGCTCACAGTAAGAGAGAAAGTAAAACGGAGTAACTTTTCTTCTTGTCTTCTTCACAGAGACTCTGCCCAAAGGTGAAATGCAGTCAGCTAAGTTCTTGGGTGCCTTTCTGGATTTGAGAACCTGTTTGGAATCAGCCATACGTTTCCGTCCACTGGGAAATGGGGTTGACCTGCCTTAGCCAGGCCTCACATGCCATCCTGATGAAACATTATTTTAGGGGCTGGCAGCCCTGAACTGGCTTCTGTTCTGCTGGCCCCATAGGCTGGCTCAGTTCCAGGCTCACCTTTCGCTACCCTTGTGGCTGCCACATTGCCCAGCTTTGATTTATCGTGTCTTCAGCAGAGCTGTGGGCCTAGAGTGATTTAATGTTGATATTATATGTCACACAGAAGATGCCAGCATCGCCAGCAGATCTCATGTCTCCACTCTCCAGCAGTCTGGATTGAGGGCCCTAAAGAAGGCAGGTGACCCTAAGGCCCCCTCTTGGAAAGGGGCTGTTGAACGTCCTTTACTCTTCTTAAAATTTCCATTTGAAACCTGTTTTGCTGCATGTCACCCCCTGCAGCCAATATTGATGTTAATCTTGGGCTGCATATGCAATGTGACCTCGGATGAAATTGAACAACTGGGTAATTATCTGTGGACCTATTTCTAATGAAATAATTGGAATAATTGGAATAGGATTAGTAGAACTGCAGAGAGACCTGTTGCTCCTAGCTGGGCTCTTAATGCCAAACAAAAGAAGCAACGTGTCAGTAATTCAGTTGGTGGATGCCTTGGAGCCATTCAAGATGCATTTTGCTCATTAGCCAAATCTCTTCCTGCCCTCATCCTCCCCCAACATTTGTTTCAGATGTGATTTTCATGAAGCATGTCCCTGTGTCTTGTTTGTCTTTGGCAAACACAAGTAACTATTATAAATATAGCATTGGATCTCCCTGCTCTTTGGGGACCCTGAGATTTATAGTGCCATGGTTGCTAATTAATTTATGATTCCTTCATTTAACAAACATGTTGAATGAGCCATTTGTAAACACATCTTGACTGAGTACCTCCTATGCCTCAGCCACTCTTCTAGGCACTGACAGTGGGAGAGGCAGACAATAGATAAGCAGAACAAATCAGTTGATCAATCAATAGAGATGATGTGATTTGAGATGATGATAAGAGATGAAAAGGCAGCCTGTGATGGAGAAGGGATAGGAGGAAATGACCAGTTTATATCTAGTGGGCAAGGAGGACAGAGACATAGAGAATTTGTTACCAAAACACCAGGAGTTTTGTCTAAGTTCTGTTGCTTGACACCCAGAAAGCCAATCACTGAGAAGACGACTGTTGCCAGGGAAGAAGGCTTTAATCGGGTGCTGCAGCTGAGGAGGTGGGAGATAGAGTCTTGAGTCCATCTACTCAAGCACCTAAAATCAGGGGTTTGTATAGCACGGCAGAAATGTAACCATGTATGGGAAAACAGAAATTAGGAAGGAGTGAGGAAGAGGAGTTGGTCAACAGGAAGCAGGTGGTCAGATAGGGAATCATGATGGGTGAGGGTCTGGTGTCTCTTTGCCCAGATGTGATGGTCTTATAATTTCAGCTCCTCGATATTATCTTGGGAGAGGGGGTGATGACTGGGTTCCTGAGAAAAGAACTCAGGTAAGACAACTGTAACTTTCTCAAATTTTAAGACTTCGGGATCAATTTTTATGTTTATTCAAAAGAAACCATAAACATCAGTTCTAGGGGACAATTGGGCTGGTTTCAAATTGCTGTGTGTGTTGTGACTGGAAGGATGCATAAGACATGGTTCTTGGCCTCACAGAGCTCCTGGTCTCATTAGGGATATGGATATAGAGAATGACAAAGAAAAATACGGTAAGTGCTGTGATGGGATTGTGTGAAATGAACACACAGAAGGGGTGACACTAACTGCACAGGAGAGGGGGCAGGCAAGTCTTGCCTTCTAAGAGATGGTGAGGCTTGAGCTGCCACTGAAAGGAAATGTGGAAGTCAAGGGATAAATTTGGCTGGAGAAAGGGAGGAAGGACATTGTGTTAGGCATTCATCTTTTCAATAATCTTTTATTGAGCATCTATTATGTGCCAGGCATTGTTCTAGGTGCTGTAGTGTCAGTGGTGAACTTCCTTTCTAACAGTGGAGCAGAGACAATGAGTCAGTAAGCAAATAAGATAATATTGGCTGGTGACAACCTCTGTGAAATCGATGCAGGATAATGTTATAGGGAGAGTTTGTGTGTGTTCTGAGGGCAGTGATGGGGATGGGACCTGATAGCGTGGCCAGGGTGAGCCTCTGGAGAGGTGACGTGCGTGCTGATATTAGCTCATGGGGCTGTTTGGGAGAAGGGGAGTTTTAAGTAAAAGGAACTACAAGCACAGAAGTCCTGAGGCAGGAATAAGCATGACAAGTTTGAGGAACAACAGCAAAAAAGCCCAGGGTGGCTGGTGCCTGGAGAGTGAGGGGGAAAGTGGGTGTTCCAGAAGGAGTCAGAGACAAAGCAGCTGGGGACACAGGGAGCTCAGTGATGAAGACATTGCAGGGATCCTGGCTAGAAAGGTCAGAGGCTTGGGTTAGGGTGATAGCTATGGAGGTGGTAAAACACAGAAACTCTAAGATACTTGGAGAAATAGAACTGATAGGACTTCTGATACCTGATCCCTGAGGATTGAGGGATGGGAGGAATCCAAGATGACTCCTAAGCATTTGGCTGGAGCAGCTGGGTAGATGGGGGTGGTTACTGAGATAGGGAAAACTGGGAATGGAACTGGTTTTGTGGGGGAATCAAGATTTTTGCTTTGGATGTGTTTAGTATGAGATGCTAATTGAGCATCCTGGTGGAGAGGAAGCAGCTCTCATAGAGGCTTGAGATATAAGACTGCCAAATTCTTCTGTGGAGGCAGGGTGCCTGAGGACAGCTCAGGAGAGAGCTGCAGTTAGGAAAGGCAAGGCTGGCTGTAGGGTGGGAATAGGCTGGAGGAGGGAGGTGCCTGGAGGTGGGGGGACCACCCTGGTCTGCTGTGTTAGTCTAGATGGGAAAGGATGACGACCTGAATCCATCTGGCACCTGCACCTCAGAGTGGCCTCCATGCTCAATAGACTGCTTCATGATTTCATTTCAGGGCCAGCCACCCAGCACAGAGCATGGAGTGACTTGCTTAAACAACAATACAGCCCACATAGAGGGAGCTCTTGGCAAGAGTCCATCCCTGTGCTAAGGGCTTCTGATACTTTATCTCATTTCATCCACACAAAGATCCTACAAGGCAGGCACCACTCCTCCACTTAGGCATAGATGCAATTGTTCTTGCTGTTGTTTTTGGTAAGCTGAAAGTAACACTAAATAAGGGGCCTCTAAAGACATTTCTCATCAGCAGGCAGAGTTGCCCTGTTGGTCCTGGAAGTAGGTTTGTTCTCATCTCTCTATAAATGTTCTTTTGTTTTTGATCCTTAAGTAGGGGAGCTTCGGAATTATCAACACCCCCATTTTACAGACGAGGAAGCTGAGTTTCAGATGGGCAAGGTGGCTTCCCAATATGACACAGCCTGTGAGTGGAGTCCCTGGTCTTGCTCCCTCCATGGAGGGTTAGGTGTAGGGAGACAAGGGCGGTGGCAGCACCATGCAGGTCTTTGACCAGAAGAAAAGCCAGTGTAATTAACAGTAATAGACAGACTAAAGTTTCAGAAGGAAGAAAAGTTGTGTATACAGTAAAAACCCTCTGATCTAACACATGTGAGAAAGACAATTGGCCATTTATACTTAAGCCTAAAGCTGGGAATCATTAAAAGACAACATATATTATTTAACTTTTTGTAGGAAACATTCAATGTATATTGGTTTACTGTGAACTTTTCTTTAAGAGTAAGCCACGGATGGGCATTCAGTGTCAATTCCTCCTCCTCCTCCTCCCCACCTTCCTCCTCCTCCTCCTTTGAAACACAGCTTTAGCTAGTCTTTCCGAAGCATCCAATTTAGCTTTCACAGAAACAGGAAGTCTTTCTTTGTGTACTTACAGTTGATCGATGTATTTAATATTTAATTAAATTGGGTAATTGCAATAGTAAGTACAACAGATAGAACAGGTTTGGGAATAAATCCAATCTACTATTGCAAAGTACAGGATCCACCAGAAAAGAGAAGGGCTCCTACCCAGTCCCCAGCAGCCACCAGCCTTCAGAGCCCCAGGGCATGCACCAATAGACTTTGCAGAGTAAATGGAGAGTGCTGGTTAATCTGGCACATAAGTTAAGTGAGATTTATATAAAAGAGCCCCTACTGGTGGGGTGTGGTGGCTCATGCCTATAATCCTAGCACTTTGGGAGCCCGAGGTGAGTGGATCACCTGAGGCCAGGAGTTCGAGACCAGCCTGGCCAACATGGCAAAACTCTGTCTCTACTAAAAATACAAAAATTAGCTGGGTCTTGTGGCATGTACCTGTAGTCCCAGCTACATGGGAGGCTGAGGCAGGAGAATTGTTTGAGCCCAGGAGGCGGAGGTTGCAGTGAGCCAAGATCATGCCACTGCACTCCAGTCTAGGCGACAGAGCAAGATTCTATCTCCAAAAAAAAAAAAAAAAAAAAAAAAGAAAGAGCCCCTACTGACAGAAATACACACAGTATATGTTTGTGTATGCCAGACACTTGAAATGAATGAATGAATGAAATACTTGTGTGGAAATGATTTTGCTTTTCTAATTCTTTTTTCCTTCTGGCTCAATCTTTTATAAAGACTGGTTCTAATTTGAACTGGTTCAGTAGGATTTTAAAAACAGCTGATTTTGTTTTCCGTGCAGTAAAAAAAAATTGCTTGGGTTGGGTTCAGAGTTCAGAAAATTAGTGCAGTCCATTTCGGTTTATGAGTCATATTCTCCTGGTCCACATTACTCATAGCAAGGAATGATTCAAAACCAGTGCCTTTTCCTTCTGGCTCTGAGTCTAAAAATGCCTTAGGTCTCTTTTGTTCTGAGCTGTTCCTGTTCTAAGCAATCCTAAAATGACACTTATTGGAGACCAAAAATCATGAACAGAAGGAGACTGACATAAAACCCCACTTGATTGTGATGCTGAAGACAGTCATCACACTATGGAGTCGGCAGCCCCCGTGGAAACCACTAACTCCTCTCACTCAAATGCTTGCTGAGCAGATTGGCCCTCCCGGCTGCAGGCCTGTTTTCCAGGAAGAGGCCCAATCCCGTCGCAAAAGCCCTGCAGACTCCCCAGGGACTGGTCAAAAGCTAGCTTCCTTAGTTTCCCCATTTTGTACTCATATTTCTCGGATGTTCTTTCTTTTCCCTTCCCTTGTGTGGTATTAACATTGACTGTACACATTTTGGGCTTGTTTAACGTTGTTTATGTTAGGAACAAAAGACATCAGTATTTCTGGTTTAGTCACAAAGAAGTCATGGGACATTCTCTTCAGAGCCTTGGGACAATTCCTTGGGTACCAGGCGGCGGAGATCCAAGGAGCACTCAGTGACAGCCTGCCTTGGGCACAAATTCTGCCATCCAAAATGGAAGTACAATCAGTCCACATGCAGGGCATTACGTGATTTGCTTTGATTCTTCTCATGGCCTCCCCACCTCCCCACTTTTTTAGAGACAGAATCTTGCTCTGTTGCCCAGGCTGGAGTGCACTAGCACAATCATGGCTCACTGTAGCATCAAACTCCTGGGCTCAAGCAATTCCCCTGCCTCAGTCTCCCAAGTAGCTGGGACTACAGGTTCATATCACCATGCCCAGCTAATTGTCTTTTTTTTTTTTTTTTTTGTAGAGACAGGGTCTTGCATGTTGCCCAGGCTGGTCTCAAACTCCTGGACTCAAGTGATCCTCCTGCCTCGGCCTCCTAAAGTGTTGGGATTACAAGCATGAGCGCCTCTGCCTGGCTCATGGCCCCTTTTTATAGGAGCTGCCTTCCTACTATCTTGTCTAGCTGTGCTGTTTTCAAGATGTCAAAATTACCCTTGTAGCATGAACCATATGGTATTGGATGAATGTTGAAGACATTGTATGAACTCATGTTTAGCTGAATATAGATCCAGATGGATCTATATCTATGTCTATAGCTCTATTTATGTCTATGTCTATGTCTATATCATCTACCTACATATATGTATAAATAATTATAGATAAATTGGAGGCCATTATTCTAAAAGAAGTAACTCAGGAATGGAAAACCAAATACCATATGTTCTCACTTATAAGTAGGAGCTAAGCTATGGGTAGGCAAAGACATACAGGGTGGTATAATGGACTTTGGAGACTAAAAAGCAGGGAAGGGCAAGGGGGTGAGGGACAAAAAACTACATATTTCTTACAGTGTATGCTATTCGGGTAACAGTTGCACTAAAATCTCAAACTCCACCACTATACAATTCATCCATGTAACCAAAAACTACTTGTACCCCAAAAGCTATTGAAACTAAAAAAAGATGTGTGTGTATACATGGTGTATTAGTCTGTTTTCATGCTGTTGATAAAGACATACCTGAGACTGGGTAATTTATACAGGAAAAAGAATTTAATGCACTTACAGTTCCACATGGCTGGGGAGGCCTCACAATCATGGTGGAAGGCAAGGAGGAGCAAGTCACATCTTACGTGGATGGCAGCAGGAGAAAAAAGAGAGCTTGTGTAGGGAAACTCCCCCCTTACAGAATCATCAGATCTTGTGAGACTTATTCACTGTCACGAGAACAGCATGGGAAAGACCTGCCCCCATGATTCAATTACCTCCCACCGGGCCCCTCCCACAACACTTGAGAATTCAAGATAAGATTTGGGTGGGGACACAGCCAAACCATATCATTGGGTTAGTATACATACTTATATTTCCTACTTCTGACTGCTGAGTTGGCTCAGAAGCAATGACACCCCAGTAGCAATGAGCAGAACCAGGGTCTACATCTTGGTATCCAACCCCATTTTCCAATAAAAAGAGTCAGGGCTCCTTGAAGAAATGACTGATTCTGGGGCTGGGAAAGGGAATGTGCAAGATGGGCCTGGAGCATCTCGTAGGACTCTATATGAAATAACTCAGGAATGGAAAACAAAAGTATACCACCCTGTATACCTTTGCCTACCCATAGCTTAACTCCTGCTTATAAGTGAGAACATATGGTATTTGGTTTTCCATTCCAGAAACTAAAGAAATACTGAAAAAGCAAAATGAGAGGGTACGTCAAAGGGACACAGAAGCCAACTGCAAGAGTTCCCAACAGAAAAAGCTGGAACTATTTGAGCAACAAAATAAATAATATACTATTGGGTTATAACCCAAAGTATACAATAAATTATCATAAATCTATACTGATTTAAAATAATTAGTGACTATATCAATAAATGGGGAAGAACAGACAAATCTCCTGTTTAAAAGAATATTAAATAATTTATGTAGATACTCCCCCTCAAGGAGGTGGGACCTAACTCTACATCCCTTGAGCATGGGCTGCAGGTGGGGACCTCCTTTTAATGAGTAAAGTACAGAAAGGGGGAACAAGAAGAGTAACTTTTTAGTGGAGAGACCTGACCAACACTATCTGAGCCGGGTGTTCAAAGTCAGCCTCAACAGTGGTATGTGGTATTGGTAGCATGTTAATAGCACGTACCCTTGATCGGATGTGATAAGAATGGTACTTTACCTCTATGATACTCCTCAAACCCATAACCCCAGTCTAGCCATGGGAAAAACATCAGATAAACCCAAATTGAGAGGACGTTCTACAAAATTCCTGACTGGTACTCCTCAAAGCCGTCAAGGTCATGAAAAATAAGGAATATCTACGGAACTGTCACAGCCAGATGGCGCCTAAAGAGACACGATGAACAAATGTAACGTGGTGTCCTGGATGGAACCTGGAACAGAAAAGCAACATTAGGTAGAAACTAAGGAGAAGCGAAGGAAGTCTGGGCTTTACTCAGCTGTGATGTATCAATTCTCATTTATAAGTTATGACAAATGTACCGTATTAGTGTCAGTGATATGGGAAATTGGCAGTAGGTATATAGGAACTCTTGCTAATGTTGTTACAACTTCTCTGTAAATCTAAAATTTACAGAAATAAAATAAAATGAAGAGTTTATTTTGAATAATCTTCCTGCACCCCTGGCCATTTCTTTTCTTTCTCCTGATCCTATGTCTCCCAACATACTGGTCTGCACCCTATGCCCTGATCATGAGAGAAATTGCCTCAATATGGACAGGCTGACTTAACATCTCTTCTGGGGGCTTTCACTCATTGGCACGGGGAGGTGAATACTATTTCTGGTTTTCTGGCACCCTTATTTCTCAGCTTATCTACTTTCTGGGGGCTTATCTGAGGCATTTTGATTGGCTCTAACATGGTTTGAGACATTGTTTGGAGTCTGGAGGAGCTCTGTGCATTCGTCTCTTGCTGCTGAAGGAGTCAGGCTGCACGCCTTTGGCCAGGAACACGTTGCCTGTGGCTGAGGATGGTGGGGTCTTCTGGGGGCTGTCACGTCTGACCCTCAGTGGGCCGATATCCACTGAAAAGCAGCCGTTTGTCCCTCGTCACGATCTGCTTCCTTCGCTTCTTCTCTACCTCGCTCCTTTACGTGGTAAAACCTGTCTCATCTAGACCATTATTTTCATCTCCCTTTTCCTCTTAATCTTCCCTTTTCAACACTCTCCTGAGGAGAGATTTACAAGGATTGATGATATGGTTATACGGGGGTGCCTCGAACATCAGAACTTAAAATTTTTAAAATAAGAAACTGGCAACAAGGCGTTCTGTCCAGGCAGGAGTCTCTTGAATGGCTCAACCCCTCTTAAGTAAAATAGATTGTGTGCAATGCCAGAACCAGCCCAGATGCTCCCTCTGTGCAAATTAGCAGAAAGCACCCTCTCTAAGCAGCTACCGACCTGCAGCAAAGTCTTGGTGTGGGGAGAACGAGGGCTCAATTTCAGACCCCAGATATCCCCTCAGCCAGGCAGCTTTGCACAGTAGCCAACCTATACAACGATTCACTGTGACCCTAAAATGTACAGTGGGTAGCAGCTCATTTTTCCAGGGAAACAGCGTTCAGGATAATTATTTCTTCTCATACTGGTTGGTACCTGAGGACAGGGTGCAGATTGTCTTTGGAGTCCCCTGGGAGAATTGAGATTAAGACCTAGACCAAGGGGAATGCTGTCATCAGTTCCTATTGGTTCATAAGAGCCAATTGCTAATTTTTCAACACTTGTAGAAGCTGGTTGCTAAACATTTTAAAAAATTAAGTTATATAAATGTACAATGAAAATATATTGATAACAGATGTAATAAATACTCAAAATTCATTCCTAATTATGGACTTCATTTTACTATTGACTATGCTTTTCAAGTTATTGACGTCTCTTGTATGTGTTTGGTGGGAACACTCTATATCCGTGTGCTACTACTCTGCTTTTCTAAGCCAGGGCTCTATGTCGTCATGGCACTTTCTTGAAATTGGCATGGTGAGAGTATTTACACCATGGAAATGGACAAATGCTATGCATCAGTCTTTCCCACCACCCACCGCTGATTGTTAAACATCAACCAACACACCACAGCCCCTGACTGTGACCCAGTGGGACCCAGTGTTTCCAGAAACTCTCTGACACATGGTCCTGACTGAGGTCATCTTGTGGGAAACGACACCAAAATCCTCAAAGAAGAATTCACCATGAGGAGAGGGAGGGAAGACTGGAATGGGGACCCAGGCTCAGCACAAGGTTTAGGGCCTCAGGGGAGGCTGGGTGATACCACATGGTCCCTGGTCCCAGTCACACTGGGAACCATAGGGAATGTGGAGCTTGAACCAAAAGGGGTGGAACCTTGGAGCCTGAATGTGGGACACCCCCATGGGAAGGACGGGTTGGTACCTCAAAAGTACATTTACAGTAAAACCCGAACACCTGACTGTGGCCTGTGAGGTGCTGCTCCACCAGGGCCCTGACCACCCCTCGCTCTGTCCTCCTTCACACAGCATCAGCCACTGGCTGTCCAGGGATCTCTTGGCCACTTCTGTTCTTTTGTATGTCATCCCCATGTACTCTGTGCTCAAAACTCCCCTTGCCTAGTGTATGGGTGGTTCCTCCCACCCCTCAGTCTCTCCTCAGAGAGGCTTCCTGGCTGCCCATGTAAAGAAGTTCCCTGCTCCCTCCCTTGCAGTCCAGCCCCCATCACCACCCACCACAGGCTCCAGTTTCTTTCTTTTATGGCTGGCTTTATAAACCATGCTCAATTTCCGATTGGGTTTGTTTACTTGACAGTTGTTTGTCTCCCTGCAAACCAGAAGAAGCACCATAAGGGCAGAATGAGGTGTGAGGGGCTTGCCCTGGAACCCTCAGCATCTAGCACAGTGCCCGGTGCATGGCTCGCAGTTCAGGCCCATTACATGATTGGAATAGGGACTGGCCAGTTGCCCTCCAGCCCTTTGGACTTGAAAGCCTGAGTACTGGTGAGGGGTGGGGCTGAAAGGAAATGACAAAGGGCTATTGCCTCCAGTCTCCATCAGGCCCCAGAAGTCCAGATTAGGCAGTGCCACCTGTGCAGCAGAAGGAAGTGGGGTGTGTGTGTGTGTGCACACATGCACAGGTGTGTGCATGCATGCAGGAAGGCATTTTGCCTATTCGATGTGATTGAGGCCCATGTAGGGTCCCAGCAACCTGAGCAGAAGAAATAGGAGAGTTAGAGGCCAGAGAAGACTAAGAACGTGAGTGGCCAGTGCCACTCCAAGGGGCTCATGGGAGCAATGTCCCACCCTGGACCCTGGTGTCCCGCCCTGGCCCACTCTGGAGGATGCCTCCCTGCCTTCAGCTGCTGTGCCCCTCCCTGTGGGCTGGGAAGTCCTTGGGGTCCAGGAGACACACCCACTTGTGGCTTGGACACCCTTTTCTTGACCTAGCTCCTGAGACTTCAAAATGCCCTGCCCTGAGCCCTGAGCTGAGCCCTGAGCTTCCAGGGTTGCTGCGGGTCTCTTCCCAAGGTCCATAGCAGGTTGTGGAAAGAAGTTGGCTGGGTGGGCCAAGCTGTCCTCATAGGTCCCTCCCAGTTCAGGACAGACGCAGAAGCTGAAGAAATGGGCTGGACCCACACATTTGAGGGGTGGGCCTGTATGGGGGAGCCACGTGGAAGCCCTGGCACTGCTGAGAGGGATCTATGGAGGGCTGAAGCTCCCACAGTAAGTCATGGGACACCCTTGGCTCCTGGGGTGGGGTGGGAGGACTTTCAGCTTCTTCTATGGTTCACCCAGACCAGCTCCCCAGAATCTATTCACCCACAAAACCCAGGTGACTCACTGTGAGTGAGAAATAGTGTGGAGCACAGTCAGGGCCTGGCACAGAATTCCATGGGGAATGGCATACCTTGGCAGAATATGCTCTCCTCTGTGCATCCCTGGAGGTGGGGTTTGGAGCCCCCTACCTATCTAAGCATCTGGGTGGCAGGAGCTGGCATTCCTTTAGTGGCCCTAGAGGAAGGGGCTAGTATGAGGAACAGGGCTGTGCAGTGGGGAGATGTCAAGATGGTGATGCTCTCCTCTCTCCCTTCTTTCTATTTTTATCCTCCCCATTCCCTCTCTCTGCAGGCAGGCGGGCTGGGGGCACAGGGAGAAGTCAGAGGGACCTGGGCAGGGCAGGGGTGTGTGGAAGGGAAAAAAGAAGACATTCCTGAGTTGCCTCTGTGAGAGAGGCATACCTCTCTCACAGAGGGGCATACCTGGGGCAGACCAGACCCTAGGCGAATACCTAGAAACTGGCTCCAGCTTGCAAGTGATGAGCAATATTGAGCAGCCACAGAAAGGAACCTTGATGTCTCACTCAGCAAAATTTTAGACAAAAGCACTCATGGACCATGAGCTAGTCTGGCGAAGAGCACGGGCATTAGAGGCAGAAGGACTTGGGTTGAATTCTGGCCCTGGTACTTTATGTGGGTGATCTTGAGTAAATGACCTGGCTTCTCCATCTTATCAGCCTCAGTTTCTCCACCTGTAAAATATCTTCTTGCTTGTCTCTGTGTGAATTATGGCCATCAACAATCTCAAATTGTGTCTGTTTTTAATAGATCTCTTTTCAGTCCATTGATTTGTTTTTCTGTCCTTACCATGAGCTCAGATCCCAAAAACTGGTTGTTTTGTTTCTGGTTATAAAAGCAAAGACCAGCTTTGGCAACAAATAGGTAAATACAAATACGTTTTGTCACTGAGCTTGGTTCTAGAAAATAATTTTTTATGTATTAAAGTTTATAATGATGGCAATGACTATTAAGTAGATAAACCAGGATGTGGAAGACACTGATGTTAACATAACTTCTTAATATGTCCATCACTGTTTTGTAGCAACTAAAAAGACAATTATGGCATCTATCCTTAACTGATTGGGCTGTTTGTTATATGTTGATCACACCCCAAATGGTGTGAATGAGATTGTGCTACTTAGTAGTGTCAGGCACAAATAATCAGCCAATGAAGGATAACTATGATTATTGGACCAAGGTGTTCAGGTTCTGTTGACAGATCCCTCTATGTCTAGCAGCCACTAAAGTGATTTCCCAAAGCCCAGATGTGATCATGTTCTTCGCTTAAACATCTCCAATGACTGCTGTTGCCCAGAGGACCAAACTCATGCTTGGCAGGCAGAACCATGGCTGATGTGGTTCAAACCTATTTTCACAGCTGCTTTGCCTGCCTGCCAGGGCCATTCCTTTCTTTCCACACATCTGTGCCCCAGGAGAATGGATTTCACCTCTCCCTGAACACACCCTGCCCACTCAGGCTTCTCCAGCCTCTGCTTGTGCCCTTCTTCTTTTATTTTTCTGGAGAGCTTCTATGCATTCTTTAAAACCCAGCACAAATGCATCTCTGGGAAGTGTTCCCCAGTTCCCCATGCAGAGCTGTGTGTTCTCTCTTCTTACTCATAGGTAGAGCCCTTTACCTGCTTGATATGGTTTGGCTCTGTGTCCCCATCCAAATCTCATCTTGAATTGTAATCCCCATGTGTCGAGGGAGGGACCTGCTGGGAGGTGATTAGATCATGGGGGGAGTTTCCCCCATGCTGTTCTTATGATAGTGAGTGAGTTCTCACAAGATCTGATGGTTTAAAAGTGTGGCACTTCCCCTCCCCCATCTCTCCTGCCACCATGTAACACGTGCTTTGCTTCCCCTTTACCTTTTGCCATGATTGTAAGTTTCCTGAGACCTCCCCAGCCAGGTGGAAATGTGAGTCAATTAAACCCGTTTTCTTTATAAATTACCCAGTCTCAGGTAGTTCTTTACTGCAGTGTGAAAATGAACAGTGTGAAAATGAACAAATATACTGCTCTTATTAATGCACTTACAGCATTCTATTGAATAAAAGAGACATTATTGACCTGGGAATGAACTGCCCCAAGGGGAGTCAGTGTTCTACTTGTCTTTGTATCCTCAGAGCACACCACAGTGATTGGCAGATAGTAGGGAACTAAGCAGATGAATGAATACAGACCCATTCCCATGTACTTCAACTGATTTTTCCAATTAAGGCAGTTAGTAGCATGATTCCTGGTGTCAGCCAGCCCTGGATTGAAATGCTAGTTGACATGGTTTGGCTCTATGTCACCACCCAAATCTCATCACAAATTGTAATCCTCATGTGTCAATTGTAATCCCCAGGAAAGACCTGGTGGGAGTGATTAGATCATGGGGTCTGTGTCCCCCATGCTGTTCTCGTCACAGTGAGGGAGTTCTCATGAGATCTGATGGTTTTATAAGGGGCTCTTTCCGCTTCGCTCACCACTCTTTCTTTCCTGCTGCCACATAAGACGTGCCTCCTCCCCTTCCACCATGATTGTAAGTTTCCTGAGGCCTCCCCAGCCCTGCGGAACTGTGAGTCACTTAAACCTCTTTTCTTTATAAATTACCCAGTCTTGGTAATTTTTTACCGGTAATTATAGCAGTGTGAAAACAGCACTTGTAAATGAATTTAGATAGGTTACTTAATGTGTCAGTTTCCTCAACTGATAATTGGGAGTAATATTAACCACATAGAGCTGTGGGGAGGATTAAGAATGAAATTGGACTACTCAGTGTCAGGCACAAATAATCAGCCAATGAATGACAACTATGATTATTGGGCCAAAGTGTCCAGGTTCTCTTGACAGATCCCTCTATGTCTAGCAACACGTGGCTATGAGACTAAAGTTTTGGAACACAGAATCTATTGGTGTGGAACCAATTCACTTCAGAGGTAGACCATTGATCTTGATCTTGTTGGCACTTTGCTCAGCTTAATTGTATTTGAAGATCAGAGGGAAGACTCAAGTGGGTCAAATGTCTAGAGAAGAAAACCCAGTTAAACCAGGTAGCAGATTAGGGAATTTTACCCTTAGTTACAGTTTACAAAAGCAAGTGAATTGTTTCCTTATGACTAGCCTTGATTAGTGACCACTAAAAAATGTAGGTTTGAATTTCACAAGTCATACATTTCCCAGAGAAGAGCCCAAACTTATCAAGACAATCTTTGGAAAAGCAGCTGATAGAGGCATAATCCACAACTTTAATTAACAATGAGGCTTTCAAATTGAACACACAGAAGGAAAATTAATAAATTGTTTAATTTTGTCTTTCCTGTACCTTACTTGTGTGATGCATATCCTTCTAAATGTGCCATTACAAATGCATAGTTTTTTCATCAACTGCTGATTTCATTAGTGTTTAGAAAACATCCAGTTACCATGCTAAAAGAAAGTGAAGAGGCAGCCTAGATGCTTGCTAAGCCAGAGTTCAAGGTGCCCTGCCCACGCATCTTAACGTTACTGCCCTTAACTTACACAGCTTGGCCTGGCTGCGCCACTTAAGCTGCCAAGAAAGTAATCCGGGACTCTTAAGGGTTTTCGTGCGGGAGTCTCATTTGCAAGTTTGATTTGGAATGTGCTCTTGACAAAGGCGGTTCCACCCTGTGTTCCTATTGCCCTGGCTTGGCTCAGTGCAAGAGGGCTACTAGCAGTTTCCGGAAGTCCCCGGAGGTATCTGAGCGAACCATGTCAGAGAGAGACTTCTGATACTTCTCTTGGAACTTTGCTTTGATCCCCTGAAGGTCCACCTGTAGAAAAAATAACAGCAATGGAGATAAGAACGTTTATGGTGTGTTCACAAACAGTGGGCACTGTTCTACACATGTTATACTCATTTGCTCATTCATGCCTTAAAACAGCCCTTGAGATAGGGCTTTATTTCCTATCATTATTTCCTTTATCACGTTATTTCAATTTTGTGATCAGGAAAGGGAAGGCAGAGGTCAATTCCCCAAAGGTTGCAGAGGTGTCCACGTGTGTGTGTGTTCCACTAAAACTCTTGAATTTCTTTTTTTTTTTTTTTTTTTTTGAGACAGAGCTTTGCTCTTGTTGCCGAGGCTGGAGTGCAATGGTGCAGTCTCGGCTCACTGCAATCTCCGCCTCCTGGGTTCAAGCAATTGTCCTGCCTCAGCCCCCCAAGTAGCTGGGATTACAGTCAACCACCATGCCTGGCTAATTTTTTTCTGTATTTTTAGTAGAGACGGGGGTTTCATCATGTTGGCCAGACTGGTCTCGAACTCGTGACCTCAGGTGATCCACCCACCTCAGCTCCCGAAGTGCTGGGATTACAGGCGTGAGCCACCGTGCCTGGCCCTAAAACTCTTGAATTTCATACAGTTTTTACATGTTACAAAGTATTATCTTTCTTTTGAGTTTTAACAGTTATTTGAAAATGAATTGCCCTAAGCTAGCAGGACTGTACACAACCTGGCAGTGAGCCTGAATTGGCCTGCAGGCTGTAGTTGGTTGACCCCTGGTATAAAACTAAGAAAATTGTCAACACAGAGATGTGGAATTAAGCAATTAAGCAGTTTTTCCCTCATACCATGATTAGCAAGGATATTAGTACCAGTCAACACAACTCAAATCACTAGCAACTTGTAGGATTTATTTTGAATCTAATTTATTGGAAGCTTGAAAAACCCAGGTGCTAGAAGTGATGATAGGACTCAGGAGAAAAATAAATCCAAAGATTGCTCTGCCAGAAGATTCTTACAGCCTAGCAAAGGAGACGATACTTGTACCAGAAAAGATGTAATTCCAGGTAGAACATAATGGATCTCATAAAAGAAGCAGAGAACTCTTTTTAACCAGGAGTCTTTCTTTTCTTTTCTTTTTTGGCTTAGACCCTACCTTGTACTCCAGACCCAAAAAGTGTGGCTCAGGGATCTGATTCTTTCTTCTCTTGCCCCAGTGAGAGGGCTGAGCTGAGACAGTGAGAGAAATGATCAGGATGGGAGTATGTGGGGGAGTGAGGGAGGGTTTGCAGTGGATGTGGAGCAGGTGGCAGACACTACAGGAGACAGGTGGTGTCTGTCTCTCCCCCAGCCTGTGTGTCCCCCTGCTCCGCTGCTTGGCTCCTTGCCCCGTGCTGGGACACGGGCAGGAAGGTGGAGGGTGGGTAGGGATGGGGTGCACAGGGCTCTGTTCTGTGGCTTTGGGAGATTAGGAAATCTGGCCAAACTACTATATCTAGCCAGGCCTGAAGCCTTCTGAGGTAACTGCCCACATGTTGAGATGGCCCAGGACGTGTGGTTGATTCTGAGATGGGACAGAGCTTCTTGGAATAAAACACTCCGTGGGCCATGTCGGAGTGATCACGGAACCCTCACAAGCCCTTCGGATGGATCCAGTCTCTCTGGGGGTCATTTGGAATCCTGGGTCTTCATTGTGTTCAACCTGTCCCTTTTGAGTCCCTCAAGATCTCTCATCTCTCAGTGACTTTGGCTGGAGGTCGAGTTGCTAACAGACAGAGGGACGGACAAGGCAGAAGACCTGGAGAGAAAGGAGGGAGAGGGATTTGGAGCCATGGAGGAGAGAGGCAGAGGCATGGCAGGAGCAGAGCAGAGAGACTGGCAAAGGGAAAGAGGGGAGAGAGAGAGACATGGCCTTCAATAGAAAAAGATGAGTTGTGGAGGAGGAGAAAGGAGGGGAGGAGAAATTCCAGGAATAGAAATAAAAAAGCAAGAACCATCTTGTTGCAAAGTTATATTTAAAAACAGTGTCAGATGTTAAGCATTATTTGTTAAGAAGCCATGGATCAGAATTTGGGTTGGTGTCCCTCCCCCTTCACCTCCCCCTTCATTTAACCACTTTTTTTTTTTTTTTTTGAGGGAAGATGTCTGTGGTTTTCAAGTGCTTAGTTCCACTTCATTCCCCAAGGCTTCTCCTGCTGCCGATGAAATGCCACTTCCCCTTTATTTTGTACCACCTTCTGTCTGTGGCCCCATATCCCGAACTGTTAGCTGTGACCTTTTTTTTTTTTTTTTTTTTGAGACCGAGTCTCGCTCTGTTACTCAGACTGGAGTGTAGTGGCACCATCTTGGCTCACTGCAACCTCCACCTTCTGGGTTCAAGCAATTCTCATGCCTCAGCCTCCTGAGTAGCTGGGACTACAAGTGTGTGCCACCATGCCCAGCTAATTTTTGTATTTTTAGTAGTGACGGGGTTTCACCATGTTGGCCAGGCCGGTCTCGAACTCCTGACCTCAGGCGATCCACCCACCTCGGCCTCCCAAAGTGCTGGGATTACAGGCATGAGCCATTGCACCCGACCAGCTGTGATCTTGACGGCTGCTCCCAAGCCGTTGGCTCTTCCTCTCCCTTTTCTTTCTTATACATACACATTCTCCGAGAGCAAGCACAAATTGGTTTTTAGGGGGTGAAAAAGCCCTTAATTTTTTTATGTATAAAGCACTGATATCCACATGGTATATAAACAGATTTGTAGTATTATCTCTGGTGTTAACATTTCTTGTGGGGAAGGGATGGCAATGAAGAAACACGTGTCTAAAAAGGTTCCTTAGAACAGCAATAGTTTTTAAAAAGATTGAGAACCATTGCCTTATGCTGATGTGCTTGCTTCTGCAGTGTGTTCAGTTAAGGAAAGGCCTCACTCAGGAATTCAGAAATCATTCTCTTTTTGTTCCTGCTGCTGGTTGACCTCTTTCAAGTGTGTTTGTTTTGTCTTCCTTAACATGGAGCCATGCATAGCTGCAGCCCCTGAGAACTGCTCGACATGGTTGCCTCTGCGCCCCTCCACTAGCTCTCCAGAGCCACAGAGGACAAAAAAAGAAGCAACGATCATTATTGTATTTTTATAAAAAGAAACAGATTGAAGCAGAGCACAATGTCTTCTGCAAATTCTGGGAAGGCAAGGGGCCGTCTCTGTTTTACTTTTTCTGTAAATAGGCCCTTAATAGAAACTATTTGTTGATGACATCAGTGGTGGAAAAAAGAGAAGTTGCAGCCGCCTCTTTGGAGTCGGAGTGTGTCTTACCTCGGCCCTGGTCACGACTATGCGAATCAACGTCTCCTCATCGGTCCCCGCACCCTTCATCGACTTGTACAGACGTTCAGCAAAATAGTCCTCACAATCCTGGGCACATCTCACTGGGCAGGACAAAGGAAAAGAGAATGTGAGGCTTTCACGTTTTGTGGAATGACCTTGGGACCCCCCTAAATGTCACCTGGCTGCCCTTCGAGCTGACTGGATGGTGAGACAGAGGTGTGAAAAGAGCTGACTTGACACCGTTGCGAAATGAGATTTGGAAGATTCCCTGGTCAGAGCACCTGGAATCTTCAAGCATAGCTCCCCTCCTGTCCCCTGAAGACCCTCTAGAGGAGAGCTGTGGCATCCTCGGGCCCTCCCGGCCACGTCCATGATTCTCGTTATTTCCCAGCAGAAATAACTTTCCCTATCGAGTGAAATCTCTGGTGCTGTCCTAGGGTTCTGAAGGGAAACAGATTGGCCAGCAACCTTCTGGAACAAAACTTCATCATCTTGACAATGTATCCAGTTGGACAGCCGCCTGCTCTCCTATGCTCAACAACCTCCCTACTCTTTGTTTTTCCTCACTGGGGTTGTTTTGCAAGCCTCATCTCTGAACCTTTTCCAGGTTCCCCACGATCTTTTGGTTTGCAATCCGGGATGTGGACTTGATGAAATGTTTGATCCTTTTTAAAGATCACTTTCCTACGATGCTGCTATTTGCTCTTTCCTGGCTTCCCCTTGCCTTCCAGCTTTGATCTATCTACAGCTTAATGAAGCGTGGTCTCTATTCATCAAGCAGGTGACAGGGTGCATCTCTTCTCCTGGGAATAAATCATTCCTTCCCCTCTTCCCAGGCTCATATGAATCCATCATGGCTAACACGTTAGAGGAAAAAAAAAATATTTGCCCTTTAGGCTGTTAACATTTCTCTAGAACACTTGATGATGTTAGTGATTAACAGTAAGTGATTATTTCAGCATAAATGTGGAATGTGCAATCTTACTATGTCCCATAATGGGGCTGTTGTTGTCTAGGGGACTGTCTGTGTGATTGATGCTTATAAGCAGGGGAGAGGAGCAGAGTTCGGGAAGGAGAGTCTAGTTTGGGGACCAGCCGCCTTTTACAGGCCATGTGGCAGCTGCCACAGTTTCAGTGGAAAAGAAAATCGCACCGGAAAAGAAACAATGTCTGGCCTCTTTCTCCTGAGAACAACCCAAAAGCTGCTGGATTGGTGGTTCAGGGGAAACTTGCATGCTATTCTGGGGAGTAGCATATTCAAGACTTACTGTGATCCCCAGACAATTTGAGCTAATGAGCACCACAAAGTTTTCCTGAAAATCCTCTTCCATACAGCACGGCTTGATGTGGGGATCATTGTCTGCCTGAAGTCACCGTGTTCCGCTCCTGCACAGGGATCTTCTCCCTTGACATTCCTTCTACCTGATATTTCAGGAAGAAAACTCTCAACATTTCTCCTGTCTATAATCTATGCTTGGGGAACAACCTCTGTTGTTAGCAGCAGCAGGAATCTCTCAAAAGGCTGGGCAGGGATAGCCAAAGAAGATGTGGAATAAAATTATTCACTGCAGCCAGGCATGGTGGCTCACACCTGTAATCCCAGCGCTTTGGGAGGCCGAGGTGGGTGGATCATTTGAGGTCAGGAGTTCGAGACCAGCCTGGCCAACATGGTGAAACTCCGTCTCTACTAATAACATAAAAATTAGCCAGGCTTGGTAATCCCAGTTACTTGAGAAGCTGAGGCATGAGAACCACTTGAACCCGGGAGGCAGAGGTTGCAGTAAGCCAAGATTGCACCACTGCACTCTAACCTGGGTGACAGAGTGAAACTGTGTCTTAAAAAAAAAAAAAAGAAAGAAAGAAAGAAAGAAAAAAACCTCTTCACAGCAAATGGCAGGAAAGGCAGCCAGCCCGGTGCTCTATATCTTGCTCCCCTTTGCCTTCAGAGTGAGTTCCTGAACTTCAGTGAGTATAACACAGTCACTTGGACAGTTTGTAGAAGTGTGGCTTCCCAGGCTCCCTTCCTGGAGGTTCTCAATGGGAACCTGGAGTGGGGCCCAGGAACCTGCATTGTAACAGGTGATTCCAAGGTAGGGGGTCCATAGACCTCACTTTGAGAAATGCTGCTCCAGAGGCTGGATGTGGTGGGAGCCATTTGACCTCACCCCCTGCTCCTAGATGTTAGTCATAAACTGGCATCGCTGTAAGTTAGGTGGGAGCGGGGTGGGAAGTGTCTAGAAAATAGTCATGAAGCCGTATTCTGTTATTTGTGTGGCTTATTCTCAAGGTCTTTTCTAATCACTTTTTTTCGCTACCACTGGAGTACAGCTCTCTCTTGGACTGTGTGGTCCTCAACCCCAGGGACTTGGCTTTTCTGTCATCTGTACCATCTTTGCTCTTTGTTTTTTTATCTTTATCTTTAGCCTTATCTGTTGATTTGTACCCACCAGCTTAAAATCCACCATGAGCTTTAGGCTCCTTAAGAGCAAGAACTGGCCTTATTTACCTCTTATTCCCAACCCAGCACAAACCCTGGGCCCAGGCAGGTGCTGAGTAAATGTTAAATCATTGAATAGTTTTAATACCATCTTCTGACTGCACTCTGGTGTTTTCCCGATTCTCACAATGCAGGTATAGCAAGCAAGGACGTACAGCCTCAGAACCAGGCTGTGAGTAGATCCTATTATCTACTCAAGACTCTTCTTAATTATGCCTAGTGTTCCATTATTGGAATGTTAAGCTTGTAGGAGTTATTTATATCCTACTGCTCAAGGTCATCGCCGAGGTCTGAATTTTTCACACATGTCTGCAATTCAAAAAATTGCAACCTCCGGCATAAATGGCTTAAGGCCCTAAGCACAGTCACTTATACCAGGGCTCGTGTATATATCCAGTGTGGGTCATGAGTAATGCCAGGGATTTTTAGGCCTCCGGATATCACAGCAGAGGTCTTGCTCATTGAATGCAAAATAAGGATGGATTAAAAAAAAATCAATTGCTGACATTGTTCAAAAAAACCCCAAAGAAACCAAACAAAAGAGTTTGGCAACTGGAGCACATTTTTTAACTTCCAGGGCTGCTTATTTGGTTCTTCCTCTTCTGAGAACAGGTCTCTCCATTCCTTCTGCCATTTGGGTTGGTGCCCTGGATTCCTCACCACAGGACTGTGGACAATGGACAATGCCTTCATTCCAGGGCTTGCAGAAAGAAAGAAGGAGCCTGTCAGACACAGCCCCATGCCCATCTCTCTGCTATTTCCTGCCTTTGGGCAACACCTGGAGAGGAGGTCCTGGGGTTTGGTTGGCACAATCAGGATCTGATCTCCCTCACCTCTCTTTCCAAACAAACTTCATTATTTGAAAACATTGAAAGGAACCAAATGGAAAAGGAAACCTGTGAGCTATCAGGCTGCCTGAAACTGGATAACAGTCTAGGTTGTTGACAGGTGCCCTCAGGGACCCATGGTGTTAGTGGGTGATATGGTGTGGCTGTGTCCCCACCCAAATCTCATCTTGAATTATAGCTCCCACAATTCCCACATGTTGTGGGAGGGACCCAGTGGGAGATAATTCAATCATGGGAGTGGTTTCCCCTCATACGGTTCTCATGGTAGTGAATAAGTTTCACGAGATTTGATGATTTTATAAGGGGTTTCCTCTTTCGCTTGGGTCTTATTCTGCCTTGTCTGCCACCATGTAAGCTGTGCCTTCCGTCTTCAGCCATGATTGTGAGGCCTCCCCAGGCACGTGGAACTGTGAGTCCATTAAGCATCTTTTTCTTTATAAATTACCCCATCTTGGCTATGTCTTTATCAGCAGCATGAAAACGGACTAATACAGCAGGACTGCAATGGATGCTGTGGTGTGCCACTCAGATGCCCTATTCAGGATCGAGGCAGTCATTCACAGCTGAGTCCCTCCCCAGGAATCTCCCTCCAAGGGAGAGAGCTGGCTTGCCCAAAGTTGCACTGCTCCCCTGGTACAGCCAGTGTTACATGACTGTTTGATGTGGGGTGCAAAAGCCTGGCCCCCTTGCTCCACCTTGGACATCTCAGCTTCCAAGCTTCCTGTGGGATCAGCAACGCCCCTGTTGCAACTACATCACAGTCACTCTCTCTCTTGCTCAGTGCTGCTTAGACCTGTTGACCCCCAAAAGCTATTCCCTCAAATCTTCCTACACACAAACCTCTGTCTGAGTCTGGTTCCAGGCAGCCCAACCTAAGACAGGAGCTCTCCTAACTTTACTTTACCGAGAGTTAAATAGGCCTTCTGCAAGTCGCCTGATGTTTCTTCTTCAATGGCTTCTTCTATGTCTTTGCCAATGAGCTGCAGCGAAAACCAAAATCAACTGTTATTCCAGGTTTGCCTTTGACCTTAGTACTCTTGGGGTTGTTCCTCTACAAAAAGCACTCAAGTTTTCCAGATTTAGTCCTGTGGCTTCAGGGAACTGCTATCCTGACTCTTGCCTTGTAGGATTGGGGTGTTTGCCACCCATTCGAGAGAGGGCTCTCGTTGCTGAGGAGTCAGTCTAGATTTGACTCCCAATGGATTTGACCTTAGTGCCACTCCCTCAACCTCAATTTCCTCATCTGTAAAATTTGGGAGTGGAGAAACAATTAATATATAATATATATTATAATATATATAATTAATATATTATATATACTATAATCATAGATTTTTTTTTTAACATTGATGTGTAGTTTAGTTCCCATGTGTTCTTCACCCTTTCCAGTTTCAATTTCCCAGGAGGCTGTGGTTATGATCATCTGACATGCACCTCCATCCTCTCCCTTGTCTTGGGACCAGGGACTTAGTCACAGTTTGAGTGAAATAAGTAGGCATGGTGAAGTTCATGATAACAACTTGATCTAAAGTTCCTGAGAGGGTGGGTCTGCAAGGGCTGGGAGCCGGGGGTGCTGACCACATCAAAATGCCACTTGTCTTCACTCTGGGGTGATTCCAAATAATCCTATATTCACCACTGGCTCACATATTGCTCTGCGCAGCATTACACATTAGGTTTCTTTCTAAATATTTACAGAAGCTGAAGTTCAGAGTAAATTGTGACTATCCTTAACACAAATACTGCCCGGGCCAAGCTCAGGGCAGGCACATAAAGAGAAAGGAGAATGCTTTGCTGGGTTTGGAGAAATGCAATTAAGCATTAGAAACACTGAAATTTCTTTCTTAGAAATTATCTTTTGAGGATATGACACAATTGATTCTATAAATAATTGGGGACTTTGAGTATGCACCAGTGGAGTTTATGTGGTTTATTTTGAAAACACAGGTAAACAAAATGTTCTTTGTGATGTAAGCACAATATATGTCGGGGGAGGAACTGTGTCCAGATTTAATGAAGCCCTGTTGCTTGATCTCCTAGTCATTGTTTGCATATCTGGAGGCCTTGGTGTGTGGCAATAGAAACCAGATTAGAAGAGTGGGGGAACTGTCCCTTCCTTAGCTGCCCCCAGTCTTTTTTGGGTTTGATGTGGGAGTCATTATTTTGGAAGGGATTGGTATCCCTTTCCCAGAAACAAGGTTCTTGTTCTGTAGACTGAGATCATACTTCAAGAGAACATTTTGTTCACACAGGTCTTGTTTACTTTAAAAAATCCTCACATTAAACCGTTTTCCATTTCTATTGTTAATACCAGGCTAGAGCAGGGATTTTAAATTTTCTGTAGAATCTCAGCCTACAAAACAGATGAAAGCAGAAAGCAGAGCTGTGCTGGGAGGCGGGAGGTGGGCTCCTTTCCCTTGCCATTGGCATCTATACCATGTTTTTGCCCGCTCAGGTTTTTTCCTTGCACAACTCCAGGAGGCGCTATTCACACACTGCAACAAGAAGGTACTGCCCTGTCTGCTTCCTGCCCCACCCTACTCCTGGTAGCTGCTGAGGCGTCTCCGTGGGACACAATCTGAAACAATGGTCTGGCCCAAGCTGTTGGGACTGTACTTTGGATACTTCTCACTTCAGTTACTGCAACGTGATTCTTAGGGGCTCTTTGTACAGAAGCAGATTTTCTGATCTCAGTAGAAAAACACATTATAAGGGTAGATTCCAAACAAGTCTCTAAGACTCTAGTTAAACAGGCAGCAATGCCTGCAGGGAGGTTATTAGAGGAGCAGGGGAGACATTTCTTTCTTTGAAAATCGGTTTCCCCAAATGGACGGCACGCTGACAGCAGAGCCCTCTGTGCTCTGGCACTGACTATAGCAGTTAGAGGGCTGAAGCCTCTGGCGTGGAATAAGGAACATGTACAGGGGAGGGGCAAAGGGTGAGGCACGCAGTGAGGTGGCAGCAAAGTGGGCTATGGGTATGCATACCTACTGTTTATGCTGAGCCCTGTTTGGGGACTTTACTTTGGTTTTATAGCTATATAAGTCTTTCATATTTGGTAACGCTGGGGACTGTAATAATCCTGCATGATGCAGAAGTTTGGGAAACTGTTGCGTGGCCTGGGATTGCTGGGAGTGTCAGAAGTTAAGACTCAGGCTTAGAGCATAAATAAATGGCAAAACCCTGAGTTTTTGTGCTGAAAATTAAAATTCAACCCTAAGCCAGGACGACTCATGCCACATAAGAAACTCCAGTGATCTCAGACTAGCATCTCTGTGCTTTTGGTCAGAAGCCATCAGAAAAATCATAGAACCAGGGTCTAAGAGCAGGCTGAACTCTAAAAACATCAGCAATAAATATCAAGAATGACACTTGAGCAAGGCTTTTGAAATGGATGAATAGATAGCATTTTAGAGCTGGTTTCATGTAAAGAATCATCAAATCCATAGATTACCTTATTGTACATATAAGCTTTAGCCCTGATTTTTGGCACTGTCTGTTCACCCAGGGAGACGCCCGACAATTGCTAATGTTCATTGAACGCCTACTGCATGCCAGGGACTAACTGCTTATTTCTGTTAACTCATTTAATCCTTATTAACCCTATGAAGTAGGTACTATTATCCCTATTTTACGTTTGGGAAACCGAGGCACAGAACCCTTAATAACTTGCACAAGGACATACAGCTGTAGCCTAAAGCTGACTTCTTAAACTGTAATATACATTAAAATCACCTGGAACACCTGCTCTAACACAGATGGTCAGGCCCTAGCCCCGGGGAATCTGATTCAGTAGGTCTGGTGGGGACTGAGAATTCTCAATTTAAACAAATTCTCAAGTGATGCTGATGGTGCTGTTTCAGGATCAACTTTGAGATATTAGCCTGGAGAGTGTACTTTCAGGTAGTCAGTTCATACACACACACACACGTACCCAGAAACTCCATCTGTGGGCTCCGTAGTGTGGGAGGAGGATCTCAGTCATAGAGAAGTCCTCCAGCTCAGAGGCTACGCAGCTCCAGGAACAAGAGACCAGGGGAGTGCAGGGTCAGCTGTCTTTGATCATGACTCTGGGCACGATTTGAAAGGAGCAGGCCCTAAAGGCTTATATACAGTCATGATAAAATTCCAAAGCTTTATTGTCTTTTTATCTGCTGGCAACACATAGGAAATGCTATTTGGAGTGAGGAGTGGCCAGCTTCAGCTGAGGTAGGAGCTCAGGCCGGGGAGTCTTGGAGTTCTCATCCACTCTCTGCTACCAACTTGCTGTGTGGTCCTGATAAGTTACAGATGGTTCCTCACTCAACAGACTTTCCTTGTCCAGCAGTTGTGGGTCACAATAGTTGTTCGGCCTACATTATAGTTACCCTGTTGTTGTGAAACTGAATGAGACACAGAACATAGAAGTGCTTTGAGCAGGTAAAAGCACTCTACACATATAAAATAGGATGCCAAAAAAAAAATCTGATATTCCACTCCAGGCGTTTTGCAAGTAAAGACTGCTTTTCAGGGAAGGACTTACTGCTAAGGGCCTTGAAATAACTAACTCGCTTTGTGGGCTTAAATTTATCCTGGGATTAAAATATAATTTATGTGCATCTTTTCAGGAGGCTATCTTTGAGGTACCTCATATCTGTCTTGAGAATGGTGGGCACTGTTAGCCAACTGTAAACTGGAGTAATAGTAGCAAACATTAGTATGCTTGCCACATGCCAGCTCAACTGTTCTGAGTCTTTATCTTATTTAACCTTAAAATCACTCTGAGGGTGTGAAGATGATGTTCACGGTTCCTGTTCTACAAACAGGATGGAGAGATTTGGTCACTTGCCAGTGGTAGACCCAGGATTTGCACCTGGACTCTTGGACTCTAGAGCTTCTCCCCTGAATGGGACACTTGCTTCCCTGGCGTCTGTTGTGAAGCCGGTTTCCAGCCTGGGTACTGCATCTGGGGCTGGAGGATTCTTGGTGGTGGGCTGTCCTGTGCACTGCAGGCTGTTTAGCGGCATCCCGGGCCTCTGTTCACTAGATGCCAGGGCCACCACCCCCAGCTGTGACAACTCCAGATAATTCTAGACATTATCAAATATTCCCTAGGTAGGAAAATCGCCTCCAATTGAGAACCACTGTTGTAAAGGATCCCCAATTCCTTATTGCAGATCTTGGCTTCTTTTGGAAATAACTTAAGACACTTTCAGAGTGAACTCTTTTGCCCCAATACTTTATGACTTACAATTTGATAGGCTTGAAAGGTGGCTCGTAACTGCTTGTAGCTCCTCTTGGCCAGGACTTCATTGAACGCAAGCTCATCAGTGCCCCAGCGGCCTTCCCCTGCCTCAAGGGTCAAATACAAACACTTTGAAAAAGGCTTTTGTGAAAAGACTGATTATGCAGTGCTGTGACTAGGCCTCACTGACAGGAAATTATAAACTATGCATTGAATAGAAGTCAAATGGACTAAGCACTTTCAGCTTCTAACCCACAAATGTATTTCACATACTTATTTATATTGTTTATACCATTCTTTGTTCCAAAACAGATCTGATGTGGTCAACCCCAGAGTATAAGAATAGGAACCATTCATTTAGATTCATGGAGACTATATATATGATCTAGAAAGATCTAAGCATATCTTTGTTTCTTATTTCCCAAGTAACTCCTCTTTGCATGAAATAAACATTTGTTGAAAATAATGCTAATAAATTTAAAAAAAGAATTTGCAGAGACTGGCATGTCTGCACACATACATCATACAGATCTTTGGCATCCTGACCAGCTAGATCTTTGTCCACGTCATCTCCTTCATTGCGATTAGCCTAGAAAAATTGACACATTGTTATTAACTTGCATTCCTGCTTGACCACAGAAAACAAACTAACAAAAAAAACAAAGTCCTGGAGAAAGAGGTGAATTCTTTCTCAGCTCAGCTCAGTTCAGCCTGGCAAGGAGGAAACACCTGCTCTTTGCTGCCATCTTTTGGGCACAATGGATAAACAGAGGAGCTTCTGTGGCAACACTTGGTTTTGCCTTTTTTTTTTTTTGTAGAAACCAGAGTCACCCACACACCCCACTGACCTCTGAGCAGACTGAGTGCGATCTCTGGTTTTCCCTAGAATGAGTCCCCTCTTCGTTTCAAAATATCAGATTTCACCACTCAAGGTCCCAGTCCTAAAAAACCCTGAGAGCTGGTCATGGAAGTCTAACTTGAGCCCTTTGTGGTGGGCAGAATTCTAAGATGACCCAATGGTCCACATCCTTGTATAATCCCCTTCCCTTGAGTGTGGGTGAGAGCTATGAATGTGAGGAGATGCCACTCCTGTGATTGTGTTATATTCAATGGCAAAGGGGAATTTTGCAGATATAATTCAGGTCTCCAATCAGCTGAGTCCACCAAAAGGGAGATTATCCTTGGCCGGCCTGACCCAGATGAATGAGCTCTTCTTAAAAGGTCAGAGATGGAAGAAGTCAGAGAGATGAGCTGCTGCTGGACTGGAAGAAACCAAACAGCCATGTGGTGCACTGCCTTGGGGGACTGTGTGGAAGGGAGCTGCTGGCGGTCTCTAGGAGCTGATAGTAGCTTCTGGTCAACAGCAAGAAAATGGGGACATCAAACACAGACATAAGGAAATGAATTCTGCCAACAATTAATGAGCTTGGAAGAAGACTCTGAGCCTCAGATGAGATGGCAGCCCTGGCCGACACCTTGATTTCAGCCTGTTGATAACCTGACCAAAGGACTCAGCGAACCCAAATATTATTCAGCTGGATCTCCAAGATACTACTTGGACTCCTGACCCATGGAAACTGTGAGATGATAGATCTATGTTGTTCTGAGGTGCTAAGTTTGTGGCGATTTGTTATGCAGCAAGAGAAAACTTAAACTCTCTTCCTGCTGCAGTGGAAGCCTCTCTCTTCTGTTCTCTGCTGTCAGTGTATCCCATTGGGAGAAACAAAACAGAGAAAATGCACAGAGCTCGTAAAGATGAGTGTGTCCATAAGAATACAGATGTGTCTGTCTAGAGGTCTCGGGGGGCTGTGTCCCAGCAGGGCCAATTCTGAAAGCCCTGATGTCCTGGCTGAGTTTCTTGTTGTAGTCCTTACAGGCCCAGGATCCAGTGAATCCTGGAAGTAATTGTAGAGTTGTGTTGTGGAAGCGGCCCTGCTTGGGGTCAGATAGTCTGGTTCTTGCTTCTGGGCTGTCTCTTACTGGCTGCATGAACCTGGGCAGGTTACCCACCCTCTCATGGCCTACATTTCCTCACTGGCAAAATGACAAAGTGATGCTTAATGAGCCGATTCATTTACAAAAAGTGATTGTAAACTGCAAATGACTAGGCAGATTGTTTATATGGAAGTAATTCCAATTGAATATAATTTCACCAGAGCTGGGCTGATGGAGCATGGGTTGATAATCCCTTGATAATATTTTTAATATAAGAAAGAAATGTTTATCTACGTTACCCTTTTTCATCATGGTGCCATGTTGCCAAGGATTCTTTCCTAAGATGATAAAACAGGTGACACCTCTTTCCTCTTACCTGCAGCAGAGACACCAGGATTTTTTTTAGGTTTCCACTTGTATCACCTTTGACATCTGATTCGAGGCTCCTATCAAATACTTCGAAGGAAGTAAACAAGGAGGGAAGAAAGCAGATGATTTAGTTTCCCAGAGGTATTTTGAAAGAAACATACTTTATCCAAAGCCAGAATGAAAAGTCACTTACGCCTTTGGTAGGCCTCTTTAATGGCGATGATTTCCTAGGGAAGGTAATTTACAAAAAAATCAATATTCCAAGGAGGGATTAATCAATAAGAGATACAGAGAGAAGAGGCGGGAGACCATGTCTGGACACAAAGTGCCTTCAAGACTTCCTCTTAAGATGGTCATCCCTATAGGTCCAGGGCACACGCCTGGAGCGAGTCCCTGGAGATGTGACGGCCCGCCCCCCCCCCACTCCGCCCACCTCTGCAAACATCTCTAACACACAAGTGACAAATGCATGCATTCTCTTTCTTTAAATGTGAGAAGTTTACAGCTAGGCTAACACCTTCTTTCACCACCTCCTCGCCTGGTCTCACTCTCTCTTCCCCACTCAGGTAACCCATGTTAGAAGTTCAGTGCGTATCAGAAAGATACACAGATTTTTTTTTTTGCGTTTGTATATATATGTGCTACTGAAAACAGAATTGTATAGGTGTCATGTGTTTAGCAGGTGGAATACTGTACCTATCATTCCTTGACTTAGTTTTTCTCTCAATAATAGTATCCCGGAGATCCAGCTATGCTTGTACATGGATAGTCACCTAGAGTTTTTTAAAGGGACACAAAATATTCCATACTACAATAAGCTACGGTTTACTTAGCCAACCTCCTATTGATGGAGGCTTAGGTCGTTTCCAAGTTTTCTCTCCTTCAAACAAGGCTTCGTTCAGTAACAGACTGGCTGCGTGCAGGAGTGCTAGTTTCTCTTGAGGGTGTGTTCTTGGAGAAACTGCTTTATATTTCAATGTCTGGTGCCAAGGGGTGCACCTCAGGAGCTGCCTCAGTTTACACTTGAACCAGCAGCTTGTAAGAGCAGGCTTCCTGCTCCCCCACCCCCCCCACCACCAAGCTGGTTAAAATGAAAGTCAGTAGGTGGTGATTGGGAGAAGGTGGTGATGGGGAGAAAGCGGTGGGGAGCCTCACTGCTCCTGGGTGGGAGGGAAGGGCAGGCTAGGTGCTGGGGGAGGCTGATCACTTGTGTTTGTGCAGCTCCCTCCCTTTTCTCCTTCCAACCCGCAACCAGGATCTGCCTGAACCTGGCACCCACTCTCTGCAGGTTTTTCTTCTCATCCCATCAGATCTATTTGATTGATAGAGAGGCCTTGCTTATTGGTTGAAGCCAGGAACTTAAAGAAACTAGGCTGAGGGAGAAAAAGCTATGATCACATGAGATTAGAAAAATATATATGAATATATTTTTTGAGACGAAGTCTCGCTCTGTCGCTCAGGCTGGAGTGCAGTGGCACAATCTTGGCTCACTGCAACCTCCGCCTCCCGGGTTCAAGCGATCCTCCTGCCTCAGCCTCTCAAGTAGCTGGGATTACAGATGCATGGCGCCACACCTGGCTAATTTTTGTATTTTTAGTAGAGACGGGGTTTCATCATGTTAGCCAGGCTGGTCTCAAACTCCGTCTGACCTCAAGTGATCCTCCTGCTTTGGTCTCCCAAAGTGCTAAGATTACAGGCGTGAACCACTGTACCTGGCCTGAAAAATATGATTAAAATTAACCTTTTCACAAAGGCAGGTGCTGACCGCCCTGGCGTTGGCTGCCTCCCTGCTGGGACCTTGGTGCTTCTGAGAAGGGTGGATGCTGAGTGGGGGAAGTTGTGTGCCTCTTGGCCTCAACTCACACTCCCGGGGGGCCTGTGCTAACCCTCCTCCGAAGCATCATCCCAACCTGAGACTCCTTGAAATGGAGGATTTTTATTATCTTGTGGGGAGAAAAGAAGTCCGGGGATGCTCCAGAAAAGGTTTGCACCTGTAGCCTGGACCCTGGCGGCACTTCAGGAAAAGAGGCTGAGCAGCGTGAACGTGGCCCAGCACCCAGGCCTTCTCCAGGCATTTTTGTGTCAGGGCACTGTTTGCATTTTGCCTGCTGTCTGCTCCAACATCTGCTTCTATTTCCTGCTGAGAGGCCTCAAGAATGTTGGGCTCTTCTGGCATTTTCCTTGCTGGGCTGCCCCATTCTGCTGTCATGTGTGGTTGCTGAAGAGGGAGGGGTCTCTCCTGTGAATTATTTGTGGACCCTCTTGACTTGATGAGTCCCTTGGTTCTCCTGGCTTCTGGAGCCAGAGACAAATAGTTCTCCATGGGGCCTCAACAAATGCTCTCTTCAGCCCCTGCAAAGGTGGCATGTGCCGAGTGACATCCCTCTGTCTGATGACAGAAGGACACACAACCCTTCAGGGTAGTACTGGCAGCCACTGGGGTGTTCACTGGCATCCCCCAGCACCACTCACCTCTCTTCCTCATTATAGTCTCTTTTGTACCCTATGCTAGCTGACCGCCATAGCCCAGGCAGTGGCACAGGCATGCTTGGGCTGCTTGTTGATTTTTCATGTCAGAAGAGCCGCAAAGTCAGGCTGGGTGGGGGAAAGTAGAATTGTGCCTCCTGCTTATAAAAGCATCAGTTTAGAAAAGCAGAAGCTCGCTGGACACAGCTCTTCTGAAAAGATCGATTCTGTTAAGTGGCAGCAACACCAAGACTGACCTCTGGAAGACTGGAAGAGATGTCCTCCCACATGGACCAAGCACACATATGTCTCCCCAGACACCTGCTCAGTCCATGGATAGAATGCTGGGAAGTAGGGTCCCTTCTGGGGGGCTGCAACCATCTCTATTGGGTGTGTGATGCTCCCTTGCGGGCTCAGCTGGGACTGACCTTATTGGTCCTCGTGCACAGGACCTCAATGAGGACGGACTCATCTGTGCCCAGACCCTTCATAGCCTTCTGCAGCTGCCGGGCGGCGTACTCGCTGGGACGGTCCAGAAGGGCCAACGCTGTCTTCTCGAAGTTTCCACTCAGCTCACTCTTGAGTACTTCCTCCAGCTCCTACCAGAAGACAGTGAGAGACGTGCTGGGAATGGCCCAGGAGGAGAGGGGCAGGTGTCTGCTTGCACTATTGCAAGTGCTCATAGTTGACAAGAAAGGTGCTGTGGACATGAATTCTGCCAACCTGCAACCTGCTGAGAACATGCAACCTGCTCTCAGCTGCCCATCCACGTTTCCCCAGGGCTGGCAGAGAGGCAGAGAGGAGCTCCCTGCTCAGGGCTGGAGACCTCACCGATGAATCACAATAACAACAGTATCTGTGGAACATTTGAGAGCTCAGAGAGCTTTTTCAGCCAGTCTTCAAGATCGCTGAAAAAATCCTCAAGATCTGTTGAACCTGATAAGATGAAGAATTTTCCCCAAATATTCAGCTAGGAAGGGCTGAAATACAGGGCTGTTATCTCTAGGACTGGAGAATTTGTCATCCAAATTGGGATGCCTTTCAGTGTGAAAGGGGGCACTATTAGCAATTGCAGAGGATAACAGGAATAAAGAGGATTGTCATGGGAAGAACGACGGCCTGTACCGTCACTTCCGTTATCTCGCTAAATCCTGGAAGGGACACAGGTGAAGAAGAATGCAGGTATGTAGAAGGGGAAGTACATGGAATTCTTACTGGCATCTGTTTTTTTCTTTGTTTGAGACAGGGTGACTTTGTCACCCAGGCTGGAGTGCAGTGGTGCAATCATGGCTCACTGCAGCCTCGACCTCCTGGGCTCAGATGATCCTCCCATCTCAGCCTCCCAAGTAGCTGAGACTACAGGTACACACTGCCATGCTCGGCTAATTTTTAAATTTTTTTGTGTAGAGATGGGGTTTTGCCATGTTGTCCAGGCTAATCTCAAACTCCTAGGCTCAAGCGATCCTCCACCTCAGCCTCTCAAAGTGCTGGGATTATAGGCGTGAGCCACCATGACCCCAGCCTGCCATCTATTCTGACAAGCACCTGTCTTCCTCTTTTCTTTGAGCACCCTCTTTTCACAAGAAAACTAACTACCTTCTCCCTGTCTCCCTCTGACAATGTGGTTTAACAGGAGAAATGGTCAAGGATGGGCATCAGCCTACCTAGAGTAGTTAATGCCCTAACTTAAACCAAAGACCTTCACATAGAGCGACAGCCTGGGATGGCTCAGATTGGAGGCCCATAGACAAGCTGGCATTTCAAGGACACAAACTATAGCATAGGGTGGGCAGCTCCCCAGCAGTGTGGCATGGTGGCAAAGAACACAGCCACAGTACCTTTGTGACCTTGGAAATGTACTTAATCTCACCAACTGTCAGTTTTCAGCTCTAGAAAATGGAGACAGTGCTAGACTGACCTCACAGGGTTTTTGGGAGAATTAAATGTGACAATCCTTGTCAATACTGAGCATTACTGCCTGACATATTTTAAACGGTCAATAAATGCTTATCATTAATCTCCCATGCTGAAAAAAATTTTCTAAGAGGAGGCACATCAACTATTTTTCAAATGAAGCTCTGAGCTCTTGGCCTGGGAGAAAAACCCGGAATATTTTTGTCCAAAGCCCTGGGATCTGCAGTCCTACAAGGGGGCTGTTATATTATGCCTCCGCCCCACAGTGGCTGCTCCAGCCAACACTGCATCTTGTGAAGGCAGGTCTGTGGTCAGTACTCTATGGTGTGGAGTCATCTAAAAATTGGAAATATATTTTCAGGCCAGATGGGCATTATATAAGCTGCAGAGAAGAAAAATCCCAGCTTCCCACTCTTACAAGCCACAGGCATAAAAACAAATCCTTGTGTGCTTACATTCTGACTGGACAGAGTAGAAGGCTCGGGATAGCTCAGCTCTACTCCTGGTTTTCCTGCTGACTCTGTTACCACGGGGTGGTTATTCTCTTTGGAGGTCAACTGACACGGGGCTGAGATTGGATCATACCTAACATCTTCTAGCTTTGCGTTGTTGGGATTCTAGATTATCTGTTTGGCAGTCTCAGTTCTCTGAAACACAGCTGAGAACCAGAAAGTAAGCAAATGATTGGCAAATGAAGTATCACAAAGTTTTGTGCCAGAACATGCCCATTTAAGTTTTAACAGGGCCCCTAGGCTTTCAGTTTGAATCCATTTACTCTTCTTTAGACTAAAGACTAAAGATTAAGAAGCATTGTATCCGATTTTTCTTTCTTTCTTTCCTTCTTCCTCTCTTTCTTTCTCTCTCTCTTTCATTCTTTTGTTCTTTCTTTTTCTTTCCTTCCTTCCCTTCTCTCCCTTCCTCTCCACCTCCCTTTCTCTCTTTTTCTTTTCTTTTCTTTCTTTCCTTTCCACAGGGTCTCTCTCTGTCACCCAGGCTGGAGTGCAGTGGTGCAACTACGGCTCACTGAGGCCTCAACTTCTTGGGCTTAAGCAACCCTCCAGCCTCAGCCTCCTGAGTAGCAGGGACTACAGGCACACACCACCATGCCCAGCTAATTTTTTATTTTTGGTAGAGATGAAGGTCTCAACTGGTCTCAAACTCCTGGGCTCAAGTGATCCTCCTGCCTTGGCCTCCCAAAGTGTTGGGATTACAGGTGTGAGCCACCTTGCCTGGACTGACTTTTCATATTGGTAGGGTGAATGTGTCTTGGGAGGCTACTGGAGTTAGGGATGTTGACAGGGATAAAAATTCAGCTTCAGGCCAGGCACGGTGGCTCACACCTGTAATCCTGGCACTTTGGGCTGATGTGGGCAGATCACGAAGTCAGGAGTTTGAGACTAGCCTGACCAAAATTAAAATACAAAAATTTTACTAAAAACACAAAAATTAGCTGGGCATGGTGGCGCGTGCCTGTAATCCCAGCTACTCAGGAGGCTGAGGCAGGAGAATCGCTTGAACCCGGGAGGCAGAGGTTACAGTGAGCCAAGATTATGCCACTACACTCCAGCCTGGGCAACAGAGTGAGACTCCGTCTCAAAACAAAACAAAACAACAACAACAAAAAAAACCACACACACATTCAGCTTCATGCATTCAATTAAATGCAGTTGAACTGAAGATGCACTTATTTTCATCAAAAATTACATTGACGCACCTAATAGTAAGGAGAGAAGCAGAAAAAGCACAAAAGCACAGCCATTTGGGCCATTTAGTGTACAAGCAAATAGCTCTATTTATGGCACTGGGTCCTCCAGGAATGGATACTGTTCTTGAAGTCAGGAGACTTGGATGTGAGACTTGGATGTGAGTCCTGGTTCTCTTTTTTTTTTTTAGGTGTGTGATTTTGTAAAATGGAAACAATCATAGCTATCATAGCTTTTTCCTGTATTGGTACATGCTGGCATTATCCTGACTGATTCTCCCAGCAACCTGAGAAGGGAGCTAAGTTATCATCTTCTTTCTATCCATGAAAAGACCAAGGCCTGAAGCAATTGTTACCTGCTCAGTATCAAATAAATAGGAAAACCCATCTTCATCTTTCTATATATCTATTTATACCTACAGTGATTGAAATGGTAAAAGTTTGAAAAATATAAATGAGAATACAGCATAATAATTGATATTCATTTTGCATAATGATAATTCTAATGACATTAAGAAAAGTTTAAGTTGTGTTCATTACATATTAATAAAGAAATAAGAAAGCCTAATGCATACTTGAAGACTTCTCTCTATAAAATTATTTTCAACAATAAAAAGAATGAAAGAAAAGAAAGAAAATGTAAAGAAAAATAGGTGTTGATAGCTTAATAAAATGGAGAGTTTTTTTGGTAGTTTTCTGTAACAATCGCTTATGAAAAATTCCTGTATAAAGACCCACTTGTGGAAACTGATTTTCAAATTACTGATCTAGCTACATATGTACAGTTAGTCCCAATTAAGTGAAAAAAAGACTAGGGTCTTCATAGAAAAATGAAGTCAATTTAAGAAATGAGTTTAAGAGTATTGATTTTACAGGCTATTGAGTTAACAAAGCAATTTCAGTTTTTCTGAACTCCATTAATGCTTTTAAGTGGTTATTTCACTTTTCCTCCTGGGCTGACTCAATAAAGCTATAAAGATATTCTGCGTGGCCTGGGGACATGAGGAAGCCGAGACGGCTGAGGCCATGGCTGGGTGCAAGCTTGCTGACCACCCCTGGAATCACCTTGCCGTACGTTGCCTTGTACTTTTGCTTGATTTGTTGCCTCTCATCTGATGTCCTGCCCGATAAGATTTCAATGATGGCTGCTTCATTGGTCCCTAAAATACAGGAGAAACAAACAAAGCCACAGTGAATAAGAAACAAGGTGGAAGTTTATTTTAGTCCAGGGTGAGGAAGCCAGGACTCACAGCTTAAAGGTGGTTGGAGGTGTCTATGGAACCCAACGGACCCTTAGCTTTGATGCCTTGTGCTGAAAACTGTATTCTTTTCATTCACTTAGACAAATAGCCATTGAGGCCTCACAGCACATGGCACACAGTGCTAGGCATTGTGGTGGAAAGAGGAACGAGTATGGCTGGTTCCTTAATTTTATTCCTAGGGAAATGAAAACATATGTCCACCCAACAATTGCATGTGAATGTTCATAGCAGCATTACTCATAATAGCTCAAACGTGGAAGCAGCCCCAGTGTTCATCACCTGAAGATGAATAAACAAAATATGGGGTATCCATACAATGGAATGTTATTTGGCCAGAAAAAGGAATAAATTACTGATAGATGTTATAACATGGATGAACCTTGAGAACATTATGCTAAGTGAAAGAAGTCAATCATAGCAGATCACATGTTATATAATTCCATTCGTATGAAAGTCCGGAACAGGAGAATATACAGAGGCTGGAAGTATACTAGTGGCTGGGGGTGGGTGGGCTGCCTAGGGGGATGGTAGCTGGAGTCCAGGGCTGCTTTTTGAAGTGATGAAAATGTTCTAAAATTGACTGTGGTGGTGGTTGCATGCATCTGTGAGTATAATAAAAACTGTTGAATTGAACACTTTAAATGGGTGAATTATATGGTGCATGAATTATATCTCAATTAAAATGTTTTAAAAAACAAAAAGGAAAAAGATGGCCTGTTCCTTGGCCTCTGGGTGCTTACAATTGCATGAACAAGATTAGGATATAGGCTGAAACTGTTACAATATTAACCCCACCCATACATTTGTTAATCTCAGGAGAGAAGTCTTGATTGAAACCATGAAGGGAGGTTGCCCCTTTTAACTCCTATTACCTTTAGATTATGTTATTTTTAGAAGCTTTTTTACCCCTGATGCTCAAAGTAATACAAGCTCATGGCAGCAATTTGATCAGTACTGAAAACTATAGTGAATAAGAAAGAAGGGGAGAATGTCCTTGTTTGAACCAGGAACCAGGATCGGAAAGATGACACAGGTATTTCCAGTGTGCGAATAAGAAAGACGGTTTTACCATCAAACCCCACATTAGATTTATTCAGGTTGGACTCAAATCACAGCTCCACCCTGTACCGACTGCATGACATTGGGCAAGTGATTTTTCTTGCCAAGTCTCAGTTTTCCCACCTCTAAGATGAGGGTAATAGTATACAAGGCTATTGTGAGAATGAAATGCGAGAATCCAAGTGTGGGTCCAGTCCGCGGTGGTCCTAAGCACGCACGTGGGAAACCCGGGACACCAGGGGATGTAAATGACCACGCGCCTGGCACTGCCTCACATCCATGCAGGGTGTGCACAGGGACCACCCTCCATGAACTGCTCACCCCAGTGATCGAGCTCGGTGGGATCAAGGCACAGCAGTCAGCAATCTCTGGAGCTGGAGGAAATGTTAGAGACTATCTAGTCCAAGCTCTTCTTTACAGAAGAGGAAGCTGAGGCACAATGCAGCACCTCTTCTCGGTTCCTGCATGTACCTGACTGTTCTGCAGCATTTGAATTCTGCAGTCGGGAATTATTTTTTTTTTTTGAGACAGGGTCTGGCTATGTCACCCAGGCTAGAGCGCAGTGGCATGATCACTGCAACCTCCACCTCCTGGGTTCAAACAATTCTCCTGCCTCAGCCTCCCGAGTAGCTGGGATTACAGGCACCCACCACCATGCCCAACTAATTTTTGTATTTTTAGTAGAGATGGGGTTTCACCATGTTGGTCAGGCTGGTCTCAAACTCCTGGCCTCAGGTGATCCACCTGCCTCAGCCTCTTAAAGTGCTAGGATGACAGGCATGAGCCACCGCACCCGGCCTGCGGTTGACAATTCTTTGCGTGAAACACCTTCCTAGATGGCTTTGTACCTCCTTTCCCAGTCTTTCCTTTCTCCTCTCCATCACCTCCCTCTCAGGGTTCTTGATTGGCCTGTATTCTTCCACTGGCCTTTTAAACTCGATTTTCAGTTCTCCTCTCTATTGGAGTCACTCCTTTCCCAGGCGACTTTCGCCCTTTGACTGATGACTCCAGGATCAGCGCCTCTAGCCCTAATCTCTCCTCTGAGTTCAGATCTTATTTCCAGCTGCCTGTAGTCAACTTCCCACGGATCTCCCAAGGCATTTCAACTTCCATTGTAGCTTAAACCAAACTCATTTTGTCTATCCTTAAATCCACTCCTCATCCTGTTCCTTTGTCTCAGTGCATGGCATCACACGGATTAGAGAAAATCCAAAGTCACCTTTGAGGGCCCATCAGTCTTTTTTACTCTCAAATACTACCAAGTCCTGCCTGTCTCACCTATGAGACAACTCTTTTACCTGTTCCTCTTCTTCATTCCTTCTGTCACTGCCTAACAGGTCCTAAGTGTTTTTAGCCTTCACCCCGATACCAGGCTCTGATCTCTGCAGTCCACCCTGGGAAGCTCGCATGTGTTCACTTCACACCATACTTTAAATACCTTTAGTGATTCCTCTTGACTCCTAGAATTACATCAGAATCCCTTATGGTGGCATCGAGACTTCCCGCAGTTTGGTGTCATGCTACTCTTCTAGATCCATCTCTGCACAGAGCAGCCCAAGGCTTACTCACCTAATCTCAGCCACACTTGTTAAGTTTCTGCTTCCTCTGTTTTGGCACAGCACACTATTTACATGTATGTTTCTAGGATCACTGCAGTGATTATCCAAGACTGCAGTAGTGACATTCTGAGCCCGACACCTGGGCTCTAGGGAGTGGCCACTACATGGCAGTGTGTGCTGTTACAGTGTCACTTACTGCTGTCTTGCTCTGGTTGGTGTGTGGACCTAGATGATGGCTGCCACCCAGCTGAGCCATCAGGATCCTGAAGGAACAAGATCGTGCAATGCATTTTGATGGAAGGGTTGAGAGTAGGAAAAATCTAGGCCATGGGGATGGGAAATGAATGGAGGGAAACTAGCTGGAGATGGGGTAGAGAAAAAAAAGGGAGCCCTGGCAAAAAAATGTGAGCTGTTTAACCCTCCTTCTGCTCCAGCACCAGCCCTCAGAGTCAGCTTTGGAAAGACAGAGAGGCGACTTGGAAAGACAGGCCTGAGCAGGGGTCTGATGTGACAACCATGTTCCAAACCTTTGGGTCCTTGAACCGTTCACTTAACCTCAAAGAGTATTTTCACCTCTACAGCTCTGGGAACATTTAGCTGTTTGGTTTCAATTGGAGAAACAGAATTCTAGGAGGATCTCACTTGCAAAAATAGCAGGAGTGAGTTGCCTGCCTGGTGCTGGCTTGGTTTCAACACTGGGATTCACGTTGTCCTCCTTCATTTCCTCCCGGAGCTTCGCCTCCATCGTGGGAATCCAATTACTCATTCTATGACACTATTATGATTTTTAAAAAAAAACTTCGGAGTGTCAGAAATCTCACTTCAAAAGGGATTTCTTTTTCTTGTAAATATCTCTTGAGCCTACCTCTTTCTTTCCATTCAGGCCACTCCTGTCCCAGACGAGGGCCTTGGCCTCTCAGGCCTGGATCCTGGCAGGTGCCAAGCCCGGAAGGAGCCTTTCTGCGTGCAGGAGACCCACTCACTGTACTGGGCCAGCCAGGAAGCTGGGGCTCAGGCCTGGCTGTCCCCTTTCCCTCACCCCACATTCAATCAGACTAAGGCCTCTCCATTCCACCTCCTTAGTGCCTCTCAGATGCACCCATTTCTCTCCATCCTCATCTCCACCCCATCGCTCAGCAGAACTATGGATACCACCCACATGCAAGTTCCTCTGTTGCTCTCACTTTTTCCAATTGGCATTCACTGCCCCCAGAACAACCGTTCTGAAGTGCAGATTGGCCTGCTCACCCCTCTGCTTCAAACCTTTCAGTATAGGCCCTCTCAAATGCAGAATGAGGCTTCAACTCTGCAGGGGGGCCTATGGGGCCTTTTGGCCTCTCAAAGTCTCATCCTCCTACCTGTCCTCTCCCAGGCTACTTTCCACCCACTTTGTAGATGATTTGCAGCTCCTAGAACAAACAACACTTTCTTTCTTGCCTCTGGGTCTTTGCATGGGCTGTTCCCCTCATCTGGAACACACCAATCCTCACCTCCACTCCTACTTCTCCTTCAGGTCTCAGCTCCCTGCACACTCCTGGACAGATGAGGCATCTCGCCCTCTGTGTCTCTCATGCTGCCTGCTCTTCCTGTTTCTGCCAGGACACATGGCAAATTCCACGGGAGCAGAGTATTTTGTTCACCATGGTATTCCCACAGAAGGCTGTCAGTATTTATCAGATGACTTGCTGAATGAACGGATGCTTAAACATGTGCACAGATGAATGAATGAATTGATGGGTGAATGAATGAATGAATGGATGAATGAGGAAGTTTGCATGTCATCACGACAGAACCTTGTCTCTGAAGTGGTTTAAGTTGTATGTGATATTCAGATGGGTCTGTGTAGCAAGGACCAATAGAAATCCTCCATACTCTGATGCCACATGGAGTCCACAACTGGATAATCAGGAAAATGAAATTAATATTGAAAATAATAGTGATCTTTAGATGTTCTTTTTGGGAATGCTTTAAAAAAAAAGAGACCAACCCAAATGCCCATCAATGATAGACTGGATAAAGAAAATGTGGCACATATACACCATGGAATACTATGCAGCCATAAAAAAGAATGAGTTCATGTCCTTTGCAGGGACATGGATGAAGCTGGAAATCATTATTCTCAGCAAACTAACACAGGAACAGAAAAGCAAACACTGCATGTTCTCACTCATAAGTGAGAGTTGAACAATGAGAACACATGGACACAGGGAGGGGAACATCATACACCAGGGCCTGTCAGGGGGTCAGGGGCAAGGGGAGGGATAGCATTAGGAGAAATACCTAATGTAGATAACGGGTTGATGGGTGTAGCAAACCACCATGGCATATGTATACCTATGTAGCAAACCTGAACCTTCTACACATGTATCCCAGAACTTAAAGTATAATAATAATAATAAAAAACCTAATAAAAATCTATGAAATTTTAAAGCTAAAAAAGAAAAAAAAGGGCGAGAAACCAGATTGCAAAACAGTCCTGAGACGGCCCAGCAACAACCTGGACGTCGGGGGAGGCTATGAAAACAACACTGGATTTCCCCCAAGTTCTTTGAGTCCAGGTCTCAGGTTGATCCGGGGGGTGTTTCTACTACCCAGTCACTGAACAGTGACCTCACTTTACATTTCACAATATGTGTATCGTATAAGCAGTGCCGCTGAATGATTTCCTGTAAATACTTACAATGGTTTGAGGCACCAGGGCCAGTCCCCAGTGGTTCTGGGAAAGGCTTTTTTAAAAATGAGAAAAGAAGGAGCCACACACTGGACACTGTAATTTCACAGCAGAGGTCAAAGACGGGGCAATAATCAGCCTCAGGAAGTGCCTCCGGGCCTCCTTGGTTTTGCTTTTCCGAGAAATTTTCTGGGAAGATACCGAGTCACATTTCAGCAGGAAGGGGGCTCCAGACAGGGTGGGAAGCCCCCAGGCCCTTGTGGCAGAACAGTGATCGGGGCTGTGGTGGAGGCTCAGCTTTCCCTTGGGCTCCAATGCCAGCCCAGCCTGCCTGGCTGGGCCCAGGAGGCTGCAGCCCCCGCTCTGGTGCTTAAGGGTCACTCTCTTCTGCTAGCACTGCTGGGCCGCGCAGTCCCTCATTTCTCCTTTGGAAATGGGAGTGCAAGGAAGACAGATGAAGTAATGAATGGGCACAGTCCTGCCTGCCTGAGCAAGTCACTGCTTCCCACTTGTTCACTGTCTCAGTTTCCGGAGGGGAGGCTGCTGATTCAATGACCACAAACTTGATAGCTTAAAACAACAGCAGTCTATTCCTGCACAGCTCTGGAGGGTGGAAGTCTGAAATCCTGGTGTCGGCAGGCCCACAGTCCCTCCAGCAGCCCCGGGGCAGTGTCTGTTCCTTGCCCCTCCTGGCTTCTGCCGGGAACCCTTAGCATTCTTGGGTTTCTGGCCATATCTCTCTAGTCTCTGTCTCCATCTGCCCATGGCCTTCTCTGTGTGTCTCTGTCTCTCCTAAGGACACTTGTCATTAGATATAGGGCTCACCCAGGTAATCCAGGATAATCACATCTCAGGATCTTTAACTTAATTATATCTGCAAAGACGCTTTTTCCAAACAGTCATGTTCACGGGTTCTGGGGGGATATATTTTTGGGGAGCCCCCATTCAACCCAGTTCACCCTGAGTGATGGAGAACAAGGGCGCGCCTACTCAATGCTCATACCGATCTCACTGGCTTTGTGCAGATTTTGGATCCCAGCACATTGTTCCAAAGGAGGCGATCCACATGCAACGAGGGCCAATGAGGTGCTGGGCTCTGCGTTGCCTGCTTTATCCCTCTCCATGTGAGGAGACATTGTTATCCTCATTTTGTAGATGAGAACACAGGTTGCACATTCACTCTCCCTCCCTCCCTCTCTTCCTCTCTCTTCTTTCTTCTTTCTCTCTCTTCCTCCTTCTCTTCTTTCTCTCCTTCACTCTCTCCCTCCCTCTCTCTTCTCTCTTTCTCTTCTCTCTCCCTATCTTCTTTCTTTTCCTCCCTCCTTCTCTGTCTTCCTCCCCCCATTCTCTAGCTCTGATTTATTCAAGAATTCTTAACGCATTGATGCCTGAGGTTGCAGTTTTTTGAATTTTTGCAATCAGACCTTGGCAATGACCTTGAGCAGTAGGATATAAATAACTCCCACATGCTTAGTGTCCCAATAATGGAACACTAGGCATAAATGGGTTTTAATATGTAGCCATAGCTTGTACTACTTTCCTACCAGATCTTCCCAATCCCAACTCCTGCAGACTTGTCAACATTTCTTGGGCAAGGCTACCATTCTATGGCTAGATAAGTTTCATATATGTATGTGTGTATATATTTGAGATGGTGTCTCTCTTTGTCACCCAGGCTGGAGTGCAGTGGTGCCATCTCAGCTCAACTGCAATCTCCACCTCCCAGGTTGAAGCGATTCTCCTGCCTCAGCCTCCCGAGTAGCTGGGACTACGGGTGTGCACCACCACACCCGGCCAATTTTTATATTTTTAGTAGAGACGGGGTTTCACCATGTTGGCCAGGCTGGTCTCAAACTCCTGACCTCAGGTGATCCACCTGCCTTGGCCTCCCAAAGTGCTGAGATTACAGGTGTGAGCCACTGCGCCCAGCCAAGTTTCTTATATTAAAGCAAAATATGTTTCCTTGGAACTTCTACCATGGATCCAAGTTTTATTCCTCTGGAGCCATACAAAAAATTTGTGGCCATATTTATTCTACCATGACACCCATTCTAGGAAAGTAAATCTCTACTAATCCACTTCTATGTAAAAAACCTATCACTTGTTTTTGTAAAACATTATGCCAAGTAAAAGAAGCCACATATCATATGATTCTATTTATGTGAAATGTCCAGAATAAGCAAATCTGTGGAGACAGAAAGCTGATTAGTGATTGCCTGGAGGTGAAGGGAGGAAGGGGCTGCTAATGGGTGTGAGGTTTCTTTCTGGGGTGATGAAATGTTCTGGAATAAGTGGAGATGGTCGCAAAATCCTGTGAATATACTAAAACTCTGAACTGCATGCTGCAAAAGGGTGAATTTTATGGTATGCAAATTATATCTCGATAAGCAAAAAATTAGTTTAATAAAACATTCTGTGGACTGACATGGCTCCTACCTATTGTTAATGACACTGAGCAATGTCTTCTCAGTCTGTCCCCACCCCCTCCAGGACTGCAGCCATGTGGCTGAGGTGCCCTAGCTAGGATGTCTCTAAATTGGTGGCATTTGGAGTGAGTGACAAGAATATGTTCAATCACAGTGTTCCCCACTTACTGGCTTGGTGACTTTGGCTGTCTTACTTAAAATGTCAGGTCATCAGTTTCCTCAGCTGGAAAATGGATTTTTGTAAGAACTTGATGAGATTTTGTATATAAAGTGCTTAGTCCAATGCCTGAAAGTTTAACCGTTTCTCAATAAATGTAAAAAAGAAAATCTAGGAAATTAATCCACTTTGCCCCTTGACCCCTCTGTCTCCTTCAATGATTTCACTTGCTTGTTGTTCTGGAACTCCTGATCAGCAAGCCCAGAGTCAATCAATTTTTCCCGTCCTACCTCCAAGGATACAGGGGAAAATCACACAACCATGTGGGCTGGAGCCATGAGAAACCATGATCTCCCTACTCAGTGGGGCCCTTAGTGTGTATCAGCAGTCTTCTGTTGGTCGTCTCCCCCTTCTCTGCTACTCAAGGGCTATTTCAAGCCACCACTCAAGCCCCATACTCCATTGTCAAACCCTTCTCTTTAGCAGACAACCTCACCTACCACTCACTGAGCAATGTCAGGTTACCAGGCATGGATGCCTTCAATTTCTGCCCCAACAACACCTATGAAGGCATCTACTCCAGCTGTCAGTCTCAGTACCTTCCCTCCCTGTCCTGTTCAAGGGAAATCCTTCCATCTGTGCTTTGGATGTCACCCTCTTCCAGGCTTCTGGGACTAGACCTTGTGTCATGAGTGGCTTCCTTGGATCCCAGGGCCTCTCTTCATGGCCCTAGACCTAGATGCTGTCTCCCTCATCCCACCCTGGTCCCTGGTCTACCTTTGTTTTGACTTCCTGCAGAGTCCCCCACTCTTGGCCATGCACTGACCCTTAGGATGTAAACAGCTTCTCCATTTTCAACCCTTGATGGTTGATCTTGGCCAGTTACTCACTTGATTTAGTTCTTTTTTCTTTTTTTTTTTTTGAGATGGAGTCTCTCTCTGTCACCCAGGCTGGAGTGTAGTGGCGCAATCTCGGCTCACTGCAACCTCTGACTCCCTGGTTCAAGCGATTCTCCTGCTTCAGCCTCCTGAGTAGCTAGGATTACCGGCACATGCCAATACCCTCAGCTAATTTTTGTATTTTTAGTGGAGATGGGGTTTCACCATGTTGGCCAGGATGGTTTCCATCTCTTGACCTCGTGATCCGCCTGCTTCGGCCTCCCAAAGTATTGGGATTACAGGCGTGAGCCACTGTGCCCGGCCGATCTACTTCTACATGCTGCTTCCAGGTCCCTAATCCGGCTCTCATCAGACTCAATTCCCCACCATCTCCTAGGGAAGGGATCAGAGGGGTTTAGATCATACCAGGTTTGGCTGGTTTGGCTGTGTCCTCACCCAAATCTCATCTTGAATCGTAGCTCCCATAATTCCCACATGTTGTGGGAGGGACTTGGTGGGAGATAATTGACTCACAGGGGCAGTTTCCCCCATACCGTTCTCACGGTAGTGAATGAGTCTCACGAGATCAGATGATTTTATAAGGGGAAACTCCTTTCACTTGGTTCTCATTCTCTCTTTCCTGCTGCCATATAAGAAGTCCCTCTGCTCTTCCTTTGTCTTCTGCCATGCTTGTGAGGCCTCCTCAGCCATGTGGAACTGTGAGTCCATTAAACTCTTTTTCTTTATAAATTACCCCACCTCGGGTATGTCTTTATTAGCAGTGTGAGAACAGACTAATACACCAGGATTGCATGAACTGCACTTCTCATGAAGTTTCTCTCACCTCAAGTTCAAATTAAACGTCACAATATCCAACTCCTAGCTGTTATATAGAATCCTGAAAAGTAATAGGATCCTACTGTAATTTTGCGAACTTTAATAAAGAGGTTAGTGGAAGTGATTGACTTGCGTTAGCTCGGAATACACAAGATAGTGAGATGTCAGCTTCCTAACATCATGGGGAAGTTGGACATGAGACCAAGTTTAATCAACTTCAGAAGCAAATTAGCAACAAAATATCTCTCATACCCATTCCTTTGCAGGCTTTGTTCAGCTTTTTGGCATCTCGATCCACATCAAAACCCTGAGGACTGCTCGCTTTAGCCTGGAGAAAATAATTGAAAAGGTGAGATGACAATATACGCATTCCTAAATGATCTCTGGCTAAAATCGGTAGCAAACTGGAGGACCAAATAGTCATCCTAACCAGGGACCAGCTGTCACTTCACACACTGGTACATGCGGAAATCAGCTGGGGAGACTCTGGCCCCAGAGAGGTGGCTGGTACTCCTTGGGGCCAGCTGGCCTTGGATGACCAGGAGAATGGGCCCCTCTGTTCTCAAGGACAATCATCCTGGCCAGCTCTGCAATGAGAGATTTTCATATCAACCCCACCTTTGTGTGTCTGCCTCTGAAACAAAGAATAATACTGTAAGCCAGTGTACTGGAGTGCTTGTTCTCCCCCTTTGTCATGAGACACAGCTATGTCTAAGGAATAGGTCAGAGGCTGAGGGTTCTAGGACCTTATTACAGGTTCATATGGTGACTTGGATCTTTGCCATCCATACAATGAGAGATACATATTTGGTTTGTTGGAGATACTGTAGGAACCAGTAAAAGCACAGTTTTGGTTTTAGTGCTCCTTGGGAAGGTAAAGTCCTGTTTATATAGTGTATTGAGCTGTTTCCCATACTTCAGTCATTGGCACAATACATGCACTATTGCATCCACAGTTACCTATGTCTAAATAATAAGGAAATTATTGTTTGCTTATAATTATTATTTGCTTATTATTTTCTTTTAAATTGACATTTGTTTTTACTTAAAGTTATCTTAAAAAGGAAATTTTTGTGAGCACAAAAATGGAAACCCAGTATTGCTTGCATAAATGGAAGGTAACCATAAATATAAACACATAACTATTAAAAACTGCAATTAACCTGTGAGGTTAATTGTAGTTATGCAGCTGGTAGCTAGGAACACACCCTGAGTTTCCTGTCTTTGCCTTTTCTCATGGAGCTTTTCCTAAGTGATATGTGTCCATATATTTTCTTTTCTTTTTTGAGACACAGTCTCTCTCTGTCAACCAGGCTGGAGTGAAGTGGTGCGATCTCAGCTCACTACAACCTCCACCTCCTGGGTTCAAGTGATTTTCATGCCTCAGCCTCCCCATAGCTGGGATTATAGGTGCACGCCACCATGCCTGGCTAATTTTTTGTATTTTTAGTAGAGATGGGGTTTTGCCATGTTTCCCAGGCTGGTCTTGAACTCCTGAGCTCAGGCAATCTGCCTGCCTTGGCCTCCCAAAGTGCTGGGATTACAGGTGTGAGCCACGGCGCCCGGCATGTCCATATATTTTCCATCCTTCAGTGAAGGCTGGTTTAAGTGCTACTGGCAGTAGCACCGCAGTTCAACTCTCCCTGCTTTCATATCCTTTGGCACCCAGTGGAAGTGAACAGTCAACCACATGCAGCTCAGTGGGTATGTTGCCTTTCTCTGCATGGCATCCTTATTCTCCTTATTTCCCCTTCCCCCATTGTGTGGCCTCACTGGGGCTGTCAGTCATGAGGCTTGAGCCCCTTTGTCCTGCCCTTGGTCACCAATGTAGGCACGTGTCCTGTGACTCTGGCAATCAGGATTGGTTCAGGAGTGAAGATGTAATCCAAGCAGGATTAGAGTCAATTAGAGTCTTTCCCTTGGTGGATACATAGATACTGAGAGAGATACACGTCTGCCTCCTGCTGAGTCTGCTACAGTGAAAGTGCGTGAGTCTAGGGCTCTTAGTGCCCATTTTGTCCACTACATAAAGGGAGAGAGAGAAAGAATCACATTGTACAAATCCTCAGACACAGCAGCGCCTGTGTCCTTGGGCTTCCCCGTTTCATTAGCTAGCAAACTTCCTTGGTCTAAGTTAATATGAGTTGGGTTTCCATCCTTGCGATCCAAAGTGTCCTGGCTAACATCTGTGGGCTGAAGGTGAGTTGGCTTGAGGCTTTAGTTAATGGAGAATCATAGACTCCTAGAGCCGAAAGGAACATCAGGGCCACCTATAACCTCCCTGCCTTTTGGAACATGAGGGCATGCCCCATCTCGCAGCATCTGTTCCTGAAACAAGCCAGAAAGGGGACTGACATTGTTGTACACCTGCTGTGTGCCAGGCAGTTTATAGACCTTTCTTCATTATGCATAGGGAAGAGTGGGCATTACTAGTCTGCCTTCCAGGTAAGGAAACCTGGGTTCAGGCAGGTTAGATAATTTGTTTGAGGTCTGGCAGGATGCAGGACTGAACCCAGCTCAATTTGCCTCCTAAAGCCTGTGCTCTGTGCAGCGCACAATACTGCCTCACATTCTATAACTAGAGCTTCCATCATCCAACAGAGGGGTCGGATGACTCTGGAGTTGCAGAATGATACCTCCTGTTTTCCTTATCCAAATCTTTTGTGAGATGTAAGAAAGCTATTTGGTGCTTTTGTAGGCTTGTTGGCAGGACCAGCTACATAATTTGCTGGGCTTAGTACAAAATGAAAGTGCAGGGCTCCTTCCTCAAAAATTACCAAGAATTTCAATATGGTAACATCAGAGTATTAAGCCAAGCACAGGGCCCTTCTGAGCATGGGGCCCTATGCAGTTGCAGAGGCTGCACACTTATAAAGGCCACCCTACTTTTGATCAAATTCTGAAGGAGCTGGTCCTCTAAGTGTGGAAGTGGCAACTTCGAAATAGTAATGGCTTCTTTGCTTTTCATCCGAAGTATTATGGAGTGCCCAGGAAGTGAGGTAGAATTGAATCAGGGCAACAGAAATCTCCTATCACTCGGCTAATTCATGAGCTGTTCTCTATGTCCTGTTAGCCTCATCAGTGCAGAGAATTTTTTGGGACACATGATCTGTCCCACTTGACAACTAATGCGCTGAAACAGAGATGCAGGGCTCTGCAAATGGCTGTGTGGGTTATGCCCTGCCTGAGGCCCTGGCTGAGGGGCTGGGGCAGAACTGAGCTGGGGGCATGCTTGCCAAGCCTGGTGCTGGCAGGACTGCTTCCCCTCAAGGGTCACCTTTTTCTCATTTGCACAAAGAAGCTGTGAGGGCTTGCAGAGACCGTGTGGAGACTTGTCTAAGATCACCTGGCCAGGCAGCGGTTGAGTGGGAGCCAAGGCTAGAACCAGATTTTCTGATTCTGACAGATCTAAATGACATGCCTGCCCCTCATCCCCTTCCCGTTTTAGGGAGGCCATTCCATGATACAAATATCACAGAGTTGTAGGAGCTGAGGGGTGAGACAAAAGAATGCTCTCAACATGCCCAAGACCAAAAAACCTAGTAAATAAGTGTCATTTGATCCCAAGTAACTCTGATATCTGGGAGGTGCAGCAGGAGAGTGTTGAGTCATGTGCTATGAATGAAGATAATATTGGGACTTAATTTTTCCTTTTTTCCTTTTTCAAAAAAATTTTTTGAGACAGGGTCTCACTCTGTTGCCCAAGGTAGAGTGTAGTGTTGCAGTTTCGGTTCCCTGCAGCCTCTGCCTCCCGGGTTCAAGCGATTCTCCTGCCTCAGCCACCCAAGTAGCTGGGATTACAGGCATGTGCCACCACGCCTGGCTAATTTTTGTATTTTTGGTAGAGATGGGGTCTCACCCGTTGCCCAGGCTGGTCTCAAACTCCTGAGCTCAAGCGATCCACCCACCTCGGCCTCCCAACATGCTAGGATTACAGGCGTGAGCCACCTTAACAAATAATGTGGGGTAGGACTCTCTATCAGAGGCGCCACCATCAGCAGGGCAGGTTGAGGTCCCAGTGGCCTGACTCCCTGTAGGAACCACTGTTAGCCACGTTGGTTATCTTTCCTAATCTGCTTGAGAAGATAATTCAGGCTTGTTCCTTGTAACAGCAGGATATTTGATGTCGAAGTGAAAGAATCATGTGATGTGATTTTAAAAGAAAAAGAAAAACAGTCGGTTTGGCGTTGTCCCCTCATTGTGGTGGGGGCTGCCTCCACAATGGCTGTATTCATCAGCGATGCTCAGTGCTGATGGAACGGGTGTCCTATGGCTTGTTCCCAGGAGCTGGGTACCGAACTTCTTCTCGGGAATGTAGATGGAGCGGACATTCCACGTCCATTGTTCATTGTTAATAGGATAGACAGCTGACGATGGGCCTCAGGCCTGTTTCCCTATCCAGAGATTTAGTTTTTGAAACCTGAAGCAACTGAGCAGAACTTCTGCATACAGTGAGAATGCAAGTCAGATACAGAATGGGCTGCGGGGTACTCCAGGATGGGGTCTGACAAGCTTGTGAGGCTTTAGGAGACCACACGGATATTCCATTTGTTTTCAACTAGGAGACATTGTAGAGCCAGGGCAACATTCCTTGTTTTGTTTTCTTTCAATTTGTTTATTTTTTGACAGTGCTTGCACTGACACTCAGGAGACAGATAAAAACAGCACAAGATATTAAACGTCAATAATAATGATTTTGGAGGTCTGCGCTTTGAGCCCACAGGAATCCTGGTTTGAATGAGGATCTGCCTCTTAGCAGCTGTGTGAACTTGGGCCATTAACCTCTAAGCTACCATTTCCTCATCTGTAAAATGGGAGCAGTCTCTGTGTTGCAAGGCTTGAGGTTTACGTGAAATAACTTTTCAAATGCCAGAAAACAGGGAGCTAGATAAATGTTAGTCCTTCCCCTGTCTCTTTGGGTCATTTCTTGGCTTTTTGCCTTGTGATAAGATTTCATAAAAGTGATATCCAAGCAGATTTCAATTCTACATATTTAGATTTAACAGGTTTGGAAGGTATGTATATGAAGATACATACACAAACATATGTACCATATGTAGATATATAGGTTTCTAATTCACATATGTTGATCCCAGATGGATAGATATCTTCCATACTTGTCAAATATTTATCTTATAATGCCCAAGCAACATCATATTTATAATAGGTGGCCACTGAAAATATAATAGTAAAGTTGAAGAATGTGGCTTTATTGTCAGAGTGAATTTGAGTCCCAGCACAACTGCTTATTAGCCGTGTGACTTCGGGCAAGTTAGAGAACCTCTCTGTGCTGTACTTTCTTCATGGTTGTAAGGGAGATGGCTGCACTCTAGTAGGGAGTAGGCCGAGGCGACTTTCTGACGGGGCGTGTCTCAGCAGGTTTGGAGTGCAGATGCACAAGTCCACACCTTACGTAACCACGCCACGTGAGGCGCATTAAGTAACCACTCAGATGCGCTCGTGCTTGGCTTGGAGCCACTGTTGTCTGTAAAAGGTACAATTACGCTGCTAACGCTGTACCTCTGGCTTGGGGCTCACGCCCAGACTCGCACCCAGGCTCGCTTGCGCCCAGAGAAAGAGTAAAGCCATGTTGAAACTCCCTGCGATTCCTCGAGTGTTTTTCCAGCTGCCCGCCACCCCACCGACTTTTTTCGGATCTCACTTAGAAACTAACTATGGTAAATGGGGATAATAATAGTTCCTACCACGTAAGGTTCCTGGAGGAATTAAAGTTATTCATGCCAAGCATCTAAAACAAGCCTGGCTGACAGCATGGACTTTGTAAATGCAAACTATTGATATTTGTTGAAGGCAAATCAGCAATAAACTTTCCAGAATATTTCAAACCCCTTTCCTGCTTGAGGAGTTTTCACCTTGTAAATGGCACTCTAAAGATCAATTTCTCATTGGTCACCTGCAGCTTGGATCTGAAGTTCCAGACATATATTTTACACCGGGCAGTCACACTGCGGAGTCCAGGTGGCCTGGCATGATGTCCCAACATCACACCTTGTTAACTGTCTCATTTGACGAGTGTGAAAATTCACACCTCATGGGGTGTGAGACTCTCCCTGGGATACCTTTCTGTTGAGGTGCTGGCCATCATGCCTGGACCTCAGGTCCAAAATGGAAGCAAGTGCTGTCAGCTCTATGAAAGGCACTGCCTGGTGCATGAACAAGGCAGCACTGGTGCTGGGGGGACTTCCACTTTGGTTTTTTCTTCCTTCTAGTAGGTCTACATGTCCTTCTCTGTGTATTTACGTTCCTGTGTTTCCTCCTCTAAAACAAGGACATGAATGATCCATTTTTCTCAAAGGAGGAAGCATAGAAAATAAACGAGATGCTCTGATCCTAGGAAGCGGTGTCACCTTGGCAGAAAGAATGCAGAAAACACCTACGTTGAGAAATGACTCAGGGATGTTCCTGCTGCAACAGAGCAGATTGCCCAGGAGGGAGGTCAGCTCTTTTGAATCAAGATTCTGATACCCTCAGCCAGAAGAACCAGAATGGAAAAACAGACGCCTGATCAAATGCCTTCTGTCCCAGTCCAATTCAAGGAAGTCTTAACTCTTATAATAGAAATGGAACATTCTAGGAACATCTTCCAGGTTGCAGCAAACTCTGGGGATGGAATGTGTGAAGGAGTTTGCTGAGGGATATGATTTGCAAATTGGTTGCTCTAAGTATTATATAGTAACCAGCATCTTCCAGAACACAGCCAGAAATACACTCACTTAAGTACATTCATACTTGTCAGTCCTTGTGTCCTGATTTTCTACTTGAATAGCTTCAAGGCTGGACAATAAGAATAGATTGTTTCATGAGAGGCATGTGAATTAATTAAGAAATATGTTACAGGCAAATTAGACTCTGAATTATTTTTCCCTCTCTTTCTCTTTCTCTTTTTCTTCTTCTTTCTTCTCCTTATTTTTCCTCCCTTATCTTCCTTGAACAAACAAGTACTGAAAATCTATTGTATGTTAAGCACTACCCCAGTTGAAGTTGACTCCATGATTTATGAAGCATAGTCCCTGTTCCCAGGGAAATAAACATGTAAATGACACATGACAATTGCATTATGATACAGTAAGCACTTTTGGGTACAAATAGCTGAGAGGAGAAAGGAATTTTTAAGGAGGAGTTGACATTTGTGCTGGTTCTCAAAGGGCGGTAGGAATTAGACAAGCAATTAAATAAAAGAGAGAGGGGAGGTAGAAGAAAGACATGCCAGGGAGAGACCACAGCCTGATGCTTTGGGAGTCTGTGTACTTGCGTGCTTACTATGACCTATCAATGTGCTAACATGATTGCATCTAATCATGACATAATAGTCCACATAGTGTGGACTTGGGAGTCAGACCTACTCTGTTCAATTGCTGTTTTGCCCTTTGCTGGTTGTACCACCTTGGGCAAGCTGATTCACGTCTCTGAGCCTTAGTTGTCTCATCTTTAAAGTGGAGATGCACCTGTGCATGGGGTGGTGTGCGGTGTAGATGCATTCGTGTTTGGGATGTAGTAGCACGGTGCTGGATTACGGTAAGCACTCAGGTGGTGGCACGTAGGAGGTGGGATGCTGGGTGACATAGGATGTAAGGGTCATTTGTAAACTCTGAAAGTATTATCAAAATGCAATGGGAGTGGCATTTGGACTGTTTAATATTTCCAGTGCAGTTCCTCAGAAGCCTTGGCTGGCTGCACTCTGCTCAGTAAACATTTGACAATGGTTGCTTAGTATCTGGGCTGTGAGCCAGGAGGGGCCCCCGGGAAGAGCCAGGGAGCAGAGGGCAGAGGGCTAACTGTACACTGATCTACAGAGAACTGCTGTTTGAGCTGGCATGAAATGAGATTAAATACCAGGGCCAAGATTAGAACCAGGTAGTTTTGCCTGGGCTTGTTAAGCAGGAGCAAAATGGAGGCAGGTGAAGGGTGTGCTGGAGAGAGCCTCAGACACACCTGATTCTCCTCGGTTTAGGCTGTTACCATTGCCACTGTTGGTTAATGGCACCTTGCGCCAATATTGGTGATTCTGATTAAGCTTGCCTTGTATAGTTTTTTTTTCAAAATTCCTGAAAAATATTTTAAACATCTTTACTGAGGTATAATTGCTGTAAAATATATTGTATATTTAATTATACAATTTGGTGAATTTGGACATAGGCATACACTCATAATATCATCACCACCATCAAGGTAATAAGTATTTCATCAGCTATGAACGTTTCCTGTGTCCCCGTGTGTGTGTGTGTGTGTGTGTGTGTGTGTGTGTGTGTGTGAGTTAAGAACATTTAACTTGACATCAACCCATTAAACAAATAATACTTTATATTTAAAAATTTTTGTAGCAAGAGGGACTCACTATGTTGCCCAGGCTGGTCTTGAACTCCTGGGCTCAAGCAATCCTCCCGCCTCATGTGATCCTTCAGTCTTGGCCTCCATAAGTATTAGGATTACAGGCATGAGCCACTGCACTTGACCTTAACAATTGACCTTAACAATTTTTTAAGTGTGTAATAAAGTATAGGGTACAGTTTGCTGTACTCCAGATCTCTAGAACGAATTCATCTTGCGTAACCAAAACTTTGTACCAGTTGAACAGTGCTTCATTTCCCCTCCCTCTGGTCCCTGGTAAGTACAGTTCTATTCTTTACTTCTATGAGTTTGACTATTTTAGGTACCTCATGTAAGTAGAATCATGCAGTATTTATTTTTCTCCCTTATTTCACTTAGCATAATGTTCCCCAGGTTTGTTCAAGTTGTCACAAATGGCAGAATTTCCTTCTTTTTTGAGGCTGAATAATATTCCATTGTAAACTTGCCTTGTATAGATCTTAAGAATACTACAGATTTAAGGAAACTGAGTCCAGTTTGGGGAAGGTTCTTCTTTGAGGTCACATAAGTTCTGCCTCCTCTCTCACAGACATCTACCTTTGAACCAGGCACGAGGCTGTTTTTTCCTCCGTATCTTTTCCAAGGCTGTTTTCCCATCTGAAAGATGGTAATAATAGTACCCACCTCGTATGGGTTGTTAGGAGAATATGTATCAAGAGCGCTTGGCAGGATATTCAACACGTGGTGAGTGCTGAGTGTTATTTTTATTCCTTTCTTCCATCTTGACCTGATTCCTGCTGAGTGTTGAGTGAGCCCTTTGCATGGTGCTTTGTGTAGTGCCTTTAAAATTGGAAGTTTACTATAGGAAGCTCAAAATGACTGTTTACAAAAGCTTGTCCTAAATTAGAAATCACTTTGTACTCATAGAAAAAGAGTAGCAGGGGCTAAAGTTCTAAGAGAGATGTATAGGAGGAAAACTCAAAATTGAGAATGACAGCAAAATATAGAGCACTTCATATGTGCCGGGCATGGGTCCAGACCGTTTACAAATAGCAACTCATTTAATTCTCCCAACAACCCTATGGGGTAGGTATTATTACCTCCTATTTTGCAGATGAGAAAAACCAAGACACACAAGTATGATGAGATAGGGATTCAAACCCATGCAGTCTGGATTCAGAAACTCTACTATTGACTTCTCATTAATGGGTTTTTGGGGTTATTGTCTAAATAATAGTTATTATTTTTAATTTAATAATAGAAAAGCTGGGCCAGGTAGGGTGGCTCATGCCAGTAATTCCAGCACTTTGGGAGGCCAAGGCGGGAGGATTGCTTGAGACCAGGAGTTCAAGACCAGCCTGGGCAACATAATGAGACCCTGTCTCTACAAAAAATTTTAAACATTTAGCTTGGCATGGTGGTGTGTGCCAGTAGTCCCAGCTACTTGGGAGGCTGAGGCTGAAGCAGGAGAATCACTTGAGGCCAGGAAGTTGAGGTTGCAGTGAGCCGTGGTTGCACTACTACACTCCAGCCTGGGTGACAGAGTGAGACCCTGTCTCAAAAAGAAAGAAAGAAAAAGAAAGAAAAGAAAAGAAAGAAAGAAAGAAAGAAAGAAAGAAAGAAAGAAAGAAAGAAAGAAAGAAAAGCTCAGTTCAACTCTTAGAATGATAGTCTTTTACAGAAACACTAGATGAGACCTGAGACTTGTCCGGTGACCAGAGAAGCCAAGAACCCCTTGCATAGCTGTAGGATCAATAAATATTCTCGATGATGAGAAAATAGAAAGTAAAATGAAAAATGAAGTCACCGCTATTTGCAAGGCAAAACAGACAGCCATCTCCCAGTGAGCAAAGTGTGTATGTAGGAGAGGCACTATTGTCAAATTCTGCTCCCAATATTCCTTCTGATGCTAATAGAATCATGTTTTCTGCCTCTCATTTGTAAAATGGGACTAATACCTGCCCACCCTGAAGAATCTCAGGAAGATTAAATAAGACAATGTCACAGCGCTGGACAGGGAGGTTTCATTATGATGACTCAGGGCTGGCAGGGGAGGAAGTGGCCCTTCTGCCCTTCAAAGGCTGTTAGGAAGCTTCTTCCTTCTCCTTCCCTCCTCATTTCACACCCAATCTTCCAGTTCTCCCTTTCCTAAAGTATCTTTCCCTTCAAGTAGAGGAGGGATCATAGCTAAAAGACTACAGTGTACGAGGGGGCTGAATTTTAGCAGACACATTTTGAAGACTGAAAAGACACGAAGCCAGTGGGATGGCCAAGGTTTCCAATATGCTTTCTTCTGATGGGTGCCTGCTTTCCAGCTGGATAAATTGCCAAATATATTTATAGGTAAAATATCACTTCTCCCTGCTTGACAGAATCTATGCAAATGGATTGCTGAGTTGTTTGATTCCCAAGGGGCCCATCAGTGGGAGGCAGGGGGAGGAAAAAGGGGGAATGCTGCAAGTGGATTCCTCCCTGCAACTTCCTGAGTCCTCGGAGGACCAAAGAAACTTGAGATTGACAGCACAGAGCCATTGATTCCATTGGCAACAGTGGAGAATGTTTCTACTTAAGCAAATAAGCTGAAGCCTCCCCTTTCTGAAACCATTCCTGATCCTCTTGGGAAGAATCGAATTCTTCCAGTGGTGTGCTGAAGCTAAACTGTTTGATTGCCCAGGACATAGGGGTTCCCTGGAATGTGGGTCTTTAAGTGCTAAAACTGGGACAGTTCCAGGTAAACCAGGATGGTTGGCCCTGCTAGCTGGAGCTGACTTTGCAAGCTGGCAAGAACAAATTGTGTGATCTCCTCCCAACTCTGCTTGGCGAGATCATGCTGGTAACCTGAAATCAGTCACAGTGAAAGTATTTACACCACGGAAATTGGCAAGCACCACAAATTAGGCTTTTGTTTTCTCCTGGAGAGCTGGTGGTGAGACATATTCTAGCACACCACTGACTCTTTTGTTCTACCCTCCACTCTAGAGTCTTCTATCAGATCTTTTAACAGATACATTATCATACTTTTTTATTAGTCTATTTCCTTCCCTAGACTGTAAGACTTTTGGAGGCTAGGTTATGTCATGTTCACTCTCATATCCCCAGCACCTAGCACAATGCTTGACACATTGTAGGTACTTGGTAAATGTTATCTTCTTTTCCATGGGAGGAAGAATCTTCTTCCTTTGTATGTTACAGAATACACTGAATGCCTTTTCTTTGCGTCCTGGTCTTGCTCCCAGTTTGTATTAATGTCAGAGTCAGTGGCAGTAGTAGGGACAGAAGAATGGAACAGGAAACTTATCTGGATAGAAATCTTGAGCTGAGAATAGTGTCAAGCTTTCCAAAATGATGAAGCAGAGAGAATGAAAAGAGGAACAGTAAATTTAACCAAGGTGTCTGGGAGGGCTCAATCAGACCTCAGTTGGAGAAATAACAGGAATCACAAATGAAAGTGAAGTCCTAAGACCTTCGGGTGTGAAACAGTTTGAGCTAAATAGAGTTTGGGGCTCTTAGAATTTAATACCAAATGGAGAAAATAATGGACTCTGAGGAAAGTGACCTTGCCAAGATATAGATTAGTAGCCTTTCAACCCGGATTGCACTCAAAATCATTTGGGATCCCAGTCTGATCCTATGAAATCAGAATCTCTGAGGTACAGGGATATATCAGGTATAAATATTTCTAAAACTCCCCAGACAATTCTAACAAGCAGCCAGGGTTGAGAACCGTTAGTCTGAGAAAAATTAGAAACTTCCGCTGTTGATATCCCGGTAAAGGAGGAAGACAACTTAGAAATGTGCTGAAGGTTTACACAAGAAAGAAATCCTTGACCTTATCCAAGATGCTAAAGATAAAGGGAAGAGGTTTAGCATGAAATCTTAAAGTGAAAATTGAACCCAGGTTTTTCCAAATGGGTGACATGGAACACTGAAAGCATTAAAGCCATTGGACCTCCAGCTAGGAAAGGAACTCCTTTTAAAATTCTCTCCCAACTCTTCTGATTAAGTCTTTGCTTAGTGATAGTGGATCTTTCACACTCGTCTAATCCAGGGGTTGGCAAACTGCAGACTGAGGACCATATCTGGCCCATTACTTATTTTTGTAAATAAAGTTTTATTGGAACACAGCCAACCCATTCATTTACATTTGGCCTATGGCTTCTTTCACGCTACAATGGCAGAGTAGTTACCTACTTGCACCAGAGGTTCTGTGGCCCACAAAGCCTCATTATTTACTTTGTGGACTCCCACTGTATCCCATGTGGACCATGTAAACAGGTCCTTTTTTAGTCAGAGGATAGGACCTTACCCTTCAGCTGGCAACATCAAATTTAGTTAGAATTTAATACATTCTTTTTGCTTTCATTTAGTTATCTATATTTATGTCAACTGACATTAATTTTCCATTTATGGTATCAGTATAAAATTTCCTTTTAAGATTAATTTATATTAAAAAGTGCGTATTTAAAAATAATTAATAGAATAATTAGTAGAAGAGGTAACCCATATATTTGGCAACAATCATGAAGGTTGTACTTAAATCTGAAGTTTGGGAGACATTGAATGTATCCAATCCCATCATTTACAAATAAAGAAACTGAAGCCTGGTTGTTAAGTCACCTGCTCAGGGTCACCTTATGGAAACATCCATCTCCTATCTCTCTCAGAACAATGTTCTTTTACCTCTAACCGGTTACTCATTTGCACTTTGAAGCCAGTTAGTATGAATGCAAATTATTGTACTTTTAACATTCATGAATTCAGAGCCAGAAAATATCCTGGTGACATTTCCACAGACATGGTTAGTAGAGATTGATGAGCAATTTGAAACAAAATAGAGGGGCCATTCACATCTGAAGCATGAATCTTGGGTGATTAGTGACATATTGGTTTCATTAAGTCATAAAACTACCCAACAGAAAAAAATATATTTGGCAGTATACCCTGTTGGGTATATTTAAGCACAGTTTGAATACGAATATTTGGTATTTCATCATGTAGTTATTGCTGTTTTCATTAGGATTCTCCAGGATCTCACACCGACTAAAAGCAAGCCAATTCCTTCATGCCTAGAACCTCTTCCCACATTAGAAGTTTATTAATCTGCGGGGGTTGATCAGAGAGCTGTTGGGAAAGTGTGTTAGGAAACTTGAGCTCTGCCCACCTTAGTAGGGTGCTGGAATGTTACAGAGTTGTTCATTGCTGTTGATACCTCCTTTCCAAGATGCAGTATTACAGTGACTTACATGATGACTAAGTGTTTGGCTATCACTCTAAAGGGGCAGAAATATTTGTATCATTTAACAACTAAAACTAAAACTAGAAAAACATCCATTTGGATCACAGCTCAACATGATTTGCTTGCATATGTTGACTGTATGTTCTGAAAAATGAGTTCAGTTCTTTAGATTAAAACATGACCTTTCTATTACATTTGGGATTGCTTCCATGTTGGCATTTCAGCACCTTTTAATGAAGATTGGTATAGTTAGGTCATTTTCCAGAAAGACAAGCTTCCTTAGGCTATGCCATCTGGGTTACACGTGTTGATGTGATATTTACTTATCAAAGGTGACTGCAGGGCTGGGTAGGAGTTAGGAGACCTGACTTGAAGGCCCTTCAATATGCTGTGCCTTAAACTGGTGGGCACCATTGTACCTGAAGGTACTGATGGTATCCTCAGGAGTGTAAACAATGTGGGCATCCTGCCATGCACTGAGCTGTGGTATAGGGAGTCCAAGTGGGGTAGCCCTTTTGGGGGCTACACCCAAACAGAGGAGAGGTGAGCCAATCAGCTCCTGAAGGTTCCAGCCTGTGTCTTTCCAGGGGAGCACTGCTCATCTAGGCAGGAAATCCAGCAGCCCAGCAGCCTTTTTACTGAGGGTTTCTGCAGTGAAACCCTTCTCACTCTGGTATAAGAACTACTATTTGATCCAGCAATCTCACTACTGGGTATCTACCTAGAGGAAAAGGAGTCATTATATGAAAAAGATACTTGCACATGCATATTAATAGCAGCACAATTTGCGATTGTAAAAGTGTGGAACCAACCCAAATGCCCATCAATCAATGAGTGGATAAAGAAGCTGTGGTATATATATACAATAGACTACTACTCATCCATAAAAAGGAATGAATTAATGGCATTTGCAGCAACCTGGATGGGATCGGAGAATACTATTCTAAGTGAAGTAACTCAGGAACAGAAAACCAAACATCATATGTTCTCACTCATAAGTGGGAGCTAAGCTATGAGGACGGAAAGGCATAAGAATGATACAATGGATTTTTGGGACTTGGGGGAAAGGGTGGGAGAGGGTAAGGAATAAAAAACTACAAATAGGGTTCAGTGTATACTGCTCGGGTGATGGGTGCACCAAAATCTCACAAATGACCACTGAAGAACTTACTCATGTAACCAAATACCACCTGTTCCCCCAAAACCTACAGAAATAAAGAATTTTTAAAAAAGAAGAAGTTGTTACTCATGGGCTAACAGTTTTGAGAAAAACTGCTGCCTCTTGGCTGCTGCTGTCATCAACAGGAGGATAAGGGTCAATCTTCAGGAGAAGCTGACTTTTCTCTGTTATAAGAGAAGAAATCAGTGTAGGGACATGCCTGGGCCAGAAGGGCAGGAATGGTGATTTCTGGTGGAGATCCAGTGACATAAAGACATTCTGAGGACATCTGCCCTGGAGCCTTGTTTTCCCATTTAAGCGGTGGTTCTCAATAAACCAGGAGCGATTTTTGTCTCCCAGGAGACAATTGGCAATGTCTGGAGACATTTTCAGTTGGCACGAGTAGGGGAGTATTACTGGAATATCTAGTGATAGAGGCCAGGATTCTGCTAAACATCCTTCAGTAATGCACAGAACAGACAGCCCCCCTCCCCCCGCCCACACACACACAAATAATTACCTGGTCCCAAATGTCAGCAGTGCCAAGGACGAATGTGCCAAGGGTCCACAACCCTGGCTGAATGGTTGTAACGATTCTGTCAACGGGTCTCTTTAAAAAGTGTGGAGAAGGCCAAGCCTCTGGTGGTAAACGGCACACAGGTGCTGACTAAAGCAAGGCCTCCAGTCACCAAGGGCAAATTGCTGTGGTAACTTAAAAGGGAAGAATAGAAATGGACCATGATGTCTTACATTCTTTAATTTTTTTGCAAAGAAACCCAGATGACAAATCTGAAAGATGAGTGCTGAGATAAGGTAACTAGGAGGAAGGTGTGAGCTGAGATCAGTTCAAAGTGAGAAACCTGTTGTCACCTCCTGCTTCTTTGTCTGCATCAAGATTGTTGTGAACATCCCAGCCTATACCGGCAGGGCAACGTGCCCAAGTGACATCTCTCTGTTGACTCATTCTTAGGGGCCCTTGAGTGCTGTGTTGGGCTGGAGAACTTGGAGTTTCTAGTAGAGGCAGAATAACATTCATTATGTGGAAACAAGATTTTGTGTCCTGGGGAAAATGACTGTCTGCTTTGAGGTTGTCCACAGATTGTTTGGGGAGTTGGAGACCTCTGAAGAGTGCTAAACTTCCAGATATCCAATTACCACTGTATTGCATCAACAAAAGAGAACTTGGAGGATAAAGTGGTTGTGTGGAGATGATGGATATTTCTCAACCGTGAAAGGAACCATGCTTTCAGGAGTTATGAAAAATGAAGCACGTTTCTCATTAGAAAAGAATGATCCATTTCCTTCTTATATTGCCAAAGGTCGTCTTTTGCCAATTCAATGAGAGTATGAACATGGGATTCATTACTTGCAGGAAAAAAGGTAGCAAGTGTACTCTGGAATCCTCAAGAGTCAATGATAAGTGGGCAGATGGAATTGAAAAGTGAGAATATTGGGGGCTGAGCGGGGCCTTCATGGCATCAAATGTGCTGTGTAGCAGGATGCAGTCAACAGTATGTGGACAAGTTCTGATTTGCTGAAAAGGAAACAAGGTAAAATAGCTAAATTTGCTTTGAGCAAATTTCTGTCTCAATCAGTATCAAAACAATGAATGTTATTCTTTCCCTTGGTAGAAGAGTTTATGCATTGGATCCAAAAAAATTAATTCTTTTAGTTAATTAATTAATTTTTAGTCTATTATTTCTTTAAAATTATCTTTAACATTTTATCTTCCTTTTCATTCCTACTACAACCATCCAAGTCCCCATTATTTGGAAAGAGAATTATTTTCTCCCTTTCTATCTGATTTTCAAGTTTGCATCCTCCTTCTATTTCAGTCCATCTAGTAGTATTAGTATCAGTAGTGGTAGTAGTAATAGCAGTAGTATATTAATAAATATAATAGTTATAAGAAAGCGGTGATGATAAAGATAAGGCCAACCTTACTTACTATGATTATTCACAGGGTAGGTCCATGACCCAAGCCAACTGGAATTCTTCCCTGACATCTTACAGATACTTAGAGAAAGAAGAGATTTTCCTTGAGGCTGCTAATCTGGAGCTATGTGAGGCCATGGAGTTCTCTTGGTGCCTGAACTATCTATGGCCATGCCTCCCTCTCACCAGCCCCTTTTGCTTCCCATACGAGGAAAACAAAAAGCTTATTTTCAGTAGGAGAGAAAGAGGCCAACACATAGAAAGAAGAGAGAGAGAACTGAGAAGATGATTTGTTCAGCCTCAGGGATGAATTATGATTCAAGGCTCTCCTCTTCCTCTTTGCCAGTCTTGGGTTGGGCTTTTGACCAGTTCTGGCCAGTGAGATAGAAAGGGATGTCTGCTGCTTGGAGCTTTGCAGAAAGATTTTCCTCCCTGATAGGGGAGATGTACATAAGCAAGAAGGTATTTTTTCCCTCTATCTGCTTCCTTCTTGCTTGTGACTATCTTGAGAGATCATTAACTTGAACACATGACAGTTATCTTGCACCTAGGTGGGGAGACATTGCTAATACATCCAGAGTATGTCTGACAGAAAGGCAGACATAGCTTGGGTCCCTAATGATGTACTGAACTGCTGAACCAACACTGGAATCAGCTTAATTCAGAGCTCCTGTTAGAATTGACAATTAAATGTCTTTGTTATTTAAGCCAAAGTGAGTCCTGTGGTGTGCTACTTTCGATCAAACACATACTAATTGTCCAACAAACAAACAAAAACAACTGTGAACTCATACTTCGCAAAGATATCTCAAACTCTATAGATCCCCAAACCAAATTCAATCTGTCACTGCCTTACATCCCTGGGATGTGCCACCATCCACCTGTGCACACAAACTAGACAAGACACCTGGAGTCACTCTGTCGTCTTCCTTTCCCTCACCTCCCACATCCACTTAGCAAGTTATGTTCGTTTGACTCAGATCTACCTTCTCCCCAGTTCCATTGTTGCTATTTTAGCCGATGAGGGTGGAGGGTGGCAGAGGGTCTTCATTTCTCTCCAGGGCCACTGCTTCCGAAGTGCTTGACTTGCCTCTAGTCATGTTTCTCTCCAAGCCCTTCTCCACTAGCTTCCAGCATGGTCTAGCTAAAAGCAGCACTCAAGTTGTTACTCCCTTGTCTGATTCTGACTTGGGCTTCCCTATGCCTAAGGCAGCAGTTCTCAAAGTGTAGTTCCTAGACCAGCAGTACCAACATCACCAGGGAACTCAGAAATGCAGACTCTCGGGCTCCACCTTAGATTTACTGAATCAACATTCTGGGGGTTGGACCCAACTCTCCATTTAAGAAAGCCTTCCAAGGAACTCTAATGTGCTGAAGTTTAAAATCACTGCTGGCCTAAGGAAATAAAATCTAATTTCCTTAGTGTCGTAGGTTGAACAGTATCACCCCCACCCCCTCACCCAACTCATGTCTACTCACAGCCGCAGAATTCACCTTATTTGGAAAGAGAGTCTTTGTAGATGTAATTAGTTAAGGATCTCAAAATGAAATCATCCTGGATTTAGAGTATTTCCTAAATCCAATTATTGCTGTCTGTATTAGCTCATTTTCAAGCTGCTAATAAAGACTTACCCCAGACTGGGTAATTTATAAAGGAAAGAAGTTTCATGGACTCACAGTTCCACATGGTTGGGGAGGCTTCACAGTTGTGGCAGAAGGTGAAGGAGGAGCAAAGTCACATCTTACATGGCAGCAGGGAGAGAGGGAACCCTGGGTGGGGTGGGGAAATGAGCAGAATGGGGGAGTTCTCCGGGCTGCATTCCGGGTGAGAAGCCTGAGGAGGCAGGTGTGGTGCTAACCCGGGTTTCAATGCCATCATCTGGGCATCTCTGTAGGTTGAATGGTGGGAGTTCCCCATAGTCAATGCTGAGGCACAGCCCCAGCCTGGGCATGGGAAAGGCTTATGCTTCAACTGTCATTCTCAAACTTGAGCACATATCAGTTTCACGTGGAAGGCTTGTTCAGATGCAGATTGCTGGATCCCATCTCCAGAGTTTTTGATTCTGTAGATCTGGGGTGGGGCTCCAGAATTTGCATTCCTAACAAGATCCTGGATTATACCAATGATGCGGGCCTGGGAGACCTCATTTGAAAACTACTGCACTAGAATACCTGACGTTAGACTCGTGGCTCTCAACTTTGGATACATTAGAATCATTTGGGGAGTTTAAAAATATACAGACGCCAGGGCCTTGCGCATGAATTGGTCTGGGAATGTAAATAGATATAAGAATTTGAACTCCAACTGGGCAAAACACTGATTTGTTTAAGATTTATTTAGAAAATGCAATGAATGCATTGATGAATTTATCCAAATTTTATTAAGCATCTACCATGCTGCAGGCATTGTGTTGGTGATGGGGATATATAGGTGAACAAAATACAATTCTACCTTCAGGAAACCATCAGTCCAGTGTGAGGCAGGTATACAAAACAGGTGGTTCTGTTGGGCACAGTGGCTCGCACCTGTAATCAATCCCAGCACTTTGGGAGGCTGAGGTTGGAGGATTCTTGAGCCCCGGAGTTCTAGACCAGCCTGAGCAACATAGGAAGACCCCCCATCTCTACAAAAAATTAAAAAGTAGCTGGGCGTTGTCATGCTCGCCTGTGGTCCCAGCTACTTGGGGGTATGGGGGTGCTGAGGTAGGAGAACCCCGAGAGGCTGAGGCTGCAGTGAGCAGTGATTGTGACACTGCACTCCAGCCTTTGCCACAGAGCGAGATCCTGTCTCAAAACACAAAACAAAAACAAAAAACCCAGATGGTTCTAAAACCACATGGGAGTGGAGTAATAGTTATGCAGAGAGAACTATGGAAGCCTTAAGGAAGAGCATCCAATCCAGCTTGGGGGGCAGGGGATGGAGAAAGCTCAGGGAAGGGGCTAAAGAGATGACGAGGTGATGATTCAGTTCAACAGTTTCAGAAATCCCAATAGGTTAATCTTCTATTTGGCGTAAAAAGAAGCTTTATTGAACCCAAGGCATAGTGTTAAAAATTTGTGCCTAAATCCAAATCTGTGCTTGACCTCTTACTAGCTGTCCAACTAGGAACAATTTACCTAAACTCTCTTTGCCTTACTTTCCCCATATTTAAAAGGGGACTAATAATAGTATCTCCCTGATAGGATTGTTGTGAAGACCAAATGACGTAACACATGTGAAGTGCTTGGTGGCGTGAAGGACTCAAACTTCCAGGGTCACTGTTCACACCCTCAAAACAGCCCACAGTCTAGTAAGCACTTTATAAATGTCAGTTATTATCATTAACATTTCAGAAGATCTCGTTTAAACTTCCAGTTACAACCATCACCACTGGGAGTTTTAGTTTTGGTTCCTGTTGCTGTGGCTGTAGCACTGGGAGGTGGGCTCACGCTGCTGGGACATGCAGGATTCTCTCCCCTGCACCAAGTGGCTCCAGACTCCCGCGGCTCTAGAATTCTTGTGTTGAGGTTTCATTTAACATGTTCTTCCTTCTATCAGTGTATCTGTCCTCTGCCGACTTCTTACCACCTCCTTACAATGGCTGGTTTGTTTTTTTTTTTTGCATCCACCATAGACAAAATATCCAAAAGGCCAAGATTGCATAATTGTACCTAAAATGTAGCTACCCTTCAGAGACTTGTCTTTAAATGAAGAAGGTATGCATTGGTGCATGTCATGCTTTGACATCAAAGGCCCTTTTCACTTCCTCCTACACTTTTGCAGTGGCATTCTGAAGGACTAACTTTCTGGGATAATAGATTTCCTGAGGTCAAGTGCAGTGGCTCACACCTGTAATCCCAGAACTTTGGGAGGCTGAGGTGGGAGGATCGCTTGAGCCCAGGAGTTTGGGACCAGCCTGGGCAACATAGGATGACCCGTCTTTAAAAAAATTAGCTGGGCATGATGGCACATGCCTGTAGTCCCACCTACTTGGAGGTCTGAGGTAAAAGGATTGCTTGAACCAGGGAGGTTGAGGCTGCAGTGAGCCATAATTGTGCCACTGCACTCCAGCCTGGGCAACAGAGCAAGACCCTGTCTCAAAAAAAAGTAATATTTCCTAATCTTATTTATTTAAGATGATCTTAAATAAATAAATAAATAAGGATCTTATTTATTTATTTAAGTCTTTTGAAATGATCTAGACTGCTTTCTGCTAGGGCTTGATCATGGGTCTTCTGGATTTGGGATCACAGTTTAATGCACACCCTTGGTTAAGACCATACTTATTTTAATTTCAAATTCTCAGCCATATTTCACCTGCCTCCAGAGCCTGTCTTCTTTTCTCAGGAATCTGGATCTATTTCCCCACTTGTCATGCAGCTTTCAGATGTTCTTTGTCCACGTTCATCTGAGTGTTCACCTTGCCTGGTGTTCACCTGCCACAAGTCCCAAACTGTTCTCCACTGGAGACAATATTTATGTTGGCTAAATATTGGCACAAGCAAGTCATAAACTTGGCATGTTCACAAACAACGTGGCAGACCACTGAACAGATGTTCTAACATTTACAAATCGGTTTTCAGTTAGGAGCATGTGCAATGACCATCTGCCTTTGTCCCCAGTGTGCAGAGCTCTTCTTGAAAGGTTAGCCATATTCTACAGTCCAGTGTTTCTCAAACTCTGCTGCACATTAGAGCCACCTGGGGAGCACTTACAAACCCTGATGCGCAGGACAACCACCAGACCAATTAATTCAGACTCTAGGGCTGGGACCCAGGCATCGGTGGCTTTTAGAACTCCTCAGGTGATCTCAATGCAGGCAAGTTTGACAACGCGTTCCATAGTCCAGTGCTTCTAAGATTTTAATGTGCCTGAAAATCACTTGAAGAGTCTGTTAAAATGCAGACTATGATTCAATAGATCTGAGTGGGCTGAGCATCTGCATTCCTAACAAGTGCCCACGCAATGTGGATGCTGCTACAAATCCAGGGACCATACTTTGAGTAGCAGGGCTGTAGTCCTTTCTATTGCCTGTTCATTAGCCTTGCAAGTAATTTCCCAGAAATCATGAGTCCATTTGAGTTTGTGATTATTTCCACATTTATCAATGGCTCTACTAGGTCTCCCTCCCTCTGTCATTCTGCACATATCCTATAGCCACACTCCCGTGGTAAAGTAATCTTAATATTGATCTCACTTCTGTATTTTTCCCTAGATAGTGATTCTTGTGAAAACCCAGACAATAGAAGAGTCATCTAGCTAAACCTAAGCAGATTTTTCCACTGATCTGATCTTTCTCTCTGTGTACACTCTACCTGCAAAGCTCACTGGACACAAGGACATGTCCTCCAGGATAAGGAAATTCTTTGAACATTGTGTGATTTGGCGGATGATAATGACCCAGTATCTTGGTTACTGCTGCTCCACATAGGTTAGTTACAAACACTAGGTCTTTGGTTCAAAAAAATCATTAATAGTGGCAAAAGAATTGAGGATAGCACAAAAGTAATTTTCGTTTCAGGATTGGTTAGGATTTCAGATGATAGTACCTTGAAAAATGCAATTTCCTGGCCAATATTCTACTGGCTCTGCAATAATAGTTGTCAATTATCTATGGGCCCTGGTCTGTGGACATATTCTTGGGGGAATAAAAACTTTTCTAGGAGTCTTTTGCATTTCATGCTGATAATAACTTAAAAATTAATATAAAGCATCCTAGATCATCAAGATGACCAAGTCCTGGCTCATGATTTAAATGTCTGCATTTGTGTTTGTATTTACGATTGTTTATATGCCAAACAGCCATACTTCAATAATTGCAGGCTAATGATGAAAGAAGAGTGAACAGAGGGAGATTTAATAGAAACACCATGTGTGTAAGCCGAGAGAAGGTCCCACGGCATTACAAGGAGGCTTACAAACAAAAGTGTCTCAGTAGGTTCAATAGAGAAATATGATAAAAGAACTCAGAAGTCACATACCACATCATATTTTAGATTTGCTGAGATTCAGAAAACAAACCAAACCAAAACAAAAACCAAGTAAAACTCAAAAAAAAAAAAAAAAACAAACCCAGCATTATAGCCATTGGGACCATTTCATGTTGAGCACAGCTATTGAATCTCAACAAAATAACATTGTCTATTACACTATGTTGATGACATACATTTAAACAGCATTGACTTATAACATTATCATTTAATTTATATATTTGTTTTGGTTGTGTAGCTGTTTCAAAACCACCAGCATTCTAGTTTTGTTTGTACATATTCAAGTAACTTTCTAATGCAAATAAGTTAAGCCATTACTGGGATAGTTTTTTGTTCTTTAAAAAGATTTTGTATTTACTTTTTTACATGTATTCATTCTTTGTGCACATGTTGAGTTCCTTTACTATTTTCTGAAATGTCATAGTGGTCCTGGTGTAGCCTCATGTGCTTGATTTCAAGGAGTTGTTAATGAGACACTGTTGGGAACAGAAACTAAGCCCCTAGAAGAGTTCATTTTTACATTACCTGTAAATACAGTAACAAACTTTTTGCAGGGAAAGATTTCCCTGCTTGGAAGTCACACCTGATGATGGCTGGTGGCTGGTGGAGGGTCCAACATGACAGATCACTGGGGGCTCATATTGGCCCCATGACAGAGCAGGGGTCATACCTATGATTTGGGGGGAAAATAAAGTGCTTACAGGCTGTGGGGCCTCTGGCTCTCCATTCCGTGATGGGTGGCTGAGAGGCTGCACGACTGTCGAGGGTTGGGAGTCCCCTTTAGGCAACTGTTGACTGCCTTCTGAGAGGGTGTACGACTGGCTCTGAGGATTAAAAAAAAATACATAAAAATGCTGGTCCACTCCTAAAGGCCAGCTGCTCCCTAGGTTGACTTTCAAAAGACAAAATTATCCTCCTAAGCTGTGAATGCAGGGTCCATTGATTATTCCTGGGGTCCTCTGCATCTATCAGAAATATTTGAAAAATAGGCTTCAGTTTCTCTGAAAGATACACTGAACGGATGGCTCATAATCTCTGCTGGTATGAAAATGCTATTTGTAGATGATTTGAAAAACAATGCCTTTCCTAAGAATATATTTGTAAGTTTGTAAACATCTGAGTGCAGCTTGAATATATAGCGAAGGAAAAACCTTATAGACAAAGTAACAGTTTACAGAAAGTTTTGGAGTTTTATTCTCTGCTCATAGTGTGCATGAAATATATCATTCTTGCTGTGGAAATTTACAGCAGGTACACAAAACCTTATTAAGATTTGTATTGGAATAGCTTTAGATATACTTCAATGTAAAAAATATTCAAGATTCAACTCTGATCTGTCCTGTGTGTAGTTGGTTCCAAAAGGTAGTGTTTTAGTCAGTTTTTAGTCATTAACTATTTATAGACACACTATTCAGGAGCCTAAACATTTCAAAAGAAATGTAAATTATTAAGTCCATTCCATGGATATTTGCAAATATGTGGATGTTTAGAAATAATAATGGAATATTTTCACCTTGCAATCCAAGTTGTGTGGACTTACATGAGTATTTACCTTGGTCTATTAATATTTGCAACATGAACCTATCTTTCCCACATAACTCTGAATGGGCTTAGTTTATGAAGTTTTATACAAATTTGCTACAAACTAACAGCTTTAGTTATACATTCTACAGATACATATTAACCATTTGCTCTCTGCAAGGCACTATTTACTGCCTTATTTTACATACTTCTTTCTCTTTAGCCCCTCTTAAGAGATTTTTGGCCAATAAGGGAATAATATATCCCCAGTGCTTTTTTTTTTTTTTTTTTGGGACGGAGTTTCACTCTTGTAGTCCAGGCTGGAGTGCAGTGGTGCAATCTCGGCTTATTGCAACCTCCGCCTCCCAGGTTCAAATGATTCTCCTGCCTCAGCCTCCTGAGTAGCTGGGACTACAGGCATGTTCCACCACACCTAGCTAACTTTTTTTTTTTTTTTAATTTTTTTAGTAGAGACAGTGTTTCACCATGTTGGCCAGGCTGACCTCAAACTCCTGACCTCAAGTAATCCGCCCACTCTGGCCTTGCAAAGTGCTGGGAGTACAGGTGTGAGCCACCGCACCCGGCCTCAATGCATTTTAAAAGCATGGTATGCTGTTGCTAAAACCAATATTAAAGGGTAACCATAGTGATAAAGTATACAAGTATCAGTCATGATTTTATAGTTTAAATTCTTCCACATGCTAACCAAAATTAAAACCAATTCCCAAAGGCAATGAGTACTTACATGACGATTGCCCATTTTCCTTTTTCTGAGATGGTTTTTCTGTATTTCATCAAGAGATCAGTCCTCCTACAGGCAAAGTTTACAACAGTTTTCCCCCCGGACATAATATCTCTTGTGTTTAATAAGTAACTTTTGGCACTGAATTTGAATACATTGTTGGGGATGGGTAGGGAGTGGCTCTAGCTACAGATAAACTTAGACTGCCCAGGTTTCCTTGGTACCCATGTTTTTAAAATAATATACTTCTTAATAAATAAAGTTTAGGCTTTTAAAGTTGAATAGCTTCTTCCCACCTAAAAGACTAAACCTGCCTCACTTCTGAATTGTTGAGTTATTCTTTCATATTCTGGTGTTCATTTAAAATATTATGCCTTTTAGTAATGAAAGCATTAACCAAATAGAAAAATATTACTATTTTTTACTAACATTGTTATTATTATTACAGAGAATTTTTCGAAGGCTACATTGCATTACACTAGATCATTTAAAAAATTTTACTGAGTTTTGAATTTAAAAAGTAATATGTGCAGATGGTAAATTTGTTTCTAATAATACATAAAGGTCCTGTGAAAAGTCGGCCTACTGACTTCCTTTTTCCTTCCCCCAGAGGTTTTCCGTGAGTCCTTCCTGAAGTGGTCCATGCATATTCAGCTATGTCCGTCGGTCTGCCTGTCTAGTTACCTACCTCTCTGTTTATCTTGATCCAACTTGTCTTTTCTTCCTCACCAAATGGGTTTGTACAATGTATTCTGTTCCATGCCTTGCATATTTCTTGTCTTTCCTTTTTTTTTCTGAGATTATTACAACATGTTTCTTTTTTTATTTGTACAAACTTATGTGGTACATAAGACATTTTGTTACATGCATATAATGAGTAGTGATCAAGTCAGGGTATTGAGAGTGTTTGCCTGAGTACAATAGATTTCTGTTGAGTACAGCCACCGTACTCTACTATCCAACACTGAATTTATTCCTTCCATCTTAGTGTGTGTTTGTACCCTTTAACCCACTTCTCCTCTTCCCCCGCAACTCACCCTTTCCAGTCTCTTTTCTCCATCTATCCACTCTCTACCTTCATGTGATCAATTTTTTAGCTCCCACATTTAAGGGAGAACATGTGATATTTGTTATAAGGGAGAACATGTGATATTTGTCTTTTTGTGCCTTGCTTATTTCACTTAATATAGTGTATATTTCATATACTAAAGAGATATTTGACACTGGCACATTTCTTTTTCAGTGGCCATGTAGTCAACTGTTATGGATATGAACCAAACCTTATTTCATCAGTCTACCGTTGAAGGTCATTTAGATTGTTTTTGATCTTTTGCATGAATATCTCATACACATCTTTGTTGTGCTTTCTTATCTGTAGAATAAAATCTTAGAATAGAGTTGCTGGCTAAAGACTATGTGCACTGAAAATTCTGATAGCTGTTGCCAAGTTGTCCTCCACACTGACATAAAATGCTGGACCACTCTTAAAGACCAGCTGATCCATGAGGCTTACTTTAAAAAAATGAAAATTTCACTCCCACTATATGAATATACCAGTGTGATTTTCCCTACATATTGGCTAACACTAAATATTGTCAAACTTTGTCATTTCTGCCAACTTCAAAGATAAAAACATGGTGTTTTATTAAATTTACATTTCTTTCATTTGATATCCTGGAAATTGTATATCCCATTTCTTTAAAGCCATTTGTGTATTTTTTTCTGTGGTTTGCTTGTTTGTGGTCTTTATTTTTCTTTTGAGTTATTAGTATTTTCATTATTTGTTTGTAAAACACTTTATTTATAATAAAATCTAGGCCTTCATGAAGTGTAACAATTATTTTTCCCCAGTTTGTTATCTTTTGTCTTTGTTTGTTTTGAGGGTATATATGTGAAGAAAGTATTAGCTCTGATGTATTCAAATATATCAGTCTTTTATTTTTGACTTGCTTAGAAAAACCATTTCTGCATTAAGATGCTTAAATCTTCTTGCATAAGTGTTCCTCCAAGTTCTTTTAATGGCTTAATTTTCAAAGGCTTATATCTTTGATTCATCTGGAATTGATTTTGACATACATTAAGGAAGGAAGGGTGTGTTAGGCTGTTCTTTCATGGCTATAAAGAAAGAACCGGAGGCTGGGTAATTTATAAGGAAAAGTGGTTTTATTTTGGCATATGGTTCTGCAGGCTGTATAGGAAGCATGGTGCTTCCTTTCTGGAGGGCCTCAGGGAGCTTACAATTATGGAGGAAAGTGATGGAGAACCAGTATGTCTCATGGCAAGAGCAGGAGCAAGAGAGGAAGTGCAGAGGTGCCACACATTTCTCAACAACCAGATCATGTGTGAACGCAGAGCAAGAGCTCTCTTATCACCAAAGGGATGGCACCGAGCCATTAATGAGGGATCCACCCCCATGATTCAACACCTCCTGCCAGGTCCAACATCCAGTATTGAGAATTACATTTCAACAGGAGATAGGGAGGGGACAAACATCCAAACTATATCAAAGGGAGTCAGCTTAGTTTTTGTTATTCAGTCAATCCTAGACAGTTACTGGATAATGCACTTTTCCACTATTGGTCTAAGATGCCACTTTTATTTAAAGCTAATTTCTTATGTAACATAGAATTAAAATTTTGTATAGGTTTATTAAATTCTGATTTTATATATTTATTATTTTGTTCTTTAAACTATTATCTGTTGAGTGCCTTGGATGTGCTAATTGTTGGAAAGACGGACAGGATGGATATGGATTTTCCCTTCCTAGAACTTGCAGTCAAATTTCTATACAAGAAACAAACAAATAAATAATTATAAATTGTCATATGGGCTATGGAGAAGATAAGCAGGACGCTAGAATAAAGAGTAACCCGTGTGTGTGTGTGCACATAAGAGTATGTGTGTGTGTGCACACGTGTGTGTGTGTGTACTTTGCTTTAAATGAAGAAAGGGCTTTTCAAGGAGCTCACACTGAAGCTGTGAATTAAAAGAAGGAGTTCATCATTTAAAAAGAGAAAGTGCTCCAAATTGGATGTTCTTAGCTTGTGCTAAGGCTCAACATAGGAAAGAGCTTTGTGAATTGGAGAAAATAAAAGATGTCATTGAGACTGGAGACTATTGGGTGCCACACAGGGTGCCTGGTGTGGAAATATAGTGGTGGGCAAGACAAACTCTCCTCCAGGAATTGACAGCAGAATGAGGGAGAAGAGAAGAAGATGTAGGTTAATGACCACTGCTTTGAACACTCACTATTATTTTTTCTTTAGTGTTGAATTTTTGTTTTATTATCCTCTGTCTCCTTTTGCCAGCCCAGACTTCCCAAGGCCACGTCCTCTGTGTCCCACCTCTGTGTCATTAACCACGTCCTTCAGGGACCCCTGAGTAGTGACATCTCAGAGGTCACAAGGGGCAGGGCAATTTGATGTGCAATGCTCATTGTAGAGATAAGTGCTGTTCAAGGGTGCTGAGTTACTGAGCACAGGAAATGCCTAGTTAAGGAAGAGATACAGTTTATGGCTCCAGGTGAAAGATAGACAGCTGAGAGGCAGGAGTGTCTTTTTACTTTTCAACATCTCTACCAGTGTAGACACCTATTGACTATTTAGATTTGGCCATAGTCAGGTTTTGATTTGACATAGATGGTGCTTCCCTAAGTGCCCCTCCTTTTCTCCTTCCTCAGGTGGATGGGTACTTAGGAAGGTGGCTGGGATAATTACCAGCAACAGCAGCAGTGGGGAAGGAAGGAACATTCCTGTGACCTCAGGCCATTTCTGGAAGGATGCATGCTTGGAGGCCCAGAGGGGAGAAGGAGGAAACTATCTGGGAAGGAAGTGTGAGAAGACACGATCTGGGTGAAGAGAAGGCACAAGACAGGTGGGAGGGCTTTTTGTATGGTTGTAAATATTTAGTGATCATAAATTATAACAGGTGCTGTGTAATAGGTTCCTCTAGTCAACTGGGCTACATCTGCTTTTTACATCTCTTGGATTTTGGTTCTCAAAGTCATGATGTTGCCCACCGATAGGGCAGCTGGTAATGTGTGTGGGAGTATTTGAGTGGCCATAATGAGTGGTGGAGTGGGAACTGGAGCCCAGCCTAGGGATAAGAAAAATCCTGCACTGCATGGGACAGTCCCACACAGCAAAGAATTGTCCAGTCCTCAAGCCAACGGTGTCCCACTCCCCTTGAAAGGTGGGAGACATTCTGCCTCTCTCACCTTCCTTCTATGATGGGCTCTATCGGCAGACCAAGAGTTTATGAACTTTTGTGGTGCTCCCGGGTCTTAAAATTCTGTAAAATCTGAAGTTGCAATGCTATGAGCTTAATTGTAGCTACTGGAAAAGTATGAAAGATGGAGAATGTGGGCCGGGCGTGGTGGCTCACGCCTGTAATCCCAGCACTTTGGGAGGCCTAGGCGGGTGGATCACGAGGTCAGGAGATCAAGACCATCCTGGCTAACACGGTGAAACCCCGTCTCTACTAAAAATACAAAAAAAAAAAAAAAAAAAAATTAGCCTGGCGCGGTGGCGGGCGCCTGTAGTCCCAGCTACTCGGGAGGCTGAGGCAGGAGAATGGCGTGAACCCGGGAGGCGGAGCTTGCAGTGAGCCGAGATAGCTCCACTGCAGTCCGGCCTGGGCAAAAAGAGCGAGACTCCATCTCAAAAAAAAAAAAAAAAAAGAAAAAAAGAAAGTTGGAGAATCTGTAAATGGACAAGGGGGACCAGAAGAGACAAATCACTTGGACCAACTCCTTCATTCTATAGATTAGGAAATTCCGGTCCTGGAAAGTGACAATATCTCACCCAACATCAGCCTGCTAGTTAGTAGAAAGAATGGTGGGATGAGATTCTATACTGCAGGATGTTCCGAAACTTACAATACAATGGGGTTACATCCGATAAACTCATCATAAATTGAAAATATCGTTAAGTTGGAAATGCATTGAACACACCTAATTTACTGAATGTCATCACTTAGCCTAGCCTACCTTAAACATGCTCAGAACACTTATATTAGTGTATAGATGGGCAAAATCATCTAACGCAAAGCCTATTTTATAATGAAGTGTTGAATATCTCATGTAATTTATTGAATACTGCACTGAAAGTGAAAAACAGAATGGTTTCATGGATGTCCGTAGAAGAAGGGGGAAATGCGATATGAAGTTACAGGCACACAGGGAGAAGGCCATGTGGCAATGGAGGCAGAGATGGGCATGCTACAGCTGCAAGCCAGGGAATGCCAAGGACTGCCAGCAACCACAAGAAGCCAGGAAAAGGAGAGAAAGAATTTTCCCCTGCAGGTTTCAGAGGGAGCACAGTCCTGCCAACACTTTGATTTTGGACTTTTTTTTTTTTTTGAGACAGAGTCTCACTGTCATCCAGGCTGGAGTGCAGTGGTACAGTCATAGCTCACTGCAGCCTTGAACTCCTGGGCTCAGGTGATCCTCCAGCCTTAGCCCTCCACCACACAAGTAGCTGGGACTACAGGCGTGCATCACCACACCTGGCTAATTTTCCGAACAATTTTTTTTTAGGGACTGGGGTCTTGCAGGAGGCGGAGCTTGCAGTGAGCCGAGATTGCACCACTGCACTCTGGCCTGGGCAACAGAGTGAGACTCTGTCTCAAGAAAAGAAAAAAAAAAAAAGAGAATGGGGTCTTGGCCAGGCGTGGTGGCTCACACCTGTAATCCCAGCACTTTGGGAGGCTGAGGCAGGCAGGTCATTTGAGATCAGGAGTTCAAGACTGGGGTCTTGCTATGTTGCTCAGGCTGGTCCTTGATTTTCAACTGCTCTCCTCCAGAACTGTAAGACAATAGATTTCTGTTGTCTTAAGCCACCAGTTTGTGACACTTTGTTATGACAGCCCTAGGAAACTAAAACACCTTAAACAGAAAGCAAAAATCTCATTGATTGCTGTGACAATCACAGCAACTACATTATGCTGTGTAATTTGCATTTAATAAAATTTCCATTTAGAAATACTTTGGGGAAAATATTATATGATATTAAGACTACAAGTAATTCAGATTCTCTTATAGTCATACAATATTAATTAAAATAAAAGCACATAAATGTTTATTTTCTAAATGCTGAACACTTGCCTGATTTTTCTTTCTGCAGGGAGAATTCGTAGTATTTTATTTATGTAAGGTAATTTAGCTAAAACCCCCAAATTACAGTTGATTTTGGGACAGGTACTTTCTTCCACATAGAAAAAGCAAAAATGTTAGGATTTCTGTCATGTTTGTGCATAGTCTCCCCTCGCCCCATTAGTTAATAAATGTCTAAGAGCAGAAACAGGACTATTGCTTAACTAATTCCCACAGTGTCTTCATATAATGCCTACTTTATAAAAGTTATTGCTTGACTAAGATGAAAAGACTGAAATCTGCAGGAAATCATTAGAGTCGCTGAAAGTATACTCCTATATTTTTCCAGTAGTAAAAACCCTGAAAGTCACACATTTCATCTTGCATGTACAAAAATAAAAATAACATAGAACAAAATGCCACCTGAAACTCATGGGTGTGTTAGCAAATACTGATTGTACATTTCCCATGTACAAGACACTAAGCAGAGTTACAGGGAATAGCAAAAATACAAGACACAGCTCTCACCCCACCCTTTTAGATGCTACGCTCTAGTTGGGGAAATGAAACATCCGTATAAGCAAAACCACATCTTAATGTAATGTTGCATTTTGTGGCAGAAAAACCACAGCCCTGGGACAGCAAAGCCCCCTGGATTTAGGGTGGTCTCTGCTACAACTTACGTGTGTGATCACATCAGAGTCACTCACTCTGTCCAGTTCTTGGCTTTGTACTATGTAAATAGAGCAGTTGGGCTTCATCTCTACATTTACCATGAACACTTTCGGTTTAGGAAGGTAGGTTGCAAGTGACTGAAAACTTGACTCACAACAACTTAAGCAAACAATTGAATTTTTGGCTCACATAATTGGAAAACGCGCTAGCTTCAGGCATAACTGGATCCAGCTACTCAAAATATATCCTGGAGACCCACTGTCTCTCTCCATCTCTCAAGTGCTTCTTTCCCCCCTCTCAAAGAGATTCCACATTTCAAAGGCAAGATATTGGCTTGCGGATCAATGTTTTCATGCTTAAAAATTCCAAAACTAGTGAAAAGGAAATGAGAGCTTTTTTCCCCATAAGTTTGAATACAGAACCTGGTGTGATTCTCTGGCTCACGTTGGGATTCATCCTCATCTCTGAACTTGTCACCATAGCTGGGGTGGGGGCAGGTTGTGAGGACCAGATTTCATGTCCTCCTCTAGAGCTGTGTGAGAAGTCAATCCCACCCAAACCATGTGGACTGAGAGTAGGGGAAAGATTGTCACCAGAGAAAATTGGGGTGCCCTTAATAAAAGAAGGGTGAATGTAATGGTAGGCTGGCCAAAAAAGAGATGTCCACTACAGAAGAGCAAAAAGAGAAAGAAAGGAGACAAGAGAGAGAGAGTTCATGAGGATGGGAGAAGAAGGTGGAAATGGTACCCCAGAGGCTAAGACCTGACATTAGAGACACTAAAAGGTGAGTAAAGTGCCCTTCCCTTTAGAGCTTCCATGTCCAGGAACGCCTTCTGTGAATCTTCTTGGGCTGACCTGCAGGTACCCAACATTCAATATCTGCTCGCGCACTCATGCAATTTCCACTTCTGACTTGCTCCACCCTGTGGACTTTGTCATCGTGAGCTTTGCTGGTTGGTGGAGGGCGGCGGGGGTTGGGGGGTGCTCCACTGTTAATGCCTCTGGGGAGATAAGCCACTGCTTAGGGCCCACACTGCAGAATTTCAGAACCCAGCACTCATTCATTAATGCACAGGTATTGGTTGCTAAGTGTGGGGTGTTACAGCACTGTGCTAGGCACCATGAGGCAGAAGACAGACAGGTAAAAAACAGAGTTCTTGCCCCTCAAGAACTTCAAATTTATGTGTGAGGAATAAGATATTAAAAAGTGCAATTGGAAGCCAAGATATAGTTAGGCAACAAATGACTGTTATAAATAAGGTAATTCACAGAAGTTGAAAAAGAAGAAATGGTGGCCAAAAGGAATAAGAAAGGCTTCGTAGGGGCATGGACTTTACCCTGGGATGTGTGGAGTGGCAAGAATTGGAAAGGGGTGCAGGGAAGGCATCATGGAGACAGCACAGGAAATGGTGAATGCCCTGGGGGAATGATGAGGAGGTGATCAGGAGTGTGGTGTGTTTAGGGGACAAAGGGAGTCAACGAGACTTGGAAATGAGGTTGAGAAGTTAATATTGATGAGAACGCCTGGACTAGGATGGTGGCCAAGGGGGAGCTGTCAAAGAGAACCCAAGGTTTCAAGCTGAAGTGACTGGGATTTTTGTGTAGGCATCTTCAGGGACAGGAAAATCAGAGAAGGAGCTGCTCTAGGTGAGACACATGGAAGCTGAGGTGCTCAGAGAGCCCCAAAGGAAGAGTTGAGAGGGAGGTGGAGGAAGAGGGATGAGCCTTGGCTGAGAAGTTTGGGACAAGAGCCGGATCAGAGTCATCACACGGTGGGTGTCAGAGCCTTGAAGGGGTGGATACGGTGGTGTGGAACATGTTGAAAGAGAATAGAAGGCTGGGAGCAGGGCCTTGGAAAGTGCATTTAGAGGTGGTAAGGAGAAAGAGGCCTTCAAAGAAGTCAGAAAGTTCATCAGAGAAAGTGATGAAATAAACACAAGATGAAACAAAATCACCACCAAATACTAGCCTCGTGGGATACAAGCTGTCTCCCTCGTGTCAGCCCTGACCTCACTGTATTGTCTTTCTTGTTCCCCAGTTTATACCTGTCCACCCGGGGTGGATTCCACAAGGGCAGTGACTATATCCTCCTCACCTTTCTCTCTCTGGAGCCTTGTATAGCACTTGTCATATGGAAATAATGGCCCTAGATGTACAATATGTCTTTGTTGAATGAGGGACTGGCAGGAACAAATTCTTTAAAAACCTTGTTTGGCTTTTGTTGCCATTGCTTTTAAAATGTGGCACATATACACCATGGAATACTATGCAGCCATAAAAAACAATGAGTTCATGTCCTTTGTTGGGACATGGATGAAGCTGGAAACCATCATTCTCAGCAAACTACCACAAGGACAAAAAACCAAACACTGCATGTTCTCACTCATAGGTGGGAATTGAACAATGAGAATACTTGGACACAGGAAGGGGAACATCACACACCGGGGCCTGTTGTGGGGTAGGGGGAGGGGGGAGGGACAGCATTAGGAGATATACCTAATGTAAATGACGAGTTAATGGGTGCAGCACACCAACATGGCACATGTATACATGTGTAACAGACCTGCACATTGTGCACATGTACCCTAGAACTTAAAGTATAATAAAAAAATTTTTTGAAAGAATGTAATAACAACAATAAAAAAAGAAAAAACCTTGTCTGTTGTAGGCCAGATTTTGTTATGACAAACTCCAAGGGATATACAAGTTTCTTGGGCCGGAATTTGATTAATGCAAATATTCCATAAATAAGTGGGTAGTATGGCTGGAAAGCACATGCATTTTTCTCATCAATGCAGAGCAGGAAGACTGAAATTGTCACCCACACACCCAAAGATGAATGAGTATGTGTGAGAGTGATTCCATCATTCTTCAATTGTTTACCATTAGCATTCTTTTAAAGGAGATTTATAAGCACATTCAAATCCACTACTTCATTAATTAAACAGTAATATCTTGAGGGCCTACTATGTGTCAGGAGCTCTTCTAGGCATTGGGGATCTGGTGGTGACAATGTCTGGGCCCTGGTGGAGCTTATATTCTGCAAGGGGAAATATACAGAAGTACACAAAGATGCAAACAGCACAATTACAGGCTGTGGGACATGCAACGCTGTGACAGATATAAACAGGGTGATATGGTGGCAAGCAATTGGGGAGGCCAATAGCCAAGGCAGAAAAGAGAGGCCTGTGTGTGTGTGTGTGTGTGTGTGTGTGTGTGTGTGAATAGCCAAGGCAGAAAAGAGAGGCCTGTTTGTGTGTGTGTGTGTGTGTGTGTGTGTGAATAGCCAAGGCAGAAAAGAGAGGCCTGTTTGTGTGTGTGTGTGTGTGTGTGTGGGAAGCCAGACCTGAAGAACAAGAATGGCACAGTTATTTGAAGAACTAGGGGAATGATTTCAAGCAAGGAGAAATAGGTCCTGAGGCTGAAAGTCTTCGGTACATGTGATGAACAGAAAAGATGTCAATGTGGTCAGAGGGTGAAGGAGAGTGGAAGGAAAAAGACCAAGCCAGGCCTCATGTGTAGGCTATGGCGAGGGGCTGGAGTTTATGTGTATAGAAAGATGAACTCATCCAGGTGTTTTAGATAAGAGAGTGACATGATCTGAGTTCGTGTTTGAAAGGTTGCCCCAGCTATAAATAGGTGAGGATGTCAGTGGGGCAGAGCAGAAGAGAAAGGTCAAGAGGCCTTCACTGCAGACCAGGTGACAGGTGCAGGCGGCTTGGACTGCAGGTGTGAGGTTTAGAGATGGGGGCAGGTTTGGAAGTGGGACCAAAAAGACTTGCTGATGGGTTGGACATAGGGATGGAGTGGAAAGAAAAGTCAAGAACATTTCTCCCAGATTTTGGGCCCAAGCACTTGGGTGGGTGGGGCCATTAATGGAGGTGAGGAAGACTTGGTGGAGGGAAGAAATGGTGGAGCAGGGCTTTGATCGTGTTAAGTTTGAGACTTATTAGACACTCAGGTGGAGATGTCAAGCTGACAGTTTGGGATGAATGATGTGTGGGTTAGAGACATATTTGGGAGTCATAACAGTGTATGGAAGTCATTAGCCAGGTGGACATTACTGCTGGAAGGTGGGAGGAGAGAGGAGGGGAGGGAAGGAGATGAGAGGGAAAAGGAGGGGAAGGCAGGGGATACACGTTGAGGAGAGGGGAGAGAAGGGGAGGGGAAAGGAGGGGAGGGGAGAGGAGGAGGGGAGGGGAGAGGAGGAGGGGAGGGGAGAGGAGGAGGGGGGGGGAGAGGAGGGGAAGGAGAGGGAAAGGGGCCCTGGAGTGAGCCTCAGGTGTGGCACACTTACTTGTTGCATAGAGGATGTGAAGAAGGCAGCAAAGGAGGCAGAGAAGGAGTGGTGAGTAGGAGCAGAGGAAAATGAGAAGAATGTGGTTTCTAGAAAGCAAGATGAGAGCTGTTCAAGAAGGAAAGTAGTTAGCTCTCTTGAATACTCCCAACAGTAATAGGAAGAGAGCAAAGTGTCCAAAATATATTTTATTTTAAAAAATTAACCTCACAGGTTTTCAGGAACATATGTATTACATGAACAGAAGCAATCTTTTCTCAGATAATTTTATTTATAATTAATTAATATAAGTACCGATTTAATTAACTTTAATTAAATGTGTGCAAAGGGCTGGGCGCGGTGGCTCATGCCTGTAATCCCAGCACTTTGGGAGGTGGAGGTGGGCGGATCACCTGAAGTCAGGAATTCAAGACCAGCCTGTCCAACATGGCGAAACCCCATCTCTACTAAAAATACAAAAATTAGCCGGACGTGGTGGCTGGTGCTTGCTTGTAATCCCAGTTACTCGGGAGGCTGAGGCACGAGAATCGCTTGAACCCTGGAGGTGGAGGTAGCAGTGAGCCGAGATCGCACCACAGCACTCCAGCCTGGGTGACAGAGAGACTCCGTCTCAACAGAAAAAAAAAATGTGTGCAAAGACATTCAATGAGAATCAGAGTTGGCTTGACTGGGATGAGGGAAAGCAGATGGCTGTCACTCAAGGACCTCCCTGGCCACCTTACCACAGGACTTTGCTTCTCTGTAATTAGCTGGATGACTGTGAGCAAGCCCCTTCCTTTTTACAGGCTTCCATTTTTATAACTCTAAAGCGGGGGAGTAGACCATCCAGCTTGTAAATTCCCTTCCATCTTAAGGCTGCACTGATTCTATGATCCCAGCTAGAAGCATTTATCCAGTCTTTTCTTATTGAAATTTATTAACATTAATTTTTTTTTTTAAACTTGGTTTTGGTTCCAAAAATTTGCTTAAGATTAGTGTTGCCTGCCTTAATGTGCAAAAAAAAAAAAAAAAAAAAAAAAAAAGAAAAAAGAAAAGAAAAAGAAAACAATTTCATTTCTGACTTTTCATGATTCCAGGAAAAGCAGTGTCAGTAGCAAGACACAAGATCCCTATTTTCAGACTGCTATTATTTCTATGGCATCTTAAAGCCTGTTCCATGTTATAAATTAAGTTTTACTTTATGAGGGTACATTGTGACCAAGACGCCTAAGATAAGACTTCCTCGTCTTTTGAACTTCCCCATATTTTGGCTCTATGGCACTGGCCAACTCCAAGATCTGAACTTTCTATCAAGAAGGTACATGTTGAAAGTGATTTGTCACCAGGCCATGAGGGCCACACTCAGGAGTCGGACCAAACTTTGATGATCTACACATGGCAAAGGTAGAGACCGGGAAATGCAGTTCCAGAAAAATCTTTTTTTTCAGTCTGTTTCAGCCCTCATGAATACTTCCAAACTATCTTTTAAATAGATAGTAAAAACTGTAGAAAATTGTATTAATAGCTTAAGTCATGTGTAGTCATAAGAGATAAATGATTAACAGCACAGGAAGCTAATAAACGACCAGCTGACTAATACGCCCTGGGGAAATGTAGTTGCTGAAGGCCTAAGCGATAAATGTCGCCATCACTTTTTAACAGATAACTAAGACTTCCTAACCTTTCCTGGTAGTCAAGACTATTTTAGGGATGAAATTCTTAAAGTAACAAGCATTACTAGAAAATGGAATTATTAGGTTGGTGGAAAAGGAATTGTGATTTTTGTCTATGAAAATAATGGCAAAAACTGCAATTACTTTCACACAAACCAAATAATTTAGATCCAGTGACTTATTTTCTTTCCCTGAATTTACTTTTTGAAATTCTCCTTTTTGTTAATTCCAGTGATAGGCTTGTCAGCCCCCTGAGAAGAGCAAGTTAAAGATTTTCCGTCTCACCTTTGAGGTATGTGTTAAGCAGATAGAAAACACGAGGCCTCTTAAACCATCAGTGAGTGACGATACCTAACTGGGTGCCATGTCCCAGTAGGTGTTGAGTAGACAGCCGAGAAAACAAACGCACACACAAAGAGGAATCATGTGCTCGGTGGATGTAAAAAATGAACAGGGATAAAAATTGAAAAGGCATGGTGTCTACACCTAAGTAAAAAAAAAAAAAAAAAAAAAAAATTGAAAGGTACCATTTTCCTCCTAGCAAATATAAAAATCCCCATATAAATGAGGACTCCTTTACTTTTTCTTTTTTTTGAGCGGGGGCAGTGGGCGGTGGCATGAAGTCTTGCTCTTTTGCCTAGGTGGAGTACAGTGGCGTGATCTTGGCTCACAGCAACCTCTGCCTCCCAGGTTCAAGTGATTCTCCTGCCTCAGCCTCCCAAGTAGCTGGGATTACAGGCATGCACCCCCACACCCAGCTAATTTTTGTACTTTTGTAGAGACAGAGTTTCACCATGTTAGCCAAGCTGGTCTCAAACTCCTGACCTCAAGTGATCCACCCACCTCTGCCTACCAAAGTGCTGCAATTACAGGCATGAGCCACCGTGCCTGGCCTCCTTTTCTTTTTTTTAGTTTTTTTTTTCTCATTGTATATATTAAGGTACCCAACATTATGTTTTGAATTACATATACTGGCAAAATGATTACCACAGTGATGATCATCTCATCTCACACAGTTACCTTCGTGTGTGTATGTGTTGTGGGGGGGAGGTTAAGAGCACCTAAAATCTACTTTCTTAGCAAATTTCCAGTATGCAATATAATATTATTAACTGTGACCTTTCTGTTGTACATTAGATCTCCAGACTTATTCATCCTACATATCTGCAACTTTTTACAATTTGACCTATGACTCCCCATTCCCTTCACCTCTGGTAACCACGCTTTACTCTCTGTTTCTATGTATTTGGCTTTTAAAAAGATTCTACACATAAGTGAGATCATGAAGTATTTTTCTCTCTCTGTCTGGCTTATTTCAGTTTGTAATATCTGAGCTCCCATGTTCATTGCAGCATTATTCCAACTGCCAGGGTATGGAAACAACTGAAGCGTACATTGATGGATGGGTGGATAAAGACATTATGGCATACATATACGTATATAAAAAAATAGGGCATTATTTAGCCTTAAAAAAGAAGGAGATTCTGCTATTTGTGACAGTGTAGATAAACCTCGGGGATTCCTTTTCTACATAAATACATTCATGATATTAATTTATTGTTGGTTCAGTGTCATTAGAGGAATAGGAAGCCCTATTAAGGCAAGGTTTGTTTAAAACTAATTAGTACAATAAAGACCATTAAGTTGAAAGGAACATTTTTATTTGGTTGAAAAGATATGCAAAAGCCTTCTTGTACAAAATTCAACTGCATTGTGTAGGCATGTGAACATTGCTCAACACCAACAATATTAAAACCCCAGAGGCCTAGTTATAGATATTATATACACTGCTGGATTTTCAATTTGGTGAAATTGTGTCTAGGGCAACCACCCAAGGTGAGGGTGTCCTGTGGTCCATAGTCAAGCTGCCTGAGGGTGGTTGGAATAGAGGTGAAGGCCAGAAGTCAGAACACCTTGGGTTGGCAAGGTTCCCTATAGCTGTACTATTGAGTTGAAAGAAGGTTTTGGTATTTCAAGGTTATTATAACCCTCCTCTGCATTTCATTCCAGTTGATAACCTCTAGATGTTCTATAAATATCTGTTTAAACCAAACTCACCTGCTTACCTGCCTACTATGTTCTGGGCACTATGCAGATTCTAACAATGTAAGTGATAAAGTCATTATTGGTATCATTGATTGTATCATTGGTGAAAAAGACATAGAAGCATCATTTCCTACAATGTGGAAGGTGCTATGGTGTAGGCAAACCTGCTGTTAGGACTGTGTGCACCAGGGCACTTATTCTGGTATGGGGGAGTTACCATACCATAGTTCAAATTTTGGCCAATGGGAGGTTGAAAACAAGAAGGATCCAATAAATCAATACCTCACTCCTCCTTCTTTTAAGTAGCTCTTCTGAGGTGCAGGGATTTCATATTACCTCTGAGATGTATCACACAGGACTGAGCAGCTGACTTTTCTGGAAAGGCTGTGCCTACTCGGTAATATAATATTTGCTTGAGCTGCATTTGCTGTTGGTCCTTTCCTGTCTCATATTGTTTACTCTCAATTTTGCTGTCCTGGGATTGTACCCCCTGTTAATGTGTTTGCATATACTTTATCTTTTTTTCTAGAGAATTGGAGCTAAGATACTCTTTTTTAAATGTTTGGAATATTATCCCTGGGTGCTATGGGGTACATAACCTAAGGTGAATATGAGTTGAGGAGGGTTGGGGAGGGAGATGAAATCAGGAAAGGCTTCCAGAAGGAGGTGACCCTGGAATAGGGTTTATAAGGAAGAGTAAGACACAGTTGTGCAAAGTGGGGTTGATAAGAGAAGATGAAACAACATGAGCAAAAATACAGGGACATGGAGCTATGGGATAAGATTTCTAATTGGAAAGCTAGTAGAAGAGGTGATGTCTTGAAGTCTTAATTACATTACTGCTGGGGCAGAGAAAAGTCTGCTTTAACCTCTCTCTCCATTAAGCCTTCCACTAAGGAGGAGATAAGAAGTGAGAAGATGGCCGGTCGCGGTGGCTCACGCCTGTAATCCCAGCACTTTGGGAGGCCGAGGCGGGTGGATCATGAGGTCAGGAGATCGAGACCATCCTGGCTAACAAGGTGAAACCCCGTCTCTACTAAAAATACAAAAAAATTAGCCGGGCGCGGTGGCGGGCGCCTGTAGTCCCAGCTACTCGGGAGGCTGAGGCAGGAGAATGGCGTGAACCCGGGAAGCGGAGCTTGCAGTGAGCCGAGATTGCGCCACTGCAGTCCGCAGTCCGGCCTGGGCGACAGAGCGAGACTCCGTCTCAAAAAAAAAAAAAAAAAAAAGAAGTGAGAAGATTTAGGAATACCCTGGAGTTTGTACCCCAGTGGACTGAGCATGGAACCTGGCTCACAGGCATAAACCCCTTAATGTTGGCTCATACAATGGGGACTTTTTGTTTGGTTTAATTTGTTGCCCATCACTTTTATGTAAAAATGAGAAACTTTATTTGCCTTGAAAAATCAGATCCTCTATATAAAATCAAATGATAAGGGCTGAGCAGCACATGCCCACTTGGATGAAGCATGAGTGCTCAATTCCATGCAGTCCCCACCACTCCCTGATCTGGCTCCTGTTACTTATTCACATTACATGAACTGCCTGGCCTCTTGAGCATCAGAGTTTGCAATTCTGGGAATTCACTCAATATTGGGTACTTTTGAAGAGCTATAGGAAACATGTCTACATATCCCAAAGATATACAATACAAAGATGAGGGTGGTAATAACCACTGTATTCAGTTTACTTGGCCAATAAGATAATTTGTTCTCTACAATGAAAACTATAAAACAGTGATGAAAGAAATTGAAGAGGACACTAATAAATGGAAAGATATCCTGTGTTCATGAATTAATGTTAATTAATTATGTTAATATGTTAAAATGTCTATACTACCCAAAGTGACCTACAGATTCAATGCAAATCCTATCAAACTACCAAATGACATTTTTCACAGAAATAGAAAAAACAATCCTGAAATTCATAAGGAACCACAAAAGATCCTGAATAGCCAAAGCAATCTTGAACAAAAAGTATAAAGTTGGGAGGCCTCATACTATCTGACTTTAAAATATACTACAAAGCGATAGTAACCAAAATAGCATGGCCCTGGTATCACAGGATCTGTAGGGTGTCACTTTTCCACCTGGAAACCTCTGTGGCTGGTGGAAACTTTGCCTGGTTTTGCTTGGGCTCACTGGGCTCATTTCACCCACTCGGCCTGGCAGGCTACACTCAGGAGTTCTACTGGACCAGATCCCATGCTTGCCAAGGGTGTGCCAGGTGTGGAGTGCTGAGGGGTGTGTGAGTGAGTGCAGGGTCTGGCCACTGCGTACAGCCAGGTGTGCTGGCTGCAGCGGGGCAGGCAGCTCCAGGTGCTGGCACAAGCACTGGGTTTGTGCTAGGCTGTGGCTGGACCAGGTGTACAGCAAAATGGTTAGACTGTGGGCACCAGGAAATGCGGTGGTGCCCGGAAGGGAAGTTTGGAGATGTTAGGAACCGCAGAGCCCCAGGAGGGTTTCACAGCCCTGGCTTGGAAGCCTCTAGGTCTGGGCTCCCCAAAGGGCTGCAGCTCTTCTCTCTTTCTTGTTGCCTGCAACTTGGCAAGCCAGGGGCCTGTTTCAGCCTTGTTTGTGTTACAGCTCTTTCAGTCCCACCATTCGGTGGGTCCCGAATTGTTGTCCCATGTCCAAGAAGAATGAGGTATGCAAACAACTGGAGGGTGAGCAAGGCAGAGAGGAGCTTCGTTGAGTGACAGAACAGCTCTCAGGAGACCCAATGTTGGTAGCTCCTTTCTGCAGGCAAGTTGTCCTCATGAATGTCCAGCTCTCAGTGGAGAGGAGACCTGCAGTGGGTAGCTCCTTTCTGCAGGCAGGTTGTCCCAATGTCTGTGTGAGTCTGACTGGGTCTGGGGTTTTTATGGGCTCAGAAGGGAGGAAGTGCATGCTTATTGGACGATGGGTGGCCATGGGCAGGTCTGGAAAAAGCACCATAAGTTCTCACTCCAGGCCATGGACTCCACCTGGAACTGATGGCCTGGCACCTAGGCTACACGCTGGCCCTGGATTGAAAGTGGAGCTTCACCAGGGACTCACTCCTTTCCACCTAGGAGCCTGTCTGCCTCCTGCTGCCATCGACAGGTTGTCCATGGCACCCAGGCTGTTCATGCAGAGGGGCGCCTGTAGCCCCACGCCAACCTGCCCTCAGCCCCCCTCAGTCTCTGTCCTGTGCTCATCAGTGTCCAAAGTCCAGAGGGGGCTGAGGCAGCAAGAGGCTGGCGTGTCTGCACCACCCTGAGTGCATGCACAGCTGGCCAGATTGTGATGGTGCCCAGGCTGGGCCACAACTTTGCTCTGAAATCCGAGTGGGTGCAGGAAGCCACAAGAGGCCAGGGAAAGGGAGCAGGCACTTCTAAGCCTGTGGGGGAAGTGGGGCTTACCAGGCCCCTGAGAAAGCAGGGATACCAAGGTCTGAAGCTGCAGCTGACCGGCTGCAGCTGTGACAGGGAGCATGGGATTTCCATCACTTTAACTCAGTAGGAGGTGGGCTCCCGCCTGTTTTGCCCCTACTGGCTCCACAGAGCTCTGTGCACAGCCTCTGCCATGCCTCCCCTGCTGCAGCTGGCATCCTCACAGCTGCTGCTCCAGACAGGCCACTGCCACCATCACTGGCATAAAAACAGTCACATGGACCAATAGGACAGAATAGATAACCCAGAAGTAAATTCACACAAGAGAGATTGGCTAAAGGGTACAAAAATACAGTCAGATAATGGGAATAAGTTCACATTAGGGTGACAATAGTTAACAATAATTCATTGTATACTTCAAAATAGCTGGAAGAGAAGATTTGAAATGTTTCCAACACAAAGAAGTGATAAATGTTTGAGGCAATGGATATCCCTTATTACCCTGATTTAATCATGACACAATAAATGTATGTATCAAAACATCACATGTACCTTATAAAGAGGTTCAATTATTATCAACAAAAATTTAAAATTAAAATTAAACAGAAATAAATCCCCATTTTTATAGCCAACACACACATTGCCAAGCGCACACATGGGGAAAGGACTGTCTCTTTAATAAACAGTGCTGGGAAAACTGAATAGCCATATGCAGGAGAATGAAACTAGATTACTATCTCTCACTGTTGAAAAAATCAACTTCAGATGGATTAAAGACCTAAATGTAAGACCAGAAACTAATAAAGTACTAGAAGAAAACACAGGGAAAATGCTTTATGACATCAATCTGGGCAAGAGTTTTTTGGATAAGACCTCAAAAGCACAGGGAACAAAAGCAAAAATAGATGTAGGAGATTACATCAAGCTAAGAAGCTTCTGCACAGCAAAGGAAATAATCAACACAGTGAAGAGACAACCTACAGAATGGTTAATATCTAGAATACATAACAAGCTCAACTCAATAGCAAAACAAAAACAAAAACAAAAACAATCAGATTTAAAAATGGGCAAAAGATCTGAATAGACATATCTCAAAGGAAGATATGCAAATGGCCAACAGGTATATGAAAAATTGCTCAACATAATTCATCATCAGGGAAATGCAAGTCAAAATCACAATGAGATATAACCTCACCCCAGTCAGAATAGCTATTACCAAATAGACAAAACAATAAATGCTGGCAAAGATGTGGAGAAAGGAGAAGTCTTATACACTATTGGTGGGAATGTCAATTAGTACAACTACTATGGAAAACAGCATGGAGTTTCATCAAAAAGTTAAAAATAGAGCTACCATATAACCCAACAATCCCACTAGTAGATACATATCCAAAGGAAATAAAACCAGTATGACAAAGAGATAACTGCACTCCCATGCATATTACAGCACTATTCATAATAGCCAAGATATAAAATCAACCTAAGTGTCCATCAGTGGATGTATTAGTCTGTTCTCATGCTGCTGATAAAGACATACCCAGGACTGGGTAATTTATAAAGAAAAAGAGGTTTAATGGACTCACAGTTCCATGTGGCTGGGTAGGCCTCACAATCATGGCAGAAGGTGAAAGGCACATCTTACATGGTGGCAGGCAAGAGAGAGCTTGTGCAGGGGAACCCCTCTTTATAAAACCATCTGATCTCGTGAGACTTATTCAGTATCACAGGAACAGCATCGAAAAGACCTGCCCTCGTGATTGAATGACCTCCTACCAGGTCTCTCCCACAACACATGGGAATTATAGGAGCTACAATTTGAGATTTGGGTGGGGACACGGCCAAACCATATCAACTGATAAATAAATTTTAAAAATATACACAATGGAACCCTATTCAGCTATAGAAAAGAATGAGATCCTGTCATTTTCAATAACATGAATGGACCTAGAGGACATTATGTTAAGTGAAATAAGCCATGAACAGAAGGACAAATACTGGATGACCTCAGTCATATCCACATATGAATCTAAAGAAGTTCATCCTGTAGAAGTAAAGAGTAGAACAGTGGTTATCTGAGGCTGAAGAGGGGAGAGGGAGATGGGAGAGGTTGGTCCACCTAGATAGGAGGAATAAGTTCTGGTGTTCTATTGCACAGTAGGGTGATTATAGCAAACAATGATGCATATTTCAAAATAGCTAGAAGAGGATTTTGAATATTCTCATCACAAAGAAATGACAAATGTTTGAGGTGATGGATATGCTAATTGCTCTGAGTTGATCATTACACAATGTATACATGTATTGAAACATCACATTGTACCCTATAAATATGTACAATTATTATGTGTTAATTGAAAAAATTTTTTTGAAGAGCCAACTTTTTTTTTCAGACTCAACTTTTTGTCAAGGTTTGACCCAGCATAAAGGAGCTAGAAATGCAGTATGCTAAAAAGGCACTGGCCTGGGTTCTAATCCTGACCTAGCCATGGCTGCGTTGTGCAGAACACAACTTTTGTGAGTCTCAGTTTCCTCATCTATAAAGTAAGAGTGTATCTGCCAGGGTTTTATTTGCAAACGATAGGAGCTGACACTGGCTGAATTAAGGATTTTTGAAAAAAGATTTACTAAACAATATAGGATCTCTCAACAAACATCTGAGAAGGCTACAGAACCAGGTCTGGAACTTCAGAGTCAGGAACAACACCAAAAACCATACACCAAAATTGGACAAGTGAGAAAATCCCTGCCACCTCAGCTGCCCAGGGCTGGATGTCCCTGCAGCCCCAGGAGCTCATCTTATTGGGACTGAGAAGATTCACACAGTCCCTGCTTCCTTTCAGCACCAGCTTCGGATTCAGACTCAAGCATGAGCATATCTGATCAATGCAGCTGAGGTCACATGCTCAGGTGTTAGGTGCAAAGGTAGCTGGGAGTGAGAATATTTGGCATTTATAGGGAGGTGGGTTCAGCCAAATGAATGGCAAAAAATCCCATAGAAAGGGGTTGGATATCTAAGTTCCTCTCTAAATCTGAGGCTGTGCATACCACTGATTTTCAGTAATTGCTGCGTCTCTGCCAATGGAGCACATGTGAGATGATTTTAGTTGGAACATACAAAAACCTTTACTTTGATAGCACTGCATTATTTCATGTATTTTAGGAAAATACAATTAAGATATCAAACCTGTGAATGACACAAAAGATTTGTACAAAGTGTGACAATTTAAAGAAGAGTCTTAAGTAAATGATAGTTTAGATGATACTCAAAAAATCGTATTATTCTTCAAATGACTGAGATTTTGGAAACTGGTCTAGGTAAATGCACATCTCTAAATTCCTTTTTGTGCCAAGTAATAGTAATAATATTGATGATAACAGTGATAACAAAAGTTTATACTTTTTAGTGTTGTGGGCCAGACTCTCTTCTAAGCACTTGACATGACTTGTGGTTTTTTTTTTTAACAGCATACCAACCTTATGAGACAGTTACTATTACTATCCCCATTTTACAGATAAGGAACCTGAGGCACAAAACAGTTAACCAGAAGTCACTCAGTACACAGTCAAATGGGGAGGTGAATTCAGGCCACTACCTTCTACCTGACAACGATATGAATAGATTGGACATGGCTTCCTGTAAAATTATTGTACCTAATATCTTAGCACTAATTGAGATTAGGGGTCAGAAGCATAAAGTGAATGCTTTTACAGTGCATTTTCATGCCAAGTGGTTTGTCATCTAGAGCAGGGTTCTCATCCTTCACTCTATTGACACTTTGGGCCAGATGCTCTTGATTGTGGGGGACTGTTGTATACACTGTAGCACAGCATCCCTGGCCCCTATCCATTAGATGCTAGTAGCACCTTCTCCAGTTGTAACAACCAAAAATGTCTCTGGACATAGCCAAATGTCCCCTGGGGACAAAACTGCCCCCAGTTGAGAACTACTGGTTTAGGGAGTCTGAAGTGTCTTAGTGAAGAGTCCATTAACAATCATCAGCATGATGCAATGGTGTGACCAATTTGCTCTGGTATGTTACCTTGTGTATTCTCTCACAGTACCATGTCATTATCTGTTAATAGCAGGTGTGCTTAGCTTCTCATATCAGCAATAAATATATGGTACCAGCTTGTACCAGCTATTGGTTTTCCATGCAATGTGTGGTGAATCTTTAACTTTATGGCTTACTTATCAATGGAACAATAAGCTTCTGATTTCCCTTGAATCCAGTGGCCACACACGGAGCAAGAAACTCTAAAGGTCCTCAATCTCTTTAAATATTTAAGCCAGCCCACATTTCTTTCCCTGACTTGGTGTTTTGTCACATTTGGAATTTTTTTTCGTTCTATGTAAACATAGGACAGATTATAAACTTAGCACACTCTCCATATTTAAATATGTTCATCAGGATTTTAAAGACAAGAATTAAAACAATGATCATGATATAATAATATATCATAAAACACTGAAGAGCTAAAAAATAAAAGGATAAATTATCACGTAGGTGGGGCTTTCTGGTCATTGACACGAGTCTAGCAAGAATGTCGCTTTATTCTTTTTATTTTAGTGTACCTTTTTCTTCCCTTACATTGCCCATATAGTCTCTGGAAGCCAAAACACCTTTTCCTCCAGTCCCTTCAGATCTATCCCGTGTTAAAACCCAGCATAAAAGCCACCTCTTTCATAATTGCTTCTAGAGGCCTTAATGAGAAGCTTCCTTTCCTTCTACTAGCATCTTGTACCAATCATTACTTTCTACTTTATATTCCACTGGGTTATAGACCTGGATTCTCAAGCCTACTAGACTGTAAATTATTTAAGGGTAAAGATCATGCCTTGTTCATCTCTGTGTCCCCAAATGCTTAATGTAGCACCTTGCACATAGAAATAGTTCAGTCCTGAAATAAGGTATCCTTTTGTTAAATTAATCCTTCTCAGATTAATTTCAGATTTCTAGAATCACAAAATCAATATTTGGCAGCAAGGCATAATCAGTTACAAACACTATTTTGTTGTTGGACTCTGAGAATCAGGGTTATGGGGGGATCTCAGTGTCAACCTCTCCATCCTCTTCCCTTATTTACAGAGTAAGAGATTTTCCCCTGGGATTTTTCTTTAGCCCTAAATATTTAACTGCTTTCTGTCTCTTTCACACTTGAGAATTAATCACAATCTTTGGTATTCACTTCAGTGGTGGAGTCCATGAAGCAATCTTTAGCCCTATACTCTTTGTAGCCTGGGTCAGAATTATCTGCCTAAAATAATCCCACCAAAACTTTGATTCTTTAAAAGATTCACAGTTCCCATCAGAGATAGGCTCTTCAGTAAGTCATAGTTTTGGTCCTCTTGGTTATTTCTCTTTCTGAGTGATCCGTGAAAGCCTGCTTTCCTTCACCTCATGACAGGCTCTGCTGTGTGACAGCCAGGGATGCTAATGTGTGGATACTGATGCTATCTTAGCAGGCAGACAGCGAGGGATTATCACTCCAGTTCAGTCTTGCTCCTTATCTCCCATGTGCGGAAAATAGGTCTTGCTTCAGACTAAAGCTGGTAGTTGTTTTGGGTTGAAAATGTTCATATGTGACTAATCATATACACAAAGAAAATGTGGCTGCTTTATTTCCTGAAGTGGACCTAATCATTCTTACACTGTCATTCCACTGGCTAGTGGTGGCAGTCGGGGAAGCTTAAATCTATCAATTGAAAGGCTCTTATTTGGCCTCTTTCTGTTTAAATATAGTCATCTCACTGGGAGTATGGTTTCTACTGGAGATGCTCTCTCTTGAAGATTTCAACTTCCTCCCCTGTTTCCCCCCAAGATATGCCAATGGGAGCTAAAAGAATTCAGAAAACCCTTTCTCAACAAAGCCTGGCTTTTAAGCCTACTGTCTTGCTCAGACTCAAAAATCCTAGTTTCTATTTCAAAAGCTGAACTTTGACTTTGTCTTGGGCTTTCTTTGTAATAATCCTTATTTTCTCAAAGGCAAATAGATGTCTCTGGCTTCTTGATTAATCTTTTTCTGACTTTTGTTTTCCTGGGCCTACTTTTACCAGGTACACAGTTCAGCTAGCTTTCTATATCCCTAAAAAAAAGAAAAGAGAAATAAAATATTATCCATTAAGGCTATATCATTTCTAAAAACATGTGGTAATTAATGACTTTATTAAATCTAAAAGAAAGAGAAGTCAACATTTCTGTTCTTCAGAGAGAAGAAATGCTTACGTAGACCTGGCCAAGAAATAGCCAATTTATGTTTTTCCAGGATTAGTTGTAGTTGTAGCCAAGAAAGTGTCCTATCTCTCACTCACATCTTGTTTATAGAGGTCACGAAACAATCCTACTATACTTGAACTTAATCCCTAATCACAGTTTACACTAGTAGACAAATTTGTATTTCTTGTTAGACAGTTAAGAGATTACGTGTTGCTAAAGGTGTAAAGTTTGAATGGTGTAATGTAGAAGGAAACAAAAACAATTTCATTTTAGCCAAGTTCCAAGGCATTGTAACAATATACCCAAATAAGCTAAAAAGATCCAAGTTGGCCCGGTGCCATCTGTGTAACACATACTCAGATAATTTCCATATTGGTCCAATAGTGTGTAATTCTTTATTTATCTCCCAGTTTTCCTGATTGTTATCAAGGGGTAGAGAAATTATTTCCTTGGTCTACATGAATGTTGAATAGATGGCTGCTTACTTCTTACACTAAAAGCTTAGATTGGGTAATTGTTTTGCATATGCAAAAATTATTATATGCAATCATGGAATTATTGAGTTGTAGAGTTAGGATTGGACATTAGAAGTTATCCTTGTTCAGTCTCCTCATTTTACAAATTCATTTTAGCAAATGCTTATTGAGTACCTGAGGCCCAAAGAGGCCTGATAAATGGTGGTCAACTTTTGTTGTACATTGGAATTACCTGGGGATATTTTTTTAAAATGCAGCACCGAGCTTATCCCTCGGAAAGATTTCACTCTGTCACCCAAGCTGGAGTGCAGTGGCCCTTTGAGGCTCATTACAGTCTCAAACTCCTGAGCTCAAGTGAACCTCAGCCTCCCAGTGATCTTTGTAGACAGCCTGATGGAGTCTCACAGCAGAGATTAATTAAACAATGTCTTCCAATTTTAATAAATTTCTGCAATCCGCCTCCCAAAAAATGCAGCATCTAGACTTTAACCCCAGAAACTCTGACATAGTTGACCTGCTGTGAGATCTAGACATTTGTAGTTTAAACAACTTTTCAGGCAATTCTTATGCTCCTAGTACTACCCCCACCCTTTTAAAAAACTGGCATTCAAGTTATTTATTCTGCATCTTATCCCTTCAAGATTACCCATATACTTACATTAACTAACTTGAGGAAGAAATGTAAAAAAAAACGAGAACCCTCCAGATGGCATTCACTTCCACTGGGCTTCATCATCTTATGCCTTTTGCCTGTTTTTCCAGCTAGTCCAACCTTTTCTAAAAAATAAAATTGATGGCCGGGCGCAGGGGCTCACGCCTGTAATTCCAGCACTTTGGGAGGCCGAGGCGGGCAGATCACAAGGTCAGGAGTTTGAGACCAGCCTTGCCACCATGGTGAAACTCTGTCTCTACTAAAAATACAAAAAATTAGTCAGGCGTGGTGGCAGGTGCCTGTAATCCCAGCTACTTGGGAGGCTGAGGCAGGAGAATCACTTGAACCCAGGAGGCGGAGGTTGCAGTGAGCCGAGATCGTGCCATTGCACTCCAGCATGGGCTACAGGGTGAGACTCCGTCTCAAAAATAAATACATAATAAAATAAAATAAAATTGAGTACCGATAAGGAATACCTCCCTATTCACTCAAAATGTGATTTTACTCCTTGTCATGGATACTGTGACAATATTTTCAATTAAGTATAAATCATGCTTTGTAGCTGACCAACTTATCCTGTCTACCTGAGCTACGAAGCGGCACAAATGGTGACCTTGAGATTGTACAAACCTCAATTGGACCACTTCCCAGTGGGCGGGCCTAAGTACAACAAGTATTATTATTTACTGTAGACAAATTAGAAAATGAATTTCACGGACTTTAAGGCCTGAGGGAATGGCTTGGGTTAAAGTCAACAGTTAGATACGGGAAAGTGGAATTTGCAGGTTTTAAATATAGAATTGTTGTGTGAGATCAGCCCCTGGTGGTCACCTTAACTATTACAATTGTTTGGCGTTTGTATTGAGGTGATGAGGCTTGATATTGGAATGCTCATTTCCACCTCAGATCACTAATGTCCTAAACACAAACTGACTTCAAATGGCAGAAATATAATGTTCTCTATAGTATACATGGATATGGAATGTCAATCTTTCAAAGGCTCTGTGGCAGGGCATCTCTCTGACTCTCTAAAACAAGCTGTAGTTTTTCAGTTGTTTTCCATCAATTGCAAAAGAAAGTCCTAGAAACTCTTTAGTGTAAAGAAAAATGTCCCTGCATTTTTTTGCCTCTTCCAACCTCTGCGTCCTCACATCCTGATTCTTCAGAATTCCATTCAGTGTCCAGATGAAAAGTTTTCCAGGTAAAGAAGGAGGGATAAGCATTCCAGAAACCGGTATTCTCTATGCAGAGATTCAAAGGGATTAAACCATAGGGCATGTTTAGGAGGATTGCAAATGTCTTAGTCTTTCTGAAGTGTGTGAGGCAAGAGACAATGGACACCTAAACTTTCCAGCCTAGCTAAAAAGTTTTCTTTGCTTTCCACAAAGACAAGGCTACAAAATTATTTTTCACTCCAAAATAAACAAAGCATAACTGACAGCTTCCATGAAAGGGAGGCAGTAGGGAGAAGTGGGGAATACGGCCCCCGGGAAAGCCTGTGTCCTAAGCGAGGCAGCCTAGCCTCTTCTCAGCTTCACTGTCTAGTATGAAGGAGGGTGATGCTGCAGGACTTTCCAAAGTTTCAAGAGAATCCCCAAATCTGGACTTTTATGAAAATTCTGCTCCTATGCAACATTTATTGTTCATTCAATATTACTGAGTGCCTACTATGTGCTGACCTAAGCCGAGGACACAGCAGAGAACAAAACAGGCAAAAGCCCCTATCATTTGGGAGCTTCCTGTCTGATGGGAGAGACAATTTTAAAGATTAAGTCATTTACTGACTATATTAGATGGTAATAAGTGCCATCTCCACTTTATGGAGAAAAATAATGCAGGGGAGGAGGATGCAGAGGGTTGGAGATATGTTACGATTTTGAATAAGGTGGTCAGGGAAGGCTTAACTGAGAAGTAGCACTTGAGAGCTCAGGTATCACATAACTAGTTCATGCATTCAATACAATCAATGGTATTTATTGAGCACTTATTATATATGATGCATGATTCTAGGTCCTAGAGATAAACTGATGAACAAGAAAGCAAAGTCCTTCCTTCCATGCAGAGACAGACAACAAGCAAGGAGCCAAACAGGATAATGTTGGACAGTAATTCCTTACAATGAAGGACATGAACAAGGTAATGAGAGAGGTAATGAGGTTAGAGGGAGGTTGAGGGGAGAAGTGGCTAGGTTGGACAAGGTAGTTGGAGAAGGCCACTCTAAGTGACAGCAGGTGGACTCAAAGGAACCTGCTGTGCAAAGGTCTGGGGAAAGGCATTCAAGGTGGAGGGGATTAGAAGGGTAAAAACTGGGAGGTGGGAACAAGCAAGGCTAAGGTGTCTGGCATGGAGATAAAATGGTTCATGGAACAGAGCAAATCATATACGGTATGGAAACCCACGACTAAGGTCGGACTCAGGCAAAATTGTGAAACAGAAAAATGTTACAGTGACTCCCTTTCCTCTCTTTTTTCTGGACACCATTTCCTCCCCTACAGGTGCTTCTCTAGCCTCATTTCATCCCTAAGCTCTATCTCTTTCAAACTTGCTCTCAGAAAAGGATGTGACAGCTCATGTATACTTAAAAAATAATAAGGCTTAAAGGGAATTATTCCTCCTAAGGGCATTTAATCACAATGACTTTAATTATAACATTTGATGCATCAGCTATTTGGGTGTTGGAATATTTTATTGTTGGGGAGTATATTAATTTCCTATTGCTGATGTAACAAATTACTATAAATTTGGTGCCTTGAAATCACACACATTTATTATCTTACATTTCAGGAGATCAGAAGCTCAAAATGGCTCAGCAGGGCTGTGCTCCTTTTGGAGAATCCATTTCTTCCAGTTCCTAGAAGCTGTTCACATTCCTTGGCCTGTGGCCCTGTATCACTCTGATCTCTGCTTCTGTTGTCACATCACCTTCTCTAACTCTGACCCCCTGCCTCCCTCTAATAAGGACCTCGTGATTATCTTGAACCCACTTGGATAATTCAAGATTATCTCCTCATGTCACGATGCTTAACTGCATCTGCAAAGTCCCTTTTACCATATAAGGGGCAAATTCACAAGTTCTAGGCATTAGGATGTGAACATCTTTGGGGACTATTATTATTCCTACCACAGGGCATGACATTCTGGAGTCTATGAGTGGGGTCATTAGATGGCTCCCTATTTTCAGGTAGTTTCTGCTCATTATTTCTGTTGGAATTTTGGGAATGAAATAGTTCTGTAGTCTTTCTAAAGGGCCAATTGCCTAAGCTAGTTGGGCAGTTTTCCTCAATCTGATCTTGTAAAGCCAGATAAGACTGAATTTCATTGCACTTGTTTGTGCTTTTGAACACTTTTTTTTTTTTTTTTTTTAACCCACAGTGTTAATTCGAATGGCAGCTTCTGGGATGGGACTTAAACACTCTGCAGTTTCTGACCTCTGTGGAATTTGAAAAGCCAAAGGTCTAGTAAAGTAAAAATTAGCAGGAGCCTCAGTCAGGGACGTAAAGGAAGGACATTATTGCTAAACGAAAAGGTGAGGTGCTGTAATGAGTGTCACATGTGGAGTCAGTCTAGTGAGCGACTGTTTCCAGCTTTCTGATGCTTGGGGAAGCAGTACTGTTCCTGAACTTCCCAGCAGAGGGGGTCATAGAGCCCTGTGGGTTAATTTACCGTCTTTGAACTCCTATCCTCTCAAAGACTGGTCCTTGGTGGGAAATGAGGCAGATCAGTACTTTAATAAGATTGTGTATTAAGCCAGAGTCCATCACTGGTTCCTGCTCGTAAGGGCTTGTTATTTGAATTCTTCCCATCCACATAGCTCTATCTCATTCCCATTTCCTCCTTCATGTGTCTGCTTTTCTCAGCTACTTGCCGAGTGAGAATCTTTTCTAGTCACAGGGTCGCATTTTCAAAGGTCTGTTTGCCTTATTAATTTAATGGGTGTAGGTTCACCTCTACTTATCCCACGTTCACTTTTATAGTTTTTGATGTGTCCACTAAACTCAATATAGTGAGTTTATCAGGCATTCACCTGCTGAACTGCTATCATTAGCTAAAATAATAGTTTACAGGGATTTTTTTAAGCTAAATTGACTTTAATTTTCATTGTTACTTATATTGCATTAGATCTAAGTTAGACTTTGGAAGAATATGGGTTCTTCCACACTTAGAACTGTAAAGCATTATTTTAGAGGATGTTTATGTCGTTGACTTTGAATGAACATTGTCTAAATTGGAACAGGAGGTAGAAGAGTTCAGTGAGTGAGAGCCTGAGTTGGGGAACTGAAAGGATGGCTCTGGAGTGAGGATAGCCTTCGGCTCCAGTTTGGCTCTGTCAGTGCTACCTGTGTGATCTTGCGAGCAAGTCATGAAGCCCTGCCAAGCCTCAGTCTCCTCCTCTATCAAACTGGGATAGTAAGTGGTTACTGTTGTAGGAATATCAGGGTTGTGAGGAATAATCTATTGTCAAGTCAAGGCCTTAATACATGGCGGGCAGGTAATCAATATTTGTTGAATAAATGTCTCACGGTTAGAGTTCAGTTAACCTTAGCTATGCTGATGAGGATCTGTAAACATAAGGTTCAAAGCACTTATCTTTGGGTTATTATAGTTGGATAATAGGAGACCAAAACATCTAAGCAAGGGCAGTGTGTACTTGTCACCTTTATTTCATCAGACATAATGGGGTTTCTGCTAAGCATCAGACTTGCCAGCTGTTGAGGTGTGAGCTAGGTATCTTATAAAAAGTTCTAAGTATACATCTCCCAGTATATAATAAAACATTATTTAAAACCATTGTTAAAAACTGAAAAACAGTTGCAATAACACTGAACTTGTCTCTGGTTGCTGCCAGGAATAATGGTCACGGGTTTGCTAAGGCAGCGTAACAACTTCTGAAAGAAATTATTCCCAAAGACCTTATCACTCAATCTGAAATTAAGACATGCTGGATTTTTGCTTTTAAGTGACTCTGGAGGCATTTGTGTGGAGCAGAATAAAGCAGAAACCGACAGGCTGCATGACAAAGTTGGCAAGGGTATCTCTCTGTCAGCCCTGTAGGCTGCCTCGACCTGTCAGCACCACTGTTTAAAATTTCAGCTCCCTGAATCCCTGCATTGTAAGAATTTGGATCTTCTTGGGAAGTGGAGCCCAATGACGTGCAGCACACCGCGGAAGGGAAGAGGGCTTACCAGACCTTTGCTCTCCCACTGCCCATGCTTCTCGCTCAACCCGGTGCGAGACCTGACTTAGAGATTATTTCTTTCTCCAGGGCCCTGGACCCGTCCCCGCAACCCCCCGCCCCGTCTCACTGGCCCGGGTTCCGGGCTGGCCTGTGGAGAACCCCCGCGAGCGCACCGCACTCCAATGTAAAGCCAGCCACTGCCGGCCCGCTTCCCAGGTCGCTTTTCTCTGAAAACCGACCCCAGTGCCTCCGGCTTTACAATTTGAGTAAACTGGGTCATCAGCAACGGCAACGCAGACCCAAGCGACTATCGCCGTTCATTCAGAGACTGAAACGGGGAGACGAAGCGCGCGGGCGGGGAACGCTCACCCGGGCACCTCCCGGTACCTCGTCGTCGCCCCGCCCCGCAGCCTGTAGAGGGCGTGGCTAGAGGCCAGTCCGTGCCCCGCCCCTCCGGCCGCGCGCCAGCGGGCGGAAGTGACGTGTGCCCAGAGCCATTTCCGGCGGCCCGAAACTAGGAAGAAACTTGGAGCTGTTCAGGCGATCCAGCCTCCAATCGCTGCTGCTCTTGTACTCGGTTGGCCCGGGCGGCGCTGAACTGTCGGGAGCCTAGGCCATGGGGCAGCCTGGGCCTTCTGCAGTGTGAGGCGCGGGGCCTCCCGCGTCGCTCCGCTGACAGGCTGCGGGCGGGCAGGCGGGAGGCGTAGTGTGGGTCGCGGTGGCGGCCCCGGCCGCCGGCCCTGGCCGCGGCATCATGAACATAGACGTGGAGTTCCACATCCGGCACAACTACCCCTGGAACAAGTTGCCGGCCAACGTGAGACAGGTACGGCCGGAACCTGGGACCGGGCCCCTGACGGATTCGGCCCGCCCAGCGGTCACCTGCTTGCCTCGCTCGCGGGGCCCGAGCGGGCTGCTGCCGGCTGACTCCCTTCCTTTACTCCTCCGTGGTCTTGGGGAGACGGACCTTCAGCCCAGGGCGAGGAGGGGACGGCTGTGGGGCCACAGGGCCAGGACGGGGCGATCGCTAAATGGGATGGCATGGTGTCCACAGGACTCGACTGGCGCCTTTGCCCGCAGGATACATTCAGCCAGGCACCTGCGATAGAGATTTTAAACACGGTCCTTGACCTCCGGAATTTCAGGATGGTGGGAAAGGGATGGGAAACAAATGAATACGATACAGGATGATAGCAGCTCATACACACCTGCATTGTAGTATATGTGAGAGCAGAGGGAGGGAGAAATTATCCTGGGAGAGTTGGAAGGATTTTTAAGGCAGGCACTTAAATTGGGCCTTGGAGGACGAATAAGAGTTAAATAAGAGGGAATAAAGATTTTTCCAGGGGGAGGGAAAGTCATTTTACAAAGCTTGGATGAGTGAAAGAACATGTCTCATGAGTAGCAAGTGACTGTATCACCAGAGTTTGGACTGACATGTTTGGAGTTGAAGTTTTTTGAGTGCGCGGGGCTGGTAGCAGATGAGCCTGGAAAAGTGGTCAGGGCCAGATTTTGAAGGTGCTTGTGTGCTTTGTTTTGTTGGACTTTATCCTCCAGACAAGATGGGTTTATCAGAGATGTTTCAACAAGAGTGACATGAGGTTTTTGAAAGTTAATTCTCGATTTTTTTAGTCTGTTTTACTCAATTGTTTAATAGATATTTATTGACCACCTACTAGGTGCTGTGCGTTGCTCTAGGTGCAGGTAATTTGCAACAGTCAACAAGACAAAGACTGCCTTCATGGAGCTTACATTTTACTAAAGAAAGACGTAAACAAATAAATGAATAAATACGTAACATAGCAGATGGTTTTAAGTCTTACGAAAGTAGTGATATGGGCTACAGATAACGCACTGCTGCTCTGGTCATAGATTGACCTTCGCTTCCTCCCATTATACTTGGTCGAGAGTGAAATTCAGTTTTCTGTTGGCACTCGGCAGTGGCATTTTTGGGAAGTTTGGAATGGTGGCGGTGATGGTATATAAGGATTATTTATTTATTTTTATTTTTATTTTCATTTCTTTGAGACAGAGTCTCCTGTTGCCCAGGCTGGAGTGCAGTGGTGTGATCTCCGCTCACTGCAAACTCTGCTTCTTGGGTTCAAGCGATTCTCCTGCCTCAGCCTCCCGAGTAGCTGGTACTACAGGTGCGCGCCACCACGCCCAGCTAATTTTTGTATTTTTAGTAGAGACGGGGTTTCATCATGTTGGCCAGGCTGGTCTCGATATCTTGACCTCATGATCCGCCCGTCTCGGCCTTCCAAAGTGCTGGGATTACAGGCGTGAGCCACAGTGCCCAGCCAGTATGAGGATTGTTATAGTTTAGTTTACTTTGCTCCCTTCCTCCCTTGGGGATTTAGTGCCAGGAAGTGAATATTAAGGTTCTGGTCATGCATCATGTGGCCAAGAAAATGCTTTCACTTTAATATAGCAAAAACCGAGAAAGATAAATTTAAAGAACTTGAATTCTTGGGTGTCAGTGGCTGCCCGTGTGGCATTTATCTTAAACTGGGAGAACAAAGCTCTAAACCTGAAGGAATAAATTTCTTTTGTTAATCTTGAATAAAGGCTTTAAAGGACACTTTTGTACTTTAGGGTTTTGTGGCAAATCCAAAGACACAAGAAGAACAAACAGTTCTTCTTTTCTTTGTTTCCATTTTTTCTCTACTCTTTTCATCAGAATAAATGTAGCATACTGGAAGAAAGATGAGTGATGAGATTATATCCAACATGAATATTTGACTTTAATTAGTATTGGCAAAAGAGTTTCTAAAACGTAGTCATGACTATTTAAAAATAATCATGGGACAGTTAAAATTAGGTCTAAATGTGAAATTAAGTATGTTTTTGTTTTTAAAATCACTTGAAAAACAGTGGCTATTTTAGCTTAGGATAAGGTTGGCCATTTGTAGATGTTGCAAAACATCTGTACAAGTTTACTTCCAAGGACCTTCTCTAGCCTAATCACTGCTTCCCTAGGCCGAGCTCCATCTGAGATTACTACATCAGCCTTCTCTCTGGTCTCTTGCTCTTAGAATAGGACTTTCTCTGCATTCTTCATGCTACTCTGGGGGTGAGGCTTCTGAAATGCAAACCCAACCTTATTACTGCTGGTCTCCTTTATATTGCTTGTATTAATAGCATATTTTGATTCTCACTCTGATACTGCTCCTGGGAGGTTTCCCTGACCACCTAAATCTGTGGTGGTTGCCCCTAGGCTATCTTACCATTGCATTGTATTCCTCACCTGTCATAGAGCTTACCCCGCTATGGTGCATTTTGTGGTTACAATACTGGCTTTGCTTTTGTCCCATGAGCACCTCTCACATACTTGGCTTTTAGTATTTGTGGCTGAGCACCTAAAGCTCAGTCAGTTTAAACTTGGGGAATATTCCTTCTATGGAAAGAATTTGTCTTTTGGCATTATAGATTTTTAGACACTTCGATGTCGTTTCCAGTAAGTTTTGATGGGTTTACCTTGAAAATGACTCATTTTCCAGTTCTGTAAGCTAGGGGCAGGTGATTTAGATTTTTAAAAAATGTATTTTAAGCTAATTCATTTTTATGTGGATGAGAGGACATTTAAAAAAATGTGGTATGGGTCATGATAGACTTTTAAAAAATATATAAAAAATTGTGGATGGGGCCATTATTTCAGGATTTTTCTGTAGTTTACCACTATCTTGTATTCTTTATCCAAAATAATTAATAGCCCTTTTATTTTGAGGGAAATCTTATGATAAGTTTCTGTATCATCCAAGAAGGGTCAATTTAAAAAATTTTTTGATGCGGCACAGGGGTGTACTTGGGGATGTATATGCTGGGATTGGAGTCTGTAGGAGCAAAGATTTCAGAAAATCTTTGTGTTTTTAGCATAATCTGTGATGGGTGCTTTATAGCTAGTGTCTTATTCTTACATCGCCATTTGATCTGATGTAGTTCCTTTTATATGCAGCCCAACTTCATTTGTCAGACCTGGTCAGTATTTCTGCAGGGCTAGAGTTGACTCGGGGTAAAATTACTTTTTTTTTCTTCTTTTTAAAAAGTCACCTTCTCTAGTGGCAACAGTGTTTTAAAATTTGAATGGTGGGAGATGTGGGGTAGGAGTAGGAGGGGAGCCCAGGGAGCCCAAGAATCTCAGAATGAAGCAATTTATATTACATACTTGGCCAGTGAAGAATAAAGCCAACTTTTAATGTGGGTTTTAGAAATTTGTGTTCACTCGTGTATTGATTGATAGGTTCAGGACCAGTTATTACTTAATGCTGAGAGCCAAAGCTTACAAATTTCATAGGTAGTGTATTAAGAGACTTATTTTGAAACAGAAGAGCAAAACCTCAAGCTAGATTTTAGCAAAATTGTGTGCTTGTTTGAGTATGCATGTGTGTGTATTTGTGTTCCCTGAGAAAGAGACTTTTATTTAGCAGTAGAGACAGAGAAAACCTTTAAAAGTGTGCTATTTTGAATCCTCTAAATATTGTCAGTACAACGACCCTGGCATTGATGCTACGAAGAGGATGGTAGAGTAGTTTCTCTACAATGAGATCTACTCTTAACCCCTTATAATGTTAAGACAGATGAAAGTAAGATAAGCACATACATTCTGGTTCTACCGTGGGTTCTGGCTTAGCCTGTGATAAACTAAGCTAAATGCAGGAAGAAAGCTCACCCTTGAACAACATGGGTTTAGGGGTGCTGCACCCCTGTGCAGTTGAAAATCCATGTATAACTTTTGACTTCCCCAGAAGTTAACTACTAATAGCCTATAACTGTTGACTTCCCCGGAAGTTAACTACTAATAGCCTATAACTGTTGACTGGAAGCCTCGGCCATAACACAGTTGATGAACACATATTTTGTATGTTATATATATTGTTAATATATGCTGTACTACAATAAGCTAGAGAAAAGAAAATGCTATTATGAAAATCATAATATTTTCTAGTCATTAAGTGGAGATGGCTCATCACAGAGGTCTTCATCCTTCTCTTCACATCAAGTAGGCTGAGGAGGAGGAGGAGGAGGAAATACAGGAAGTGTTGGTCTTGCTGTTCAGGGTGGCAGAGGAGGAAGAAAATCCCAGTGTAAGTGGACCTATGCAGTTCAAACCCGTGTTGTCCAAGGGCCAACCGCACATAATTGTACAGTTAAAATGGGACACATCATGTTCTATTTTTCTTAAAATATTACCTACCAATGGGTCCAGTTATGGGTCAGTTTACTTAGATGTGAGTTTCATCTGTCTTATTGTGAAGATTGCCTTAAGTGAAAGATGTAGGGACCTGTCTTTGGTTTTGGCTTACCTATGAGTAAGAAATACGATGAACTAAATCCTCTGATCTTTCTGTCATTACTTTCCTAAGATGTCTAATTTCACTTTATAGTGTGTTGGAAAGACCATACCTAGAAATTAGGAGGAGGATAGCAGTCATATATTAAATTAAGTTTATGGTCTCCCAGTGAATATAATGTTAACTATAATCAGGCAAACGTTGTTTGCTTTCAGGAACACTGCAACAAAACACTAAGTGCATACTAGAAAGACTTTAGCTTATTAAAAATGGCTCCGAATTCTAAAATTGTCTAAATGCCTTCTAATGAGGCCACAGGAGATTGCATTTTTAAGAAACAATCTTACGTACATTTAAATGTAAATTTTCCAGAAATCCTAATCTTTAATAATTATAACCCTCAGCTACAATTATCAAAGAGGGATGTATCTGTCCTTAGTTGCCATTCTTAAATTTAAATAAATGTAGGGGCAGGAAACCATCTATCCAACCACTTAATATAGCAGTCAGGAAGGAAATCTTTATAAGCAGAACTTAGTTCTTTGTTAACCAAAGTGAAGTTACACTCACCTACCGGTTTTTATTTGATATTAAATACTTCGGATAATTTTAGTAAACTCTTTTAGAAAGGCAGACTGAAAATACATAGAATTTTTGCTCTGAATACTGTAGCAGGAAAGTTAGTATAATAACATTTAAGAAAATATTTTTTATTTAATTCTGCAAATTAGAGATGCCAGGATAAAAATGGGGGTCGTGGTTTTAAAGTGTGTTATGGGAAAAAATAGTACTATTGTTCAGTTTGGAAGTTGTTTAAAATCTTTTTGAAATTTCTCCTAGAGTCTTGGAAATTCACAGAGAGAATATGAAAAGCAGGTTGTCCTGTACAGTATCCGCAATCAGTTACGATATAGAAATAACTTAGGTAAGTAGAGCCATGTTTATATTGGGGTGGAACTGACCACTACTCTTTCACATTCGTAAATCTTTCTTTTCAATACATATTTCATAGTACTGAGATTATTCCATGTACAGACTTTAAGAAACTCTACACTGATCCATTCCACCTAACAACAATTTGTATTAGCAAGTAGATTTTTCATTCTAATTCTGATAAAAATTATTTTTAGAGTACTGTTTATGGACTCATTTTATCTATAAAATAATCTTAATTCAAATGTCCTCTTTTTGCCTGAGGTAAGAAAATATGCCATAAAAGAAAAAGTATATTAGTTCTTAGTAATTTTTGACTTTGGGTTGTCTCCATAAATTTTCCAAATAATATGAAAAACTTTATAATAATTGGGACACATTTTAAACATAGTTCATTCCATGATTTTTTTTTCTTCTTTCTAAAAAAAAATTTGTTTATTTATCAGATTATTTTGGTTAGTCTATTCTGTTGCCCTGGTAGTCTTTCACTCCTGTTTGTTACTCTTATTTTAAGCATAATATTTCTGACATTGTTTTTCTTCATGAACATTTTCCATGAAAGTCAGAGGGCTTTTTACATTTAAAAACTAAAAAAGCAGCAAATAATTTTTAAAAATAGACTTGACTTCATTGAAAACGAGCATTCAGTTTGGCTCTCTTGTAAGGTAGTAGAATACAATTCAATAAAGCTCTGTTTTGTACCTTTTTGGGGGGCATGCTGGTAGTTCCATGCTTGTTTTCTCATTTGGCAAGAATTATTCTCTACTAATCTGTCCTATTATTCATTTTACTTCTATACTCTAAAATCTATTTCATGTGATATATTTCTTTGTTCCAACTTAGAATATTTTATTTGTTCTCTTGTAATTTACATACTTTTCTTTTAAATTACTGTTGGTTTGTAAAGTGTTCATAGTTAATATATAACTATAAGAAACCTGAAAAAAACTGGAGAATTTCCCTCTTTTGTGCAGTTAAACATGTCAAGAAAGATGAACGCAGATACTATGAGGAACTGCTAAAGTACAGCCGAGATCATCTCATGCTGTACCCTTACCATCTATCGGATATTATGGTGAAAGGCTTGAGGATAACACCATTTTCATATTATACTGGGATTATGGAGGTGAGTTTACAGTGTGGGTGAGCCAGTGGGAATGGGATGGGACTACATGTCTGGGACTTTTTGCAGATGTTCACCAGCTCTTCAGCTGTCGTCTGCGGTGGACACTCTTTCAGAACTTATAGTGTAAAAAGGACTATTGGTGGCTTGTTAACTGTTTGAGCCACACTGTACAAGTACTTATCCTTATTGATGTTTTTACATTGGGAAGCTGTCTATTTCTCTTCTGGTCTTGAAGGTGCTATTGACCCTTTGTGCTGTTGTAGTACTGATCAGTCATTTATGTTGGCAGAGTCTGTGTAAAATTTATTGCTTTTTAAAACGTGATTAAGGTTGAAAATGTGGGTGACAGAATTGAACATTATGTTCTGAGAAAATTAATGTATTTAGGCTGGGAGCAGTGGTTCACGCCTGTAATCCCAGCACTTTGGGAGGCCAAGGTGGGTGGATCATGAGGTCAGGAGATCAAGACCATCCTGGCCAACATGGTGAAACCCCGTCTCTACTAAAAGTACAAAAATTAGCCAGCCGTGGTGGTGTGCACCTGTAATCCTAGCTACTCAGGAGGCTGAGGGGGGAGAATCGCTTGAACCTGGGAGGTGGAGGTTGCAGTGAGCCGAGATAGCGCCACTGCACTCCAGCCTGGGTGACACAGTGAGACTGTCTCAAAAGAAAAAAAAGAAAAGAAAAGAAAATTAATGTATTTAACTATTCACTAACTGTCTAAAGAATGAATGATGACATAGACCCAACATTATATAATACAGGTGCCAGAAAAGAGAAATATGTTAGTAGTCTTGGCTGTTAATCTCTTTCTATAATTATTAACTTTTAGTTGTTAGCCTTTTTCCAAAGACAGCTTTTAGGCTTGTATTGGATAACTTTAATACTAGTTATATACTGTTTTCAAGTGAGCTTTATTAAAGATTGGCAGTATTTATTTAGTATTCATTTGCTCCTTAATTATGTTTGAGTGCTTCTGTTTGGGGCTCACTAGCCGCTTGAAGAGCAGAGAGGAGCCTAGAACTAAAGGAGTTGGGAACGTGTGGTAACATGAGGTTAGCCCTACATACGATGTGTGCTTTGCTGTTTGCTCCCTTCGTTATCTCCAGAAGCCCCTCCTTCATGGGTGCTTCTGCAGTCCCATGCATCCCGTGTTCCTCTTTTGGAGGAAATACTGGAGGAAAGCGAGAGGCCCGATAGCCCAGGTAGCATAGTGAAGAACCAGGGTAGCATAATGAAGGTGGCAGCTAATCAGGAAGTAGAATAGTTACTGCTGTCTCTTTATTTTTCTAGTGTAGTCCACAAATTTGGGAGCTAAAATAGGTGGAGTTTTTGTTTCACTTATCAGCTTTCATTTCAGTTACATCCACATGGTTGCTGCATTCTGGTTTCTGTTATTCTATCATTGGGTATAGTTCCTCGGTAGAAAACGGGCCTTATCCCCACAGGAAGCAGTGGGTTTGTTATTGGAGAAACAGATTGGGGCAGAAAAAGCTGGATACCAAGTTTAGCTCTTCTACAGATTGGGACTTGTGGGATCAAAGGCCACTAAGTGGTTGTAGTCTTCATTGGTAGTGCATGTTGATGGAGCTGTGCCACATTATTTGGCTTTCTCTCATGGTGGAGATCTAGGATCAGGTATGAAATGTGGAGAGGCTGGAACCCTGAGCTCTAATGGAGCCATTACTTACATAGCTTCCACAGGGCAGAGGTTATGGGGCAGCTGCCTGGGATTCGTAGAGAGCCTCTTAAGAAACCTAGACCTGAAAATCTGCCCTTTAATTACTAGGTTGGGAACATGTGTGGAAAGTGCCACAGGGTGGCATGTATGCTCTAGGTAGCCAAACTATGATCTTACTGCTTCCTGTAATAATCATTGTTATTGGCTGTAATAATATTGTATTTATACACATTTTTATTTAAGGACATTTTAGATTTCAAATTTAAATTTTTTTCTTTTTAAAAGGATATTATGAACAGTGAGAAAAGTTATGATTCATTGCCCAATTTTACTGCTGCTGACTGTAAGTATTTAATTGTGCTGAAGAAGGTAATGTTTAGGTTGTGTCTTTGTGCATCCTGTCATCTGTGAATATTGTCATGTGTGTTTTTAACCTGAAATATGTGAAAAATGAGAACAGTAAGCAACATTATCAGTGAGAATTTTATCAGATGATACCAGATGCATGTGTAAGATTTACTCTAAATGTCTAAGAGAGGCATATTTGAGAGTGGTAGAATCAGAAAAATAAGACTAATCTATATATTTCCAGAGAATGAAGTTCTTTCTGATACTTGGGCTGTGTGTATATTGAATGTGGGAGGAAAACTTGTGCACAGTATTTTTGCAGGGTGACATACAGTTTTTAGTAACTTAACTTGCTGCTGTTTTAGTATGCTTACTTTGGCAAAGTGTATATTTTGAATGTGTCATAATTCTGTTGTTTAAGAAGCTTTCGCTGAGAATTACATTTTGACTTCCTAAAATTGGCAGGACTTCTGCTTTTTTAAAATGTTTTTGTTAGAAGTGTCATCTTGAATTCATCTCTCCCAAAGTTTAGCTTTCATTTATGTTTTGGTTGAAGACGTCCTTTTAATTTGATATTGATATTTGACTAGTAATTGAAAGATGAAAATAAGCTCGGGTTTTTCCTACAATCGCTTGTGAACATATTGAGATTTCAAGATATGTTAAATGTTTTTAAAGGAAAGACTCTTTTTTTCAGGTCTAAGGCTTCTTGGCATAGGAAGAAACCAGTATATTGATCTTATGAATCAGTGTAGATCATCAAAAGTAAGTTAGTACTTTCTTTTTCATTGTTTTGGCCTCATCACACAGTTTGATTAGTTTTTTTAAGTGGTAGAAATAATGAATTGTATGTCTTTGACCAAATAAAATGTACTTAACACAGAAACAATACAAAAAAAACTCCTCAGTATTCTCTAGGTTATAGCATAAATGATTATTTAAAATTTTTAATGCATAAAACATTTATTTTTAAAAATTATTTTTGTTCTCTTAGTCTTTTTATTTGCTCATTCTACTTGTACAGTTCACTTAGTGGGTGAAAAAAGTGTTTGCATTTTCAAATGCATTTTTCACTGCTTGGGTTTCACTTGAGTTTGTGGAAGTAAATCTGGATTTAACAATTAGTGTTTTGAAACAATTTATTTTGAAACAATTTAAGAATGACTTTCTTCATACAATATGTTAATATCTAGAATTGTTAAGATTTTAAAACATGAAGATTTTAAGAAGATATTTATTTAGTCCATTAGAAACAATCTTATGATATGATTGATGAAAGAAGAAAGTGGTAGTTTTAGATTGCAAATTCTCAAATGTTTGTACCATTGCAGAAATTCTTCAGAAGGAAAACAGCCCGTGATCTTCTACCAATAAAGCCAGTGGAAATTGCCATAGAGGCGTGGTGGGTGGTGCAGGCTGGCTATATCACAGAAGATGACATCAAGGTAGAAATCTTTAAAAGTTAAACATAGAATTTTTATTTTTTAGTTTATTTTACAATTTTTAATTATAGCTTATAATTTTTTAAAAAGTAACATTGTTTTCCTGAAGAAAAGGAAACTTAAATTTAAAATTTAAAATGATCTTAGTAGACTAGAATATTGGTGAGTTTTTGAGATACTCTTTAATGGTGAGGGAGACTTGACTTGGTTCAAGTACAGTTATCTGGGGATGTTAATTAGATAGAAGCTTCGTGTAAAGTAACATGATGCCACAGCTACCTACAACAATAATACTGGCTAACACTTTTGAATACCTGCTGTGTGCTAGATGTGCCAAGCTCTATTACAAGTGCTTTTTATATTGTCTTACTTAATTCTCATAACAGCCCCAGAGGTATGTATTATTTGTACCCCCATTTCACAGATGAGGAAAGTGAGCACAGAACAATTAAGTAACAGCTCATGTCTTAGTGGTAGTAAAGGTCCAGGATTTTTTGGCAGTTCACCATGAAACTTGTACTCTTAATCACTGCAAAGAACTGTTGTACTGAAGTGATAGGTGCTTTTATGGGGCGATAGTGTCAAGATCAAGAGAGTTGATATTCCCAGTGGTCAGACCACATCTTAGAAGGGATATTGGTTTAGAGGAAAGGGGTGGAGTAATGAGGGCACCTAGAGACCAGGTTGTATTTATGCGTAGCTGAAGCAATGGAAATGAGTATGTGGGCTTCTTTTTGGTCTGCATTTAATTTTCTCCAGGGTACGTACTAAATCCATTGAGTGGAAGGCTTAGAAATTTTACTTCAGTCTAAAGTACCTCTTAATGGAACTCTCAAACTGTATCATAATAAGCTAGTGAACTTTCCTGTTACTGACAATATTCATGTAGAGTTTGACTAAATTTCTGGCTAGAGAGATTCTGAATTGGCAGATGGATCTAATTCCAATTCAATCACAAGGAACAAATATTACTAACTAGCAAATGTTGGTACTTACAGTAAGTTTGTTCTCTACATTCTGTTGGTATGTTGCATATTTTGGCACCTTAATTGATGGCTATGTGCACAGTTTTTTGTTTGAATTATAGAGTGATAAATATGTAGTTCATTGAGCTAATGACATGTAATCACTGGTTTCAACATAAATAAATTTCAGGAGACTTGTGAATTAGTTAATTTGGACAGAACTTAATTAAAAATATTTTGCTTTTCTTAGATATGCACTTTGCCTGAGAAATGCGCTGTTGATAAGATCATCGATTCAGGCCCTCAACTCTCTGGATCACTAGATTACAATGTAGTACATAGTAAGTGGTTAGTAGAAATGGTCTTTTGTCAACATAAAAACTTGTTTTAAACCATCAATAATTACTAGCAATTACTTATCAAGTAGGTACAAATAGTACTAGTTTCTAAGGCATGTTATTGTTTGAAATGTGACCTTAGTCTTTTGTTTTCCAGTGTGGCTATAATTAGTCACATACACTAGAAATTTATGCAACTGAATGATAAGAAAAATTTTGTACTTCAGAGTATATGCAGGAAACCGAGATTTAAAAACTTTAATTCTTTTTCTCTTCTATTTTACTTTTTCTTTCGTCACATAGCATTCATTTGTAAGAATCTTTACAGAAAGCCAGGAATTAGTTTTTTTAAAAAAATCACTGTTGTGTAGTGTTCCATCTAAAACAAGGTACTTTTGTTTCTTCAGGTTTGTATAACAAAGGATTTATTTATCTGGATGTACCAATATCTGATGACAGTTGTATAGCAGGTAAGTCCGTGCTAACATTTTTCACTGTTTTTTGAATGGATATCAGGTGCTAAGCATTGCATATCATCCGTTCTAGGATCTTAGATGTTAGGATATTTCAAGAAAAATATTGCTTCGTTATTACATTTTAACATAGTACATTGGTTTTACTTAAATTCTTTATTCTCATTTTTGTATTTGGTGTACATACTACACTAAAATAATAGAAACCCAAGGTAAATTTCTAACAATCCCAAATCAAATCAATATTTTTATAAATTTTTGTTACCTTTTAATCCTTGTTCAGTGTGTAGCTGTTTTTACATGTGTTCAGTAATCTCATAGAATTGTATGTTCTCATTTTCACTTAACATACTGGTGCATTATTTTTTCATGTTACTGTAGTCTTTTTGTCTATTTCCTTTTCCCTTCTTCCTTTACCTACTTCTCCAAGTTAAACCAATATTAGGAGCCTTGTATATTTGTCATACACTTTATGGATGTATCAATTTATTAAACCATTTTGTATTTCTGGTAATTTAGATTATTTCCAGTTTTTTTGCCACTACAATACTGATATGTTCAATATCCTTGAATACAGAGTGATGCTTTTTTTTCTATAGGTTAGATTTCTTACCAATTTATAGAAGCACTTACTATGTTCAGGTTATATGTTACAAGTATGTCTTGTGGCATATCTTTTAACTATTGTTCTTGTGTTTTATTATACTTAGATATTGAATATTTGTGTAATCAAATATAAAGTGTCAAAAAATTTCAGAGAATGACCCTAATATTAACAAATTAGTGGTGATAGGGCTTATTACAGAAATACTTCTTTATATCAGTGTTGAATCTTGACAAGATATCATGCTGTAGCGTGTCCAGACCTTTGGGTTGGCATATGTTTGTGATTCTTTAATAACACATTTTAAACCTTGTGCATATGTGAATTTTTTTTTTTTTTTTTTTTTGAGACGGATTCTAGCTCTATCGCCCAGGCTGGAGTGCAGTGGCATGATTTTGGCTCACTGCAACCTCTGCCTCCTGGGTTCAAGCGATTCTCCTGCCTCAGTCTCCCGAATAGCTGGGATTATAGGCACCCACCATCACGTCTGGCTAATTTACTCTACAGGTAAAACCCATAGAGACAGGGTTTCACCATTTTGGCCAGGCCAGTCTTGAACTCCTGACCTCAAGCAATCTGCCCGCCTCGGCCTCCCAAAGTGCTGGGATTACAGGCGTGAGCCACCATGCCCGGCCTGCATCCTATTTTAAGCTTGGAAAGATACCTTAAAAAGTACAGGAAATACTAATTTGCGTTTGTATAGTTGATGCCGTAACAAAATACTAGTTTTAAAATGAGAAAGATTTGACAAGGAAATGATTTCTGAAGACAGAGGTGGCCGTGATTTCCTGTCACAGTTGGAAAATATGAAAGTATTACTCTAGTGCCTACTGTCATCAGATAAGCTGACGTTGATTCATTTGAGATCCACCTATTAATAAAAAGATTAGTCTTTGACTAGTTCATTTCAGTCCAGTTTGACTGTCAGTTTGAACATTGACTCACATTAGAGTAACTTTTAATATTACTTATGGCTAAACTAAATTCATTTGAAAAAAGCAGTCAGAGAAGGGCCAGATGGATGGCTGCCCCATTACATTGATGTGTTCTACCATACTTCACTTAGTAGCTGCTGGTATTTGGTGGTACAGACAGACCCATGGGATGATAATTGCTAAACTTACCCTTGTCACCATGTTACCTCTTTGGCTGTTCCCCAAATTAGAATAAACACATAAAAACAGTTTTGACAACATGGAAGGCATCAAATTCAGTACAAATAATACCTGAATGTGATTTCAAAAGAGGCATTTCAGATACGTTTCAACAACAAAACAAACAAGCACTATGGTTGGTGATATAAATATAAATGGAGATCAGAAATACTTTTAAGGGAGTAATCATGAAAGGCTCTATTATTAAATAAATTTATTCCATTATTCATCAAATTTTCTAACTGTATTTTGTGTGTCTTTTATAGCTTCCTGATTTCTGTTATGCTTGAATGGAATACCTGTAGGATATAGAAATAGTCTGAAAATTCTTGAGAACTTTTGTCGTATATATTTAAATTTGCAGTTTGTTTGGAACTTATTTTCATATTTGATGTGGAATAAGGGTTCAACTTATTTTTCTTCTCTTTGGATAACCAATAGCATTTGGACAAATGCTAGCACTGTTTCAAATTTCTTCATGTAGAGTCACCTTACTCTTTTTGCTTAGATACAAATTTTGGCCTAGGAAAATTTCTAATCTCATAGTGCCTTGGTTTCTTTATCTCTCAAAATAGGGGGTAACTGGCCAAGCACAGTGGCTCACACCTGTAATCCCAGTACTTTGGGAAGCCAAGGTATGAGAATTGCTTGAGCCCTGGAGTTCGAGACCAGCCTGGGCAATATAAAGGGACCCCTTCTCTACAAAAATAAAAATGAAAAGAATTAGTCATGCGTGTTGGCATGTGGCTGTAGTCCCAGCTACTTGGGGGACTGGGGCAAGAGGATTGCTTGAGCCTGGGAGGTCGAAGCTGCAGTAAGCCACAATCCCCACCCTGCATTCCAGCCTAGGTGACAGAGTGAGACCCTGTCTCAATAAATAAATAAATAAATAGATACATTTAAAAATAGGGGTAATTATACTACTGTACAACCCACGGAGTTAGGAGGATTAAATGAAAATGTATATATAAAGTACTTGGTAATAGCCTAGCACTTAGTAAGCATTCAATAAATGCTATTATTATTTACATAGCTGATAGTGTAGGGAAATAATTAATGTTGTCAAAGACGGGATTTCTAAAATATTTCTAAAAAGAAACCATTGATCATTAAAAGTACCTAGATGACTAGAAATATAGGTAGTACTAAATTAGAAAATGACATGAGCCAGATCTGTAAAGTGAATAACCTATCCTCAGATGTATGTACATTGTAGTTTTTCAGTGTCTCAGTTTTGACCATTTGAATTTTGTCTTATTTTTCACTATTAGGAATAATTTAAATTTTTGGGTACAATTAGATGATATTAGGGCCAGGGGACATAAAGATACCCAAATGCTACTATGGCCTAGGCATTCCTCCTTCTCAGGATATTTTCAGGGTGAATGTACCCACAGGGGAGAATGGCAAAGGAAAGCATAGAGCTTGTTTTTTATTGGCTGGGCAGAGCACTTTGGTAAATCAGATTAGAACATTTGGACCAAAGAGATAGAAGTGAGTATGAATGAACATTCAGGTGGAGAGTGATGGTTGGGCTGCCCACTGTGCTAAAGGGGATCTTGACCCTGTTGCCACTGAGGCCCACTGGGGAGGATACCAGAAAAGAAAGCCCCAAAGAACGAGTTAGCCCAGTGACTTCTGGTAAACATGATGGTCATGCAGATGAATTTCCATTTTTAGGATGGAGTAGGGATGATGGGGAGACAGAGCCAATACTTTGCATCCACCTGGTTTTCGTATAGCGTAGCAACTCTTTCTTGCAGTCATTTGCTTTTCAGCTTTGGCCCACTCACCCCTGCTGCCTATGAGGCATCAAAAACACATGTATCAGAAACCCTTTGCAGGCTCCCCCATTCTGAAGCAGCCCCTGTTCCCTCACCCTTCTACCAAGTCCATGTCATCCAGCATTTCTGAGTTACCTGTCTCAGTAACTCTGAGTTCCATGGTGAATTAAATGAACTCTGTGGATTTCGTGTCTACCTTCAGAGTCTTCTCTGTGTACGTATTGTAGAGTTTCAGAAAACTTGCTATGGAGTGGATAAATAAATCAAAAGCTGCATTCAGTCCCTAAGTTAGAGGTTTCTTTTTTTAATTAGATATGTAAATTATACTTTCTTGTTTTATAAAATCTGTACCACTGAGAAAAATCTCTTCTGTTTGTTTTAGTTCCACCTCTTGAAGGTTTTGTAATGAATCGAGTGCAAGGTGATTATTTTGAAACTCTACTCTATAAGATATTTGTTTCAATAGATGAGCACACAAATGTTGCAGAGGTAAGTTTGACAACGTCTCATGAAAATATAATCTCAAGATTGTAAGTTTGTGTAAAGTAAGTAAAGTTATTTAATATGGTAGTATCTTTTTAAAATCTCCATGTGGGGAGATCATACCATTATTACACTTAAATGTCATTATTCTTAACGTTCTTATAAATGTATATTAAAATTTAAGTTAATAATTTATAGTTTGGTTAACTTTTTATATGACTTTTTGTACTAAAGTATTGTAGACTATATTGATCTATCCAGGAATTTTATTTTAAATGAGACGAAATTAAAGAGTAAGGAATCTTAAATTGTTATGGTCACTCCATGGATTTGTACTATAAGGATCTTAGAGATAGGGAAAGAAGAAAGTTCTGAATTCAAAATTTATTCAGTCTTCTAATTATTCATAACTTAAAATTTTGCTGATTATGATTATATTGGTCTATTACAACTGTGTAATGTGCTGTTAATTCTAAGAATGTAAAAATAAATTTTAATTTTATCTTCTAGCTTGCAAATGTCCTTGAGATTGACTTATCCCTGGTTAAGGTATGTTATTTTTATACTCATTTACTGGTGATGTGATAACTGAGTGGATTTTACTAGTAGATTTTTATCTTGATAAGCTACTGAGAAACGAAGACATTGAGATTGTTGTTAGCTGTCTGAGAGAACGTGCACAGTAAAGGGGCACTTGCAAAGACAGGAAAGAGCAGGAAAAGGGGCCCTAAATTGGGATTCAAACACATGGACTGAAAAGAGAGCACTCATGCAAGAAGCAGCCCAAGCAGTATCTTGTAGTGAGGTCCGTTAAAGCAACAACTCCTGCTTCATTAGGGGTAGATGTAGGGAGGGCAAGGCCAGAGAGTTGGAAACATTCCCTCCTATACATTTATGAAGACTTCAAGGGAGGAGCAGGTCTACTGAAAATAGTTTCTGGTTACGGGATGAAAATGTTTGAGAATCACTATTAGTCTATTACACTATTTTTTCTCTACAAATATTGTGATGTCTAGTTTATTTTAAATGGTAATTAGTTTCCTTTATATTCCTTTCAGAATGCTGTTTCAATGTATTGCCGATTGGGCTTTGCCCATAAGAAGGGACAAGTAATTAATTTGGATCAACTTCATTCATCATGGAAGAATGTTCCATCCGTAAACAGATTAAAGTAACTTAAATTTATTCAGTATGAGCTATTAGAGTTTCCTTTTGAAAAGACATTTAATTTTACATACATAAATTTATTTATTTATTTATTTATTGAGACAAAGTCTCTCTCTGTCATCCAGGCTGGAGTGCGGTGGCGCGATCTCGGCTCACTGCAACCTCCACCTCCCCGTTTCAAGCGATTTTCATGCCTCAGCCTCCTGAGTAGTGGGGACTATAGGTGTGCACCACCATGCCCAGCTAATTTTTTGTGTTTCTGTTAGAGGTGGGGTTTCACCATGTTAGCCAGGCTGGTGTCGAACTCCTGGCCCCAACTGATCCACCCACCTTGGCCTTCCAAAGTGTTGGGATTGCAGGTGTGAGCCACTGCACCTGGCCCAGAAATTTTATTTATTCAACCTGTCAGTTGAGGTGAGCCCTTTATATTAGTGATTTTTAATCTTGTGTGTGTGTTACAGATCTTTTTTGGAATATAATGAAAACTAAGAAGGCTTTTCCCAGAAAAAAAGCAAATAAATATTTTACATAAAATCTTGAAGGGTTCTTGAATTTTCTGAAGCCTATCCGTGGATCTTAGTTAAGAACCCTTGTTGTATGTAGGCAGAGCATTTTTGGGCTGCGACTTAATTTTGGGCTTGAATATAAGACTGAATTTTGATGGATTGTTCATAATTTAAGTCTTAACTTCAGTAGATATTTTAATGTAAGGTCATTTATATGATTTTTAAAAAGCAAATGCATTCTTCATTAATAGGAGTACCTTAGATCCACAGAAGATGCTCTTGTCATGGGATGGAGGGGAAAGTAGGAGTCCTGTACAAGAAGCTTCATCGGCAACTGACACTGATACAAATAGTCAAGAAGATCCAGGTTAGCAGTAACTCAGTTTAACATAGAGTCTGTCTGTAGGTACGGCACATGTCCAAACATACACTCTTACAGTTACCTTCTAATTTTAGTTTAGATTTTATTCAATACGCAGTCTTTGAGTGTTTTACTATATTTTGGGCACTGTGCTAAGTCCTAGGTATATAAAACTGACAAGAATATGGTACCTTTCTTCTAAGAATTAAGTCTAAGGAGAGAGAAGGGAATGTGACCAAACAAATTACAACAACACGGGCACCAATTATAATGCTTGTAGGGTGCAAAGAGGAAGAGACCCTTAATTGGCTAGAGAGGTTTGGGAAGCCTTCACAGAGAAGATGTTATTTGAGCTAAGAATGAAGAAGAGCCTGCCAGCTGGTCAGGGAAGGAAAGCCATTTCAGCCCGAGAGAATAGTGAGGCTAAGCCCAAAGGGAAACACAGCATAGTGGACAAGGCCTAGGGTTAAATGCTTTTTAATATTCTTTGCGCTTCAAAATAGGTATGGCTGGAACTTCTTATGGCTATAATAGTGCCTTTTTAAAATTATGTACTTTCTGGTTATCAAATAAAGCTGAAATGAAATACTTTCACTCCAAATGGTAAGCAAAGAATAATTTCCATTTACTTGATTTTAAATTATGGTGTTTTTCAGCTGACACAGCCAGTGTAAGCAGCCTGAGTCTGTCTACAGGACACACGAAGCGCATCGCATTCCTGTTTGACTCCACTCTTACTGCCTTCTTAATGATGGGAAATCTTTCACCAGTAAGCCCAATTCTTGTTTAAATATGAAGGTGTTTAAAATAAATACTAGATATAAAATAATTTAATGCTTTTATATCTTTTTTAAAGTACTACATTTATTCCCGAAGCACAACTGACTTAGAGGAGTATAATAACTTTCAGGGAAGGTCCTTTTGTAATTGGAAGAATTAGCCCCTCACCCCCCAATCCTTAAGTTTAAATATATTTGAAAGGATAATATAAATATTTGATAGTATGCTTAGCATAAAAAGGGAGAAGTAGAACTTTAATATTTTGTTTCTTTTTTTCAGAACTTGAAAAGTCATGCAGTCACAATGTTTGAAGTAGGCAAACTCTCAGATGAGTCTCTGGACAGCTTTCTTATAGAACTAGAAAAGGTAAATGTAGATTGCATGTAAGGGGATGTTAGGGCATTTGGAATCTGTCCTTGCTTGACAGAATGCCAATTATACAGTCTGTTGATTTGGATGGGCTTTCAGTGTATTCTTGCTCGTTCCTACCTCATTCCCCAAATTAGTACTCTTACAGTCATTTAGACTTAAACATATTGAGTGGGTGAATTGATTTTGTGATTTTTAAAGTGATATGTCTACCTCATCTAATTCTTAACATAATTTGAGATAATGAAGAAATGGGGTATAGAAATTTTAGTCTGTAATGTTTTAAGTTGAATTTTTGCTAAAATAGCCTTTCAATTTTTTTTCTGGTATGACTCTCTAAGATCACCTCTTAAGCAGTTTGATTTGAAGTTTTTGTTCCATTTACCTTGAATCTGGAACAATATCCCTGGGTATCATATTTATGTCCGCTCTCACTATCCCTTTTAGCATCTTGAAGACTTCAGCCATATTTGCTCTTAACCACCTTTTTCCCCGTGAGTACAGCCCTAGTTTTCCTTAGCTCTAAATAAATCTGATTGCCCTTTATTGGTGTTTTTCATTCTTCGGATATTTTATTCTGGCCTCTTTGTATTCAAATAGTTTGTGTGCCTAATCTGTTCCTTGACTAATACTTTTCGTGCCTTTTGTGCTTTATGATGAACTTTGTATTTTCAATGCACTGTTTAGAGAATTTGTGGTGATTCTGCAACTCCTTTATATCTTAAAAAAAAAAGACTGTAACATTTTTCACTGCTCCTACTCCATAGGATTTTTACTTTTATTAGTGCAGAAATATGTGTGAGATAATCCTTTGCTATTAATTGGTCTCTTTTACTTTTACCTTTATACTGCCATTTATTTCTTCATGCTTCTTTATTTGTTAACCCCATTTCTTATTGTATATTATCTTCTACTAATAAATTTCTTACTATGTTACTGCACATTTCAAGTTCTGGTTTTCTGATTTTTATCTTTTTTTCACCTCAGCTAGTCTTTTATCAAATGTAGCAAATTGCAAGTTGACTTCTGCTCTTTTACTCATAAATCTATGTTCTTTTTCATCACAAAGTCATTCTTGGGAAAGCCTTTCAGTCTGAGGCTTAGTTTTTAAAGTGGATTCTTAGCTATTTTTTAAGTAGTTTGATCTTAAGATTGATTTCTTAAATGTATGCAAATCTGATTTAGTTATTTTCCCGTTGGTAGACCTATCATTCCATTTTCTGTGTTGTTTCTGGGATATATGTCTCTACTTATTAAAAGGTGACTTATTCAGACTTATTCAGAAGAGCATACATTAAACTATAAGGCCAGTGAAGGCAGGGGTTTTGTCCATTACTCTATCCTTATCTCCTAGGGAGGTCATAGTCCATAGGAGGCACTAAGTAAATCTTTGTTGAGTGAATTTAAGCTGTGTGTTCAGCAATGGTGAACAGCTATGTTGAATCACAGACTCCAGTGTCTCTTGTAACTGGTAATACAGAATTGTGAACAAAGTTATGAGAATTATAGGTAAAACTGGTGACCTTGGAGTACTTTCCTAGATGGAGCAGAATACGGGTTTTAGAGTTGTTTAAGCACTCTATTTGAATCATTTGGAACATGTAACATATAATGCTATAACTTAGCATTATTCAATTGCTAAAATTGTTAGTCTTAGTTGAAGTAATTTCTATCTCCATAGATGTAGTAAAATTGGGAACTCAACCAAGACTGAGGTTAATAACTTGTTTCGGTATTGCCTGGGCAAATTTTTGATTTACTACTTTTGAATAATGTCTTATATCTCTATTATATGATTATTAGAGTGAATGGCATAAAAGTGGTATTTTTGTTGCAAAATCTATTTTCTCTTGGTTTAGGTTCAGAGCACTGGTGAAGGAGAAGCACAGAGATATTTTGATCATGCACTTACTCTGAGAAACACAATACTGTTTCTGCGTCATAACAAAGATCTAGTTGCGCAAACTGCACAGCCAGACCAACCCAATTATGGTATGATAAATATATTTAATTTTGAAGACATGATCATATGAAACTTTTTTCTAAGAAATTAAACAGATCATGCTCACTTATATAATCATCACTTACGTATTTTGTGTAGATAGCATATTGAATTTATAACTAGAGGCCTGTTTTGTGAATTTCTTGCTTGTTAACTGTTTCTTAACCTTATTTTACTTTTCTCATGTGCCACTAACATTTGTAGTATTTAAATCTGTTCAATACCTGCAAAAGTGTTGGTGTTAATTTATTTAAGTAGCTGGATGGAATTTAGAACAGGCATCAGCTCTGAGGGGTGAACAAGGGCAAAATTTTAGTTAATGTAGGAAGCATAAAATTTCAAGAATGAAAGATTCCATCATAATGAAAAGAATAAAGAGGAGCCTTCTGTTCAAATGCTACTGCAATACTTACCAAAAGATTTTACTTTTAAAAAGGAAATAGATAATTCTTTTTAAAGAGTAAAAGAAGTAGCAGCAATTTTAAGGTATTGATGAACTTTAATGGAGCTGTTGCCCTACTGGGCACTCTCAGTTTTGTGATAGTTGGGGGTTCCCAAACTTTAGTTGAATTGATGGTGTCAGAATTTCTACCCAGATGGGGATTTGGATTCAGTAGGTTTTGAGGTGTGGCATGGCACTCAGGAATGTGTGTTTTTTAAAAGATGATTCCAGTGCTCAGCTAGGCTTGGGCACCCCTGCATGAGCACTTGGCTCAAGTTCTTAGACATTCACAAGAGTTGTGTCTTGGGGCTTCATGGGTCCTCAATACCACTATAACGTTTAATTTTGATTAGTTTCATTTACCTAAAAACTATTTTTTCTGGCCAAGAACATCAGTTTCTTAATCATCTCCATTTTCATTTATTCTCTCACTAGCATCTGGCTTTCTTTTCAGCTCAATTTTAAAAATTGAGGGAGGATTCAGCTGTTACTTAACAAGCTGTCACATAGGTGAGAACAAACATGCTGGGTAGTTTACTTGAGTGAGGCTAGACTCACTTGGTATCAAGTGATTCACTTCTGCAGCCTTAATATGCCTTATCTGAAGAATTACAGATTGTTACATACTGGGGCTTTTGAGATCATTCATAAATAGTTAAAACTGAGAATATTAAATTGCCAAATGCCGAGAGTCCTAAGCACTTACTGGTAGGCATTTGTTGATGGATAACCATTTTTGGTTAATAAATACTAAATCATGTGATAAAGCAGTGGTGAGTGGCACAGTCTTGAGGATGTCTTTGGATATAAAACTCCTGGAATTTCTGGGACTTTTTAGTGATTTATGGAGATAATGTATTAGATGATTTGAAATACTCTGTTAAAGCTGTCTTGAAATACATTGTCCTTTCCTGCCTATCACAGAATGTGAGAACATTAGAGAGTACTAGTGACCAGTGAAGTGTAACTCCTATTATAGATAAAGAAATTGGAGTTTATATTAGCTAAATCTTCTGCTTGTTTTTTAGTCATCAAAGCCCATATTATTAGTAAATGGAAGAGCCAGGAATGGAAGACTTGAATCTGTGTCTGTTGATTTTTTTTTTTCCATTGCCCTGTCCCTATATTATCTTCTCTTGAACGCTAAGCTTTGTATTCATTTACCCATAAACATTTGTTGCTTAGTAGTCTGGGCTGGGCTAAATTTTTTCCCCATGAATAGTCAGTGTACCATGAAGTAAGTTAAATGGTAAATCTAAACCTATTCTCTATGAAAATAGTCCTGTGCAATCCTAACCTTTAAGGTGGGTTTAATGTTAGACTGTTCCTGACCCTAGTTGGAGATTTAATTGCTTAGAATAATTGCTGGGTCTCCAAAGTTAAATTTGATGAATGCCTCCCCTTAAGACCAAACCTGCAATTACTTATGAAATTTCATTTTTGCTACCAGCATTTCTTAGCTTAGCTCCTCATCTGAATTGCAGAACATGGAAATGATTGGCGTGACTATTTCTCAGTTTTTCTAATGATGGTGCACATTAGTACCGTTCTCAATGCATGAAAAAGGTCATTCGTTCTATGTAGAGGATATCTTAGGGCATTAAGGCTTCATGCTCAGCCTGTTGAGAAATGTTGCTTTCTGCAGTTACTGGGCTTGGTAACTGAACCTTACTCTTTTTTAGAAAAGAAATTCTCTGCCGGGTGTGGTGGCTCATGCCTGTATTCCCAGCACTTTGGGAGCTCGAGGCAGGCGGTTCACTTGAGGTCAGGAGTTCAACACCAGCATGGCCAACATGGTGAAAACTCGTGTTTACTAAAGATATAAAAATTAGCCAAGTGTGGTGGCAGGCACCTGTAATCTTAGCTGCTCGGGAGGCTGAGGCAGGAGAATTGCTTGAACCTGGGAGGCTGAGGTTGCAGTGAGCTGAAATGACACCACTGCACTCCAGCCTGGGTGACAGACTGAGACTCCGTCTCAGAAGAAAAAAAAGAAATCCTCTAGTATTGGTGTTTTAAGCGTCTTGTTTGAGGAAAAAGAATTTTCTTTTTATGTCACTAATAATTTATACTTTGAGTATATCATGTAGTACTTGTTATCTACTATAAAGCAAAAGCATTGTGATATTATACAAGCAAACTCTGTTATACATGGAACTAGTGTCTTAGTCCTAGGAGTCCTTAATCCCTTGGTTTTAAATAGCACGGCGTACTGTTTATAAATAAAAGTCATGCGTGGTCTGTTTTTTTCTCGTTTTCTAAGCATGATTTTTTTCCCCCAGGTATCTTTGTCTTTAAAAGGACATTGTTTAACTGTGATTAGTATAAGTCAGACATAAAAACCACTGTTTATAATTTGGCATTCTAGTACTGTGGAAATGTTTAGGAATTAAACCACATTTGTAGGAAAGCAATCACAGTTGTCAAGCTATTAGAAACGTGTTCTAACCACCATGAACTCTTTAGACTTCCTACTTTCCCTGTTGTAGTATACATTAAATATTATCTATACTTGACATTGATAATGTTGAATTTTGCCTGAGGGTTAAGACGTCCCTTCACTCTTTTGTGTTTTGGGAAGGGGCTTAGTGCAAGGACCCACTTTTTCCCCGTATGACTTAGATAAGATTCACAGGTGAATTCCCCACTCCCTTCTGTTCACCTATGACAAGGTCAGAAACAGATCCACCAAATTCCCTTTCTTTGCCTCATAAGCAGTGAGTTGAACTGCCTGTTCTGAATTATCAATCAGAACAAAATGCTTGTTAGCCAAAGCTTGTTTAAGCTTCTCTCCTTCTTCCAGCCCCATGAACTTTGACTCACCCTCAACCTAAGCCAGGATGTAGCCCTTCCTTTAGGACCCCTCCCAGAAAATATGCTGACGTTATGGTTAAACATTCTGTGATCTGCTATCCTATACCTCACCCTGTCATCCTACTTCCTCACACCCCATGCTTTCCATCTACCCTTCATTGGTGATGTTAATTTTGATCACCCAGTTAATGCATTGTCTGATTTTTCCACTGTATAGTCAACTATTTTTTTTCTCTCACAACTGATAAGCAATTGGTGGGGAGATACTTTGAGACCATGCAGATATCCCACTCCTCATCAGTGTTTCCTCCTAGATTTAGAATCCATTGGTGGTTCTTGCCTGAACCATTCTGTACTTTGATGGTTGGAAATTGGTAATTTTTCCCCCACTTGAGCAGTTCTGCCATATTTAGCAGTTGTGACCAGGCATTCTCTCGTATTCTCTGTATGAATTTATGAATTCTTATCTTTTCAGTAGTCTGCGATTAGTCATTATTGTCTCTCAATTATTTTCGTGCCCCAGTTTTCTCAGATTTTGCCATGAGGATTTCCTTTAAGCTTGCTCCTGTCTCCTTTCTCCTTATGACATGCCTCCAGGTTTCTCCGCTAAGCAATTCTTTACTTTCTGGCCAAGCAATAGCATCTTATTGTGTATTTATTCTGCCTCAGTCCTGGAATCAGCCATTTGTCCTAGGAGCCTAATGTCTTTTACTGGGGATTGCTATTAGAGACCAAGATACTGGTGTTAGTTGTGCTCATTGCTTCTAGGCATTTTCAGGAGGCCATTATATGTATATATGTATATTTTTAGATGTATTCTTGCTTGAAGGAGGATATAGCTACCTTGCTCTTCTGAAGTTTCTTTTAACGTTAAATATCTCTTTTTAGAGAGCAATAGGATTTCGTATTGTTCAAAAGGATTAAGAATAAGAATGCTTAAAATCTGTTGTATGTTGAGTGAGTTCATGCTCTACGGACCAGAAATCTAGGGTACACATTTCCAAATGAGGAGCTCTTGCCCTTATACTAAAATGAGGACTTGGCTATGATTCTCTTTGTAGAGATCGGAAACTGGAGGAGAGAAGCACATAGCTTCTCCTGACACTTTGGCTTTCGTTATACAGTTGACAAGTGAACAACGTGGCTATGAATTGCACAGGTCCACTTATGGGATAATTTTTATGAGTAAACGTTTTGGAACATTTTTTTGGAAATTTGTGACAACTTGAAAAAACTTGCAGACAAATCTCATAGCCTAGAAATGTCAAAGAAGTTAAGGAAAAGTTACATAGGTCATGTATGCATAAAATATATGTAGATACTAGTCTATTTTATCATTTATTATCATAAAATATATACAGATCCATTATAAAACATTCAAACATATCAAAACTTAATGCACACATTTACAGATCACACAGTGACATTGCAGTTGAGAGAAATGTAAATAAATGGAAAGATATAGTATTAAGCTATAACTGCATAGAATTACCTGTAGTACATATGGTACTACTGTAATAATTTTGTAGGTATCTCTTGTTGCTATTGTGGTGAGCTCAAGTGTTGTATCTACTTGAGTACCTGCTTAAAATGCCCTGTGACGCTGATCATCTCTGAGTGAGCAATTTGTCTTTACGTTAAATTGCCTATTGCAGTTAAAAGTGATCACTCATGGTTCTCTCATATTTTTCATTGATTTAGTGCAGTACCATAAACCTCAAATAACACTAGGGGAGCCATACAGAGAGCCACTAGTGATGCTGGAAATTCTCCCAAGAAGCGGAGAAAAGTAACATTACAAGAAAAAGTTGAATTGCGTGGTATGTACTGCAGATTGAGATCTGCAGCTGCAGTTGCCCATCATTTCAAGATAGGTAAATCCAGTGTAAAAGACGATTGTTAAATAAGAGAAGGAAACTTATGAAGCTGTTTTTACATCTGTGCCAACAGGCATGAAAACATTGCGCTTTTTGCAAAATACTTTCTTTTTCTCATATTGAAAATGCAGCTTTTATGTGGGTGCAGGATTACTATAAGAAAGGCATACCTATAGACTCTAATATGATTTGAGAAAAAGCAAAGTCATTATGACAAAGCAAATGAAAGATAATTAATATTCTCTTAAGCTGGAGAATTTAATGCTAGCAAAGGATGGTTTAATCATTTTAAGAGGTTTGGCTTAAAAAATGTTAAGATAGCAGGAGAAGCAGTTTCTGTTGACCGAGAGGCAGCAGATGAGTTCCCAGATGCTAATATGTTTTGATCTGTGTGTGTGTGTCCCCACCCAAATCTCATGTCTAATTGTAATCTCCAATGTTGGAGGGAGGTTGTTGGATCATGGGGGCAGTTTCTCATGGTTTAACACACCACCCCCCGCCCCCCTGCCCTTTACAGCTGTCATCATGATCGTGAGTTCTCACGAGATCTGTAAAAGTGTGTGCATCTTCCCCATCTCTCTCTTCCTCCTGCTCCGGCCATGTTAAGATGTGCCTGCTTCCCTTTCACCTTCTGCCATGATTGTCAGCTTCCTAAGGCCTCCTCAGAAGCAGAGGCCACTCTGCTTCCTGTACAGCCTGCAGAACCATGAGCCAATTAAACCTGTTTTCTTCATAAATTACGCAGTCGGAGGTATTTCTTTATAGCAATGCAAGAACGGAGTGATACAGATACCATTAAGAAAATCATTGAGGAGAAAGGATATCTGCCTGAAGAGGTCTTTAATGCATGCGAAAGTGTCCTATTCTGGAAAAAAATGCCATTTATTAGTAAGGAAGAGAAATGAGCACCAGGATTTAAGGCAGGAAGGGGCAGGCTTACTACTGTTTTGTGCAAATGTAGTCAGGTTTCTGGTCAGGACTGCGCTTATCTATAAAGCTGCTGAGCCTTGAAGGGAAAAGATAAATGCCAGCTGCCAGTCTTTTGGCTATACAGCAGAAGGGCCTGGGCAACAAGAACACTTTTTCTGGACTGGTTCCTTTGATGTTTTTTCCCTGAAGTCAGGAAGTACCTTGCCAGTAAGGGACTGCCTTTTAAAGTTCTTTTCGTACTGGACAGTGGTCCTGGTTAACCCACGCAGAACCCGCATGTGTTCAACACTGAAGGCATTGAAGTGATCTACTTGCCCCCAAACACGTGTCTCTGATTCAGCCTCTAAATCAGGGGGTTATAATGACCTTTAAGGCTTTTTACACACAGTAGTCTATAGAAAGGATTGTCTGCTCTATGGAAGAGAACTCTAATAGAACCTCATGAAAGTCTGGAAGAATTACACCACTGAAGATACCATCATTGTTTTAGAAAAAGCTGTGAAAGCCATCAAGCCTAAAATAATAAATTTCTGCTGGAGAAAACTGTCTAGATGTTGTACCTGACTTCACAGGATTTACAACAGAGCTAATCTAGGAAATAATGAAAGAGATTTTGGATATGGCTAAAAGGTAGGGAGTGAAGGGCTTTTTTTTTTTTTTTTTGAGATGGAGTCTTGCTCTGTTGCCAGGCTGGAGTGCAGTGGCACAATCTCGGCTCACTGTGACCTCCGCCTCCCGGGTCAACCGATTCCCCTGCCTCAGCCTCCCGAGTAGCTGGGACTATGGGTACGTGCTACCATGCCTGGCTAACTTTTTGTATTTTAGTAGAGACGGGGTTTCGCCATGTTGACCAGGATGGTCTCGATCTCCTGACCTCGTGGTCTGCCCACCTCGGCCTCCCAGAGTACTGGGATTACAGGCATGATGCACTGTGCCTGGCCTGAAGTGTTTTAAGATACGGGTCTTGGCTGGGCGCGATGACTCATGCCTGTAATCCCAACGCTTTGGGAGGCCGAGGTGGGCAGATAACGAGGTCAGGAGATCGAGACCATCCTGGCCAACATGGTGAAACCTGTCTCTACTAAAAATACAAAAATTACCTGGGTGTGGTGGCGCGCACCTGTAGTCCCAGCAGCTTGGGAGGCTGAGGCAGGAGAATCACTTGAACCTGGGAGGCAGAGGTTGCAGGGAGCCGAGATGGCGCCACTGCACTCCAGCCTGTCGACAGAGTGAGACTCTGTCTCAAAAAAATAAATAAATAAAAAAAGATATGGGCCTTGAAGAAATTCAAGAGCTAATAGATAGACACCTTGATGGAGATGGGTGCTTCCAAATGAGTGCCAGACAATGAGGAAGACATAGAAAAAGCAGTGCCAGAAAATAAATTGACATTAGACCGTCTGGCAGGATTCTGATTATTCAAGACTGCTTTTGACTTATGTGCACTCTTCTATGATACAGACACTGCAGCTAAAGCAGATGGCGGAAGAAGGATTGGTACTGTATAGAGACATTTTTAGATACATTAAGAAACAAGAAAGTTAGATGGAACTTACAGTGTGTTTACAGTGTGTAAAGTTACACCCATCATGCCTGCCTCTCCTGCCTCCCCTTCCACCTCTTCTGCCTCTGTCACCTTGGAGACAACAAGCCCAGTCCTTCCTCTTCCTCCTCCTCTTCAGCCTATTTACTGTGAAGATGAGGAAGAAGACCTTTATGATGATCTACTTCCACTTAATAGTAATATATTTTTTCTTCCTTATGATTTTTTTTCTAGTTTTATTGTAAGAATATAGCATATAGTACATATAACATATAAAATATGTATTAACTGTTCGTATTATTGGTAAGGCTTCGAGTCAGCAGTAGGCTATTAGTAGTTAAGTCATTGGGAAGTCTGAAGTTATATACAGATTTTTGACTGTGCACGGCGTCAGCCTCTGTAACTTCTCTGTTCAAGGGTCAACGGTATGCCACTGTTGTAGAGTGGCTCTGGATGGAGAGAGGAAGTACGGTAAAACAAGTACATCTTGTTGCAGTAAAAAGTAACCTGAAGTAGATGATTATCTGTCTAGACCAGAGAATAAAACATTTTAGCTTTGCATCTCAAAGTGTCTTGGTGGTCTCCTAGGAAATTTGGTACTTCTTAATAGAGTTACTTTACCTTAAAAAGAAAATTTAAAATCTTAAGTCAGTTATCAATATTGCATCTTCAACATTTTTGTTTCACACTCTCAGTCTTTTATTCTGTGTGTGTGCTTGATCATAACTCAGGTTTTCCTCTGGATCTCTTACGCTGTGAAAGCCTTCTTGGTTTGGACCCTGCAACTTGCAGCAGAGTTCTAAACAAAAATTACACGCTGCTTGTTTCCATGGCTCCCCTCACCAATGAAATCCGGCCTGTCAGCAGCTGCACCCCTCAGGTAAAGACCTACTTGGAAGATCCACTTGGTAGTGTCATGAGTCCCATCAGTTTTGTTTTCTTCTCTATCTGCAGATACCAACTATTAAAATCACTGAATCATAGAAAGCAATTTTGTATTTTATGCCTTTGTAAGATGATATGTTCAATTTGTGGAGTGTAATTGGTATATTTTATATAAGTATCACCTAGTGACTTGTGACACATTAGATTAAAATTTATTCATGTACAGAATATTTTAAAGAGAATGTTTTAGGATGCTCCAGAAAGGAAGCTGGCATCATTTTGAGAGATAAGATAAATTTAATTAGGAAAAGTTAAATGTCTTCGAAGTGGGGCTGTGATTCTGAATAAGCCGAAAAGAAAAGATGGTGCTTGAAAGCTAGAACTCTGGTTAACTGTATAATTTATATGTGAAAATTCCTTCTGGACTTTTACTTAAAAAATATATATATATCAGTTGTATTCATTTGTATACTTAACAAGGAAGTTGTGGCCTGTGCCATTTTCAGAGTGGGGATTATGTTGCTGTTCTTCAGTGCTGCATCTTACCTGGGTTCCTAGACAATGCAGGGTTTAATGATGTAGCAGAAAGGAAGGGATTCTTGTACGCAGGTAATTTGCCTATGTTCTAGCTGCCTCAGTGAGCATCCTGTCTTCACACCAATTTTGTCCTTAGTATTCAACAAGAGATTTGCATCTAACTAACCTTTTTAAAATAATTCTCTGTGCACACCACCGAACCTCTCCTATTCTTTAACACAACCTCCAGACATGGTAGGAATCCATGAACTACTGCATAAATGGTAAAATGGATGGAAGGGTGGGCGATTCCTCTTGTGAAAATTGTATGTGATTAATGATAATAATAGCTAATACTTTAATATCGAGCTTATTATATTCCAAGTACTGTTTTAAGCTTTTTGAACAACCTTACAACATCCTCTTGAGGTAGATTCTTTATTGCTATTTTATAGATTGAGCAAAATGAGGCACAGAGAGCTTAAGTAACCTTCCTGAGGTGATATGGCTGGAAGGGCAAAACCAAGATTCCAAACTAGGCAGTCTTCTCCAGAGTGCATTCTCTTAATTGCAGTGACAAGACATAATTTCTTAATTCCAGTATAAAATTGAAACTATTTTAATGAAACATTTAAAGTTATTTTCTTGAGGATAGTTGCAGTTAACATTTATGTGAAGGGATTTGCTGTTTATAAGACTGTTCTCGGTCACTTATGTAACACTTTATTTTAACTTTATCTTAACTGTTTTATGATTGTAGCATATTGGACCAGCTATCCCAGAAGTCAGCTCTGTCTGGTTTAAACTGTACATTTATCATGTCACTGGACAAGGACCACCATCCCTTTTATTGTCCAAAGGTACAAGACTTCGAAAACTGCCAGATATATTTCAGGTATGTGTGGGAGGTTTGGGTGGTTTTTTTATGTGTGTGTGAGCAGTATGCTAGATAATTTCTTAATATTTTCCTTATTTCTGAATGCCATTTTACCTGTTAATTTCTTTTCAATAGAGTTATGATCGATTGCTAATAACATCTTGGGGTCATGATCCTGGAGTAGTTCCTACCTCAAATGTGCTCACGATGTTGAATGATGCTTTAACACATTCTGCAGTTTTAATTCAGGTACATTTATCTTATTTGAAATTTTGTCTTTTTATTATAAAGTTGATAATTTTTCTAGCTTTCTATATTGAGTTGCAATAAAATGTCAGTCATTTGAAATTTATGAAGTTGAAATGTAAAAAATCAGAGATATGGATTTTAGTCCTGGCCGTTTGGCAGTGTGGGAGTGGTAGAAATAACATGAACTTTGAAGTTAGACCCAGGTTTGCATTGCAGCCTCACCTGCTTGCTGCGTGACCATGATTTTTTTTATTTTTTTTTAAATAATAGCTTTACAGTAGTTTCCCCATCTGTGGGGAATATGTTCCAAGACCCCCAGGGGTTGCCTGAAACCACCAGTAGTACCCAACCCTATATATAGTACGTGTTTTCCTATATGTATATATATATATATAAATACCTGGGATAAAGTTTCATTTATAAATTAGACATCTCTTACTAGAGATTAACAACAATTACTAATAAGAAAATAGCATACTGTAATATAAGTTATATGAATGTGGTCTCTCTCAAAATACCTCGTTATACTATACTCACCTATTTTCAGACCTTGGTTGACCACAGATGATAACTAAAACCATGGAAAGCAAAACCTCACATAAAAGGGGACTATTGTATTGAGTATATAATTCACATACTGTACAATTCACCAATTTAAATTGTGCAGTTAAGTGGGTTTTAGTGTGTTCACAGATATGTACAGCCATCACCACACTCAATTTTAGAACATTTCATTACCTTAAAAAGAAACCTTGTATCCTTTAGTGATCACTCTTCTATTTTCTCCCCGCTACTCATCTCCTTCCCTCTAGTCTTAAGCAACACTAATCTACTTGTTGTCTCTATAGATTTGCCGAATCTGGGCATTTATGTGAATGGAATCATATATAATATGTGGTCTTTTGTGACTGGCTTCCTTCATTTAACATAATGTTTTCAAGGTTCATCATGTTGTCATAGTATCAATACTTCATTCCTTTTTGAGGCCAAATAATGTTCCATTTTATGGATATGCCACATTTTGTTTATTCCTCCATCAGTTGATGGACATGTGGGTTGTTTTCACCTTTTGGCCATTATGAAGAATGCTGTCATAAACATTTGTGTACAAGTTTTTCTGTGGACATATGTTTTTATTTCTCTTGGCTATATATGTATAGGGATGGAATTACTGGGTCATATGGTAATTCCATGTTTAAGCATTTAAGGAACTGCCAGACTGTCTTGCAAAGTGGCTGCATCATTTTACATTCTCACGGGCACTTGATATTATGTGGCTTTTTGATGATAACCACCTTAGGAGGTGTGGAATGGTATCTCATTATAGTTTTGATTTACATTTTCCCGAAGACTAATAATGTTGAGCTTCTTTGCATGTGCTTATTGGGCTGTGTGACATTTTCATGATAAACCTTATACTTTATTTCCCACCTATAAAATGGAGATGGCAATATCTATTGTATAATAACAAACACTTATAATAATGGCAACTAGTGGTAAGGTAAGCAGTTTATGCTCATAGAATTGAGAGAATGAAATGAAAATGTACGTGTCAAATGTGTAGCACACTTGCTGGCACATAATAGGTTCTCCGTAAAGATTTCGTCAGTTCATCTAACAATTGAATGTGCATATTTTGCGCTAATTAATATCAATATGCAAATAAGACAGGGCCCCTCATCTTCAAGGAATTTAAGGATGGTGGGAAAAGCTGCATAAGCACTCAGTTTCAGTTTATCGAATAGAATTACATATAGTGGAAGACTTAAAAAGAACTATCCAGTCCAGCCTTGGGGCAAGGAGAAGGGCTTAGGGGAGGTTCCTTAGAGAAAGTGAGACCCAGGCTGAATACAAAAGGATGACTTAAAAGAAGCGAGGTAGTAGGGGTCAGCATGATTAAATCTCTGGGCAAGGATTTTTTTTTTTTTCTTTTTTCTTTGCTGCTATTTTTCTAGTGCCCAGCACGGTGCTTGGGTCATAGTAGTTGTCCAGTTAGTGTTTGTGGAATAAATAAATAAGAATATGAAGTGACATAACATGCCAGGGTCAATAAGCTGTTCAGTGTTTTTGAGGGGTGAGTTGGAGTGTGAGGGGGTTGTGGTCAGAGACAAGTCTGGAGAAGTAGGCTGGCCCTGCAGTGCCGCCTGCCTTGAGTGTCCTGCCGTGGAACTGAGAAGTTGACCTGTAGATTGATGGTAGCAATTACAGGGGGGTAACAGGGATTAACATGGTCAAATTTGTTTCAGGAATCAACCTTGGGATGATATTGAGAATGGGAGGGAGTGGGGAGACACCTGAAGCAAGAAGACCAGTTAGGACTGTGTGTAGTAGTTTAGATAAGAGATAAAGATAGCCCGGATCAAGGACATGGTAATAAGAATTGAAAGGAAAAATGGATTTAAGAACTACTACAAATATACAATTAATAGAATTGATCAGATATCTGAGAGAGATGGGAAGAGGGAAGAAAGATTCTGGGGTATTTGACTTGTGAAGGTAGAAGGGTGGTGATACCACTACTGTAGGGAACATAGGAGGAAGTGACATCACAGGAGGTGGTGATATCACTACTCTAGGGAACACGGGAGGAAGTGATATCATGGGAGGTGGTGATACCACTACTCTGGGGAACACGGGAGGAAGAGCACATTTATGGGGCAGATGATGTGTTGTGTTTATATGGTGCCTGTGGTAATTGGAAATATTCTGAAATTCAAATGAGAGGTTAGACAAGAGTGATTAAGTGTCAGCATCAGGTGGTAGATGGTAGTTGAAACCATGAGAGGATGAAATTAGCCAGGGAAGATATATAGTATGGGGTGGTCGTGGGAGATAGCATCATAGAATGGGCTAGACATGGACTTAAGTCAGACTGCCTAAACTCAGATCTTGGTTCCATCATTTACTAGTAATCTTAGACAAGTTAAATACCTTTTTGAACTTTAGTGTCTTTACCTATAAACTGGAGATAAAGTTCCCATCTTTTTAAAGTTTTTGAAAAGAATGACTTGAGCACTGTGTTTAGCACATAGGAAGATCTCAGAAAACGTTATTGTGTTGGTAGTGGCAGTAGAAGTAGAGTGAAGGAACAGTGGGTGATTCCACGAGCTTCAGTTTTCCTTACCTTTAAAATGAAGGGTGGCTGGGTGCAGTGGCTCACGCCTGTAATTCCAGCACTTTGGAAGGCTGAGGTGAATTGCTTGAGCCCAGAAGTTGGAGACCAACTTGGATAACATAGTGAAACCCTGTCTTAATTTATAGTAACAAATCTTTCTTGAATAAAGTAAAATGAGAGAGGTGGTTTCCAAGGTCTTTTCTGTAGGTGGTACTCTGTAGATCAAGCTAAGTTAGGTTTTTTTTTTTTTTGGATGGGGGCTAGTGCAAAATATGGATAGAAAAACAAATCAGCAGACAGTACCTGTTTTTATTTATTTATTGTTTTGAGACACGGTCTCACTCTGTCACCCAGGCTGAAGTCCGTGGCATGATCACAGCTCACTGCAGCCTCGACTTCCCCTGGGCACAAGAGATCCTCCTGCCTTAGCCTCCAGAGTAGCTGGGACTACAAGCTCACGCCACCATGCCTGGCTAATTTTTTATAGAGACAGGGTTTCACCATGTTGCCCAGGCTGGTCTCAAACTCCTGGGCTCAAGTGATCTGCCCGCCTTGACCTCCAAAAGTGCTGGGATTACAGGTGTGAGCCACCACACCAGGCTGACAGTACTGTTTTTAAAGTGTTTGTTAAGGAGTTTTGCTTTTGCTAAAGAAAAATGCCTTTTTAATTAAATTTGATGGAAATAAATTTACCTTATTGGAATTTAAACGTGTTACAAATTAAGATTTTTGGTTAAAACCATAATTTATTTTAGCCATCAGGTTTAGGAAATAAAAGAGAGCTCTCAGAAATATATTTAAATAGTTATATGAAACAACAAAAAGAGTATGCTTTCCTTTGGATATATCAGGGTTTCTTGAATTTGAATAATGTATGGGTCTCTCTTAAAGGGAAGAATTTGGAGATCCTCAGTATTAAATTTCTATTGTAACAGTTCTAAATACATGTAGACATAATGTTAAGTTCTTCATGCTTCTTGTTATTACACAACTACAAATTCAAATCAAATTTTGGAATTAAATATAAGCAAAGCTTTAAAACAAAACTCAAATGAACAATATTAATTGAATGTGATAGATGAAACTGAATTATCATTTGTAACATGAGAGTGAAGTGGGTAGACTCAGATTTTTTAAATTTAATTTTTGAACTAATAGTACATTCACATGATTCAAAAATAAAACGTTATTAAAAGGTGTAGAGCCTGGGCGCGGTGGCTCACACCTGTAATCCCAGTACTTTGGGAGGCTGAGGCAGGTGGATCACCTGAGGTCAGGAGTTCAAGATGAGCCTGGCCAACATGGAGAAATCCAGTCTCTACTAAAAATACAAAAAAATAGTTAGCCGGGTGTGGTGGCGGGCGCCTGTAATCTCAGCTACTCAGGAGGCTGAGGCAGGAGAATTGCTTGAACCTGGGAGGTGGAGATTGCAGTGAGCCAAAATTGTGTCATTGCACTCCAGTCTGAGTAACAGAGCAAGACTCTGTTTTAAAAAAAAAAAAAAAAAAAAAAAAAAAAAAAGAGGTATAGGTCGAAAAGTATCACTCCCCTGCTAACCCTATCAAGTTTCCACTCCCCATCTCTCCTCCAAATCAGATAATTTCATCTGTTCATTTCTCCTATATCCTTCCAGAGTGTCTTTATGCATATGCAAGTACCTGCACACAGATGTGCCCCTTACCTTTTCCATTTAGCAATTGGAGATCTTTCCATTGCAGGTCATAGCTTTCTTTCATTTATGAACCTCCATTGAAGATATGTCTCCTAATTTAGTTAACCAGTCCCCTGTTGGTGGACATTTTGGTTGTTTCCAATTATATGTAATTATTTATCGTAGCAAGTAATTCTGAATATATTTTATTTCAGGGCAGGTTTTTGAGTTTTGCATTCTTAGCCTGTGGTATGCTATGTGATTATGGGGATTCTTCCACCACTTTTCCCTCTCAGAACTCTAGCTAACCTTTGTGTGAATAAACTTGGCCTCCTCATTCACTCTTCACTTGGCTAACACCTGATTTGCCTGTTAAATTGGCCTCCTTTTTTTGCATTGGCCTATACATTCAATTTGAGAAACATTGCCTTATAGATTATTATACACATAAGATTGTCACTGCTTGCTGAAGAAAAATAGAAAATTGTTGAAAGAATTTTGATGAGGTATTAATATGGAATATACCATTACATGACACAATCTTATTTACTTTTGAATATCAGTGATTGGAAATGAAGGTTTCTTGTATACCTTTTAACTTTTGTTTATGTTTAGGGGCATGGTCTGCATGGGATAGGAGAAACTGTCCATGTCCCATTTCCATTTGATGAAACAGAACTACAAGGAGGTACCTTTTGAATTGTATCTATTGACTTTTTTTTTTTTTTAATTATTACTCATGTCAACAGTTTGGTGGAAAACATGGCAGGAAATGAATTCTTGAAATTTTTAAGTTCTAGGTTCTTTGCTACTAAAGAGTGTTGGCAAAAGGTAGTTTTTTGTCATGTGCTTTGCCATCCACAAAGAACTGTTAGAATAAGACCCGTTTAGGATTTTTGAAAGACTACTAGTCTGTCTTGGAATAAAGAGAATAAGTAGATATCTGCCTAGATGGAAGACTTTTCTCTGTTTCTCCTTTTTTATCATTCACACAACTGTCTAATACTTCATAAAGTCTAAGGAAAAAAATAATTGTTTACCTGGAGATGCAGATAGTGACAACAGGATCTTAAAATTTACAAAATCTCAAAAACTGCTTAGTAGATCCTTTGCCTTGGGGGATTATTGTGTGAATTATAAAAAAGAGGTTTCTTTATATTTGAATATAGAGCATTTTTCTCTTTTATAAGTTCACATATTTATGAGAACTTGAGTTAAGATATAAATAATTTAGGCATGTGATTTCAAGTACATTGTTAGCTTTAGTTTCAGTAAGAATGACAACTTTATATATTTCTTTTTTGGAATCAATTATGATGTATTAAAGTATAAAAGTAGTTCTAAGAGTTGTTTAATAAAGTATGTTTAAGCTGTTGGCGTTGTGTTATTAGAAACTGTTCATTAATGTGATGTCCGTTCTGTTTGTAGAGTTCACTCGTGTCAATATGGGTGTTCATAAAGCATTGCAGATACTAAGGAACAGAGTGGACTTACAGCATCTCTGTGGATATGTCACCATGTTGAATGCTTCCAGCCAACTTGCAGATAGAAAACTCAGTGATGCTTCTGATGAGAGAGGTTAGCCAATAGTTGGATTCTTTGGATTAAGATAATTGGTTTTGAGTTTGACACAGTGTTAATATATGAAAAGCAGCAGACCTTTGTGGGGATGCTGAATTATTGAATACTCAATATTCTTTCACTGAAGCACGAGGAAATATTTTGGAACATCATTTGGACAAATGTCAGTTGTTCAAATGAAGAAAATAGGATTGGGGTACAGAATGGTTTGGGACTTTTGGGTGCTCTACTGTCATATCTGTGTTTATTAGGCTTTATTAGGTTAGCTTTATAGGGTGATGGTTTCAAAACTCAAGTCTCTTTATACAAGTGTTTCCAAAATTGACTTAATAGTTTTTCCCTTTCAACTTTTTCTGTCAAAAGGTACCATTGTCTTAATTATCTAGGTCTAAAATCTTACCTTTGTCTCATTCTTTCCTTTTTCCACTATGTTCAGTTAGTTTCCAAGTTCTGTGAATTAGGCTTTAGATAAGTCTCTCATGTCCATTTCTTCCCCTTTCTCTTCATTTTAAATTCTCTGTGACTGCTCTTCTTGTCTGGGTCTTGAACTTTAAACCTTAAACATGTGCTGTTGCAACCATTCCCTGCTTAGCCTTTCTGGCCTCTCCTTTCTATCTCCAGTCTGTCCTACATATTGACAATAGCTAATTTTCCTTAGATATCACTTACTTTTTTTTTTTTTAATTTGAAAATCCATTTTCAAATCACCTTCTCATGCTTACTAGTTGTTTCTGCTCTGGCATAATATTGGCATATATGTGGTTTGGGTTGCCGTGGTGCCAGTTCTTATCCATTGACTCTGGGAGATCTTTCATTATCTCCCATTGATTGACAGTATTCCATGAGCCTCTTAGTTTGAAATTCTGAGGAAATGTGATTGATTACTTGCCATCCAGTAGATTGGGTTGGCTCCCATTGAGATAGGTACTTACTCCTATCTCATTTGTCTTTGGCCAAATAGTTGACTGCCAAATATTGCAGGAGCATTTTCTAGAGAAGAGGGCTATGACTTAAGCAGTCATTTCAAAGCGTATCTACTACAGCTCTCCTTTTTTATGTCATTCATTCCACAAACATTTATGGAATACCTGCTTAGGTGCTGGAGCAATTTAATAAGACCAGGCCAGGCATGGCCAGGTACAGGCTCATGCCTGTAATTCCAGTCCTCTGGGAGGCTAAAGCAGGAGTATTGCTTGAGGCTAGCAGTTTGAGACCAGTCCGGGCAATAGAGCAAGACCCTGTCTCTACAAAAAAAAAAAAAAAAAAAAAAGAAACAAAAAAGACAATGTTGTTCCAAGGATGAAAACCCTAGAGAGGAGACGAGTGAGTCAGTATACAGTGTGGTGTTATTGACTATGATGGGGTCTGCATAAAGCGCTAACACAGCACAGAGAAGGCCTCTTAGAGAAGGTGAAGTTTGAGTTTTGAAAATTGAAGAGTTAGGTAGACAAAAGATAATGTGTTTTTGGAGGGTGGCAGCCTTTCAGGCAGAGGGGAATTAGAAAACAGTAGTTCATTGTGGCCAAAAGAAAGGATTTGTTGGACAGTAGTAGAAGATGAGAGTAGAGAAGTAGATAAGGTCTAAGGGATCTTGGAGGATCTTCTGTGCTGAAAGATAATGAGTCAGAAAAGAACTTTGAAGAGTAATAACATAATCAGACTATATATTTCCACAGGGGTGCAATTGGCTTCAGTAACTTGGGTCCTCCTTTTTGAATTTTGTTTCTTTAGGTCAGGGTTTCTCAATCTCAGCACTATGTGCAGTTTGAGCTGGCTAATTCTTTTCTGTGGAGGATTGTCCTGTGTATGGTCAGATGTTTAGCATTCATAGATACGAATAGCATCCCTGTCTTCATTCGTGTCCCTTGGGGATCAAAATTGCTCCCCTGTTTAAAACCACTTATTTAAGCCAAGGATTATGCATTTTCTTTCTGTCATCATTACTATTGTCTGAAGTCTTTTCCATGTTAGGACTGATTTATTGGCAGCTTCTGCTAACTGCTAGAATCCTAATATTGTGTATGCCCTTTAATTATAAGGAGAACCTGATTTGGCTTCTGGCTCAGATGTAAATGGGAGTACAGAGTCATTTGAAATGGTCATTGAGGAAGCAACTATAGATTCAGCAACAAAGCAAACCTCTGGTATGGTGCTAAAACTTTTTCCAATTTTATTAGACTAATTTCTGAGGTTTAACTTTTATGTTAAGGCATTTGCATGCCATTTGTCTATTCTTATTATTCATACGACTTTTAAATAAGAGTTTTCTAGGAAGCCTTTTTACATACTTAGAAAAATAATTCAAGTATTATAAAATTATGACTTGAAAATAATCTTATTCCTGTGGTAAATGTTTTGATTCATTCTCTCATCTTACAGATATCTTGCAATACTCTTTTTTGGGCAAATGACTACTTTGAACATTGGATGAAAGCTATGTACCTTCTCAGACACATGTTTATACCCTAAAAATGCCTATCCTGTTTAGAGATTAACTGACCCCCTTCAATTTCTTCCTCCCCTGCCAAGCCCACTGGTGGATATCAGTGGGGCAGGAGGAATCTATGAACTTCAGGTTAAGAAACCCTTGTCAGTTATATATAATATATACATAAGTAGATATATATGATAAAAAAATAAGTTTATGTATCCTTTCTTAGGTGCCACAACAGAAGCAGATTGGGTTCCTCTCGAGCTGTGCTTTGGAATTCCACTGTTCAGTTCCGAATTAAACCGGAAAGTTTGTAGGAAAATTGCTGCACATGGCCTTTGCAGAAAAGAGAGGTGAGGGTTTATATTCGCTGTCATATTTTCATATCAATTTTTAAGCTGTCAGCAAATAGTTACCATATCTTACTTTTATTCCACACATGAGCACAGTAATTGTTCTGTATATATTTGTTGATTGAATAGAGATCGCTAGTTTAAGGGTTTTGCTGTATTTTTCAAAATTAAATTTCACTAGATCAGAAATTAGTCACAGGCAAACATTTTGGGCACATGTTTTGATTATATTTATTTAGTAATCTAGGTGAGGTGAGGGTGTGGTGAAATGGGCATGCTGATATGGAGTATGAACCTAGATTTTAAAAAATGTATGTCTACAGAAAATTTCTCTGCATTTCTCTCACTCCTAACATACACACACTCATGTTATATTCTGTTAATAGTGATTGGTTTTTGTGGTGGAATTATGATGACTTTGCAAAATTTTCTTCACTTTCTACATTTTCTAAAATGGATATGTATTACTCCTTAAAGATGACATGTAGGTTTTATCTTATATACCAGCTCTGATCCATTGTGAGTAGCTGCTAAGAGGCAATGTTGTAAAGGTTCTGAGACAAACTGGGTTAGCAGGAAAGAGTATAATTGAATCTAATTGTCATGATAGGTGGCTTGGAGAGGTGAAATCCACAAGTCAAGATCTTCTTATTTTAGAAAATGAAGTTGGACAATAATTCATTTAAATGGTGTAATGTAGCTTTTATCAGAAAATGAAGAGTACTCAGTTGACAATTTCAACATCTATTCTCTAAAAACAAAGTAATATACATGAGTAAAAAATAGAAATACTATAGAACTTTAAAGATTACCACTATAATTTTTACTGACTTACATATTTGAAAAATATTTAGGTAGGTTGGTGTGTGTTTAATCTGTTATCAGGTTGTCTTTTGCAATTACTTTGGTTGTTTAAAGGTTGTGTCATAGTTGTCATTCCTCAGAGTGCCTAAATCTTCATTTGAAAAGTTTTCTTTCATTTAACATTTATGTTTATAGTAGTTGAATTTTTTTAAAACAATAACTTTGATTTTAGTTACACGATGTATTTTATTTCAAAATGGACTTTTAATGCATGACTACTCCCTATTATTAAAACAAGCAAAAATTTCATTGATGAGAAACACTGAAATTGTTTTTTAAGATGTTTTGTGATTGGCCAGGATATATAGATGCATTTAAATTGCTAAAATTAAACTCTTATGAGAAACTCATTCTTGCCTTTATGTTTGTTTTAAACTGTTTCTCGCCTTTTTTTTTTTCAGCCTTCAAAACCTCTTACATTCCAGTAGAAAACTCTCTCTGCAAGTCCTTAACTTTGTTCACTCATTCCAGGTAACAAAAACCAAAAAGTCCAAATGGTACTTGTACTGAGCTTTAAGTATGCACAACACTTCTGTGTTTGTTTTTGAGTCACCACAGCAGCAAGATATGAAATAAACATTAATTTTATTGTACAAATGAAGACATTGAGATTCAAGAAGTTAATGGACTTGCACATTTCACTCGCCAGGTCTTCGGAGACCAAAGCTTGATCTCTTTGTTCTGTGCCAGTGCTTTATTCAACAGAAATGTGTTAAGTGTCTTTTATGGGCTGTGTGCCATGCTAGGTGTTAGTTTTTGGTTATAGCGCACTTCCCAATAACTAAAGCGATTCTCCACTGCTGGGATGGGCTGTCTGTTGTGGCAGCGAAGGCCAGTGCTCTGGACTTCTTGTTTTTCCCCCATCCCCAAGGAAAGAAAGAATATTCTAGACTTGATTTATAGGTAAACTTTTAAAATAGAATATTTCTGTTCAGAATATCTAATTCAACGTTATGAAATCAATATTTTGGAGTTTTACTTCATTCATTCAGTTGGTAAATGCTTGACCCTGACCTATGCCAGATTCTTTGCTGAGTGCTGTGGAAACAGTGATGTGTAAGATACTAATGGAACTTAGAGAATGTTGTGGGAGACAATAATCAGATAAATATTAAGATATATAAGTTCTAAAAGATTTTAAAAAGTACTTTGAAGAAGCCAACTATGATGAAATCTGCAGGTAGACCTAATTTCAATAGGTGCAGGATAATATAAGCTGAAGCCAAAAAGTTGGAAAAGAATATTCCGGCAGAGCTTAGGTCTGTACTTCCTGTGTCTGGGAAATGTCCAGTGAACAAAGAAACAAATGAAGCCCAGTGTGGCAGAAACTTCATGAAAGAGGGGTAGAAGCAAGAGGTAAGGTTGAAGAAGAGGGCCGGAGCACGGTGTGCAGGGCCTTCTGGCATATGTTAGAGAACTAGTATTTTACGTTGAGTGCAAAGAGAAATGATTAAAGACTTTTAAACAGGGGAGAGAGGTTATTTCTGAAGGACTATTTTATAAAAATAGGCAAAAATGGAAATTTTATAAGGATGCAATAAATGGAAAAATTTCAAAATTCTGTCAATACTGGCCTGTCTGTTGTGGCAGTGAAGGCCTTGGCCATAGTGAATTAATAAATTAAACTAATTTGGGATATATTTTGGAGATAGGTTGATAAAACTTGATGATGAATTAAATGTGAGGAAAAGATTAGGGCTGTGGAGGGAAGGGAGGGGAGGGATCATGAATGATTCTTATGTTTTTTGATTAGCTGGATGTGTGAAATAGAGAAGACTGGGGAGGAAGAGGGGAGGGAAAATTTGAGAGTTCAATGATGGGCATACTGAGTATAGAGTGCATGGGGAAGCATCTGAAATGAAGTGTCAGATAGGTGGATGTTTGAGCATGGAGTCCTGGGGGGAGGTCTGTGCGGAATATATGAATCTGAGAAGCGTGGAGTAGGTGGATTATTCTGGTGCTTAGTGTTTTGTAAGGTTTTTTTTGTTTGTTTGTTTTGTTTTTTCCCCGAGATGGAGTCTGGCTGTGTTGCCCAGGCTGGAGTGCAGTGGCACGATCTCGGCTCACTGCAACCTTTGCCTCCTGGGTTCAAGCCATTCTCCTGCCTCAGCCTCTTGAGTAACTGGTATCACAGGCATGTGCCACCACACCCAGCTAATTTTTTTGTATTTTTAGTAGGAAGAGGTTTCACCATGTTGGCCAGGCTCGTTTTGAACTCCTGATCTCAAGTGATTCACCCGCCTCAGCCTCCCAGAGTGCTGGGATTACAGGCGCACAAGCCACTGCACCTGGCCTTTGTAAGTTTTTTTTTTTTTTTAGAGATTTTTCTTCTGTTAGGTAATACTTTGGGGTTAGGTTAGGTCTTGTAAAAATGAACTTTTGCTTTTCCCACAGTCTCGTAGCCTCTTATTTCTATTTAAAAGGACTTACTACAGTTTAACGTTGTTAGTCATTTTTGCACATATTAATACCTGTCATTGATTGCTTTGGGCTCACAGTGTAGATCTTTGCATCTCCTGTACTGCTTTGCAATCCATAAACACTTCTCAGGTAATCAAGGTCTCTCTTTCTCATTAGTTATATTAAGTGGTTTTGGTAAAGTGTTGAATATCATTTCTCTTGTTTCTTGATCTTTTAGGAAGGTGCTTCAATATTGGATATTCACACAGAGCCCAGTTTTTCAAGTTTGCTTTCACAGTCATCGTGTGCTGACATGGGTGTTCCACTTCCTGCAAAAAACTTAATATTTAAAGATGGTGTCTTATCAGAATGGAGTGGACGGTCACCTTCCTCACTTCTTATTGCTAATCTCCATTTGCAATAATTTGGTTACACCATTTGTTGCTCACACTTTCTGCCTTTTTTCTTTCTTAACGTTAGCTTTATAGTGTCAGCCACTAAAAAGCATCCTGCTGCTGCAGTGCAATTCTTGCTTAACTAATATTAAAAGTTGGGGAACATATTCATGTTTTCTGAAGTTTTGCTCATTATTGCACATCTTATTGCGACAAAGTGCTTTTTAGCAGCCAGCACTGTATTTTTTACCTTGAGACAATCTGCATTTCTTTTATAAAACTAAGTATATACTTTATAGGCTTTATGATGACTGTTATGTTTATAAGCAGTCACTATGAAAATTGCAATGGTAATTTTATATGTTAGTTTATCAAACATAAATCTTGTTTAATTTTATATTTTGTTACCTATACTTTGGGGGATCAAGGGAAGAGATGGAACTCTTCCTCTGAAAAGGCTTCTTGGTACTTAAAGTAGTAAAACTATAAAACAATAAACATCCAGTATTGAGAGATGATATGATAGGGCATTATGAATTCCTATGGGTGTCTGTAAATTATGTATGTCAGTTGGACATTGTAGAAGGTATGTAAATCAGCATAGTTGTGTATAACTTAACCTTGATTTATAAGGTCTTAAGATTATGACTATTCATTGACATCTCATGAGAAGCTTTAGAAGACTTTCTATTTTTAAACACCATTTATATGTGGACTTCTGTTGTCACTGACTTTGGGCTTTATATTTTCATAGAGTCTTTATGGAAAAAATAGAATTTATTTTCCACTCTTGTAGCTATAGCTGCTGCACACTTTCACCCTGATTTATTTTTTTGTTTCTTAGCTTTGATGTTTTCAAACCAAGGATTGTGATTTTAGGTTAGAATTACATATTAGAAGCATTAAGACTATGTCTTTGGATCAGAATGCTTTAGTGATAAACCTACTTTGAAGACATACTCTTAAGCAATCTGGATCTTAAATTTATGTGAATACTTTTTTAGAAAATGATAAAGAAAAATGGAATTACTTCAAAGTGTTTCTTGAGTCATTGATTCTTTTAGCATCTCAAATGTTAATTAGAATAATTGGAATCACTTTTTAGACTTTTCAAGTTACCTTCCTTGGGAAGTTTGTGCAGTGTTATAGTTTAGTTTAGCTCCTCTTACAGGGTAATGGTTTGCTAGTTTAAAACTGTAACCAAACGAACTGGTCAGACAACATATATCTAAAACACTTAAAATGTTAGGAAGTTTGGGAATGTTATAACCTAAACGTTTTTGCTGGTAACTTTTTGTTATTTATAGATATTTGTGTATTTAACATACATACTTCAGGAAATATATGCCTTTCCTAAAACTTAACCATGCATTCAATACCATGGCCTATCTATAGAATTGAATATTTTGGACCATGTTATCTGTGGCACAGTCAGTGCTGTGTTTGAGGTAAATGCAGTAACGGTTAGTTTTCTACTTTGTCTTATAGAAGGTAGAAACCATGTGTATGTTATGTTTGTCTATAAAAGAAAAAATACTAATATTAAATAATTTCTTACGACTCTGAGTCACTCACTTATTTTTCCAATAATTGATATTGTACATTCCTAGTGCCATTAGGTATGTATGTATGTAACTTTTACAGTTTTTCAGCTGAAAGTTGTAAGTATTTTTTTTTTTTGATCGGGGCTCTTTAATCTCATTTTAATTTCCTTTGTTTGAACTGTAGTTATTTTATTTATTCCTATATTAACCATCTAAACCAACTGTAATGACATGTACACTAATACAGAATTGAACATTTGTAGTTGTTGGCAGTGAACCCAGTTGTTGGTGAATTTAAAGCTTAAAATATGGGAATGATTTGCTGCTATATTTCCTTTGAGAGAGAAAGGAGGAAGAAATAGAACCTAATAGTGATCATGAATTTTAGGGAAAGTACCGAAGAACCATGGGGTCCCCTCTGGTTTCTTGTGTTGAATGAGGCAAGGGTAATCATCTGATTCCGAGCTGAAGACCTCTGGTCCTCTTAAGGAGGGAGAGTGCATTTTTAGAGCTTTTAGCAAAATGTGAAAAGCTGATGTTTGCGCCTTGCTTTGTGAATTTGGCTTTGTTTTACTTATACATTAACTCATGTAATCTCTTAAATCTTACAAGCATTGATCCATTTCAACAAAAAGGTAAATTTAAAATGCAGACTTTGTTATTTGCCAAAGAAGATTCATGAAAAATTTACGTCCAATTATTTTGCAAATAGTTAATTTCATTTGGCTTTTTACCATGTTCCTTCCTTTCTTTTTCCCGCTTCCTTAATGTAATTTAAACCCTGGCAAACATTCTTTAGAAACCAAGAGGAAAGAAAGAACAAATATCAAAAAAGACATAGAATTTAATATTGATACAATTTCACCTCTAAAATGGATTTGAAGAAATGCAACTTTATATCAAAAAATGTCATCTGATTTCCTTTGTTTCTTTTTTAAATTATGTAATCAGATGATTTTATGTTTTTTTTTCAGGGGAGCGGAATATTGGTTTCTTTTACTTGTTGTTTTCAGTTTTCTCTGCCATTCATGTTTCTTTTTTGTGTTCAGTGTTTCAAATACAATTTGTATTTAAGGATTTTAAAATACCAAACTGTAACTGAGTACAGTGGATCGTTTTCTGTTAGGATGTTAATATTATACAATGAAATCTATAAAGTGTTGTCAATTTGATTATTGACACATATAACATGTTTACAAATAAACTGTGGTATTGATCAAGTTACTATGAAAATGTGTTTAATTTTCTGAAAGTTCCTGTCTTAATTTTAAATACAACCATGGTTTGGTGCTGTGGCTTTCCTGTACTTAAAAAAAAAAAAAACCCACAAAAAACTTAATTATTTTGTAGTAATTTCAGATTTACAGAAACTGGCAAAGATAGTCAGATGTTCCCTGTACCCTTCACTGAGCTTCCCCTAGCGTGGACACCTTCTGTAAACTATGGCAGGTCTATGAAAACTCAGAAGTTAACCCTGGTACTAGTATTTTCTAAACTGCACACTTGATTAGGCTTTTACCAGTTTTCCCACTAATGTCTTTTTGTTGTCAAGATCCAGTCCAGGATACCACATCGCATGTATTTAGTTATCAGTGTCTCATTAGTCTCCTCCAATATAACATTTTCTCGGTCTTTCATGACCTTGACACTAGAAAGAGTACCGGTCAGTTATTTTGTAAGACATCCTTCAGTGTGGGTTTGTCTGATGTTTCCTCGTGATTAGACTGAGGCTACGTTTTATCAGAAAGGGTACTACAAAGGTGATGTGCCCTTCCCCCCAGTACAACATATCTTAGGGTACATGATGTCAGTATGTATCACTGGTGATGTTTCTTTATTGGGTAAGATGGTGTTTGCTAGGTTTTTCCACTGTAGGGTACTCGCATTTCTATTGCTGGGCCTGTGTATTCCGGCTATGGAGAATACCTGGAGAGGCAGCCGCCATATGCTGGTCACTGATTCAAAGCATATACCGTAAGATAGCTCTAAGAACCGCAGATATACACATGTGTGAGACTCTCGGAGCTGAGAGAGCTATAAATTGTTATTACTGGTGAGTTATAAGTTGATTCAAGCTCTGTAGAAAACAATTTGGCACAATCTTATAAAGTTGAGCATTTGCATATCCTGAGGCCCAGCAGTTCTAATCCTAAGAAGGTCTTAAGAGGCAAGTAGCAGCATTGTGTGTAATTGTAGCAAAACATTGGAAACAACCCAAAAGTCAGTAGAAAGGAGAATGAGACCAGGTATGATGGCATACACCTGTAGTCCCAGCTACTCAGGAGGCTGAAGATAGAACTCCTTTGTGCCCAGGAGTTTGAGTCCAGCCTGGGCAACATAGCGAGACCTCAGCTCTAAAAAATCAATTAAAAATTTAAAACAGAAGAATGAACAAATGATTGTGTTACGTTTACATATAGATATTTAGATACATTTCAGAAGTGAAAACATTTAAGCTATAACTATGTTCTTTTAAAATTATAACATCCATTTAATGGATGGTTACAATATTTTCTAGTTTCTAGTGCTCCCAGCTGTTAGGATCTGCAGGTGTTCTATGGGTCCAGGCAATGTTACATGTCAGTAATAATGGTACAATGTGGGATATTTGTGCTGTTCCTAGGTTAAGGGAGACATCAAGGAGGGAGCCTTCAGCTTCCTTTTCTAGGCATTCTAAGTACAGCTACGAAATTCTGGGATCTGGGGAGGGAAGTGAAGTCTCCACAGTCTGTACCCAAGCCTGCATGTCATTATTCTCTTTCCAGTCCTGTGCCTCACTCCATTTCAGCCTCTCTGGTTCAGCTTTCCCTTAGTATCCTAGCTGGATGGGGAAAGAGGTGGTATTTAGGGGATTAAATGCTCTTAATAATGAACTCTTATTTTCTGATAAATTCCTCTTCCTCTGCTCTGCAAAGCCATCTTCCAGTTCCAAGTATCTGCTTTCTGTCTTCGTGTCCTGTGGTTTGGGTTACAAACCCCTCATAGTTTTATCACTGATTGTTTCTGTTTCTCATTCTCCTTGTGGTTTTAGTGGGTGGTTGCCAAGAGGAGAAGAGCAGAAAGTTCTTAAACATTTTCAAAGCAGAAATCCTCCCAGCCTCATTATGTTTTTATTTCTTTTTGTTAGGGAACATATACAAAAGAAGGGAGAATAGTATAGTGAAGCTTCATGCACCCATCACCCAGTTTCCACAGTGATTCATGTTTAGCCCCTCATTGCATATATACAAAACAAAGACCACTTATATATGTATATATGTGTGTGTGTAAATATACACACACACACAACGATACTATTTCCCCCACCACTAGATTATTTTAAGGCAAAACTTGGATACCACATAGTTTATTCTATAAACAATGCAGAATCATTTTTAACTCTGAATTTCTGGAAGCAATAGTCTCCCAGGACATAAACAGCACAAGTATCCCCACCAAACCATTATTAGGCATGTAACATTGGAATTAGTAGCTAATGAAATTAGGCAAAAGAATAAGAGGTAGTCACATTTAAAAGGATGGGGAAAAATTATAATTTTTCAGATACTTATATACTAGGAAGATGCAAAAGTTACCTGAAACATTAGAAACAGACTTCAGTAAGTAGCTTTCTTATCTGTAATCAACAACCAGTTATATTGATATAAGGAAAGAAAAGAGCTACCTTAGTAGCAAAAATTATGTATAAATATAAAGTAAAAGATCTTTCTTAATACTAAGAACAAAAACCTCAATAAATATGTACCCATGCATAAATATAAAATAAAGTGAAATACTGGATGTCTTAGTTTGTTCAGTTTAGTTCAGGTAGACAAAAGTCCACAGCTGCTTAGAAGCAACAAACATTTCTCTCTCACAGTTCTGGAGGCTAGGAAGTCCATGGTCAAGGCTCTGGCAGAGTCTGAAACAAGAGGGTCCTGTTTCCCAGTTCATAGGTGGCCATCTCCTCAATGTGTCCTCACGGGGTGGAGGGGTCAAATGAGCTCCCTCAAGCCTCTTTCCTAAGAGCACCCATCTCACTCATTAGAGCTCTGCCCTCATGACCTAATCACCTTCTGAAGGCCCCACCTCCTAATACCATCAAGTTGAGGGTTACAGTTTCAACATATGAATTTTGGGGGGACACAGTCGGATCACAGCACCTGACAAGAAGCTTAGTGAGAAATTTGCAAGATACCCTTGAGGAACACCTTAAAGCACTCCTGAAGGACAGAAAAGAAAACCTGAATGTACGGAAAATCATAACTGTTCTTGGATAGGCAGCCTCAATATTGTCAAGTTACCAATTCCCCCTAAATATATTATGAATTAAGCACAATTTCCTTCAGAATACCAGTGAGTTTTTGTTTTGTTTTGTTTTCGTCTTTAAATTTTGGAACTTGGCAAAGTGATTCTAAAGCTGAACCTGGAAGAAGAAACAGTGGAGACTTAAAGGTAAAAAAATCTAAAAATATCTATCCCAGCAGGCGTAATCAAATGTATTATAAGCCTAAAGTAATTAAACAGTATGGTACTAATTCAGATACAGACAGATTATTCAGATACAGACAGAAAACTAAAAAATAGAACTTAATACACAAGAATCTGAATGTGGCATTTCAGATTAGTATCCAGGAATGTCCGTGGATCATTTAGTAACTGATTTGGGGATAACTGGCAGATATTTGGAAAAAATATAGGGGGGCGGAATTCTGCCTCAATCCTCATACCAAAAACTTAAGAGGGATCAAGGTTTAAATATTTTAAAATATTAACATAAAAGTGGAAACAGGTGATTTTTTTTCCATACATTTGGCATAAAGACTTTTTAAAGGATGACACCAATCCCAGAAGATTTAAAAGAAAACTGGTAATTATTACTAAATAAAAATGAAACCTCCTGCCTGCCAGAACTCTATAAACTGAGTCAGAAGAAAATCTTAAACCTGAGATAAAATATTTTCTAGATATGACAAGGACTAATTTTCTTCCTGTCACGGGTCGGGTTCTCCAGGAAGCAAATGTTGAGACAGAGTTAAGAGTGTGGGAGGTTTGCTGGGGAGTAGCGCCTGGGAAGGAAGAGGGAAGGAGCAGAGTCTGCAGGGAGAGCCGTGGGACCAGGGTGTGGACCTGCCACACCAATAAGCTTCCTACTAGGATGGCCTGTGAGGGGAGTCCTGTCCTGGGCAGAATGACTGGGCTCTGGACACTCAGGGCTCCCTAAGGAAAGCATAGGCTCGCCACCTTCCTTCCCTCCTCTTTCCTCGGGGGACAGCAGCTCCACTCTCAGAGGAAACCACTGGCACTGGGGTGGTGGATGTGCTTGATGGAGCATCGGGGATCAGAGGGTGGGCATGCCTGTGGGCTGTCTCTACCTTCCACTTGGCCATCTCTGTCTTCCGCTTGGACATAGAGTGTCCATCTCGTTACTACTCTCTTTGGATCCTCTTCCCTCTGGCTCAGTCATTGGCTGGGAACTACCCTGAGAAGACCGGCCCAGGCTGGAAAGCCGAAGCCAACCCTGAAGGAATGAACAGTGGAAAGTTGCCAGATAACCACCCTTGTTGCTGCAGGATGGTGAGTCTGGTCTTGAATAGAGATCTAAGGAGCACATCTCTATGTCCACTACACTCACTATACAAACACCCCTTATAAGTAAAAAAGACAAGCCAGACTCTAGAAAAATAGGAAAAATACATGAATAGGTAGTTCATAGAAAATAATTAATGGCCAACATAAAACGATAACTTATAAAAGAAATTAAAACTACTGTGAGGTAGTGTTTCCCACCTGACAGACTGACAAAAATGAAAAAGATTGTTAATACCTAGGTCTGGTGACAACCTTGGAAAGCATGGATTTCATATGCAACATTAATTGGAGGGCAAATTACAGCTTTTTTGGGGAAGGAAATTTGACAATATCAGAATTTAAGGTGTACTATATATTCTTTGATACAACGATATGCCCCCTGGGAATATGACCTTTGCATGTATGTGTATATTTGTGTAGGAAGATGTTTATTGCAGTTTTGTTTATAACAGAAAAAAAACAACCAAAAGAAAAAGGCCACTTTTTTTTTTTTTTTTTTTTGAGACAGAGTCTCACTCTATTGCCCAGGCTGGAGTGCAGTGACACGATCTCGGCTCACTGCAACCTCCGCCTCCTGGGTTCAAGAGATTCTCCTGCCTCAGCTTTCCTAGTAGCTTGGATTACAGGCGTGCGCAGCTAATTTTTTTGTATTTTTGGTAGAGACATGATTTCACCATATTGGCCAGGCTGGTCTCGAACTCCTGACCATAAGTGATCCGCCTGCCTCAGCCTCCCTAAGTGCTGGGATTACAGGTGTAAGCCACCACACCAGGCCTCGTTTTTTCTTTGATAGAGTACTGGCTAAATAAAGATACACAAGACCAATTTTTAAAGAATTAAGTACTGGTGAGAAAAGATATCTATAACATATTGTCAAGAAAGAAGTTCTGAAGTTCTATATCTGAAGAAAGAAGCTGCCACTCAAAGTTGTTGGAGTAAAACAAAAAGGGCCATATGCCTCTGTGGGTATAGAGTAAGCACCGAGAGATTTCATGGACATTAGCATTGTTATCTCTGGGGAGGGTGTTCAATTCAGTTGGGAGGGCAAAGGATGTGGCTTTAATTTTGTCGTATCTCCTCTTCTGTTTGGGTACCTTTTCCAACAATTAATAGTCGTATATACACATATATAATTATGAAAATTCATTTGAAACACAGCTGCAATGGCCATTAGGACTAGTTGCCAGCTATGTCCAGTTGTTGCCCTTCCTGAGCCATGGTAGGAGGTCCAGTCTTGTGTAGTTAGATGTGGCCAAGTGCCTCCTCTGGTCATTGGTGAGCAGAAGTAACAGTGTCATTTCTGGACAAAAGATTTAATTGCCAGTGTGAGATCCTCTAGAACTCTCCTTTCCCTCTAGGGAGGTGACTGGCAACATTTAAGATGATGGGTGCTTCATCAGCGTGGGTGCCCTGTGACTGCAGTGAGTAGGACTTCCCCTCCACCTCACCTTTGGCCTGGGACAGACATGCATGTGTAGTGAACCTACAGTGGTGTAGTGAAAAAGGAGGCATGGTGGCTGACGCCTGTAATCTCAACACTTTGGGAGGCTGAGGCAGGTGGATCACCTGAGATCAGGAGTTTGAGACCACCCTGGCCAATATGGTGAAACCCCGTCTACTAAAAATACAAAATTACTGAGAATGATGGTTTCCAGCTTTATCCATGTCCCTGCAAAGGACATGAACTCATCCTTTTTTATGGCTGTATAGTATTCCATGGTGTATATGTGCCACATTTTCTTTATCGAGCAAACTAACACAAGAACAGAAAACCAAACACCACACGTTCTCACTCATAAGTGGGAGTTGAACAATGAGGACACATGGACACAGGGAGGGGAGCATCACACACCAGGGCCTGTCAGGTGGTGGGGGGCTAAGGGAGGGATAGCATTAAGAGAAATACCTTATGTAGGTGATGGGTTGATGGGTGCAGCAAACCACCTTGGCACGTGTATACCTATGTAACAAAACTGCGTGTTCTGCACGTGTACCCCAGAACTTAAAGTATAATAAAAAAAATTCCAAAATTAGCTGGGTGTGGTGGCACATGCCTGTAATCCCAGCTACTCGGGAGGCTGAGGCAGGGGAATCACTGGAACCCAGAGGTGGAGGTTGCAGTGAGCCGGGATTGCACTCCAGCCTAGGTAACAAGAGCAAAATTATGTCTCGGAAAAAAAAAAAAAAAAAAAGAGTAATATCCAGAGTTATCTGAAAGGGTTACTAAATTATTCCTCCCTTTTCCAAATACATATTTGTTATGAGGTCAGATGTTCTTCACGTATGTCAGTCAAAATCACATATCCCAACAGATGAAATGCAGAAGTGGATGTGAATCCAGCTGTCTTCTAGTGAACCAAACATTAAAGAGATTTGCAAAGATGTAGAACAATGCTGTTCTTCTCACGAAGTTACTTTTGCTTTGGAAAATATGGTTATTTTTCATAAAATATGTTGTTTAGGTAATGTGATGTAATGGGTTTATTGTAATTTTTAACTAAATTAAATAAATATTTTAACATTTTCTCAGTTTTAATTTCTAGTGCTGTAAATAACAATGGTTATAACGCACTCAACAAAAGCTCTTTGGGATAATCAATAATTTGTAAGCTGTGGGTAAAGGAATCCCTAGACCAAAATGTATGGGAACAACTGACCTTCGATTCTGGGGCTGTTTCAGCAATTAGGAATGTGCAAATATTTAAAAATTGCCATCAGCCACCTATACAATTATTTTAAGTTTTTTATTTTTAGAAAGCTTTTTAAGTTACAGGTTCTTTTGACTATGAAATAATTAACATTCAGTATAGACAAATTGGAAAATGAAAAAAAAGAGAAAGAAAGTATCAACCATAACTTTGCCGCTCAGAGATGAACATTTTGGTGCATTTCAGCACTTTTCTCCCAGTGTTCCCCACCCATACAGAAAAACACAAACACACAGGCACACATCAACGCCCGAGACCATTTAGAATACTCTATGTGAAGCTTGATCTCTTGCCTTTTCCACTTTACAGAAATAAAGTTAGAATTTAGTCAGGAAAATTAAGTTAGATTTTTAAAAATATAGCAAGTATTTTCTGAAAATGTACTTTTAATGTTGGTGAAAATTTTTTTTATTAATATACCTCGTATTCTATGAGCTCCAGCCAAGTAAATTGTCTTAAAAGATCTTGAAGATTAGTGGTATCCTAATCCTAACAGAATAAAATAAAAGTTGTTCTATTTTAAAATAAAGTCTATGAATGAGTCACTCATTTTCTTAATCCAGAAATCTCCAGATGAAAGTATAATGAACTTCGGTCTGAACAAATCTTATGAGGCTCATTCTTAGGCCTAAATCATCAAGTGTGTTATTTCTCTTAGTGTCTGAGAAAAGGGACAGAGCTTTGTAAATTCCAAGTCTCTTTAAAGTGTTTTGTTGTTTTTGTCTGTTTTGCCTAAGAGATAAACCAGTGCATAGTTTTCGTTTTCCAGGCAGGCATCCACTTAATTCTAGGCAGAAGTTTGAAATAGAAATGTATCTTTACATTATTCCCGCTCTCTGTTCTTCTAGCAACACCATTGTAAATCTGGAGTACCAAGAGGGCAAAATTACCCAATTAAATTTTCTTTGTTAATTTTATCTCTTATTGCTGGTTTAAAAAATGTCACTGTCCAACTCCCTGGCCTATTGGGGTGAGGACTCCGGCAAGGCGCCAATGTTTCTCTTGAAAGCTTGAGATCTGGGGGTCATAGCAACTTGGAAAGCCCTCATCTCTTTCCTTCCTTCCGTTTGCAGCCTTTTCTCTTCCGGTGGGTGGCAGTATTTCACCTTTTTTTTTTTTTCTGTTTTTTTTTGTTTGTTTGTTTTTGTTTTTGAGACAGAGTCTCGTCTCCAGGCTGGAGTGCAGTGATGTGATCTCAGCTCACTGCAATCTCTGCCTCCTGGGTTCAAGCGATTCTCCTGCCTCAGCCTCCCGAGTAGCTGGGACTACAGGCGCGTGCCACCATGCCTGGCTAATTTTTTATATTTTTAGTTGAGATGGGATTTCACCGTGTTAGCCAGGATGATCTTGATCTCCTGACCTCGTGATCTGCCCGCCTGGGCCTCCCAAAGTGCTGGGATTTACAGACATGAGCCACCGTGCCCAGCCAGTATTTCACTTTTTAACCCTCATTTCTATCAGGGACTTCTCAATTTGCATAAGGCTAGCATAGATTTTTCTTTTCAAAAGAGTAAGCAGAATTCATTTATATTCCCACTCCCTTCACCTCCCCACCACTCTTTCCCCAGTCTTGTTAACCTGTTGGTGAGTTCACCTGGAAACTTGGAGAACATCAGGACTTAATAAGACAGGTTGATAGCGAACACACTTCCAGGGGAAAGTGCCCTATCCCGGGAGTGACTGTGTGTGGGATACCATGGGAACATTCTTGGAAAGTGACTTGAATGGATTTGGGTGGCATGATTAAGGTGGGCCATTTTGTTGGCCTACCCAGCATCTTCTGCCTCTTCTTTCTACCTGATTTATTCTGAAAATTACTTCTAATTTCAGATGGAGAGGTGGTGATGATGGGGAAGGTGTAGAGTCTTTCTTCTCCCTCGAATCCCCACAACTCTGCACAGCGTAACCCAGAGGAGTCTCTATTTTATTCACTTCCTTTCCAAAGGGATTGCCAGGCACCCACCCACTCAGAGTCTTGGCATTCCCTCTTTTCTCTGCCTAGAATACTCTCTCCCAGCTGATACCATGCTTATTTCCTCACTTTGGGTCTTTACAAAATAAAATGTTGCAGTATTGGGGTAGAGTCATGTAGCCTCACCCCACCCCCATCCTGCCTCTTCCTCCAGTTCATGTCCATCTGGAACCTCAGAATGTGACCTTATTTGGAAGTGGGGTTTTTGCAGATGTCATTAGTTAAGACTGGAGTAGAGTGATCTCTACATCCAATGACTGTGTTCTTATAGGAAAAGGAGAGGACTCGCAGGGACACAGGGAAGAAGCCTGTGTACAACAGAGGCAGAGAGTGGAGTTGTGCTGCCAGGAGCCAAGGAACGCCAGGGATTTATGGGAACCTCGGAAGCTAGGAGAGAGGCTGATATGGTTAGGTGTTGTGTCCCCACCCAAATTTCATCTTGAATTATAATCCCCATAATCCCTATGTGTCAAGGGAGAGACCAGGTGGAGGTAATTGAATCATGGGGGCAGTTTCCTCCATGCTGTTCTCGTGATAGTGAGTGAGTTCTCATGAGATCCGAAGGTCTCATAAGGGGCTCTTCCCCCTTCATTTGGCACTTCTCCTTCCTGCTGCCTTGTGAAGAAGGTGTCTTGCTTCCCATGCCATGATGGTAAGTTTTCTGAGGCCTCCTTAGCAATGCAGAACTGTGAGTCAGTTAAATCTCTTTCCTTTATAAATTACCCAGTCTCAGGCAGTTCTTTTTAGCAGTATGAAAATGGACTAACACAGAGGCATAGAGCAAACGGACTCTCCCCAGAGCCTCCAGAAGGAACCAACCCTGCTGACACCTTGATTTTAGTCTTTTGGCCTTCTGAACTCTTAGAGGATCAATTTCTGTTGCTTGAGCCACTCAGTCTGTGGCTCTTTGTTCCAGCAGCCCTGGGAAACTAGAGAGCTACCCGCTGACTGAAACCTCCCCTTGCAACTGCCCTGCCACTCCTGCTTAGCACTTGTCCGCGCCTGGCATGGCATGTGTTTCACTTCTGCACCTTGCTGATTGTCAGCCTCCCCCGGTAGAATGTAAGCTTCACAAGGTCAGGGCTTTCAATCTCTTTTCTCTCTGCCTCATCTTCACCATCTAGAACAGTATGTGGAAGTGGACGAATGAGTGATTTCAGTTGCTGATTTATTCCCTTTCCTTGAGAAGACAGGGAGTCCCTTTTTGTTTTTATGGGAGTATTGGAATTCACAGAAACTATCTTAGCACTCTGTCACTCAAACAGTAGTGATTTAAACTAAAAAAGGCACTTGTTAAACCAGGGATATAATGTACACCAGTAGAGATCTCCCTTTGCGTCCAGTGACGTTGGCTGACTGCCAAGCTTTTATCCCTTCTTGCCATCGCTGCACAGTGTTTGATGGTCTCAGTCTCCAAAATGCAGCCAGGAAAGAAAACTCAGAGGCTGGTTCTTTGGTGGTCAACCCATAGATCCTGACCCTTTGGGTCCTACCAGCTTCTTTATTTAAGTTGCTCTTTCTTGTGACTTCTGCAGTGACTTGGCAGTCACTTAAAAATGGCCCTTGTCACTTATTATTTGGAGAAGCACACGATACACAATTGCTTTGCCAAATGCCAACAATCTAGAAAAGGGCAGTCATCTCAGCTATTGTCTGGGCTTCAGGGAGCCATAAGGGCTCGGCATTGAAACAATAACTGGCATCTCAAACAAGCCCAATAGGGACGGCTGGTGCCAGAGGAGGGAGGTCTGTGCCAGCCACCACTGAGAAAAGCCAGGTCACTTCCAGCAGTAATGAGGACAGTCTCATCAACAAATGGCAGCGACCTACTCCAAAGGCCAGCTATGTCCAGTAGGGCAGCCATGAAGGCTGTGTGAGACAGGTAGAAAGGGGACTGGGAGAGAACTCAGGCTGACACAGGGCATGTCGAGTGTCTTAGGATCATTGACTGGGGACCATCCCTCAAAACTTACAGGTGAGGGGCTGGAGGCCCAGAGAGTGAATGTGAAGCCAAGCAGAGCAGGGCCAGGGAAAGGAGAGAAGAGAGGAGGGGAGAAGGGAGAAGGAAGAGGAGGACTGAGTGCATCCTGACTTCCTGGCCATGATTTTGTTACCAGTTCTTGTCCCTGAGGTCACTGGACTTGCCATCCTGGTTCCTGCAGCTCTTCTCCAATTCTCTGAGATACTCCAGCATCCTTCTGATAAACCCCCATTTTGACTTAAGCTTTTAAATTGGGTGGAAATCTCCTGGAAGTGAGAGGGTCCTGATGAATACTCAAGCAGTGTGGAGAGAAAAGGAAAAGAGAACACAGACTCTCCTAGGCCACCAGCATCCTACCCCTAGCACCAGTCTAGTTCAGCAGACGTTTCTTTGAACCCAGATGTGTTTCATCAGAATCCTTCTTAATACAGTGCTCTAGACGTTGGAATTGGCAATAACTGAAACATGTTTGTCATTCCCGAGGTAGAGTCCATACTTAGGTTACCAAATTACCCTTGAAACAACCCTATGAAGGTGACACCCTCATTCCAATAAAGAGAAAACCATTGCCAAAGTGGGTCAGTGGCTCAGCTGGTACATGCTTAAAACTAGTCCGTGTGATCACTAAATCCTAGCTGCTGCCACTACGCCCCATGAAGTCATGTGGAGCAGCCCGGAGCCAGGGCTTCAGTGGGACTTCAGAGCCACAACTGCAGTGGAACTCTGCTTCCGCCTCAGTGAAAGTGGTTATTCTGAAGAAAGTAGCTCTACAATCCAACTGTTACAAAATCGCAGTCTGATGATGGCTGAGAAAGACAATTTGAGATTGGGCCACAGAAAGCTGGACAGGGGGTATATCTATCATCAAAACCTTGGCCACAAATGCAATCTGCCTGTCTGCAATATCTTTGTCTGTAGAAAGAAGGTTAAAGAATTCTCAGTTCCCTAGAGGTACATGGTGAGATACCTGTGAGATGTGTATATCCCTGGCATTATTTATCTCATACATCTTTAACTACATTTAGTTACTTTTGTTGTTAAAATTAAGGTGTTCTTTTTCATTTTGCCTTGAAACAGAACTACCTTGTAAGGATTTAAAACAGATGATTGAATTTTGCTTGGAAAATGCAATCATGCCAAAGAAATGTATTCTGAGCAGCCAATGTTGCTTTTTAAAATTCTAGAGAAAATTCAATCAAGCAAATAGCTACAAAGTATAAATGACCTAAAATGACTTTGTATGGTTTGGTGGGCTTGGGGGGATTCAATTTTTTATAAAGACTTATGCAACATATCCCTAAGGGGCTGGTTTTAGAAAATAAGATGCATTAAAATCAGAGTTTGAGTGATGGTTAGACATTTGTGGCAATATATTAATGATTCTTACATCAGCCTAAGAACAAATGTGCAAGTCATTTAGTTAGGCCAATTTACATGTGGTGTGGGATGAAGGGCCCAAATAATAGAATCTTCTTTATTCTCTATTTCTTTTGTCTCCAGAGGGTTAATTGACAATGAAAAGGAGAGAGTTGGGGAGAGAAAGAGAGAAAGGGAGAGTGGAGTCATGGGTAGTGGAGCAAAATTGTGGCTGGGTTCAAATTGTGGTTCCACCAAGTGGTAGTCATTAGGGCTGCCCACTAAGAGTTCTCCTCTTCTGGCACATGGTGGACTCTACTTCCCATCTCCTTGCAGTTAGACCTGGCCATGTGACTTGCTTTAGCCAATGAGATGTTAGTGAAAGCGATGATGTCATTTCCAGGGAGAAGTCTCTTAAAAGCCAGTGCACAATTTGCTCATTCCCTTCGTCTGTCACTCCCACAGATGAGGCTGCAATGGCAGAGAATCTATTAGCCTGGGTCCCTGGTGAGGATGCTGTGGAGCAGAGCCCCCTGGCAACTTGTGATGAATGGAGGGTAGCATGAGTGAGAAAACTTTGTTGTTTTAATCACTGAGTGATATGGTTTGGCTGTGTCCCTAGCCAAATCTCATCTTGAATTCTCACATGTGGGAGGGACCCGGTGGGAGGTAATTGCATCATATTGACAGGTCTTTCCCTTGCTGTTCTCGTGATAGTGAATAAGTCTCACAAGATCTGACGGCTTAATAAGGTGGAATTTCCCTGCACAATCTGTCTTTTTTCTTTGCCTGCCACTATCCATGTAAGACGTGACTTGCTCCTCCTTGTCTTCCACCATGATTGTGAGGCCTTTCCAGCCATGTGGAACTGTAAGTCCATTAAACCTCGTTTTCTTCCAAGTCTTGGGTATGTCTTTATCTGCAGTGTGAAACAGACTAATACACTGAGATTTTAGAAGTGTTTGTTACCAATGCATACTCTAGGCTACCCTGACCAACCCTCCATGTGACCTTGGGCAAAGTGCCTAACCTGTCATTTCTCAGTTTCTTCTTTTGGCAAATGGAGATCCTGACTCCTCTAAATTATTTTCAGAATTAATTGGAAAAATACATGGAAAAAGTGTGCCTGGCATACAGCAAGTGCTCAATAAACATTAGCTGTTACTATTTTATATGTGGATACATAGAAAGAATACTTCTCTATGTATTAAAAGCCTCCTTTCATATAATTGTGTAGGTGTTTGTGTTGATGCATTAATATCTGTCCTTAGCCTGAGTCATGATGGAAGCTGAAAAGGATGTTGGGGGTGGGGGAAGACCTCTTCGCCTCTCACTTGCTTTTTTGAGGTAGCTACTTGTTGAGGGTGAATGTGTCAACAGTGTGGCACAGCATAGAGGATGGCATGGTCAGTGCCTAACTCATAAGCCCCTGGCCCCACACCACTCATGCTTTTAAGTGGCCAGATTGTCCCACCCTCACCTTCCACTTACTGGGGCTGTCTGCATCTGTTGCCATGGAAACGTATTGAAGTTGATGCTATGTATCCATTTGGATTTTTAATCTCCAAAAAACAGAAATAAGTCTGGCTAAATTAAACAGTAAGAAGACTTAGAAAAAGGAAAACAAAAGAAAAACCCAAGCATTACAAAACTCACTGAGACCCCAGAAAGGGCAGAGCCAGGCTTGAAGGCTACGTGGTCAAGGACTCCACCCTAAATCATGCTTTAGACCTGGCCTGGAGAACTCGTCAGTTCTAGGCATGGACACTTCAGATTGACCCATGAATGCCATGAATGCTGCTGGTAGAACCTCTGCCATGGTTGCTGCTGGAACTTAGTGCAGCTCCTGCCTCTGTCACTACCCTCACCAAATGGAGTTCATGTGGTCTCTGCTTTTTCCTGTCACCAGTTCCTATAGGGAGAGGGACTCTGCTTCAGATGGTAGTGAATTACCTCCTTTCCTTTCAAACTCCTTAACCAAATTTACAAGGTCCCAACCTTGCTAGGGGCCAGATCTAGCCTTTGGGATTCTACCACCTGCAAATTCCTTCAAATGTGTCCTGCAGACATTCTGAATGCACTGTGGTTTCCTGAGTACATCATGATCCCTTGTTTCTGTCTCTTTTCACATACTGTTTGAACTCTCACCCTCCCTTCAGTTGTTGTCACACAGATGCAGTGTGTTTGTCACCTGGCTTACTCCTCCAGGCAGCCCTCCAGATTGTGCAGGTTCAAGGCAGGAGCTCTACCTTTATGGTCTCCTTATATTTATCATACCGTAATGCATTTGCCTGTTTCCTTATCTATTCTTAGAGACCATGAGTTCTTTCAAGGCAGGCTATGTGTTTTGTTTCCCTTTGTGCCCCAAGTCCTACCACAGTGCCTGGTGCAGGTTAAGACTCAAGAAATAGTTGAAGAATAAATGAACAATGTTGAGGAAATCAAAAGAGTGCAGGCTTCCTCTTTATTTAATGCTCCTGGGAAAAGCCATCCTGCCCACTTGAGTCTGCTTCTGGCAAGAGCACAGTGGGATAGTTTGGAGAGAGATGCCTCATTTGTCCCCTTGATGTTCCTCTCACAGGTCTGGGCCACCTTCACACCTCAGAGCTTTTCTTTCATCACTGGGTTTGGTGTGTGATGACTCTTGTCATAATCAAAAGTCTTCCTAGAAACTATTATTTTAGCTCACATTGCCTCTTGGTGTAACATGGTCTTCGTATTAGTTTTGTGGGGCTGCTGTACCAAATTAGCATAAACTGGTGACTAAAAACAACAGAAACTGATTCTCTCAGAGCTCAGTGGGCTAGAAGTCCACGATCAAGGTGGTGGCAAATTCAGTTTCGGATGAGGGCTCTCCTCCTGGCTTTAAGACGGCTACCTTCTTGCTGTGTCTTCACTTGACATTTCCTTTTGCAGTGGTAGGGGTGAGGGAGATGTCTCTAGTGTCCCCTCCTTTTCTTATAAGGACACCAATCCTGTCAAATTAATGCCCTACCCTTATCACATCATTTGTCCTTAATTACCACTTGTGATGGTTAATATTGAGTGTCAACTTGATTGGATTGAAAGATGCAAAGTATTGTTCCTGGATGTATCTGTGAGGGTGTTGCCAATGGAGATTAACATTTGAGTCAGTGGGCTGGGAAAGGCAGACCCACCCTCAATCTGGGTGGGCACCATCTAATCAGCTGCCAGTGCAGCCAGAATAAAAGCAGGCAGATGGACGTGAAGAGACGAGACTGGCCTAGCCTGCCAGCCTACATCTATATCCTGTGCTGGGATGTTTCCTGGCCTCAAACATCAGACTCCAAGTTCTTCAGTTTTGGGACTCGGACTGGCCTCCTTGCTCCTTGACTTGCAGATGGCGTATTGTGGGACCTCACCTTGTGATCACGTGAGTTAATACTCCTTAACAAACTCCTCTTTATATATACATCTAGCCTATTAGTTCTGTCCCTCTAGAGAACCCTAATACACCTCCCTAAGAGTCCTTTTTCCAAATACAGTTGCATTGGGGTTTAGGGCTTCAACATTTTGGGGTACCCAGAGCCTATAACTTTCTTTAACAAATATTTCTGCAAAATGGGAAAAAAGCCAGATCCATTATGTGAAGTCAGACTCTAAATAAAGATACTCTCATGACTGGGTGCATTTGCCGTCACCCAATTTATTTTTTTCAGGAAAACTATACCCAAGCAACCATCAACACTTAGTTCATTTCTTTTTCCTTCCAAGAGTTAGTGAATAGCTGCCTGTATAATTCACATTTTGTTAACTTAAGATAACATAAACCTGGTTTTATTATTGAGTTATTGAGGTGATATTCACATAACATAAAACTAACCATTTTCAGTGGCATTTTGTACGTTCACAATGTTGTGCAACGATCACTTTTATCTAGTTCCAAAACATTTTAATCACCACCCAAAGGACCCCATTCTCATTAAAGAGTCACACCTTGTCTTCCCCTCCCCTAACCTGTGGCCACCACTACTTTCTGTCTGTATGGATTTTCCCATTTTGGACATTTCATATAAATGGAATAATACAATGTGTGGCCTTTTGTGTCTGACTTGTTTCAGTTAATGTATTGTTTCCAAGGCTGATCCATGTTGCAGCATGTTTGAATACTTCACTGCTTTTTTTGTGAAATTATATTCTATTATATGGATATAGCACATTTTGATTATCCATTCATCTGTTGATAGACTCATGGGTTGTTTCTGTCATTTGGTTATTGTAAATACTGCCATAATTTTTAACTTTCTCTCTTCAAGGCAAATTCCAGTTTAAACCTTGCTGCCACTGTGTAGTGGACATTTTGTTTCCTACTTGAGGGAATTTACTTTAGGGGATCCTTGGGCAGTCTGGTTTATCCCTGACTAAGCATCCTTATCATTTCCTCACTGTAGAACTGGCACCACGTCTCGAGGCAGGGGCTTGTTCTATTAGGTCAGGCTGACCCTGTTCCCTGCTCGCATCCCCCAAAGAAATCCAGTTTGCTAAAAGCCAACATTCCTTTACCATTCTGAATTGCCCAGGCTTTACCATAAAGAAATTAGAAAACATAGCAATAAACAATCTTGTTCTTAGTAAATGCTTGTTGTTTATTGCTTTGGGTAGAAAGGCAACAATATTTTATGAGGAAAGCAGATTTCTTTCTCTCTTTGGAAAGAGTCGCTCTGTTTTCTATTTTCAGATGCCAAGGAATATTAGCCTCCAGTTCTCATTAACTAGGTGCTTATGCCTCCATCTCTGGTCATTAGAAACTTCAGTAAAATGTACTAGTCCTACATTGTATCCTAGTAAATGGAGCAAAGTGAGCATGGATACAAATTTAACAAACCCAAATATCTTTTAGGATTGTGAAAATAATCGCAGGTAGCTTGGAATATAAAGAGAAGCATAAAGAAGGGAAGAGAAATCACACAGAAGCCCACAACACAGGAATGAGCTCTATGTACTAATGAGGATGTGAATCTGCCGTCGACAGCAGATCTGGGGATGGCTTCTGAGTCCCCGTCCATGCTGCAGATTCCAGACATGGACAGTCTGCTGAGGCCAGCACTTTTCCCCTTTTGAAGAAAGCAACTCGGCTACTCTGTGAATTAGCTGGGTGTGTAGAACTTTAAAAGAGTGATTAATAGCAACAAGACGGATAGCTGCTTTGAAGTCTAAGCCAAAGGCAGTTCATACTTTGCAGCCTTTTAAAAATGTCTTCATCTTTACTTCTAAAACTGCTGTGAATGCCAGAGCTATGGGAAAGAGCCAAGTTCAATCCTCACAGTGCTGGAGTGCATCAAATAACCCTGGGCAACAGGGTTCTTGCTCACTTTCTTGGGAGTTCTTACTTAAATGGTAGTTTTTCACTTGATAATATAGCATCTGTCCCCTGCTTATAGAAATAAAGCTTTAAGAAAACAAGAAAAAGGAGATTTTTTTGATATGAAAATCAGAATGTTCTGAAACCTACAATTACAGTTATTCTCCAGCTTGAATGAACAACTTCAATCAATCAACCAGTCAACCATGTTGCCAATCAATCATTTAGGTTCTCTTGAGCAGAAGACATTTTTTTTGTGTGTGTGTAAAAGAAGGGTTAGTGATGATGGGTAAGGAATCATTAGGTGTCTACTTTTTGGCAGCCTCCCCCTGTTTCTTCACCTTGCTTCCAATTCTCATCATTAATCCAAGGGTCAAGAAATCTGGCAGAGTTTCAAGAAGGCACATTTATCCCAGGTCCAACCAAGTAGCAGGGCTATCCATTTTCCATTACACATTTAGTAAGCACCTGCGTGAAAACATGTTCAACATGATTAGCCATTAGTAAGACACAGTTAAGTCCACAATGAGATAGCACTCCACACCTATTAGAATGACAAGAATAAAAAATAGTGACAACACCAAATGCTGGCAAGGGTGCAAGAAAATGATCATGCATACATTGCCGGTAGGAATTTATTTTAATTTTATTTTTGAGACAGAGTCTCACTCTGTTTCCCAGGCTGGAGTGAAGTGGCATGATCTCGGCTTATGGCAACTTCTGCTTCCCCGGTTCAAGTGATTCTTGTCCCTCAGCCTCCCGAGTAGTTGGGATTACAGATGGCTCATTTTTGTATTTTTAGTTGAGACAGGGTTTCGCCATGTTGGCTAGCTGGTCTCAAACTCCTAGCCTCATGTGATCTGCCCATTCTTAGCCTCCCAAAATGCTGGGATTACAGGCATGAGCTACCATGTCCAGCCACTGGTGGGAATTTAAAGTGGTACAGCCGCTCTGGAAAAGAGTATGGCAGTGTCTTCCAAAACTAAAGACACACTTACCACACGATCCAGCAATTGCAATCTTGAGCATTTATCCCAGAAAAATGAATGTCATGCCCACATAAAACCTTGTACATTATTGTTCATAGTAGCTTTATTCATAACAGCCCCATACCGGAAACAACTCAAATGTCCTTTAGTGGGTCAATGGTTAAACAAACTGCCACATCCATATCGTGGAATACTACACTGTTCCATTTATATATTAATATCCTTGAAGTTACAAAATTTTAAAAATGGAGAACAGATTAGTGGTTTTTAGGGATTACAAGGGGGAAGAAGGATAGAGGGAGATGGAGGTTGTAAAAGGGTAGGGTGAGTGGTGAAGGCTTGAACTAGAGTAGTGACTATGGGAATGAAGAGGAGGATGTGGCTGGAGAGGAGTCGGTGGGTAAGATTGCTTGGGTGCTTAGGATGACAGAAAGGTGAATTGGCCGTATGCCCTGACCCTAATATAGCATCTCACCCTATCACCCCTGTCCCGACTTGCAAGGGGCCTCCTTCTCTCTCCTAGTCAACCCCATCTGTCCTTGCTGTTTTCCTTGCGTACTGCATCATGAGGAGACGCCTCAACCACAAGCCTGCCATCCTCTGTCCTCTCACTCACCCCGTACTGAACTCCTTGGAGCCTCCCATCTCCTCTACACTGCATTACCAAGGATGCTCTGCCTGTGGTCTCAGGAGGGAATGGTGACTACAGAACATCAGAAATCTCTTACACCTTGAGTCTCGAAGCTAAATTAGTAATAAAAATAGTCTGTGGTAGCTGATATGATTTGGCTCTGTGTCTCCACCCAAATGTCACCTTTAATTGTAATCCACATAATCCCCATGTGTCAAGGGCAGGACCAGGTGGAGGCAATTGAATCATGGGGGTAGTTTCCCCCATGGTGTTCTCGTGATAATGAGTGAATCTCACGAGATCTGATGGTGTTATAAGCGTCCGGCATTTCCCCTGCTCGAAACTATTTCGTCTTGCTGCCTTGTGGAGAAGGTGCCTGCTTCTTCTTTGCCTTCTGTCATGATTGTAAGTTTCCTGATGGCTCCCCAGCGGTGTGGAACTGTGAGTCAATTAAACCCCTTTCCTTTATAAATTACCCAGTCTCAGGTGTTTCTTCATAGCAGTGTGACTAATATAAGTTGCATGTGCTGTTTCTTCTGCTGGAATTCTCTTCCACCCTTCTCCACCTGTCTCAGTGTACAAAAATAATATACATACTTATCATTAAAATTTCAAACAAAACAGGAAACTATAAGGAGGTGAAAGCCCCCTTAAACACCCGGCCCCACTCCCTAGAATTACATTGTAAACAATATTGTGTATCTCCCAAAATTTCGTTGAGCGCATAAAGTTGTTTTTTCCTTTGGTTGGTTTACTTTATAAATACTATTATGCTATATGCATTTGGCTTTTTTTTTCACTTAAAATCACATTATGAACATCTTTCTATGAGGTACATGTCATTCAGCCTCGTGTTACCATCTGCCTCTCATCACTGGGCTCTCCACTCCTGCCCCATCAGGTCTTCGCTAAGATGCGAGTCCTCAGCATTTGTATTCATTAGAAGTCTTGGTTGGTTGTAAGAGGAACCGGCTTTATTTCATTTTTTAAAAAGAGAGGGCATTTATTATAAAGACCCTGGGGTTCTGATGGAACTGGAGAACAGAGACGGAATTAAGCCTCAGAGACAACTAGGATCAGGGTTCTCCAATCTTCCTCCTCTCTGTATGCCTGTTCGATTCTTCTCCCTCCAAACTTGTTTCCTCTGCTTCCCCAACCACTCCCAAGGCTTACATATTACAGGCTCATCTACCGAGAGAGAGCCTGATTTGTCTCTATCCTAATTCCCATATTCCTAAGGAAGGGGATTATGGTTATGCCACCACTTGTGGCTGGCCATGTTAGAAAAATTGGCTACACCTGTAACAAACATGGAAGTGAGAGATGAAGAAAATCACCTTACGATGGGTGGGACCAGATAGACAGGGCAAATGATGCTCAGGACACCTTCCTTAATCACTCCAAGTTGGAGTTAGGAGCCCTTCTCTGTAAGCTCAGAGCATTCTGTATATATACTATGAGAGCACTGAACACAATGAAATGTGAATGCTCATTTGTTTGTAGTTCTAGCTAAATGGTAAGCTCCATGAAGATAGGCACTGTTGTGTTTATCAATGCTTACTGGGCTATGACTGTGCCACTGAGGTTTTGGGATTGCTTATCACAGCAGTTACTCATCTCTAACCAAACATACCCTCCCACGTGATGACCCTATGTCCCTTCCCAAAAATGACCTGCTTTGAGCCACTCTCACCTTTGTTTATTGATGTATTATTTACTGCTGGAGGAATATGCATATCTATAATCACTTGACTTGACTTTCGGGACACAAGGGAACTGTGGATATATTTGGACCTCTGTGTTTCTTATGGTAAAATACTGGCCTTTTGCTCCTCCTATTCTGCAGGGCTCTGGTTGCTTTAGGTCTAATCCTCATCCAGGTACTTATGCTGGGCTGCTTTTCCACTCAAACCATTTGGGCTCTCGGGGCAAGGAGGAGTAGTAGCTCGATGTATTTTTGCTAAAGCTGCACTGATGGACAGTGGGCCAGAGCTGGGCTCTCTCAGAAGAGCTTTCAAGGTGGCCTGGGGTCAAGGTGCATTTTAATTTCTCCACGCTTAACTTTCATACCTTTGCTTAATACCTGTGATATTCCCTGCCCTTATAGTCAAAAATCAAGTTTTCCTTTATTCTTCCATTTCATCCTTCCCCGCTTCCTTCTCTTTGTTATTTTCCTTCCACAAATATCTCCTGCTGAACTCTAAGTTCTGTAACAACACAAATCAAGGCTTTTATTCATCACTATGTCCCATTACCCAGCTTGGTACTTAGCACATAGTAGAGGCTTAATATATATAGGTTGAATAGAGTTGGATATGAGACCTGAACCATATTAGATGCTGAGGAGGAAGGAGTGAGAAAAGATAATTTATGCCCTTATGCAACTCACAATCAAACTCTAAAGATTCTTCAGGAAGCAGTGGTCATAATAAAAACCATAATAACCATAGCGATTGTTTATACGATGCTCACCATGCGCCTGGCACTGTTTTAAGCCTGACTGATTTTTGAGGGCAGGAGGTGGAGGGCACAGCACCAGGGGTCTTTGCTGCAGCTGATGTGGCCTCTGCAGAGGTTCAGAGACCTTATACAGCTGCTGTGACTGGTAGGTAGCTCAGGAGTGTGGGGGAAATGTTGGGTTCGAAGCACTTCAGAGAATCCCAAACTAGTTCACACCACCAGAGCTGAAGTAAATGACACGAGACCCAGCCCCGCTGAGCTTTTCTGGCTGCCATGAAAGCCATGCAATTCCTGACTTGAGTCTGAGACTCCAGAACTATTCTGTCTGGCTCCAAGTGTTCATGGAACTCTCATGCAACAAAGGAAATGCCTGAGATAATAGGACACTTTAGAACTGTTTTGAGCAAGAGATATTTTGACGTGGTCTGAAAAAAAAATAAACCTGTTTATAAACATGACTAATGCATAATGGAGTCTGTCACTCTGTATTTCTGACATAAGGACCATGTGTTTGTGTTGGGACATGTTCCAAATTTCTAGAGAAAAAATGGCGCCCCAGCAGTTAGTGGTGCTTTAGAGTTATGTATACTGGGACAGATGTCCTTAGAAAACCACTCTGTTTCAATCTGCAGTGATCTGGAATCTTCTCCATCCCTGAATGCCACCCCATGTCTTTACTCATGTGGCAGAGACTGCTATTTGTCCATCAATAGCCACTTTTCCTGGCTTCTGTAGCTATTTAGTTTTCAGCTGGGTACATGGCTTCTCAGAATAAAGACTACATTTTCTCCAGCCTCCTCTGTAGCCAGGTGTGGCCAGGTGACTAAATTCTGGCCAATGAAAGCAAGCAGAATTTACCTAGCATCTTGTGGGTTATGTCCTCAAAAGGAGACCTATGCTCCATTCATCCCCATTTCCTGTTCCCATTAGCTGGAATGAGAATGTCAGAGTGAGCTGTCCTGGACGGAGCATGTGGCTGGCAGGTAATGGGACAAGAAGGGGTAGGAACCAGGATCTCTGATATCCGTCTGCTAGTCCAGGATTAGTCTCATCTGGACAGTTCTATAAATCAGAGAAAGAAAATATTTTCATCTGGTTTAAGCCACTATTACTTTCGGTTTCTGTTACAACAGCTGAACCCATGCTCTAAACGATATACTTGCCCAGACATTGTGTTTGGGAGAGAGGGGCTTGGAGATGGTGTGAAAGGCAGGATGGGTGAGGTTTGAACATGTCTGCTGCAAACTTGGGGGCTCAAAGCCATTTTCTCATTTTCTGTAGCAGTGTTATTATAACTGCTTCTCTTTGAGACAGTTCCGCTGCAGGATCTGATGGCAGCCAAATTCATGAAGGTCATAGGAGAGAAAAGCTGTCTTACAGAAACATTCTCCACGTGAGTGATGCCAGACTCCTGCTGGCCTAGATGGGAAACCCAAGGAATCAGGGACAGTCAAGTCAATCACCCCTTTGACATTATTCTCTCTTTTCCAAATGAATCTTCTTTCACTTCTTGATGCAAGGAAATAATACAATAACATAAATATAAATATACTAAATATATAGTATACCATATTAGATATTTTATATATATTATCTATGTTAAACAAATATATTGACTATGTAAAATAAATATATAGTATTTAAATATATTAAATAACCTAAATATATTTAAATATAAATAATAAAATAACAGCAGAAATGTCAACAACCAGAACATTAAAAACAATAATAAAAACAGCTACAATTTGTTGAGATATATAATGTGCAAAGTTCTGTATTTCACTGAATATAGCAATTCTTTCTCCATTTCAGTACATTCAGAGAGGTTAGGTGACTAGGCCAAAGTCACAGTTACAAAGTTGGCAGGGCTGGAATTTGAACCCCACATGATGTGACTTCAAAGTTTAAACTGTTTCTACAATATTAAGCTGCTTTGTTGATTGTTATATTGTTATAACTTATTAATATAAAAGTTATAACATTTAATAATTAACTGAATGTTAGAGGCAGTAGGGATCTTAGAGACCAAGTGCCTCAGAGTGCTAATGTCAAGGAGCAAATACTGACAACCAAATAAATGAGGTGACTTGCTCGAGATCACACAGTGGCCAAGTCAGGACTTCGACCCAGGACCCCTGGCTTTTCAGCTTGTGTTCTTTTCTCCTAAACTACATTCAGAATAAACTGTTTGGATATAAAATAAACTTGCTAGTAAGGAATGCTGCTGTCTACTTAAAGAGGGTTTGTTTAGTAAAGGCACATTCAGTAGAATCACATGGAATGAGATAAAAATACCTGTGGTCAGACCCCACCCTAGGAGAATTGAATTAGAAGCTCTGGTCTTAAGGCCCAGTCATCTGGGCCTTGAAAAGCTCCCCAGGTGATTCTAATGAACAGCCAGGATTGAAAACCACTGAGTTAAGTTTTTGGCTAAGTCTAGTCAAATAGTTATTCTTTCCTTGGGTTTCATTTGTCCAAGGCAAAGGGAAAAATGGAAAATTCATGTAGTGATATCTTCTAGTATTTTGTGGTACTTCCTCACTCTTTGTGGCACACAAACTGATTTCACAATTACATATAATATCAAGAACTACATTATGAATATTTAAATCATTACACTTCTCTGCATGTTAACATATGGAGTATGGAGAGAACTTCTTTGCAATAAATGAAAAGCCAAGTTAATTGTGATGATCATTGTGCCTTCCATTTTTTAAAACATCACTTCTTGAAGTCCCTGAGACAGTTAAATTTACCAAATACAAGTTCTGATGAGACTATTGTGAGTTACAGCCTTTGTGCAGATCGTTTTGAGGGTAATGTACAGAATTATAATCCTTTTACACTCCTCATTAACTTCCTGTATTTCAACATTTGTGTTTCTCATTCTTCTTTGCAATAATCCACTGAGGCATAAATGAAGCAATATATGACTAAGAATAAAAACAATCTAAAACTGTATTATGATCAAAGCCATGTGGTGGCTAGCAGTGTTCAGTTGAATAATATACTGAGTCATGGGCACATTCATCTAATCTCTACTTATTGTGTTGCTTGCTCATTTGATTCACTTACATAAGCACTCCAATATATTCTGTATTAAAGGGAAATGTTTTTGATAATTATTGTATTGATTAAAGTTAGAAACAAAAAACATGGTATTATTACCTTTAACAACCTCTTGGAGAAACTTGATAAATTTTTGAGGATCTACAAACAAGCAGTTGGGAAACCCTGGTATGGTGGGCAGAAAAAAAAAGCTTAGACATTGGATTCTAACAGAACTACAATCAAATTTTGGCACTATTATTTTCTGGATATGTGAACTAAGTTGCCTAACTTCTCCGAGCTTCAGTTTTTTCATCTCAAAAATGGTTTGACAACTGTTGTAAGGGTGAGAGTTAAGGTAAGTCATTACCTAAGGCCAGGTACTGAATTTTATATAATATTTTGCAAGAGATAGGACCAGGGGCAGACTTCAAAGTCATAAAAACATTATAAGCTTGGTCTGACTCCTCAACAAATAAAAGGATTAAGGAACAAGATTTACTTAGGAAATTTTTGCTTTAACAGACATGAATGTGTTTGCTAAGTTCCATGTTAGAATGAGGCACTTAATATTTCCACAGAAATAGAGCTCACTGGTCTGTCTTTGCTGAGAACAACCATTGTTGCATCATCTAAACTGGGATTATTTCTGAACAGGTGGACACCAGAATGATCTGTAAGGCATTTTTCAATAGCAGAACACCCTGTTTTTAGATATTTTCTTCACTGGTCCACTTATGTGATCTTGGGAGTTAAAAAAAAACTCTTATTTTACAGTCATTCTTTTTTATGTAAATATATGTTGTGTACCTACTCTGCTATAGGAATTGTGTCAGGTACTGGGGGATGTAGTAGTGAGAAAGGTATGTTGCTTCCCTCAGTGGCCATATAGTCTAATGGGGAAAACATGTAATCCAATGATTACACAAGGGTTAAATTGAAACTATGTGAAGAACTATGAAGAAGAAATATATTCTGTGATGTGAACTCATAATGTGGGTCAATTAACTTAAAGACAGGCAATCAGGGCCCAGAAAGTGGAGACTATTAGCAAAAGTCATGCAGTAACTTAGTATCACTCATTCAAATATTGGCTGAATTTATATTTACTACAAGATCATCTACACACAACAAAGCAAACAAAACAAAAAAAAATGAACTCAGACTCCAACAGACAGAAGAAAATAGTTTACCTGGGAATAAATACAATACACAGTTTGAAAACTACACAATATTTATTGGTAAAATTAAGACTTAATAAATGAAAAGATTATAAGATTTAGTACTGTAAGTTAAGTGTTCTAAAATTGTTCTGTAGGAGAAATTCTAATCAGAGTCTCAGTATTGTTTGTTGTTTTTAGTGGGAGATAGTGGTAACTTCCAAGTTGATTCTAAAAATTTATATGGAAAAGTAAAGAACCATGAATAAAAGAGGTGATCTTGCAGAAAAACAAAGTTAAAGGACTTAACTTGCCATAGAATAAGACCTGCAGAACTAAAGTTATTATGATAGTTTAGATAGTGTTGCAAGGTTAGACAAAAAAATGGAACAGAAGAGAGTACCAAAAAATCCACACATACACAGCAACATGATTTATGACAAAAATTACACTATGGTGCAATGGGGGGAAGTATGATTTTTTTCAGTAAATGGTACTGGGTCAATTACATATCTATGCTGAAAAAATTAATCTTGATCCTTTTCTCATGCTATACATGAAAATTAATTCCAGATAGATTGTAGATGCAGATATGAAAGATAAAACAATAAAGCTTTTAGAATAAAACAGAGTAGACTCCTTGTGGTCTTGAAGTAGGCAAATATTTTAAAACAGGTACAAAAACACTAATGGGGAATTTTCATACGAATTATAAATATGATTTTCTTAAAATTAAAAATTTCTGCTAATATAAAAGACACCATTTAGAGTAAAAAGACAGACTACATTCTGGGAAAATATATTTGTTATATACATATATGTATGTATCCTCATATTCATAAAGTTTCTGATTATTTCTTTGAATATAACTTCTGCCTTCTGCCTCCATTTTTCTCCTTTTGGAACTCCCACAATACCTATATTGGTTTGCTTGATAATGTTCATAAGTCCCTTAGGCATTCTTCACTCTTTTTTTCTTTTTTCTTTTTGCTCTTCTGACTAGATAATTTTAAATGAAATGATCTGTCTTTGTGTTTATAGATTATTTCTTCTGCTTGATAAGGTTTGCTGTTGAAGTCCTCTAGTGAATCTTTCAGTTCAGTTATTACATTCTTCAGATCCAAAATTTCTTCTTGAGAATAGTTTCTCTTTGTTGATATTCTCATTTTTTCATATCATTTTCCTGATGTTATTTAGTTGTCTATCCATGTTTACTTATAACTCACTGAGTTTGCTTAAGACAATTATCTTGAAATCTTAGGCAGTTTATAGATCTCCATTTCTTTAGGATTAATTACTAGAAATCTATTTTGGTCATTTGATTGTGTCATGTTTCTCTGATTCTTTGTGTTCCTCATGGATTTGTGTTGGTATCCATGCATTTGAATAAACAGCCACTTCTCCCAGTCTCTTTGAATTCAATAGAAAAAGACTTTTGTGAGAGCATGGCTGGAGATTCTGGGAGCTTCTCAAACCTTTTTTATGGTTGTGTCTTCTTTAGTCTTGTGTGTGTAGATTCTTAATTAGAGGGACTTACTGGTTGTTTTTTTTTTGGCAGGTGATCCCATAATCTCTTGCTCCCTCTGGTATCTAATTGCTGTACTGTGGGCCAGGACGTTGAAGGCACGCTCCACTATCCTCCCTGTTTCCCTGTATAGAAACCTTTAGTTATGTACCTTCTCCTCATCTTGTAGAGATGTGCTGGGTACAGAAAGATGCACACCTCCTTTCCTTTGCTCTTAATCAACTCCATAAAACTACATCAGTTCTGTCAATGCTCTGGGTGAGACAAGATAGGAAACAGCCCCTCAGAAAGTATTTGAAACTACACACGGCATTGGATGTACGCCCTATTTTTCACCTGCCAGCCCCACTGCCCCTAGCATAGGGAGAAGTTGTGGACCAGGGCAACAGCTCTTAGTGCTGAGCTGCATCTTCTTGGGGCAGGGGCTGATGTGGGTAAAGTAAAATTGCTCTGCTTACTCATTTCAGTGCAACTGTTGTTGATTTTGTTCTTTCCTGGGGTGCTGCAACTTTGTAACTGGATTCTGAACTTCTTGTGAAGTTATTTTGTTCTGTAGATCATTGTTAAATCAGTATTTCTGTAGGGGAACAAGCGCTGGGACTTCCTTTTCCATCATTGTGCTGATGTTCTTGCTAATCTCCTTTCTCAAAAAAGGAAAATATTAAATCAGAAATATGAATCTCTTGGAGAAGGGATTCACCTTTAATTACAGAGAAATGAAGCGAGTAACTTGGTTCTAAAAGTACTTTGTTTCCTTAGGTTCTATGTTGTATATTCTTTTCTGGCCTTTAACATAGCTGAAAGGACATACAAAGTTAAAGAATCTACTTGATAATTAACTAGGTTGGAACAAAGGTCTTGTCATTAAACTCAAGCACAGTCTGTTTTTCATCAGTTTTTCTTTTATGTTTACTGACACTTTATATAAAGAGATAAGAACTTTCTTGACATCAGATTGTTTTCTTTCAGAGATCATCTTCTATTCTCTTGAAATGTAAACTTTTATGCTCGATGGATGTCAAGGTTTGCAGCAAATGATTTGGATGTTAAAAGTCACAAAACATGGCTAGTGTAAGAGATAATTTTATCTAATACATTCTATACAATCATTTCAGCTATATTTAATAAACTGATTTTAAACTTGTTTTTCTGTTTAGAGTTAAGTCTTGTTTTCTATGCTTAATACAACTTGTGGAGATATTTAAAATTGCTGTTTCTTGCTGCAGAGGTTTTCAGTCAGTTGAAATTTTATAAAAGTGTTTCAGACAATTTCAATGTTTAAATGTATTGCCAAATATTATTTATCTGTAGTACTCAAATCTTGGTTTTTTTTTTTTTTTTTTTTTTTTGCTGTAGATTTTGCTGTAGATTTGTAGAACTGTGAGAAAGAAAATAACCTAATGTTTGTAGATCAACCACAGAAGGAACTGACAAGAATGACATAAAGAAGCCCATGGAAAGGAAAGTCAGGCATTCAGTGTTTTCCTGACAGTCAGTTTTTCTCATAGAGAACACAAGGAATACCCGTACTGACTCTGGTTGTCATGGTGAATAATCTTGACAATTTTTTCAAATCTAAAACATATAGCAACATAAGAACTGCTTCACCAGACACATAATCCAAGCACTCCACGTTCTCTGAAACAATACAATTTGGTGTCAGAAAAGTCTGGTTTCTGGTCCCAGCTCCATCATTGATGTTTGTGATGCCTTGAGTATGTAACTTTACCTTAATAAGCCTCAGTGGTTTGTGTGTGTGTGTGTGTGTGTGTGTGTGTGTGTGTGTGTGTGTAATGGAGATAACAATATATACCTCATATAGTTATTTCAAATATTAGACAATATATTCTAAGTCCTCCACTTTGTACAAGGCTTATAGAAAATGTTAAAAAATATTATCTAGTATTATTTGGTTTTTGAAAATGATATTGAACTTGGAGATAAGTGAGAATACATGACCCCCACACCAGAACGTTTCAGGGTAGAAGTTATCTCTTTGAGCCTAAACTTACATTCAAACATGTCAGGACATGTTTGCTGAGGTGGAAGAGCAAGTACAGGTGAGTTGATGTGCATGCTGGGGATGAGTTCTTTAGTGGAAAGAGGAAGAAGCAGGCTTTTGAGTTTTCACTGGCAGGTAGAGATGTGAAGTGGAGACTATGAGCTTGGGTGTTTTGGTAGAATAATGCCTATAGCCTGGGCATTCTCAGGATAGGTACAAGGGAAATGGTGATGTGAGATTCTTGGTTTGAGTTCATTGCTGAGGGGTGCTGGAGAGGAGAAGGAAAAAGTAGTGGACATTGAGAGGTGAATATAACTGACAGACTGGTTCAAGAACATATGCAAGATGCCCCTGAGACGTAACTTTTCAGAAAATTGTTCCTTTGACTACCTTTTAAGAATTATAACACATAATAATTTTATTTCTTTTCTTCTGTCTTCAGGCTTAATTTGTTCTTCCTCTAGTTTGCTAAGGTGGAAGCTTGAATTATCAATGTATTTCTTTTTTCTTTTCTAATACAGCATTCACTGCTATACATTCTTATTTTTCTGTAGCCAAATTTTGATGAGTTGTATATTCATTTTCATTTAGTCCAAAAGTAGTTTAAAAATTGAGACTTATTCTTTCACCCATGGGTTATTTAGAAGTGTGTTAATTTTCAAATTTGGGGGATTTTCTAGTTATCTTTCTATTGATTTCTAGCTTAAGTCCATTGTGATCTGAGAACATATTTTGTGTAATTTCTATTTTATTTCTTAAATTTTTTTTTTTCTGAGACAGAGTCTTGCTCTGTCACCCAGGCTGGAGTAATGTGGCGTGATCTCTGCTCACTGCAACCGCTGCGTCCCAGATTCAAGCAATTCTCCTTCCTCAGCCTCCTAAGTAGCTGGGATTACAGGCACCTGTCACCATGTCTGGCTAGTTTTTTTTTTTTTTTTTGTATTTTTAGTAGAGATGGGGTTTTACCATGTTGGCCAAGCTGGTCTCGAACTCCTGACTTCAAGTGATCTGCCCGCCTCGGCTTCCCAAAGTGCTAGGATTACAGGTGTGAGCCACCATGCCCGGCCTATTTCTTACATTTGTAAGTGTGTTTTATGACCCAGAATGTGGTCTATATTAGTGAATGTTCTGTGTGAGCATGAGAAGAATGTGTACTTGGTGGTGGTGGAGTATTCTATAAATGTCAATTAGATTAAGTTGATGGCTAGTGCTGTTCATGTCATTTATATTCTTACTGATTTTCTGCCTGTTTGATCTATCAATTATTGACAGAGGAATATTGAAACCTTCACTTCTATTATGTGGTAGATTTGTCGATTTATTTTTTTTAGTTCTATCAGTTTTTGCTTCATGAATTTTGATGCTTTTTTGTTATGTGCATACATGTTGAAGATTGTTATGTCTTGGAGAACTGACCCTTTTATCATTATGTAATGTCACTTTTCTTTTCCTGATAATTTTAATTATTCTGAAATTTACTTTGTCTGAAATTAATATATTTACTCCAGCTTTTTAAAATCAGTGTTAGCATGCTATAATTTTTCTCTTTACTTGTAACCTATTTAAGTCTTTACATTTAGTGAGTTGCTTGTAGGCAATATACAGCTAGGTCTTGCTTTTTTATCCACTTTGATAATCTGTCTTTTAATTGATATATTTAGACCTTTCACATTTAGAGTAATTATTGCTATAGTTGGATTAATATCTACCATGTTTCAAGCTGTTTTCTGTTCATTGCATTTGTTTTTTATCTTTTACCCCCATTTGGCATTTTCTGGAGTATTTTATATGATTTTATTTATGCCTCTTCTCTTAGCATATGAATTATGATGACATAAAGCTTTTTAGCTGGGCACAGTGCCTCATGCCTGTAATCCCAGCACTTTGGGAGACTGAGGCAGGTGGATCACTGAAAGCCAGGAGTTCGAGACCATCCTGGCCATCATGATGAAACCCCGTCTTCTCTAAAAATACAGAAATTAGCCAGATGTGATAGGCACCTGTAATCCCAGCTATTTTGGAGGCTGAGGCACAAGACTTGCTGGAACCTGGGAGGTGGAGGTTGCAGTGAGCCAAGATTGTGCTATTGCACTGCAGCCTGGGTGACAGAGTGAGACTCAGTCTCAAAAAAAAAAAAAAAAGAAAAAAGATTTTAGTGACTGTGCTAGAGTTTACCATTTACATTTTTAACTAAGCTAAATGTATTTTCAAATAAATTATACCCCACTTCAAGTATAATTCAAGTAGCTTATAATAGTGTATTCCCAATTCCTCCCTCTCATTTATTATGACTTTACTGTTATTTATTTTACTTATGTTTATGCCATAATCACCCAATAAATTACATCTATTACTTCTTTAAATAGTTATCTTTTTGATCAATTAGGAATATGAAAAATAATAGATTTTCTTTTATACATACTTTGAAAAAATTGCAAGCTTGAATATTGTTCTTCAAAACGGCTTGTATCAAGTGCAATATCTAAATTTATTCCAAAGCAGAGCTACCATTGTTGTCAAAAATCAAGAAGCTTTTCTTTTGATTGAGATCAGAAGTGAACAAAGAACAGAGATAACAGTCTATTACAAAACACCAGTTGTGCCTCATTCTTACTGCCCCACACCATCACACTTTTGCTTTGTGTTTTTGGAAAGAACCCTGCCATCCTTTTTCCTAAATTTAAATAATAATGAGGGCCACTGTTTTCAGAACATAAAATTTTACTTTCCATACGTTTCTTTCCTCTTTAATTACCTTAGTAGCTCCAGAAGTAGGCTAGCTAGATTTAGCAAATACAGATACAAGCTGTGCAGCTAAATTCGCATTTCAGGTAAATAACAATAAATAACTTTTTTTTTTTTTTTGAGATGGAGTCTTGCTCTGAAGTGCAGTGGCATGATCTCGGCTCACTGCAACCTCGGCCTCCTGGGTTCAAGTGACTCTCCTGCCTCAGTCTCCCAAGTGCTGTGATTACAGGCACACACCACCACGCCCAGCTAATTTTTTTGTGTTTTTAGCAGAGATGGGGTTTCGCCACGTTGGCCAGGCTGGTCTCAAACTCCTGACCTCAGGTGATCCGCCTGCCTCGGCTTCCCAAAGTGCTAGGATTACAGGTGTGAGCCACTGCATCTGGCCTAAATAACACATTTTTTAATACAAGTATGTTCTACGTCTCTGAAACTGATCTGAAACTCAAAGGTAATTGAATGTCTTGTATTTTACCAGGCAACTTGTCTAGAAGACCCTCATGTTAGTCTACCCAGTAGACTTCTTCCTTGCTGGGAGTAAAACAACCTGATTTTGTTTGGGAATCTACCCCTCCCTATGTGGATTTATTTCAGAAGTAATTCTTATTAGTCTAAATGAACCAGAGTTGTCCCATTCTCCTTGTCCATGATGGGTTTGGACATGAGTATGTGACTCAGTTCTTGACAATGGGATTTGAGAACCAAACTACTGACGTTGAGCTTCTGGGAAATGCTTTTCTTTGTTGATTAAAAGAGACATGTGAGAAGTTGGCCTCTCTCATTTCTTTGGATATTGTCCTGTCTGAACGTGATACCTGGAACTGTGGCAGCCATCTTGCAACCATGTGGGCAGGGAGGCTGCCGGAGGATGGCACAGCAGAGCACTGGGAATAACCTGGATCTCTGGTGATATCACAGACCCACTCAATTCAGCCTGAAGATACCTGAGCTTGGAACTTCTTACTTTGTGAGATAGTAACATTTCCTTATTTAAGCCATTTTCATTTGAGTTTTCAATTACAGGTAACCAAAAGCATCCTAAATGATAAAGTATTTATTAGACCAGAAAACTGAAGCTCAAATAGGTAAGTTATTCTGTGTTAGTAAAAAAGGAATTACTGGGGTTGAATTTAAACTCAGGCCTGTCCGACTTCAGTGTTCTCTCCATTATACTAATTCAAGCATTTCCATATAGTGTGGCTTTGGGCAAATTACATCACTTCTCTGAACTTAGACTTCCTTAGCTGCAAAGAGGGGCCGGAACTATTCCCTCACCATAATGTATTAAAGATGTAAAGATATACTGTTATTAGAAAGCACAGCATAAAAATGCCTAGTAAGCTTCCTTTAGCATAAAAATGCTTAGTAAAATTTCCTTCTTTCTTGCCTCTGTGCTTTTATTCTTAGGAATCTTCACTTACTCCTTATTGTGGGAGGTAGTGAATAGTTCTCTCATTTTAAAACAGGCTAGCATATTTTAAGAATTCATCTTATAAGAGCTAAGTTTCCAGTTTCTTGGAGCAACTTAGACCCTTGATTGCCTCAGTATTCATCCAAGAACACAGCCTATCAATTCAATGAGTTCTTTAGACTATGGGGATCACCCACAATTATATCTACATGCTGGAGCTTTTCCTTTAATCTTTTTAGGGTTCCTCAGTTCAGCCCAAATTACCCATCTCTAGTTTTCATGCCGTGAATGACAATCACAGCAGTGGAACAGCCCCTACCAGCAGCCTAGGCATAACAGTTCCCAGAGCCATGCTTTTTAATCATGGAGGGAGGAACATCAGTTTTGAGGATACTGGCTGAGTGACCTTGAACAGGTTGCCTAAGCATTCTGAGCTTCACTTTTCTCATCAGGAAAAAATGGGGATAATAAGAAGTCCCTCGGAGATTGATGCAAGGATTGAATAAGGTAAAGTGAGAGCATCCAGTGCATAGAAAGTAAACAGAATAGCATCACCTTCAGTAAGTCCTGCCACTTATGCACAGCTCAGCATCCTGTTATTATCACCTCTGCAGGTGCAATGTCATCTACCAAAATGTTCCTTTTTATAAAAAAATCCATGAAGAAGGGTTTCAGCCTTTCAGTCAGATGTCATTTGTCTCTAAAGACTGAGCTGTAATCAAATTTCCAGACCTGTTGTGTCCTGTAGGGAACATGAATTGGTCACAGCTCAATCAGATTCTCCATTCTTGCTGCCACCTCTCCAGCATCTGTGAATATGAATGAGAAGAATGGTGGGACACTAAGAGGCCCATGTGTGGGATTTGAGTAACTTGAAATCTGAGAAGTTAATTATATTCCATCTGATACAGCCCTCTAAATTAACTTGTACCTGCTGAGATCTCTCAATCCATTTCAAACACCAAGAAAAAGGATGAAATAAACTGAAATTTATTCTGAGATAAAATGTGTTTTTAATGAGAAGTTACAGAGAGAATAGTCTAAAAGGATCCTGGCTAGTTAGTGAGTCTATGTTCCCCTTCCCCGCAAAATCATTGCTCCAGCTGGGCTATATTTATGAAATAGCCCCTCAACCCTTCCCTTTCTCAGATGTCCTCACGAAATTGGAAGAATCATATACAATGTGTGTGTGTGTGTGTGTGTGTGTGTGTGTGTATGTATGTGCTTACACATGTCTGAAATGAACATTTCCAGTAGCCTCAGGAAACTCTTGTGCTTCTTCCTAATTAATGTCCCTCCTCAGAGGTAACCATTCTTCGTTTTTTTATTTTTTCTGAGACGGAGTCTTGCTCTGTTGCCCAGGCTGGAGAGCAGTGGCATGATCTCGGCTCACTGCAACCTCTGCCTCCCAGGTTCAAGCAGCTCTCTGCCTCTGTCTCCTGAGCAGCTGGGATTACAGGTGCCTGCCATCATGGCTGGCTAATTTTTGTATTTTTAGTAGAGATGGGGTTTCACCATCTTGGCCAGGCTGGTCTTGAACTCCTGACCTCATGATCTAACTCAGCCTCCCAAAGTGCTGGTATTACAGGTGTGAGCCACCGTGCCCAGCCGAGGCAACCATTATTTTGACTTTTATCACCTTTTGTGTATCTTTGAGTTTCATATATGTGGAATGATACAATTTGTACTCTTGTGTCTGGTTCCTTCCCTCATCAGTTTGTGAGACTAGTTCATGTTGTTGCTCATGGTCATAGTTTTTTTTTGTTTCTGTGTGATATTCCATTGTGAAAATATACTGAAATTTAGTTATCCTTTTTATGGCTGTTGGATATTTAGGTTGTTTTCAACTTTTGCGTATTATGAATATAGCCGCTATGAACATACTTGTGTTCTCAACTGGCCCTGGAATTCTTCTGTTTGCTAAAGTACCCCCAGGAAGTGTGTGCTAGAAGAAAAGGTTTGGGGAACTTGTGTTTTTGCATAACAATTCTTAATAAGAAAGTGCAAGAAATGTCGATCATTTCCCCGGGGGAGCAGGAGGGGAGAGGGAATGGTGATGGCTGTAGGTCTACTGGGCGCTGGAACCTCCACCAAATCTCCAGGGAATTTCTAGAGTCACGAAATGTTCTGTGTGAGGCAATGTACATATATGTACACAAATATGTTCACCACAAAATAAACTCATGACAATAACAGTCCTCATTTCTGTAACTGGGCACATGGTTGTACCTGATACTTAGAACTACCTTCTGCTACCCATTCTGAATTCCCTTTGTACTTGGCAAACCTTTCAGCTGGTTGAGGTTCTTTACCTGGTAGGATGACCCAAACCTTCATTCCTGAAGGGTCTGGGCCATTAGTAGTCCTGCGTGAATTGGATTATTGTAGTTTTCCATGAATTTAATCACAAATTTTAATCACAGGGTATGGTAATACTAAGAGATGCCCTAAGGGATCTCCTGTATTCCAGACATATTCTTTCTTGCCTCCATTGTGGAATAGTAGCACATTTTCCCCTTGGTAGTCAGGATCAGTCGCCCTAGACAACACCAAAACTTTGCCTGTCAATTCAGAGGTATGAGGAGCCCAAAGTGGCTGGCTGTGGCCTTAACTTTCAGTGCAATGGAATCACTGTTGTATCTGCTAGTGGAAGCATTCTTTTTTGGAACTAAGATCTCTAGGCTAACAGGATAATAAAGGAACAAGAGGCAAAAATTTTGCTAGTGAGTCATTAGGGGTAATAGCAAGTGGTGCCATCCCATTTTTACCCCTTGATCTCTGGACCCATGAGTCCTGACTAGCACCTGACTGGATGCTGATTCAAAGAATACACAGCTTTCTGTGGAATCTTGCCCCACTTCTGTAAAGTACTGTCACCTAGTTGGTGAGGTTGCCTGTAACTGACTTCAAAAGGCCATTCCACCATTCCGTCAAGCCAGCTGCTTTAGAACGGTTGGGAACACCGTGAGACCAGTGAATTCCACGAGCACGAACCCACTGCTGCGCTTCATTTGCTGTGAAGTGAGTCCCTTGATCAGAGCAATGCTGTGTGGACCATCGTGAAGGTGGACAAGGCATTTTGTAAGTCCATAGATAATAGATTCTACAGAAGCATTGTGTGCAGGGAAGGCAAGTTCATATCCAGAGCAAATGTGTATTCCAGTAAGGACAAAATGCTTCCCCTCCCTTCCACAATGGAAGCAGTCCAATGTAATCAACCTGCCTCCAGGTAGCTGGCTGGTCACCCCAGGGAATGGTGCCATATATTGGGGACTCAGCATTGGTCTCTGCTGTTGGCAGATTGGGTACTCAGTGGTCGCTGTAGCCAGGTTGACCTTGTTGCTTGAACTCCATGTTGTGAGCATGCGTGTGTGTGTGTGTGTGTGTGTGTGTGTGTGTGTGTGTGTGTTTGACAGAGACAGAGGGAGGAGAAAGAAGAGAGACTGGTAAAATTTTGGGGGATTATAGAGACAAAAAGCATGAGGAAGTTGCCTCAGGAACTCATAGAAAATGTGGGGCCTCTCACAAGATTGTTAGACTTTTAAAACATAAATTTTTATTTTACAGAAAAGTTGCAAAGATAATTGAGTTCTCTTAAATTTCTCACTCAGTTTTCCCTAATGGTAACATCTTATATTACCATGGTACATTTATGAAAATGAAGAAACTGAAAATGCAGCATTACTATTAACTAAGCTCCACGCTTTATTTGGATTTCACAAGTTTTTCCACGAATGTCTTTTTCTGTTCTAGGAGCCAGTCCAGAATCCCACATTGTAATTTTTGGAGATGGATTTTGAGGCAAATGTAATCATCCCTAAGGTTATATATCATATATCATATATGAAATATGTATTAGATATAGATGTATTCTATGTGTCTATTTAGCTACCTATCAGATCAATTTTATTCTTATTTTTGTAGAGACGGGGCCTCGCTATGTTGCTCAGGTTGGTCTCAAACTCCTGGGCTCAAGCGATCCTCCTGCCTCAGCCTTCCAAAGTGCTCGGATTACGTGCGTGAGCCACTGTGCCCACCCTCAGACTTTAAAATAGACGAAATCTTTTTTTGAGACAGTCTCACTCTATAGCCCAGGCTGGAGTGCAGTGGTACAATCTTGGCTCACTGCAGCCGCCACCTCCCAGGTTCAAGTGAGTCTCGTGCCTCAGGCTCCAGAATAGCTGGGATTACAGGTGCTTGCCATCACACCCGGCTAATTTCTGTATTTTTAGAGAAGACGGGGTTTCACCATGACGGCCAGGATGGTCTCAAACTTCTGACCTCAAACGATCCACCCACCTCAGCCTCCCAAAGTGCTGGGATTATAGGCGTGAGCCACCGTACCCGGCCTAAAATAGAAGAAATCATTTTTATTCAACAGTTCTTAGAAAGGTCTTAATGAGGAAATGATACAGATGATGATTTGGACCCAAGGCTGTTGAAAAATTGTTACTTTTTTCCTGGGGTATTGTATTAATCAGGGGAGATTTTACAAGGGTGGATGAGTAGAGAAAAAGGGGTAGGTACGCCTCACCACGGGCAAGCGTGGAGTAACATATTTTGAGAGAACCTATCCAAGTTGCACGTATGCAGGTGACATGCTCATGGCTATGATGAAGACCTGGAGGAGGAAAAGGCCAGAAAGCTGCAGACAACCCAACAGTGTCAAGCACAGAGGCTGGTTTTCACTGAGAACGATGTAAGAAGGAACAACATCGCGGCCTTGATGAAGCCACAGTGATGCTACCCAGGGACTCTGCAGAGCTGCCAGTCTCCTGCAACTCCACAGAGCCTGGACAGGGCAGCAGAAGGTGCACCTCTGAGGAGCAAAGGATGCAGGGCTTCTGTGGGCCTGGCTCTCAGGGAAGCATCAGGGACCGTGATTAGAAAGTTTACGTCTGAGTGCTGGCCCTTCAGTAAAGGCCTGTGTGACTTCTGGCAGGCTCCTGTCAGTCCTGAGTCTCTTCATCTATAAAATGAAAAGACGTCTGGTGAGATGGTTTCTCAGGACAGTTACGGCTCCAACATGATGCCACGGCAATTATAACATAAACAATGCCTTATGTTTGTAAATGATCTAGGCTTTTCTGAGCTGTTTCGAGGAAGTTATTGCATTTTATCCTTATGACAACACTGAGAGGATGAGAAAAAAATATTACCTGCATTTTATTACTCCTTTCCCCAGTAGGGTGTTGATACCCTCTAGATCATTCCAAGCTCTGGGGAAATCCAAGGCTCCTCCCACAGTGCACACCCAGATGTCTGCGTGTTCTGGGAGATTATGTGGTTGCAGTCACAGTCACTTTCCTTCTGGGCTGTCACAGCTTCATCTCGGATCTCTGCTGTGTAGCATGTCAACTCAAATGTGAAACTTAGATTCATTGCCACAAAAGAGTCCATCACACTGTGTTTCTGAGTGTGGTGGTCTATGATGGGGATTGGGACAGAGGGCCAATGGAGGAGGTGTTCCCATTTCAGGAATGTGAATAGAACAGGGGACCGAAGGGTATCTTCTGTCCCTTTATTACCAAGGGTGTCTTCACAGGCCCTTCTCATTTTGTCTAAGCCTTGGGGATGGGCTCTCAGCAGAACAAAGAAAGAAGCCCATTCTGGGAGGAGGAAGCAGCTTGAGCAGAGGTGACTGTGGGGACTGCCAGGCATGGTGGGGGATAGCGGGAGACTGTGGGAGTGAAACTGGGAGTGAAAGCCAATCTCTCCAGGCTTCCTGGCACTGCGTTTATTCTTCTGCTATACACTTACCATAATCTGTCTCGTATCCTAGTTTGTTAAAATTTTTATTGAAGTGAAATTCATGTAACATAACTATTTCAAAGTGTACAGTTCCGCAGCATTCGGTACATTCACAATGGCTTACAATCATCACCTCTACCTAGTTCTAAAGCAGTTTTAGCTCCAAAGGAGACCCTATTACTCTCAGCTTTCCCTCTTCAATCGGCCCTGGGTCACAATGAATCTGCATTTTGTCCATACGGATTTACCTATTTTGGAGATTTCATATAAATGGAATCGAAGGTTGCCCAGGGGACAGATGAAAAGGCTGGAATTTAGCTCAAACAGTTCAGGATCCAGGACAGTTCCAGGCATCATGGGAGAGGGATGCTGTGATGCGTGCTCTCAGTTCTTTTATGTGTTTGGGGAGCCTGACTGGAATGGATAGTAGGTGGCCACAAAACCACAAATGGCATTCCATTTAAAACTGCGAGCTCCTGGCAGGCAGGGAGTTGGTTTGATTTTTTGCTGTGTCCTCTGCTCTGGGCCTTGAGTAGCCTTGGTAAGTTCTGGTTCTAACTTAAACAATACATAGAGGTTGGTGCCATGGAGGGCAGGCGTAGAGCAGAGGGTTGGTTAGAGCCCACTGAGTTCTCATCCAGGGCATTAGTATGGAATGGGAAAAAGGGAGTGGGCAATAGTTGGATGTGTGGGTTTATGTCCTGACTCTGCCATGGACCAAAAACATGATCTTGGGCCGGCTGTCTTCCCACTGGACCCCACAAAGTTGTAAACAGAGTGGAGCAAGAGAACGGATGTGAAGGAGACTTTTAAAGTGAAAACCATATGTGTGTGTGTGTGTGTGTGTATATGTACACACACACACACACACATATACGTAATATGTGTGTATGTGTGTATATATATGTGTGTGTATATATATGTGTGTGTGTGTATATATATATATATGTGTATATATATCAGCACAGTAGGGCTGGTCATATGGGCCAGCCCCATATGACCCTAATATATTATGTATTAATGTATATAACTAATGTATATTATTACTAATTATATTAGTATATTGTATATATTACTAATATGTAACTAATGTAGTATATATATTACAGATATACATATGTATATGAGATATATGTATATACATATGTATATGAGATATATGTATATACATATGTATATGAGATATATGTATATACATATGTGTATGAGATATATGTATATACATATGTGTATGAGATATATGTATATACATATGTGTATGAGATATATGTATATACATATGTGTATGAGATATATGTATATACATATGTGTATGAGATATATGTATATACATATGTGTATGAGATATATGTATATACATATGTGTATGAGATATATGTATATACATGTGTATGAGATATATGTATATATGTGTATATGTGTATATATGTGTGTGTGTATATATATATATATATGTATGTGTATATATATATATATATATATATATATATATATTAGGGTCCAGGCCTCATACTAACATATAGAACACAATCTTCAAATCTGCAGAGCTTTCAGCAAGCATATCTTTCTGTGAGAGAAGGAAGAACTTGGGTCCAGTTCCAAGCTCTTTCATGTCTTAGCAGCCGTGCCCTTGTGTAAGTCATTTAATCACACTGAGCTTCAATTTCCTCATCTGCAAAATGAAGTTAATGCGATTGTTTACTTGGTGTGGTGGTGTTTCATTGCCATTATTCTTAGCATTCCTGTTGAATGCTTTTGACAAGAGATTTCAGAAACACTTCCTCATCATGTCCCCGACTGCCTGGCACCTCTATATATGAGGGCACAACTGCTTCTGTCTGCTTGGATGAAGAGTAGCAAGTTAGCACCACACATTAACTATGTGCAGTGCAAATGGATTATTTTCACAGAATTTAGTATCAAGTTATACCCCATTCCCGTTTATTTGCTTTTACACCAGGGGAGTAGAACCATTGTTAGAAAAAAAATGTCCCACTATTGCGGTGTGATGCATCACTGGGCAAGCTGGGCGGGTCAGATGGAGATGGGGCAGACCAGCCCCACTGTGCTGATGTTGGTAACTGCTCAGATGAGATGCCTTGACAAGCGTGGGAAAGACAGTAGATTCCATTCATCTCCTGGGTATCCTCATTGACACAGTGCCTGATTTATGGAAAGTCTGAACTCCACAGAGGGTACAAGTAGAGAATGTCTTTACTTTTTCCAACCACTGCCATCTCTTACTCTGATGGATTTTTCTTCCCAGCCCTGTGAAAAATCAGAAAAATCTCATTGTTCTCTGTGATTTTAGTTATTAGAATGTTTTGTTTTGGTGATCATGATTTATATTTAATTATTAAAAAGTAGTCCAGGCCTTGGCACGATGGCTCATGCCTGTAATCTCAGCACTTTGGGAGGCCAAGGCAGGAGGATCACTTGAGGCCAGGAGTTCAAGACCAGCATGGGTGACAGAGACTCCATATCTACAAAAAAATTTTTTAAAAATTAGCCAGACATTGTGGCATGCACCTGTAGTCCTAGCTACTCAGGAGGCTGAGGCAGAGGGATCACCAGAGCCCAGGAGTTCAAGGTTACAATGAGATATGATCACACCACTGCACTCCAGCCTGGGCAACAGGGTGAGACACTATCTCAGAAAAAAATCCAGTCTGGTGTAAATCAAAATTTTAACATCATATGCAGTTAAAACTTTTTCCTTCCCTCCCAGTTCAGTACTAACCTGTTAGGAATGCTCTACTCTTTCTCTCTTCCTATCACCCCTCCTGTTCCTGGCTCTTACAGTGTGTCAGATGGATGGGCTCGTCCTGGTGGCCGGCCTCTGAAGTGGGTACCAGCAGCAGTGGTGCAGTGGCTGTCCTCCATGAGGCCCCTCAGCCAGCAGGTTCTTGGAGGCCACCGCCCTTCCACTGCCCTCTCTCCTCTTCCTGAGGTTCTACCCTGTTCCTACTGCCGGAATTTTCTGGACAAAAAGCAGAAACTAATTTATATGTTCACGTCTGTTCTCAAGCTCCTGGGGACTGATAAACTCTCCAAAAGCTGAACACATTTCACTCCAGAGTGGCCCTGGCACTTAGCATCTCACCTGTGAGTGAGGTGTCAGGTTCCCCTTCCTGCAGGCATCCCCACATTTTTTTGAAGAGTCTTTGGAGCCCTCCTCATTTGGCCAGGGACTGGGGGTCATCCCTTCCCCTCCTTCATGGGAAACAGGAGAGGAAATGCTCCCCACTCTTCTCTGGCGACTCCCTCCTCTGATGGGTTCTCCTACTTTAACCAGGTTCCTTTAAATGACACTTTAAGAACAATTACATAGGCTGATAAGGATGGTGAGGTGAGGGTCTCAAGGCCAGTTTGGCACCTCCTAGACAGTTCTGGAGATGGCGTCTGTCAGGTTCTTGGTGCTGTTTTTAGAATATAGGAGAATATTATCTATTCTCTTAAACTTTGAGATCTTAGCTAAAATTTTTAGACACAGCAGAAGTCAATATGCTAAGAGGCTGTGAGTGTTTGGAAGATGTATTAGTTAAGGCAGTGCTAGCTGCTGTAACAGATATACCTGAAATCCCAGTGGCTTAAAGTGCCAGATGCTTATTTCTTGCTGACTGGCAGTCTAGTCACTAGTGGAATGAGGTTGGGTCCTGGATTGATGGGGACTGTGCCATCTTCAACACCTGCTGGCAGATGAGGAAAGAGAGAAAGGAAGTGGAAGATCAGATGCAAGGGTTTAGCAGTCCAGACATGGGCATGGCATCTGTCACTTCTCTTCATATACTTTGGCCACAACTCAGTGATGCAATCACAACTAACTGCAAGGGAGACTGGGAAACATGACTCACTAGACGACCAGGAAGAAGGTGAGACGGCTTGAGAAGCAGTGGATCAGTCTCTGGCACCAAAGCTTTCAATCAATGATCAACCTTCAGAGTTTAGGATAGTGGAAAGCCAGCTCTGGAAGGGATGGTAGAGGTCATTTAGGCCAGAAGTTTTCCACCAGGGCGGTATTGCCCCTGTAGGGACCACTCATTTGGAAGTAGGTGGTGCTGTTTTAAAAAATGTTTTTAAAAAATTTTAATTGACAAATAATTGTGTGCATATATGTAGAGGACAATGTAATGTTATTTATTCATTTATTCATTTTTTTTTTTGAGACGGAGTCTCATTCTGTCACACAGGCTGGAGTGCAGTGGCACATCTGGGCTCACTGCAACCTCTGCCTCCTGGACTCAAGCAATCCTCCTTTCTCAGCCTGCAGAGTAGCTGGGACCACAGGTGTGCACCTCCACGCCCAGCTAATTTTCTTATTTTTTGGTAGACATGGGGTTTTGCCACATTGTACAGGCTGGTCTCAAACTCCTGAGCTTAAGCAGTCTGCCTGCCTTGGCTTCCCAAAGTGCTGGGATTACAGGCATGAGCCACCATGCCTAGCCTATTTATTTATTTTCAATGTGATGTTTTGATCTATGTGTACATTATGGAAAGAGTCAGTCAAGCTAATCCATCACCTCACCAATTTATCGCTTTTTTGTGTGTGGTGAGAATGTTAAAAATCTATCTTAGCAACTTTGAATTCCAGTCTAACTGAAACTTTCTACACTATGATCCATATCCTCCTTTTCCCCATCCCTCCTCCTCCCACAAATCTCAGCCTCTCGTAACCACCTTTCTGCTCTGTTTCTTTTTTTTTTTTTTTTTAATACTTTAAGTTTTAGGGTACATGTGCACAATGTGCAGGTTAGTTACATATGTATACATGTACCATGCTGGTGCGCTGCACCCACTAACTCGTCATCTAGCATTAGGTATATCTCCCAATGCTATCCCCTCCCCCTTCCCCCCACCCCACAACAGTCCCCAGAGTGTGATATTCCCCTTCCTGTGTCCATGTGATCTCATTGTTCAATTCCCACCTATGAGTGAGAATATGCGGTGTTTGGTTTTTTGTTCTTGCGATAGTTTACTGAGAATGATGATTTCCAATTTCATCCATGTCCCTACAAAGGACATGAACTCATCATTTTTTATGGCTGCATAGTATTCCATGGTGTATATGTGCCACATTTTATTTATTTATTTATTTATTTTTATTATTATTATTACTATTATTATTATTATTTTTTTAATTATACTTTAAGTTTTAGGGTACATGTGCACTTTGTGCAGGTTAGTTACATATGTATACATGTGCCATGCTGGTGCACTGCACCCACTAACTCGTCATCTAGCATTAGGTATATCTCCCAATGCTATCCCTCCCCCCTCCCCCCTCCCCACCACAGTCCCCAGAGTGTGATATTCCCCTTCCTGTGTCCATGTGATCTCATTGTTCAATTCCCACCTATGAGTGAGAATATGCGGTGTTTGGTTTTTTGTTCTTGCGATAGTTTACTGAGAATGATGGTTTCCAATTTCATCCATGTCCCTACAAAGGACATGAACTCATCATTTTTTATGGCTGCATAGTATTCTATGGTGTATATGTGCCACATTTTCTTAATCCAGTCTATCATTGTTGGACATTTGGGTTGGTTCCAAGTCTTTGCTATTGTGAATAATGCCGCAATAAACATACGTGTGCATGTGTCTTTATAGCAGCATGATTTATAGTCATTTGGGTATATACCCAGTAATGGGATGGCTGGGTCAAATGGTATTTCTACTTCTAGATCCCTGAGGAATCGCCACACTGACTTCCACAATGGTTGAACTAGTTTACAGTCCCACCAACAGTGTAAAAGTGTTCCTATTTCTCCACATCCTCTCCAGCACCTGTTGTTTCCTGACTTTTTAATGATTGCCATTCTAACTGGTGTGAGATGATATCTCATAGTGGTTTTGATTTGCATTTCTCTGATGGCCAGTGATGATGAGCATTTTTTCATGTGTTTTTTGGCTGCATAAATGTCTTCTTTTGAGAAGTGTCTGTTCATGTCCCTTGCCCACTTTTTGATGGGGTTGTTTGTTTTTTTCTTGTAAATTTGTTTGAGTTCATTGTAGATTCTGGATATTAGCCCTTTGTCAGATGAGTAGGTTGCGAAAATTTTCTCCCATGTTGTAGGTTGCCTGTTCACTCTGATGGTAGTTTCTTTTGCTGTGCAGAAGCTCTTTAGTTTAATTAGATCCCATTTGTCAATTTTGGCTTTGGTTGCCATTGCTTTTGGTGTTTTGGACATGAAGTCCTTGCCCACGCCTATGTCCTGAATGGTAATGCCTAGGTTTTCTTCTAGGGTTTTTATGGTTTTAGGTCTAACGTTTAAATCTTTAATCCATCTTGAATTGATTTTTGTATAAGGTGTAAGGAAGGGATCCAGTTTCAGCTTTCTACGTATGGCTAGCCAGTTTTCCCAGCACCATTTATTAAATAGGGAATCCTTTCCCCATTGCTTGTTTTTCTCAGGTTTGTCAAAGATCAGATAGTTGTAGGTATGCGGCGTTATTTCTGAGGGCTCTGTTCTGTTCCATTGATCTATATCTCTGTTTTGGTACCAGTACCATGCTGTTTTGGTTACTGTATCCTTGTAGTATAGTTTGAAGTCAGGTGGTGTGATGCCTCCAGCTTTGTTCTTTTGGCTTAGGATTGACTTGGCGATGCGGGCTCTTTTTTGGTTCCATATGAACTTTAAAGTAGTTTTTTCCAATTCTGTGAAGAAAGTCATTGGTAGCTTGATGGGGATGGCATTGAATCTGTAAATTACCTTGGGCAGTATGGCCATTTTCACGATATTGATTCTTCCTACCCATGAGCATGGAATGTTCTTCCATTTGTTTGTATCCTCTTTTATTTCCTTGAGCAGTGGTTTGTAGTTCTCCTTGAAGAGGTCCTTCACATCCCTTGTAAGTTGGATTCCTAGGTATTTTATTCTCTTTGAAGCAATTGTGAATGGGAGTTCACTCATGATTTGGCTCTCTGTCTGTTGTTGGTGTATAGGAATGCTTGTGATTTTTGTACATTGATTTTGTATCCTGAGACTTTGCTGAAGTTGCTTATCAGCTTAAGGAGATTTGGGGCTGAGACGATGGGGTTTTCTAGATAAACAATCATGTCGTCTGCAAACAGGGACAATTTGACTTCCTCTTTTCCTAATTGAATACCCTTTATTTCCTTCTCCTGCCTGATTGCCCTGGCCAGAACTTCCAACACTATGTTGAATAGGAGTGGTGAGAGAGGGCATCCCTGTCTTGTGCCAGTTTTCAAAGGGAATGCTTCCAGTTTTTGCCCATTCAGTATGATATTGGCTGTGGGTTTGTCATAGATAGCTCTTATTATTTTGAAATACGTCCCATCAATACCTAATTTATTGAGAGTTTTTAGCATGAAGGGTTGTTGAATTTTGTCAAAGGCTTTTTCTGCATCTATTGAGATAATCATGTGGTTTTTGTCTTTGGCTCTGTTTATATGCTGGATTGCATTTATTGATTTGCGTATAGTGAACCAGCCTTGCATCCCAGGGATGAAGCCCACTTGATCATGGTGGATAAGCTTTTTGATGTGCTGCTGGATTCGGTTTGCCAGTATTTTATTGAGGATTTTTGCATCAATGTTCATCAAGGATATTGGTCCAAAATCCTCTTTTTTGGTTGTGTCTCTGCCTGGCTTTGGTATCAGAATGATGCTGGCCTCATAAAATGAGTTAGGGAGGATTACCTCTTTTTCTATTGATTGGAATAGTTTCAGAAGGAATGGTACCAGTTCCTCCTTGTACCTCTGGTAGAATTCGGCTGTGAATCCATCTGGTCCTGGACTCTTTTTGGCTGGTAAACTATTGATTATTGCCACAATTTCAGCTCCTGTTATTGGTCTATTCAGAGATTCAACTTCTTCCTGGTTTAGTCTTGGGAGAGTGTATGTGTCGAGGAATGTATCCATTTCTTCTAGATTTTCTAGTTTATTTGCGTAGAGGTGTTTGTAGTATTCTCTGATGGTAGTTTGTATTTCGGTGGGATCGGTGGTGATATCCCCTTTATCATTTTTTATTGTGTCTATTTGATTCTTCTCTCTCTTTTTCTTTATTAGTCTTGCTAGCAGTCTATCAATTTTGTTGATCCTTTCAAAAAACCAGCTCCTGGATTCATTGATTTTTTGAAGGGTTTTTTGTGCCTCTATTTCCTTCAGTTCTGCTCAGATTTTAGTTATTTCTTGCCTTCTGCTAGCTTTTGAATGTGTTTGCTCTTGCTTTTCTAGTTCTTTTAATTGTGATGTCAGGGTGTCAATTTTGGATCTTTCCTGCTTTCTCTTGTGGGCATTTAGTGCTATAAATTTCCCTCTACACACTGCTTTGAATGCATCCCAGAGATTCTGGTATGTTGTGTCTTTGTTCTCGTTGGTTTCAAAGAACATCTTTATTTCTGCCTTCATTTCGTTATGTACCCAGTAGTCATTCAGGAGCAGGTTGTTCAGTTTCCATGTAGTTGAGCGGCTTTGAGTGAGATTCTTAATCCTGAGTTCTAGTTTGATTGCACTGTGGTCTGAGAGATAGTTTGTTATAATTTCTGTTCTTTTACATTTGCTGAGGAGAGCTTTACTTCCAAGTATGTGGTCAATTTTGGAATAGGTGTGGTGTGGTGCTGAAAAAAATGTATATTCTGTTGATTTGGGGTGGAGAGTTCTGTAGATGTCTATTAGGTCCACTTGGTGCAGAGCTGAGTTCAATTCCTGGGTATCCTTGTTGACTTTCTGTCTCATTGATCTGTCTAATGTTGACAGTGGGGTGTTAAAGTCTCCCATTATTAATGTGTGGGAGTCTAAGTCTCTTTGTAGGTCACTCAGGACTTGCTTTATGAATCTGGGTGCTCCTGTATTGGGTGCATATATATTTAAGATAGTTAGCTCTTCTTGTTGAATTGATCCCTTTACCATTATGTAATGGCCTTCTTTGTCTCTTTTGATCTTTGTTGGTTTAAAGTCTGTTTTATCAGAGACTAGGATTGCAACCCCTGCCTTTTTTTATTTTCCATTTGCTTGGTAGATCTTCCTCCATCCTTTTATTTTGAGCCTATGTGTGTCTCTGCATGTGAGATGGGTTTCCTGAGTACAGCACACTGATGGGTCTTGACTCTTTATCCAACTTGCCAGTCTGTGTCTTTTAATTGGAGAATTTAGTCCATTTACATTTAAAGTTAATATTGTTATGTGTGAATTTGATCCTGTCATTATGATGTTAGCTGGTTATTTTGCTCGTTAGTTGATGCAGTTTCTTCCTAGTCTCGATGGTCTTTACATTTTGGCATGATTTTGCAGCGGCTGGTACCGGTTGTTCCTTTCCATGTTTAGCGCTTCCTTCAGGAGCTCTTTTAGGGCAGGCCTGGTGGTGACAAAATCTCAGCATTTGCTTGTTTGTAAAGTATTTTATTTCTCCTTCACTTATGAAGCTTAGTTTGGCTGGATATGAAATTCTGGGTTGAAAATTCTTTTCTTTAAGAATGTTGAATATTGGCCCCCACTCTCTTCTGGCTTGTAGGGTTTCTGCCTAGAGATCCGCTGTTAGTCTGATGGGCTTCCCTTTGAGGGTAACCCGACCTTTCTCTCTGGCTGCCCTTAACATTTTTTCCTTCATTTCAACTTTGGTGAATCTGACAATTATGTGTCTTGGAAAGTTGCTCTTCTCGAGGAGTATCTTTGTGGCGTTCTCTGTATTTCCTGAATCTGAACGTTGGCCTGCCTTGCTAGATTGGGGAAGTTCTCCTGGATAATATCCTGCAGAGTGTTTTCCAACTTGGTTCCATTCTCCGCATCACTTTCAGGTACACCAATCAGATGTAGATTTGGTCTTTTCACATAGTCCCATATTTCTTGGAGGCTTTGCTCATTTCTTTTTATTCTTTTTTCTCTAAACTTCCCTTCTCGCTTCATTTCATTCATTTCATCTTCCATTGCTGATACCCTTTCTTCCAGTTGATCGCATCGGCTCCTGAGGCTTCTGCATTCTTCACGTAGTTCTCAAGCCTTGGTTTTCAGCTCCATCATCTCCTTTAAGCATTTCTCTGTATTGGGTATTCTAGTTATACATTCTTCTAAATTTTTTTCAAAGTTTTCAACTTCTTTGCCTTTGGTTTGAATGTCCTCCTGTAGCTCAGAGTAATTTGATCGTCTGAAGCCTTCCTCTCTCAGCTCCTCAAAATCATTCTCCATCCAGCTTTGTTCCATTGCTGGTGAGGAGCTGCGTTCCTTTGGAGGAGGAGAGGTGCTCTGTGTTTTAGAGTTTCCAGTTTTTCTGTTCTGTTTTTTCCCCATCTTTGTGGTTTTATCTACTTTTGGTCTTTGATGATGGTGATGTACAGATGGGTTTTCGGTGTGGATGTCCTTTCTGTTTGTTAGTTTTCCTTCTAACAGACAGGACCCTCAGCTGCAGGTCTGTTGGAATACCCTGCAGTGTGAGGTGTCAGTGTGCCCCTGCTGGGGGGTGCCTCCCAGTTAGGCTGCTCAGGGGTCAGGGGTCAGGGACCCACTTGAGGAGGCAGTCTGCCCGTTCTCAGATCTCCAGCTGCGTGCTGGGAGAACCACTGCTCTCTTCAAAGCTGTCAGACAGGGACATTTAAGTCTGCAGAGGTTACTGCTGTCTTTTTGTTTGTCTGTGCCCTGCCCCCAGAGGTGGAGCCTACAGAGGCATGCAGACCTCCTTGAGCTGTGGTGGGCTCCACCCAGTTTGAGCTTCCAGGCTGCTTTGTTTACCTAAGCAAGCCTGGGCAATGGCGGGCGCCCCTCCCCCAGCCTCGCTGCCACCTTGCAGTTTGATCTCAGACCGCTGTGCTAGCAATCAGCGAGATTCCGTGGGCGTAGGACCCTCCGAGCCAGGTGTGGGATATAGTCTCGTGGTGAGCCGTTTTTTAAGCCGGTCTGAAAAGCGCAATATTCGGGTGGGAGTGACCCGATTTTCCAGGTGCGTCCGTCACCCCTTTCTTTGACTCGGAAAGGGAACTCCCTGACCACTTGCGCTTCCCAGGTGAGGCAATGCCTCGCCCTGCTTTGGCTCACGCACGGTGCGCGCACCCACTGGCCTGCGCCCACTGTCTGGCACTCCCTAGTGAGATGAACCCGGTACCTCAGATGGAAATGCAGAAATCACCCGTCTTCTGCGTCGCTCACGCTGGGAGCTGTAGACCGGAGCTGTTCCTATTCGGCCATCTTGGCTCCTCCCCCCCACATTTTCTTAATCCAGTCTATCACTGTTGGACATTTGGGTTGGTTCCAAGTCTTTGCTATTGTGAATAATGCCGCAATAAACATACGTGTGCATGTGTCTTTATAGCAGCATGATTTATGCTCTGTTTCTATGAGGTCGACTTTTTTAGATTCCACATATAGGTGAGATTATACGGTATTTGTCTTTTTGTGCCTTGCTTATTTTACTTAGCACGGTGTCCTTCCTTTCCATCCATGTTGTCACAGATGTCAGCATTTCCTTATTTTTTTAAGGTTGTATAGTATTCCATCATGTGTATATATATTTTATATATATATACACTACGTATATAAAAATATGTATATATATACACACTACATTTTCTTTACCCATTCATCCTTTGATGGTCACTGAGGTTGCTTTCATAACTTAGCTATTGTGAATAATGATGAAATAAACACGGGAGTGCAGATATATCCTTGGCATGCCCATTTTAATTTCTTTGGATATATACCTAGAGATGAGATTGCTGAATCATACAGTAATTCTATTTTTAGTGTTTTAAGGAAACATCATGCTACTTCCTGAAATGTCTGTGCTAATTTATATTCTCACCAACAGCACAGCAAGGTTTCCTTGTCTCCACATCCTTGCCAACACTGGTCATCATTAGGCTCGAGTGCAGTGGTGCTATCTAGCTCACTGCAGCCTCAAACTCTTGAGCTCAAGCGATCCTCCTGCCTCAGCCTCCCGAGTAGTGAGGACCACAGGTGCCTGTGACCATACCTGGCTAATTTTTGAATTTTTCTGTAGATATGGGGTCTCTCTTTATTGCCCAGGCTGATCTCCAACTCCTGGCCTCTAGCACTCCTCTGGCCTCAGCCTCCCAAAGTACTGGTATTACAGACATGAGCTACCACGCCTGACCAGGTTATTTGTTTTTATGCTATTGAATTGAGTTCCTCATATATTTTGAATATTAGCCCCTTATCAGATGTATAGTTTGCAAATATTTTCTTCAAATTTGTGAGTTGTCTCTTTATTGTTTCTTTTGCAGTGCAGAAGATGTTTATTTTGATGCAATCTCATTTGTCTATTTTTATTTTTGTTGCCTGTGCTCTTGGGGTCCTGTCTGAGAAAGTGTTGCCTAGACCAATGTTGTGGAGATTTTCTCCTGTGTTTTCTTATAGTAGCTTTGCAATGTCAGGTCTTATGTTTAAGTCTTTTATTCATTTTGAATTGATCTTTGTATATGGTGTGACATTTTCATTTAGGACAATTTCTGGGTTATCACTGGCATTCCCTGGCTAGGGACAATGTGGTCCCACACAAAAAATAACTAGCTCAACCTGTTGATTTTGTAGGGATGTCAAAGTCCAAGGTGGGAAACATGGTCTTCTATGGCCACATATTTTAACCTGAGACAATAATTCCAGTGCCTGACTCTGACCCCAGTGTTCTCATTTTTCTGATACAAGATGTAATAGCGAGTAAGAATGCTGGTTCTGGGGGGTTGAAATTCTGACTCTAGTACATTATATCTGTGTGATGCTGGGCAAATTACTTATCTAAGATTCAGTTTCTTTATTTACAAAATGAGAACAATCTCTTAGTACCTACCTTCTATGGTTGTTTTGAGAATAAAAATGAGTTGATTTACCTGCAAAATGCTCAGAATAGTAGCTGGTACATGGGGAACTCTCCTAAATGTTGGATGTTATTGCCCTTAATATTTGCACGTAGCTGTTTTCATGAAGATGGATGGCATTTTTTTTCTTATTTAAGTGGTTTTATTGAAGCATAATGAACTTACAGAAAAGTTCACATGTCATAAATGTGTAACTTACTAAATGCCCACCAGTGGGGTCCACTCTCATTACCAGCATCCAGATCAAGATGCAGAACATCAGCATCACCTATGAGGTCCTGTTCTGCTCTCTACCAGTCCCTCTTTCCCTCAGAGAGTAAACCATTATTCTAAATTTCAGGAGCATAGATTCTTTTTTGCCCATTTTTATGCCTTGCATCCATGGAATCATAGAACATGTACTTTTTTGTGTCTCTGGCTTTTTTCCCTCGACATTGTATTTGTGAGATTTCTCCTTATTCCTTTCTTCCTTCCCCGCTCCTTCTCCCCTCATTTATTGGATGGGAATAAAGTACCAGTACAGTGGGAACATATCTGGGTAGGTGACTTCATCAGAGTTTTCAAACAGGCGAGTAGGCTACTTAGATTAATGAAAAGAATTTGGTAAAGGCTTGCTGCCTTATTAAAATCATGACATTTAAGAATCCAAAGGTGGTAAGAAGTTTGGAATTAGTGATTTGGACATTGAGGGAGGAATCAAAGAAAGAGACAGATGATAAGCAAAAGCCTAAAAACATAGCATCATTTCTAGGGCAATGACTCAAAGCGGGCCTCTTGCTAGATGGAGTCAGTTCAAGAGAGCTCTTTCATTTCCCACTAGCATTTTCCCTGATCATTTTATTTATGATAATTATGGCTCATTTCTTTATATAATGAAAATGCATTCTAAAGTACAAGTTGTTTTCCATGAAATTGATTCCCAGAAAAATGATTTTCTGCTGCCTGCTCACACTTTGGAAGGTGCCCTCAAGTGACCCCACTGCTTCCTTCTCCAAGCAGCCCTCCCTGCAGACCTGTTGGTACGTTTGTGCAAAAAGTAAATAAAAGGCTGCTGACTTGAACTGATATTCATCTTTATTTTTATACTCCGGTGGGAGCCATTGTCTGCTTAACTTCAGGACATCAAGGTAATTCATTCTTTCTTTCACTATAGAGGCAAAACAAATTCTGACCTAATGGTTCCACCAGGCAGGAAGTCACCAAAGAGTTGCCAGACATTTTAAGAGAGGTATCACATAGAGAAATAAAGAGCATAGCCCTGCAGAGAGATTCACAAATGATTTAATCAGTAGTTCAGACAGGTAGGGAGAGTTGTGAGCTGTCATCTATCAGGTTAGTCTGAGTTATGCATCTGGATCTAATTTGGGGCTGAATTTAGATGTGCTACTAGATGAGACTATGTGCTTGCTTAAGGTGACTAAGATGAAGTAATAGGAAGGGATATTTTTTCCTAAAGACATAATGAAAGAAATTGCTTCTGAGCCAGGTCTAAAAGTAGAAAAAACAAAGGATTACACTAGTTTCTTTTTCACCTTTGCAAGAGTTAATATTTTAGTGTTATATATCATTGTAGAGTTGGACATTATCAGTATTCTTATTATTGCCCAGATATGATCTCCCTTGTTTTCTTGGACACACCCATGGCTTCAACCATTGCCTCGTATAGGTGACTTCCAAATCTGTATCCCGAGCACATCTCTTCCCCTGTGCTCTGTATCTGTATATCCAAATGCTGGCTGGGCTTCTTCATCTGGAGATCCTTCCATTGTCTCATACATAGGAAATACGTCTGAAGCTGAGCTCATAATTTCTACTTTTTTGCTGTCAAATCCATTTCATCCTGTATTATCTGACTGGATGAGTGGTGCTACCCACTCCCTAAAGCTCAAGCTAAAGATATGAAAGAATCTAAAATTTAAATAAAGGAAGAGATATTTATGAATCGGACAACTCAACATTGTTAAGATGTCAATTCTTCCCAAGTTAATTTATATATTTAATAAAATCTCAGTTTAAATTTCAGCAAGTCACTTTGTAGATATTGACAAGTAATTCTAAAGTTTATATAAAAAGGCAAAAGAATTCAACTAATGCAAACAATACTGAAGAGAAGCAAAGTTAGAAGGCTCATTCTACCTGATTTCAAGACTTAATATAAAGTGACAGTAATGAAGACAGTGTGGTACTGGTGAAAGAGTAGACATGTGGATCAACAGAACAGCATGGAGAACCTGGAAATACACCTACACAAATACACAGAAAGAGTCAATTGCTCTTTTACAAAGGTGCAAAGGCAATTGGATAGAGAAAGAAGACTTTTCAACAAACAATACTGAAACAATGTTGGGCAAAACATCTACACAGACATTATACAGAAGAAAATACTTGGATGGCAAGTAAGCATATGAAAAGATGCTCAAAGTCATTTGTCATTAGTGAATTTTAAAGTAAACAAAAATGAGATTCTAGTACACATCTATTAGAATGGTTAAATCTAAAAACCTAACAAAGCCAATTGCTGATAGAGATGTGAAGCAGCAGAAATTCTCAAATGTTGCTGATGAAAATGTAAGTGGTATAGCCACTTTGGAAGACTATTTGACAATTTCTCACAAAGCTAAATATAGTCCTAACATATTTCAGCAATCATGCTTCTAGGTATTTGCACAACTGATTTGAAAACCGATGTCCACAGAAAACCCAGCACGTGAATGTTTATAGCAGATTTATTCATTATTACCTCAAACAGTAAACAACCAATATGTCTTTCAATAGGTGAGTGGATAAAAAAGCTGTAGTACATTCATGCAATGGAATATTATTCAGTGGTAAAAAAGAAGGAGCTATTAAACTGTTAAGCTACACAAAGAAATGTATACATCTTCAATGCATATTGCCAAGTGAAAAGACAGTCTGAAAGGACTATGTACAGTATGATTCTATTTGTGTAACATTCTGAAAAAGGCATAATTATAGAGATGATAAATAGGTCACAGTTGCCAAGGGCTTGGGAGGCAGTATGGTTAAATAGGTGAAACAAAGGAAATGTTTTAGCGTGATGAAACTATCCTGTTTGGTTCTGTAATGTGAATACATGACACCACATAATTGTCAAAACCCATAGAACCTTACAGCAGTAAGAGTGGACCTTGATATATACAAATTTAAATAATCATGTAAGAGGTTGAAGGATCCCAAGATGGGACACAGAACATGAGAAAATAATCTACCTGTATTAAAAATGTATGAAACAACCTCACTGAAAGGGCTGGGAAGAAAATGTTGACTAAAGGCAAAAGTATGTAAACAATGTACTTTGGTTGATAAAGTTGTTTCCCATGGAGGTATGTGTTAATTATAAAACCACTATATATGTATACAGGAATTGAATACTTAAGTAAATGAATGGCAGATGGTAGGAGACATTTTCTCACTTTTGGAATGGTTGGTTATAGACAAGCAAAAGGAGAAGTCTATAATAATCCATTTGGTAACGGATTAGAGTTGGTGACATCAGTATGAACTCGTGTTTACTTTACCATACAGATGGTTACATACAGAAATATTTGTGTATGTATTCATAGGTTAGTATGCATAAATATATTTGCTTGTGCTGCCAGCTGAAAGGGCCCTGAAACAATAACATCCCAGTAGTAACAAACACACCTGGCACTCAGATCTTGGTTTCTAACACCATTCTTCAATAAAAGAAACCAGAGCTCTTCAGGAAAAAACGGTTGATTCTAGGACTGGTGCAGAAACTAAGAGGAACCCAGAGTACTTTGTAGTGCCAAAAAGGAAGCGCTAAACACCAACCCCCTGCCCACTCCCCTCCCCCACACATAATGTTGAGAGTTTGTAAATGGGATGAAAGATCCAATTGAAAGAGGTTCGCATGACCAAGGTTGGAATAAAGTAGTATTTTATCATAATCCAAAGTATAAAATAAATATCCAAGAGTCCATCCTGATATATAAGTAAATAGAATAGATAAATCTCCCATTCAAAAAATTCCAAATTATTTGTATAGATACCTCAAGGAGGTAAAGCATAGATTCCCACTCCTTAAGAGTGAAGTGTGCACAGTGGCTTTCATTTAATGAGTACAGTATGGTAAGGGGAGCGAAAAGAGTCACTTTAAAGTGGAGAACCCTTATAAACACTACCTCATTCAGGTGATCACTGTTAATATCAGCAGAGATAAGTCACGTTGATAGTATATCTTTGATATGATGTGATGAGAATAGGACTTTACCTCTGTGGTCTACCCTCTGAAACCTATATGTATTAGGCTGTTCTTGCATTGCTATAAAGAAATACCTGAGACTGGGTAACTTATAAAGAAAAGAGGTTTAATTGGCTGTACAGGAAGTATAACACAGGTATTTGCTTCTGGAGAGGCCTCAGGAAGCTTCCAAACATGGCAGAAGGTGAAGGGGGAGCAGGTGTCTCACATGGCAGGAGTGAGAGAGAGAGTGAGGTGCCACATACTTTAAACAACCATATCTTTCGAGAATTTACTATCATGAGGACAGTACCAAGGAGATGGCACTAAATCATTCGTGAGAGATCCGCCCCATAATCCAATCACCTCCCACCAGGCCCCACCTCAACATTGGGAATTACATTTCAACATGAGATTTGGGTGAGGACAAGTATCCAAACTATATCACCGTCATTCTAGTCTCATTGTGAGAAAAATATCAGACAAATCACAATTGAGGGAACTTCTACAACACACCTGATCAGTACTTCTTAAAACTACGAAGGTCATCAAAAACGAAGTCTGAGAAATGGCCCAGAGGTGCCAAAGAAGAGGTGGTAGTTAAATGTAATGGGGTGCCCTAGATGGGATGCTGGAGCGGAAGTAATACATTATGAAAAACTAAGACAAACTGAATAAATTTTATAATACAATTTTCTAATATACCAATATTGGTTCATTAATTGTGACAAATGTAACATACTAATGTAAGATAATAACAGGATTCTGGGCATGGGGAATATAGAAACTCTGTACTATCTTTGCAATTTTTCTATAAGTCTAAGAGCATTCTAAAAAAAACTTATATTTAAAAAAGCATACCTGATAGAGAATTCCCATTTAGCATTTTCTCATGGTTCCCTACATCTACTGGGTATTACCAACTCCTTGACATGTGTACGAGGTCCTCTGTAATCTGACCATTCAAAACCTCCTAAACCTTGTCATCCAGTGCTCTTCATATAACTTCTGTCCTCCAACTATAACAACATACACAAGGTTCACCATAAATGTTGGTCTCATTCACACTGCTATATGTTGGACATGATGTTCCCTCTGTGTGGAATTCATTTCCCCCATTGTCTCCCAGAGAGTCACAAAATCCTGCTAAGATATCTTCTTGCCTGGCTTCCAGGCTGTAGTCAGCAGGAGTGAAGGCAGGACTTCAGAGCTTTGTGTGATCCTGGGAAGCATGACATTCCATTTCTTCCCTCCCTCTAACACTCACAATCTTAGAACCATGATCCATTTTGGGGATTATCAAGATCCACCATGCACCTGACCCCTGTTGATGTCAGTCACCTCAGGCAGACTAGGACCCAGATCATTCCTTCTTGCCTGGACTCTCATCTCCATGTGGCTCCACACTTCCTTTAATTTGACATCATCTCTCACTCCTCCCCAACTCCTGAAATCCATCCATTGTGCTCTTTGGAACTCATCCCAGTCCCCTGCATCTTCATCCTCTTTTCTGAATGTGGCCTTTCCCTCCTTGCTGTAATGAAAACCTGTTTCTCCATGGAGGAGCCTGTTTCTCCTGTAGCCTCATCAGTGATAGCCTTTTATTCCACTTAACATCTCGTATTATTGAACTTTGAAGCGGAAAAGTTTTACTTTCTTCTCACTGATGGCTTTAAGCCATTCTCTCTCTCTCTCCTTCTAGCTCTGAAGTACTTGTCATCAGATTAAAGCATCTGCTAGCCTTCTCTGTTGCAACCCTGTGCAGGTGACATCCCCCAACCCCAGGACACTGTTTTTCACTCTTTGAAGATGTGGGTCCTGGATTACCATTACCCTCTCCAGCAATGCCTGGTGGCTTCCCTGTCTACATGGATGATCATGTCATCTTCTGTTCTACCACAGCATTCCACTCCCACAATCACACCCTGATCTTGTCATTATCAATAATTGTATCCCCTCTGTATCACATTCCTTTCTGATCATAATCTCTGACCTTTCTGCTTCTGTCTTCTAATGCTCTGAATCCAACAATTATTTACCACACTGGGACCTATAATACCTTGGTCTGATCGTCTTCTCACTACCCCTCATGCCACTCATATTGTCACTTTCCTTCTTATCAGTTTAGATTCTGTAGAACATCTTATAATTACCACCTTGCCTCTTTTGCTCTTATCTCCCTTTAGTGTATTCACCTGGCCAAATTCCAACCATAGTTAATTAAAACTTTCTATCTATCCTTTGCCTATTCCCAGACAGCTAAATGAGGCTAGAGAAAAACATGCCACCATGTTGACTGGTTTTATTTCCATGACTACAAATCTCAAGTGAGCTCTTACTGATATATTTCCCTAATCCATTATCTCTTCTACTTTCCCAGATGACGATTTCATACCTTCTTTTCTCAAGTCATAGAATATAGGGTCAGACTGCCTAGGATGGCATCCAGGCTTTTGCCACATACTAGCTGCGTCACGTTACCTATCCCTCAGTCTTCATGCCTCAGAATCACCCTCTGTAAAGTGGGAGTAATAATATTAACTACCTCATAGAATTATGAGTAAATGAATCATGCATGTGCACTACTAAGATCAGTCCCTGCTAATAGTAAGTGCTAAAGAAACGGTAGCTGGCTTCCTATTTTACATAGAAAATAGTAATACTCAGAAAAGAGCTTTCACATGCTTCAACTCCGCTACCAATACATCTACTGATACAACTCCCAATACCAATGCATCTGTAATGTATCATACACTCTTCTTTCTATACTTTGTCTGTAAATGAATTAAATGACTGGTACATCTTATTATCTAAGTCAATCCCCTCTGTATTCTCCTCTGTATTCCAGTTGTTCTTCTCCATCAGCATCTCAAGGCCATTCCTCTGGCAGGTTTACCTTCTCTCTCCTGAATCATCAAATGTTCCCTCTCTAGTGGATCAAATGTATAAACGTGCCATAATATTTTCCACCTTGGAAGATTATTTTTTTTGATACTATATGTTCCTCCAGCTACCATCTCATTTCTCTGCTTTCCTTAAAAGCAAATCTCAGGCCTAGTGTGGTGGCTTACACCTGTAATCCCAGCACTTTGGGAGGCTGATGGGGGCAGATCATGACGTCAAGAGATAGAGACCATCCTGGCCAACATGGTGAAATCCCGTCTCCACTAAAAATACAAAAATTAGCTGGGCATGATGGTGGGCACCTGTAGTCCCAGCTACTTGGAAGGCTGAGGCAGGAGAATCGCTTGAACCCGGGAGGTGGAGGTTGCAGTGAGCCAAGATGACACTACTGCACTCCAGCCTGGTGATAAGAGTGAGACTCAGTCTAAAAAAAAACAATCAAAAAATGCCCCAAAACCTCAAATATCTTCTGTACTCACTGTCGTCACTTTCTATTTTCCAATTCTCTCTTGAATCAACTCTGCTGAAAGAGGTCACCAGTGACTTCCATGCTGTTAAATCCTAACAATTCTGATTTCACTCTTCAGTTTCTGGGACGTCATGGAATCTATTCTCCTTTGATCTCAGCACCACTTTTTCTCAGTCTCCTTTTCAACTTTAAAAAGTTGAGGCATTCAGGGCTTAAGCCTTGCTCCTCCTCCTGTCTGCCTTCTTCTTCTTCTAAATCAGTATTTATCCTTTAAAGGGGCTTATCTGATTTCATGATTTTAAATACCATCTTCCAATTTTATATCTGTACCCTGGGCCTCTCGCCTGAATTCCATATATGTATATACAACTGCCTATACCAGATCACCTTGTTCATCTCTAACAGGCATCTCAAACATCAAGATCTTCATAGCAGGCTCTGGCTTCCCACCTGTGCCACCCATATATGCTCTTCTAAATGTCTTTCCCATATTAATAAATGACAACTCCATTTCTCAAGTTTCTCAGGCAAAAAGCTTTGGAGTCATCCTTGACTCCACTCTTTCATACATACCATTTCCAATTTATGTGCAAATCCTGCAGGCTCTCCCTTCAGAATCTGTCCAGAAGCTAACCACGTCCACCATCTGTCACTACCATTCTGCCCCAAGCCACTGTTGGCTCTGGTCTGTTAACTCACTCCTGTTTCATACCTTCTCCTCTATAGTATTCTCCCATCAGAATTCAGAATGATCTTTGACAAACTTCAGTCAAATCATGTCACTCTGCTTCTAAAAGCCCCTCAGTTGCTCATTATTTCACTCAGAGTACAACTCAAGATCTGTTCACACTCTGCAAGGCCCTCTGCAGTCTGGCCTTTGTCTATTCTCTGACCCCATGTCATGCCACCCTTCCCTCTCTTTCTACATCCCAGTCCCACTTACCTGTCTGCTCTTTCTTGAATACACTCAGCAAGCTCCTTTCTCAGGGCCTTGCACTGGCTCATTTCTCTTTCTGAGATATTTTCATCCTTTCCTGGATACTCTTTGTGGCTTGCTTCTTCCTTCACTCAGATCTATTTAAATGTCACTTTTTTTTTTTTGAGATGAGTCTTGTTCTGTGGCCCAGACTGGAGTGCAGTGGCATGATCACAGCTCACTGCAGCCTTGACCTCCTGGGCTCAAGAGATCCTCCCATCACAGCTTCCCAAGTAGCCGGAACTACAGGCATGTGCCACCACACTTGGCTACATTTTTTTTGTTTTTTGTTTTGTAGAGATGGGGTCTCACTACGTTGCTCAGGTTGGTCTCAAATTTCTGTCTTCAAGCAATCCTCTCCCTTTGGCCTCCCAAAGTGCTGGGATTATAGGCATGAGCCACTGTGCCCAGCTTATGTTTTCAAATAGTTCTTCCTTAACCACCTTACAGAAAAAAAGCAATCCCTTCTACACCTTGACCCCATCACTCTCTTCCCTTTAATCTGATTTTTTTTTCCATAGTGCTTATGGGGCTGACATGTCATAAGTGTATGTTTATGATCTCTTTCTCTCTCTCAACTAGAATATATGCTGCATGAGGGCAGGGACTTGTTCACTGATATAGCCTTAGAACTGAGAATGGTCCCTGTCAACATTTGTGTGGGTGAAAGCTGTGCATATTCTTTAAAACACAGAGTACATGTTACTTCCTAAGGGAAGCTTACCTAACCCCATACCTGCTAGGCCCCTAGGCTGGCTTGGCCATTCCCTCCTCTGTGCTTCTCTGCATCCTGCACTCAGAGCTTCATAACTGCCTATTTGCTGTCTAGCTCCCTCCTCACCCACACTGGTCTGCAACTTCTGTAGGCATGGACTGGGTCTTCCTCCTCCTACTGGTATCGCTGGTGCCCAGCACAACACCATAGAAATGTTTACTCATAGGACAAAATGATGAAATTCACATGAAAGCACTTGGCAAACGTCACTCAAGAATCATCCTTTCATTTATTTTTCAATTATTGCTGATTCATCAGATTTGTCTAGAACTGTGAGGCTTCTTTTTGTTCACCACCACAGTTTTATCCAACCCTCCTCTGTTAATCATATTTTTCCATGTCCTATTTCCTCTGTGCTTCCAAAATCGCAAAATAATTTTCTCTGGTTGATGCTATTTTTCTGTATAAAATGGTGAAGGTCCTGGACTCACATGCCTGGGTTCTCTGGGCCCAGGTTGGGCAAGAAGGATTTGTGGGGGCTTTGGGAGCCTGCAGCTGGCAGCACTGGCATCGAATGAGATGAGGTGGGGGACATGGCCAAACACCTTCAGCAGTGGGCATGAGAAGGCTGTCATCCCCTCTGCTGCTTTGAGAGGCAGTTTGGGGAACCGTTCTCTGAGAACTCTCACTGGTAGCCTCATCTTGCTTGAATCTACGTCTCTCAAGACTTGGATTAGCATTTTTCCAAGATTTCTCCATAACATATCTTTCAAAAAATCCACCGGAATATGTATGTGAAATACGCTTCCTTTAACTTTGGTTTCTCTACCAGTCCCTGCAAAAAAAAAAAAAAAATGAAATTATTATCTCCAGTGAGACTGATTTTTTTCCTTCCCTATAAAAGCTTTTATCACTATGAAAAAAGAATCACCAGCCATGGTAGAAGCTGATAAATTATTGCGGTTCTTTACTGAAGTCGATTTATCGTTCTAAATACAAGGAAAAAAGGGGTGAGGGTTGGGGAGAGAGCTCTATAGAAATCTTTTTGGCATTGTGAACAATCACATGCTCTGATTGCTTTAACGTTCTATTCTAATAAAATGGAGGGTCTCCTTTAAGAAATCAGGCTTAAAATTGTTAAGTCATCGTGTGTCACTCTCCCAGAGAGGGCAAGTCTTAGAATTAAAAACAGCTGGAAGAAGGGGGCAGTACAGTAACATGAGATGTCCCAGTTCCAAAGCCTCCCAGAACAGACGCAGGCCAGAGGAGAGGCAGGAAGACACGTGCTGTGCTGGCTGACTACTGAGAATTAGGGCAGGGAAAATTGGGGGACTCATTGGAGACATTTTTGCTCCCAAATACACTTTTTAACTCTTCCATGGCCAAGTGTAACCTGGAGTTCACAGAGTCAAAGTCGTAAGGAGAGGCTGGAGTCATCTCTGGGTAGGAATAAGTTAAATATTGGGCAATTGATTAACACCCGAATTTCATCATTGTGGCCCAAGCTTCTGACGTACCCATCACCTCTCAGGGAGCCAACACTGTCCTCCACCTCAATAATTTCTGACTTTTGTCGCTTCTACTGTGAGAGGCTGGAGGTAGAAGTCATATCTCAGGAGAAGGATTACCCTTAGTGCTCCCTCCAGGCCCTGTGCAGCACTAGCTGTGTGACCTTGAGTAAGTTTCCTTACCCATGAGCCTTATCCTGAGCATAAACGAATTAACATCTATGAGGCATGTGGAATCGTGCTTGGCACGTAACAAGAACTGTGTGTACATTAATAAAATACTTTTTTTTGCCTTGTCCAAATACTATTTTTCCTATTCCTTTGTATAAACATTTATATTTAACTGTATTTATTTTAAAAGAAAACCTTGTCACTGCTAAAAATAGAAAAGCAATATTTTTGTTATAAAAAATGTTTTCACTTTTAGTGAAAACATTGAGAATGAAACAATGTTAATAGATTCCAGCTCTATTCCATGGCCTGTGCTAGGCTCTTTGCCTGAGGCCACTTTCTCTCTGTTAAAAAGTGAGATTAGCAAATGTTTAAGCACTAAGGATACAGTAGAACCAAAATTAAACTTTCCCTTTGATGTAACCGCAAGGATCAAGGAAGGGAGAAAGAAAGTGCCTAATAATTTTCTTATCGTAAGATTCAATAGGCCAGACCAGGCTGGAAAACACAGCAAGGCTCCATCTCTACACAAATTTAAAAATAATAAATTAGCTGGGTGTGATGGCGTGCTCCCATAGTCCTAGCTCTCCAGAGGCTGAAGCGGGAAGATCAGTTGAGCTCAGTGGTTTGAGGCTTCAGTGAGCTATAATTGTGCCACTGCACTCCAGCTTGGGCAACAAAGCAAAACCCTTTCTCAAAAAAAGATTCAATATTATTATTATTTTTATTTATTTTTTTGAGATGGAATCTCACTCTGTTGACCAGGCTGGAGTGCAGTGGTGCGATCTCGGCTCACTGCAAGCTCTGCCTCCCAGGTTCAAGCGATTCTCCTGCCTCAGCCTCCTGAGTAGCTGGGACTACAGGCGCCCACCACCATGCCCAGCTAATTTTTTGTATTTTAGTCGAGACGGGGTTTCACCATGTTAGCCAGGATGGTCTCCGTCTCCTGACCTCGTGATCCGCCCTTCTTGGCCTCCCAAAGTGCTGGGATTACAGGCATGAACCACCGTGCCTGGCCGGAGTCAATATTATTTAACGTCACTTAAAAATAATCCCAGTGCCACTAATATGTGTATTTGTCCTCTACTATGGGAAAACTCACCTGTGCATGCGCATACACACACACACACACTCACACACATTCACTCACTGAAGTATATGTTGGGAAAATGGAGGCTTAACCTCACATCTCTCAGGGTCGAATGCTCTCTCTCCACTCCCAGCTCTGCCAGGGAGCACATGTTGCTGGGCATCTCTTGGATCTCAGAAGCTGTTTGTCCATTGGATGCTGCCTTATTACCATGGGTTAAGGTTGCCATGGGGCAGGCAGCACTTCTGATGGTGCTGTCCCCCGTTCACCATGACATTGCCTCCAAGATTCAGACTCTACTGAAGGATTGGAGGTAATTTAAGAGAATTACAACACAGCTTTAGATCATATCACTTTAAAGCTATTTGAAAATTATGATTATCCCTAAGGTTCTCGGAGAAAGCATCCCCTAAATTAATTTTCTTGGCAAGAAATTCCTCGTCGGCATCCCCTCTTCCCCGACCAACTCCCAGTTCCCAACTTCCCTCCACTCTTCCCAGATGCTCTCCTTCATCAAACCAACCAACTGATCAACTGATTGACCAGCTGATCGACCAACAGACAGACCAACCGAGCCTTCTTCTAACTCCCACTGTATTTAACGCCGCCTCTTTTCATGACATTTAACTGGCAATCCACAGGAACTGGCTTTATCGCAGCGCCTTGTTTATGTCCTCCGTCCACAGCAGCCATTTCTTCAAGTCCAGTTTATTCAGTTGAGGTTAATATCTTGAGGAGCTTTAGGCGGGACAAGCAGTGATGGAAGCTGATCTCCCAGTTTTGCAGAGAAGAGAACTTACTTGCTCCAGTTCCCACTGAGTGGTCCCACCACCCAATACCCACTGGGCTTTGTGACAGGAAAAGGTAAGTCAGGGAAGCTGACCCAGGGTATTTTATGGCCAGACAGCCTGAAAGTGGTTTCTATTACTTCAGCCCACGTCCCCAACCTTGCGGCACTCAGCTACAAAGGCCCAACTCAACCACAAAGGAGGTTGGCAAAGCTGCCTTCTTGGGTACCCAGGGAAAGGAAATGGAATGGTGAATACACAGCATTGTCTCTGATTCCTTGCACTGGTTTGTTTAAAAGTGAGATGATGGCTGTGCTCCTATCATTTAAATAGAGAACCTGGATTTCCTGCCTGATATCTGATGATCAATTAATTATGATGCAATTCTGGGAGCTTTGCCTAACACACATATCAGGATCCAGTTGGGGGCTAGAACCTCCCCTGGCCTTTTACTTGATGCAGTGCAAGCTGAGCTTTATTGCACGTCACCTGCAGCTTAACCCCAAACCCTTCCCCTTGGGAAAGATCTCTTGTAAGTAATCATGTCTGTTGCAATGACAAGTCATGTGCAATGGTGACTGTTCACCTTGGGAGTAATTTGAGAGTTATCTTTTGCTTATTTACTTAGATTGTTTATTAGAGTTCAATGCTAAGAGATATAAATAATATCTTTTCCTCACTTGGGAATATTGTTTTTTCATAAAATACATTAACATTTCTAAAAAGTGAATGAAGGAACTAAAAAAAATCCTCACTAAAAAAAGAAAAATTGCTTTTTCTCTATGTAGTTGTCTTCCTGATGAATCTTCATGAGGGTAGGGTAGAATGGTGGGGTGCTAGGGAGTTGGGATGAAAGGCAAGAATGCAGAATGTACCCAATTCACCTATGGCAAATAATGGGCACATTTTCTCTTTGTTTTGATGTTCTAAGTTTGACTTTTCTTTAAGACTCTTGAGTACTGACTTATATGATATTTAGTCCGAGTGAAGAGTGAGTTCCTATTTCCAAAAGTGAAACTCAGAGAATATTCTTTTTCCTCTAAATAAGTGGGCCTTTTGTCCAGAGAATGCAGACTTTTCAGGGATGAGTTTTTAAAAAGCAAACTTTAGTGCCACCACCCAGCCATCCTTAGACCCACACAAAGGAAATTAAAAGGGTAAAGCTTCAATACCGTAGACCCTGTGTGGCCCATCTTAATAAGGGCCTTGACCTGGCAGCCTGAAGGTCCCTGAGGAGCTGAGTCGGCCTCGTCTTACTGGGGAGAAGAGACAATTTCTTCCACAGGTCCCGACAGACCAGCAATAATGTAGATTACGGGTCCTGTTTTCTCAAGTTGTGTCAGAGCAAAAGGAGTCACAGGACTCCTCCTTGGTGGGGCTGATTGAGCATATTCATGGAGCTCATCTAAAGCTGCTAAGAATTTAGGGGCTGAGCTGCTTGTAATCCACCATTTCTTTCACTTCCTGGTGCTAAAAGCTAATCACTGTTTCACAACCTTTCTATCATCACTTTTGAACTACTGCATTATAATCAAATAGCATCATCCTTCTTTTAATTTAAGGCTTACAGATTTCAACTAATTTAAGGGATTCTTTAGGGGAACCAAAGAAAGAAAATCTGATGTGAATGTGATATTTGCCTAAAGAACATTGAAACCCAAAGGGAATGTCCTGGAACTCCGGCCCACAAAACCACATTTTTTTTTTTTAAATAAAGTCCCTGATGCCCAAGAATATTTTGAAATAGATTCACTATCTAGTAGATCTGTTTAGTTTAGTTTAGAGCAAAGTAGCGAGCCAAAAGAGCAAACCTACATGAAGCACCTCAGCTGCCTGGCTCCCTGATGTCCACCTGTCTTAGCAGCCCCTGCATAGATGAAATCGGAGTGATTAGTGAAGAATAGAGTTAGGGTTAGAACGAGATGGAGATGTGCTTACTTGGTTGGGTGCAGAGGTTTTGATTTCTCTTTGGGAACAGGGCCCACATCTATCTGGTTTATTCATCCATATATATTTACTGAGCACTGACCATATGCTAGGCATTGAGAACACAGCCGTTGATCAGGATAGACAAGATGTCTTCACAGAGCTGATAGAGTGGGAGTATCAAATAATAAACAAAATACAAAAATAAGAAACACTGAGATAGTGCCAAGTATTCTAAAGGAAATAAAATAGATATGAAACAAATGATAGGGAAATGAGAAGAGGGCCCTTTCAGATAGGGTGATCAAAGGCCTTTCTAAAAGAACGTTATGAATAGAGTACGGAGGATTTTTAGGGCAGTGAATCAACTCCGCATGATACTATTGTGGTGGACAAATGTCATTATACATCAATCCATACCCATAGAATGTACAACACCAAGAGTGAACCGTAATAAAAACTATGGACTCTGGGTGAAAATGACATGCCAATGCAGGTTCATTGATTGTTAACAAGTGAACCATTCTGGTGCAGGGATATTGATGATGGGGAAGGGTATACATGTGTGGGGGTTGGGGGTGTGTAGGAACTCTCTACCTTTTCTCAGGTTTGCTGTGAACCTAAAACTGTTCTAAAAAATAAAGCTGATTAAAGAATTCACCACCACCACTACAACAAAAAAACCCTTAAAAAGCCAGAGGTAAATTTGAGCTGAGATATGAATAATGAGAAGGTGTGAACAATGGTAAGAAGCCAGGGAAGAGCCTTCTGGTCAGAAGGATGGGCAAGTGCAGGAGCACAGAGGTGGGGCTGTGCTGTGGCATTTGCATTCCCTGTGTCTTGCCCAGGGCTGACTCCAGGAGATGCTCCATGGATGTTGAACTGAATTCAGCTTTACAGGCTGCCTCAAGAGAAGGAAGTGGGGGCAAAAAAGCATTGGCATGCAGGCACATCACAGCCTAGAGGAATCTAGGCATTAGTTAGTGGCCAGGGAATCGGCTGAGAGCAAGTCTTGGTTTTTAAGTAGTCTCTGAAACTTTACAGAAGGCCTTGTATGCACAGTAAACACTCAGTGGATGTTTGTTGAATAAGAATTGAGAGACAGATAGGGACATTTGAGGACAAAATAATGGTAGATTCAGGTTGACGTCTGTTCAGAACCTTTTATGCTATTCCTGCTGCTATAACAAAATGCTACAGACTGGGCAATTTACAAACAATAGAAGTTTATTTCTCACAATTCTGGGGGCTGGGAAGTCCAAGAACAAGGCATCGGTAGATTCAGTGTCTGGTGAGGGTTCAGTCTTTGCTTCTGGGATGATTTCTTCTTGCTGCGTCCTCCAGAGGGGATGAACATGGTGTCAGGGATTGAAGGATAAAAAGGACAAACAGCTCTCTTGCAACTCTTTTATAAAGTCATCAGTCCCATTCATGAGGGCTCTGTTCTCATGACTTCATCGCCTTTTAAACACCTCACCTCTTAATACTTCACGTTACAATACTTACTTAATACAATCATGTTGGTAATTAAGTTTCAACTTGTGAATTTTGGGGGGACACATTCAGAGCATGACATACACATGGTTTTTTCATATTTTTTAAGTGAGCTCCTATGACATACATACACTGGGAAAGACCAGTGCATGCCCTTTGGAGCTCTTGGAGAAGTGGAAAAGGAGGGCTGTGTGCACTACAAATCACACCACTGTGCTTCAGTGCTGTGTTGCCACCTCTGCCTAGGCAGCCTAGGTGCCATTCACAAAGAACACCATGTGTGTGCTGCCCCAGAGTTGAGTAATGGTGTTCTCCTGGGTGGGTGTATCAGGGAAGGTGGGACATATTATCCCTCTAAATGGTCCTCCAATCTTAGGATGGAGTTACAATTATCCCCATGGGGCAGATTAGGAAAGTGAGGCAGTAAGTGGCTTGCTCCCAGCCACGAAGCTGCCAAGGGGCAGCTCTGAGATCCACACAGGTCCTCTGCCCCAAAGTCACAGCCCTTCCCCAGTGTCCCATAACTTGGCTGGGGAGGTGCCTGGGGAAGGACAGAGGAAAGAGAAAGGCAGAGGCAGAATTGCTCTCATCCACAGTGCAGGCTGTTTTGGCCTTGTGGAGCATTCTAGAATTCTTTCATGGCAGTTTGCTTCAGCTTTTCTGGGCCAGAGGATCCTAGGTGCTGCTATAATGATGTGTGCATTAGCTGGGGTCCCAGAAGGAAAAAGATGGCAGGCTCAAATCGGAAGAGAAGTTTAGAAAAGGGACTATTTGCAAGGACACAAGCAGAGTGTAGGGAACCCCCAGGTTTGGTGCTGGGAATGGCTGACCCTGCAGTGAGGCAGCTTGGAAATCCCTGCCCTGGCTGGCCTTGCCGTCCCTTCCTCCTCATTTCCTCTCTGCTGCTCCATCTGCATATGCTTTCACCTGAGCCCCAGAGTTTGGGCAGTGCAGTGGGTGGAATTGTGACCACCCAGAGCCTCAGAATGGAACTCTATTTGAAAATAGAATCATTGCAGATGCAATTAGTTAAGATGACACCAGCCTGCATTAAGGTTAGCCCTAAATCCAACTAGAGTGTCCTTAAAAAAAGAGAAAAGAACCAACAGATCTGGAGAAGGCCATGTGCAGATGGAGGCAGAGACTGGAGTGATGCACCTGCAAGCCACAGGATGCCAAGGACTGATGGAGCCATCAGAAGTGAGAAAGAGGGGAGAGGGGATTCCATCCTTGAGCCTTCAGAGGAAACACAGCCCTCCCAGCACCTTAGTTTTGGACTTCCAGCATCCGGAACTGTGAAGGAATCAATTTCTGTTGGTTTAGGCCATGCTGTTTGTGATAACTTGCTATGGCAGTGTGGATTTTCTCTTTTTCCCTCTTGCCATGCTGAGGAATGGTCTACCTGTCTTCTTGCCTCACCCTTCTGGGGCATTTCTGGTCACCTGTCCTTGTCAAAGCTTCCACTGCTGTCTTGTATCTTATTCTCTCTCAGTGAGCTGTTGCTTCAGAAATGCATTTGACCACTGTGCACTGATAAAGGGGTTAATGATAGGTAATACTGCATCTGTTTCTCCTCTAGCAGTAGTAATAGCCAACATTTATATAGTTTGCATCTAGTGACAGACACTGATATAATTATTCTTCATATATATTAACTCATTTTATTCTCATAACCTTATGATTTAGGTATTATTACTATTTCACAGATGAGGAAACTGAGCCACAGGAAGCTGTTCAATGTCACACAGTAAGAGGCAGAGCGGGCTTTGGAGCCAGACAGCTGTGGTTGTAATCAGTATGTGGCTCTGACTTTCCTGATGCACAGCCATGGAGAAAGCCTGGGCCAGGGGCGGGAGACCTGGGTTCTGGCAGTGGCCCATGTTCATTCTTGAGCCCAGGTGCAAGTAATTTCCCAGGATGAGGTCTTAGCCAGGATGTGGCCATGGAGCCATGCTACTTCTCCAGTCCCATCTTTCATCACCTTCCTCCCCCACTTACATTCTGGACCTCATACACACTTGCTCCTAAACATTGTGATGTTTTCTCACTTCTGGGACTCTGTGCATTTTGTTCCTCTGCCTCAGAGGCTCTTACATACTTCTTCACATGAGTAAACTGTGTCTTCCCTTTGCCATTTGCCTTGAGACTGCGTTCGGAGTACTTCCTTTGTGCACCTAACACTCTGTACTTCCCTATCAGGACAATATCAACTTAGATTATAATTGCTCGATTCCTTATAAGTCTTCTCCAGTAATCCTGATGTCTTTGAGGCCAAGAATTATGTCTTACTCTTAGGGTGCTATGGTTTGGATATGGTTTGTCCCCACCTACACTCAAGTGGAAATTTGCTCCCCAATGTTGTGGTGTTGAGAGGTGTGGCCTAGTGGAAGGTGTTTGGGTTATGGGAGTAGATCCCTTATGAGCCTTTGGTGCCATTCTCCCCGGGGTTGAGTGAATTCTTGCTCTCACAAGAGTGGATTATTCTCTGAGAGAGTGAGTTGTTATAAAGGATGGAAGTGCTTCATCTTTGGCTCCTCACATGCATCAGGTTCCCCTTTGACCTACTGACATGTCTTGACCCAGCACAAAAGCCATCACCAGAAGCTGAGTAGATACCAGCCTTATGCCCCTTGTACTTGCCAGCTTGCAGAAGTGTGAGCCTAATAAACCTCTTAAATTACCTAGTCTCAGGTATTCTGCTGTAGCAACACAAAATAGTCTAAGACCTGGGTGATCATACATTGTAATTTCTCTAAGACAGTCTTAATTTCAAATCGTCTCAGCCCCTCTTTCACTCTCTAATGTGTCCTGATTTGGATGATAATTTGTATGGTCACTCCACTTCACTATTATATGTATATAGCCAGGCATTGGTATGTTAAGCATCCTAGGGAGGCACTTAATATAAATGTGTTGAATAAATAGGCCTTAGCCTTCTCATCTGTGAGGACAATAATGGTGGTCCTACCAGTGTCAGGTATTTATGCAAATATCGAAACTGACCCAATAGTCCCATAGACAGTTTTTTTTAAAATAAATATAGAAAGGGACCCTTCTGGTCTTAAAGCTCGAAACTCACCAGATCCAGACAATGAGATGCCAAGCCTCTCAAAAGGTATCAAAGAACTGAAACTCACCAGATCATCGCATCCATACAATGAGACACCAGGCTGTGATTCATCAGATTGCTTCCTTATCTTTCCTGAGTTCCTGTTTTCCTGTACATAGTTACGTTTCTTCCCTGCTACGTAAACTCCTAATTTTAGTTGGTTAGGGAGATGGATTTGAGACTGATCTCCCACCTCCTTGGCTGCAGCACCCAGTAAAGCCTTCTTTCTTGGCAATAATTGCTGTCTCAGTAATTGCCTTTCTGTGTGGCAAGCAGCAGGACCTAGACCAAACCCCCGGTGTTTTGGTAACAGATTTTGTTTCCCTGATTGGGAACCGATTTGGTTCCCTCCTGGCTCGGTTGCCATGGGCTGAGTGTCTCAGAAGCCCCATAAAAAGCTGCCCATTTAATCTTGGCTGGAGGTCAGTTTCCATCTCTCTCTGGCCCCACCACAGCTGGCCCCAACTGCATTCTCGATTGACTTGGAAGAACTGCCTTTGAAATTTGACATCTGCATCCAGATAGGTGAGTGTCCTTTGTGGGCCCTGACAGTGGGGTCTGCTCCTCTCAATCTGGGAAATTTTTAAAGGAATTTCCATTTGCAGGTTGAACAAGCCCAACTAAGAGAGGGAAGCACCCTGACTGTTTCAGTATAGATACTTTTGGGGGCTTGTTTGAAATTGTTGTGTGTGTGTGTCTGGGCAAGTGAATGTCTTTTGTGGGTCCCAGAGAGTGGGATTAGCTCTTCTTAATTTGAGAAATTCTGGAAGAATTTTTGTTTGCAAGCATGTTATAGATGGTCTGTGTAAGTCATATGTATTTTTTCCTGTTTCTCTGTCTTTGTGCAGATCCAGATAAAATAGAAAGTTGAAAAAGTTTAGATAGTAAAATATTCTTTAAAATCAGATAGAAAATTAAAGAAATCTGGCTAATTAACATTGCTCATAAAACTCTTAGTCTTGATGAAACAAGTACCCTGACTGTTTCAAGTTAGACATTCTTGGGGCTTGTTTGTTACTGCAGCAGTTGGATTGTGTTTTGATGATTGTGTGTGTATGTTTGATACAGTCTTGGGAAATTCTAATTCAGTAAACTGATATTCTCTTTTTTTTTCTTTTTTTGAGACAGAGTCTCACTCTGTCTCCCATGTTGGAGTGCAGTGACACGATCTTGGCTCACTGCAATCTCCACCTCCTGGGTTCAAGAAATTCTCATGCCTTAGCCTCCCGAGTAGCTGGGACTACAGGTGCATACCACCACACCTGGCTGATTTTTGTAGTTTTAGTACAGATGGGGCTTCACTGTGTTGCCCAGGCTGGTCTTGAACTCCTGGCCTGTTGCAATCCACCTGCCTCAGCCTCCCAAAGTGCTGGGATTACAGGTGTGAGCCACCATGCCCGGCCTGATATTCTTTTGTAATACTCTTTGTCCCCAATATTCTTTGGAATCTGAAGTTTGCTGTTGAGTGGGAAAGTGGGATGGAGTTTCATGTATTCAGGCATTTATGCTGCTATTCTAAGCAGGGTTGGGTCTGGTCAGTAGGTTCCAGGTGATCTTCTTCTCTGGTACTGTTTGGCCCCAGTATTCTTTGGAGATTGGGGAGGTTTGGCCTTTAAAAATCAAACTGCCTTGGAAACTGCTTCACCCAAAAGTTTGATTCACAGCCTTCCCTGGATCACCTATTTGGGTTAGGAAAGTTCAGCTGTGTGAACATGTTCGTAGACTGGTGAGTTTGTACTGCTATTTCATGGCTAAAATTCCAAGGCAAAAGCTATTGGATGTTTGTGTGAGTGTGTGTATATACATGTCTAGATGCATTTATGTGTATGTACATTTACTATGCCCTATGTCTTGTCTACCAAATTGGCTTACAAATAAAAGAGTCTCATAAATTAAATAAGTCCAAGCCATTGCCAAGTTCACATGACTTAAGTAAATCTTTACTAAACAAGCTGGTTTTAAAATTATTGACAACATAAACATAGAAATGTCTTCAGAATTGTCGCATACATTTTTGTATGGGTTTTACGTTTGTCTTTCCTAGAAATTATGAGATATCAGGGTTTGGCACAGAAGGTTATAAAACCATAAACCCAGCCAAAATAAAATGATCTTTGTGCAAATTTTTTGATAAATAAGACTAATTTAATGTTGTTGGTTTAATGAAAACAGCTAAATCTTCTGAATTATTGGTGAGAATCCCCATGTAGTTAACTTTAAGTTTCTTAATTAGATGAATACCTGATATTCACAGGTTATAAAACAGATAACAAGGAAATGATGTGTAAATAGATAAACTGCTAAAAACAACTAAAATATAAATGAGTAAGTGCACTAGGTGAACTTTTTGTGTAACTTAAAATTATTGTTGCTGCTCATTAGATGCCTGAGTCATTTCCAATTAAGAAAGGGTTATGATATGGGGAAATATGTTTCTAAAGGTTGTGGAATTATTCTCATCCATAAAATGCTAACATCTGATAGTTCAGGATTTTTTGCTTCCTAGGGTTTCACAACAATTTAAGGTTACTGGGAATAAGAATTATAGTTAATACAAAAAAGAAAAAGAATAGAAATAAGTATTAGATACATACACCAAAAAATTATAGTTAATACTTAATTCTGTATATAAAAAAGGAGATGTGTTTGTAGTAAGAAAAATAATTGTGTCTAATTCAGAAGTTATCTAAAGGTTAATTTAAATTATAGACTTGAGAAGGTTATTTATGACAGAAGAAAGGAACCAGGAAGCAGAGGAGGGAGAGATGTAATGAAAGTTATAAATATGAAGATATGTTTTTGGAAAGGAAGGTTATAAAGAAAAGAAAATTTAGGACAAGACAGTCCAAGCATGTTACAGATGGTCTGCGTAAGTCATATGTAGTTTTTTTCTTGTTTCTCTGTATGTCTATCCTTGTGCACATTCAGAGAAAACAAAGTTACAAAAGTTTAGATAGTAAAATATTCTTTAAAACCAGAAAGAAAATTAGAGAAATTTGGCTAATTAACATTGCTCATAGTTAAAGCTCTTAGTCTTGCTGAAGTTAAATTGAGAAAGATTCTTTTTTAATATAGTTAAGCATGAGGTCAGATTTAACATGGAGTCAAATTTCATAAATGTTTGCATTTCTTTGTTCCATACTCCATTTACTCTTCTGCATAGGTAATACTAGCCCTAAAGTACTTACTGGTCATGTGCCTACAGCAAATTTCTTAATGGCACAAAATGTATAGTGGTATTGGTGGACTTACAGACATTAATTTGTATACTGGGAGCATAATATCTATCGTGTTTTCTTTAGGCTCTGGGTAACACTTTAGCCTCAAAAGTTGACTGAGTAGGAGAAAAACTGGGGGTTGGTTTCCTCTTTGTTTTTGATTTTAATTTTCATTCATTTGCTGTTCTTTGGGATTAACTTATATATACATATATATAAATAATTGATGTTTTAAAGTTTTTATTGGAAGGCTTTTATTTGGCTCTATGAATAATCATTTTGTTTCCTATGCATTTCCAACAAGTTATCATTTATTTTGTTTATTTAGAATTCCTAAGCTACCTTTGTCAAGCCTGCAAAAATTGATAGAGCACACTAGCCATTAAAAATTTGATTTTTTTTTTTTTTTTTTTTTTTTACCTCTGATGATCTAGAGAGCTACAGGAGCTTTAAGTTTCCTGGTTAAACAACAACAACAACAAAAACCAACAACAAGAAAATCCCCCCAAGCCTCCAAAACCATTTATTAATTGATAACTAATAGTTAAGTATCAATTATTAAGACTTATTTTTACAAGTTTTGAGCAGAAATATTATATTATTAATTTTGTTATTTAAAAAGTAGGTGAGAATAAAAATGTTTAAATGGTGTTTATTTCTAAGGTAATTCAATGCAATCAATAATTTGAGTTGGTTTCAGATCTTTTCCTTTAGGTAATGAAGAAAAATTGTGATATGGGTACAAAGTTTTAATGTTCAGGAAAGATTCACCTTGCCCTTAAGGAAATTATATTGATTAGAATTTCTCTCAAACTAATTTAGTTGTGTTCATCATTATTTAAGTGATATTCACTTGGATTAAGTAACAATAAAAAAAGTGAGACTTTCTAGCGAACTTTGATCCCAAACCATTTATCACTGATGGGCTTTTATGTGTGTATCTGAAAACAAAATAGGTACAAGCGTGGCACTGGTTTGAAGATTTTAGTGACGAAAGTTACTTAATCAATTGTCAGTACTGTATCTAGAAACCAATCTTGGAAATGTGCGATGATATTCTTTTAAAATAGCTGAAAAGAAATTACTGTGTGCTTGTTCTTACTTTGTCCTGTTTTGTCGTATAATATTTAAACAAAAGGAGATTTATTCTCATATTGAAGTTCCAAAACTGAGATTTGCATTTACCTTCTTTTTTTTAATGATGGAGAGAAAAGTTGTCTTACTTTGATAAGTTTGGCATAGGACCTACTACATTTTTGATGCTTTTGGTCACAGTTCTGTCATTAGAATGTTAGCAATTAGATACATGCAATGAGTAACCTACTTTAATACAGTGTTTTGAAGTGCTGCAGGCAGTAACTCCCAAACAGGAAATCACAGTGTTTTAGTTGGTGACATGTTAGAATAATAGGACTTTTTGTAGTATCAATATTCCATTAACAAATCCTTGTGCTGTTAAATTACAGGGCTTTGACTCCCAGGTATGAAAAAGGCACTCACTTCTAGATCTTGAGCATTGACACCACTCAAAGCCTTGTCCTCAGACCCAGAGAAGGTGACAATCAAAATGAACTGCTTTTGTGAGACACAGGGCCAGAAATTACAACCATTCAGTTCCTCTGAGCCCAGAGACTATAGCAGAAGAGGTGGACTCATGAGATGGTAAGGGTCAATTTTGAGGGATAAGATTAGTTCAGAGTTTTTCTATAAATTAATTATAATTAATTAAAACATTAATATCAAAAGCACACTGATAGAAGGGCAGTATCTGGGCCCATGTGCCGAAATAACAGGGTTTTCTTGGAGCTTAGATCGCTGTTTAGTAGAAAGTTGTAAAAGGTTATAAAAGGTTTATAGAAATCTTACCTTATGGTCAAACTGATTAAAATCAGATAGATTTGTTTATAAGGCTCTATTAAAATTAGCTTTAACATTAATAATACACCATACAAAGGTAAAATTTGGTTTTCTCTTTTGAAAAACATTTTCATGTAAGAGATAATAATAGATTTTTGTTTATCTTTTGGGTAAATGGGAAAAAAGAGGATGGAGGAAAGACAGATTTTTTTTTTCTTTTTGAGATGGAGTCTCGCACTGTCGCCCTGGCTGGAGTGCAATGGCATGATCTTGGCTCACTGCAACTCCTGCCTCCTGGGTTCAAGTGATTCTTGTGTCTCAGCCCCGCAAGTAGCTGGGATTACAGGTGCCCGCCACCATGCCCAGCTAATTTTTTGTATTTTTAGTAGACATGGGGTTTCACTGCATTGGCCAGGCTGGTTGCGAACTCCTGACCTTGTGATCCACCCACCTCAGGCTCCCAAAGTGCTGGGATTAGAGGCGTGAGCCACCATGCCTGGCCAGAGAGACAGATTTAGTTGGCCTCATGCTATCTCTATTCATTGTTTGGGAAACCGAGTCTCCTCCCTATCAAATGGTAAATGTTTTTGTATTGTGATTTTGGCTAAACAAATGACTATTTTATAATAACCTGTGATTCTATTTTGTTGTATCAAGTGTCTTAAACCTTTGATATTTGTCAGACTTTCCAACAGCAAAATTTCAAGTTCTAAATTTAGTCTTTTTAACCTTAAACTAACTTTTGTTTGGATATTAGTTTTTCTGAAGTACAAGAGAGACATATTAAGCTTATTGTTATGGTTAGAATTATGCAGGAAGCACTGTCAGTTCTGAGGTAGTGTTTAACTTACTTTGGGTTATATTTATATAGATGTGGTAATATGCATTCCAGGATTGTGTGAGAGTCCTAAAATTCTGATATGTTTTAATACATGTTGTCAGTAATAATTATGATTATTATGTTAAATTGTTGTATGCCACAGAAACAACCAAATTTCCTTGTCAACTGGGTCATTGGTTATGGCTGTCCTAAGGCTTTTGTTATCCAAAATTGTAGTTTTGCTTTGATTCTTCTCAAAAAGTGACTTATAATCAGCTACGGTCCAGAGCTTGCTTCTTTGGGGGAGTTCACAGAAAGAACTCTTGAAAGCAGGTTTCGGACAACTTTGGAGATTATGCTACCAGATTAGAGAGAAAACTTCCAGGACTCTAATTAAAAGACTGATATGTTTACAACGATTGCTAACCCAATATGAAGCAGAACAGGAGTTGATTGCATGGACTGAACTAATGGAGGACAGAAATAATTTTTATGACTTTTTTCTGTTTGAAATATTGCTGATTCTTTTTCAGAGATTAGAGAACTTTTTGAACTATTTATAGTTTTGAAATACGTTTTAAATATATTGAGTAGACAGTATACATATGTAAACAGGATTTGAGTCATATTTCTTTGTCTCTGCTTAATTTCTCCAGAATTTGTAAACTATTTATGAATATTCCTAATTCATGGCAATGTGTTTATTTGCATACATTTAACCAAGAACCTGTTTTCTTTTATAATGGAGTACAGTTAAGGAATTGATTATTTTCCCAGAGCTTTGACTAAAATGGCCTTGTGAGAGGTTCCAGTAAAGCCAATTTAGGAGAACCTACATGGACAATGATTCTTGCTGCATTTAGTGTGGATAATCAAGCCAAGTATGTGGGACTGAAGCCTGTTTTGCAGGTGGGTTCATCTTGCTGTGATTTATCTTTGGTGGAAGCAGGGGACTAGACAGAGAAAGATTGCATTTTAGAAGAAAACTGTAGTATTAGATTAACCTTTGATTCTTAGGTGGCCACATGGTCACCCCTGGTATGGAGCTGCCCACAGCACCCCTCCTCAGCATGAAGCAGCCAGAAAGATCATCAGCCAGATTTCCAGTGATCGAAGACTTGATAAATAGAAAAGGGGAATTGAAGCCAATCCAATAGCTCCATGGACAGTTTTTTTCTGATAAACATAGAAACTGACCCTCTGGTTTTAAAGCTTGAAATGTACCAGATTCAGACAATGAGATACCAGGCCTCTCAAAATGTATCAAAGAACTGAAACTCACCAGATTATCACATCCACAGAATGAAATGCCACGCCCCTCATTCATCATGATTGCTTCCTTACCCTTTCCGAGTTCCTATTTTCCCATCGTAGTTACATTTCTTGCCTACTATATAAACCCTTAATTTTAGTTGGTCAGGAAGATGGATTTGTGACTGATTTCCCATCTTCTTGGCTGCAGCACCTGATTAAAGCCTTCTTCCTTGGCAATAATTGTTGTCTCAGTGATTGGCTTTCTATGCGGTGAGCAGCAGGACCTATACTGAACCCCTGGTGTTTGGTAACAATATGAAACTATAGTGAGATAAATCATGAGAAATTGCTCTGGAAGATGCCATGTACTAAACAATTGTAAAATGCTCATTAAAACACGGGTACATGTTCTCTAGCATTGTTCACTGAGAGGGCCTAGGAACAGTGACACTCCAATAGCAATAGCACCTAACACCCAGATCTTGGTTTCTAAATGCAAGTTTCCATTAAACAGAGCCAGGACTTCTTGGAGAAATGGCTAATCCTAGGGCTGAGGTAGGGAAAGTACAAGATGACCCCTAAAAGAAGGAGGTACTCTGGAAGTGATGGGGATATGTTGAAAGGAGTCAGAAGCCAGCTGGAAGGGGCTCCCACTGACTAAGGTGGGCACAATTTGGGCATCAAATAGCCATGGTAATGATAGTAATGGAGTACAATCCACTGAATAAAATAGAAAACTGTGAGTCTATATTGATATAAACAAGTGCTAAACTGTGTATTTACACAGCCTAAAAGTAGCTGCCTGTGAAATATTCGTTACAAATGAAAAAAGAGTAACCTTCTACTGCAGGAACCTGGTGGACTCCTTCTTTACCAAAGTAAACATAGTAATAAGGCAAACTGAGATTGTATGCCAACTGATAGGATGAAATGAGAAGATTGCATCATCACTTCATGATATTTCTGCCAAAGATGCATGACCTGTATCAAGTAATGAAGAAATACCAGACACATAAAAATTAAGAGATGTTTTACAACATTAGTGACCTGTAATCTTCAAAAAATGTTTTGACAGCATGAAAGTCAAGGACAGGATGAGGAACCATTGCTAACTGAAGGAGACTTGAGAGATGTGACAACAAAATGCAATGTATGATTCTGGACCAGGTCTTTTGGCTGTTAAGGACATCATGGGTACACTTGGAGAAACTTGAATAGGGTCTAAGCATCAGGTCATTGTAATTCCCTTTCTATCTCTATTCCATATGGCTTACACATATTAATTCATTTAATCTTCATAACAACCCCATGAGGAAGGAACTGTTGGTTTACAAATGAGAAAGGTGACACACAGAGAAATGTAGTAACTTGCCCACAGCTCGTAGGTCGCGGAGTTGGGTTGTCTGGGTTCTGGAGTCTGGGATCTTACCACGGCATTATACTGCCTCTCAACAAAAAAACAAAGCTGAATATATTGTGAGTCAGCGAGTAACTTGTGCTAATGGAGAAAACTAAAGTAGGGAGTCCAGTGGGTTGGGTTTGATTTAAATGAGTGCTGAAAGTGGCTGAAGACAGAGCCCTGAGAAATTGTTCATCTCACCCGTGAAATCAACCTTAAGAAAATCACAGGCAGCATTAACTATTGTCTCGCCCATTGCTCAGCTCAGTGTAACAAGATACGCAGAGTCAAATTTACAAAGAGTGTTATTGATGTTCTGTGCTGAGAAAATAGAGATGAGGAGATCAGTATAAACAGGAGGGACAATAGGGATGGATTATTGGCCTTATTGATACCGGGTTCAAAGGGAGGATAGGATGATACCATGCATAGCCCAGGCTGTCTGTGAGTGTGGTTCAGAGTCAGGGTCCTTGGGGTCAAATAGAGGGCTTGTTCTGGAGGCAGCCGCTCTAGGAAGAGCAAGTGCTGTCCGGGGAAGGAGAAAACCAGGTAGGGTGCTCATGGCCTTGTCCCAGGAGGTAACAAATAAATGAAGCCAACCCAGGGATAGACAGGAGAGTGGTGAGGGCTGTGGGTTACACAGGGAAATGCACTCAGCCCCAAAACTTCCAGATTCCAGTTTTAACAACACACTTTGCTTTATGTGTTATTCATTCTAAGTAGAATTTTCAGTTCCTGTTGGAGTTCCTGTTGGAATACAAGTTCTCCTAACCTGTTCATCTGAGAAAGCATGGCTTCTTCCTTGTTTCTGCTCTGCAACACAGCAAAATAAGGCAGAACACATGGAATTTATTTCCTTACGGTATTTGCATGTGTAACTCACAAGAAATTTGACACTGTTCTCATGGACTCTTGCAAGGAACCAGCCCTTCTGCTTTGATTCTGGAAAGATTTTTGGAAGGATATGTCTTGGTAGTGATTTGCAACTTTTCTTTTTGCCTGAAAGTTCGCGAGTCTCTCATTTTAAAGCGTCTATTATTTTTTTTCCTTCACCTTGATATCTTTTCTACCCCACTTTGCTTTAGAGTATTTGTTCTTCCTTCTTAAAGACACATAAACCCTGATTTGTTCTTCCTTCTTAAAGACACATAAACCATGTCTGTGGTTGTCACTATGTAAAATAGTATCTGTCTCTAGGTAGAAAATAATGGCTTTAAACACCATCTATATGCTGATAACTCACAAACTCATGTCTCTAATCTCAGTCTCTTCCTGAACTTCAGGCTCATATATCAATGTGGCTGCCCTGCAGCTATTCTAGGGCAGGGGATAGGCTTCTGAAACTTAACTCGCCGAAGCCCATCTTGGCTCCTCCTCAATCCAGGCCCTGACCCTGATTCTGTCAAGGTGTTCTCCATCTTGGAGGTGGGCATCTCTTTCTAGTCAATTATTCAGGCCGAAATTCTTTATTTGGTCACCCTTGATTCTTTTCTTTTTCACACATCTCACATGTGAAAAGAGTAAATTCCAAAGATTCTTTCATCATGATACATCTACAATCATTTTCCACCCCTCCACAACTGCCACTGCAGCCCAGGTGTCACTCAGTCCTCACCTGGAATAATGCAGTAAACTCCTACTCAGTCCCTTGTTTTTGCCCTTATCCCCTCTGGATACCAACCAGGATATTCTTTGCAAATTATGAGTCAATTATGTTACCCCCTGTTCTACATTCCCCCAACATCTCCTCTCTGTTCTAGACTGAGTTTCCCCAGCTGTAAAATGGGGCCAATTTTTCCCCTCACAAGAGTCTGTTTACACAGTGAGACAAGGTAGGGAGAGTGCTAGTCCTGCTAGTAACATATGCAGGTTCTAGAATCTGTTGACAAATGGAGACCTGAATCCCCATGTGTAAAGATTTAAAGTCTTAAGCTACAAAGTGTTGGGTAAAATATATTCTATCTTTATACCTTGACACATAGTTACAACATAATTACGTACAGAAATATATGTAAGACAATTAGTTTTATAGAACTGAAAGATGGCACAACTTCAAGGACAGTTAAGTATAATGATGATTTTGCATGTCCAGGTGTGCTGTTGATAGGCCAGCCATGTTTCAGTGAATAATCAATGTAAGAATACATCATTCATTGCAGGCTATTTACTCAATAAATATTGTGTTTTCTTCATTTTAACACTAACTTTACTGATATAATTAGGATTTTCATGTAATTTGTGTTCTATTGACAGTAAAGCAAATGTTGGCAAAGTTTGCCTGTAAAAGCATCAGAAAATCAATATGTTAGGCTTTATGGGACATTTGTCTCTGTCATGACTACTCAACTCAGCTGTTGAGGCACAAAAGCAGCCATAGACAAAACATAAAAGAATGGGCTGATTCCGTTCCAATTTAACTTTAGTTACAGAAGCAAATGGCAGGCTGGATACTTGTGGTGAGGCATATTTTGTGCATCTCTGACTTAAAGGATTAAAAAAATAAAATGTAATTGTATTCAAAATATGCAAATCTGGATGTACTGTAGTTTAATCAAAATGTAATTTAAGTGTAAAAATAAAAAATCAGTTATTATATATGTTTTAACAGATTTTTCTTGTAAAATATTCAAAACTATTAAACTTAGAGGAATATAAAACTTAGAAGAATAAGTATAATTAATGACTATCCAATTTTTGAATAAAAATTATTTAAATAAAGTTGAAAATTTTAATGTTTTCCCATAAGTTATTGGGTTACAGGTGGTATTTGGTTACATGAGTAAGTTCTTTAGTGGTGATTTGTGAGATTTTGGTGCATCCGTCACCCAAGCAGTATACACTGTACCATATTTGTAGTCTTTTATCCCTTGCCCCCTCCTACTCTTCCAAGTCCCCAAAGTCCATTATATCATTATTATGCCTTTGCATCCTCATAGCTTAGCTCCCTCATGTCAGTGAGAACATACAATGCTTGGTTTTCCATTCCTGAGTTACTTCATTTAGTTAATAGTCTCCAATCTCATCCAGGTCACTGCAAATGCTGTTAATTCAGTCCTTTTTATGGCTGAGTAGTATTCCATTTTATATATATATATATGTATATATATACGTATATATATACATATATGTACATATATGTGTATACGTATATACGTATATGTGTATATATAGTATATATACATATATACTATATATACACATATATATGTGTATATATACGTATGTACATATATACATATATACACATATATATACATATGTGTATATATATATATACATACATATATACACACACACACACACACACATATATATATATATCAGTTTTTTATCCAGTTGTTGATTGTTGGGCATTTGTGTTGGTTCCACAATTTTGCAATTGTGAATTGTGCTGCTATAAACATGCATGTGCAAGTATCTTTTGCGTATAATGACGTCTTTTCCTCTGGGTAGATACCTAGTATTGGGATTGCTGGATCAAATGGTAGTTCTACTTTTAGATCTTTAAGAAATCTCCACACTGTTTTCCATTGTGGCTGTACTAGTTTACATTCCCACCAGAAGTGTGGAAGTGTTCCCTGATTACCACATCCATGCCAACATCTACTGTTTTTTGATTTTTTGATTATGGACATTCTTGTAGGAGTAAGGTGGTATCACATTGTAATTTTGATTGGCAATTCCCTGATCATTAGTGATTTCAGCATTTTTTCATGTGTTTGTTGGCCATTTGTATATCTTTTTTTGAGAATTGTCTATTCATGCCCTTAGCCCACTTTTTGATGGGATTGTTTGTTTGTTTTTTTCTTACTGATTTGATTGCATTGGTTGTAGATTCTGGATATTATTAGTCCTTTGTCAGATGTATAGATTGTGAAGATTTTCTCCCACTCTGTGGGTTGTCTGTTTACTCTGCTGACTGTTCCTTTTGCCATGCAAAAGCTCTTTAATTTATTAGGTCTCAGCTATTTGTATTTGTTTTTATCGCATTTGCTTTTGGGTTCTTGGTCATGAAATCCTTGCCTAAGCCAATGTCCAGAAGAGTTTTTCCAATGTTATCTGCCAGAATTTTTATGGTTTCAGGTCTTAGGTTTAAGTCCTTGAGTTGACTTTTGTATAAGGTGAGAGATGAGGATCCAGTTTTATTTTCCTACATGTGGCTAGCCAATTATCCCAGCACCATTTGTTGAAAAAAGTGTCCTTTCTCCACTTTTTGTTTGCTTTATCAAAGATCAGTTGGCTGCAAGTATTTGGGTTTATTTCCGAGTTCTCTATTCTGTTCCATTGGTCTATGTGCCTATTTTTATACCAGTACTATGCTGTTTGGATGACTATGGCCTTATAGTATAGTTTGGAATCAGGTAGTGTGATGCCTCCAGATTTGTTCTTTTTGTTTAGTCTTGCTTTGGCTATGTGGGTTCTTTTTTGGTTCCATATGAATTTTAGAATTGTTTTTCTAATGCTGTGAAGAATGATGGTGGTATTTTGATGGGGATTGCATTGAATTTGTAGATTGCTTTTGGTAGTATGGTCATTTTCACAATATTGATTCTACCCATCCATGAGCATGAGATGTGTTTCCATTTGTTTGTGTGGTCTATGATTTCTTTCAGCATTGTTTTGTAGTTTTTCTTATAGAGGTCTTTCAACTCCTTTGTTAAGTATTTTCCTAAGTATATATATATATTTGCAGCTATTCTAAAAGGGGTTGAGTTCTTGATTTGGTTCTCTGCTTGGTCGCTGTTGGTGTATAGAAGAGCTACTGATTTTGTACATTAATCTTGTATCTGGAAACTGCTGAATTCTTTGATCAGTTCTAGGAGGTTTCTGGAGGAGTCTTCAGGGTTTTCAAGGTAAATGACCATATCATCAGCAAACAGTGACAGTTTGACTTCCTTTTTATGGGTTTGGATGCCCTTTATTTCTTTCTCTTGTCTGCTCTGGCTAGGACTTCCAAAGAGGAGTGGTGAGAGTGGGCATCCTTGTTTTGTCCCAGTTTTCAGAGGGGATGCTTTCAACTTTTCTTCATTCAGTATTGTGTTGGCTTATCAATAATATGTGTCATAATATGTGGGTTTGTCATAGATGGCTTTAATTACATTAACGTATGTCCCTTGTATGCCGATTTTGCTGAGAGTTTTAATCATAAAGTGGTACTGGATTTTGTCGAATGCTTTTTCTGCATCTGTTGAGATGATCATGTGATTCTTGTTTTTAATTCTGTTTATGTGGAGTATCACATTTATTGACTTGCGTATGTTAAACCATCTCTGCATCCCTGGTATGAAACAGACTTGATCATGGTGGATTATCTTTTTGATATGTTGTTGGATTCGGTTAGCTAGTATTTTGTTAAGGATTTTAGCATCTATGTTCATCAAGGATATTGATCTGTAGTCTTCTCTTTTGGTTATGTCCTTCCCTGGTTTTGGTATTAGGGTGATGCTGACTTCATAGAATGAATTAGGGAGGGTTACTTCTTTCTCTATCTTGTGGAATAGTGTCAAAAGGGTTAGAACCAATTCTTCTTTGAATGTCTGGTATAATTCTGCTGTGAATCCATCTGGTCCGGGACTTTTTTTGTTGTTGGTAATTTGTAAATTACCATTTCAATCTCACTGCTTGTTATTGGTCTGTTCAGGATATCTAATTCTTCCTGATTTAAGCTAGGAGGGTTGTATTTTTCCAGGAATTAATCCATCTCTTCCAGGCTTTCTAGTTTATGTGTGTAAAGTTGTTCACAGTAGCCTTGAATGATCTTTTGTATTTCAGTGATGTCAATTGTAATATCTTCTGTTTCGTTTCTTAGCGATGTTATTTGGATTTTCTGATTTTCTTGGTTAATCTTGCTAACGGTCTGTCAATTTTATTTATTTTTCAAAGAACCAGCTTTTTGTTTCATTTATCTTTTTTTGTTTTGTTTCAACTTCATTTAGTTGTGCTCTGATCTTGGTTATTTCCTTTCTTCTGCTGGGTTTGGGTTTGGTTTGGTTTGGTTCTTGTTTCTCTAGTTCCTTGAGGTGTGACCTTAGAATGTCAGTTAGTGCACTTTCAGTCTTTTTGATGTAGGTGTGTAGGGCCATGAACTTTCCTCTTAGCACCGCCTTTGCCGTATCCCAGAGGTTTTGGTAGGTTGTGTTGTTGTCATTCAGTTTGAAGAATTTTTTTTTTTTTTGAGATGGAGCCTCGCTCTGTTGCCCAGTTTGGAGTGCAGTGGTGTGATCTCGGCTCATTGCAAGCTCCACCTCCCGGTTTCACACCATTCTCCTGCCTCAGCCTCCCAGGTAGCTGGGACTATAGGTGCCCGCCACCACGCCTGGCCAATTTTTTTGCATTTTTTAGTAGAGATGGGGTTTCACCATGTTAGCCAGGAGGGTCTCAATCTCCAGACTTCGTTATCCCCCACCTCAGCCTCCCCAAGTACTGGGATTACAGGTGTGAGCCACCATGCCCAGCCCAACTCAAAGAATTTTTAAATTTCCATCTTGATTTCGTTTTTGACCCAGTGCTCATTTGGGGGCAGATTATTTAATTTCCATATATTTGGATGATTTTGAAGGTTACTTTTGGAGATGATTTCCAGTTTTATTCCACTGTGGTCTGAGAGAGTGCTTGATATAATTTCAATTTTCTTAAATTTATTGAGGCTCATTTTATGGCCTATCACATGGTCTGTCTTGGAGAAAGTTCCATGTGCTGTTGAATAGAATGTGTATTCTGGGGTTGTTAGATGAAATTTTCTGTATATATCTGTTAAGTCCATTTGTTTCAAGATATAGTTAAAATTCATTGTTTCTTTGTTGACTTTTTGTCTTGATGACCTGTCTAGTGCTGTCATTGGAGTATTGAAGTCCCCCACTATTATTGTGTTGCTGTCCATCTCATTTCTTAGGTCTATAGTAATTGTTTTATAAATTTGGCAGCTCCAGTGTTAGGTGTGTATATGTTTAGGATTGTGATATTTTCCTGTTGCACAAGGCCTTTTACCATCATATACTGTCCCTCTTTGTCTCTTTTAACTGTTGTTTCTTTAAAGTTTGATTTGTCTGATATAGGAATAGCTACCCCTGCTCGCTTTTGGTGTCCATTTTCACCCCTTTAAGTTTATGTGAGTCCTTATGTGTTAGGTGAGCCTCCTGACGGCAGCAAATGGTTGGTGAGTTCTTATCCATTCTGTGGTTCTGTATCTTTTAAGTGGAACATTTAGGCCATTTACATTCAATGTTAGTATTGAAATGTGAGGTACTCTTGCTTTCATCGTGCTCTTTGTTGCCTGTGTATTTTTTGTTGTTGTTGTTGTTTTTGCTTTTTAACTCCTATTTTTGTTTTATAGGTCCGGTGTGATTTATGCTTTAAAGAGGTTCTGTTTTGTTGTGTTTCCAGAATTTCTTTCAAGATTTAGAGCTCTTTTTAGCAGTCCTCGTGGTTGTTTGGTAATGGCAAATTCTCTCAGAGTTTGTTTGTCTGAAAAAGACTATCTTTCCTTCATATATGATGCTTAGTAATTTGTTTTTTTTAAATGCAATTATATCTTAGTAAGAGGAAATTGTTGCCAATTTTAATGTTTAACCCATTTCTCATTTGCCCTGAGAATACTTGCAGTTGGTGCTTGCGGCTGCAGCATTTACACTGAGATAACTTTGCTACAAAATATCTTGCTTTTATTATTATGTTTGCATCATTCTAGTATATCGACTTTGGAAACAAAAGACATCATTCTATTTACAACATTCTGTTTTTAGTAGTGGTATTTCCATTTACAAAATATAGTAATTCTCAATCGCTGAAAATGTCAAATCCTAGAAAACGTAGCATTCCTACGCATGATCGTAACATCGTTCTCAAACAGTTGTTGGCTGAAGGTTCACTTGATGAATCTGATTTTTCTGAAATAGATGATTCTGATGATTCAGATAATTCTGATGTTAGTTCTGTTTAGAAATAACTCCAAGAACAGTTTTCATATTTTATTTCCACACTGAAAATCAGTCAGATTTTCTTCAGCTTCAAAGAGCATGTTTACGTAAAATTAAATGAGTGCTGGCAGAGAGCTGCACTTTTTTTTTTCCTAAATGGGAAATGATCATCTAATTGCCAGTGTAAAGAATCAGCACAATGTCAGGCATATGAAGTCTACGCTTACGTATGTTCACATTTAAGGGCAATATGGACCGTTTCATACTGTAGAATGTTCCTCAGGAGCCATGTGCCACTGCTGGGAATACCGCCCTAACCCGAGTACCCTGGGGAAGGCAAATTATAGCACAAAAGGAAGCAAGACAAGGGATGCTGGGCACTGTTGGGAAATGATAGTTATGCAAGAATCTCATGTTCTCTGAGAAGAGGGATTTGACAATTTAATTAACTTATCTTTTCTCCTACCTAAGCACTTCTGCCAATCAAATCCTCCCCACACTTCAAAGCAGAGGCCTCCTCCGAAGCTGGCAGTGATAACACAGAAGACTTTAAGGCATGGCACATGCATGTCTTTGACTTCAAGAACACAGGGCAGTAGATGTGTAGAATTGTTGCCCTGAGGCCTGAAAGGGTGTGATTGGCTTTAGGGGGCATATGTAGGTGTATAAGTCTTGTTTTGAAAGCACTGGATGCTGAATCCTGAGTGACAGAAGCATTTGCATATTTTAGAATAAACTCTGTATATTTGTGTGTGTGTGTGTGTGTGTGTGTGTGTGTGTGTGTGTGTGTGATGTGTGGGGCTAAGCACCACTCCCAGGCAGGTCTCTTCTTGCTTGAGGCTATAGGGAAGGTTGGAAAGCATCTAGCACTAGCTCTGTGTATAATAATCTCAAAGCAAATAATCACACTGCACACCCGCCAGCCCCCACTCCTAAATTCCCTTCTGATGTGAGGGGGAAAAGTGGAGCCCTGGCCAAGCAACTACTTATGAGAGCCATATTCAGCAGAGATATGTGGACAGAGAACTTCAACTCAAAGTCTACCTCTAAAACATAGAGTAAAAGCAACTACTTCCTAAAACTAGCTTAGTTATTTGGGACAATAATGACTATTTCAACCTATACAAGATACTTAGAAGGTGGTGAGCTCCAGCCACTGGAAGTGTTGAGCAGAGGGTAGATGCCAAGTTAGGGTTGACTTGAAGGGGTGTCTTCCACTGTTACACAGTGAGTCTAAGTGGCCTCTGAGATCTCTCCCCACTCTGAGATTCCAAGAGCATAAGATAAAGTGTTTGAACTGGCAAACAACAAACAGAGAAACAAGAAAGAAATGGCACAGGTACAGTAGTATGTTGGTGCCAGTTCACACTAGCTTTCAAGAGTCAGTTGTTAAACATTCAGGATATTTATGAACAAGTGGTTAAACGTTTGGTAGTTTGAAATCAGCCATGGTGGGAATATTTACACCATGGAAATTGGCAAATGCTACAACTCAGGACTTTTTTTCTAGAGAGCTGGTTTACCAGCACACCCCTGAAGACATAGTTGGTCCAGCCATTGAGTTTCATTTTAGCTAGGATCTAGGAAACTAATTCAATCCCACTTAAATTTTTTTTTATTTTAAGTTCCAGGAAACATGTGCAAGACGTGCAGGTTTGTTACACAGGTAAACATGTACCAAGTTGGTTTGCAACTATCAACCCATCAGCTAGATATTAAGTCCCACATGCATTATCTATTTATCCTGATACTCTCCCTCCCCCCAACACCCCTGGCAGGCCACAGTGTGCGTTGTTCTCTGTGTAAATGTGTTCTCATTGTTCGGCTCCCAGTTTTAAGTGAGAACGTGTGGTGTTGGTTTTCTGTTCCTGTGTTAGTTTGCTAAGGATTATGGCTTCCAGCTTCATCCATGTCCCTGCAAAGGACATGATCTCATTCCTTTTTATGGCTGCATAGTATCCCATGGTGTATATGTACCACATTTTCTTTATCCAGTTTATCATTGATGGGAATTTGGATTGATTCCATGTTTTTGCTATTGTGAATAGTCTCAGCCCCACTTTTTGTAGCAGAAGAATACAGGACCTAAAGGAATGCTGCTAGTGTGGTTAAATTCCTTGGTTTTGTGCACAGACAAACCTGGTGCTACCAAGTGTGTAGTCTTGAACAAAGTACTTCATCTGTCTAAACCAACCTTAGTTTCCTTATCTATAACTATTACGTGTGATAATATATATACAAAGATTATTATGGTTCCTGGCACATGATAATCTCTTAACAAATGTAGCTATTATTATTTTTTTCTGAGTTGTACATTGCTGTATAATTTTAAATTATTGCTGTACAGCTTAAAATTATTTTTTCTAAGTTGTACATTGGTTATCTGCTGTAAAAGCAGCAGTCTTAGGTTTAAACAACAACAAAAAATTCCTACTTACATAAAGCAATACGGGGTTTTTTGAAGGGATATTGCATTGAAGAACAGGATCAGAAATCAGACAGGAACCAAGAGAAGCCAAGGGGCCAGAATTCAGGCAGAGTCATGAAGACAGGCAGGTAAGGTTATGCATTGCTGTCATCAGTGATACCACCTCTCCCATCAGTCCTGGGTAAATGGCTTTGCCACTAGCCCTGTGGCTCCCAATACTGGGTATTTCCACTGACCCTTGGCCCAACTGTAGGAATGAATTCTCTGCTCATTTCTTTGCATAACAAACTTCAGATTCAAAGCCTTGGTTGAATCTTGGCCAACCTTCAGTTGGCCAATTCTCAGTTAGATGCCAGCACCATAACCTCTAGGGGTATGGTGTAGTAAGAAGTATCTAGTGTTTTCAGGCTCTGTTCTAGAACGTGGGCTCTGCCTCCCACCCAACCCACACTGTGGATAATTTCCAGACATAGGAAAAATCTGGGTGAGTGACATATATCCAATATGGCTTATTCCTTTAGATACCCTACATCCTTTCTCCCATGTTTAGTGTTTGACAACAACAACACAGATATAAAAAGTTGCTCCCATTTAGTATAATAAAATGATTGTGGCTGGGTGCAGTGGCTCACACCTGTAATCCCAGCACTTTGGGAGGCTGAGGCAGGCAGATTACTTGTGGTCAGGAGTTCAAGACCAGCCCGGCCAACACAGAGAAACCCCATCTCTACTAAAAATACAAAAATTAGCTTGGCGTGGTGGTGTGTGCCTGTAGCCCCAGCTACTCAAGAGGCTGAGGCAGGAGAATTGCTTGAACCTGGGAGGTGGAAGTTGCAGTGAACCAAGATCACGCCACTGCACTCTAGCCTGCTGGGTAATAGAGCAAGACTTCATCTCCGGAAGAAAAAAAAAAAAAAAAGATTGCTCACACATCTGAAGACCTTTTAACCCCCCCTTTAAAGAAAGACCAACTGAGATGATGTCCAATTTCACGTCTTGGATATTCGTTCTTCCCTTAGCATTGATATTCTGTAACCTGTGGACAAAGTCAGGGCCTGGCAAACTTTTCTGTAAGGGACCGTGTGATTATTTTAAGCTTTGTGGTCCACACAGTGGTTGTCTAGACTACTCATGTCTGTCACTGTTGCATGACAGCAGCCATACACAATGTGTAAATGAATGGTTGTGCTGTGTTCCAATAAAACTTTATTTACAAAAGTCCCTAGATGACTGTACTAGGACTGCAGTCTGTAGTTTGCCAAATTCTTGACAAGATTATACACTTTGCTACCACCAGCACACCCTATCATAATAATCAGGCACCCTAAAGAGGAAGGAGGAATGTTATTGTGTACACATACTCACACACAAATCATCCAGAATACAGAAAGGAAGCAGACATAGGTACAGGGAGGGGCTATGACTTCATTCCATCAACAGATCACACGGTCATAGCTGCTGCTATCACCACCCTCCATTATGGCCCATGCCATGCTTCCTTATTGATAGTCAGTAACTCACCTAGTTGTGGTCCAGTATCTGATGGGGCAACCCTGACTTTCACTGTGTCTAAGCTTTTGGTGATTTTGCCTGCATAGGGCTGGAAATGTTGTCCAATAACCTTTGTTGGACAACCTTTAGTTGGCATTGGTGACATGTTTCTCTGGCCATTATCTAAACCTCCTTCCTATGCTCAGTATCGAGGAGAAATTGGGATTACTACTCCCCAGTATGAGAAGAATATGGTTAAAACCCAGGAGGCTTCCCTGAGGGCCTCTCACTGGACATGATTGTATGAGAGGCCTTCAGGGAAGCTCTCTGGGTTTTAACCATATTCTTCTTATTCTGGGGAGTAGCAATCCCAATTTCTCCTCAATACTGAGCATAGGAAGGAGTTCAAACAATGGGCAGAGAAATAAGTCACCAGTGTCTACTACCTAACCTGGATGTCAGAGGGGCAGTAAACTTACAAATACTGCACCACACAGCACACATGGGACATTCACAACAAATATGGTAGCGAAAATTTGCTCTGTTTATGTACAGCATTGGATAAACAGTATCTAAGTGATGTATTTGTTTCTACTTTAGTCTGTGAACCTCCCAGAGTTGAGAACAAATGTATTTCTTTTTGCCGTCCCAGAACCAAGCACCATACCTGATAAACTGTTAGATGCTTGAAAAATGGATGTTAAAAAACATTAAAAGGTTATAAGAGATGTCAAAACCCAAAAATATGGGGAAGTAACTCATAAAAAATGTAACTTGCATGAAATAACAATAGGTTATCTTGGGCAAATAATGTGTGTAAGAAACACGTATTAGTTGAGGAAATGGAAGTTTGTGGATAAACATGATGTAGTGATTTAATCCTCACCTGGGGGTGAAGACTGGGTATTTCTCTCTCTTCTCTTGTGAGGCTCTTACAAGATACTCTGCAATTGGGAGTGGTATTGATTCAGGGCCAAAGCAAATTTATTGCTCTTGCTACTCTTTGGAAAATAATTTATTTAAGAGCTTGCATTTTTAAGTCAATAGAACTTTAGAAAACAGTTTGTTTCCTCAGTAGATAAGACTTTTAGTAAGAAGTAGACAGAAGCTCAAGTCTAGATGTGAAATGGGAAAATATTATCACAGATGAGTTGGCTTCTACTGGAAAGTTTAACTGTTGATTGAATTAAATAAGTTTAATTCAACAGGTTTTTTTTGGTGATATTTACTAAGTGTAAGGATAACCATATCTTAGGCAGTGTGGGAACACACAGATGAATAAGATTGCTCATAACCTAGTGGAGGAGATAGACTTGAAGTCTTTTAGATGCTATAGGTAGAGGCAACAATGAACAAGTTTAGGAGGACAGAGAGGGAAGAGATTAATTTCAGCTCAGGGAATCAATATAGACTCTATGGAGGAGTGATTGTTGGAGAGGTGACTATGATTTCAATAGAAATATATGACGAAACACATTTTGGATGGTAAGAACGTAAGGCAAAGATTGCAAATTCAAATGTCTAAGGGGTCAAGCGTATCACTATTATGAGTGAAGCTAGCTGAACGTAAGACAATAGGGAATAGTGAGGATTATAGTCAACTGGAGGGGCATGGCCCATGTAAAGGGATTAACCACTCCTCAGGCTCAGTTTGACTGTTAACATGATCCACTAATTTTTCAAGAGAAGCTGGAGATCTTCATAAACATTGTCAATGGATTTGATAAAACAACCACCCTATAACAGTGGGATCCAAATCCATCTACAGGCTAATTCTAGTCTGCAGACAGTGAGTTACAGAAAGATGAAGAGGGAGAAAGCTGCAAGCCAAGCTTGGGAGCCAGCATTGCATGGGGACATGAGTGTGTGGGGTGGGGGGTTTGTGTGATAAGACAAAAAAAAAGTGGATAGAGTGAAATCTTCCAAGACATTCAATACACTCCCAAGGAGTTTGGGCCTTATTCTGTGGGCAGTGAGGGCGTGGGATCATGGAGATGACTTGTTGAAAACAGTTTCTAAAAGACCTCTCTGGTTGCCTATGGAGGAAGGGATGAAAAAGGTTGTTGAGTGGGGGCAGAGGTGAGTTAGGAGGATGCCGCACAATCCAGGGTGAGAACTAATGAGGATCTGAGCATAGACTGAAGGAGACTGGTGAGGTATATTAAGACTCAAAACATATTCATGACTGGCTACACATAAAGGTTGAGGGGAAAAAGGTTGCTTTCTATGCCTTCAGAAATTAACTTAGGAAAACAGGTCTAAAACCCAAATGGATCACTAACCAGTTTTATAGCCTAGGGCCAATTATTTCTCTTAAATGTTAGCTTTTTCTTCTGTCAAATGGTGACAATGATAGCTGTCCTTGTCAACTAGGGGATGATGTAGCTGTCCTTGTCAACTAGGGGATGATGTAGCAATCAAATGAAACAGAGGACATGAAAGGGAGGTCATCACCATAAAGGACTGTGTCTATGGAAGTTATTTTGATTGTTGTTATCATAGTTAACTCTGAAATTCCTCATCAATCAGGACTTTGCAAACATATGGAGTCATAAAAAATTATAAAAATGACAAACCATTTTTAGCTTGGTGTGAAATAAGTAGCAGCATCTGGAGAGAAAAAATTTACTTTGTTGTTGTTAGCAGTGATAATCATGGCACCTGCTGTGGCTTACAGCCCTTTCCAAGTAAAGTGGGCCCATCCACTGTCCTAGCTGAGATTTCCATCCTAGGCAGCCATGTTTGAGGCCTTAAGCCATGTCTGACCCGGCAGCAGCAGATTCATCTGCTGATCAGTGGTCTAGGGTATGCCGTCATGTGAAAAGACTATTCAAACAGTAATGATGATAATCAGCTGAGCTGGAGATATTCTCCTGTAGAGAATTTGACTGGGGAAAGAGTAAGACATCCAATCAATGGCATGAAGACAATGGGGTAGAGGAGCAACATGATAGACCACCAGAGAAGGTGGCAGATGGTGAGTTGGTAAGTTGGTAGAACACTAGGGAGAGGACCTAGGACCTTTTTCGTTCAGCATTGCCGGAGTTGCTTTGGGTCAAGAACCATCTTTCAGTCCCATCCTCTGTGTGGCCACATCCTGTGATAACTTAACATTCTTTTTGTTCAACATAATTTCATTCAGTGGAAATCCTTAAAATACTTCATCCCTCACTTGAGTTAGCTCTTTTTTTTTGCGACCAAAAAACCTAACTGAAACATTGCCTCTATTCACCTGAAATAAACCTTCCTGATATGTTTGAAGTGAAAAACAGAGGTCCTCCAAAACTTGCTTAAGTGTCTTCTAGTGGGAGGAAAAACTGATTAAGTTAGATGGCATGCAACTGGGTATACCAAGGAGTTAGGGTTAAACTTTAAGAAATGCTGTGTTTCAAATTCCATATATATAGAAGGGCAGTTACTTTAAAAGAAACATATCTTAAGACTAGTCAAGGCAATGACAGGAAAAACTTGAGTTAATGCATGAAATTGATGGTCAGGTGGAATAATCATGGGCTTTAGAGTCAGAAGTTTAACCTGAAGTCCAGGTCCTATGACTTCCTAGTGGGATGGGCAGTGAGGTCTAGGGTGAGTCACTCATTATGCTGAACTCCAGGTACTGAAAAATGGAGCTGTAAAGGTGATGGTTATCATGACAGTGACGATTATGATGACAGTGATGATGATCATTGGGCAGGAGTCCATGGAATTCCTCATATACTTAACTATATTGTTTGTTATTAGGGAAGTAAAGTTCTAGAGTTGGAAATGAAAAGATTCAAGACAAAAAAATGGAAAAGGAATAGTAATTACACACAGAAGAAAGTTAACACATTTCAAAAAAAGTTACTTGTGAAGAGTTGATATTCCCATTTGATTCCACATGATAGTTATGCAATAAAATGTTTTTGGGCCTTAACATTTTAAAAGAAAGGTCATAGTATTAATAATAATAATAGTGACAATGGTAATAATGCTAATAACTGCAGCTACCACTTAGCATCCACAATGGCCCAGGCAGTGTCATGCTTCACATTCACTGTTTCAAATTCTCCAGTAGTCATGTTTATTACCCCCACTTTACTCATGAGAAACCCAAGAAACCCTCTGTTAATCTTCAGAGAGATTAAGAAGCTTGATCAAAGGCAAACAGGTAGGAGTTTCAACCTAGGTCTTTCTGGCTCTGCATTCTGTGTCCATCTTCCTGTTCACTTAGTGAGCTCATCCTAGGATGCTGAAACACAGGAGCTGCAATGATCCTTGGAGATTGCCTAATCTAGGCCCTTCTTTTTAGGGGAAAGGAAACAGAGTCCCGGAGTTGTGAAACTGATTGTCCGAGAGCATGCAGCTAGTTACTGGTGAGATCAAGTCCTCAGACTCAAGGCTCCCGACTCAGGGCCGTAGCCTGTCATCTAAACTAGGCTGCATCTCTGGTTTTGAATTTCCATGCTCTTGTGCAAACAGGCTGTTGGTTTTGTTCCAGAGAATTACAGGGCAAATTTACCCTTCCTGGGGGGAACAGCTGGCGTGTGCGCTGTGAAGTCTGCTATCATAGCACACCCTGGTTTTATGGTAGACTAGCCTCTGGCCTCTATTAGCAATAGGGAATCTGTTTGGCATGGAGTGAGCAAATAAGGGAGTGCACTGAAAACCAACCCCTAGATTCTTGTTTAGCAACTTCTGGCATGAACATTACGTGGTACTCATCAAAGTGGGAGCTGGGATAGCACATTAGTATGCTCACAGCAGCCAGCCTTTATGAAATGCTCATCACATCCTAGGATCCTTTAATTCTCACAATTAAACTGCAAGTTAGCTAATCTAATAACCCATTCAAAAGATGAAGAAACTGAGACCCAGGGACATTAAGAAACTTGTCAATGTTTAAAAAAAAAGAAGAAGAAAGCCTACTAAGTATTGTAAGAAGATCATAGCCTTCATTCTCTGGTATGTTTGATGATGCCAAAGCTGACATTTGTAACCACCACATACACCTGCACAGCACCTATAAGGTTTTGCACCTGTAGGGGCTTGGGGTGGTTAGAAAATAAGAACAGTCTTTGCCCTCAGGAATTTTATAGCCTAACATGGGACATATACACATTCACAGATATAATTCATTATAATACTATCTCCGAGAGAGCATTGAGGTTTTTTTGGCAGGCACTGTTCTATGAGATTTTTGAGAATCTGCCTTAATTTTTCAACATGGCTATGCAGTAAATTTTTATCATTTTACGAATGAAAAAACTGAGACTGAGAGAGGTAAAGCAAATCACCAAACTTTCTGTAGTTAGTAGGTATTTTAGAGTCTTGATTCAAGCCACAGCAGTTTAACTCCAGAGTCCAGGGTCACAGTCACTGTGGTCAAGGTTAAAAATAAAAGAAAATCAAATGCTATGGGAATCCAAAGGCATAGACATTTAAAATGGAAAGACTGTTGCCCTAAATCCTCAACACTGACTCCAGTAAACTTTTCTGCCAACCAAGAGCAATACAGGGTATGGTATTGGAGGCAGTGTGGTCTGAGCGATCTCGGAAGAGAAGAGGAGTCAGATCACCGGGTGTTAGACCCATCTCTTCACCAGGTGAATGTGGTAACTGTCATAACTGAGGATGACATCTTGGCTCCCTCTTCTGTGTCTTGATTACTATCACTGAAAGGTGCCCATAAACCTGGTTTATTTTTAAGAGATAATTTGTGTTTTATTGCTTGTTTCTGGGAGGATACTCACAGATGCTAACAAAACCCACAGAGACTGGGGAAGTTATAAAAGCTTCAGAAAAATCTTGAAAGTTATTACATTTTACTTAATACCTACTAACTACAGAAAGTATTTGTATTTAATAAATACAAATGGGGTTAGTTCCATTTTTTTCCATAGTCCATTCATAGAAAAACTTACGTAATTATTTGTTCATATGTTAAATAATTTATTCACACACACACATATATATTTGATATTTACAAAAATCTATTCTTTTTATTTTCCACAATTCCTAAGAGAAAGAAAATAGGAGCATTTTCAACATAGCCAGCTGCCTCTCCCTTACAGATTTCCAGCTGTGTTTTTTTACTTTGGGCTTTGTGGCAGAGTGAAAGGAGGCTTGGTCTGGCTGTCAGGTCACCTCTACTGTTTATTAGCCATGTGATTTGGGCAGGTGTCCTCCCTTGCTGGGCTCTGTGTTTTTGTTTTTCTCTCTCTAAAAGCAGGGGTTGGACTAAGCCATTGGTTTCCACATTGCACTATTGCATGATGAGTGGGGACTGTGGAGTTATTGGAGAGGATCTGGGAACCCTTGTGTTGGACAAGTTTGAGGGCTGGGCAAAATAATACCTCACACATGTCTATCATATGTGTGCATGAGGATACTGTTGTGATTAACAAAATGCAATTAAAAGTGTTATGAAATTATTCCTAACTGTAATCTTCGTAATTTTCTTGAAAAAAAAAAAACTAAAATACAATTGAATTTTTCCTAATTTTGGTCAATATGGCATTCTTAATGAACACACACTAAACATTCTGTTAACATGAGAAAGGTCTGGATACATCTTCTGTATTAGAAATGGGTCTTGCAATTGCAAAGGTCTGAATGATTTATTGGGTCCTTTTTAGGGTTAACATTTTGGGATTCTAAATTGCAGTGTTCTAAAATGGTAGCCACTAGCTATGTGTGGCTATTTAAATCTAAATTAACTTTAAAAAATTTAATCAGTTGCACTAGCCACATTTCAAATGTTCAGTAGTCACATAGATTGGTGGCTACCATATTGGACAGTGTAGATAACAGAATACTTTCATCATGGTAGAAAGTTCTATCAGACATCCCTGTTCTAGGAGAACTGGATGACCTTATTGGTGTGTTTTCCTTGACATGAGATGGTCTTATGGTCTCTTCTAATGATGTTTTTAGAAGAATATGAGATTGAGCCTGAAAGCATTTAGCTTTTGGCTCTGTCATTGACGGGGAAAAAGACATATATATACGTCAGTGGGTGGGGATGGTTAAGAAGCCTGGAAGATTGATCCACTCTTTGTGGGACAGTTTGCTTCGCACTTTTGATTGCACTTAGTAACATGATTCTTGTAAACAGCCATGCACAGCAATGAATGTTGATTCAGCCACACCCCCAACCCCCAATCCCCACAAATAGCCTCACCCACTCAATTACTCAGAAACTCAGAAGCCTGTGACCAGGATCTGGATAAAGGCAGACATCAGGATTTTGCTGTGTTCCTAGCCCAGAGGAGCTGCTAAAAAGAGGAAGAATGGAGAAGCCATCCAAAGCCAAGTAACATATTTCCTTCTCTTAACAGGAAAGCTTATGGGTGTGGCCAGAGTCAAAGGACTGGGAGAGGCAAGGGTCTCCCCTCAAAAATTTCATGGGTTAATTTAGACTTAAGGGTTAGTAAGAAAAAGTGGGCCAGGAGGGACAACTGGGCCTGACCACGCATCTAAAAGAAACTATTCCTCTTCTGATGAGTAAATACATCTTCACTCTAGAATATTTGGAAAATGTAGAAGCTAATAGGAATTTAATCATAACTCATATTATCACTGGAGGTAATTATTGCTAATGTTTTCAATATTAAAAAAATTTTCATTCCTTGAACTGAACTATAAAAGGTATTACATGCTTTTTTTTTTTTCTTTTTCCTTTTTTTCCAAACAGGGCCTTTCCTTATTTAATTGCACTAAACTGGAAAGCCAACCCAAGCTTGTGGTTTCTTTTCTTCCTCTTCCCATTTCTTTCTGCTTCAAAGACTCTTATCTCAGTTTGTAAATGAGAGTTGAGGTCTTTCAATTCTTTTGCAGGAATGATGTCCATTGGCCTCACTCACAGACTTGTTTAGGAAGCTCTGCTGGGGTTAAAACTTTGCCTTCATGGCCATGATAGCCAGGGGGGTGAGGGGCAGTTTGTCATGTGGTTCAGGGGTGGCCTTGGCTTTTCATTTGGTTTGGGGCAGGATAAAAAGGGTCTGGACACTTTTTAAAGTGAAAAGAGACTCCACTGGTCTCTTTTCATCTGCAAAGTAATTTGGTAGAATTACATGGGTACACTGTGAGTTCAGACAAGGGACAGAATCAGGATTTAGTATAGAATTGGGCTGATTGACTGTTAAAATTCAATTCATCATTAATTAAATTTTTGTTGACCATGTTATGAATATGGTATTTCACTAGGCACTAGGTCCACAAAAATGGACCAGACGAGATCCCTCTCTCAGAACGTTTACAGATTAGTAGTCTTGATCTATAATGAAACAGACAATCAAAATTTGAGTGTTGCAGGTATTACAATAGCGATAAGTTCAGGATACTGTTAGAGCCTAGGCAGGGAGAGGCACTTAATCCATTTTAGGTGGATCAAGGAAGTCTTCTTAGAGGATATGCATCTAAACTGAGAAGAGAAGAATGAAGAGGAAATAACATTCTTGAATGTGGAAGTGAGAGTCAGGGTGAGGGAAGAATGTTCCAGGTGGAAGGTATAGACAGCGTGAGTAAAGACAGGCAAGTGAGAGGCAGGATGTATTTGAGAATGACAAGTTCAGTAAAGTATACCCTATGTCCATTTTGCATATTTTGCTGGTAAATGCTTGGACAATAATGTTTGCTTCAAGGCGAGCCTGTGTTGATCTCTGAGGGTGCATTTCCTTCATCCCCAAGTGTAAATGCTGCCTGTCCTGAAAGAGGACCCAGGGTCAAAGCTGCCTTCTGCAGGCAGCCCTCCTAGATTTCCTCTGGTAGAAGTAAACTCTCCCTCTTTTGAATTCTCAAAGCGCTCCTGTCTTCTTGGAGCTTTCCACTTTATACAACAGTTGCTAACGAATATCTGTCCCTCTGCCCTCCTGGACTGTAAACAAATTGAGATCAGGGTCAGTCTTACTGTCTTCCAGATTCTTGGATGGCACCTGGAACAAAGATGCCCTTCAACAGAAACATGTATTCGGGATGCTGGCTCATGACTAGCACTGATCTGTGCTAATGTCTCATGGATTTTTTGAGCTTTTATGGTGTTGCCTCCTTCATTGCAAATTATCCTTTTCTCTCCATATGTTTGCCCTACTCTCTTGCCACAGTCAGGCTTAGGATAATTTTTAGAAGAGGATAATGACAATCAGTTCCATCTAGTCATGCAGATTGAGTTCATTGGATTGCAAGTTTTAAGTGGCATTATAAATAGTTCTTGGAGTAAGCGCTCTGCTTTGAGTGAAGAGAGAACAAAATTTCTCATGTAGGTAGCAACCCTTTTAGTGTTGTGGAGGTTTTTAGCAAGGCTTATATCCAACCATGGTGCATTTGGATGGTTATATTAGTTGATAAAATAATGAAATACTTCCATAGCAGTAAGTGAACAGCTCCTGTCTTGAGCCCACTGAGTGCCCTTCTGACAGCCAAGACCCACTTGTATCCAGCAATTAATGCGTCAATGTCTGGTTTAGCAGGAGGTCCAGGGCTCTGCAGTAGCACCACGGCTGGGGCACTTTGATAGGTTGATACCCATGCCATTGGTATTTTGACTACCACCTCTGCTTACCAAGTGTGTCTGTCAGTGATGCTGAGGTATTTCCTCCTAAAGAAAACAGGATTTGGGGACATTTTGGATAAAAGAGAGCTGATTAGAAGACTGCAGAGAATAGCAATTCCAACCCACTGATTTTTATCATTTAGTAATTGCATTACCTTAGGCACAATGCTTCACCTCTACTCAGTTTTCTTGTCTGTAAAAGAGGGATATAAATTCATTCCTTTATCCATCCATTCATCCGTCCATTTACCCACTCACTCATTTATCCATCTGATAAATAACTGTGCCAAACAGGAAGTGTTGACTGATGGTGACCAGACACACATTTAGGAGATTCAATTTGGGGAACTTACCATAAATCTAATTTTTAAGGTCAAATGAGACATCGAGAGGGAAAGCCTTTTGAAAGTGCAGAGGACTTGACTGATGTCGAGGTGTCCAGTACATCAATAATATCCACTCAAAGAACAGGCTGGGACATTGCTGTGCACTCTAACATTCAGTAAGGACCTTCCGCACTTCAGGTATTCATGACATTTGTCTAAATCTCACATAGGGCCAAAAGGACTAGGAGTCAGTTTTCATTTAACTATTTGTTGAAAGCCTCCGTGTTCCAGATGTTATCTCCTTCCCGCCAAAGAAAAAACATAGCTCTACAGTCTTTGCTGAATGTAAAAATAATGCACAATCTTTATTAAAATGTGAGACAATACAGGAAAAGGTGTAAAGACAAAAAGTAAAATTAATCCCAAATACTACCTCCCAGAGAGAAATACTTATTTTTTGATGTAAAATTCTCTTCAGGCATCTTTCTATGCATATATACATTTTTATACACAAATTGTATCGCATTATTCATGCTGTTCTATAACCTACTTTTCCTCCGAACATTATCAACATACACAGGAAGTTTTATTACTGGGAAAATGACTGAAAAGTTTAACATTAAAATGGACTACATTCTCTTTTGTTTCTTTTGTCATAGCATTCTAGAATTCTGTTGAATCCTTTTCTTGCATTTCTTGCATTTTCCCCTTGAACTAATGAAGTTTGTGCTTAGGTCTTGTGAAGTGGGCATCTTTTCAATTCAACAAATACAGGCCGGGCCTAGTGGCTCACACCTGTAATCCCAGCACTTTGGGAGGCCAAGGCGAGTGGATAGCTTGAGCCCAGGAGTTTAAGACCAGCCTGGGCAACATGGTAAAACCCCATCTCTATAAAAATACAAAAATTAGCCAGGCATAGTGGTGCACATCCATAGTCCCAGCTACTCAGGAAACTGAGGTGGAAGAATTGCTTGAGCATGGGAGGTGGAGGTTGCAGGGAACTGAGATTGTGCCACTGCACTCCAGCCTGGGTGACAGAGAGACAACCTGTCTCAAAAAAAAAAAAAAAAATTCAACAAATACATACTCGCACTGCATGATATTCCATTGTGTGTACAAAATTTATTTAATTAGTCCCCAGTTGATAAGTATTTGAGACAGTTCCCATGTAATAATTCTATAATTATCATCCTTGTGTATTCAGCTTTGTCTATGTGCAATCGCATCCTCAGGACAAATTCCTAGGAATGGGAAGACAGAGGTCAAAAGTTTTTAAACTTTAATTTGTATTTGTGTCAGGGGCTATTAAGGGACAAGAGAAGTGTAGGCTGTGGGAGGTTGAGGTTTAGCTGAAGTCTTGAGACTTCAATCTCATGGCACAATCAAAGAACACGGCAGAAAGTGTTTAGCAGAGAGCTGAGAGTGAATGCTGTTAGGTGGTGGTGGCAGGGGCGGGGGGGTGGTCATCGAATGTTGGAATCAGTTTCAGCAGTGATTGAACTGACCTTGCTTTGGCGTTCTTAAGAATAGCCTGGACGGCATCAGATAGGGGATTTCTGGGAGATTCCAGTGTAAAGGCGAAGTTTGGGGCTGGATTCCTTTCAGTTTAACAAACATTTAGAGAGTGCCCCTCAGGGTCAGGCGTGGGGTATGGAGGAAAACACACCGGCCCCTGGCATCCAAGGGCTCTCAGTCCAGCAGGGGACATACAGTGGTCAACAGGAACTGCAATTCAGAGTGGATGGCTCCAGTGGGATCCTGCCCCAGGGGAGGCAGTACAATAACTCTGGGTGGGCAGAGAGTGCTGGCAGGCAAAGAGAACACTTCGTAGGAGAGTGGGGACTTGAAGGATGAGTGAGAACTCCTTGGGAAGGAAGGGAGGGGGCCCCCAAGTCTCAGCAGTGGAGAGGCTGGAGGCCAGAAGAGAGAGTGGGGCACTGTTGTCCAGGCTTGCTAGAGCATAAAGCAGAGAATGGGAGAGTTGGTCCTTTGAGACTGTTTGCCACACCTGGGGCCAGCTACCTCTTCTCATGCCTTAGGTTTGCTTATTTCCTTAACTGGTCCAGGCTGGGCTTCCTTGTAGGGAGGACTTGCTTTGCATTTACTCTTTATGTAAAGTAAAGATGTCTAGGAGGCATATGATAAAGGTCAATTGTGGAAGGACTCTGGTTGAGCAGCAGGCCCTGTACTTGAAAAGCGTCCTGCCAGTGTAGGCAATACAGGTGCCCCTCAGTGCTTGCCCTGGGGGGCCTGCCACAGCACAGCACTGCAATGGCTGGAGGAGCCACCTCTGCTCATGGTCCAGTACCTTGGGAACAGTAAGCCATGTGCTTGGGCAGCGTTGGCCATATAATTTGCATGGCTCAGTGCAAAATGGAAACGTAGAGCCCCTTAAGTTTAAAAGACAGGAAAAAAGTCTTTTCTGTTTTCCACAGTCTTTCTCATGATCTGTCATGGTGCTCTTTATTTGGGTTTATTAATAATGTCATGTTCTCTCTAAAGCACAGGGATGCTCATGGGGCAAGCGCAGACTCTCATAGGTACCCGGAGCTCCCCTCCACATCAATCACCTAAGGTCCCTGCACCTGACTTGGACTCTTCTGCACCTGTGAAAGGCAGCAGAGATAGCTGGGCCAGCAAGGGGGAGCAGGTGGCCAAGAACCTTTCCTGGAGAGGCAAGGAGGCAGTGGGAGGAGGAGGAGGAACACACAAGGGTGAAGGCCCTAAGCCCCTGGCACATGTACACTGTCCCATCATACTTCTCTTACAAAACACAATTTCAAATTCTTATGAAGAATTGCAAGGTGGTGACTGCAGAGCATTACACCCCAAGTTCAAGTCCCCTTCTGAGCCTGGGACACTCTGTGATTATATTGGTTGCAGGTTTTGTTCTTGAGGTTGACAGACTCCATTTCCACTCACTTCCCACCCTGAGGCTCACCCTAACTCCACTGGAGCAAGTGGACTTGGTCATCAGGACCACGAAGAGGTCATCAGGACTCTTGCAAGACAATCAAGTGGATGGGAAACGAAGTTCCTGAGAGGCTGGTGGTGCAGGTTGTGACTTGTGTCTGACCTCTGGCAAATCCATGGATCCTTCTTTGACCCTGGATGGCCCCATCATCTAGCCTCTGAGGGTCATAGTCCAGGCCAAATGAGAAATACAGTATTCTGAGAGTTATGCTGGGCTGTGATGAAGAACCGCGATTAGACTGGTTCTGTGGTCCCAAGAGTTGGAAGGGGAGATTATGGCACAGTGACCATGTCTGCGAGCCAGAGCTCGGCCAGGAGGGCCCACGTCTAGCCTGAGTGACCACTTAGCAGGGCTACAGTTGTGTAGAAAACATTCCAGCTTAGTATAGGAGGATACACTTAGTGACCTGTGGGGCCTCTCCCTACTCAGGGATTTTATGGTCTGCTGCTGAGGAATTTTTAACTGTAAAAAACCATAAAATTTACCATTGTAACTATTTTAAGTGTACAGTTCAGTTGTGTTAAATGTATTTACACTGTTGTACAATAGACCTCTGAAACTTTTTCATCTTGTAAAACTGAAACTATACCCATTGAAAAACAATTCCCCATTTCCCTTCCTCTCAGCCCCTGGCAACTACCGTTCTACTTTCTGTTTCTCTGTTTCTATGAGTGTGACTACCTATACTACTCATACCTCATATAAGTGGAATCAAATACTATTGGTCTTTTCGTGCCTAACTTATTCACTTAACATAATGTCCTCAAGGTTCATCCATGTTGTGGCATGTGACAAGATTTCCTTCATTGTTATAGTACATTATATGTCTATATCACAGTTTTGTTTATCCTTTCATCCATTGATGGATATTGGGTTGCTTCTATTTCTTGGCTATTATCAATAGTGCTGTTACAAATATGGGTGTGCAAATATCTCTTCAAGATTCTGCTTTCTATTCTTTTGGATATATACCCAGAACCGGTATTGCTGGGTCACGTGGTAGTTCTATTTTTAATTTTTTGAGTAACCGCCATTCTGTTTCCTAAAGTGTCTGTACCATTTTACGTTCCTGCCAACATTGTGCAAGGATTCCAACTTCTTTATATCTTTGTCACCACTTGTTATTTTCTGTATTTTTATTTTTTAAGTTTTTAGAGACAGGATTTTACTCTGTCGTCTAGGCTGGAGTGCAGTCGTGCCATCTTGCCTCACTGCAGCCTTGAACTTCTGGGCTCAAGTGATCTTCCCGCCTCAGCTTCCTGAGTAGCTGGGACTACAGGTGTCCACCACCATGCCAGGCTAATTTTTGGATTTTTTTTTTTTTTTTGTAGAGACTGGATCTTGCTGTGTTGCCCAGGATGGTCTCAAACTCCTGGTCACAAGTGATTCTCCCACCTTACCTTTTTTTTGAGTGTGTGCCGGGACAGCGGGGTAGTAGCCATCCTGATGGGTGTGAGGATTGTACTCTTGCAGAGGGCCAGACATGTCAACCGATGCAAGCTGTGGGGTATCTGGGGCTGGGTAAAAGTCAAGTCAGGGCACCACAGGGCGGCTGTGGGGAGGTTGGATCTTACTGATGATGATGGCATCAGGAAAGGGGTTAGTGTAGAGGCCGCCCTCGGGCTGAGAGACTTGAAAGGTGTTTGTCAAGCCGCTTGTAACGTGCCATTGATCTACTGTGAGACCTTGGGCAAGTTCATTCATCTGTTTGAGCCACTGTTTCTCCATTTCTGACAGGATGGGCTGGGCCAAGCAGCAGCATGAGGGAAGTATGGAATTGTGAAACAGTCTGGCCAGTTTATCTCCTTTCGCCCCAGGTACTATGATTTCAACCTTTGCCTCAGGTGGTTTCCAGTGTAAATCCCTCAGAGCCGTGCCTCCAGGCCCCTTGCAAGGAGCCTTTTTCATGGCCAACTGGAAACAAGCCAACATGCACCCGGTGCCCTGCTCCCAGCAGCTGCCATCTGTGTGCGTTGGCTGGTGGCTCACATGACCTCAGCTGCAGCTGTGGGAGGCTTTGGGATCTTGGCTGTCCAGCTGACTGCCTGCTGGGGGCAGGGGCATTTATTCTGCGTGACAGAAGGTAACATCTGTGGCTGGAGAGATAAGGAGAATTTCCGTCTGAGTCACTGGAGGAAACAGGAAAAAGAAAAACCTCCGACTGAGGAAAGAATCCTCAGGTTGCAGCAAGAGAAGCTGGTGTGCCATTCTTCCGGCCTAAACCTGGTCAGAAGCAGGCTTAGGCTCTCAGAGTATTGCCTGGGCCCGGACTTTGTGCAGGGCCCCAGCAGCCCATCGTGAGGGGGAACTAAGATGTGTGTGCCAGGGACTCAGAGACCATTAGCGAGAGAAGGCAGCGCCTCCTGCTGGTGATAAATGAAATACAGCAGAGCCGTGGGCTCCCGTAGGCACCGCCAACCTGGAAATCCTCCACGTCCCTTTGCCAAGAGAAACTGACATGTTTCTGGACTCTTAAGGTTCACATTTTGGTCTGTGGGTAGCTTATAATTGATGTGTATAATTATTGTGGTGTGGTTTATAAATCGATGGCACACCTTTTTTCTCCTTGATCTCATTGACTGTCACAGCAGCCCAATGAGATAGATTTTAAAGTGTAGCTAGTAAGCGGTGGAGCCATGATTTGAACTCAAAGTGTGTAATCCAAAGCCCCACTTTCCTCCCTCCCACTAAATCTCATTGCCTGGCCCTGGCTTCGGAGAACTCAATAGCTGAGATTTATACAGCCCCCCCCCAGACCCCCATTCTGTCTTGCCTTCTCTGCTCTCAGTCTAGCCACATCCTTCCCTGTACTATGGAGGGGCTGTTGCTCACCACATTTCTGCCGAATAAGCTGCTATGCAGCGTGGTGATAATGACAGAGGAAAAGTTATCTGAGCCAGAGGCCCAAGCAGGTGTTTTGCACCAACTCCTCCAAGGGTTCCAAAGGTGGAGAGAAAATGTCTGAATCAGACAGCAAGATGCTGATGGATATTCACAGCTGTGATCCTGGAGGGAAAGGAAACAAACTCCATTTTCTAGGTGATGGGACAGAGGCACAGAGAGGCGAATGAAGCAACTTCGTCAATGTCACCTGCAGAATGAGATACAATGCACGGCCATTGGCTTTGATGCCCTTGCTTTTTCCACGTATTCTGTTGAACTATATGAAATTGCCATCTGAATGGGTCAAAAACAGTTGACTCTAAGCAACTTCATATAGTTCAACTCAATGTCATGCTGCTTCCCCAGGGCACTGCAAAATTCTGCAGGTACTCCCGAGTTCTCAGAAAAAGTTATGCATAAGAGTAGCCAATTTATTTTAGGTTATTTTTAAAATCAGTAATTTAAGCATAGTGATGATGTTGGTGATGATGATGATGACAATATCAATAATAGCAGCTAACACTTAAGGAACCCTTAACATATGCCTGGCCCTGTGCTAAGCCCATGCGTTATTTTATTTAATCCTCCCAACTGCCCTATAAGGTAGATTCTATTATCACCTCATTTTTACAGATGAGGAACCTAACTAACACCATCTCTACTAAAAATACAAAAATTAGCTGGGCATGGTGGCACGTGGCTTTAATCCCAGCTACTCGGGAGGCCAAGGCAGGAGAATTGCTTGAACTGGGACCCAGGAGGCAGCTGCAGTGAGCCGAGATCACGCCCCCGCGCTCCAGCCTGGACTACAGATCGAGACTCCAACTAAGAAAAAAAAAAAAAAAAAAAAAGTGAAAATCTGGCTGGGCATGGTGGCTCAAGCTTGTAATCCCAGCACTTTGGGAGGCCAAGGCAGGTGGATCACCTGAGGTCAGAAGTTCAAGACCAGCCTGACCAACATGGCGAACCCCGTCTCTACTAAATATATAGGTGGGTGCCTGTAGTCCCAGCTACTCCAGAGGCTGAGGCAGGAGAATTGCTTGAACTTGGGAGGCAGAGGTTGCAGTGAACTGAGATCGAGCCACTGCACTCCAGCTTGGGTGACAGAGGAGACTCAGTATCAAAAAAAAAAAAAAAAAAAAAAAGTATATGGCTGGGTGCGGTGGCTCACGCCTGTAATCCCAGCCCTTTGGGAGGCTGAGGTGGATCATCTGAGGTCAGGAGTTCAAGACCAGCCTGGCCGACATGGTAAAACCCAGTCTCTACTAAAAATACAAAAAATTAGCCGGGCATGGCGGCAGATGCCTGCAATCCCAGCTACTTGGGAGGCTGAGGCAGGAGAATCGCTTGAACCCGGGAGGCAGAGGCTGCAGTGAGCCGAGATCATACTTCAGCCCGGGTAACGAGACTGAAACTCCATCTCAAAAAAAAAAAAATAAATAAATAAAAGAATGTGAAAATAGTGAATTGGAATATTCGGTTAATCAGGGCACACTCTGTCTGTCTTAACCAGGCTTCCACGAGAGGATGAAGCCCTGGCACTCAGAGGCATCCATCGTATATAATACATTTTCTCTGCTATGCATTTAGAATGCTACTAGTTACATACTATTCCTGGGAGAATTGAGAAAAAAACCCACACAAATCATTTTCTGTGGTTTTAATGAGGTGCACTGAACAAGAAAGGCTGCTAGATGGTGCAAGCAGCCACACTTTCCTCTTCACTTGGTTGCGTACTGTTCACCTCCCTGTTCTCTCATGGTCACTGTCAAAACCAAGAGGATGGTGTAATGTTAATAGAATGCTTCCCCGGTTGTTCATGTTTGCTCACTTATTTATCTAAGATAAACTTGTGATCTTGATCCAGATGTATCTCAAATTCAATGGGCTATCTAAAATTCAATTTCCTAGAAGTGAAATCTCTAAATTTTTGATTGCCCATCTGATTACAATTATTTGTTATTAATAAATTTTATTCTTGTATTAAGGTACTGACAGAATGTTGATTTATCGATATGTAATGGACACTGAAAACAGTGGCTTCAATAGATAGAAATGGACTTCTCTCTCATGGAATAGTTAGGAGGGAGACAGTCTAGGGTCAAAGTGGCAGCTCTGCTCTATGAGGGAACCCAGGGACCCAGCCTCTGCCTCCCTGTAGCTCTGAAATCCTGACAGTGTTTCACTCATCTGTGAGGCCCAGGATGGTTTGCTGAATTATCCACATTCCAAGTAGCAGGATAGAAGAAAATTTTGGCAGGATGCAACATGACACCTGTCTTTCAGGACAGAGCTGGAAGTTACAGCATCATATTGACCAACATCCTGTCAGCTAAAAATGATCACACGGCCATATCAGCTATAAGGCACCAGGCTGCAATGGATGCTAGGAAAGGCAATTTTGTAATTTTGGTGGCTGTGTGCCCAGCTGAAAATTGGCAATTCTGTGAAATTGGCATTACCATGAAATGGAAGGAAGAAAGCATAGCAGGAGGCAACATTCAAAAACAGAGATAAACAATGAGATAAAGTGTACATAAATAGAAGTTTCAATATTTCCTTCCTGCACTGCCATGGACGGTCTTGCCCAGACCCCAGAGTGTGCCTACCCTTCCTTGGAGACCATTGCCGTCTGGGGTTGTTTGGTCTTTTCCAGACACATTTGAGTGGTCCTTCTGAAAATAACAGAATGCTTTGCTTACAAACATCAGCTCCATGTACAGCTACATTATTTGCAGGGCCCAGTCCAAAAGAAAACATGGGACTCTTTGTTTGACAATGATTATGAATTTCAAGATGGTAAGAGCAGAGCAATAAAGCAAGCATGGGGCTTGTCTATGCATGGAGCCCAGTGCACAAGTGGCACATCTGTGAAACCAGCCCTGCTCACTTCTTATTGGGAGATGACAGAAAAGGCGTTAAAGTTCTCACTGACTTCTTATAATGGCTATATAAATTATGGCAGTCAACATTTATAAAAAAATGCAGTGTAAATTAACACTCAGAATGGGACTAGATATTCAAATTTGGTGACGTGGTGGCAGCAGTCCCCTAGTGCATGCTTTAGGAGTGCTTCTCAGACTTGGGATGCTGGGCATACATTCCTGGAAGTTCAAGAGAATCTTGTTGTGATGTCATATTGAGTGTTCTTTGCATGACGGCCTTCTGAGGGTAGGTTAGTATTATGTTTAAGAATCCCGGTGGCTTACTTTCCTCTGGATTCTGGGACAAAGACTATGTCCACGTGGCCTGGAAGTAGGTGGCCCATGCAGTTTCCCCAGGCCAGATTGTCTGGCTCCCGTGCACAAGGACCCGAGTGTGCATAGGGGAAAGGTTGGCCTGCGGCCAGCTCTGGGAGTTCGTCACCGGGAAGGCTAGAGCGGGCAGGATGTAAGTTCAGGTTATGGTGGGGGAGGCAAACCTTGTCTAACATTAGGCCAAGGTTGTATACAAAGAATACAGGGATCAATCAGAAACTCAGGAGACCTGGAAGACTTTAGGGGGTAGAATATATAATAAGGCAATGGCACAGAATATAAACTATGAATAGCCACAACTCAGGCCCACAATCTCTTATTCACAATTCCAACATCCATACAGCTCTGAAAACTGGAAGTTTTCTCTCAGTGTGGCACAAACTCTTTTGCTGTACTACTTGATGTGAAGCTATTTATTGTCTAAGTAATATATATTCTAAGTAATATATCTATTTGCTATAGAAATATTACATTTTACTATGAAATATTATCTTAGACTCTAATGGAAGACTACTTAATTCTCTCTCTCTCTCCTAAAATCAGAAAGATTATAAATTTTGTAACATATTGGACTCCAAAGATTTGGGGTAAAAGAGGTGGGCTTGTAATACATATGATTTATTTCACATTTATTATGTGCCAGGCACTGTTCTAAGCACTTTACAAGTATCAATTTAGTTAATGCTCATGATACTCTATGAGATAGAGTTGGCCCAACATTGGTGCTAGTAAGAACACTGGAGCCCAGAGAACTTTTGTAATTTGCCCAGGGTCATAGATAGTCAGCAGGCAGGAAAAAAAAAAAAAAAAAGATGAGTCTCCTGGGAGCCTAGTTTTATGGCCTAGAAGTGAGTCAGATAGCTCAACAAGAATCAACGACCAATCTCATTTTGGGAAAAAAACTATTCAAACTCGTGATTTGGCTGAAGCGATTCAGCAAGTCAGTAACAATAGCAAATGCAATCGCTAGGTAAGGCAAGAGGCTTCATGAAAGAAATTTTCTTTCTACTATCCAGGTTTCTAATGAAGCTGCTCAACAATAGTAGAATCTGTGCTGACCCTTTGGGAAAACCGTGGGACATTTGAGTGGCCAGGATACATTGATAGAATTCACAATTTTGTATTTAAATATCCAAGGAGCAGCTCAGTTTTTGTTAAATTGGAATTTTGGCTTGTCAAATTTTGTAATAATTATCCTGAGTTTTGAAAACCTTTACGTTGGTTTTTTGTAGCAGCACCATTTGTTTTAGTAGAAATCTTACTTTAATGTTTTTCTTAGAAGTTGTACTTCTAGTTAATAGCTGGGTGGGCAGGCTGGTATTATCTTACTTTATTGACGTTCACATTATGTAAGACAGAATGCCAAACCCTGACTAAATAAAAATAGATCACATTTATTGCTTCTTCTCAATGTTCTAAACTTATCTTGGTTAGAGAGCTGAATTGGTTTAGTTTGACAAGATTTGTTCTTTATGAAGCTTTACTGAATCCCTTCTTGCAACTTTATATATCACAGTGTTTATTGTCTGGCGATTTCTTTTCATGGCTTTTTTTTCTTTCCAGAAATGGATGCAATGTGCATATCATGAATAATGGATGATTTTGTTTATGTAATTATTATAAATGATTGTAAGAGTTAGGATGTTAATTTCTTTATCAGCAGGAATATAAGAAGGTTTCATTGATTTGTAAATTATCTTTGAATGGCATTTGGAAAAAAATCTTCTCATATTTTCCTTACGAAATCTTAATAAATGCTTAACTTTGCATACAAAAGTAACATAGATGAATATTCTAATATGTTAAACTTTTTTGGAGCAAAAATGATACTTAGATGAACTAATATTACTGTAGCCTGATGGCAAATTATTGAAGTTTTTTATTGGTAGAATGGACCTTTGTTTTTCTTTTTGGCTGCTCTGCACCTTTAAATTTCCTTTAAAGGAAATTTAAACTTGCTCCTAGCTTCCCTTGCAGCTAGAATGCAGGCATGTGACAGGCTCCACCAACCAGATGGCTTGCATTTGAGATTTTGAATGTAAAGCTAGTGGCACAAATAAACAGGTAGAGTAGAACCATTCTGCTGTGGGGAAGGGCAAATAGGCTTGTTTTCTTAGGGGAGTAGCAGAGGTTCTGCAGCATCCTCCAGTTCCCAGTGGGGTGGATGAGTAGTGTCTGTGTCCAGAGGTGGGGTTTCCCCAGGGCTATCTGTGGTGAGGTGAGCACTGCTCCTGGCTTTGTAATCTTCAAGCCTGGTTCTCTGTGCCTCCTTGAAAATCTGAAAATGGTTTCACAGCCTTTAACACATTCTTTTTCTATTTAATTAAGCCAGAGAGGGTTTCTGTGGTTTGCAATTAAGAAATCCAATGGATACAACTGGAATCTGAGGATAATAACAAGGAAACAGGATTCTTTCATATATATCTCCTTTCACTGTTGAAAGTTATCAGTAGAATAGGGTTATTTGCCAGGTCATTCTTACAGGAGTCATCATTTACTTAAACTGATATGCTGTTGAGAATAGCCTTCTAGAGAAAGTGAGGCACACCCAGGCAAGGTGTTTTTAAGGGAAATGGGGGTGACTTAATTACCAGTGAAATAGGTATTATTATGAGCTTGGAACTCACCAGTGTGAATCCGTGAGTTTGGAATTCACCAATGGCCTTGGGAATGAGGTCTCCTGAGGATTAAAAGATGATCTATGAAGAAGTCCTGACTAGAGGTCCTCTAGAATGTTCCCGGTTCTTGGCTTGAGAGGTGTATTAAGGGATGGTTGGAACAAAGAATATGGTCTTACTTGAGGCCTGTTATGTGATTCTTTGATTCATTCATTTAACACGTTTTATTGAGTGGCTACTCTGCCCCATGCACATGCATGAGATGCAGCAGTGAACTGGGCAGGGCTTTCGTTTGGTGCTCTGGAGTTTCAAAGTGTTTTCACATTTAGGTGGGGAAAGGAGAACAGCCTTTATAACTGTTTGTAGACATTAAAAATTGGAGAGGTTCAATAATTTATCCACAGAGACATAGACAGTAAGTAGTGGAATTGAGAATTAACTTCAGCTCTTTTGGTTCCAGAATCCTATTTTCTTTCCAGGACACTAGCACCTCTTAGCTGCCAGAGCTCATGCTTACTGTTTCTTCCCTTTTCTAGGGAGGAAGTCTGCATCAAGGAAGAATTAACTTGGTCAATACAGAGGCGGGTCTCCTCTTTCTGGGGCCGGTGGTCTTTCTGTTGCCCTCCAATTCTACTACTCTCCGCTGACTCTGTCATTTATATCCTGATTGGAGACACGGTATTGAGGGCTGCCCTTGATGGGTAACACACAAGGAAGGGAAGACATCAGGGTACATCTTTGGCATGAGGGGTCAGTACTACCAAATAAAGTCAAGTGTGAGAACTGGGGAGAGAGGAAGCACATGAAAGCACATGAAAATTTATTTCATTGTTTTCCCCTAGGGCTGTAGCATTCTAAGAGACATGTGTTCCCCCCTTAGTGATACCACAGTCTAGTGGGTAAGATAAGTATGTACATGACTGAGTCGTTCCTAGCCTCAGGTCTGTGGCTCTTGTACATTTTCCTACTAGATGGCACTGTTTTTTTTTTTTTAGAATTGAAATTTTTATTGAGATAATTGTAAATTATTGAGAAACGTAGATAACATGCAGTTGTAAAAAACAATACAGACAGGTCCCACGTACCCTTTAACCAGTTTTGCCCAAAGGTAACATAGAAAAATATCACAGCTAGGATATTGACATTGACAGAATCCACTGATCTTATTCAGATTTCCCCAGTTTGACTTGTACTCATGGATGTGTGTGGATGTGAATGTGTGTATTTAGTTCTATGTAATTTTATCACATTAGTTTGTGTATCCACCACCACAATCAAGATACAGAATAGCTCCATTGCCACAAGGATCCCACATGTTGTCTATCTCTATTTTTTATAACCACAGCTTCCTCCCTCCCTGACATTTTTTTTTGTCTCATGTGTTCTTGGTGCCTATAAAGATACTTAATATATTTGTGTTATATGAATAAATGAATTAACAGTGCCATAACATATACACATAAACACATGCGTAGTGGATTTGGAGGGCAGAGGAAGGAGCCATTCCTTTGAGCTGGGCCTTAGAAAGAGAAGAGGCAGGACTTAATGGTGAGCACTATGGACACTCATGACTTGGATGGGTGAGCACAGTGACTAATCTCCTGTGCTCAGGGAGGGAGTGCCTGGGTTCAAATTCCATTTCTACCACGTTTTGTATGAGTGGCCCCAGAGAAGTGGCTTAACTTGCTCAGGTTCCTCATCTTTAAAATAGGGATGACACTAGTGCCTGCTTCAGGGATTGCTGTGGGATGGAATGGGCTGGTGCATGTACAACACTGGGCAGAGTACCTGGCACGTGGTAGGACTTAATAAGCAGATGTTGCTGTTCATGGTCTTGGTCTTTGTAGTTTGAGGAGGGCCTCTGATGACTTGGGATGGAGATCACGTCTATACCTCCCTTTGTGAGGAGGCATGGGTTGAGCATCTTCCTGGAGACTCCCATGGCTGACTCCCACCTCCACCCCACTGGGGTTCTACTCTTCTTGACAGGCCCTTTCTGCTATGGTTTTGAATATGGTGTTTACAGGATCCATTAATGACTTTGGAAACATCCTTTGGTGGTAGGCTTTAGAGTTGTCAAGAGACCCCAAAGCCATAAGGGTAAGAACAGCAAACCTACACCCTTTGAAGCTCTGGAGGCCCTGCCTGCATTTTCCGCAGTATCTCTTATTGTATCTCATGGGGAAAATGATATGTTAATGGGAAGTTGTAAATCTGCCCAATAACCAGGGCAGGGTCTTGTGTACCAACAGATCCACTAAAACTGCATGGTCGATGGATGAGTTTTACCCCAGCCTGAGCTTCTTCCACGGAGACTGGTAGAAGACTGGAAGAATCAGCTCTCTTTCTCTTTCACTTCCTCTTTGTGGGATCAAGGAGGGGTGTTTACTAGGAATCTCATCTGGGATTAGTGTGTCTGGACCTCTCTTGGTTCCATTGAAATTCACTTGCTATGTACACATCTGTTGTGAGAAAAACAAATTGTTTTGGTTTACAAAGACAAAGGGCAGTTAGTAAGTACCGCAGGATATGGGTTAAGAAACCCTCACAACCCTCTGCCAAGTATCCAACCCACTGCAATAGGCCAGTGCAGGAAAGACCTGTTAGTAACTGAACTGCAAAGACAATGTATTTTTGTTTGTTTTCTCTTTTTCAAGGATGAGATTGAACAGAGCCTGAGCAGTTTTCTTCCATCCCCAATTTCTCTACAAGTGACATCATCAACAATTCATTATGTGCTATCAAATATTGTTGCCTGTTTCTTTTTGTTGCAAATATTAAAATCTCAACAGTCAAGGCACTTAACACAAAAATATAGGCAGAGAACTCTTTCCCAATTACAGGGCACATCCTGCTGGGGGTATAAGCCATAATTTTAGGGAGTGCAGTGACATGGAACTAAATATTGAAGTACAAAAACAGTTATTTTAAAAAATATCTTACAATTCTGCTTTTGCAAAAGAAATCTTATCTGTAACAGCTCTAGCTCTCTAAAACTTGCCAATTCTTTTTTGAATAAGGAGAGAATAGGCCTTTTACTCAGAACCATCTCAGTCAACAGCTTCTATTAGAGCTGCAGTTTATTTAACAGTGTCTTTCTTCCCCTACCGTATTTATTTTATTTTATTATTATTATTTTTGAGATGGAGTCTCGCTCTATAGCCCAGGCTGGAGTGCAGTGGCGTGATGTCGACTCACTACAACCTCTGCCTCCTGAGTTCATGCGATTCTCCTGCCTCAGCCTCCCAAGTAGCTGGGATTACAGGTGCACACCACCACACCCAGCTAATTTTTGTGTTTTTAGTAGAGACAGGGTTTCATTATGGTGGCCAGGCTGGTCTGAAACTCCTGACCTCAGGTGATCCACCTGACTCAGCCTCCCAAAGTGCTGGGATTACAGGTGTGAGCCACCGTGCCAGGCTCCGTATTTATTCTTAAAGTTACTTTCTTTTAAGGCATGTGTTACTCATTTTCTGTTTAAAATAGAACATAAGTTTTAATATAAATTCATTTGAAAAATAACTGATGAGCTAATTTTAAAAATTAAGTTAACAACGGTGAAGGAGGGATTTGGATCTGGTAGTTTCCTGAAGGTGGCATTCAAATTAGCCAAAGCAGGAATGCATTGGCGTAATGGTGGGGGGAGGACTGGGCAAAAGAAGAACTAGTTTCTAGAATTAGATCCTTCAGCAAGTACAATAGGAACCTGGGCAACTTACAGCTTCTCTGGGCTTCTTTTCCTTTATCTGTAATTAGGGCGTTGGAGTATTAAACACATTCATTGAGCACCTGCATTTGCAAAATATTGTGCTTATGTGTATGAGGCTACTGGTGATGAAAAGAGTATAAATTCTACCCTTCAGGAGTTTACAGACAAAAACAAAATCAGGCCAACCAAACAAGCTATTGCTGTGCTAGTAGAGGAGACAGACAGGTAAAAGGGTCAACTATCAAAGAACAGGATGTGGCTGGGTTCTGGCCCTGGTTCTGCCACTAATGACCTGATTTTATACCAGCCATTCAACCTCTGTGAGCCCCAGGTTTTTCTTGATTGAATCAGTGCCTTCCCCTGACCCACACCTGGTGTGTCCGAGGGTTTCTTTTTCTGAGGAAGAGGAGCATCTTTCAGCAAATGGTGTAGGTCTGGCTGTTCCCACTCCATGGCTGGAGGGCTCTGGACAGCTCTAAAGCTCATCACTAAAGGATGTCCCCAAAGTCATTAATGGATCCTGTAAATGCAGTGTTCCAAACCAGAGCAGAAAGTAACATGTCCTGTTGCCCAGACCCTCCTCATCCTTCAAAGCCATGGTTATTTGACATGCCCTTGGAGAAGTCTGCTCCCCACCCACTTCCCCCTATAGTCTGATCTTTCTATCATAGCATATGTGTGTCTGTGTGTGTGTGTGTGTGTGTGTCTGTGTGTGTGTAGCCTCACACTAGCCTATAAGCTGCCAGACACAGGGATCAGGTTTTCACTTTCCCCCTAGTGCATAACTCAGTGTCTGGCACGTAGCAAGCAGCACCCAGCTCTTATGCATATGTGTGCACACACATGTGAGTGCATGTGCACACATGCACAGGTCTGAGTGTGTTGGTGATGAAACAAAATGTGGAAAATAATTGAATAAGGCAAGATTTTAGAATATCAGTTTCTTATTGAGCAACATGAGGAAAAGTATATGAAACAAAAATGGACAGCTCAATAAACGATCAAAGTGAAGTCATGTAACTATCACTCAGATCTAGAACCAAGGCACTGTGGTCATTTCCAGCCTCCCTTTCTCCAAATCCTATCCGGTTTCACCATTTTTCTTGCTTTTTTTTCCAGCTTTTTCTCATGAAGTTTTATTTTAAAAATTTTCTATTTATTTTGAGAATCTGCAGAAGCATTTCAAGATAGAGTAATAAACACCTGTAGGCATTTTACCTTGATATGGTAGTTAACATTTCACCATCTGTTTTCTGTTTTCTCTATATCCTTGCTTTTTTCTGAACCATTTAGTCATAGACATCATAATGCATAATCACCAAATAATTCATTATTCATCATTTCCTAAGAACAAGGGGATCCTCTTGGCCACAATACTCCCTCCACTCCACTCAGGAAATTGGTATAATACTATACTATTGATACTTTTTTTTGAGACCAAGTCTCACTCTGTCACCCAGGCTGCTGGAGTGCAGTGGCGCCACGTCGATCTCAGTTCACTGCAACCTCCGCCTCCAGGGTTAACTGTTGATACTCTTGATGCAGTACCATTATCTAATATGGCACATGTTCTGATTTCTCCATTTGTTCCAACAGTGTCCTTTATGGGTAAGGGAATTTATGTCTTTGGTCCAGGATCCAAACAAGGATCATGTGTTGCATTTAGTCACAATGTTTCTAGTCTCCTTTAATACAGGGCAGTTCTCCCAGTTTTTGCTTTTGTCTTCATTAATTTGACATTTTTAGAGAGTCAGCATTGACATTTTAGAGATTTTAGCAGACTTTTTTCTCAATTTATATTTGCTTGATTATTCCTTTATAAGTAGATTCAGGTTGAATTTTTTTTTTTTTCCTAGAGAAGCACTTGGATGGTATGTTCTCAATGTATGGCTGGAGGAGGCATGTGCTATCAATTGGCTCATTATTGTGGATCACTGTGATCATTTGATTAAGTGGTACCACCAGACTGCCCCCAACAGCCTTTCATCTAATGGTTTTAGCCTCTGATGTGGTTTGGCTCTGTATTGCCACACAAATCTCATCTCGAATTATAATCCCCACGTGTTGGGGGGGAGGGGTCCTGGTGGGAGGTGATTGGATCATGGGGGTGGATTTCCCCTTGATGTTCTATGATATTGAGTTCTCATGAGATCTGATGGTTTACAAGTGTGTGGCACTTAACCCCTTGCACTCTCTCTTTCCTGCTCCGCCATGGTAAGATGTGCTTGCTTCCCCTTCTACCATGATTGTAAGTTTCCTGAGGCCTTCCAGTCATGCTTCCTGTTAAGCCTGTAGAACTGTGAGTCAGTTAAATCTCTTTTCTTTATAAATTGCGCAGTCTCAGGTAGTTCTTTATAGAAAGGACTAATACAGCCTTCATTGATGATTCTTAGCTAATTAATGATCACTATAAGGATTGTAAAATGGTGACTTAAGTTTTTTTCTTTTATTTCCTCTATGTAAAAAAATATATTTCTCCTCTCCTTTCCTTTCCAACCCCCTTTCCCTTTTTATTATCAGTATGAGCTTATGGATTATCTATTTAACATGTTATAATCCACTCTTATTTATTTTGATAATCAAATTGCCTCATATTTTGCCACAGGGAGCCCCTTCTGTTTGGCTATGTTCTTTTGACATTTCTCCATCAGTTTTTGAGCACTTCCTTAGTTTCTGGAATAATAAGATATTCCACGTTCATTTTAAGAGAGGAAATTGAACTAAGCGTCTAAGCTCTGCTGATTAAAATGTTTACAAAAATACGAATGAGAATCAAAGTGCAAATTCAACACTGGCAAATACCTCTCTGAATTTTGGCAAAAACAGCAGGTTTTTGACTAGCCTTATCCATCACTGAAGTGCCTAGAAATGTATCATAGGATAATCACTGCTGTCTCTGAGGGGCTTCTGGGTGCAGACCCTGCTGGTGATCAGGAGACACATGGGTTCAGGGAAGTGCAAGCTCCTGAACACCCGCTCAACACAGCTCCTGGCAGTATCCATGGTGATGGAAGACAGAAAGCATATGGTAATTAAAACCACAAGTTAAATGATTTTATCCAGTGATTTTTACTCTGCTTCATGAGCAATATGATGAGAGCAATAGACCAACTATAAGATTCTGTTTGCCTTGCACTAATTTTAATTTTTGGTGCTGTCATGTCTGTAGAGATGGGAACGCACAGTAAGGGGGACCAACAGAAGGAAAATGGAGAAAGTGATGAGTTTAAAATCCTGCGAACTGGCTAATGCAAAAAAAAAAAAAAATCAAATCTGAAAATGTTTTTCCAAAGCGTTTCCTAGGGTTGGGAACTTCTAGATGGTTTGCATTTCACTTGCTTCTCAAACAGCTGTGCAGTGTTGGCTGAGGGTGTGGAAAGGAGTGAATAAGCCTGCGTATTAGGATGGGAAGAAAAATAACCTCTCGGTCAGATGCATGTCCCCTGGGATCTGATGTTACTGTAGGAGGAATGCCAACAGCCTAAGTGAACGGTCCATACGCTTTTAAATTGCTCTGAACCCCCCAACCCATTGTTTCAAGCATAGAACCAGAAGATAGACCACATTGCTCAGGGGACAAGTTCAACGAGAAGGCTAAATCCTGGGGATGGTATGCAGAGCAGCTGATTCCTCCCCGACAGTGTGGTGTCCTACTTTTTTACCTGATTTTCAGGGTCCTTTATATTATCTGCTGAGTTAATTAAGACATTGCTCTCACAGTTTAGAAAGTACATTGACATTTTTAGATAAAAGATAATTGCAGCCTGTTTTTTTTTTTTTTTTTTTTTTTTGTAAACAGTGCTGAATTTTCTAAGGCAAATTAAGGGTACTGTAACATTTCATGTACTTGGACACAATCACCTGGCATTTTCTGGTCCTCCAGTTGTTAAGAGGGTAACTATTAATACAACAAAAGCAGATATGTAGCATTCATGCTGTCAAAAGTCACACTCCAGGGGATATTCAGTAGTTGAGTCAGCAAATACACACACCACTGTTCTTTTTTATCTTGCCCATAGCAGACACAAATCATCTATCCCAGCTTCAAAACTTTCTGAAGCAGTTCTCGAGGGAGCCACTGACAATTGATAAAAGCTTATATTTATTAGATACCTAGATCAGAGATCAGATGCAATCTATTCTCTCACTCCTTTTACCTGACCATTGTTGGTTAAAATGGTTATCCTCATACAAGGGTCTTAACTGTTAAAGAACATTTTTTTTTGTGATGTGGAGTGTCGCATTTGTTGCCCAGACTGGAGTGCAAAGGCAAGATGTTGGCCTACTGCAACCTCCGCCTCCTGGGTTCAAGTGATTCTCCTGCCTCAGCCTCCTGAGTAGCTGGGATTACAGGTGCCCACCACCATGCCCGGCTAATTTTTGTATTTTTAGTAGAGGCGGGGTTTCACCATGTTGGCCAGGCTGGTCTCGAACTCCAGACGTTAAGGTGGTCCGTCCACCTCGCCCTCCCAGAGTGCTGGGATTACAGGCGTGAGCCACCATGCCCAGCCTGTTAAAGAACACTTAATAATGCTCACTCTATCCTAATTCACTGAACGAGGGAAACAGATGAAGTCAATTAACAAATACAAAACCTTCCATTCATCAAGAAAGGCCTCGTACTAAAATACTTAAATTCTTTTATCTATCTAGCTAGATATTATCATAAATTTTATGAAAGATCACCTCTAAGACTGCTGGTTGGCTTGTGGACCAATTAGCTGGACCAATGGGTGAGGTCACATAGTACGAGAATGGCCTGATCCCTGAGAAAAGGCCTTTGAGTGTCTAGTCCTACAGGTTTAGGGATGAGCCGAGACCACCTAATACTCATAAAACCCTTGATACTCACGTTGGAAAGAAGATAGGAGGCAGTAACAATCTGTGAGAATTAATTTTTTCATATAAAATTGCTTTTGTTTTTCTCATCTAGAATATTAACAACTTTAGAAAAGGAACTTCTTTCTGATTCTTTTGTGTGTACTCATGGCCGAATATAGATAATTGGTCAGTAATACAAGATTTATAATATGCTTTTCAACAAATATTTAAATAATAAACTTGCTTCACTTTTTCTATTTTAGAAAAATATATTTTTTTCTGATATCAAAGTAATTGATGGGCCTTGTTCAAATGTTGCAATATACAGAGATATATAGGAAAGAAAAAAACCCCAAGAGATGACAGCATAAAACATAGTACTAAGAGATGTTAAGAAACATCAGTCGTAATCTCTGATTTTGTGCCAGTAACTTTATTGCTCTAGGCCTTATTTCTCCATCTAAAAATAGTTCTACTTACTGCCAAGATTATGAAGGCTAATGACACCTGATCAGTGAAGTGTTTGCTTATTACATTGTAGGTCATCAACAGCAATGAGTTCCTCCATCCTATCATACCAAGAACACTTCCTTTTCATTACTGTGCTTTTCAAGGACAGAGAAGAAGGAAAACCTGAGGAGGCTCAGTTTAAGTCTCTTGACCCTAAGGTGACCCTTGTTTGCTCTTTCAGATAACTCTCACCTAACTATGTTTACACGGGGAATACCTCCTTGGTACATGGGAATGCATATTCCCATTAAGCTTCACACATTTTGAGCTTTTGCATCTCCAGAAAATTTACAGAAAAGCTACATCATGACTTGCATCACTGGATTTACTCCCTTTTCATTCAGGTGTTGAATCATGAATGGGAGTTGAGGTTCAGTCACTGACTTTTGACATTTGGTGGAACCATTTTTAACATGATCTACTGGGTAATGCCCACAATAATAAGTCCAGTGCTAAAACTTGTAGATAACTTAGAATCCATTGCTTGTTTAAAAGCTTATACAATTTACCTGAAATTTTTTTTTTTTTTTTTTTTTTTGAGACAGATCCTCATTCTGTCACCCAGGCTCAAGTGCAGTGGTGCGATCTTGGCTCACTGCAACCTCCACCTCCCGGGTTTATGCAATTCTTGTGCCTCAGCCTCCTGAGTAGCTGGGACTACAGGTGCCTACTGCCACACCCAGATAATTTTTTGTGTTTTTAGTAGAGATGGGGTTTTGCCCTTTTGCCCAGGCTGGCCTCAAACTCCTGAGCTCAAGCTATCTACCTGCCTTGACCTCCCAAAGTGCTGAGATTGCAGGTGTGAGCCATGGCGCCCAGCCTTTACCTGTCTCTTGAGATGACACCTATTTCAAATATCCAAAAGTATCACATTTTCTAAAAATACAAACAAAGCTTTAATATAATAGATAATTACTTTTTTATTCTTCAAGGGAAGAGTACACTGTTCGAGGGTTGCCTGGGTCACTTGCTTTTTTTGCCTGCTTTTCAGCAATTGCATTGCACATTCATCTGAGCATAGCAAGGGAAGAAAATATCAAACCCTTAGTTTTGAGGCTGTGTAGTAATGCCAAGAGAAGCATAGGTTTGTACTTGCTGGAAGATGGGGCTTGGCAGCATTTCTCAAATTGTGACCTGTGAAAAACCAATGTTCCAGTCTCCACTGAGGTGAGCTAAATAACACATCTTGTCCATTCAGTTTGGGAACCATGACATTCTGTGGTACTTTTGTATTTTTGATAAATTTTATTACATATTGTTAAGTCTAAGAAGTCCTAGGAGACCAGGTTTACCCCAGTGTTTTCAAAATGCAATTCAAAATGGAGCCTCCTTATTAGTGGAAGGTCTATTTGTGAATCCCAAGATCTGGATTAGAGTGCTGTTAGGTCCTCCAAAAAGCAGGTTCCAAGATGACATTACTGAAGTGCTGGAGATTTATTCGGGGAGCATAAAGGGGAAGGAGCAGGACAAGCAAGAAGGGTCTTTAGGCTTTGTGGGTCTGACACCTGTGACAGAGAAGGGAAGGAAAATTGCCTAGAAAGAATCTTCTAAGAAAGTTTCCTGCAGGTCGTTGGGGAGTCTTGTGTCCCAAGTCACCCATTAGAGGAGTCTCATGTCTTGCAGGAAGGGACTTGAGTTAGTTTGCTTGCTGTGCTTAGCCCATAGGATGCATGGCCTCAGTGTGATGCAGTGACCGGCAGGAAGACTCAGCAGCTGGAGCTGTCAGTCAGCGTGTGCTCCCTGTAGCTGGAGATTGAGCGGCATACTTTCATGACCACCCCTGTTTCCAGTTGCACCCCTTGTTAGAATAAGTCACTCAAGGCTTCTGGAACCTAAACAGTTACTGTATCAAATGGGGGACCTGTCCTTTCTTCCTCACATAGCTACAAATGAAAGCTCTTTGCAACTTACAAAGCATTCCAGAAATAGGATTATTATGGGGTGGCTAAAGGCTTTTCAAGTGTATCAGCTGTTAGCATGGCACTGTGCTCTTGACCCAAAGGCAGTGTCTTATTCATCATTGCCCTGGATTTCCCACAGGACAACCACAGTGCTAGGCATCTAATAGGCACTCATTAAATGTTTGTTAAATTACGATAACAACTGTTGTGAGTTCTCCAAGGAAACACTCTGTGACTAAGGCTGTAGGTGGGATAACAATTGTAGACACTGAAATGCATTCCCTCTGGCAGGAGGCAGAGCATGGGGGAGGGTGGTGGTGGATTTGTATTGATATAATCTGCCCTTGTATCTGGATCCTGTGTAGCAGTTCATGGTAAGGGCATTATTCCTGGAAGAGGGACGAGGGCTAGGGGAAGAGTTACAGAACTTTTTTTTTTGAGACAGCGTCACCCAGGTTGGAGTGCAATGGTGCGATCTCAGCTTACTGCAACCTCCGCCTCCCAAGTTCAAACAGTTTTCCTGCCTCAGCCTTCTGAGTAGCTGGGACTACAGGCACGTGCCACCAAGCCTGGCTAATTTTTGTATTTTTAGTAGAGACGGGGTTTTGCCATGTTGGCCAGGCTGGTCTTGACCTCCTGGCCTCAAGCAAACCACCTACCTTGGCTTCCCAAAGTGCTGGGATTACAGGTGTGAGCCACTGCACCTGCTCAGAGTTTCACATCTTTTTGCTTTGTAATATGATCTGTCTTTTGCATCTCTAAAATAATTCTGATGTTAATTGAATTGTAAAGAAAATTCCCAAACTTTATCCTAGATAATTGTAGGGCATCACCCCCTACTCCTGAAGCTTATTTCCCAGAGCTGTTGGCATTGAATGCTTTAAGTTTTACCAAATCATCCTTTCTCTGCTTTGGGAACATCCTAGTCAGGGCTAAATGTTTAAGGAACAAGCACAGGGAAAGAGGGGAAGGAAAGGCATGGAGGAGATTTGTAATGGGGTAATTTCTCAAAAGGTTGACTGTAGCTTTTCTGTTTGGCTCTAATCTCCTGATGGGTGGCAGTTTTGTCTGTTTCTTTTTGTATATTTATTTATACCAGCTCAGTATTTTGTTCAATAAACGTTTGTGGTGTGAACCTAGGAATGAATTACACATGTCTACTACATGCTGGGTGCTGGGGTGATAAGGGTAAACCAACTCAAGCCCTAATGAAACTTTTTGTCTAATAATGAAAGTGAACAGTAATGGAAAAAAATCACATAAATAAAATTACAAACTATGATGAGTGATGAAAGGAAAAAGCTCTGGGAACCTGGAGAGCTTAGATAGAACCAGGGTACCTGGTTAGTCTGGTGGGGAAAGCACAGAGGTCAGGGAAGACTTTTCTGAGAATGTGATGTTAAGTGGCCCATGAAGGATGGGACAGTGTTAACCAGAGAAAGAGGTATGTGAGGGGCATTTGGATTCCAGCAGAGAGGAGCACGTGCAAAGATCTGGAGGGAGGGAGCATGTTCCAGTCGAGTCACTGAAGGAAGGTGGTGTGGCCAGAGCAAACCACAGGGATGCAGTAGGAGAGGAAGCAGAGAGATTTGAGTACAGGGTGGTCCATTTGGTATTTTCCTGTGCTGTGCCATCAATAATCCTTATTACTGGATGTCTACTGTGTAGCCAGATGACTTCTGTTGATATGTGTACTGTATCTGGATCACACACAGCAGGATCATGGTAAGGATACAATTCTGCAGAAAAATAAAAGGAGAAATAAACTTAAATTCTGGGAAGAGGGGTTTGAACTTTAGAAAGCTTTGGACTCCGTGGAGTTATTGAACTCTGATAAGAGTTGCCATGAGATCTTGTTTTTGTGAAGAATTTAAAGAACAGAGCAGACGAGGGAAGGAGGCTTGGCTACCTTGAAAGGGTACTGGATTAGGGGTTCCAGCTCTTGCAGTGCCATGATCAGCTGTGTACCCTCGGACCACCTCATCTTTTAAATAATCACTTCCCCCAGTGGTAACATGTGAGGTTGGAATTCAACAACTCTGACCATCTTTGATTCCGAGTGGAATCAACTCTATCATGATGGAAAATTGAGGGAGGGATGCGCTAGGGAACCCACTCTGTCTGTGAACCCCTGAGCCCAGGCCCCTTCCTTTGCATGTCTTTTTATGATACATAGGGAGTGGAGGATTGCAGCTCAGTTGGGGATGTTTACGAGGCTGCCTTGGGAGCTACTATTTAACTGCTTAGTCTGTACCTGCAGAACCTTCTCCCCAACCCCTCCCCACACTTCATGCTGCCTCCTTCCTCAGTGCTCTGCACTTTAGAGGCTCCTACACCATTGCCAGCCCACAGGGGTGGCCTCTCAGCCCTCACCGCCAGGTCCTCTTCTTGTCCCAGCACCATACCTAAAACACAAAGGTGCACAATGGAGAGGGCCCAGCATTTCCTTTTCCATGACACCATAAAGACGTGCTAGAGGAATGGACAAGGGGCAGTGTATTCCTTTCCTGGGACTGCCTTGGCCATGTGCCACAAACATGGCTGCTTCAAACAGCATCATCCTCTCACAGTTCTGGAGGCCAGAAGTCTGAAGTCAAAAATGTTGGCAGGATCATGAAGACGATGGGGGAGAATCCTTCCTTGGCTCTTCCAGCTTCTGGTGGCTCCTTTGTTCCTTGTCTTGTGACTGCATCACTCTAATCTCTGCCTCCATCTCCACAGTGTCTTCCTCTCTGTGTCTTCTCCTTTTATGTATCTTAAAAGGTCACTTGTCATTGGATTTAGGGTCCACTGGGTAATCCAGGAGAGTGTCTTCTCAAGATCCTTAATTATATCTGCAAAGATTCTTTTTGTAAATAATGGGACACTCACAGGTTTCAACATGTGGATATATCTTTAGGGGAACCACTATTCAATTCACTACAGGTGGTTTCAGAGGTATTTGACCCATCCAAATGACTTATTTTATTCATTTTTCTCCCTGACAAACTTGACCTTTTTGAAATAGCCTCAGAATACAGGTCCCAAAGATATGCCATAGAGTGGAGGCAGCAGGCTGGAGGGCTGGAGAGCACAGGCTTCTGGGCCAGGTGGCCTCAGTTCAAATCCCAGCACGTACCAATCTCTCTGTGGCTCAGTTTTGCCATCTGTACATTGAGTACAATAACAATACTGCCTTTGAAGACTGTTGTGGAGCTTGTATAGGATAACACTTGTAAAGGTAGCTAGAACTTACCAAAAGTAAAGTGCTCAATAAATGTTAACCATGATAGTGAAATAAACAGTAAAAACATGAGCAGGGGGTGGTGAACATGATTAAAAATCCAAGTATGTCTGGATAGTGGCTGGACCCAGGGCATTGACACTGTCTGGAGCTAGGGCTCTTTTGAGTCTTGATCGACCTCTAATTACCTGCACCTGACTTGAAATAAAACATATTGGCGGCCCCTCCTCTCAAGATCTGCTCTGAGCTTCTGTGTTTGCTGATCAGAGTCGGGCTCTGGCAGCCAACCCGAACAGAGGGCACTCAATTTCAAACAGAGATAGGGAGCTGCCAGGTGCACACACACAGAAAGGACATTCCTGGGAGGTAGCCTGCTGTGCTCCACTGAGCCACTGAATTCCCAAAGGGAGCTTTCCTTCTTCCGAGACAGTGGTGGCTGCTGCCCTTCCTGCTGGGCCGACCTCCTGGGGTCCAGGAAGCTGGTGAGTATGAGTGCTTCTGGGCACAGTCAGGAGCCTTGCTGGTCGAGGTGAGGTCTGTTGCTCTGCTTCTCATTATCGAACTCTGTCCACACCCTTTGCTGCAGCCTGGGCTTCTGGAAGCCCTTGGAGATGCCACTCTTCTGCTTGTCCTTAGAAACCTGGGCCATCATGGATGAGGATGCAGACAGAGGGCAAAGGGGCTGGGCTTGGGTGTCAGACTGCTGTGTGGCTCTAGGCAAGTTCCCTAACCTCTCCGAGGTGAGGTGTTCTGCATTTGGTAAGTACCATTTGGATGGTACACTACTCTGACTAGGTGCTTGAAAAATGGTGGCTGTGATTGATATCTAGGAGGTAACATAGAGTAGAGATCTGACGGGTCAGGGTTTTACTGAAGCCTTGAGACCTTAGGCAGTTTTCTTAACCTTTTAGACTACAATTTCCTTATCTGAAAAAGAGATTAAACACCCCATTCAGATGGCTGATGGAAGGATTAAGTGGAAAAAAAGTATATAGAGCTTTTAGCCCAATGCATGGCTCATTCTACATGCTCAATGAATGGTAGCTATGATGACTGTCCCAGAGCAACCTGAATAATGATAATAAAATTAATGAATATATTTGTTAGATATATTTAACAAATATATTCATCTTATTATATATATTATATATTTAATATATATTTAACACATAAATTCATCCATTTTATTATCAAATATATAGTGAACAAGTATATTGGCTCAATCCCAGTGTGGTGTAGAAGGAGAAGCATTCAGTCAATAACAAGAAGACCCGGCTCTGCCCTCAGCTTGGCCAATTCATAGCTGGGTAACTGAGCAAGTTGCCTAACCTCTCAGAGCCTCAGTTTTCTTGTCTTCAAATAAGAATAGTAACTATTTTCTTTCATATGCCAGGAGGTAAGTTATATATATATATAAATAAATACACATACACGTACACACACTCTCAATCCTTAGCACTCTATGAGGTAGGTACTATTTGATACCCATCTTACAGATGAGGAATTACAAGCATAGAGAAGTTACGCATTTTGCTCTAGGTCACACACTATATGAGGTACAGGGTAACCAGACCTGGGCCTGTGTCTCACCCAGTATGCTGTGAAAATACTACCAGCCTCCTTTCCCTCACAGGGCTTCTGCTAGGGTTCCATATATGGCAAAGTGCTTGGAGGAGTGTAAAGTGTTGTATGAATAGGACCTGTAGGCACAGTTTATCTACTCAGGGTCTTGGCTCCATCCTTCTCCTTGTTTTACATATGTGACACATATCTCTCTATAAGTTGAGCTTTTCAGCAGGAACAGGGAGTGTTGCGTCATATTTATGTATAAGTTCAATATATGGATTTCTCCACTTCTGACTTTGCTCCCATCATAGATTGGGGATCAATGAAGCTTTCCTCATTGTTTGTGCAGTTGGTGAGTTTATCATCTTCAGTAGCAAATCTTTATTGTGTTCCCTGAGTTCAAGGCCTGAGACCAGGCATGACTTTAGACCTCCTTTTGTGTTTCCAAGTTGAGACTGAGAGGACTAGACTGGGAAGCCCCTGTATATTTGGGACTTAATACATCTTGACCCTGAGCTGAGGCTGAAATCCCGAGGATAGTGACTCCTGGAGAAGTTGACAGGACTGAACTCCTCCTCCTGTTCAAGAGGCTCCAACTTCAGCTTCTGCAAAAATAATTTATAAAGAACCTGAGCAGAGCCTGTGCAATGAGGGAGAGAAGGTTTGATGGGATTCTGTTGTTTTGGGGGCCCTGTAAATCCCACACAAAAGGCTCACTGAAGATAAGTTGTTTTTATAAAGCCTCTCCAAAATGCCTTCAAAGTTATGTTTGATTTCATGGGTTGATAGATGAGCCTTCAGGTTTATTTTTTTCTATGCAGGACATCAATGAAAACTGAAGCAATAAATTTCTGGCGGTTACTTTTTTTTAAAGTCATGTCTGAGGTATGGATGATTGGAAGCTCTTTGTGAGCAATTGCACTGAGTTGCCTCATTATATTGCAAATTTTAACTGATTTATAGAGCTTCATTTGACTGTGCTAATTAAGGTTTTTATTCTTGGAACTAATTAGCTTGAGTGAAGTAAATTTTTCCTCCTCTTGGTTATAGAAGCTATTAAAGAACTCAAACATGCAAAGAAAGTCAGATTCTTTGCGAGTCATATTTGAAATAACATATTCATTTTCAGCATTGAACTGCTTTTGCTTTTAACAGATATGAACTTCCTTTCATATGTCTTTAGTATATACAGAAAAATAATTAGGCTATCACTTTTAACCCCTTGGAACATTTTATGTAATATACCGGAGTTCTGAAGTAAAACTCTGTTGGGAAAAAAGTCAATTTTGACTGAATGGGATTCAAAGTGTATCTGTTATCAGAGGTCACTGGGCCTAGGTTTAGAGAGGAAGCGTTGTAGGGGTGTTCATGCTTGCTAAGGTTTTAGCATTCCTAGTGGCTAAACACAGGATAAATGAACATCCAGAAGTACTAGCTCTTCCAATGAATAGATTTATGACCTTGAACTGGTTCTTTCTTTTCTCTGGACTGGACCTCAATTTTGCTATCTGTTTAATGAACAGGTTAGTTTTTTGTTTGTTTTGTTTGTTTTTGAGATGGAGTCTCACTTTGTCATGCAAGCTGGAATGCAGTGGGGAGATCTTGGCTCACTGCAACCTCGGCCTCCTGGGTTCAAGTGATTCTCCTGCCTCAGTCTCCTGAGTAGCTGGGATTATAGGCATACACCACCACACCCAGCTAATTTTTTTGTATTTTTAGTAGAGACAGGGTTTTGCCATGTTGGCCAGGCTGGTCTCAAACTCCTGACCTCAAGCGATCTGCCCGCCTTGGCCTCCCAAAGTGCTGGGATTACAGGTGTGAGCCACGGTGCCCGGGCTGCACAGGTTGGTTTTGATTAGTGGTTTTCAAACTTTAAAACTTAAGTTTATTCACATATTATTCAAACTCATTAATATGTAAAACATAAAAATGGATCCCCTCAGGTACGAGAGGAGGAGTGGTGGCCACATTGGGCCACCTGGTTACATACTCAATCTTCCCTCTCTTCCTCCCACATCTGAACCCTTGTTGCAGACACCTGGGCTTAATTATTATAATCTCTCCCAATTCAAACAACTGAAACTTTTCCAACTCCTACTTGAGCTCGATTTTTTTTCTCTAGTCATTCTGCACAAAGACACGGAAATGACTTTATTATTTCATCTCTTCTTGATCAAAATGGCAGAGTGTACTAGGGCCTAGTGCAGTGCTTGGAACACAACAAGGCTCTGTGTACTTTTTTTTGAATGACTATAAGAGACTGGTGGTAGAGAAATAGCCAACCAATAAAAGGTATTTAGGGGCCAGGTGCTGTAATCCCAGCACTTAGGGAGGCCGAGGAGGGCAGATCACCAGGTCAGGAGATAGAGACCATCCTGGCTAACATATTGAAACCCCGTCTCTACTAAAAACACAAAAAATTAGCCGGGTGTGGTGGCACGTGCCTGTAGTCCTAGCTACTTGGGAGGCTGAGGCAGGAGAATCACTTGAACCTGGGAGGTGGAGGGCAACAGAGCAAGACTCAGTCTAAAAAAAAAAAAGGTATGATGATGAAGAGAAAGAAAAAGGAGGATGCATTAGAAAAGGAAGTGATTTTAAGAAATGGATGGAAACTGAGGCTGGGTGACAGCCAAAGCTGCTGCTCTATTAACAGAGTACAAATTGTTTTTCAGGCCCCAGAGTGAACAATTTCCTTTTTCTCCCCAGCTCCAAGATGAATATTAGGATTATTATCTTTTGCCTGTGTTCTCATTCTTGGAATGATGTTTAACTCTTTTCTTGTTATATGATTCATTTTTAAACAGGACCAAAGAAATTCTATTGAATTCTTGTGGAGCTTTCTATCTATAGACTCCATCTGTCCATTCATCTATCCATAATTCAACATTCATTGAGCCCTGCTGTGTGCCAGGCATGGTGTTAGATACTGAGGGTACATATGTAAACTAGGCATGATTGTTGCCTTCAAAACCTCAGCATCTAATAAAGGAGAAGGATGTTTTTTCAAGTAGCTGTAATGATCCATGTGATAAGTATATAATAGAGATAAGAACAAAGTGCTAGTGGAGTCCAGAGGAATGAGTGACTTGTTGCTCCATTGCAAAACTGGAGAACACATCACATCAAAGGAGGCAGTTGAGTTGGGCCTAGGAGAAAGATTTGGGTGTTGCTAGGTAGAGATCAGAGAAGTCCCCTTCAATGGAAGGCCTACGGTGAGCAATGGTTCGTGGACAAGAGAGTGTGTGAGTTTAGGAGGAGCTGTCCATCAGGCTGGAGTACATGGTTTGAGGATCAGGTGCTGTGTTGGTGAACTGAGGCTATAGTGTGGAGAACCCTAAGAGACATTCATAATAGGTTGAGCTGGTTTTTAAATTTAATTAACGTGTAGGATATAACACTTTAGTGTTTGCAAACAGTATGTTGTCTCTATTATTTCATTTGATATCCATGATTGTCCTGTAAGACATAACTTATCCTCCATTTTACAAATGAAGAAACTGAGGCACAGCAAGGTTGAGGATTTACTCAAGGTTGCATAATTAGCATGTGGCTGTACTGATTCTCAAAGCCAGGGCTTTCAATCTGAAAATCTATGCTTTTTAAAAATTAAATCTTGAAGCATAACATATGAACATAAAAAGCCATACCCACAAATCTTAAGTGTATGAATTGAAAATTTTTGCAAAGGAAATGTAGTAAATAATCTCCAAATCAAATTGGGGAAGTTTGACCTCTTTCTAATGTTGCACTTTCCAATCTACAAGCATGGAATATTCATTCATTCATCTTATTTTGTAATTTCCAGAGTATAGGTCTTGTTTATATTTTTTAGACTTATTCCTGAGTTTTTGAATTTTTGATGCTATTATAAAATCTTTTATTTCTAATTTTAATTTATGATTCTTTGTTTTTGTATAAAGAGGTACAACTGACTTTTATATATTGACTTTGTTTCTAGGTATCCTGCTAAATTCAGTTAGTAATTAAACTAGACAGACACTATTGAATTGGTCAGGGCCTCCAGTGCAGTGTTAAATAGACGGGAAATAGCAGGCATCTTGTCTTTTTTTTTTTTTAAATATCAGAGGACATCTTACATGATGATATGATATGATATATGATATTGGTATGATACTGACTCAAGGACTTTTGTAAATATTGTTTGTCAGATTCAGAAAATTCTCTGTTCCTCTGATTTGCAAAGATGGCTGTGGAATAGAGAGTAGGTTTCAGGAGGGAGAGAACAGAAGCAGAAAGTCCAGTGAAGTGTGCACTAGCACCAGGAGCCATGTGGACACAGAGGAGGGAATGCATGGGAGAGATGTCCTGGGTTCCTCTGTTTCCCCAGTCATTCTTACTTGATCATTGCTCATCTCAGGAAAGCTTCAAAAGGAAAAGGAACACTAAAAGTTGCCAGGATTCTCCTTCTCTGAAGTCCCAAGTAGTGTTCTTGAAGATATTAACAGATATTTAATGATAAAGATGTGGTGGTCAAATCCATTTGGAAAAGTCTGAATAGCACCCTCTTGGAGAGTCACAGTGCACAATTGTGGCTTTGACAATCCTGCAGCAAAGGTAGTAATTTAATTTAGTTTAACATAGCACCCATTCTCCTATTTCCAATGTCCACAGCATCAAAAAAAAAATGAGGTTCAGAGGAATTCCATAGATCCTCTCTTAGTAAGTTTAGGAAGTTTAATGATTCCCATTTGTAATAAAATCTGTTATGGGTCAGTGTATTGGTGTTCCTGAGGTTATAAACATACCCTTCTCTTTACCCTAGACATTCAAAACCAATTGAGAAAGAAACCCAGACATCAAATAGGGATCAAAATACTACCTCAATTGCTGGTGAAGCTCAATTGGAGGAAGCTGTTTGGACTAGAGTCCAGATTGATTTTCAAATACTTCCCTCTGAATCATATGGACTTGCCCACTCAGCTGCAGGGAGGAGAAGCTCTGCTCAGTGGTTACTTCCACTTGCACATCAGAGCAGAAAGAAGAATACAAATGTTCTGTGGGCAGGTAGACCCAAAGGAAGAAAGACCACATGGGAATAAGAGCTTTGGACCTTAGCCCTTCCCAAGTGAGGAATGTAAACATGATGCCGTACTCTAATAATTCCACCAAAAGATAATCAAGCAATATATGGGAGGAAGAAGGTTTGGGGAGTAAAGGAAAAGCAGAAAGCCTAAAAAAGATAGGAGTTTGAAGATTCATTTATGCTGGGACAAAGGGAGAAAGAGCTGCTTGTTCCAAGTGCTGAGAAGTGGTCTGTAGTCTATGTTTGGCTTAAAGGTTGATTTCTTGATGTTTAGGAGAGTGGAGAGCAGGGCTTTAATTAGCCTGGATATTAAGAAGATGGAATAGGAAAGACGAACCATTTTCTTCGGCGCCCAGGCAAGAGGAAGTCTTAGGCTGCGGTGGGGGCGTCTAGTAGTCCTATCTGTACTGCATTGTTGACTTGACTTGCCAATATTTGTTTCTCTATTTTCCTTGCACTCTAAATAGCGCGGTCATGTGTGATGTGCTGATGCTTAGCTGTAGAGGGTGAGGAGCAGGAGAAGATGGAGGCCAGTGACCTCAGGCTGAAAAAGATCCCCCAACCCTTGGAGGATTGTTTCTATTGTGGGCACCGTTGGCATGCCCCAGGGTGGGCAGGAAGCATGCAAGAATAATGCCTCCATTTTCCTGGGGCAGTCCTACAGCCTTGCCCTCTTGCCATTTTGCCCTTGAACACTTAGCACATTTCTCTGAAGGGCTATGAGAGGCTGGCTTAATAGGGATGGGCTTTACACAGTGTGGCTCTGAATTATTCCTGAGTCATTCTTGGTTCAGAGAAGCCAAAGGAAGAGGAATTAATTAGCATCCTTGGAGGTGTATTTCCTAGACTCAGCTGACTCTTGCAGGTGAAATATTAAGATTCTCAATCACTGTTTGTTGAGTTGTGATATTTGAATCTCATTATAATGCTTGAGGGGACTATAATGTACAAAATTAGGGGCTAACACAGAAACATCCACCTACTATCACAATGAGATAAAGGTTTCCAAAACACAGTATGCAAGAATGAACTGCCTCCCGTGAGACTGGGAGCCAGGGCCCATCCATTCAGGCCATTAGCCTTGCTTGAGACATTTTTGATCCAGAAGAGGATTGTTCTTTTTCTCCTGAACCTGAGCATTCTGTTCCTCCAAGGCTGAGCTAATCCTGTGCATAAATAGAGAAGGTAGCCAATTTTGTGGGCTAATTGTAGGGGTTGAGGTTGAGTGGAAAGGAAGTAGACGTGGATTATAAAGTGCAGCCTATGCAAATGTATCTACTAAAGGCTCTGAATTTAATACATTTAATAATTCCTTTTGGTTAAGAAATTATTTTAAATTTCCTTTAGATTTCTCTTTGAGAGGATAGCTCATTGGTACTGTCTACTTAACCACAAGGGTTTGTAAACCTGTGGCACATTAGAATCACCAGGGGAGCTCAAAAACCACCGAGCCTTTGTCCCATCACTGACCAATGAAATCACACCCTAGGGGATGGGATCTGGTCAAGTGTGGGGCACAGTTTTAGAAAGCTACCCCCATATGGATTAGATGTGTAGCCAAAGTTGGGGCATCATTGCCTTAATGAAATAGAACATTGAATAGGTAAGTTTTGATAAGAAAATCATGGAGAGAGAGAACTTACAGAGGCATGGCAAGGCAGAGTAGTCACATGGGTCTATATTTTAACAATTTCTATTGAATTCTGCAACACAACTGCTTCTATGTGTAGTGGTTTGCCGTTAATGAATATATCCCAGTCTTAGAAAGATGAGGACCCAGATAGGACATCCTCAAGAAGATATTTCCCGTCAGGCTACTGGGAATTTACCCAAAGGCTTTTAAGATAACCTTTGAATGGTGGAAAAATTTTGTGATTTTGTTTTGTTTTTAAGCTAGACCTCATTACATACAAATTTATTCTTTGGATGGAAAGAATTCATCAAATATATAAATATAATTTTTAAAGTTTGTAATGATTTCACATAAATAAATTCTCAGCTAAAGTCCGCCCCCTGCCCTCCCCAGCCCCGTACTGGGTGTTATGGCTTTGGGTTTGGAAGGTGAGGTGCACAGGTAACCTGTATCCTGAGTCCTCTTAGGTAGAGAAGAGAGCAGCATGGGCCAGTACTGGGCATGCTGTTGACACAAGTAACTTAGTGTTTGGCCATTTGGCCTGAGCTGCCTCCATTCTGCAGTGAAGGTGGAGAAGGTGATTCCAGAAGGGGAATCTGGTGACACAAGTGGGAGAACACGTGGCAACTCTGGCTGTGAGCAATTTTCTAATCCTGGCTTTGCCGAGCGGTGGACATGACATTACATTAGCTACGTGTACAGCTTTTAATAGTTCAGCATGAGGGATCAATAAGGTCATCTATGTAACATCCCAGTGAGAAAAAGCAGAACTAACCTTATGGCCACTTCCTGAACAAGAGGAACAGAAGAGGAGCCTGGAGCTCAGAGAAGTCCCAGGGCCAGCTCCAGTGACACAGTTAGAAAGTGGCCTACATGAGACCCACACTCAAGCAGTCCAGCCCCTCTTTCTTGTGCCAGGCTGGCTGCCTCCCTGCAGTGCGGGCCTTGTGGTTAAACACTGAGTGATGCCACCTGAACAGATGTGCTGAGCAAATCTAACATGTGCCTCATTTAATGCTCTTATTGTTTGGATACAGATATCGGAGTCGCAGTAGCTTTCACCCTGAGGAGACCAGGTTGGTATGAGGGTTCCTGTGTACCTCTTGCCTTATCTTGGGGATGACCCTGGGAGGATATTATGATCCTAAACCAGAAAGCCCTATACTTTTTGTGAAGTGGGAGGGTTCTCATGCTGGAATTCTCTGCAGAGTAGAGGTGGTTGGGGATGTGGTGGCAGCTGCCTTAGTGGCTTACCAGGTAAGTCTTCCTGATTTGATGGTTGATCCCAATACATTGTCTGGAAACCCCTGAAATCCCCTTATTTGTCAGCAAGCATAACATCATCTTCCTCGTGGTATGCTGTGGGGATCCTAGGAGATAATGTGTATAAAATGATGCTCCTGGCACATAGTGAGTGCTTTATACAGGTGTAAAAAAATTGTAAACTCACATTTCCTTGTTATGAATATTGTGACACTTTGTAGCACGCTTTACACTTGACAAACATTGTTTTCTATTTTAATATCACCCTGTGAATTGGGTAAGAAATGTCCTTGTGTCACATGGGAAGAAATATGCATCTGAGTTAAGTATCCAACCCCAAATTCTAGAGCTAACAATGAATTCAGGCAGGTGCCCAAGCTGAACCCTGTGTCACGGGTTCATTTTCTACCTCCCAATCTGCCAGTGGCACCATCATTCTGGGCTGGTGAGCCATGCCTCCTCTTACTGCTCCATGTCACAAGGCTGTGGAGAAGAAATCAATTTTCATCAAGAAACCTTTTCATGCTGGGAGTCATGCTGGGTGTGCCCTTGATGACTGACTCACAGTTTCAGGCAAACAACCTTGTGTGTTTGTGATACTAACATCAGCCCACCCAAGAGGGCCGCGCTGGTTGTAAATCCTTCGGGCATTCCTGGAAGTTTATTTGGCTTACTCTTCAGCAGGCCTGAGCTGCGCCTAGACCACTGCTTCTCAACACTGGGTCTGCCGTAGAGTAATTAAAGATCTCTGAAGGTGGTTCGAGATATCAGTATTTTTATAAACTTCCTTAGGCGACTCCAATGGGCAGCAGGGTCCAGAGCTCTTGGCTTCAGAAGGGCAGGGGTGCCTGTCTCTACAAGGTGGGGCATCTCGTCCTCTTCCCCAGCCCATGACAGCGTCTTCAGCCATGCCCCAATGCATCAGGCGCTGGCTTCCCTACAGGAGAACTCAGAACGCTGAGGCTACCCATGACGAGGATGTCAGCTCCCGAAAGGAACCTTATGTCTCCCTCGGCAGATACTGTCTTTTATTATTAGCAACTCCCTATTTATGGATGGAAGTCATTTAGTTGCTTCAAGCAGCCTCCAGAGCCCAATGGCCACGTTCCCAGGAACATCAGATTCTGCCTCTTTGAACTGCTCATGGCAGGGGGCACCTGGGGACCATAAATGCTGATTCGGGGTTGGGAAGGTACTAGCTTTAGGTCCCTGGCTTGGGAACGACCCTTTGAAAACAGAATAGTGAAAACTATTATTGGAAGTCCTCCTTGTGTATGTTCTCCAGAGATTCCTGGGAGATTTAGGATGATGTTCTCATCAGAGGATGATGGCAAATCAAAGGGGGAAAATGCTACCTCCAAGAAGGGCACTTATTTAGCACTTTCTATATCCCAGATGCTGTCTTAGATGATTTGCTACATTACCTCATTTTATTCTAACAATCCTGTAGAGTAGTTCTTTCCATTATACACAGGAGGAAACTGAGGATCAGGGAGGTACTGGACTTGCCCAAGCAGTTAGGGGTCCTGTTCACATCTGGGTGCTTTCAGAGTCCATTCTTTCCATCCTAATGTATCTCAGGGTCTCAAAGGATCCTTGAATTCCCCTGGGCCAGTCCCCCCTTCTGATGCCTTGTCTTCTCTACAACATCCTTTAACAGTGGTTCTCAGGCCTCTGCTTGCATGCCTCCAGGAACTGGAACCTCATTTCCTTGCAAAGTAGTTCACTCCACTGTTCAAACAGCACTGATGTGGGAGCTCCTTAATTCCTTATCTGAATTAAAAAAAGCAGGACATACATTGAATAAGTGAGCAAATAAGTGAATAGAATAAGTGAATGAGTTGAGTGAACATCTATCTCCTAGAGCCTTCCACTCACTGGTCTTAATCCTACCCTTAGGACAATAAGAATAATTAAGGTTTATTGAGGAAATAGTATGTTCCAGGTACGGTGCTAAATACTTTCCATTTATTATCTCATTTCACACATGAGGACCCTGAAGTTTAGAGAGACTAAGTGACCTGTTCAAAGTTGCAGAGATAGTACTGGGATTAGAATTGAGGCAGTCCAACTGTGGAGGCTGATCTTAACCACTGCACTCCACACATCCTAAGTCCTAAACATATAAGCAAAATGGGAGACTGTGATTGTTCCGCTGCTTTTCACGTTCAAGGCCCACAGATATTCACTGAATGGGATTTGAGCCTTTGCTGCCGTCTCCTCCCTTCGCCTCCAAATGTTCACTTCCTTGTTCCTTCCCCTCCTCTCTCCAGGGCTGGCCAGGCTGCCTGCATCAAGGCCAGGACTTTCCTCCAGCCCAGTTTCATCCATCTGTGCCCCAGAGCCCTGTTCTCAGCAGTCCCCCAGCTCAGAAAGGGGTTCTGTAGGAGGCTGGCAGAGCATTAGGAATGCTCTTGTCTGTCAGAGACCATGGACTAGGGAGCTTCCTGTAATGAGAAGGAGGCTTACGGGCATGGTGGCAGGCCCCTGTAATCCCAGCTACTTGGGAGGCTGAGGCAGGAGGATTGCTTGAACCCGGGAGGTGGAGGTGGCAGTGAGCTGAGATCGCGCCACTGTTCTCCAGCTTGGGCAACAGAGCAAGACTCCATCTGGGGGTTGCAGTGGGTGGGGAGAGAAGGAGGCTTGGAAATGGCTTCCTGCTTATGGCTAACAATAACAATAATAGCAGTGGACCTTCTGGGCATGTGTCATGTGCCAGCTGAGCTGTGCGCTTATGGTGAGACCTCAGTAAGTTCCAGGCCTTCTTGACCTTGGTCTCGAGAGCCCAGGTCTGGTGATGGTGTTTACTCTGCTGAAGGGAATGGACAGGCTCTGGCTGCCCAGTGGTTAGACCCTGGGCTTTGAAATCAGGCAGGCCTGGGATCCAGTGGTAGCTCTGATGCTCAGAACTGTGTGACCTTAGAAACATTGCCCGGCCTCTCTGGGCCTTGGCTCCTCATCTGTAAGGTGGGCAGGAGAGGGTTGCTGTGGTGATAAATGATGTGACTGCTTTTTTATGCCTAGCAGAGTGCCTGGTGATCCAGGAGAAATAGAAATTTCAGCTAGTGTTGTTAGTATTCAGTTTGCCTCGCCTACGTGCAATTCCAGGTGGACCTCACGATTCCAATTCGGGTGGGATTTTTGTGGTTTCTGCAAAAGCAGAGCTCCCTGGAGAGCTTGTTGGGTGCTGCTGATACTTGTCTTTTGCCCTCATCCTGGGTGGATGAGGAGGCTGGTGGGCTTCATGAAGCTCGGTGTGTTTTTGTGTTTACCTTCTCCTAACACGTCTAAATGACTCAAAGTTTTTATTGTTTCTTTTTTTTTCTTCTTTTCAGAAAGGGGATGTTTGGGCTGAAGGTGAAGAAGAAGAGAAATAAGGCAGAGAAGGGGTTAATCCTAGCCAACAAGGCTGCGAAAGGTGAGGCTGGGGGTGGGGTGCTGACCATTGGGGCCTGAGAGTCTCGCAGAGTGACCCCTCCGTGGCTGAAAATGCAGTTCTCTCTCAATGGGAGCGAGGGGGAGTGTGAATGTGCTGCCCCCGACCCTTTAGGTCCTTCTAGTCACAGGTGTGGGCCCAAGACAACCCCCAAGGCCCTTGGTCATCTGGGCCAAACAGGTGAGTGGGCATGTAAGGGGTCCCTGTGAGAAAACAGCAGCAGGGTTCAAACTCTGTTTCTGTTCTTATTTGTCCTGTGACGTAGGATGAGTGGCTCTGAGTCTCAGCTTCTCCTTTATCTAATGTAATGATGTGGGTTGCTGGGCTGATCTCACACAGCTGTGGGGAAGATCAAGCAAGATTTTGAAAATAAGAGGATCACAGTTACTGTGGGGGAGGCTTCACACACAACATCTCATTGAATCCCTCCATCATCTTCGCAGTAGGTATTGTCACCCTAGTTTTACAAGTGAGTTTACAGAGATAAAGAGAGAGTAAATAAAGTGTGGAAGAGATGCTGCAGAATTTGCAAGGCCCAGTGAAAAATAAAAATGCACAGCAGTTGTTAAGTTATTAAAAGTGTCAAGAGGGTGACCGCAGAGCTTAAGCCAAGTGCAATGAGGCTCTTCTGAGCTTAGGGTCCTTTATGGCTGCACAGACCACATATCCATGAAGCCGGCTGGCCCCGAGCATGGGAGGTACACAGCCAGGAAGCAACAGCGTTGGGATGTAAATCCAGGCTGTCTCACTTTCTGCTCTTAGAATGGGATACCTCCTTCTCCAAAAGGGCAAAGTCTTGAGTTACAGGGTGAACTGCATCAGTAGAGGCCAGGCCCAGCACTGGGTAGATCCTCAGTGTTTATTGAATTAAATTGGATCAGTGGTTTCCAAGTGGACAGATGGGGTGGTCCTCTGGAGACTTCTGCTGCATAGCCTTGATTAAAAAGCAGCTCAAGGCTAGTTTTCTGGACCATTCCTAAACCAAAATGGTACCGTGGGTCTCGTTAATCTTCACTCCTCTTGTCTCCTGGGAGGCCTGCTTCACTGCCATCTACTGCAGATGTCCTGTAGCCATATGTTGTACCTAACTTCACTCCTTGCCCTTAGGTAGAACCTATCCTTATGGTAGAAAAGTATGGAAACTCATTAACACCCAGGTATTGATAATGATTAAGAGCCTTGGATAGAAAATGAGGGACATTGCATTTTCAGTGGGGACAAGGCTTAAAGCTTAAAAGTCCTTGTTGATTCAATGAAACTTCCAGGGAGTGGGTGGAAAGGCTTTGGGGTTATTCCTGGTGTCTTTGAAACTGTAACACTGTGGTAGGCCCTGTGACACAAAGTTGAATAAGGCATAGTCCTTTCCCTCTAGGACCTTGTGAACACTAGTATTTATGACATATTTAATAAGTCTCTGCTGCTTTTTCTTAACATACATCATTCATGACTCTGAAAAGTAGATTCTTTTGCCCCCATTTTATAACAGAGGTTCAGAGAAGGTGAGTGGTTTGCCCCAGGTCACACAGCTAATAAATGGAGAAGCTGGCTCCCGATCCCAGGTGAGTCTTACATCAGAGCCTGGGTTTCCTACCCCATGGGCAGCCTCCAGTTAACAGCCCTCCCTGAGAAGCTGGCGGATACCTAGGGCAGTCGACCACAGGCATTTCAGAGGAGTTTGCTCCTGTGGCTCATTTTAAAGTCTGCAACCCACAAAGCAAACAGGGCAGGGAGGAATCAGGGCCCTCCTAGAAAGTAAACAGCATCCATCCTGCTGTCCACAGGCCAGCCCTGTGGGAGACTGAAAAAACAAAGCCCACAGAACAGAGACTTTGGTCTTGCCTTCTTGGCCTGGCCTGGAAAGTTAGGGCTGTTTGGGGTGAAATGTTTGGAAACTTTCTAAGTCTCTTGCTTTTTCATCTGTGTATTTTGAGGCATTGTAGTTACATCTTAAATTCTTAAAATTCTCTTTACCCTACCCTAACCTAGCGATTAGTTACACAACAAATAGTTATTGGGTACCTCCCACAATCATCCCTTTGTCCATTTATTCAAAATATATTAGTAGAATGTCTTAAGTGTCAGCCCTGGGCTAAATTCTGGGAATCTAATGGCAAAGACTGGATGGTCCGAGGGGAGGACAGCTCTGTTCAGGACTCTTCTGTTTGCCCCTCCGGATCTATTCTCCACCCTTAGCCAGCTGCTCTCTGTCTTCTATGGGGGCATGGCCGAGGTCTCTTACCCTCTGCCTTTGGGCTGGCTCTGGCCAATGGGGTGCTCCAGCAGGAGGCGTGGGAGGGAGGAGCATGGGTCAGGCTCCAGGTGACCCTGTCCCTCACCTACAGGAGGGAGGCTGACCCCACCAGACTTCCTTTCCTTCGGGGTTCCAGTAACTGCTCTCTCTCTCTGCTAATTTTGGGGGGTGCCTAGGAGTGGCAACAGCTTGGCTGTTGCGAGCCCCAGATGATGGCAAGATCTTTTGTGGTATTCCTACATAAACATCTTTGTAAAACGTCCTCAAATCACCTTACTCTGATTGTACCATCTGTTACCTATTGGGACTATGACTGAGGTAACTAATGGCATTGCAAGTTGAGTAAAGTGCTATTAAAAAAAAACCCAAAACAGACAGTGGGCTGAAATGGAGACTGCTGGGGAGTCTCTTAGTGCAGTCAGAGAAGAATTCTCTGGGGAGGTAACATTTAAGCTACAACCTCAAGGATGAGAGGGAGCCCACTGGGCGATGGGCAGGGAGGAGAGCAGTGCAGGGGGAGGGATGCCTGTGAAAAATTCCAAGCAGCAGAGAGCTTGTGAGATTCGACGGAACTGAAAGGGGGCCTTGTGGATAGAGCGCATAAAGTGGGTGAGAGGGCCACGCAGGCAGTAAGCGTGGGCAGAACCAGATGGAGCAGGTCCCTAATTGCAGATTGTGTATGGACTTCAGATTTATTCTAAGTGCAATGGAAAGCCATTGAGGCGTTTTAAGAAAAGTGACACGGTCTGGTTTTTATAAGGTCACCCTGGATGCCCATGGTGAGTAGACTGAAGAGAACAAAGCAGTAACTCAATAAATTAGTGAATGAGTGCTGTAGAAGAAGCTTTAGCTGACTGCCTTTCTACCTCGATGTCTCACCCTACAGAATGTACAGAATGAACGCCCCTAGAGGGAGGCATATGTGATTTGCTAATTCCTGCATCCTCAGCATCTACTCTAGCACCTTTTCTTGCATATATAACGTGTCTTTGAACGTTCACTGGAAGCTTGAAACTCGACAGCAAGGCCCCAGCCTGAAGGCCCTTGCAGTCAAGGAGGGGAGCAGGTATTTTATCTTGCTGCTTCAAGGAGCACAGCCAGGCACTGGCATTCCTTCTGGCAGCTCTGCAGTGCTGTACTTGTCTCCATTTCCTGAGTGAATGGGTAATAAAAGCAGACTTCCATTCATGAAGAGATCCTCTCTGTAGCTACTGAGCACCTACAAGGCCTGGCCTAGGTGCATGAGCTCCCTGAACATGGCTGTGTTTCTTTGGATGCAGTACTGTTGTGTGTGGTTTGCTGTTTAAAATCAGCGAACCAAAATGCACCAAAGCTGGAAGGTACCTTAGAAAGCATTAAATTGATGGGTTTAAAAGGTGAGTCCCCTGGATCCCTGGGATCCTGAACCATGGCTTCAGGAGTGTCTGAAGGTGGTGGCTATGAGAGTCTGCAGGAGGCCACTGTCCCTATTCCACTCCATGGAACATAAAACAGTGTGATATAAACAGGCTTGTGTTATATACTGAAGTTCCATATCAAGTTACATTTATAAAAGGATTCTGTTGCTTTAACAAATTTTAAAATCACTTTTCTTGCCCAATTCTTTTGTCTTACGGGCAAGGAAAAAAATGCCAAGAAATTCTGGGTGACTTGTTCAAGTCATCCAACTGGGAATACATAGACTTGAACATCTACCATGGACCCTGTATAAAGCTAGGGGCTTTATATAGTTTGTTTAATTTTCCTAACCTGTAGGGGGGTAAATGATGTTAACCTTGTCTTGTTTTACAAATGAGGAAAACGGAGCTGAGAGAAGTAACTTCTCTGAATCAAAGAACGAGAAAGTGGAAGGACTGGAATTTGAACCCAAATCTTTTGGATTCAGGTCTTTGAGCTACATCATGCAGAGTCTCTCGGTTTATTAGGAAGGCTCAGCCACTCTCGTTTTTGCCGAAAGTCTGGTTGAGAAGCAGTTCTCAGGCTTTGCTGTACACTAGGATCATCTGGGGAATTTCAACAATCTCAACATTCAGCAACATTCCAGATGAATTAAATTAGAATCTAGGGTGGAGAGGAAAATGTTATAAGGGTTATGTTTATTATCTATTCATTTAAGTTTCCTAAATGCGTGTGTACTGTTTCATAGGGCTTCCCAGGAAACCTATCCTTCCTAGACTAGTGTGTCACAAACTACCACTAACTCAGTGACTTAGAAGAAGGCAGATGTATTCTCTCTCAGTTATGGAGGCCAAATGCTGGAAATCAGTATCACTGGGCCAAAATCACAGGCCCCACTCCTTCCAATTCTAGCTTCCGGTTGTGGCAGCATCTGTCTAATCTCTGCCTCCATGGTCACATTGCCACCTTTTTTTTTTCTGTCGATGGAAAATCTCCCTTTAAGGATACATGTGATTGCAATTAGGGTTCACCTGGATCACCTCATCTCAAACTCTTAATGTAATCATATCAGCAAAGACCTTTTTTCTAAATAAGGTAACATTTACAGGCTTCAGAGATTAGGACTGGCTATCTTTTCAGAATATCACACATTGCTACTCAAAATTGACCTGCAGACGGCAGGAATAACCTCGTCTGGCATCTAGCTGTTAGAAATGCAGAATTTATCTGGGCACGGTGGCTCATGCCTGCGATCCCAGCACTTTGGGAGGCTAAGGTGGGAGATTTGCCTGAGCCCAGGAGTTAGAGACAGCCTGCGCAACATAGTGAGACCCCTTTGTCTCTCTAAAAAAAATATTAACAAGAAAAAATTCACCGGTTGTGGTGGAGTGTGCTTGCAGTCACAGCTACTCAGGAGGCTGAGGTGGGAGGATCCTCGAGCCTGGGAATTCAAAACTGTAGTGAGCTGAGATCTTGCCACTGCGTCCCAGCTCCAGCCTGGGCGATAGAGTAAGACCCTGTCTCCAAAAAATTAAAAAGAAATGTAGAAGCTTGGGCCCCACCCAGACCTACTCAATCAGAATCTGCATTTTAGCAGCTTCCTAGGTGATGCTTACGCACATCACATTTTGCTAATGAAGCTCAGAGAATAAATGATGCACTAAAATTCCATTGCGGCAAGGTCATGACTTGAAACATGTCTTTTGTTAACTTAAATCATACAATTTATAAATTAAGAAGGTAGACTTTATTTTTTATGAAGGGTTACAGCCTGCCAGGTGCCCATTTTGATGGTCTGGGAAGCATAGCCTCCCACAGAGCGCAGAGACAGACACTTCCAGAAAGGGAAGAGTAAGACAGGAATTCAAACTGAAATGGTTAGCCAGATATATGTAATTACAGGTTACAGGAGGAGCTATGAATATTCAAGAAGGTGGTCTTGATGCATGTGTACTGAACACACGTGCATGTTATATATGACCCAAATTTACCTTGGGGTGGAGACTTGATTTTTAAATGTATTAGAATTAGGCCCTATATGTAAAAAGATCTTTTTAAGAAACAAAAGCACTCAAGTGTGCAGACTCTTTAAACAGCCAGAACGAGTCTATGGTCTGTGTTTTTTGTTTGTTTGTTTTCTTTTTTTTTTTTTTTTTTGAGATGGAGTCTTGGAGTCTCGCTCTGTCTCCCTAGGCTGGAGGGCAGTGGCACAATGTCGGCTCACTGCAATCTCCACCTACTGGGTTCAAGCGATTCTTCTGCCTCAGCCTCCCGAGCAGCTGGGACTACAGGTGCCCACCACCACGCCCAGCTAACTTTTTGTATTTTTAGTAGAGATGGGGTTTCACCACGTTAGCCAGGATGGTCTCGATATCTTGACCTCATGATCTGCCTGCCTCAGCCTTCCAAAGTGCTGGGATTACAGGCATGAACCACTGTGCCCAGCCTGTCTGTGGTCTTTTTATCAGGAGAAAGTCACTGAAGTCAGTCTCTTGTCTAATTAAAGCTGTAGTTATAGCTTGTAGAACAGGGGCTGGGAGTCAGTTATTCAGTGTCTGTCAGTGGTGGGCAAGCAGTAAATCGTTTATTGCTTATCTTGAGGCTGGTGCTTGTGCAGCTGCTAGAGAAAAAGAAAAACCTGTGGCAGTTAGAACACAGTTTTATTTTTAAGTATAGGAGTGCATGACTTAAGCTTTGCCTGTCATGACTTTAGGTCCTGTTTGTAATTTGGTATCTTATTGCCACAGGGTCCATTCTGTCAGTCTTATGATCTCTATTTTAATGCTGGTCAGTTGTTGTGTCTAAACCACAAAAAGGAAGTATAATGAGGTATGCCTGACCTCCTGTCTCATCATTGACAAAAACCTAGGGTTTTATTTCTGTTTTTTATTTTTTGATTTTTGAGATGGAGTTTCACTCTTTTGCCCAGGCTAGAGTGAAGTGGCGCGATCTCAGCTTAGCTGCAACATCTGTCCCGCTGGGTTCAAGCGTTGCTCCTGCCTTAGCCTCCCAAGTAGCTGGAATTACAGGTGTCTGCCACCATGCCCGGCTAATTTTTGTATTTTTAGTAGAGAGGGGGTTTCACCATGTTGGCCAGGCTGGTCTCAAACTCCTGTCCTCAGGTGATCCACTTGCCTCAGCTTCCCAAAGTGCTCGGATTACAGGTGTGAGCCACCGTGCCCAGCCAGAAACTCAGTTTTTAAGATTTTTCTGGGGTCCCCTTGGGTGGGGGAGGGGGTTGCTTAGGATTTTATTTTTAGTTTACACTTTAGATTCACAATCCGATTTTTCTTTTCACAGTCCCATCCACATAAATCTGTTCTTTTTTGGAAACAGAAGATACATAAGTTTTAGAAAAATGAAGGATGTATCTGGCATTTCTGCCAATAAGATGTTAAGTTTTATGCTGGCAGAGTCTGTCTTCTAGTCTCTTTGTACCACTTATGGTGCCTGCCACAGGGCTGGCATAAGGTAGAGGCTCGATTGCCACCACATGTCAATTTCACAGGATTTTCTTCCTTTGTTTGCTTCTCCAGATAGTCAAGGTGACACTGAAGCACTGCAGGAGGAGCCTTCTCACCAGGAAGGACCGAGAGGAGATTTGGTCCATGATGATGCTTCTATCTTTCCTGTCCCCTCAGCTTCTCCAAAGAGAAGGTACAGTATGGATGCAGGTGGTCAACACACATTTGCTGAGCATCTCTTATGTGCCAAGCACCTCTACAGGTGCTGGGAGAAGAGAGGAGAGTAAGACATAGTCACTGTCTACAGGCAGGCAAGGTCTAAGGCAGGAAGACTGTGTCAGCTCAGTTTTCTCTATGGCAGTGCTGGCCTCTTGATACCGTTCAGCCTTCATCAGGCCAGGATCATGGTTCTACAAGCTTCTGGTCTTAAATCTCCTGAGTGAAGGTGCTCATGTCGCTCACAGTTCAGGAATGACAGCAGGAGCTGTCTCTTACCTGCTCTTTGATTCATCAAGGTGCTCATTATCTTAGCTTCTTGTCTGTCTCAAATCAGAAGGTGGTTCTTATGCTACCCAACAAAAAGTCAAAACAAGCTGGCCTTCTGCATGCATTTTGCTAGATCAGTTAGCAATGATGTGTAACAAATAGCCCCCAGATCTGTGGCTTAATATAATAAGCATTTATTATTGCTAATGAATTAGTTGGATAGTTTTGCTGATCCCAGATAGTTGCAGATGCATCATTCATGTTTCTGTAGTCATTTGGCAGCTCTGCTGGTTAGTTTAGGAGTTGGCTGGTGGTAGCCTGGCCTAGTACTGCTTCAGCTGAGACCGGCTGTTCTCTGCATGATACCAGATCCTCCGTCAGGCTAGTCTGAGCTTGTGCCAATGGTAGCAATGGCAGGGTTCTAAGAGAGTGGAAGTACAGAAGTTCTCTTGAGGTGTAGGCTTTGAACTGGCAAAAGTCATTTCTGCTGCCTTCTGTTGGAGAGACTAAAAGTTACGGGGCAACAAGTTTGGATACAGAGTAAGCCAATGACTGGGGCTAACAATGCTTTCAGTCTACCATATTTGTTTATGTCAATTTCTTACTTGTGATAATTCCTCATGCCCTTCCCTTTCTTTTTCACTCAAAGTTGTTACTATCAATAAAACAAATTAGTGCTTCCCCACTTGGCTGATCCTGAGTTGTTGTTTCTGGGTTGTGACAGGATGGCAGGGTACATATATGTGGGTTAGAGGGCAGTGGGAATTAGAGAAAGTGATAACTCAGAAGTTGACACTCAAAAGAAGACATGAAATGTGTACACACCTACTCACTGCAATATCTCCTTCCTTCCTTTGCCGCACCCTGACAACCACCACCCCTCTACCCTAGTCTCTGAATAGGGATTTCAGTCATTTTTTAATACTCAAGATATTTCTTCCTATTCATTTTACAAGGGTGATAGCATTGAGTGGAGGAAGGCAGGAGAAAGAGAAGGAAGGAATAACAGCCTTTTTCTTTTTCCTTGGTCAGAACATTCTCCAGCAATTGAAATTCTATCCACCCACCAATGCTCAATTCAAATCCAACCTCTGCAGTGAAATCTTTGTTGTGTACCCTGGTCCTCAAGACTTTTTTTCTCAACAGCTCTTCTGTCATATTTTCTTTACCCTATGACACATTTTACACTTGCCTACTAGTTCTTTTTAAATATACTTCTGTCTTCTCTCCCATGGATGATAGATTGTTACTTCTCAAGGACCAGGAAGATGGCTTACTCATTTTTGTTTTTCCCCTGAATCTGGCACTGGGCTTTCACATAATAAATAATCAGTACAAATTTGCCATCTTATTGATGAACCAATTAAATGATATTTACCCTTTCTTACCTGCATTGTCTCCTTGGGTCCTCAGAGTAACCCTATGTGGTAGGAATTCTTATTTTTACTTTCAGTTGCAGAAATTAAAACTAAAGTCCAAAATTGGGGAGAACAATATTCTAACTCAGATCAGTCTGACTCCAATGCCCAGAGATTTTTACTAACTTAATCAGTTCTCTATTGGACTCAATTATAATCAGCAGAAATGGGATGAAGTCAAATGCAACATGGTATTGTTAGTAACCAAGGGGATAAAATGCAACAGGAACTCAAGCTCAGTTCATTTGCCACTGATTTCAGCTTCTATGACAACAGGAATTCTTCATCTCTTTCTGTTGTTATCCATCTCTAAATGCCCAGGTGTTGCACATGTTTTCAATTACTTGTGATAGTCCAGATAAATGAAATCCCCTGGAATGTGAAATTTCATGGAGATGGTATCTTTAGTCATTCCCTTCAATTTTTTCCTTTACCAATTATTTCAAAGCAATTATGATTATATCTATTAGACATGGCAGAATGGTCCTGTGTATGGAATCAGGCAGGAGACTGGGAGTTCCTTATTTAGACCCAGCTCTGCCACTGATTTGCTGAGGCATCTCAGTTTCTCATTTTGTTTAAAATTTTAAAAAATACTGATAATCATATAAAAAGAGCTGACATTTATTCTTGCCAGGTACTGAGTTAAACCTTTATATGCACTATATCATTTAATTCTAGCAATCATCTCAGAAATGCTATTACAAGCTCCATTTTTAGGATGAGAAAACTCAGAGGTCAAGTCATTTGTCCGCTTATACTTATCTCCCCCAGAGATGTAGACAGAATATGTAATAATATTAAATGAAAGGACTTAGAAATACTTTGGAGAATATTATCATGACTTATGGATATTCTTCCTTGATGAAACAAACATATTAAACTTTCTTTTAATAGATCAAAACTGTTGACTAAGATCCATGATGGGGAGGTCAGATCCCAAAATTATCAAGTAAGTGATTGGCTCTTCCTGCCCAGCCTCCCCCAGTGCTTCCTGTGTGCATGGATGGCGGTGTCCGGAATGGTGTCCACACTGCTTTGTGTTGCAGATTGCCATAACCATCACCGAGGCTCGCCAGCTGGTGGGTGAGAACATTGACCCAGTTGTGACCATTGAGATTGGGGATGAGAAGAAGCAAAGCACAGTGAAGGAAGGAACCAACAGCCCATTTTATAATGAAGTAAGTCATGGAGGTCACCCACAGCTTTTGCACTAAGATTCTCTTCACCACCATTCTGCAGGATCCTTCAGTCAAACAAAGAGCTGTGCCCCTCCTGCCTCCCTCCCTGGCCCCCAGTTAAGCCCATGGCAAACTGATTCTTCTTACAAACACAGCCCCCTAAAGCTTTTCACAAAAGGGTAGTGGAAAAGAGAGGCGAGGAATTCCTCCTGATTTTAAATTCACTGCTACGTTTTCAACATACGTTTTCTTATTTATTATCAGCTCATTTTCATCCATTATAAGCCCTGGGTTTATAGTCAATAAATTGATTGAATGTCGGTTAGGGAGAAGATACATATTCTTCTTCCTGGCAGAGACATTGGAAACTTAATTATTGTTTTTGAAACAGGCATACTACCTTGGAAAGTAAAAGTTACATTTTTCTAAGCTGTGTAGAAATTGTAAAGAAAAATCTCAGATTTCTAAATATCGTACATGCTAAATTCTCTTTTTAAAATAAAAATATTGTTGGGGTGCAGTAGCTCACGCCTGTAATCCCAGCACTTTGGGAGGCCACGGCGTGCGGATCACGAGCTCAGGAGATCAAGACCATCCTGGCTAACATGGTGAAACCCCATCTCTACTAAAAATACAAAAAAATTAGCCAGGCGTGGTGGCAGGTGCCTGTAGTCCCAGCTACTTGGGAGGCTGCAGCAGAAGAATGGCGTGAACCCAGGAGGCAGAGCTTTCAGTGAGCCGAGATCGTGCCATTGCACTCCAGCCTGGGTGACAGAGTGAGACTCCACCTCAAAAAAAAAAAAAAAAAAAATTACTTGGTGAAAAAATATGGCAAAAGAGACAAAAAGTATAACGATATAGAGTAATGTGTTTCCCTCTGATCTTTGATCCCCAATGCCCTAGTCCTCTCCCTGGAAGCATTCACTCTCACTAGGCATTTGCGTATCCTTCCAGAGATATTCCAAACATGTACCAGAATACAAGGAAATATTGTACCCAAATGGTAGCATTCTATACACACTGTTCTGGACTCTTCACAAAACAATGTATCTTGAAAATAAATCCCTGTGGGAGGTACAGCTCATTCCCATTTTGCCTTCCTGGCTGAAGAGTTTTTCATTGCCTTGATATGCCATAATATACTAAACCAGTCAGTCTCTCATGAATGAACATGAAATGCTTTTAACCTTTTGCTACTACTTATAATAGTATAACTGGGTCACAAGGTATATGCATTTAAAATTTCCATGTCGCTAATTGCCTTCCAAAGAGGTAACAATTTATACTCAAATGAACAGTGCACAGGAGCATTTGCTTACTTGTAGGCTCTTTGACACAATGAATTATTTCAAAAAATTCAGGGCACTCTTAATTCTTATTATCTTGGCCAGATGCAGTGGCTCACACCTGTAATCCCAACACTTTGGGAGGCCGAGGTGGGCAGATCACGAGGTCAGGAGTTTGAGACCAGCCTGACCAACGTGGTGAAACCCCATCTCTACTAAAAATACAAAAATTAACTGGGTGTGGTGGCATGTGCCTGTAATCCCATCTAGTCAGGAGGCTGAGGCAGGAGAATTGCTTGAACCTGGGAGGTGGAGGTTGCAGTGAGCCGAGATTTCGCAACTGCACTCCAGCCTGGGCAACAAAGCAAGACGTTGTCTCAGGAAAAAAAAAAAAATCTTATTATCTTAATGAGAATGGTCATTTAAAAGGAAGGTAGGGAGAGCATGGATAATGAAATCAACAGAAAATACCCAAATCCCATTGGAGCTAATGACTCCTTTCCTCTTCATCATTTCTGCCTCTGCGCCTCTGACTATAAATGAAATGTCAGTACATTTTCCCTTCTTGTTCCACGCTCTACCCCCAGAAGAGCTTTTGGCATGGATGTAATATGAGATAATATATGAAAATGCTTTAAAACTGCAAAGCTCTACAGATTTATTAATTATAATAATTATGCATACAAGTCCTGGATCTAAATGACGTTAAACTGGGCCCAAGTGTAACCGGTAGAAAAATCACATAGAAACACAAAAGTTGATCTAAAAACCTTTGTTACAACTCTTGACCTAAATATTCAAGCCTAAAGTTCATCAGATGCTGAAGGAACCCATTAGTTGGAGCTGGGGAATATTTCCCAGCTAGAAGAATATGTGTTGGCCAGGAGGTCTCGGAAGCCTATGTGAGGCAGTTGAGTCTGAAACATATGAAACCCATCAGAAGGTAATAAATATTGCAACTCATTTGTCCATCCAAAGGAAGCCACAGCATCTGGTGTATTCAGAGAATGAAGAATGTTGTGTAAGTGAATTTTCCACATAAATTTTGAACACCAGGACTCTGAAAAAGTTTAAGCATATATATGAGAAATTTCCTGAAATGTTGTATGTATTGTCTTGTCTTCTTAAACAGAAGACACTGAACAGAATGGAATCTTTGGTTGATCTCTAAGGACCACCATTTTGAGGATCTCTTATAATGTATGATGACATTTTTCGGTTCCCACATTTTGCTTTTTCTGTTTTGCCCTTTGAAAGCAGGCCATCGTCATTTGGTCAGTTCCTCCTTTCTTACTGTGGCTGTGTCCATCTCTAAGGGGCCATTCTTCCACTCTACAGCTCAAAAAAGAAAATCCAGGAAACAGCTTCCCAGGCCTGCCTTCCTGGTCCCCCTCAGTTCCCAAAACACACAAACCAGGACAAAACACCACTTCAGTTTTCTGCATCTTATAGTCTTACAACCTTGAGTTTGGGAGGATCTTGACTCAAGAGTCAGATGGTGAAATATCTAGTACTTGATCCCCTTGTGTGATAATGTCAAGAGAACTAAGGTTTGGTCCCAGACCCAACAATAACTACCAATAGGAATCTGGGTAGCATCTTTTAAATTCTTTAGTCTTCAGTCTTATCTGTAAAACATGGGACTGGTCTAGATAATTTCTCCAACTCCAAAATTCAATCATGTTCTTAATATTAAAAATCCTCATGTCCATAGATTTTTGTATTCTCTCCCTGGTAAATCCTGGTAATTTCACAGGGATGTTTGAAACTGAAAAATCCTGGGAAAAGTAGATTTTAGTCAAGTCCACTCCAATTTAAAACCATACTGAAGTACCATTTTCACTCATAATTATAAATTAAAAAATGACACTATCGAGGGTTGATAAGATTATAGAGAGATGGCTATTTTCATGTTGCCAGTGAGAATATAAAATTCCCATTTGGGGAAAAAATTTATACTATCTATTCAAAAGTTATATGCACTTAATCTATGACTTGACAATTCCATTTCTCATGTTCATTTTGGAGGATTACTGACACATATCCTATGCAAGAATGTGATTGATAGCATTGTTTTCATTTGAGACCAGCCTGGGCAACATAGTGAGAACCTGTCTCTACAAAAAATTTAAAAAAAAAATTATCCAGGTGTGGTGGTATAGGCCTGTAGTCCCAGCTACTCAGGAGGCTGAGATGGGAGGATTACTTGAGCCCTGGGAGGTTGAGGCTGCAGTGAGCCCTAATTGTGCCACTGCACTCCAACCTAGCCGACAGAACAAAACCCTGTCTCCAAAAAAAAAAAAAAAAAAAGAGAATTGACAATTGACAATCAATTGATGATGTATATATATTCATGCAGCAGTTGGTTTGAATGACAAAGATCTAAATCCACTCCAAGGACAGGATTCTTAGGTGCAAGTCTGGGGTTGATGACCAGAATGAACTTTTTGTTTTGCAGTACTTTGTCTTCGACTTCATTGGGCCCCAAGTGCATCTTTTTGACAAGATCATCAAAATCTCCGTAAGTATAGCATTGGTGGTAATAGTTGTGGAGAGGTGGGAGACATTTTGGGCATTGGGGACTCTCTGGGACAACTCAGCATACTTAGCGGGGAATAGATTCAGGAGGGCAAGTGTCAGTTGGTGAGTCTAACCAACAGGCAGAACTTGAAATCACCAGTATGGAGGTGTCTGGGAAGAAAAACCACTTTAAGAAGATCTATGCTTCTTGGAAGCAAGTGGTAAGCTATGGTAAAGCTATTACTGATTGAATCATGTAGCTTACTAGTGTGGGAATGTGAGACACGTGCTTCAAGTGACATCTTAATGCATTGTCAGTTTTAGTTTGTTTTTTTTTAAATCAGGCAAATGTAGGTGTTTCTTTCTTGGGCTGGTATCTACACTAATGATCATTAATCACATCTCCTCCTCCTAGTTGGGTAATGAATAAAGAAATAGGAACAAGTACCAGGAAAAAAGTGTCAGTCTCATCAATGGTAATGTTGGATCAGAGGATGTGATTTGGACTAAGTGGTGGCCATTGGGATTTTCAAAAGTTGCCTCTGAGTGTAGACCTCAGGACCTGCCCTTGGGAAATTGAGTCTGCTGCATAGACTCTTCCTCAGCTCTGCCAGGGGAAGTGCAGATACAGAGCTTCCTGATCTAAGGGCCCAATCCAACTTTGCCCACTACATGGAGGACAGGAATGGGAAGGGGAAGTGCCCATGTTGAAGCCAGACTGATCCAAATGAGAGAGAAGTCAGGCCAAATGGGATTGTTACAAACTTTGCACCATTCAGCAAAGGGACAGAGACCAATGGATGACATACTGCATCTACCTTACCAGCGTGACAGATCACCACAGCTTCTCCCAAGGTGGTGAAGGATGGCTGGAGAGTAAGTTTCTCTCTTCCAAACAGTTCTAAGAGGATACAGTTCCTACTTCATGTGTCAGTGTAGGAAGTCTGGAGAATAAGGGAATGATTTCTTCAACAGTCAGCTGTAATCAGAATTGTGAGGATGACAAAACTTGTTTTGAAGATTTTCTTCCCTGTCTTTATCACTGACTCAATATAATATCTAAACAGATATATAAAATATGTTCCCTTTAACTACAGCTGACTGTCAGCAAAGTCCTGCATTATGGCCTAGGTAAATAGTGGAATTATGACATTAACCTTCCCAGGAGACTTGAAGAATGTGACTCTTGAAGAATGAGAAGTCACCCAGAGACAAACAATCTTAAGGTTTGAATTTCAGGCATGATGACAAGTGGTGCAGGTGATATTTCAGGACCTGGGACAATGCCCAGGACTTTGTTCCATTGCTCAGGCAACCATCTGTTTATGGAATCAGCTCCATAGGAGGCTTCTAAGGATTGTCTGATGAACAGTTAATCACTAGATTTTTATATTGTGCCATAGACCAGGGTCAGGACTGTTTGTGGGACATGTGGACTTCTAGACAGAGGATCAAAGCTACCATTGCCTATCTCTGTTTCTCTAACTTCGAAGAAGAGAAGACTTTAGTGTCCCTAAAAGACTCTTAGAGACAAAAGATTTTAAAATAAAATCTTCCCTTGAGAGGGGAATGTTTAACACAACTTTTCTGTTAGTCCATGAACTGAAAGTCAGTATGCCCAGAATATATACGACATGGGATAAGAAGTGGGGGACTGCTGTAAGCAGATGCTATTGGGACAGCCAGCCTGTAACACACCCTGGTGGTGCCAAAGACAGTCTTCCCTTCTCAGTGGCCAAGGCATGCAGGGCTCCCAGTACTCTGTGTGTGAGACATCCCCAGAGTCCTGGTGATTTAACACTTGACCACACCAGGATTGCCTGGCACTCAACCACTGGATGGATGACTTTAAGAGGCATCCTGTGTTATTTAAAGATTTGTTTGGGGCTCTTGCATTTCATCTTGCCCACAGGGACTCTCAACCTGAGAAGAGAACTTGAAACTGGCTTGTGTTCTTTCTCAGGCCTTTGGAAAAACACATGAGCAACTGCAAGCATGTTGGATTTTGGAGTGAACATTATGTGAGCATCCTTCTGTAGCTTCTCTACTTGAGTCAGGCTGCCTGTACTTCACCTTGGTTCTCTGACACCCATGGAAAATTTAGGTTAGGGAGAGAGAGTGGAAAGAGAAATGAGGAGGGCTGTCATTTCTTGAGGTCAACTGAATTTCTTTTGCTTCGCAAAAAGGAGCTGTTTAGAAGCTGCAAAAGCCTTCCGTTCATCTGTCATTCGATTAGTCATTCATTAATTCACTGAATGTTTATTGAATATCTATTGTGAACAAGGCCATGTGATGGGTGGATGACAGGAGGAAACTGTCCTTGACTTAAGGAACTTACAGGATTTTATAGTTAGAAGGAAGCTCAGAGGACATCTTGTATAACTTCCAACTGGTGCCAGAATCCTTCTCCTCTTCCTTTACTACGTGGAGTTCTTGGGGGCATAACTTGATTATTTGCAGTGATAGGGAGGTCGCTACCTCTAGGAAAGCTCATTCCATTGCTGGGAAGTTCTGACAGTTATAAACATTGTTCTTATATTGAGTGGAAATCTCTCATCCTGTTATTTGGGAACCATAGAGGGGGACTTGCTCTCTCTTCTGCATGACAGCATTTACATGATTTAAAGACACTTCAGTTGCCATTGCCCTTTCTCCACACCTGCCAGTTTTCTCTTTTATGGGTGACAGATTGAACTTTTCTCCTGGTTCTTCAGCAGTTTCTCATACGTTGTGGCTTTTCAACCTGGCACCAGCTCTGCACCTTCCTTTAGAACTTCCTCATCTTGAGAGCATTAGCATGAAAATGGGCTGCTGTAACCAAGCCAGGCCCTCTGCTGGCCCTGATCAGACAGAATATTGAGGGTGATTACCTCCTTTGTTCTCACCGTTGTACATGCCTAAAATGATTCAAGGCAATATGTGATGAGTTCTCTGAGAAAGTTGTGAGCAAAGTTGCAGGAGTTTAGCGGAGAAAAGGAACACTTTCAGTTTGGGGGGACTGAATGGCGGAGGTGACTTATGTTCTAGGTATTGAAAGATAGGGAAAATTTCAGCAGGAAGAGATGGGTGTTGAAGGGTGAGCTGTACTCAGATTTATTTTGGTTAAAGGAAGCTTGCAGGCACTGAGAGTTGACAGGCATCCTTCTATGGAAGATTAGCTAAAATCCTGCTAAGAGCAAGAAATGAAGGTGTTGAGGGGCTTCTGGAGGTCCTTTACAGCCTTGTGGTTTGATGGCCAAACTCCACTGTGCTCCAGACAGGGTCAAAGCTAGACAAGGGTCAAGGCCTCTTATCCTCAAGGTAAATCTGCCATACTCCCTGCTCTCTCTCTCCTCAGGTCTTTCACCACAAGCTGATAGGAAGTGTACTGATTGGCTCTTTCAAAGTAGACCTGGGGACCGTGTACAACCAACCTGGTAAGAAAACATCACCTCCCCATCTGTATCTCACTTGTCTTTGGTTTATAGCACCTGGAGTCATCCCATTCATTCACTCACCTGTGTGACCATTCATTCAATAACACTGAGCACCAGTTATACAAAGTTGAATGAGACATAACTCTTGCCCTCAAATGTTTTACAGTCTAATGATAAAATTATTTTATATGTCTACTTCTGGGGAGTTTTTTTTCTCACACAAATTCTGTCCAGTCGAGATATGGACAGGAGAGGCAATGGAATATAGGAACTAAGAATACAGACTCTGGAGTCAGATTGCCTGGGTTCGAATCCCACTCTATGTCCTAGCTGTGCAACCTTGGGCAAATGACTTAACTTCTCTGGGCCTCAGTTTCCTCATCTGTAGAAATGAAGATAACTTACTACTTCCTTCATAGGTTTGTTGGAGGATTGAGTAAGTTAATATACACAAAATGCTTAGTAAAGAGTCTCACTCATAAAAATGACTACAGCATTTTGTATCCTTATACAAAGGATTTGCTGTACTTATTATTATCCCTGATTTGTAGGAAAGAGAAACTCAGAAAAGCAACGTAATTTGTTCAAGGTCAAGAGCAAGTAAGTAAAAGAGCCAGCACAGATCTTTTTATGAAAGGCCCCCTATCTTCAACAGGGATTCCAACTCCTGTGACTGTGGGGGCCAGACAGGGAGCATAGCTGCGTGCAGCAGCCTGAGTGTGAGGCATAAAGGAACAGTGGAGTCTGGGAAAGGAGACAGGAAGGCTTGTGCTCCATATACAAGGGCAGTGGCTATTCAGTGCCTTTGGTATTTACTGCCATGTAGAAATGTGAAGCCATTGGCCAGGTGCAGTGGCTCACACCTGTAATCCTGGCACTTTGAGAGGTCGAGGTGGGTGGATCACTTGAGGTCAGGAGTTCAAGACCAGCCTGGCCAATATGGTGAAGCCCCATCTCTACTAAAAATACAAAAATTAGCTGGGCGTGATGGTGCACACCTGTAGTCCCAGCTACTTGGAAGGCTGTGGCAGGAGAATGGCTTGAACAAGGGAGGCAGAGGTTGCAGTGAGCTAAGATCATGCCATTGCTCTCCAGCTTGGGCATTACCATTGCTCTCCAGCCAGGCATCACAGCGAGACTCTGTCTCAAAAAAAAAAAAAAAAAAAAAAAGAAATGTGAAGCCAGTATTGCCAGAATTTACCATTTTTAAAGAAAAGCCGGAAGTCTAGATTATGTAAGCCATCTTGGAAGTTTTGACTCACAGTGAGGCCAAACAAAAAGACCAAGGAGCCAGGTTTATGTCCTGTGGGTAAATAATACGTATGTGACTTCTACACTTCATTAATGTCCCCCTATTCCATCAAAGATGGAACCTTGTCTCAGTGATTTCTACTAAGTCAATGGCTTCCCAAGAATCTATGGTAAATTGGGGGAAAAGATGGAGAACTGGTAGGAAGCAAAGGGAGAGGAGGGAAAGGAAGAGGGAAGCAGCATGAGGTTTGGAAAAAACTGAGATGATTTACCACCTAGAGCAACAGAGGGAGGAGAGCCTGGGAGGCCTTGGCGTGTGGGAGAGAAAGGGGTGGGGCTGCTGGGCCCATCTGTGAAGGATGTGAGCTGTCAGGGTGCTTTCACAGGTCATCAGTTCTGCAACAAGTGGGCCCTGCTCACAGACCCTGGTGACATCAGGACTGGCACCAAGGGGTACCTGAAATGTGACATCAGTGTCATGGGAAAAGGTGATGTCTTGAAGACCAGCCCTAAAACTTCTGACACCGAGGAGCCAATAGAAAAGTAAGACAGGTCCATCCTGGGTTGTGCATAGAAATGATATGTCCAATTTTAATCTCTTTCCCCTCCCTCACCACTTTTCTTATGGGTACATGAGAACCATGCTTCTTCTCAGCTTGGTCACCTGGCATTCTGCTCTATCAGACACCAAGATGTGTCCTATTAAGGTATGACTCTCCTTCACGAGGTCAGGTTCTAGGACAAGAACTGTCTGTCTTCCTATAATAACCCATAATAGATAAGCTATTCCTAAGCTTATCCAATTTTTCTGAATGTAGCTGAGTTTTCTTTGAAGGAATTATAATTTCAATCACTGGTTTGTGATGTGGGAAGACTTAAATGCACCTCTTTTAAGGTTCAGAGTGGGAGACAGTATTTATCCTATCCTAGGACCTGAACGAGTTTGCATTCACTCTATTCATACCATTCTCTGTCATTTACACTATAAAGAAAACTCATTTCAGCAATGAATCTTACTCTTTTCAGATTTGTCTTATATTGGGATCTTTCTTTCTGCCTCCAAATTGCTCCTGTCTTTTCTCTCTGTTTCTTCAATTGAGAGAGCTTTTTCATTTGTTTTTGTCTCCCTCTAAGGAACCTTTTGATCCCCAATGGGTTTCCACTGGAGAGACCGTGGGCCAGATTCTATGTGAGACTCTACAAAGCAGAAGGGTTGCCCAAAATGAATTCAAGCATCATGGCGAACGTCACCAAGGCATTTGTGGGTGACAGTAAGGACCTGGTGGATCCCTTTGTGGAGGTCTCCTTTGCTGGGCAGATGGTGAGGAACCATTGTCACTAACACTGCCTGCTAGGCCAGGGCCCTGCTCTCTATCCAAGATATGTTTAATCAAATCAAATTAATAAAAATTAGGAAGTGCCTTGAAAGCAAAAGCTTGTTACAAAAAGGCAATGGGGCCAGGCGAGGTGGCTCACACCTGTAATCCCAGCACTTTGGCAGGCTGAGGTGGTGAATCACTTGAGGCCAGGAGCTCAAGACCAGCCTGGCCAACATGGCAAAACCCTGTCTCAACTAAAAACACACAAAAAATTAGCTGGGCGTGGGCGTGGTGGTGCACCCCTGTAATCCCAGCTACTGGGTGGCTAAGGCATAAGAATTGCTTGAACTTGAGAGGCGGAGGTTGCAGTGAGCAGAGATTGTACCACTGTGCTCCAGCCTGGGTGACAGAGCAAGACTCTGTCTTTAAAAAAAAAAAAAAGAAAAGGCAACGGGATGTGGCAGGGAAATAGGGGAGGGTTACTCACTCACTCTTCATTGGAGAAAATGGAAAGGAGCTATGCGTGGATTGTGGTTTAGGATACAGGCAGACAGGCATCCTTCCTCACCCCTGGCTACTTCTCTGAGCTGTTTATTCAGTCCCCACATCCGGTAGAATTTCCACCCACCTCCTGACCTGTTCCACAATCTCCCCAGGTAGTCCTTGTCTTAGAATTTCCATCCACCTCCTGACCTGTTCCACAATCTCCTCAGTTAGTCCTTGTCTTATGTAAGCCTGGACATCGCTTTTCCCTGCTCAGGAGCCATTGGAGGTGTCAGGGCCTGTGTACGTGGTCAGAGATTAACCCTGGTTGGCTGGATTTTGAAGCTTCAACTCACACACATGTTATCTCTGCCATTAAAATACAGAACTACCCTGATTGTGTCCCCTTGGCAGGGGTGAACACTGAAGTATTTTTGACTTGGGCTGAACTTGGAGATCATATAAGACATCACCTCCATTTTATGACAAGGAAATTGAGGTCCAGAGTGGAAGAGTGATTCACACAAGGTCATACTTCTACAAAATATGAGCTCATGGTCTAACTACATCCACTGTATTTCTGGAGTTGCACAGAACTCCCATTCCCCAATATGCTGATCAGAACTTCCTGAGGGCGGGGCTGTGATGTGACTTTGTCTCAGATACCTGGCACGGTGTCCAGCATAGAGCAGGTCATCAGTCACGTTCGCTGAGTGTAACTGATTTTCGTGGGTGTCAGAAGCAGGTTCATTATCTTTGAAAACTCACTTTATACTTCCAGCTGGCTTGAAGAGTTTTCTGTAGTCAGTCAGTCCCTTCCATGACTCATGTCCTCCTGGCTGTGTTTTTAGGGGCGAACCACAGTGCAGAAGAACTGTGCTGATCCTGTGTGGCATGAACAGGTGATCTTCAAGGAAATGTTCCCTCCCTTGTGTCGGAGGGTGAAAATCCAGGTGTGGGATGAAGGCAGCATGAATGACGTAGCCCTGGCAACCCATTTCATTGACCTGAAGAAAATCTCCAACGAACAGGATGGAGACAAAGGTAAAGTCCCATCCATCTGACTTGAAAAATGTCTCAAAATGCTTGCTTTAGAGCCCTCATCTTTAAAAGGGGTGGGCTAGAGCAGCAGTCCCCAGCCTTTCTGGCACCAGATACCAGTTTTATGGAAGACTATTTTTCCATGAATGGGTTGGGGGATGGTTTTGGGATGAAACTGTTCCACTTCAGATCATCGGGCATTAGTCTCCTCATAAGGAGCATGCAACCTAGGTCCTTCATATGTGCAGTTCATAGTATGGTTTGTACTCCTATGAGAATCTATTGCCACCGCTAATCTGACAGACGGAGCTAGGTGGTAATACTCACTTGCCTGCTGCTCATCTCTTGCGGCCCAGTTCCTAACAGGATGGGTACTGGTCCATGGCTCTGGGCGGTCAGGAGCCCCTGGGTTAGAGCACCTTCCAGGTATTAGGCACTTTCCATGCTACTGTAGGGTCTGTGGTTTGAGTTGGTTCAGGGCAATGGATGAAGCCAGGCTCTGGGAGCCAGGAGGTTTGCTCCTGGTCCCGGGTCTTCCACAAACACTGCTATGTGTCCTTGAGGAAGTCAGTCTTCCCATAATTGAAAAATGAGACATTTAGAGTAAATCAGAGATTGGTAAACTAAGGTCTATGGGCCAAATATGGCCTACTACATATTTTAGTATGGCCCATAAAATAAATGGTACCAACAAAAATTGTGTCTTCAACCCATTGGTGGGAGCCTGAGAGCGCAGGAATAGCAGCGAGGTGCACTGACTGTGCACACTTTGAGCCAGGGTGGGAGCTGAGAGCTGGTGGATTAGCTCAGCTAATCCACTGAGCCAGCCAGGTGGAGGTCAGGTAAAAGAATTTCCACTCAGTTATATGGCTCTTTATTTGCAAAACCCAAATTAGTAGATAATTCTTTGAAAAACCCAACAAACCTTCCCTTCTTTAAATTCCCAGGCAATCTTTCTCTGTGCTACAAATTTATACTAATTGACATATTTTTTGCATACATACATGCACATGCATGTGTATCTACATATAATCACACATACATATACATGTATGTACAAATATATACATTAATAAATATATCACATATCATCTGTATATGGTTAATGTAATTATTTTAATTTTTTACTTGATTAGACTAAAGGCATGTCAAGAGCAGTAAACAAGATTTACACATTTTTATGTCCCTAACAGATACCATAGAGAGGCCTCAGTAAATAAATACCTTTGTCTAAATCTTTACATTATGGAAGTGTTTGCCACAAGATTGCTATATGCAGAAAGCACCCTCGGCCCATCTATACAATATCTCAGCTAGATGTAAACATGTTTTATTTACAACCTTTTAGGAACATCTTGATGGCATTCAGGAAGATATACATCAGTGATTTAAAATATAGACATCAGGACCATAAAATCTTTCTATCCTTTTCAATACAATATTCTTATATTTAAGTCTACTCAAGGAAGAGCTAGAATCCAGTCTATGGGAGTAGGGGATAGGAAATGTGTAGGCATAAAACTATTGATAATAGTTTCCATACATGGAAACATCTAATTGTCAACACTGGGGGATTGTTAAGCAGATTATGATATATTTGCTTCTTCATAATAATAGCCTATATTCTTAGCACTTCCTAAGGGCCTGCGTGAAGCACTCAATTGATAGTTTCTTTTAATTTTGAGAAATAAAATGCCATCTACTGAGCGGAAATTCTTTTACCTGACCTCTGCCTGGCTGGCTCAGTGGATTAGCTGGGGCTCAAAATTAAAGATGAGGCAGGTACTATTAACATCTCCCTTTTAGAGGTGAGGAAACTGAAACATGGGGAAGTTTAAAAACTGCCCAAGGTCACACAGCTTGAACATGACAGAGCTGAGATTTGAACTCAGGCCTCAGAGCCACCAGACTGTACTGCCTGTCATCGAGCTGTTGCCATAGCGATGTTCCCATAGACACTGCATTTTCTCAGACACTATGTATTAAGAAGTGAAAATACTTACATCAGCAGTAAGTTCAAATCATCAGGTCTTTTAAATTCTATGTTCAGAACATATCTTGAAACATTTACCTATGTCAGTCTCCACTACCTTCACCCTAGTTCAAGACGCTGGTCTTCAGTTTTGATGATGAAGTGGTCCTTGAACCAGTTAGCCTTCTAACCCTTCATGTAACAGCCATAGTGATCTTAAGACATATGATTATGTCACATCTTTGCTTAAATTCCTTTAAAACATTTCTGTAGTTTTTAGGATAAAGGCCAAAATTTTTATCAAGGCCCCAAGACCCACCTACCTCTTCAAACTCTCCCAGAGTTCATCTCTAGCTCCAGGCTCCTTTCTAACTGGCACATGCTCCTCCCTCTAGCCAGAACACACACTCTCTCTCTTCTCTGCCTGCCTAACTCCCCTCTATGTTACATCAGCCTGTTACTTTTTCTTGCAACACAAAGTGTATTTCCTCCATAGTGTTTGCACTGTAAATATTTATTTGCTTAATGTTTATACCTGCTTTGTTCTCCAGCAGGCTCTGTTTAGTATCTAGCATTGTACCTGGCACTAAACATAAAGCCTACTGGAGAACATGGGGGAATCAATAAACATTTGATGAATAAGTGAACAGAACAGAATGCAGATTGGCATTTATGGTATTAGTACAACTGTGAACAAGTGTAAACATGAATGCAAAAAAGACTAGAAGGAAATATGGCAAGATGGCAATCGTTGTCTTTTGGTCATGGGATATCCTGTCAATATTTTCTTTCGTCTTTCTTGGATATTCTACATTTTGAAATGAATGTGTGCAACTTTTATAAAGCAAAAACATAATGAGATAACTAAAACCTGGGGTCTCTCTAGGCTTTCTGCCCACCTTTGGGCCTGCCTGGATTAACCTGTATGGCTCGCCCAGGAACCACAGTCTGATGGATGACTACCAGGAAATGAACGAAGGCTTTGGGGAAGGTGTGTCATTCAGGGGCAGAATCTTGGTAGAAATTGCTGTGGAAATCCTCTCAGGACGGGCACAGGAATCTAAATTTTCCAAGGCCCTGAAGGAGCTCAAGTTGCCTTCCAAGGACAAAGACTCCAAATCTTCCAAAGGTAAAGACAAGGCTGACAAAACTGAAGATGGAAAATCCCAACAGGCTTCAAACAAAACTAACTCAACCGAGGTGGAGGTGGAATCGTTCGATGTCCCCCCGGAGGTAGGTCTAGGCACTGCATTATGGTACTTTACCTATGAGGTGAACCAGAGCAGGGACTGCCCCTGCCACAGGTTCCTGAAGGTGTTGTCAGAATATGTCTTATTCCCTCTGAAAAATTTGTGTTGGCCCAGCCCTGTGTTCTCAGGCTGATCCTCTGCCCCCTCTTGCACACTTCACAGCCATCTGCCTATGATAAATTCCTTTGAATCCCCCACTCCCCCAAATACAATTCCCATGGAAACCCAAGTAAAGAGAAATAAAAGTGCTCCGGAGGAGTTGGTGGGAGTGGGTGGTACGGGATTGATTAAACTCTATCTGTGGCCTAATTTTATTTAGTTGTGTTAGCTTAGAGTAAGCTCCGGATGGGAGATAATTTTGGATGAGGAATGAAGAGGAGGAAGAGTAGGTGACAAGCTGGGATATAAGAAATTGAGAAACCTACTCCCCTACCCCAAACCTGTGCGGGAAATCACAACTCTAGGGTATGCTTATTACTCACCATGAAGCATGTTAGCACTTTCCCAGCCCGGTTCTGCTTATGGGAAAGAGATCTGAGACTCTAAGAGGAATACAAATGGTGAATATTCTCTCTACTGTTTAGTTTATCAATGGTAACTTGCAGTTAAGCAAATGAAAGAGCTTCATGTTTTGTCAGTAGCGGAGGTAGGTAGATTCCAGCTCCTAGCTTGACTAATTCTGCCTCTGGAAGTGTGCTCGGTCAACTAGGCGATAATTTCGGGTAGGGAAGGGAGGTGATGCTCAAAATCCCAGAGCTGTTCATTTCTAGGAGAGACTGGAGAGTCCAAAGGGGTATAGCAGCAGGTCACCTTAGCCTTGGAAGAGGCATTTGTTTTGATTGCTGGGACCTAATAAATCTTAAGAAACCGTGTAGGGGAGTGGTTGGAGCATAGGGCTGGAAATCTTGGGGTTGGTTGTAGTTATGGCTCCGATACTAACACCTCTCTGTGTTTTAGTTTACCCATCAACAAAATGAAATAGTTAATAATTACCCTGCCATAGGCATATTTGGGGGTTAAATGAGGAAATGCATGTAAAATGGTTAGCAGAGTTCTTAGCACATACATAGGAAGTAGGCAATGCATTTGTTGTTGTTGTTGTCGTCAGTGTCGCTATGGTTTTCTCCCACCACCAGGAAGCAGCTATTCAGAGCTTTCCAATCTGTTTGTGACTTTGGAAACTTAGTGGACCTCCCCAGTTCTCTCCTCTGAGCTCACATACTGTATTGGGAAATATTATCTGAAAACGTGTGCGCCAGTTTCTTGTGGTTAGAACTTATTATCTATATGGGATTGTGTTTAGGGGTGTTTCTTGAGAATACATGCCAACTTTGGAGACTTAACTTTGAATTTCACCAGAAGTTGTGGGTGGCTTAGTAGCTACCTAAGCTGATATCTCCATCTATCCCTGTAGTCGTTTTTCCTGCTGTGGGTTGAAGCTGTCTATTCTTTTCTAAACAAGGATTGCCAAGTAGAAAGAGGCTAGAAAAATATTTTCTTCATCCAAGTCGAAATATCTTTAAGATATTTTGATGAAGACACTTGAAGCAGATTCTATCAGAAAGCAAGGGAAGTTGGGAACTTATGTGGGGTAGAAAGTACATTTGTCTACAGGCTGTTGGAGGGTGTATCTTGGCTATTGTGTAGTAGGTAATAGGTAAAATTCAGACACTATTTAAACCCTTATTTCCCCTCCCTCCTCTCTTCATCTTGGCTTCTTGTTGGTGGCCAGTATCTTGCTGGATTTATTAGTTATCTATGGCTGCATGATAACATATCTCAAAACTTGGCAGCTTAAAACAACAAACATTTATTTTCTCTGTAGATGAGTAATTTGGGAATAGCATGGCTCAGTGGTTCTGCCTCAGGATCTCATGAAGTTTCCATCAAGGCGAGGGCAGGGGCTGTCATGATCTGAAGGTTTGACTGTGGCTGGAGAACCCACTTTGAAGATGGCTCCTCACATGGCAGGAGACTGTGATTCTTTGTTGGCTCTTGGCAGGAGGCCTCATCCTCATTCTGTGGATCCTCCTACAGACTGCTTGAGGATCCTGTGACATGGCAGCTGGCCTTCTCCAGATCCAAGAGGGAGCAAGACTGAAACTGTCTTTCATGACCTGGCCACAGAAGTCACACAATGACATATCTGCTATGTTCTGTTTGTTAGAAATGAATCATTTAGTCCAGCCTGTCCTCAAAGGGAGGAGAATTAGGTTTCATTTTTTGAGGGGAAGATTAGCAAAGAATTTGTGGATATATTTTAAAGCCACCACAGTGGGCTTCAACCTTCCTCACACCTGAACAGCTCATGGCTCACCCTCATCAACATGATGATGCCGTTTCTTTCAGCATCTTCTTTTTCAACTGGTTCTCAAGCTCCAATCTCCCCTCTCCCCAGCTGCAGCCGTACCTTCATTGCCCATCTGGACAGTTGAGAGGTCCCATGATGCTGGCTTTGTCAACTCACCCCCATTACCCCTCAAAGCTTATCTCCCCTGTGCCAGATTTTCACAGATCATAGCCAATCTAAAAATGGGTTCATTTTTAAAATTCTGTGAACACACTGACTAGCTTCTTATTTAAATGTCATCCTCGATATTGGTAAGAATAAAAATAGAGCCTAACTCCATGGAGTTTATGATATAGAAGGAGAGGTATGAAATATAAATGTAACAGGAAGTAGAAAGTGGTAAGTGCTTTAAGGAGGTACAGATAAAGTGCTGTTATTTCCTGGAGTGAGTGAAGTATAATTATTAAAATGTTAAGCCCCCAAGTAAGAGAGCTGGATGTAAATTGTGGCAGTATGGTGCAGTGGTTACTGCTTGGCCTCTGGGGAAACATTGCCTGCATTTGAACCTGAGTAAGTGACTTAACATTCCTATGCTTATTTCCAAGAATAACCTCTTGCTTCTCAACCTCTTATTAAGGATTTGATAAATGAATATATGCAAATATGCTCAGAACAGAGCCTCATACATAGTGCTCAATAAATCTTAGTTATGCTTAATAATTTTGGGCAGAGATTTAATCTCACCAGACTGCAGTGTCATTGTCTGTGAGTGAGTAAAGTAGAAATGCCTCTTTCCTGCTGTAGTTGTGAGAATTTCAGGATATAGTGTGGGCAAAATTCTTAATACCATATCTGACACATAGTAAGAGGTCAGTAAACATTACCTATCATCATTTTAGCAGCTTGAGGAGCCAAGATGTGCTTCCAGAATGGAAAGACATTTGAGTTAAACCTTGTAGGATGGGTGGAATTAAGACATCAATTCTGCCCTGCTGAAATAATTATTTTGACTGCCATTTATGGTGATATGTATAGGCTTTTTACTAGGTGCTCGACATGAATGATATCATTTCTGCCCCTTCTCCTCCCTGAAAGCCCAATGATGGTGGTTATTTCACAGGTGAGGAACGTGACACTCAGAGAATAGACATGATTTGCTTAAAGTCAATCAGCCTCGGAATGGAAGGGTTGAGATTTGAGGAAGGGTTTGTTTGTCTGACTCTGGATCCTGAAATTCTTCTCTGGGCTACATGGCCTACATTCCCTCCAGGTCTCTTAGTAATTCCTTGTTTTGTGGTTTTTATTTTTAGCGACAGAGTCTTGCTATGTTACCCAGGCTGGTCTCAAACTCATGGGCTCAAACGATCTTCCCACCACAGCCTTCCGAGTAGCTGACACTACAGGCCACCACACCCAACTTCTCTCTGTGGTTTTTAACCTCCTCCTAGAGAGTAAACTCAGCCTCAGGAAGGTGAGATAGGAGGCTAGTTAATAGTCAGTGGATAGAGTGGTAGGAGGAGGGTATGCTCAGTGACTAAGATCCAGCACTGAGCCTCACCCTGTTCGACATTTTCTGGTCACTAGGAACATTTCCTAGGAAGACTGGCACCACAGCAGCTTCTGTATGAAAGAAGGGAGTATCCTTCACCTAATGATATGGAAACCCTTTGGTTCTCTGAGGCAGCTGTCTAGGACTCTCAACTCAATGGAGCTCTTGATCCCCGGGGCCACAATTGCTTTATTTCCTTAGATTGTCCTTATGGCTGCTTCTGCAGAGTTCAATCAATCCAATTGCAAAACCAGGAAGCACAGAATGTATGGGTCCAGTTGACTCAGCCTCTTAGCTCAGAAATGTAATGCTGTGTCAGTGGGTCCAGCAACATCTGTTCCCTGAAGCATCAGCCTTTTCCTTGTCAATAAGAGACATTTGCAAATAATTGTGTATTCCCTTGTGATGACTCCTGTCTTATGACTTGTTATAGTCTAGTCCTCCAGACTGTGGACTCCTTGAGAAGGCAGCCTTGTTGGAAACCAGGCCTTGAGTCTTGGCTGACTTTAATTTGCTGTGTTTGACCTTGGGAAGCTGCTTAGTATCTCTGAGCATTAGTTTATTCAGGTAAAATGTGGAGGTTGGAGTAGATGAACTCGAAGGTCCTTTTTAATATGAAGGCACCTGTGATTCTGGGACCTGTGTACCCTTCACAGCAGCAACCACATTGCATGTAGCCCACCCTGGATACATATGATTGCCCAATGCTTGTACATGTGACTAATCTGCTATTTGTTTTTATCTGGGCTTGCTTATTTGGGGAAGTAAAGTTTGATTCTGGTCAGTGTTAATGCATTGGGTGAATACATGTTCAAGTTCAAAGAGCACTGGGTCTGTGGTGAGTATACTTGGCGAAGTTACTTGACAACCTCAAGCTTTAGTTCCCTCAGTTTCCTTATCTGTTAAATGGGAATGATCCAAATTTTGACCTCTTAAGGTTGCAAGGAGGAACAAATAACGTATCTGACTACCCTGTGTAAGCCATAAAGTTGTGCTCAAATCTAAGGATTTTATACTGTAATTCTGTTTCTTGTCTTTGATTTTCTGTTTTCTGAAACCCCAATCTCCAGAAGGTAATTCCAAACCCGTGTTTCACCAGCAGCATCCTAGAAAGATACGCACACCAAGTTTATATGTTAAAATAAAAGGAGTTTTGTTTTAAGGTAGAAGCTCAGAAGGTTGAGACTGCATCATTCTAGATGAATGACTAAATTTGGATCTGCAGTTTGCAGATCCTGATTCATACATGTCTTATTTGGGGGGAAACGCTGTGCCATTTCAGGCTGAAACAGAGACCCAAATGTTTATAAATTATGCTGGATGAGGCCAGCATCACAAAGTCAGCTTCCTAATGAGAGAAAAAGCCAGTTCTGCCTAATAATTTTGTTTTCTTTCTGTAGATTGTACCAGAAAAAAATGAGGAATTTTTACTCTTTGGAGCATTTTTTGAAGCTACCATGATTGACCGGAAGATTGGAGATAAACCCATCAGCTTTGAAGTTTCTATTGGTAAGTACAGATAAGCACAGTGCCAGGCACATAGCATGGATTTAGTATCTATTTCTTGAATAAATGAGTTAGTGCCTTACATGAAGATAATAGCACTCTGGTGGAGGTTTGCATCTCAGAATGAGATGAACAATTCCTTGTCTACTCTATTGTCAATATATAAGGGATAGATTTATTTTCTTTTAAATTTAAATTTGAAGTTTTGTGGGTACACAGTAGGTGTATATATTTATGGGGTACATGAGATTTTGATATAGGTATACAATATGTAAAAATCCCACTAGGGTATATAGGGGATCTATCACCTCAATCATTTATCCTTTCTTTGGTTACCAACAATCCATATTACACTGTTTTAGTTACTTAAAAACGTACAGTAAGTTGTTGTTGACTGTACTCACCCTGTTGTGCTATCAAATACTAGATCTTATTCTATTGAACTCTATTTTTGTACCCATTAACCATCTGCACTTCTCCCCTGCCTCCCACTACCCTTCCCAGCCTTTGATAACCATCATTTCACTCTCTATCTCAATGAGTTTAATTGTTTTAATTTTTAGCTTCTCCACCAGATAAGTGAGAACATGTGAAGTTTGTCTTTCTGTGCCTGGCTCGTTTCACTTAACATGATAACCTCCTGTTCCATCCATGTTGCTGGAAATGACAGGTTCTCATTCTTTTTCATGGATGAATAGTACTCCATTGTGTATCTGTATCACATTTTCTTTATCTATTCATCTGTTGATGGACATTTAGGTTGCTTCCAAATCCTAGCTATTGTAAATAGTGCTGTAACAGACATAGGAGTGCAGACATCTCTTCGATATACTGACTTCCTTTCTTTTGGATATACACCCAACAGTGGGATTGCTGGCTCATATGGTAGTTCTATTTTTAGTTTTCTGAGGAACTGTCAAACTGTTCTCCATAGTGGTTGTATTAATTTGCATTCCCATCAACAGTGTATGAGGGTTCGCTTTTCTCCACATCCTCACCAGCATTTGTTATTAGCCTGTTATTTGGAGACAAGCCATTTTAACTGGGGTGAAATGATATATCATTGAAGTTTGATTTATGTTTCTCTGATGGTTAATGATGCTAAGCGCCTTTTCATATGCTTGTTTGCCATTTGTATGTCTTTTTTTGAGAAATGGCTATTCAGATCTTTCACCTATTTTAAAATCAGATTATTGGATTTTTTTTTCCTATACAGTTGTTAGAGCTCCTTATAGCTTCTGGTTATTAATCCCTTGTCAGATAGATAGGATGCAGATATTTTCTCCTGTTCTGTGGATTGTCTCCTCACTTTATGAATTGTTTCCTTTGATGTACATCAGCTTTTTAACTCGATGTGATCCCATTTGTCCATTTTTGTTTTGGTTGCATATGCTTGTGGTGTATTACTCAAGAAATCTTTGCCCAGATCAATGCCCTGGAGAGTTTTCCCAATGTTTTCTTGTAGTAGCTTATAGTTTGAGGACTTAGATTTAAGTCTTTAATCCATTTTGATTTGGTTTTTGTATATGGTGGAACATAGGGGTCTAGTTTCATTCTTCTTTATATGGCTATCCAGTTTTCCCAGCACCATTTATTGAAGAGACTGTCCTTTTCCCAACACATGTTCTCGATACTTTTGTAAAAAATGAGTTCACTGGCTGGGTGCGGTGGCTCACACCTGTAATCCCAGCAGTTTGGGAGGCTGAGGCAGGCGGATCACGAGGTCAGGAGTTCGAGACCATGGTGAAATCCCATCTCTAGTAAAAATACAAAAATTAGCCGGGCATGGTGGTGTGTGCCTGTAATCCCAGCTACTTGGGAGGCTGAGGCAGGAGAATCACTTGAACCCGGGAGGCGGAGGTTGCAGTGAGCTGAGATTGCGCCACTGCACTCCAGCCTGGGCGACAGAGCGCAACTCAAAAAAACCAGACAGCATGTCTCAAAAAAAAAAAGAGTTCAGTATAGATGAATAGATTTATTTCTGGGTTCTCTATTCTGTTCCATTGTCCATGTGTCTGTTGTTATGCCAGTACCACACTGTTGTGGTTACTACAGCTCTGTAGCATAATTTGAAATCAGGTAATATGATTCCTCCAGTTTTGTTCTTTTTGCTTAGAATAGCTTTGGCTATTCTGCGTCTCTTGTGGTTCCATGTAAACTTTAGAATTTTTTTCTATTTCTATGAAGAATGTCATTGGTATTTTGATAGAGATTGCATTGAATCTGTAGATTGCTTTGGGTAGTGTGGATGTTTTAACAATACTGATTCTTCCAATCCATGAACATGGAATATGTCTCTCTTTTTTTGTGTCCTCTTCAATTTCTTTAACCAGTGTTTTATAGTTTTCGTTGTGGAGATCTTTCACTTCTTTGATTAAGTTTATTCCTAGGTATTTTATTTTATTTGTGGCTATTGTAAATGGGATTACTTTCTTGATTTCCTTTTCACATTGTTCACTGTTGGCATATAGAAATGCTACTAATTTTTAAATGTTGATTTTGCATCCTGCAACTTTACTGAATTTGTTTATCAGTTCTAACAGGTTTTTGGTGGAATATTTAGGTTTTTCCAAATATAAGATCATATCATCTGCAAACAAGGATTATTTGACTACTTCATTTCCTATTTGGATGCCCTTTGTTTCTTTCTCTTGTCTGATTTCTCTCTCTAGGACTCCCAGTATTATGTTCAGTAATAGGGATGAAAGTGGGCATCTTTTTCTTCTTCCAGATCTTAAAGGAAAGGCTTTCAGTTTTTTTTCCATTTGGTGTGAAACTAGCTGTGGGTCTGTCATATATCGCTTTTATTGTATTGAGGTATGTTCCTTCTGTACTTAGTGTTTTGAGAGTTTTTTTAATCATGAACGGATGTTAAATTTTATCAAATGCTTTTTCAACATAAATTGGAATGATCATATGGTTTTTGTCCATTCTGTTGACGTGATGTATCATATTGATTTGCGTACATTGAACTATCTTTGCATCCTTGGTACAAATCCCACTTGGTCATGATGAATGATATTTTTAATGTGTTGTTGAATTTGGTTTGCTAGGATTTTGTTGAGGATTTTTGCATCAGTGTTGATCAGGGATATTGGCCTGTAATTTTCTTTTTTGTGTCTTTGTATGGTTTTGGTTTCAGGGTAATACTGGCCTTGTAGAATGAGTTTGGAAGTATTCCCTCCTCTTCCATTTTTTTGTATTGGAATTCTTTTTTAAAAATATTTTTAAAATATCAGTAGCTTTTGTAATACAAATAGTTTTCGGTAACGTGGATGAATTGTATTCATCCTTGGTGAAGTCCATGATGAAGTCTAGGATTTTACTGCACCTGTCACCCAAGCAGTGTACATTGTACCCAGTATATAGTTTTTTATCCTTTGTCCTCTCATACCTCTTCCTTCTGAGTCTCCAAAGTCCATTATACCACTCTGTATGACTTTTCATACCCATAGCTTAGCTCCTGCTTATAAGTGAGAACATATGGTATTTGGTTTTCCATTCCTGAGTTACTTCACTTAGAATAATGACCTCCAGCTCCATCCAAGTTTGCTGCAAAAGACATTATTTTATTCTTTTTTATGGCTAAGTAGTATTCCATGGTGTGTATATACCACATTTTCTTTATCTACTCATTAGTCAATGGGCATTAAGGTTAGTTCCATATCTTTGCAATTGTGAATTGTGCTGCAACAAACATAAACATGCAGGAGTCTTTATGATATAATGACCTTTTTTCCTTTGGGTAGATAACCAGTAGTAGGATTGCTGGATTGAATGGTAGATCTACTTTTAGTTCTTTAAGAAATCACTGGCTGGGCGCGGTGGCTCATGCCTGTAATCCCAGCACTTTGTGAGGCCGAGGTGGGCGGATCACGAGGTCAGGAGATCGAGATCATCCTGGCTAACATGGTGAAACCCCGTCTCTACTAAAAATACAAAAAATTAGCTGGGTGTGGTGGTGGGTGACTGTAGTCCCAGCTACTTGGGAGGCTGAGGCAGGAGAATGGTGTGAACCCAGGAGGCGGATCTTGCAGTAAGCCGAGATAGCACCACTGCACTCCAGCCTGGGTGGCAGAGGAGACTCTGCCTCAAAAAAACAAAATAAAATAAAAAGAAATCATCATATGGTTTTCCATAGAGATTGTACTGATTTACATTCCCACCAGCAGTCTGTAAGCATTCCCTTTTCACCACATTCACGCCAACATCTATTGTTTTTTGACTTTTTAATAATGGCCCTTCTGGCTGGGGTAGGATGGTATCTCACTGTGGTTTTAATTTGCATTTCCCTAATCATTAGTGATGTTGAGCATTTTTTTCATATGTTTATTGGCCATTTGTATTATCTTCTTTTGAGAAATGTCTATTTATGTCATTTGCCAACTTTTTGATGAGATCTGTTTTCTTGCTGATTTGTTTGAGTTCCTGGTATTCTGGATATTAGTCCTTTGTTGGATGCATAGTTTGCAAAGGTTTTCTCCCATTCTATGGGTTGTCTGTTTACTCTGATTATTTCTTTTGCTGTGTGGAAGCTTTTTAGTTTAATTAGGTCCCACTTATTTATGTTGGTTTTTGTTGTGTTTGCTTTTGGGGTCTTAGTTATAAATTCTTTTCTTAGGACTGTGTCGTGAATAGATTGTTCTATGTTTTCTTCTAGGAATTTTGTGGTTTCTGGTCTTAGATTTAAGTCCTTGATCCATCTTGAGTTGATTTTTGTATACGATACAGATCCAGTTTTATTCTTCTACGTGTGGCTATCCAGTTTTCCTAGCACCATTTATTAAATAGGGTGTTCTTTCTCCAAATTAATGTTTTGTATGCTTTGTCAAAATTCAGTTGGTGGTAAGTATTGGCTTTATTTCTGGGTTCTCTGTTCTGTTCTATTGGTCTATGTATCTGCTTTTATACCAATACCATGCTGTTTTAGTAACTATATCCTTGCAGTATAACTTGAAGTCAGGTAATGTGATGCTTCCAGATTTGTTCTTTTTGCTTAGGATTGCTTTGGCTATTTGTGCTCTTTTTTTGGTTTTACATGAATTTTAGGATTGTTTCTAATTCTGTGAAAAATGATGTTGGTATTTTGATAGGAACTGCATTGAATTTGTAGATTGCTTTGAGAAGTATGGTCATTTTCACAACACTGATTTTTCTAATCCATGAGCATGAGATGTGTTTCCATTTGTGTCATCTATGATTTCTTTCAGCAGTGTTTTGTAGTTCTCCTTGCAGAGATATTTCACCTCCTTGGTTAAGTATATTCCTAGTTTTTTTTTTCTTTTTTGCAGCTATTGTAAAAGGGATTGTGTTCTTGATTTGATTCTCAACTTGGAAGTTGTTGGTATATAGCAGTGCTACTGATGTGTGTACATTGATTTGTAACCTGAGATTTTGATGAATTTGTTTATCAAGTCGAGGAGTCTTTAGGGTTTTCTAGGTATATCATCATATCATTAGCAAACTGCAATAGTTTGACTTCTTCTTTTCCAATTTGAATGTCCTTTATTTCTTTCTCTTGCCTGATTGCTCTGGTTAGGACTTCCAGTATTAAGTTGCATAGAAGTGGTGAAAGTGGGCTTCCTTATCTTGTTCCAGTTCTTAGGGGAAATGCTTTCAACTTTTCCCCATTCAATATAATGTTGGCTGAGGGCTGAGGGTTTTTCATGTAGGGCTTTTATTATTTTGAGATATGTCCCTTCCATGCCTACTTTTTTGAGGGTTTTTTTTTAAATCATAAAATGATGCTGTATTTTATTGAATGCTTTTGCTGCATCTTTTGAGATGATCATATGGTTTTTAATTCTGTTTATTTGATGTATCACTTATATTGACTTTCATACATTAAACCATTCCCGCATCCCTGGAATGTAATGCACTTGATCATGGTGTATTTTCTTTTTGATGTGCTGTTGGATTTGGTTTGCTAGTATTTTGTTGAAGATTTTTGCATCTGTGTTTATCAGGGATATTGTTCTGTAGTTTTCTCTTTTTGTTATGTCCTTTCCTGGTTTTGGAATCAGGGTGATATTGGCTTCATAGAATGAGTTAGAAATAATTCCCTCTTTCTCAATCTTTTGGAATAGTTTCAGTAGAATTGGTACTAACTCTTTTATGAATGTCTGGTAGAATTCAGCTGTGAATCCATCTGGCCCTAGGATTTTTTTGTTGTTGGCAATTTTTTTTACATTGCTGACTCAATCTCACTGCTTGTTATTGGTCTCTTCAGGGTTTCTATTTCTTCCTTTCTTAATCTAGGAATGTTGTATATTTCCAGGAATTTATCCATTTCCTCTAGATTTTCTAGTTTGTGTGCATAGAAGTATTCATAGTAGTCTTGAATGATCTTTTGTATTTTTGTTGTATCAGTGGTAATGTCTCCATTTTAATTTCTAATTGAGATTATTTGCATCTTCCATCTTCTTCTTTTCTTGGTTAATATAGATAATGGTCTATTGATTTTGCTTATCTATTTAAAGAAACAATTTTTTGTTTCATTGATCTTGTATATTTTTGGTTTCAATTTCATTTAGTTTTGCTTTTATCTTTGTTATTTCTTTTCTTCTGCTAACTCTTTGAGTTTTGTTTTTTTCCTATTTTTCTACTTCCTTGAGGTGCGACATTGGGTTGTCAATTTGTGATCTATCAGACTTTTTGATGTAGGCATTTAGTCCTTCCTCTTAGCACTGCTTCTGCTGTATCTGAGAAGTTTTGATAAGTTGTGTCACTATTATCATTTATTTCAAAGAATTTTTAAATTTCCATCTTGATTTCATTGTTAAACCAAAAATCATTCAGGAGCAGACTAATTTCCATGTATTTTTAGTTTTGAGGATTCCTTTTGGAATTGATATCTAGTTTTATTCTGTGGTCTGAGAAGATACTTGATATGATTTCAATTTTTAAAAGTTTGAGATTTGTTTTGTGTCCTATCATATCGTCTATCTTGGAGAATGTTCCCTGTGCTGATAAGAAGAATGTATATCCGGCCGGGCGCGGTGGCTCACGCCTGTAATCCCAGCACTTTGGGAGGCCGAGGCGGGCGGATCACGAGGTCAGGAGATCGAGACCATCCCGGCTAAAACGGTGAAACCCCGTCTCTACTAAAAATACAAAAAATTAGCCGGGCGTAGTGGCGGGCGCCTGTAGTCCCAGCTACTTGGGAGGCTGAGGCAGGAGAATGGCGTGAACCCGGGAGGCGGAGCTTGCAGTGAGCCGAGATCCCGCCACTGCACTCCAGCCTGGGCGACAGAGCGAGACTCCGTCTCAAAAAAAAAAAAAAAAAAAGGAAGAATGTATATCCAAGACCAAATGTTTATTTGATGAGCACCAGGGCTGCCTGACTGTTTTGGGGTAGAGTTACAGACTTTCCTGCTGAGCCCAGCACTGCAGCTGAGCCTCTGTTAAAAGAAACTTCCCACCAGCAGAAAGTTCTGGGACTCAAGGCCTGCTATGTGGATTTTTTTGTCCCACAGGGTGCTCCCTTAATATGATGCACTGCCCCTTTCCCTCAGAGTAGGAGTCCCTGAGAGCCAAACTACAGTGAATGTTGCTGTTCTTCTGGGTCTAGCCACCCAGAGGGGCTGCCACAATCCAGGCTTGTTTGTGAAAATGCCAACAAATGATCCAGTGATGTGGTCTGTCCTCAAGTCTCCCAGCAGTGGCTACCAGTACCAGTTCTAATGAGGGTGGTCAGGGGAGTGATGTAGACTCTGTGAGATTCTCTGATTATAAATAGCCTTAGTGTGTTGGCTTTCTCAAATGCCGGTTGTAGTAGTAATGAGCTGATCATGTAGGCAGACTTAGGACCTCCTGTTTATCCAGGGTGCTCAGCAATGCTGTTAGTTAAGGCCATGCACAAGTTTTCTCCTTCCTGGATGCTGTTATTCTACCTGAAGGTGCTGTAATAGACTGTGTCGGTTGGCCTCCAGCCAGGAGGTGGTGCTTGCAAAAAGGTATCAGCTGCAGTGGTGGTGGTGGGATTTGTGCTTGCCTTATGCTGCCCAGAGGAGGTACTCTGGCATCTCAGGCAATGAGTGGAACCACAGAGCTTCCAAATTTTGTCCTTTGTGTTATGTTATCAGTGTGGGTGGAGGCTCAAAGACAGGTGGGGTCTGGGTCTGGGCCTGTCAAGTCCATGCTCTGGCTCTTCACATGCAGGGCAAGCAGCAGCTCAAATGGGGAGTTAGGGAAACAGTTCTCTGACCACTGGGGCAATGCTTCAAGAAAGAGCACAGCTGCCTTTTCTGTACGGAAGAGTCCAGAGAAGGAGTGGGGGGTAGCATGCAGCAGTAAGCCCCACCCAGCTCCTACACATTGGCGAGACATATCTTTCACCCACGGTATTCCACCAGCAGCAGCTAGCTAAGTTCCAGGCAGTCTCTGCTCAGAACTTACAACTGCCCCAGGTCATAAGCCTTCCCTGGTGGAGACAGCAACTGCAGCTTGCAGGCCACACACCTCCCAGTTCACCCGCAAAACCCAGGCTCCCAGCTCTAGCACTTGTGGCTGCAACACGTTTCCCACTTGTCCCCCAGTTCTGGCCAAGGGAGTTTGTCCCCACTTGAGATTATTTTGTACCTCTCAGCTGGGGGCTTCTGTAAACCTGCAACCATCACCTGAGTTAGCTGGCAGGCTTCTACAAGGTCCCCTGTGAGGTAGGATCAGGAATGGCTTCCCTCTATCTGTACTGGAGATTGGGAATGTATGCATAACTTGTGGTTGCTTCTACTTTTATGTTTCTCTTTGCTCCCTAAATAAGTTAGCACTTGTTAGGGTTAAGGTCTTCCTCCATGGCCTGGATTGTGAGATTCTCTGGTGGGAGTGTATATCCCAGAGGCAATTTATCTCCTTCTCACAGTCTGGGGACTTAAAATATTCTGCCTGGCTCACAGTTTAGGCTGCAGCCCACTGCTTCTTTCAGAGGGTCTGTAGTTTCTTTCAGAAAGTTTTCCTGTTAAGTTCCTGCATTGTTTCTTGAAGAAAAGCTCACAGCATGAATCTCTACACACTATTTTGTCTTTCCAAGTGGGAGAGTCATGGTAACCATGCCTTCAGTCCACCATCTTGAAAAAACTTGTGTTTTTCTTTAAATGTTTGGTGAATTTCAGCACTGAAGCCATGGGGTCCTGGACTTTTCTTTGTGAGGAGACTTTTTATTATGATTTTGATCACATTACTTATTACTGGCCAGTTCAGGTTTTGCATTTCTTTATGATTCAATCTTGGTAGGTTGTTTATGTCTAAGAATTTATCCATTTCTTCTAGGTTTTCCAATGTATTGGCACATAGTTGTTCATAGCAGTCTCTAATGATTCTTTGAATTTTTGCAATATGTGTTGTAATGTCTCCTTTTTATCTCTGATTTTATTTATTTGGGTCTTCTCTTTTTTTTTAGTCTGGCTACAGGATTGTCAATTTTATCTTTTCAAAAAACCAATTTTTCATTTTGTTGATCTTTTGTATTGTTTTTATGTTGTTGTTTAGATTTCATTTAGTTCTGCTCTGCTCTGTATTTCTTTCCTTATACTAATTTTGAATTTGTTTGCTCTTGCTTTTTCAACTCTTTAAGATGCATCGTTAGGTTGTTTATTTGATGTTTTTCTAGTTTTTTGATGTAGGTGCTTATTGCTATAAACATTCCTCTTAGTACTGCTTTTGCTGTATCTTATGGGTTTTGGTATGTTGTGTTTCCATTATTTGTTTCAAGAAATTTTTAAATTTCCTTCTTAATTTCTTTATTGACCCACTGGCATTCAGGAATATATTGTTTATATGTGCTCATATAATTTCCAAAATTTCTCGCGTTACTGATTTCTAGTCTTATTCTATTGTAATCAGAGAATATACTTGATATAATTTTAATTGTTTTGAATTTTTAAAGACTTGTTTTGTGGCCTAACATATGGTCTGTCCTTGAGAATGATCCATGTGCTGAGAAGAATGTGTATTCTATAGCCATTAGAAGAAATGTCCTATAAATATCTATTATGTCCATTTGTTCCATGGTGCAGATTAAGTCCAATGTTTTTCTGTTGATTTTCTGTCTGGATGATTTTTCCAGTGCTGAAAGTAGGGTATTGAAGTCTCCAGCTATTATTGTGTTGCGGTCTATCTTTCTCTTTAGCTCTAATAATAATTCCTTTATAAATCTGGGTGCTTCAGCATTGGGTGCCTTTGTATTTTCAATTGTTATATCCTCCTGCTGAAATGACTCCTTGGTCTCTTTTCATAATTTTTATGTTGAAATCTACTTTATGTGATATAATTATATCTACTCCTGTTTTTTGTTTGTTTCCATTTACATGGAATATCCTTTTTCATTTTTCTCAGTCTCTATGTGTATTTATAAGTGAAGTGTGTTTCTTGTAGGCAGCAGATCATTGGACCTTGTGTTTTTATTTATTCTGCCACTGTATATTTTTTGATTAGAGAGTTTATCCACTTACATTCAATTTTATTATTGATACATAAGGACTTACTTCTGCTATTTTGTTATTTGTTTTCTGGTTGTTTCATGGTCTTCCTTTTCTTCCTTCCTGTCTTTCTTTTATTGAAGGCAATTTTCTCTGGCATGTTTTAATTTCTTGCTTTTAATTTTTTGTGCATCTGTTGTATGTTTTTTGATTTGAGGTTATCATAAGGCTTGAAATACGATCTTGTAACCCATATTTTAAATTTATGATAACGCTGATTGTATAAAGAAGCAAAAAAAGCAAAGAGAAAATGAATAAAAACTCTACACTTTAATTTCATCCACTCACTTTTAAGTATTTGTTGTATACTGTCCATGTCTTAAAGTTGTTGTAGTTATTTGTTTTTGATAGGTTCGTCTTTTAGTTTTCTACTAAAGATACAAGTAATTTAGACACCACAATTACAGTGTTATAATGTTCTATGTTTCTTTGTGTACTTACTATTACCAGTGAGTTTTGTACCTTCAGATGATTTCTTGTTGCTCATTAACATCTTTTTCTTTCAAATTGAAAAACTTCCTTTAGCATGTCTTTTAGGATAGGTCTAGTGTCAATGAAATCTCTCAGCATTTATTTGTCTGTGAAAGTCTTCATTTCTCCTTCATGTTTAAAGAATATTTTTGCTAAATATACTATTCTAGGATAAAAGGGTTTTTGTTGTTATTGTTTAGCACTTTGAATATGACATGTCACTCTCTCCTGGCCTGTAAGGTTTCCACTGAGAAGTCTCCTGACAGATGTATTGGAGCTTCTTTGTATGTTATTTCTTTTCTCTTGCTGCTTTTAGGTTCTTTATCCTTGAGTTTTGGGACTTTGATTATTAAATGTCTTGAGGTAGTCTTCTTTGGATTAAATCTGCTTGGTGTTCTATAACCTTGTACTTGAATATTGAAATCTTTCTCTAGGGTTGGGAAGCTCTCTGTTATTATTATCCCTTTGAATAAACTTTCTACCCTGATCTCTGTCTTTCTACCTCCTCTTTGAGGCCAATAATTCTCAGATTTGCCCTTTAGAGGTGATTTTCTAGATCTTATAGGCATGTTTTATTCTTTTCTATTCTTTTTTTCTTTTGCTTCCTCTGTGTATTTTCAAATAGGTTGTCTTCAAGCTCACTAATTCTTTCCACTTAATTCTGCTGTTAAGAGACTCTGATGTATTCTTCAGTATGTTGGTTGCATTTTTTAGCTCCAGAATTTCTGCTTGATTCTTTCTAATTATTCAATCTCTTTGTTAAATTTGTCTGGTAGTATTCTGAATTGCTTCTCTGTGTTATCCTGAATTTTATTAAGTTTCCTCTATACAGCTATTTTGATTTCTCTGAAAGCTCACATATCTCTGCCTTTCTGGAATTGGTCACTAGTGCTTTATTTAGTTTGCCTGGTGAGCTCATGTTTTCCTGGATGGTCTTGATGCTTGTGGATATTATTTGGTGTTTGGGTATTGAAGAGTTAGGTATTTATTGTAGTCTTTGTAGTCTGGGGTTGTTTGCGCCCATCCTTCTTAGGAAAGCTTTCTAGATATTTGAAGGGACTTGGGAGTTGTGATCTAATCCTTTGGTTACTGAAGTTGCATCTGAATTAGAGGGAACTTCAAGCCTAGTAACACTGTGGCTCTTGCAGAGTTGTAGAGGTACTGCCTTGGTGATCTTGGGTAAGATCCAAAAGAATTCTCTTGATTAATAGGCAGAGACACTTGTTCTCTTAGTTTCCCTCAAAAAGAGGGAAACTCTCTCTCTCTCTCTCTCTCTCTCTCTCTCTCTCTCTCTCTCTCTCTCTCTGTACTGAGTTGCCTGGAGCTGGGGGAGGGGTGACACAAGCACTTCTGTTGCTACCACCACTGGGACTGGGCTGGGTCAGACCCAAAGCCAGCACATCCCTGGGTCTCGCCTAAGGCCCATGATGACCACTGTCTGGCTACTGCCTGTGTTCAGTCAAGGACCAAGGGCTGTACCTCAGCAGGTGGTTAATCCAGCCAGGTGCCTGTCCTTTCCTTCAGGGCAATGAGTTCACCCCTGGCCCCAGATGGGTCCAGAGATGTCATCTGGGAGCCAGGACTTGGAATCTAAAACCTTAGAAATCTACCTGGTTTTCTATTCTACTGCGGCTGAGCTGGCATCCAAGTTGCAAGACAACATTCTTTCCACTCTTCTCTCTCCTTTTCTCAAGCAGCTGAGTCTCTACCCATGACCACTGCCGCCCTAGCCCCACAGCAAGTACTGCCTGGCGATTAGCAATGTTCACTCAAGGCCCAAGGGCTCTTTAGTCTGCTTATGATGAATCCAGGCTTAGGTCCCTCCCTTTGTGACAATGGGCTCCTCTCTGACCCAAGACAGGTCCAGAAATGCTGTCTAGGAGAGTGAAGGCCTGAAATCAGGGGCCCTGAGAACCTGCCTGGTGTTCTACCTCATTGTGGCCAAGCTGGAATCTCAGCTGTGAGACAAAGTCCCCTTTATTCTTTCCTCTCCTTTCCTCAAACAGAAGGGGTTTCTCCCCATAGTTAACACCGCTGGGAATGTGTTGGGTCACACCTGAAGCCAGCATGGTGCTGAGTCTCACCCAAGGACAGTGGTGAGTACTGCCTGGCTACCACTGCTAATTATTCAAGGCCCAAAGGCTCTTTAGTCTGCAGATGATTAATTCTGCTAGGACTGGGTTCTTCCTTTCAAGGCAGAGGGTTCCCTTCTGTTCCAAGGTGTGTTTAGAAATGTCATCTGGGGGCCATGCACGGTGGCTCACACCTGTAATCCCAGCACTTTGGAAGGCCAAGCCAGGTGGATCACTTGAGGTCAGGAGTTTGAGACCAGCCTGGCCAACGTGGTGAAACCCTGTCTCTGCTAAAAATACAAAATTAGCCAGGTGTCAGAAATTAGCCAGGTGTGGTGGCACATGGCTGCAATGCCAGCTGTTTGGGAGGCTGAGGCCGGAGAATTGCCTGAACCCGGGAGGCAGAGGTTTCAGTCAGCTGAGATCAAGCCACTACACTCTAGCCTGGGCCACAGAGCGAGACTCCATCTCAAAACAAAAACAAAAACAAAAACAAAACAAAAGAAATGTCATCTGTGGGCTAGGGCCTGAAATGTGGATCTTACAACTCTGTGTGGTGCTAATTCTGAGCTGGTATCCAAGTTGAAAGACAAGGTCGTCTTTACTCTCCTCTCTCCCCTCCTCAAGCAGAGGGAAGGAGTCCCTCCTAGAGCTATGAAGTGTTGGGGGAAGAGTGAAAATTCCTTGGCTGCCCCAGCTTATGTCTCACTAGGGCATGTGCACCCCAAGTCCACTGTCTCTGAGCCCAGCATAGCACCAGGACTTTTCCAGAAATTGCAGTCCTTGTGGCCTAGACTACCTTTCAAGTTTATTTAGGACCACAGAGCACCTCAGCCTGCAGTGGCAAAGCTTGCTGGAACTTAGGATGGATGATTTGCTTCTGGCTAAGTCTGGTCTAGATGCTCCCTCCTTGGGTGACGGCTGAGTTCTGCCTGGTGTTGCTTTCCACTGTGACAAGGCAGCACTGAATTCCAATGCAAAATCCCACAATCACTGCATTTTTTTCATCCCCAAGTGCTCAGATTTTCTTTCCACACCATTTGGCCACTGCTAGGGGATGGAGAAGAATGAATCACCTTTAGGCAATTCAAGACTGTTTTTCCTACCTTCTTCAGTGCTTCTTTCCTTAATATGATGTTAAAACCAGGTACTGTGATCACTCACCTGATTGCTGGTTCTTATGAAGGTGCTTATTTTGTATGAAGAGTTGTTTAATTTGGTCTTTCTGTGGGGGGTGATCACTTCAGGGTTCTATTGGCCATCTTGCTCCACCTCTAGATTTATTTTCATACTTCACAAAAGTGATTAAGACTGTAGGTTTAGATTCAGACATACTTGGATTCCTAATCCTGGTTGCATTACCCAGAGTTCACTTAATGTCTCTGAGTCTCGGTTTCTTCATCTGTGAAATGAATTCCTCATAGAGTTGCAAAGTTTAAGGAGTTAAGGCATACAAAGTGCCATGCATACAGTAGATGTTATTATGTAACTCTCCAAATCTTCTTGGGCTATTATGCAACTGGGAAAGCCATTCCCAGAAAGAGCATTCCATCACAGAAGGTCATGATTTATATTCAGGAAGCTCTCTTTCAACAGGGCAGAAAAAAATAGAGATGAAATACATCCCTTTTAAGCCGTACAGCTGGAAGCCTAACAAAGAATCTCCTGTCTGCATGACGAGAAAATGGAGATACATTTTGGGAACATGTATCTTTATAGAGAGGGCAGAGGGACCCAGGAGGGTTAGCTCTAAGAAGAGAGGTTTGGGTGGGGACTGAGAGAGACCTGGCAGCTGGCTTCAAGCATCAAAGGACCAGAGAAGAGGAAGGAGACTTATGAGGTGGGGCTCTAGGATGGGCCTAAGAACACATGGTCATACGTGAAAAAATGGGATGATTTGGGGTCTATCCAAGGAAGAACTTGCCCATAGGCAGTAAATTCCCTTAGTGGACTGGGATCCACAGGGAGGTAGTGAGCTGCATATGGGAGTGTCCCCACCTCTGACCTTCTCTCCAATAGCCTATTCTCTGGCCCTGCCCTCCATTCTTCTCATTGTCTCTTACTATAATACCTTCCTTTTGACTCATGAAGATACCCAATCCTTTCTTCTGTTTCAGTTTCATCTCTGTCCATCTCAGACTACAAGTTTCATCCCTTTAGCCATACTCTTCCCAGCTGTCTCAATTCTCTTCCCTGTTTTACTATTAAAAACCCCATCTAATTATCCTGCTTCTCTGCTCTCATGCTCTGCCTTTGTGATTGATTTACCACAAATTCAATGGTTTCAGCCATAGTGGATATCCAGAGAGGTCAAACAACCACCTCAGCTTATATAGCTGGTGAATTTTAAAAAGAGGACTCAAACAAAACCTGCTAACTCTAAGTCTCCTTCTTTTTCTAGGATATTATTATGCCTCTCTCAGGTATTTTAGTATTATTCCTAAGGTAAGAATAATGAAGAAGGGAAGAAAAGAATGAACTGGAATGAACTGGGAGAAAGACTCTTAAGGACATAGAAACACATTGAGGTCACTGATTCACTAAATATGAATCAAGACCCTCCCTGTGTTTATTCCACGACCAGTGGAGACACAAAAATTAGCAAGATACTATTTTCATTCTCAAGACATTTGCAGACATCTAAGTAAATTATTTGAAAACAAGATGGTAGAGGAATGATGGGAATATGATGTGACTTTAGGGACCTGTTTAGCTTAGGTTCCCAGAAACGAAACTTGGGAAGATTCTCATACATGTAAGGTTTGGGTGGCATGCTCTCAGGAGAAGTGGGTGACGGAGCATAGGGCAGGTCTCTGAGGTCAGGGAGACCAGCTACAGCCTGATCCTGTGAGGCGCTCTCAAGTGAGTGGCATCACAGACTTGGCCCCACTTTGAGGCATGTGGGCTGGGCTTTTATATCCCCACACGAAGCTGTGAGTGGCTTCAGGCACAAGAAGGGGGCCTTATAATCTTCTGTGGAGAGACAGACTCCATTAGTAGAAGGCAATTCTGTACGGAAGGTGGCTGTTGTAAGCTATTAGCAGTGATCTCAGTATCTGGGGTTTGGGGGCTCCTTCCTGGTAAAGAGGATCTGGGTGGGGCACCACCAATGACTATTGCAGGGAGACAGAGTAGTGACACCTGGCCTGCCTGGAGAGGAAAGGCAGGGGTCAGGAACGAAGAAGTTAGGAAGGCTTCCCAAGTTAAGAGGTCCTTGTGATTATGGGCATTTGATCCTGAACCTTTCTTGATTTGAACAGTCAACAAACTCTGTAACATGGCTAGCTTTGGAGCTCCTTCCAAAAGAGAGGAATGTTCATCTAAATCTTTTAAAGCATTTGAAATTAGATTACAAAATGGAAAGATCAATGACACCAGTATGCCTGCAGTGAATATCTATTCCTATACAAAGATATTTATAGCACAAAAGCTGCCCTATTTGTAGGGGAAAAAATGATGTTTTCCTTCCCTCTCTCCCCACTCTGCTTCTCTCTCTCTCTCCCCACCCCCCGCCCTTAATTGGGGATTTAGACAAGAAGTCTTCTCTTACAGAAGAAGCAGGTTTGGAAAGGTGTTCATGATATTTAGTGAAAAAGGCAGGTTACAAAATGACGTATCTATGATTCTTTACCAACATCTCTATAGTGCAAGGTTCTCAGGGACACTGCAAGGTTATACACTATAATGTTTAAAATGGTTATAACAGTTTTGTGATTTCTAATGACTCTTTTTTTAGTTGATGGTATTTTCTAATTTGTCATTTGTGTAGTTATTACAAAAGAGAAAATAAGATGGATAGAGATGATAGCTCATCATCATTGTCAGTCTTGTTGGTCTGATCATTGCTCTTTCTACCTTCATAATGGGAGCTTACCTTATTGCTGTGGGAGAACATGAGTTTGGATCCTTTATGCCAAGCAGACTGATTCTGATTACCACCACCTGACCCCTTTCCCCTTGCTACTGCCTCTGCAGGTAATTTTGGAAACCTGATTGATGGAGGATCCCATCATGGGAGTAAGAAGTCAGCTGAATCAGCTGAAGAAGACCTCCTTCCACTGCTTCACGAAGGGCAAGGGGATGTGGCCCATGATGTTCCCATTCCTATGGCCTCCACCACTCACCCGGAGAAGCCACTGGTGACAGAAGGGAACAGGTAGGAGACATAGCCTGGGAGAACAGTCAAGGATTTTGCTGGTGGAATTTTGTCCAGTTTCTAGGACTGTTTTCTTCAGTTCTTCACTAAAATCAGAAATGTCCTTTTTTTTTTTTTTTTTTTTTTTTTTTTTTGAGACGGAGTCTTGCTTGGTCACCAGACTGGAGTGCAGTGTGCAGTGGCACGATCTCAGCTCACTGCAACCTCTGCCTCGTGGGTTCAATGATTCTTCTGCCTCAGCCTCCCGAGTATCTGGGACTACAGGCACACACCACCATGCCCGGCTAATTTTTGTATTTTTAGTAGAGATGGAGTTTCACTGTGTTGGCCAGGATGGTCTCAATCTCCTGATCTCATGATCCTCCTGCCTCGGCCTCCTGAAGTGCTGGGATTACAGGCTTGAGCCACTGTGCCCGGCCAGAAACATAATTTTTTAATCTCAGCTATGAGAACAAGGTGCAAATAGGAGCAAGAAGGTAAGTACCACTCAACTGAATCTTTAGCAACATGACAACCCTCCAGATACATCTAGGTAATTCATTTAAGGGCAGAGCAATGATGATGGTGGTGATCATATCTGAAGTACCCTTTATTCTATAACTGAAGCAAAGTAAGATAGGAAGGTCAGAACTTACAATTTCAATCCAAATCCTCTTATTATATTCATCTGAGTCCTGTGCTATTATGTAAATTCAATTTGATGGGATTATTGAATACATCATTTCTTATCTTATTTTTGACACAGTCATTTGCAAAACTGAAAGACTCAAAAAAAAAAAAAAAAAAAAACAATTGTCAGGCACCAGAAAAGATAATTTCAGAAAACAGCTGGGGGCACTTACATGTACTCTCACTGATCTCCTTTAATCCATTCAAAGTTTCAACCTGCAAATAGAAGTAAAATTACAGAATTTTTTAAAAGAAAGTGGTGTCAAGCACCAATCAAACAAGAAGGGATAGTGTACTGAGAGTCTTTTATTGCCAGATCTTGAAATATGTATGATCTCACTGGATTCTCATAATAGAATATTTCTTCCCCCATTTTGTATGCGAAGAGAATGAAGATGTTGTATGGCCCTGACACAGCTACATCTCTACGCTCCTCAGTCCCTCTGCTCTTTTCAATCTAGACACTCTCTGGGGACTGAACCATGACTACTCTCAGGATAACAGGGACTCCCAAATCTATTTTCCTAGACAGCCCTCTTTCCTGAGCAGCAGATCTAAGCACTTCTGCTTGGATGTCCCACAGATTACTCACCAGGCTCATTGTCTTCACAGACAACTTTTCTTCTTTCCCTATTTTTCCTATCTCTCAGCCCACCATTCTGAGTCCTCCAAGCCACAGACAAGAAAATTGTCAACTGTTGGTCAGGCGAGGTGGCTCATGCGTGTAATCCCAGCACTTTGGGAGGCCGAGGCGGGTGGATCGCGAGGTCAGGAGTTCAAGACCAGCCTGTCCAACATAATGAAACTCTGTCTCTACTAAAAATACAAAAAATTAGCAGGGCATGGTGGCGGGCACCTGTGATCCCAGCTACTCAAGAGGCTGAGGCAGAAGAATTGCTTGAACCCGGGAGGCAGAGGTTGCAGTGAGCAGAGATCGCACCACTGCACTCCAGCCTGGGCGACAGTGGAAGACTCTGTCTCAAAAAAAAAAAAAAAATCGTCAACTGTTCTCTTTTCCTTCCTACCTGCATCTGCTCAGTGATGAAGCCAGTCAATACAGTTCTTAAGTATTTCTCATATATAGATATACAGATATGCCATTTAAAAATTCTGGCCATTGGCACCTTCACCTTACATTACTAGAAAACAACAACAGCAACAACACCTCCTACCTGGTTTGAATCTTATTCAAGACCTTCGCTAAACTATGAGAACCAGTTACTCTCCTGATTCACATCACTCATTGACTCCCTGTGGCTTTCAGGATTAATTCCGGAGGCCGTAGCTTATGGATTTGATCCTAGTCTACTTCTCCACCTTCATTTCTGGCCACTCCACAAATTCTTTCTTCTATTCCAAACTGCAGTGCCCCATGGCAGTATCCCAATATGTCCTGCTGTGTGCTGCTTCTGGACCTTAGAACACACTCTTCCTTACGCCTGGCAATAATCTCCCTCCTCAGAACTGCTAGGTTCAAGACAAAGCCCAATTCCATTCCCTGAATCCCCAGTCTGATTTAGACTTTGTCCTCACCTCCCCCAAGCACTGATTGAAGACTTTTTACCTGTCTCTCTCCTCTGTTAAACTGGGAGCATGTTGAGGCCAGGGACTATGCCTTATTCACACACATATCTGTTCATCTCTGTGACCAGTGAATGGCAGTAGATGCTCATAAGTGTTTTTGAATAAGTTAAGGAATTACTATAACTGGATTGGGTACAGAGTACTATGGGAACAGAGTCAGGTGAGTAATCCCACTGGGGAGGAGGTAAGGAGTTGGGGAAAGTCACAGAAAGAGTAACATCCTAAAGGATGAGAATGTGCTTAAGGGATTGAGGGAAAGCATTTAGGACAAAGCAGAATGGAGTCCATTGAAATAGTCTTAGCTGTTTGTCCTCTTGTTTTTGAGCATTCCCTGAATTTTCTAAACCCTGTCCTTCCATGGGCCTTCCAAGAATCACCTTCTTTGGGGTAATTTTTCGTTCCCTGAAAGCCATACTTGTTTATCTGTCGTTCTTCACAACACCAGAGAGAACCCAAAATTCCTCTGTCTTTTAACTTCATTCTCAAAACTGAGGCCATCAGTGAGGGAACAGCTGGATCTGCAGTTCTGGGGGACTGTTCTGAGACTACTCAGAGGTACTCTGCATCTTTGCACTGGGGCCAGGCAGTGAAGACATTCTCTACCTTGATGGATTAGCCATTGTTGACTATTGGTGGGGGTTTCAGGGGAAGATGGTAAGGGAAGGGTTTAGGAGGAGATGAGAGGTCTCAAAGCATCCTTGGATGCACCTCATATCAGTGCTGTCCTGCTGGCTCAAGGAGATCAAAATAAGTCATGCTGGTATTTTTTTTTGGTACAGTTGGGCTTTCTGTACATTCTTCAGTCACCATATTGAGGCTCTGTCTATATAGTGGCAAGCCAGGGAGGCAGCAGCTGAGTTGGAAAATTCTATGTCTACAAACAACCCCTATACATGTGTGCACATATATGCATGCATGTGCACATATATATGAACACACACAATTTATTTGTTGCCCCCATTAAAATGTCACCTTGGATTTGTTCTGGGCTTTCCAGTGTTGCAAAGCACATGCATTCACATGCAGCTTATTTACTAGGCTGGAGCTCCGGAATGGGACTGGAGAATAAGATATCCAATGACAGGTCATCATGTGATGACCCAAAGTCACAAAGCTGGTCCTGTATCGGGACAGCCATTTAGACTGGCAGTCTCCTCTTTCCACAAACAGCACAGCACCTTGCCATCTGCTGCCCTCCAGCTGCACTGCAGTTTGCCTAAGAAGCCACAGCATCCTTGTCCATGTAGACACACTAAGACTAGGAGGTCCCTGAGAACCAAACAGACAAAGGCCTTGAACATCATTAGCACGAGATGATCCAAACCAAAGAAACCTTGAGACAAAGCAAAATTTGGGGTGGGAATTTATCTATCTGCAGGATTCTTAGTGCAATAATTTTTTAAGAGATAAAGTAGAGCAGTTTGGTTTCTAAACTTGTTTTTGTTCTCCTGCTGTAATAACAACCTCAGTTTCTGCCAAAAACTTATGTGGCTTCTCTTCTGAGTAAACACCTGCTGGTCTGTTTTCTGCAGAGCAGACCACGGGGCACCTTCACTAATTTTATTGTCTCCTTCAGAGGAAATTTGCGTGGAAGAGCTAAAAAGAATAACCATCCATTCTTTCAGGCTGAAGTTCTCTTTAGCTTTTTGGAATGAAAACAAATGTCTCTCTCTCTCTTTCTCTCTCTCCCTCTCTCCCTCTCCCCCCCCTACCTTCTAGAGGCTTCTTCCTCCATATGCCATCCTGTCACACCCATTCCATGGACTTTAGTCTTCTACAGTTCTCTTCACACAGTCCCAGGTGTTTGGGAAAAAATTACATGGGGTTTGGGGGAAAACCTGGTCAAAACAATAGCTGTCATTAGGCAGGGAACTTCTTCAACTTTTTGTTATATTTCTCCCCCTTTAGCTACCTCCACACCCACCCACTTCCTTCTTGGAATTAAAATCTATAAATTAACTGCTGCTTTTCTGTCATCTCTCTCACACTGTTAACTGCCTCTTATCAGCATGCTCACATTTCCAACTGCCATCTTTAAATATTCCTTCTGGCTCCACAGCTTCCCCTTTTAGCTACTTTGCTATCCTCCTCTTGCCATTTTTAGCCAAGCAGGTAACCTACTAGCATTAATTCCTGGCAACAAAAAATATCAGATGGATGGATGGAAGAAAAGAATGGAAGAAAAGTGGATGGAGGGAAGGGTGGTTAGATGAGCAAGCCATGAAATGCCAAAGTTTAGTTTGGGACACAGGCCTTTACCCTCATTGATAGTATGATTATTTTTTTACATTTCTCTAGTAATTTCAGCTTATATAATGCACTTACATCTGTTATCTTTTTTAAAATTGCCTTTTTCCATAGGTTTTGGTGGAACACATGGTATTTGGTTACATGAGTAAATTCTTTAGTAGTGACTTGTGAGATTTTGGTGCACCCATCACCTGAGCAGTATACGCTGAACCCAATTTGTAGTCTTTTATCCCTCACTCCCTTCCTACCCTTTCCCCTCCGAGTCCCCAAAGTCCACTGTATCCTTCTTATGCCTTTGCATCCTCATAGCTTAGCTCCCATTTATGAATGAAAGCATACGATGTTTGGTTTTCCATTCCTGAGTTGTGTCACTTAGAATCATAGTCTCCAATCATGTCCAGGTTGCTGCAAATGCCATTAATTCATTCCTTTTTATGGCTGAGTAGTATCCCATCATATATACGCACACACACCACAGTTTCTTTATCCACTCATTGATTGATGGGCAATTGGGCTAGTTCCACATTTTTCCAATCGTAAATTGTGTTGCTATAAACATGCGTGTGCATATCTTTTTTGCTTAATGACTTCTTTTCCTCTGGGTAGATATCCAATAGTGGAATTGCCAGATCAAATGGTAGTTCTACTTTTAGTTCTTTAAGACCTGAAACTATAAAAATTCTAGAAGATAACATCAGAAAAACCCTTCTAGACATTGGCTTAGGCAAAGATTGTATGACCAAGAACCCAAAAGCAAATGCAACAAAAACAAAGATAAATAGGAGGGATTTAATTAAACTAAAGAGCTTTTGCACAGCAAAAGTAACAGCAGAGTAAATAGACAACCCACAGAGTGGGAGAAAATCTTCACAATCTATACATCTGACAAAGAATTAATATCTAGAATCTACAAGGAACTCAAATTAGCAAGAAAAAAAACTCATCAAAAAGTGGGCTAAGGACATGAATAGACAGTTCTCAAAAGAAGACACACAAATGACCAACAGACATATGAAAAAATGCTCAACATCACTAATGATCAGGGAAATGCAAATCAAAACCACAATGCTCAAAATGCACAAATGATCAAAATGCACAAATGCAAATCAAGACCACAATGCTCAAAATGCACAAAGCCACCTTACTCCTGCAAGAATGACCATTATCAAAAAAATAAAAAAAATAGATGTTGGCATGAATGCAGTGAAAAGGTAACACTTCTACACTGCTGTTGGGAATGTAAACTGGTACAACCACTATGGAATACATTTATTATCTTGACTTTCACATATGCCTGGCACATAGAGACTAAAAAGGAAAAGTTACTTTTCTTCCTGTTTTCCCTCTCTCATTTAAAACCATCCTCCTTCTGCACTCCAGCCTGGGTGATGGAGCAAGACCTTGCCTTTTAAAAACAAATTAAGTACTTTTTTTTTGAAAGGAAAACATTTATTTATTTACTTCCTCTGCAGTTTTCCTGACTGCTACATTTCATAAGAAGGGATTGTTTATGAGGGTCAAGGAGCTGGAGGCCTGGGGAGGAGCTGGTGTTTTTGTTCAAGTTTGAGGGTCCTGGAGCTGGAGCCCAGGGGAGGAGCCGGTGCTGCACTGATGTTGCAGGGTCGTGGAGCTGAAGATCCCAGAGGAGCCGGTGCTGCTATTCTAGCTTGAGTTTTGTAGAGCTGGAGACCCAGGGAGAAGATGGTGCTGCTGTTCTAATTTAAGGATCATGAAACAGAAGAGCCACACAGGAGCTGGTGCTGCTGCTGTTCAGATCTGAGGGTGCTGGAGCTGGAGCCTGGGGGTGGAACTGGTGCTGCCTTTGAAGTCTGAGGGTCATTGATCGGGAGGTCCAGGAAGGAGCTGGTGCTGCTGTTCTAGGGTGAGAGTTGAGGAGCTGCAGACCCAGCGAGGAGCCATGTTGTTGTAGTTCCAGGGTCAGGAAGCTGGAGACCCAGGGAGGAGAGGTCTTGTTCTAGTTTGAGGTTCATGGAGCTGCAGACCCAAGGAGGAGCAATGTTGTTGTAGTTCGAAGGTCAGGTAGCTGGCAACCCGGGCAGGAGAAGTCTTGTTCTAGTTTGAGGGTCGTGGAACTGCAGACCCAGGGAGGAGCAATGTTGTCGTAGTTTGAGGGTCTGCAAGCTGGCGACCCGGGGAGGAGAGGTCTTGTTCTAGTTTGAGGGTCGTGGAACTGCAGACCCAGGCAGCAGCAATGTTGTTGTAATTCGAGGGTCTGGTAGCTGGCAACCCGTGGAGGAGAGGTCTTGTTCTGGTTTTAGGGTCGTGGAGCTGCAGATCCAGGCAGGAGCAATGTCGTTGTAGTTCAAGGGTTCGGAAGCTGGCGAGTCAGGGAGGAGGAGAGGTCTTGTTCTAGTTTGAGGGTCGTGGAGCTGCAGACCGAGGCAGCAAATTAATTACTTAATTAAATTAATTAAATAAAAATAAAGCCATCCTTCTTGAAAAAGGCCTGCCTAAAAAAATCCCGCCCTCTAGTGATCATTTCTAAGCTTTGTTCTGGTTCTGATGGTAGCTGTTAATACCTCTCCATTGTAGCCATCTAACTGTTCATTGTTCATTGCTCACAGGTCCCCAATTATAGATCAAAGATGGTGTTAAAAGTTTGATAGTTTTTTCATCATGCCTCCCGAGTCCTGCCCAGAACGTATAAAACATTAACGTGTGACTGGGGTTGCCTGGAAAACACTGATTACCAGCTAACTTCCAGACCTAATTGTTTTCACAGGAATTACAACTATTTGCCATTTGAGGCTAAGAAGCCCTGTGTCTATTTCATCAGCTCTTGGGGAGACCAGACCTTCAGGCTGCACTGGTCCAACATGCTGGAGAAAATGGCAGACTTCCTGGTAGGTGACTCTGACAGGTGATGGATTAGAGAATTGGGAAGCTGGTGGGGGAAGGGATTTTTAAAATCCACCTAGTAGAGGATGTTGACCTCAGTTCAAACACAAATAAATTGAGGATGCTGCATTTGGAGGGCACGTGGATCCTACTATGCAAATCTAGGGGAATGAGACCTCATTTTGCAAAATCCCTGGACTTGAATCAAACTACCTGAATTCAAATCCCTGCTCTGCTTCTGGCTGTTATAGGATCTAGGTATGGGCTGTTTTTCTAATCTCCAAAGGGCAGGAGTTGACAACTTTCTCACAAAATTGATAGATCCTGGCTTCAACTAATAAAAAATCCTAAGTCCCTGGCATAGTGGACAACTGCCTACAAGATCAGGCCCTGCCTAACCTATAGCCCCATCTTTCCTAAGTTCTTCCTCCCTTACTTTGTTCCAACTACACTGGTGCCCTTTTAATATGTTGAAAAAACCAAGTTCCTTTAAGCTTCGCAGCCACCCACCATGCCTTTTCCTCTGTTACTTTTCCCCTCTCCAGTCTTCTTATAACCCAGCCAAATTCCAGGGCTCAGTTTCAGACTTCCTCAGGGAAGAGTCTGACACCTTCTACCCCCTTATCTTCTTACATAACACCCTGTTTTGTTTTGTTTTGTTTTTGAGAAGGGGTCTTGCTTTGTCACTCAGGCTGGAATGCAGTGGCACAATCACAGCTCACTGCAGCCTTGACCTTCTGGGCTCAAGTAATCCTCCTGCCTCAGCCTCCCATATAGCTGGGACCATGTACTACCACCCCTGGCTAATTTTTAAAATATTTTGTAGAGATAGAGTCTCACTGTGTTGCCCAGGCTGGCCTGGAACTCCTAGGCAACCCTCCCACCTCAGCATCCCAAGAAGTCGGAACTACAGGTGCATGCATGCCACCATGCCTGACTTTTTTTTTTTTTTTTTTGGTAGAGACAAGATGTAACTATGCTACTCAGGCTGGTCTGGAATTCCTGGGCTTAAGCAATCCTCCTGCCTCAGCCCCCAAATTGCTGGGGTGATAGGCATGAGCCATTGTGCCTGGCCAACACCCTGTTATTTTCCTTTGGACCTCTTATCATACTTTACAATATATTTGTGTGTTTATTTGTTCAATAACTATTTGCCACTGTTTCTATAGCATTTAGCATAATACCTGGCACGTGATAGCCACTAAATAATTATTCAGGGAATTGAATGTCTGAAAGTATTTTATACTGTAAACAGTGCCAATCAATATCCAATCAATGCTAGATTTTCCCACCTAAGCCCAAGGAGGGAGAGAAAGCTGGGACCTCTGTTTCTCTGACATCTTGCACCTCCCCTTTATAAATTCTTCTCTCCTACTCCCGTGCTCCCTCTACTCCGTCCCACATGCCTTACCAGATCATCTTTGTCTTGACCCTCCTGTTCCGTTAAAACCTATGCTAAGTCAAGAACAAATTTCTCTGTCCCATTTGCTTTATAATCCTTGTCTCTCAATTTGTAAAACAAAGTATTGTCTCTGACCATGGGGATTCCAGGCAACATGGAGATAAACTCTGAAAGTGGTCAGGAGGCCTAGTCTGGGGTCACAGCACATGGAGGTCACAGACTGTCTTGGTTGAGCTGGTCTTACTTCTCTTCAGACAGAACAGATCGTTTATCTCCAAGAGTCTTGACAAAGCAAATCAGAATTTTTTCCTAGAGGCCATAGTGACATTCATTTCTAATTCCTTTCTCAGTGCTGGCATCCCTGCCATGCTTGGCATATCATGGCTAACCACCATGAGAGACATGACTGAATGTTTACTAACTACCAAGCACTGTTTGAAGATATCCATACCCCCTATAGTGTTGTAGGTGGGTTCTGTTATTATTCCATTCCACAGATAAAGAAATTGGGCATAAATGGATTAATTCACTTGTAAGTGATAGAGCCTGGATTTGAACCAAGGCAATCTGACTCTGGAGCCCAAATCCTTAACTATGCCACAATGTTTCCTATTATAGTGAATGTGTAAAGAGGGGAACATATGTCCCTAGGCACGAGACTTTGGGATATGGTAGAGAATATAGTTTCGTAAATTCTAGCAAAGGAGTAGTAACACATATACTTCCCCTTAGGTGCCATTTTCCTCCAGGCCACTAAATAGAATTCTAGAATTTAGGCCCAAAGGAAAAGTGTGATTATTAAGTATACAAGCATAGGGCCATTGCCATATACAATCTGTCCCATTATCTGGCCCAAAACTCATGCAATCAGAAGAATGGGGAACCCTTTAATTTCAGGGATTATTCAATATGATTATATCCCTATGTAAAAAATTGACTTGAACATTACTTTTGAAGTTTTGGGTAATTATATCTAATTACTCTACATTGTTAGCTATTTCCCACGTTATTAGGTTTCCCCAGAGGGTAGATTCTAAATAAATGGTACCCATTAGGGAATGGATCTATAACAGAAACAATGAGTTTGAACAGTATGGGAGAAGACTTGTATGTGGACCAATTCCACTTACTAAAAGAAAAGTTCAAAGTTAGAATGCAGTAGCATTTTCCAATTCAAGTACAAGAAAACTAGATAAATCCTCCTTCATTGCCAAAACAAAAAAAAAATAGCTGTTATTTCTAGTACATTATAATTAGTATCTCTACTACCAATCTCATTACCACCGCCTCATCTCTCCACCCCTGTGGTTTGTTTTCAGGAAGAAAGTATAGAAGAAGTGAGAGAATTGATCAAGATTTCACAGGAGGCACCTGAAGAGAAAATGAAAACAGTGCTCAGTGACTTCATCAGTCGGAGCAGGTACCGGGAGAGACAGCCGGCATAGGCGGAGCTGAGCTTCTGTGGTCTCAGCTTTTAATTACCTTGAGAAAGTCGTCGATTTCACATGCATTCAAATGGGTGTTTTAGAGTGCTGTATCCATCTTAATTTTGTTCAGTAATTTCACTCGTGCTTGTGGACTAACTATTGCTTCTTGACACTGTAACAACTCAAACATAAATCAAAGGTAGGAAAAAGCAAAGGAAGACTTACTACAGAGACTCTGTAGGAAACAAGAAAAATGCTAGTAGTGTTAGTGTACCAGCATAGTGCTGTGCATGTGGTAGACACTCAGCAACTATTTGACACTTAGATGGGCAGAAGAATAAGCTATTAATATATAAAATACCATAGTAGGGCTGAGGGAAAACATCTCTTCTCTGAAGGCTCACTGAAAATCAACTATTTTCAGTGAAATATACTATTCAGTGAGCCTGAATAGTATATTTGAATATACTATTGTGGGGCTGAGGGAAAACCTTCCCTCCTCTCTCTGAAGGCTCACTGAAAATCAACTGACAAAAAGTAGATTAATAGGAGAAAAGGCATGCAAATGTATTAACGTGCACAGGGGAGAATCACAGAGTGATTACTCAATTACCCAGTGCAGTACAGAAGCTTATATATATCCTTCTTCAGAGGGGACGGGGGAGATGGAGAATGTAGACAGTTCTTTTGAGGGACAGTAAATCACTAGGAAGAATGAATGGACCAGGGAGAAGGGAGGCCGACCTTAGGGAAAGATGAGGGATGAAGCTGCACAGGAACACAGGTTGTCTTATTTTTTATACAAAGTCCCCCAGGTAATCTCTTGGAGCTGTCCTTAGAAGAATAGATGAAAAGTCTTTCTGGGCAGATGATTCCAGTCTCTTCTCTGTTGGTTGGTCTTTCCTGGTTATTTGATGAGATCTCTAGGGAGGGAGTCTTAAGACAATCACATTTAAGCTTTCTTAGTCTGATAGGAAAATTTAAAGAGTCTCTCTTGGTGCTTTGGAAAAGAGGGTCAGAGAGACAGGGAGACATGGAAAAGGTTAGAGAGAAACCCTGGTTCTGAGTCTTATTTCTGAGGCCTTGCAATTTTCAAAGCACTCAGTATTTTGGGGAATTGTTTTCTGTGTCCCAACACTATTTAATGAAATTTTTATACAACATATTGAGTACCAATTAGTAACCCTTATTCTAGAGGGCAGACAATATAAAAAAAGATAAAAAATAGGGTACATAGTTATCTTTTACTGAGAAACAAATTTCCCCAAAACTCAGTGGCTTAACATCATAGTTATTATCTCACTGTTTCTGTGGGTCAGGGGTCCAGGTGTGGCTCAGCTGAGTCCTTTGGGTCAGAGTCTCTCCCTGGCTGCAGTCATATCAAGGTTCCAATGGGATGGATTCACTTCCAAGATCACTCACGTGGTTATTTGCAGAATTCAGTTTTTCATGGGCCATTGGGCTGAGGACTTCAATTTCTCACTAGCTGTTGGTTGGAGGCCACCCTCAATGCCTTGCCACGTGAGCCTCTCTAAGCTGCCTCTCATGACAGAGCAGCTGGCTTCATTAGAGCCAGCAAGCACAAAGAGTCAGAACATCCTAGCAAGACAGAAGTCAGAGTCTCCCATGCCTAGTCTTGGAAGTGACAGCCCATCACTCTTGACGGTTCTGTTAGAAGCAAGTCACTAGGCCCAGCCCACCTTCAAAGGGAGGGGATTACACAGTGGCATGAATTGCAGGAGGTAGGACTCACTGGAGCCATCTTAGAGGCTGCTGACCCTTTAAGGAAACAACTTGGACTAACCCTTGAAATTAAGTAGTTTAAGATTTGAGCAAATATGAGAACTTGTCATAATGGAACTAATGGAAAAGGAGTGGAAATTCATCTGATGAGAGGCAGGGAGTAGCTGAATTCTGGTGTTCAGGTTTTTAAGTTCTGCCTCCCCAGTCTCTCAACTACTCTACAATTTTTACTTCACAAAAAAAGTAAAGAAAAGAAATAGTTTTTGTTTCTTGTTTTTCATTATAAAAGCTATATATATATATATATATATATATATATATATATATATATATATTACTCCTGCTGTGAGCTGTTTAGTGCCACCTGCAATTCCCTTTAAGCATTTTTAAAAGCTTCACAATCCACACTTTTAGAAACTGTTTATGAGCAAATTAAAAGCTCAATAACTTCTCTATGTTAGGGGATTACTTGGGATGATAGCTAATCATTCCCCCTTTTTCAAGTTTACAACCAACTGAAAAAAATATTAGGATAAGACAGAGATAAAAATGTTAGTTTTATATCTGGAAAAGTTAGGTTTGAGAAAGCACCTTGGACCCGAGGTCAAGGCAAGCTTCCTGTTCCCCCAAACTGTTCATGGCCAAGCAGCTCAACAGGGCTTCTCCCTCCATCTCACCCTTGCCCCTCACCAGGAGAGGGCACTTGCCATGTGACATGTGAAGGTAAGGGAGGATGTCCATAGCCAGCAGACAGGTTGGGTCTGAAAGATGAAGAATGAACAGAAACATGTGCTATGGTCATTTACCCCAATGTTAACGAGGAAACAAATTATTTCTCCCTGTGGGGAAAGGAAAGGGATCAGAAGTGATTATGTCTACCTGCACTGATCCATTCTGGAGAGTGAAATGGAATTCCTTCTGCCACAAGAAAAGGCAGGAATGGGGCAACAAGATTCCCTCCTCAAAATATAATCCTTTTTATTCTTTTTAAAAAATTTAAAGAAAATGTAACATTACTAGTGTGTCCAAGGAGGATTTCTGGTGAGACTTTCAACTGCCAGTGGGTAGAGCCTGGTATGGGACCTTGGGCTGGGTGGTGTGGCATCTTAGACTTTCCTTTTTGTTTCCTTTATAATTGATTTTTTTCATCAGAAGTGCTCATCACTGAAATGATCATGCTCATCATTAAAAAAAAATAAATATACCAAGTAGGAAATTTCTTCTCAATTCTCTCTCCAAACCTACTCTCCAGTGAGAAGAGTTTGATTTGTCCTCCTGGACTTTTTTCTGTGCATTTGGGAACATACACCCTCATGTCCACACTCATACCATATTCCTTCACAAATGATATCACACATTTGCTCAGCAGGTTGCCTTTTCATTCAGCAAAATATCACAGGCATCTTTCTACAGGTGCACATAATAGATATCCTGAATATTCAATTGCATGTATGTGTCATGATATATTTAACTAGTCCCTAATGACATTTAAGTTGTTCCCACTTATTTTGCTACTATGAACAGTGCTACAATACATATGATTATGTAAACATAATCTTGTCAAATTGTTCAATTATTTTTGAAGGGTAAGAATTCTAGTGTAATTTAGTTTAATTTTGAATCAAATTTAAATTTTGATAGGTGCTATCAAATAGCCTCTAAAACACTAAGAATTTACACCCACCTTCCATAGAGTAGAAGAGTGACTATCTCCCAACATCTTCACCAACTTTGAATATTATTCATTTTTATAGGTAAAATGTTATTAATTTTAATTTGCATTTAAGTTATCACTAGTGAGGGCAATATCTTATTTCCCCAAGCGTTTAGTCCATTTACATTTTTCTTCTTGAATGGCATTCACAATCTTTACTATTTTCCTATTTAACACATTTTTAACTTTACCTCCAAAAAATGTTACTACTCAGTCTTTCCTATTGTTTTTAAATGGTGGGGACACATCTAGGTATTGAATCTAAAATATTTGTTTTACATACAACTTTTCAGCAAACTTTTGGTGTGTGTTAAATTTGTAAGATGAAGGAAAACAGTATTTTGTGGGTTTTGTTATGAATTTTTATAGCAATCACAATGGATTGTACTGAAAGAAAGTGGAAAAAAAAATCTGTTCCCCAAAACTAATGTTGGGTCTGGGCATCATTTCCAGTTATCATTTTGTCTCTTGGAAAAGTTAATACATAGTTGCTTAATCCTAAATTAAAAATATTGGTTTTATGGCTTCAAAAGCTTTCCACTGTATTGCAGAAACAATATTTGCAAACCTCTGGAATTATATAAATGGATTTTCACTAAGTAGGTTTCAAAATTGTTATTCTTTTCTTATAGTGCCTTTATCTCTGAAGCAGAAAAAAAGCCCAAGATGTTGAACCAAACCACTTTAGATAAGAAGCGACTTACGCTCTGCTGGCAGGAGCTGGTATGTGAAAATCTATTTATACTTTGTGGACAGAGTTAAAAATAAACCTCACGGATGAGGCATAGGTCACAGACCAAATGAGGTTGAGGTTTAAAGGTCATACATTTTTGGGATGCAGAGACAAGAGTGAAAAGGGACTATTTGTTAAGTTGGAAAGAAATGAACATTTATTGAAGGTTTATAAGGATGAACTAGAAGCCCACTGGTCCTACTTCCTACTCTGATGGAGAATAGGTGACCTCTTGCTCATTTTCTTGACCTTCATATTTTGTTAAAGGCGGTAGACTCGCTTGGCCCTCTGACTCACAAGTCAAGAGATCAAAAGAAATAACTATGCTCCTTGACTTCAGGTTCCTCCTATTGAGAATTGTGTTAAAATTTAAAAGCGCTTCTTGAGAGCAGGTCAGTAGTTGTTACCCCTCTGTGTCCTGGGAACCTGCATGTGCTAGGTGCCTAACAGTTGCTCAGTTCTTCTTCAGTGACTGGTGACTAGAATTGCCAGACCAAGTCAGGCCCTGGATTATCTCAATTGAAAATGTCAGTGCCAGCAAGGGCACCAAGGGACATTTCATGTGAGGCCAGGATAATTCTGCAAAGAAAAATTACTCAGTGCTTGACTTCTCAGGGACATTTTAAAGTATGAGTGGGACTCAGAGATATTAAATGACTTTTTCTAAAGATCACAGCTAGTTAACTGTAATCCAAAAACTAAAACCCAGGTCTCCTAACTCCTCATCCATCCTTCGTCCCAGAATGCTTCTTTTCTGTCCTCTGGAACATTTCAGGGAGGCTAGATTCCCACCATCAATAAGACCTTCTTCCTATGCTGGCTTTTCTCAGCACCTCTGGCTGAAGTGCTATCTCTGCAGCTTCCCTCTACTCCATGTTTTCTGCAGAGTTCTGTCTTCACATTGTCTGACAGCCCTTGGCCTGATTATTTCAATATCTTTTTTTAGTGGCCTAGGTCTCCCTCCTCATCTCTAGACCTGCATTTCCAGCCTCCTAATGGGCATCTCCATGCTTATCTCACATCACTCCAAACTCTGAGCCCATCACCTTATCTCAACTTGTTCCACATCCTGCATTGGCACTGCCAGCTAGACTTACTGCTCAAACAAGAAGGCTAAGTTTCAACATTGGCTCTTTATCTCTCACCTTAAGTAGCCATTTGAATACTAGGTCCTGCAGATTCTGCCTCTTAATGACTCTGGAACGAACTCCACTTCTTCATCTTCAGAGTCACTGTCTAAACTGAGTTTCTTAGCACCTCTGTTCTAGAGTATGGCAAAAGTCTTCCTCTAATCCATCTTCTGTATTACAACCAGCATGGTCTTTCTAAAACACAAGCCTGATTAGATCATTATTGTTTAAAAAAATCACTGGGTTATCTCAATCATTCATAGGATAAAATCTAAATCCCTTTTGCATGATACATTGGGCTATTTACTATCTGGTCCCAACCTAGCATCCCAACCTTATCCGTCTTTAGTTCGTTCCTATGTATCTATGCTCTGACAATTTTGAATCCTTGATGATTATGTATATTCATATGTAACTCTTCCCTCTGTCTTCTTACTCTCTGATGAATTCTATTCACATTTTAAAATTCAGCTCAAATGTCATATTCTCCAGGTAACCAGCTTTGCCCCTGTCTAGCACCACAGTGCTTCATACATTTTAATTATGTGCATGTATTGTTTTCACCTCACCATGTATTGTTTTCACCTCGCCAAACTGTCAATGTCTCAGGAAAATAAAGCATTATTTCTTCTCCCTGTCCCAGACCTGGGCTCCAAGCATAGTGCCTGGTGTATAACATTAGCAGAGGCTTCCTATGTGCCACACACTCCTCTAGATGCTGGGAACAAAGCTAGAAGAACGTAGTGCTTGTCCTTGAGGAATTTCTAGATTGAGTAGTTCATTCATTCCATAAACATTTATTTAACACCTATGTGCCAGGAGCTCTGTTAGACACTGAGCATACAATAAGGACAAGACAGAGGAGGTCCTTGTCCTACTGAAGTTTACACATTAATGATTAAGACAGAAGATAGATAGGTAAACAGAAAATACATAAAAATTATTACAGATTGTGATTCAAAAGGAAATTCTAAGAAGCCACTGGGATCAGGAAAACATGGGGGAATGTAATACAGTGGTGACATTTAAGTTGAGGCCTGAAAGATGAGAAGAAACCAGCCATGTAGAGTCTAGGAAGAACATTTGAGCAAGAGGAAACACCAGGCATACCAGCTAATATGGTTTGGCTGTGTCCCCACCCAAATCTCATCTTGAGCTCTCACGTGTTGTGGGAGGGATCTGCTGGGAGGTAATTGAATCATGGGGGCAGGTCTTCCCATGCTGTTTTCATGATAGTGAATAAGTCTCATCAGATCTGATGGTTTATAAAGGGTAGTTTCCCTGCACAAGCTCTGTTTATTTGCCTGCTGCCATCCATGTAAGACGTGACTTGCTCCTCCTTGCCTTCCCCATGATTCTCCCCATGAGTCCTCCCCAGCCATGTAGAACTGTGAGTTCTCCATTAAACCTCTTTCCTTTATAAATTACCCAGTCTTGGATATGTCTTTATTAGCAGCACGAGAACAGACTAATACACCGGCTTTAGGATGGACAAAGTTTGTCAAGTTCTAGGGCTTCTGAGGACCAGTGTGCCTGAGGCACAGTGAGTGAGGAAGGAATATTATAAGATGAAGCAGACAGTGGCAGGGCCAATGCACACAGGGCCTTAGAAGTCACTGTAAATATTTTTTTTTCCTAAGCACATAAATGTGAGCTGAACAAATGAATCAAAATAAACACTTTTGGGTTTTCCAACCACTTATACTGAGCTTTCTGGCAGCATTTCTCATACGATGTCTTCTTGGTCTGAAAGCAGCAACCATACCTCTGGGAAGAGGTGGTGAGTGCAGTGGTTAAGCATGTAGACTCTGGATGCAGCTGGGGGTCAGCTCTGGCTCTGCCATTCAGTAGCTGCGTTACTGCTTCCTCAGCTGTAAAATGGGAAAAATAGAACCTACCTCATAAGGCTGTTATGAGGAGTAACAAAGGATTAATACAGTGGTTAGAATGTTGCCTGGCACAGAGGAACAGCTCAGTACACCTTAAGCTGCTATTATCATAGCAGTTGTTGTTAAATATCAGAAAGCCTGTGTGTTAGTCTGTTCTCACACTGCTAATAAAGACATACCCAAGACTGGGTAATTATAAAGGAAAGAGGTTTAATTGACGCACAGTTCCACATGGCTAAGAGGCCATGGTGGCCTCCAGTCATGGTGGAAGGCAAGGAGGAGCAAGTCACATCTTACATGGTGGCAGGCAAGAGAAGTGCCAAGCAAAAGGGGGAAAAGCTTCTTATAAAACTATCAGATCTCATGAGAACCTTACTCACTATCACGAGAACAAAATAAGGGTAAACGCCTCCATGATTAAATTACCTCCCACTGGGTCCCTCCTATGATATGTGGGGATCATGGGAATTACAGTTCAAGATGAAATTTGGGTGGGACACAGCCAAACCATGTCAGCTTGGATTCAGGTGCTGGTTAATAAGCCATGTGACCTTGATAAACCTGTAGCCTTTCTGGGCTTCAGCTTCTCATCTGTCAAGCAGAGGTGAGATGATATTACAGCCTCCATAATCCTGTGAAATTTCCACCAAGGAGGCAGCATGCACGGTGGCAGACCCTGGAACAGTCCACGTGAGTGACTCAGTGTGGAGCTCACCAGGACCTTCAGGTCTCTTCAGCAACAGGACGCTGCTTGTTGTCCAGATCTCTCGAAAGACCCACACTGACTCTTGTCTTGTTTTAGGAAGCAATGTGCAAGGAGGCCAAGGGGATCATTCAGCAGCAGAAGAAAAAGTTATCTGTTGATGAAATGATTCACGAAGCCCAAAACTTTGTGGAAAAAATCCGCTTTCTTGTTGATGAGGTAACTGACTCTAAAGGCAAACCTCATTTGGAAGGTTAGATGGAATGTCTTCCAGGGAGGTTTGAATGGTTGGTACGGGTGAAATATGAATCAATGTTTTTCTCCCCAGCCCTAGTGGGCTACGCAGGCACTCCTAGTTTAGAGAAGAGATTTTTAAATTAAACCAAACAAGTACAGCTTTATTCATTTTTTTTTCACAAAGCCTGAACATTCAGCAAAATAAAAGGCACATTCGCTAATGGGCTCAAGTGAAGTCAACGTAAGCCCAGGAACTTTGATAGGTTTTCAACTATAAAAGGATTTAAATTCGTGCCCAGTAAAGGGCATGGCAGCTTCTGATTTTAAAGTTAGTTGTAAACGGTGTCTTCTGGTGACTTCTAGAATGACCTGTTTAAAAACGGCCCTCATATTTGCATCTGTCAGATACTGACACTCGTTCTTGAAGCTTGCAAATGTGTAGAAACTTCTAAAACAGGGTTTGATGTGGGAAGATTTCAGGAAGCGAGATTTACTGCTTCTGTTTTTCTTGAAAGTTGTAGTTCTTGTTGCAAATCAGTCATTCCCTGGAGGCATATTACTCGGTGAGACAGGCAGTCAGTAGACATAGGAATTTGAATAAGCACTCAGAAGAGAGAAGGGATGTCCTCTTTGGGGATTAGTTTTACCTGATCACTAGGGATTGGAAAGACAGAGCATCTGCTTCCAGTCCAGGAATGTCAAACCCTTGTTTAAAACAATATACTTCCTTTTTGTTTTGAGAGTTTTGTTTGTTCAGAAATGTGAATTTCAAACACCCATAACATAATGGGCCACTTGGCATGGAATTCTACTCTTCCTATCTTAATTAATTCGACTTTAAATTCTAATTTCCTGTGCAATTTAGCTGAGTTCCTGCTGAATAACCACTTAAAATGGAACTAAAATATCTTGCAATCATATTATAGGTACACAGTTCCTTGTAGAAATACTTGCCTAAGAGCAAGTGTAAGGAAAGTCATTCAAAGACATTCATAGATTTTTGTTTTTGTTGTTTCATTTGAATATTCTGGAAATGTTATCTGACTCTGAGCAGTGCTTAAAACTAAATCATTATTACAAGATTGGAAAAAAAATCCATGGGAAGTTGTGCAAAAGTGTTTGTCCTGCAGATGAGAAAAGTAGGCTACCAAAGATGCCAAATCACAGATCCAGCTTGCATGTTCTCATATGAGCAATTTGGCATGTGGGTTTGTAGGCACTTTATTTATTTATTTTTTTTTTTGAGATGGAGTCTTGCTCTGTCTCCCAGGCTGGAGTGCAGTGGCATGATCTCGGCTCACTGCAACCTCCTCCGCCTCCTGGGTTCAAGCGATTCTTCTGCCTCAGCCTCCTGAGTAGCTGAAACTATAGGCAAGTGTCACTACGCCCAGCTAATTTTTGTATTTTTTAGTAGAGATGTGGTTTCACCATACTGGCCAGGATGATCTCGAACTCCTGACCTCATGATCCACGTGCCTTGGCCTCCCAAAGTGCTGGGATTACAGGCATGAGCCACTGCCGCCCAGCTGTATGCACTTTTAACTCATGACCTAAGTAAGGCTTTCTCTTCTCTAGGAAACTGCACTTAATTTGCTTGATGGCATAGATGTTTCAGTGCCTAGATGGTGTCAGTCACAGCATTTGTTTTGTCGAAGAGGGAATATTTCAGGATAGCAGAACTCTGCAAGTGCCTTTGTTCAATGCCAACCTTTCAAATCCCATTCCTATTCAATCCCAACTCCCTCTATTCCCACAGCCCCAGCACACTATCCCTGACGTTTTCATCTGGATGCTCAGCAACAACAGGAGAGTGGCCTATGCCCGCATCGCCTCCAAAGACCTCCTCTATTCCCCTGTCGCGGGGCAGATGGGCAAACACTGCGGCAAGATCAAAACTCACTTCCTCAAAGTAAGTGTGCAGTATTTTAACTAAAAGAAGGGAGATTTCTGTTTCTCTAGGGTGGCTCAGACTTTCTAGTGTGTGTCCATGGCTCTGACCATTCCCCAGTGCTTTCAAAGGTAGGAGGACAACTAGAACACCTTGGTGCCTCTTGGTTCAAATTGCAATTCAGTAGACCACCTTTAGGTGGAATTTTTTCAGTTTTTTTAACTGTTACATCACCAGACACACATAAGTTTCTTTTTTTAATCTAATGGGTTACTTTAATTTTTACCTCTTTGATTACTAGTATTAATAACAATGAACCTTAAGGTTTTTTTTTTTTTTGAGACAGTGTCTTGCACTGTCGCCCGGGCTGGAGTGCAGTGGCGTGACCTCGGCTCACTGCAACCTCCGCCTCCCGGATTCAAGTGATTCTCCTGCCTCAGCCTCCCAAGTAGCTGGGATTACAGATGCCCACCACCATGCCTAGCTAATTTTTTGTATTTTTAGTAGAGATGGGGTTTCACTATGTTGGCCAGGCTGGTCTCCAACTCCTGACCTTGTGATCTGCCTGCCTCGGCCTCCCAAAGTGCTGGGATTACAAGCGTGAGCCACCGTACTTGGCCATTTTTTTTTTTTTTTATTTCAGTAGCTTTAGGGTTACAAGTGGTTTGTGATTACATGGATAAGTTGAATAGTGGTGAAATCCAGAATTTCAGTGTAACTGTCACCTGAGTAGTGTACAATGTATGAATAGGTAGTTTTTTGTCCCTCATCCCCATCCCACCCTCCCCCTTTCTGAGTTTTCAGTGTCCTTTATACCACTCTGTATGACTTTTCATACCCATAGCTTAGTTCCTGCTTATAAGTGAGAACATACAGTATTTGGTTTTCCATTCTTGAGTTACTTCACTTAGAATAAGTAATGGCCTCCAGCTCAATTCAAGTTGCTGCAAAAGACATTATTTCATTCTTTTTATGACTGAGTCATATTTCATGGTGTATATATATCACATTTTCTTAATCCAGTCATCAGGCAATGGACACTTATGTTGTTGATTCCATATCTTTGCAATTTTGAATTGTGCTACAATAAACATATACGTGCTGGTGTCTTTTTGATCTTTTTCTTTGGGTAGATACCCAATAGTGGGTAGTGGGATTGCTGGGTTGAATGGTAGATCTATTTTTAGTTCTTTGAGAAATCTCCATACTGTTTTCCGTAGAGGTTGTGCTAATTTACAGTCCCATCAGCAGTATAAAAGCATTCCTTTTTAGCTGCATCCATGCCAACATCTATTGTTTTTTGACTTTTTAATAATGGCCATTCTAGCTGGGGTAAGGTGGTATCTCAATCATTGTTTTAATTTGCATTTCCTTGATGATTAGTGATGCTGAGCATTTTTTTCATGTTTGTTGGCCATTTGTATATTTTTTCTGGGAGGTGTCTATTCATGTCTTTTATGCAGTTTTTAATGGAATTATTTTTTTATGTTGATTTGTTTGAGTTCCTTGTAGATTCTGGATATTAGTCCTTTATGGAATGCATAATTTGCAAATCTTTTCTCCCATTCTCTAGGTTTCTGTTTACTCTGATGATTCTTTGGCTGTGCAGAAGCTTTTTAGTTTAATTAGGTACAATTTATTTTTTTGTTGCATTTGTTTTTGGTGTCTTAGTCATAAATTCTTTGCCAGAAGAGTTTTTTTCTAGGTTTTCTTCCAGAGTTTTTATGGTTTCAGGTCTCAGATTTAAGTCTTTAATCCATCTTGAGTTAATTTTTTTGTATATGGTGAGAAATAGAGATCCAGGTTCATTCTTCTACATGTGGCTATCTCATTTTCCCAGTACCATTTATTGATAAGGCATCCTTTCTCCAATTTGTGTTTTTGTATAGTTTGCTGAAGATCAGTTGGTTATAAATATTTGACTTCATTTCTAGGTTCTCTATTCTATTCCACTGGCCTATATATCTACTTTTATAGCAGTACCATGTTGTTTTGGTGACTATAGCCTTGTATAATTTGAAGTCAGGTAATGTGATGCCTCTAGATTTGTTCTTTTTCTTTAGGATTGCTTTGGCAATTTGGGCTCTTTTTTGGCTCCATATGAATTTTAGGATAGTTTTTTCTAATTCTGTAAAAAATGACGTTGGTATTTTGATAGGAAGGGCATTGAATCTGTTGATTGTTTGGGGCAGTATGCTTATTTTCATGATATTGATTCTTCCAATCCATGAGCATGGGAGGTATTTGCATTTGTTTGTGTCATCTATGATTCTTAGAATGAACATTTTTCTATCAGTTTCCTCATTACCTTTTCACTTGTGTAATTTGTCCATGGCATCTTCTCACATGAGTTAATCTGTATTTTAAAATAGCTTCAAAGAAAATTAGAAGAAGGACAGAACAGCTAGTTCAGGATTCCTTGTGACTTTAAATTGTAAAAATATAAAATTTTCAACTGGGGGGTCCTGCACCCTTCATCAAGACAGAGTCCCCAGATGCCTTCTGGGTGGGCCCTTATAGACATGTATCTCTGGACAGATTCTACTGTCTCTAACTCAAGATTTGAGCTTTGCTTGGAGGCCCTGGGTATTTTACCTCCACTACAAATACATTTTTATTCCAGTGAGTAGAAATGAATGAATAAGAGAAAAATGTGTCCAAAGCCTTTACCCCCACCAGCAACTGACTAGAGTACAAGTTGACTGATTAACTTTTCCTAACTCATAGCTGACTGTCCTCCCAATATCAGTTCTGGTTTCTTGCTATAAAATAATTATTCCTTTACTAACTCAGGGAGGGTGAAAAGGCTCAAAATCATGCCATAGAGGAACAGGTAAAGAGATAGCAGTTCTTAGCTGAGGAGATTTGACAGCATGAGAATGTAGTTTCAGTGTTTGTGGGGCAGTATATAGACGGAGGGGAGGTATAGGAGAGAGAGAGATCCAGCAGGTAAAATCAGGCCCTACAAAGACATTACAGGGAAATAGTTTCCTAAATGGAAGTCCATAATGCATTCCTCATCCTTAGAGGTGTTAACACACCCTGGGCAACTATTTGATACAAACATGGCAGCAGGTAGCTAAATTAAATAGCCTCTAAATGCTGTCTAACCTCAAGAGTTTACTATAGATGTGATTTTTTTTTTTAAATGTTGCAGACAGAAGGGCCCTATTATTAAGCATGAGAAGCAGTGTGGGATAATGGTTTAAAGCATGGACTTTGAAATAAGGTGAATTTGGGCTGGAATTTGTATTAGATCACTAGGGCTACTGTAACAAAGTAGCATAAACTGACTGGCTTAAACAACAGAGATATATTATCTCATGGTTCTGAAGGTTAGAAGTCCTAGGTCAAGGTGTTGGCAGGGCCATGTTCCCTTGAAGGTATTAGGGAAGAGCATGTTCCAGGCCTCTCTTCTAGCTTCTGGTTGGTTCCATGGCTTTTACTAGAATGGCGCCAATCTCCATATGACATTCTTCCTCTGTGTCTGTCCCTTCATATGATATTATTTTTGTGACTCCAGTCATATGGGATTAGGGACCTACCCTACTCCAGTACAATGTCATTTTAACTTAACTAATTATATCTGCATTGACCCTATTTCCAAATAAGGTCATATTTTGGGTGTTGGGGATTAGAACTTCAACATAAAAATTTTGTGGGACCACAATTCAACCCATAACAGAATTCCAGGGCCAATATATACTAGTTGTATGACCTTGGGCAATTTAACATTCTTCAACTTTCAAATGGATAAAGAATGTTCATCCTATTTTTCATTCATTAAATGGAGATCATGGTGAGGAAAAAGTGAATAAATGCAAGTAAAGAACATGTAGTTGTGCCTCACAGAGTAATCACTCAATAAATGCTGGCATTTGAACAACTAGACATCCACATTCCCAGAGGACATTGCTGTAATTTTGTCCCCCTCATATCCAGCGAGTTGTCTGAGGCTCTCCGTGTTATTTTCTGTCATGTATGTAAAATGATTTTGTTTTAGAGACAGCACCTTATTCTATTGCCAAGTCTGGAGTGCAGTGATAAAATCACAGCTCACTGTAGCCTTGAACTCCTAGGCTCAAGCAATCCTCCCACCTTAGCCTCCTGAATAGCTAGGTCGACAGGCATGTGCCACCACATCTGGCTAATTTTTATTTCTCATAGAGATGTGATCTTACTATGTAACCCAGGCTTATCTCAAACTCCTGGCCTCAAGTGATTCCTCTGCCTTCCTTGGCCTCCCAAAGCACTGAGATTACAGACGAGAGCCATTGTGCCTGGCCTAAAATGGCTTTTAAACCCACTCCAGTAAAACTATAACTGAAAAACAAAGTTTTTCACCCAAGTCATTCACCACAATTATCAAGAATTTTCTTTAACTTTCTCCATTCAAAGAATGCTAAGGAGGCAAGAAATATTTATATTAAAAATAGCAAAACACTTCAGAAGGCCCTGTGCTAAAAATACTAGAAAGGTGGTATAAAGTTACTCACTTCTAAATATTTTGATGTATCCTGGCACTATTTAAAATTAGAACAAAGAACAGCTGTCAAATAAAGTCAGAGGTTAGAAGAGTTGAGAATGCAGAACTTTTGCCCTGGAGCATTCATCATCTGAATATTATCTTCATCTGTAAGCCTTAGCTTATTTCTTTATTTGTATTTTCCTTTTGCCATTGGAATTGCTCTGGGCAGTAGCTTTCTGGATCTTGTTGAATCCAGTTATATAAACTTGATAAAATATCTTGATAAGATGATTCAGCGAGACCATTTTCATTCCTGTTTTGATTTTCACTCCTGACTTTAAGTCCCCTCTCACCCACCATCTCTCTTTATGCCCCTTTCTCTTCACTGAATGAGCAAGATCAGAAAAAGCAAAGGCTGCACCAGGGACACTGAGTATTCCCTCATCTGCCACTCACTCCAGTTTTTTAGCTGGGAAATAGGAAGTGAAGGTGGGCGGGGGTGGGGAGGGGAACATAGAATGTAAATCTCTAAACTCTCTAAGCTAAAGTTTCCTCAAGCTTTATTCTGTAGAGCTGCTGTTCTTTGAGTGGCTCTGTAAATGTTCCATGTTCAAATGCTTTTAAGAAGTTGCAGTTGTAACCTTGGAAACTCTTGCAGTGTCACAGTGCCCATTAACCAGTGGAAGGTTCCAAGAAGTCCTGCAGTTGGGAAACAGCTTTAACTTTTTTATATTTTATTATTTTACTTTAAGTTCCGGGATACATGTGCACAATGTGCAGGTTTGTTACATAGGTTAACGTGTGCCATGGTGGTTTGCTGCACCTATCAACCTGTCATCTAGGTTTTAAGCCTTGCATGTATTAGGTATTTGTCCTAATGGTCTCCCTCCCCTTGTCCCCCATCCCCTGACAGGCCCCGGTGTGTGATGTTCCTGTCCATGTGTTCTCATTGTTCAACTCCCACTTATGAATGAGAACATGCAGTGTTTGGTTTTCTGTTCCTGTGTTAGTTTGCTGAGAATGGTGGCTTCCAGCTTCATCCATGCTCCTGCAAAGGACATGATCTCATTCTTTTTTATGGCTGCATAGTATTCCATGGAGTGTATGTGCCATGTTTTCTTTATCCAGTCTATCATCGATGGGCATTTGGGTTGGTTCTGTGTCTTTGCTATTGTGAACAGTGCTGCAGTAAACATACGTGTGCATGTGTCTTTATAGTAGAATGATTTATAATCCTTTGGGTATATAGAGAGTAGTGGGATTGCTGGATCAAATGGTATTTCTGGTTCTAGATCCTTGAGGAATCGCCACACTGTCTTCCACAGTGGTTGAACTAATTTACACTTCCACCAACAGTGTTCCTATTTCTCCATAGCCTTGCCAGCATCTGTTGTTTCTTGACTTTTTTATAATTGCCTTTCTGACTGGTGTGAGATGGTATCTCACTGTGGTTTTGATTTGCATTTCTCTAAAGATCAGTGATGTTGAGTTTTTTCATGTTTGTTGGCTGTATAAATGTCTTCTTTTGAGAAGTGTCTATTTATGTCATTTGCCCTCCTTTTAATGGGGTTGTTTTTTTCTTGTAAATTTGTTTAAGTTCTTTGTAAATTCTGGATATTAGACCTTTGTCAGATGGGTAGAATGCAAAAATTTTATCCCATTCTGTAGATTGCCTGTTTGCTCTGATGAGAGTTTCTTTTGCTTTGAAGAAGCTCTTTAGTTTAATTAGATCTCATTTGTCAATTTCTGCTTTTGTTGCAGTTGCTTTTTGCATTTTCATCATAAAATATTTGCTCATGCCTATGTCCTGAATGGTATTGCCTAGGTTTTCTTCTAGGATTTTTATGGTTTTGGGTTTTACATTTAAGTCTTTAATCCATCTTGAGTTAATTTTTGTATAAGGTTTAAGGAAGGAGTCCAGTTTCAGTTTTTGGCATATGGCTAGCCAGTTTTCCCAGCACCATTTATTAAATAGGGAATTATTTCCCCATTGCTCGTTTGTGTCAGGTTTGTCAAAGATCAGATGGTTGTAGATGTGTGGTGTTATTTCTGAGGTCTCTATTCTGTTCCATTGGTCTATATGTCTGTTTTGGTACCAGTACCATGTGAAACATCTTTAACTTTTTAAGCCCACATTTGTCAAGCTTATGCATCCAGAATGGCTATTTGTAAGTTTTAGGAAACTTCTCTTCCTGGAAACTATTAATACAGAGGAAACAAAGTGCCTCATCTGTAGTCACACGGCTAAGTAATGATTGATCAGTAACAGCAATGAAGGTTTTGCGGTCCCGGGTTGCATGATCTTCCTTTTTCTCTAATTTAAACATATTCATGATGCTACTAAAAATGATGGAACAGAATTTGCAGAACTCAGCCCAACTCACCACTCAAAAGTTTACGATCCTCTCCTTTTAGTCTTATCCCCACTGTGCTCCTGATGGCTGGAAATGTGGAAATGGAAATTCATCACCGAAAGGAAACCCTTCCTAAGGAAGGAGCTAGATGCTCTCAGAGCCCAGAGGGTGGCGCTCAACCTTCCTCTTCTCCTTGAGTTAGCTCTGGGCTGAGTCCACTCCTCACTCCCATCGCCATCCCTATCCTACCTTCTCTCCACAACAGGGAGTCCATCTCCTGTTCTCCAGGTTCCAGCTTTCCATCTAGCTTTTCCTAGGATGCAGCAGGAAGTGATGGCTAAATAGCACCTTTCTCTGTCCTGCCACAGAGTAAAACCTCTACCACATAAACAAACCTCACTCTCACTAATACTGACCAACTCCAACACAGTTCATGTGAGTTACTACCTCTCTCTCTCCTTCTCTCACTTGCCAAGACTTCCTCTTCCTTTTGAGCCGGCTGTCTTGCACCAGGACCCCGTGGGAGGTGGGGAAGGCACAGGGGAGACTGAGCCTTTAGTATTCTGTCTCATGCAATATTTATATATGGATGATCACAGCTTTTTGATGCATTTTTGCATTCTTAATTGTTTTTCTCTGTTGTGTTTTCTTTTTTCCTACCTTTCCATGCTATTCTCAGAGGGAAATACCTTGCTGTGGTTGGTGAAGCTTCAGGGGCACATGAGAGAGGAAGGAGAGTGGGGAAGCAGGTGTAGGAGCCAAGGGAGAGCTTTCCCTTGGCCCTCTGAAGCTTCGCTGAAAAATCAATTCACAAAAGGTAGATTAATAGGAGAAAAGGCATACAAATTTATTTAATGTATATATTAAATATACACATTAATATATGGGAGCCTTTAGAAGGAAGATCCCAAAATAGGGGGAAATCATCCATTTTTATGCTTAGGTTCAACAAAGCATGGATGGACATGTAGAAATACGATTCAGTAAAAAGGGTATTATCTAATGCTAGTGGACTGAGTGGGGAAACAGCAAGGCCTGTCTGCCTAGCTGCTTCTTGGCCTCTCTGTAGCATTCTTTCCTTCTGGATGTGGAGTAGAACCCTCTCTGGAATGGGCTACAGTTACACAAGATAGGTCAGATAATTTCTTTATGGCCAATTTTTACATAGAAAGGCAGAGGGAAAGTTAGAGTCATATTTTTAGGTTTTATAGCTGGCTTTGGGGAAATGGGGTTCTGGTTTCTGTGACCTGCACTAGGGAAGAGAGATTCTAGTTTCTATGGCTAACCTGGGGGTGAATGGGACTGAGAGATAAGAGGGCAGGAGGTCAGAGAAACACTTTTGCTTCTGAGGCTTTCATTTGGGGGTATTGTTTTCTGAGCCCCAGTTGAGGGAAGGCAGGGGCAGACATGTAACCAGGCTGAAAGTACACATGAAATTAAAAATGGGATCCTGTTCCTGAAAGCACCTAGGAAGGTGCTCGATAATGTTGAATGAATCCAACTTAGATACTTAAGTGAGACACTGCATTATCTTGCCAGCAATTCCAATTTGCATATATTTTTTTAAATGTACAAGTTGCTAACTTTAGGAGTGCAGCAACAGTCTTTGTGGAACACTTTCACAAGACATTAGCTGAGTCTTTCGTTTTAACCATGAGTTTAAACACCCATTTATTGTTTAGTAGCAGTAGAAATGAATGATGTTTTTTGTCATTGTTTTGTTTTACTTTAAGAAACACAAGGCCAGCCTGGCATGGTGGCTCATGCCTATAATCCCAGCACTTTGGGAGGCCGAGGCGGGTGGATCACCTGAGGTCAGGAGCTCAAGACCAGCCTGGCCAACATGGTGAAACCCTATCTCTACTAAAAATCCAAAAATTAGCCGGGTGTGGTGGCATATGTCTGCAATCCCAGGTACTTGGGAGGCTGAGGCATGAGAATTACTTGAACCCGGGAGGCAGAGGCTGCAGTGAGCTGAGATTGCACCACTGCACTCTAGCTTGGGTGACAGAGCAAGACTGTCTCAAAAAAAAAGAAAAGAAACACAGGCCCAGGCTCTGTGGCTCTTGCCTGTAATCCTAGCACTCTGGGAGGCCAAAGGGGGGCAGATTGCTTTAGTCCAGGAGTTTGAGATGACCCTAGGAAACATGGTGAAACCCCATCTCTACCTCCCAAAAAATCAATAAATACAAAACTATCCGGGCATGGTGGTGCCTGCTCATGGTCCAAGCTACTTGAGAGGCTGAGGTGGGAGGATGGCTTGAGCCCAGGAGTCAGAGTTTGTAGTGAGCTGAGACTGCACCACGTCACTCCAGCTTGGGTGACAGAGCGTGATTCTATGGGGGCAGGGTGGGAGGGGGATAAAAAGAAAAGAAAACCCTGCAGAATCTCAGATGTGCTTTGCTTAGGGCAATGTAGCACACTAAGTTAAGAGCATTGCTGCACAAATACTTAAAACTGAGATCTGTAGACCAGCAGGATTAGCGTCCATCAGGAGAAATCAGATTCTCAAAATTTCCCAGAGACCAGTTGAATTTGAGTGTGCATTTTAACCAGATGCCCTGGCAATCCATGTGCTCACAGCAGTGTGTGAGGAGCATTGGCTGAGAGTCTGGGCTCTAACCCTGATAACCTATGATTTGGTGATAGCTTGCAGGCAATAGAACATTCTGTGTGAAGAGAGAAACATTAGACCAGGGCCTAGAATGATAGAAGTGCTCAACATGTGTTAAATATTATTATTGTTAGAAAAGTAAATAAAGGATATTCACTCAACCTATATTTACCACATGCTTCCTGGGTGCCAAGAACTCTTTTAGGCACTGGGGACACGGCAGTGAAGCAACAGACAAAAATTCCTTTCTTTATGAATTGATGTCTTAGTGATGTCTACAAATGGCAGAGGGATTGCTTTTATTATAGGAAAATAATCTTAGGCTTTCAATACGTATTAATTTTATTTTACAAATGTATTCCCCAATACATTTTGGCTATTATTATTAGAGAAGTGATAAGTTGAGGGTGATTTGTCTTATAATTTTGTAAATTACAGGTTGTAGAGTGGTTGCCTTTACCAACAACAAAATAAACTTACTTGATTTTTTTTTTTGAGCTCAACAAACACTGGCATCCTACTGCTTAAAGAATACAGTCCCAGCTCCTCCACATACTGAGCAGGATTCTTCAGCTTCATCTGTGTCATTCTCTGTCTAGCTCTTATGCTTACTGGTTGTGACTTCTTTCCCAAAAGCTCTTAGCATCATTCCTGGCACAGAGTAAGCACTTGCTAAATATTAGCTCATATTACCTAAATCTTTGTTCACATGCTTTCCTCTCTTTTTGGGATCCAACTAAAGTGCCCATTAAAGCCCAGCTAAATATTTGAATCCTAAAGGAAGGATGGAAATCACTGCTGCTACTTCTCAGTTTCCTCAGTACTTTCTGTCTTTGCATTTGAGTAGGTGAAGGTAAGTGGCCAAGTGGAGTGGCCTCTTTGTGAGCCCTGGAGGGAGGGCCAGGACTGAGTCTTCTGGCCCCACTCCCTCAGCAAGGGCCTAGCAGCACTGGCAGTAGTTGCTAAGCTGAGTTGCTCATAATCCATTTGTGGAACCCGCAGAGCACAATAGAAAGGCAAACAGCCATGCTCAATTTCGGATTCAGAGACTCTCCATGGGGTCCTTGGAAATTGTCAGAGCAAGTTGTGGCCTTTCATAATAGGATTTTGTGACTCTCAATGGAAAGGAAGTGATGTTAAAAAAAAAAAAGAAGAAGAAGAAGAAAATTACTGACAGGAAATTCTAAGAAACACCAGGAAGAGGAACTTAGAAGAAGAGTTGACAACATTTTGAGAGGTAGCAGCTAAGTGCCATAGGTTACTCTCAGAATGATGGCCTTGCTGGCAACAGCCAAGACTGGGTCCTGGGACTCCTTAGAGGGGTAAGGGAGTACCCTTATCCTGGTGACTGAGAAATAAAGGAGCCACACTGCCTACATTTTGTCTTTAGATTCTGAGAATACATGCACCCCTATGCAGGCATATACACACATATACATAAGTACATGCACACACAGGCGTATGTACACACATACATGTGGACATGCACACACTCCCTGTGCATACTAATACTACCCCACTCATACAGACATAAACATAGAAATTAAAGCAAACATAAATAAAAATACAAATCTGAGCACATTCAAAAGAGAGAGAGCAGAGCAGTAAGGGAATCTGAGACCACACTGCATGAGGAAGCGGTGAAGGTGTTTAGCCAGGAGGAAAGTGCATGGCAGGCCAGGTAGATTCTTCTAAGTCATAGAGTCCTGACTTATGGAAGAAGTACTAGGATTCTTCTACATGAAACAAAGAGGTAAAAAGTCAGGTTGGAACTCCAGACAGTTGGAAGTTCCAGGAAGAAGATTTCAGCTCAGAGTGACAGTCAGGCTATGGGGTTCAGAGTCTAGAGTCTAAATTTGGAATCATCTCTTTTATTTTTGACTTTCGTCTCTGTCACTTAAAAACTGAGCCATCACAGGCAACTTACTTTATCTCTCTGAGCCTGTGTTTCCCCATTTATCAAATGGTGGCAATAAACACACCTACTACCTATTAAGTTTAAATGACCCACGGCTTGGAAGAGCTTATCACAGTGCAGGTTTAAGCTTTAGGTCCCACTAGACCTGGATCTTCCTCTGGAGATATGGAGTTGTGCATCAAGGCAATTGGGGCCATTGTCTTTATTTTGATTTAAGAGGAGCTCTTGAGAACTGCTCTCTGAACATACTTCCAGGTGTGTCTCCAGGAAGGACCTCTTTTCTCAAAAGGGGAGGCCTATAATTATCTCCTACTAATAAGTCAGTCTTTTTTGTAACCTTTCTCCAGCCTCCTGGGAAACGACCGGCTGGTTGGTCTGTGCAAGCAAAAGTCGACGTGTACCTGTGGCTGGGCTCCATCAAGCATGCCAGTGCCATTTTGGACAACTTGCCAGTAGGCTATGAAGCAGAAATGTCCTCCAAAGGGGCTGGCACCAATCACCCCCCATCTAACCTGCTCTACCAAGGTAGGGTCCCCACTGGGCAAAGAGGGTCATTCGAGGTCTCAGGTGGGCTTCTGAAAAGATAATAAGGAGGGCAGCATGCATGAGTTTTTTGCACATTATTTTAGGGCCAACTTATTGGTCTTCTTAAGTAAAGTACAGTTTCTAAGTGTTCTACCTTACCTTTCATTGTCCCATCTAAAAAGAGTAAAATCATTAAACACATCTGGAATAAACACTTATGTTTCTCTGTTAATAGAGAGGAAGTAATTTGAGTTTCTTTGTAGGCAGATTATGTAGGTTGAGTTTGCGTTTTAAGCAAAAAATGTCAGAATGTCAATATGTTCTTGTGCTTACATGATCTGTGGAATTAAGGCAGATTTTACTTTTATGTGGCATTCGAGTTTTGACATATCAACAGCAGATATTCACATTTCCTAGTAGTAACCCAGTGGAGACTGGTATCAGTAGGTTCACTTATATTTCTCCAGCTTGGTTCTTGGCTCGGCTGCTTTTAAAATTCAGCATGCTTTATGGAATCCTTTTTCTATGTAGTTATTTTCTGTAAGTGCCATCATGTTTATGTTTTGATACATTTTTGAGTTTTATTATAAATATTCCTTACACTTGCATTTTGCTTTCTGCTTCCAAATTACTTCCATTTATGTTATCTCTTGCTGCTGAGTTCAGATAAAGCAGCCTGCAGTTTTACCTTCATTTCTGCTGAAGTTGAGTTTTGGGTTGAGCCAATGTTGGAAACACTGGAGAATTGTCTGTAGAGTCAGGTCTTCTCTGTGGCCCAAGGCTCCTCTGAGGTTGGTTGAACTTAGACTGCCAGTGGAATCGAAGTTGCTCAATAGTCAGAGAATACAAGGTTCTGGAAATACATATCCAATGGTTCAGCTCATGGTTTCTGTACCCCATATAAATGCGTAAGAGCATTGTCTTTGGAAAATGCATAATACCACATGCCAAGCATTGTGCCTTACACTTTATGCATAAGATGTCATTGATTTCTCAAATCAACCCTGGGAAGACTCTTCATCTTTCAGATGAAGAAAATTATGTAGCAAAGATGCTTAAAAATTGCCCAAGGACACATAGCTAGTAAATGATGGGGAAAAAAATGTCTCCAAACCCTGCTTTCTTTCTACTGTCTTCCACCATACCTTGAGAGAGTTTTCATCTTTGGGTAAAAAACATCCACATTAACTTGATAGGAAAAAATAGGAACCTCACTTGGCTTCCTATTTTTATCGACTATCTCTAGAGACCCAAGGACCTGGATGTGATTGCTATCCCAGCTACTAACAATTCAGAGAAGAGGAAAGACTTTTCCTAGTGCTTTCTGATCCTCTGCAGTGTGTTTTCATAGAGTGACCTAATAAACTTTTCCTGCTGTGCACTGGCATTGATGGCTTTGGCTGCCTTCCACACCTACTGGAGAATTTTGTGCTCCAGAAAATACCTGTTCAGCAAATAATTAGTTTGCACCTATATATGTAAGGCATGGTGGAAAAACTAGTGGGTGACATAGAGATGAGTGAGAGGTGATTCTGGCCCTCAAGTGGGGATAACAGACACATCTCTCATAACCACAAGTAAAAAGCAAGCCATAGCACAAGAGGTGTACCAATAAAGTGTGAGGAGGGTGACTAGATTAGTCCCAGGAACATAACTAGTAAGACTCAAGGTTTCAGAAAAATGAAAACTCACACTGAGTAAATGGTGCTCCCTGGTGTTGTGCAGTGCACAGCTTGTGTGGCTGCCATTGGGAGGTCTGCTAAAATTACAGGGTTAGCCATTTCAAGGGCAGCTGATGAACATTTTCACCGGATGAACCATTTCCAAGTTCACTGTCAGCTGAGAAATTTGCCAAACTATGTAGCATGCTAAGGAACACGTGGGCCATCTCTAGAAACACTCCTGTCGGGAAATCCCTGTGCCATCTGCTGAACATTCCATCATTTACTGTTGCCATTTTAAGGGGCTCCCTTGCCAGCAGGGCCCAGCCTGTTTTGTGAGGGTTTATTGGTGTATGTGGCAGTGGGGACAGAGGGACAGTGGGGACAGACTTAGAATTGAGTCCAAAGCAATCACTTCTCTGGTTCTCCCTGCCTTGACAGAATGTGGAGAACTTTCACCGCAAATACCTGGACTTAACTGGGAAGTGTGCAGAGCTCAAGTTTCCAAATCCTTTGCAGGATTAGAGTGGGTCTGATATGGTTGCTGTGTTCTCAGGCTCCATATTGGTCCCCATGCAGCCAGACAGTGGCATGGGGTGGAGGGTAGAGGGACAGAAACGTGTGTGAGCCTCAAGACAATCAAGTAAGGAGTTGTCTTTGGCACCCCCTGCCTTTCCTGTCCCTCCTCACCCTGCCAATCAGGGGTCAAGTCCTATAGCAACAAGGGCTGCCATGTCCCTCCCACCCCCTCATTTCCATCCCCTCCACCAGTGCCTAAACTCTGGTCCTTAAACTTCTGGCCTAGAGGGAGCAGTGTTGTCTCCTTGTTGGTTCTTCTCCCTGACACCTCTTCTGTCCATGGCTAGCTTGACTCAGTTTTATCGTCCTGAGGCTTTGCTCTGCTAGCACCAGCTCCTGTGCACAGACTTTCAAGAGTTTCCGATTGCCTCGTTCAGGCCTCCTAGGTCCTCAGTGATACGACTACAGCTGTCTGTGTCCCTAGACTCTAGATAAACTGGACTACATTCTTGCCCCATGTGGCCTAGTGTTTTTGACCCTGTCTTGACTCATCCTGCTCCAGTGTCTTGGCACCTCCACCTCTGTCTCTCAAATGTTACCATCCTTTAGGGCTCTGCTCAAAGGGCAGCACCACCTCCGCTATGGTCTGCCCCTTTTTCTTTGAATGTGCTTTGGTGAATGTGAATGATTGCTTTGCGTGCACATATTCTTATTTTACATGTATAGTACTGTCTCCTATCTCACTAAGCACTTAGATTCTTGAGATCCATCCATTTTGCCACGTGTACCTCTAATTCGTTGCCCCTAACTGCTTTCCCGAACTTCCTGACATTTTTCCTTTGCACTACCCCAGTGATGGACATGCAGGTTGCTTCCAGGTGCTCACCACAGGCTCACATTGCAATGAGCAATAGTAACAACACTCCAGCCTCTTCACCCCACTTTTAGAGTTCTTCCTATGGGCCAGGCACCATTCTGAGCCCTTCAGTTCTCTTCAATAACCCTATGAGGAACTATTATTACCTCGATTTTACAAATAAGGAGATAAAGGCACACTAATAAAGGATTAGTAGTAGCCATGTACAAGTCCCCACATGGATCTGTGTGAGACAAGTGTAGGGATGGCATTGTAGGGGGTGGAGGAGTTCACAGGGTATTTGTACCCTTAATTTAACTAAGTAGCGTTATTCAAGTTAGTCCACAAGAGCTTCTGTATACCACTCCCCAAGTCTGCACAAAAACAGACACACTGAACACAGTGGCTTTGGGGGAGTCCGTGAAATGGGAGTGGGTAAAGAAGTAAAAAGGGATAAGTGAATATAAAAACCAAGAGGCGCCCTGCAAGGGGCAGTGATCAGAAAGTACCATGGACCAAGGACTGTGATGAACTCAACTCTTACTTGAGGTTTCCCCACTGAACCCTGAGCTGCCCCAACCTGAGGCCTCCTATCCCAGCACAGTGTGCTCACTCCTGTCCTTTACCCCTGTGTTCCTTGCCAGCATTCTCACAGGACACTTATCCCTGACCCCCTGCCTGTGATGTGGGTGCTTGTCTTATCTTCTGCCTTCTCCCAGGAGCTCTCCAGGGGCAGGGACTGTCTTGTTACCACAGAATCCTCAGAGATCAAGACTGTACACAGTAGGTGCTCAGAATGACCCTGGCTGGCTGAATGGAAAATGAGTCAATGGATGACTTGAGACATATATTGTGTTTACTGAAGTGAAAACTATGTGGAGCAGCCCCTTTCACACACACAGGCACACACCCACACATGCCCACATGCACACACATGCACACACTCATGCCTGTATAAACAGGAGAATTACTGGGGAGTAAAATTTGATATTTTAGAAAGAGAAGAGGATTTTAGAATCAGAAATAAAATCGATGCTCCGGCATGGGTTAATTGTGCAAACTTTTGAAAGTCTTTTAACCTGGTTGTGGGCCATTTTTCCTCATCTATGAAGTGGAGAGCATGCTATTTCGCATGGTTTTAGTGAAGAATAAGACACATAACCTGGTGAAAGCACCAAGGAAGATGGCTGGGTTCAAAGTACCCCATAAATATCACCTCTTCCCTTTCTTCAGGACTTCCATTCCTGTCTCAGAGGAGGGTGGATGTGGCTGGTGGTCTCCTTTTGTCTGTCTGTGGATACATAGATGGACATCACACACAGACACACATGTGCACACACTGTTCTTGAAAAGCCCACTAACACCTGCCCCCTTCCATGATTTGTCCACAGAACAGCATGTTTTTCAGCTGAGGGCTCACATGTACCAAGCCCGGGGCCTCATCGCAGCTGACAGCAATGGACTTTCAGACCCTTTTGCCAAAGTCACGTTCCTTTCTCACTGCCAGACAACAAAGGTAACCAGGGTAACCAAGACAGCCTGCTTCTTTCCTGCAGCCTGCAACTGACCCACAGAAGATCCCAGGAAAGAAACAACGGGGGCATGTTGCAAATACCTGCATCTTTGGGTGTGTAGATGTTTCAGACTGAAAAGCGAATATGTGCCCAGAAGGACTGGTGTGGGGAAGGTCTATTGTTTCAGTGTGATTCATTGTCCTAGGGCAAAGGATGCAAGTCCCTGAGGCGAAGGAAGGCTGGGAGAAAAAGAGGAATGAGGCGGAGAAGGCTAAAGTGCCAGGCACGAGGCCAAGTGCAGTGGGGAAGGAGCAAATGAGGAAACAGCACAGATCAACCTGCAGGAGGTTTATGATCCAATCATTATGAAGGGGTCTCAGTGGGGAGAAACATTTTCCAGTTTTGTGGTCAAGATGCGCTAGACTTTGCACTCACCAGCTGGGGAGCTTCGCATGCTTTTAACATCTTTATGCTTCACAGTCCCCCTCCTCTGGAAAATACTACTTCATAATGGATATTGTGAGTATTAAGGGAGATGGGTTGTCTTAATCCATTTAGCATTGCTTATAACAGAATACCTGAAACTGGGTAATTTCTAAAGAAAAGGAAATTATTTTTTACAGTTATGGAGGCTGGAGGTCCAAAGTTGAGGAGCCGTATCTGATGAGGGCCTTCTTGCTGGTGGGACCCTGCAGGTTCCGAGGCAGCACAGGGCATCACGTGGCAAGGGGGTGGAGCATGCTAATATGCTCGCTCAGGCCTCTCTTCCTCTTCTTCTGAAGCCACCAGTTCCCCTCCCATGACAGCCTATTAATCATAGATTAATCCATTTGTGAAGGCAGATCCTTTATGACCCAAACACCTCTTAAAGGTCCCGCCTCTCAATACTGTGACATTAGGGATTAAATTTCAACATGAGTTTTGGAAAAGACAAATATGCAAATCATAGTATGGGTCTGTGCCTGTTTCCTCTGTCTTTCTCCCTATCCTATACAACTAGTACTAAAATGTGAAAGGATTCCTAATCAGCAAAAATCCAGTAGGATGCTTGTCTCATTAGATTCTGTTCTTTAAACATTTATTCTGTTCTCTGATTTGTGGTTTGAAAAGAGGAAAACTCAGTAAAGAATTGCCCATCTCAGGGAGTTAAGCACCATGGGTTAGCACACACAGTGCCCTAAGGTTACTTTCTAGCTCATCTCCTCTTTGGCTGCATGTCTTTGGGCAAGTAACACAACTCACTAAACCTCAGGTTTGTCATTTTAAGATGGGACTGTCATGAAGAAGCAGATATTTAAGTTTATAAAATGATTGATAAATGATGGCCATGACATTGGCTGATGTTGAGAGGGCTAACATTGTTCTCCAGGGCAAAGCCCATGACCTCGATGATAGAGTAGACTGCATTTTGATTTATGACTCGCACACTGACAGCGTGATGTGAACCAGCCTCACATTCATTGAACCAGTGCCTGTCGGGTGCTGGCTTTTTGCCAGGCCACATGCTGGGCTCTGGAGGATGAGAGGAACCAGACTCTGCTCCAGTGTAATATACAATCCAGGCATGGATGCAGGCCTCATGACACACGAGTCACTACACTATGATAAGCCTCAGGGTGCAGGGCTGTACAGAGTCCTACAAGAGCCAGGTAGAGAAAGGGTTAGTTCTACCTGGGGGAGAAGTCAGGAGACACCTCAGAAGAAAGGTGACTTCATCCTCATTCAGTGACTGAGCATAAAAATGAGAAGACAACAGACTGCTTTCTCTTTCCTGTGTTTTGAGAGTTAGTATAGAGCATGGTGATGATGAGTATAGACTCTGGAGCTGCGCTGTCTGGGTCAAAATCCACGCTCTTCCATTTATCAGCTGTGTGACTCTAAACAAACCTCTGTTTGTGCCTCAATTTCTTTATCTGTGAAATAGGGATGATAACCTTGTACATTCCTTCCAGAGGATAAAATACCCAGGACAGTACCTTGCTTAAAACTAAGGCCTATGTGACTGCTTGTTGTTGTTGTAATTGAGGCTTCCTTCCTACAGCAAGGGAGTTCTCATAGGATGGACCCCTGGAGCCCTCCTCCACCTGCCACAACACTGTGGAGTTCCAGGGCCTTAGTGAAGTACAGGATTTGGACTAAATCCTTGGTCTGCTGTGTAATTATCCTTGTATTTTGTATCTCCATACAGCATCTTCATTTGATTTACATCCATATCTCAAAGGAACAGATGGCTTTTATTTGTCAAATAATTATTTGAAAGGGAAAATAGGTTCTGTTGAGTTCTGGACTCTGTCTCCATAATTTTAAGCCAAGTACCTCATTTTTGTTAATAATAATAGCTGCTATTTACTAAAAGCTCCCCACGTGCTGGGCACAATGCTTAGCATTTTATATGCATCATTTGCTACATCTCACTGCAGCCCAAAGCTGGATGTTATTAGTGTCTTCATTCTACAGATGAGGAAGGTAAGGCTCGGAAGCGATATAGCTAGAAGATGGTGGAGCCAAGATGGAAACCCAGGTTTGTCCAATTCCAGAGTCACTTTGCTTAACCACTCCACTTCCATTTTCATAAGAAAGGGTACCAATTTCCCTCTCCTGTTTCACTTCTGCGCTAACACAGAGGGACTTGTCTGCAGGTGACATGCCCCCTTTATGTATTTTTAATGATGAGGAAAGCTGAACCTGGGCCCCTGCAGTCATAGCCGAGTGCCACTGTTCAGCTGGTAGCACTCACCTGACCACGCGGGGCTCAGGGAGAAAAAGCCTCCGAAGGCTGTTCCTGAAAAACCAGTGCTTTATAAAGTGACTTAATGGAATGAAATATTTCAAAGAGGGGAATCCAGTCATTCCCAACATCACTGGGGATATGGGACATAGAAATCTTGTGATTGAAATACAAAGGGAAGGAGAGAAAGCTCCGACAGAGAAAGGCTTCTGGGATGAAAGAGGGAAACAGACTAAGTGGCTAAGAGGGAGCATTAGAGGAGAAGGGGAGGAAATCTTAAGAGGGTGAAGCACGGAACCTGCCATTTGCAACAACCAGGCTGGGGCTTAGTCCTGAGGACATGAATGGTCTCTTACCCCAGTGCACCAAGGCTGCCATGTGGCAGGCGTTCAGTAAATGTTTACTCATTTATAAAAGAATATGGGCTGGGATCGGGTAGGATGGGTAACAAGCAATTATTGAGCACCTGATGTGTGCCAAGCACTTAATATTCTTGGACAATGCTCATAACTCCGCAGGGTAGGTGCTAACCCCATTTAAATGAGGAAAACTAAGGTTTGGAGGGTTAATATCCAACGTGCCCAAGTCCAACATCAGGTAGGTAATGAAACTAGAATTTCCCTCCAGAGTTATTTGATTCTAAAGCTATACTCTGTCCATGACAGCTGGCTCCATCATCAAAATGTTAGCTAAGTGCTACCATAACTTCCAGATAATGTCATTTAACTCAGTTATAATGCATAACTCTTTAAGAAAGCCCTTAAGAAATGAGGCGAATTATAGGCACCTTGGCAGAGTATCTTATCCTCTGGAAGGAATGTACAAGGTTATCATCCCTATTTCACAGATAAAGAAATTGAGGCACAAAGAGAGGTTTGTTTAAAGTCACATGGCTGATAAATGGAAGAGCGTGGATTTCGACTGAGGCAGTGCAGCTCCAGAGTCTATATTCATCATCACCACTCTCCATACTAACTCTCAAAACATAGTAAAGAGAAAGCAGTCTGTTGTCTTCTCATTTTTATGCTCAGTCACTGAATGAGGACGAAGTTACCTTCTTTCTGAGGTAGGTAGGAGAATGTATGTTTGTTTGGGTGAACCTTTTAGTACCTCCTGGAGGTGGTCATGCAGTCCTTTTACTCATGGGAGCAACTCCAAGGACAGGTCGATACGCACTTATTCATGCAAATAGCTATTGAGCATCTGCTATGCACAGAGTGCTGTGTTAGTGTCTAATACTGTGCCTAGCACATTGTAGGTCCTGAATCCTATATTTATATAATGAATGAGTGAATGAACAAATGCTGGTCTCTGGAATCTTATTAAGTGGTATTTACAGCCCAGTGCCAAAGAAGATACCGAAATATTTCTATAGGAAAGATGCTGTGAAGATCACAAATTGCTTTGGTATTACGCTGTCAAGTGCATGCTACAAGACACATCACATTTCTATTTTGAAAAGCATCATAAAAACACGGTTCTTTGTGATGTCACTGACACAGGGTAACTTTGCATTGCAGCTTTTTAACTTCTGTTATTAGTTGGTTGAAGTCATTCATTTCCTATTGGAAAAGTTAGATTTTCTCTGAAACGTTTAAAATCTTGTTGTGTCTCAGACATAAAGTACCCTAAAAGTGAAAAAGCAAGAAGAGAAGGAAATTGTGAAAATGCACAATATTTTTATGACCCACATAAAGAAGAGCAATAAAAATATTCCTTTGTGACCACAGGGCAAATGACTTAATGCTGTGACTAGAAATGACTCGATGTAAAACGCTGAGATGACAGTTGATACGAGTTTTGGAGTCCAGGCCAGGTCTCCCTCTAGACTTTCCTCCTAGATTGAACAGTGACAGACAAAGGCACAGTTCAGAAACTTCCCCTGGACCCAGCAGCTGCTGTGATACATTCACCTATGAAATCACTCATTTGCCTGGAAGAGAAAGAAATGTGGTTTTGAACTCTTTCCAGGACTAGTCTCCTGCATTAATGGAATAGCTTCTGCCCAGGTGCAGAGTCCACTTGCCCCGCAAACAACTCCAGTCTTCGGCTGTGTGAAATTGGCAGGTTTCCAAACATCCAATTAAATAGAGAAGAAAATGCAAGACCAAATATGCCCTCCCTTCTGAGGGCACCACTTAAATGGCCTAGGAGGGGGCTGTAAGCCACTTCTAGGCAAGATGCTCATGGTCTGAGGGCAATTATGCAGATTATTATCCTCTGTATCCATTGACTGCTCCAACTGTATAATGGTACAGTCTACTATCAGTGTAAGAAAGTTGTCATGCAAAATGGTGAGAGCAGTTTTGAAAACCTTGATCTATTTAATTCAGTCAATAACCACAAAACAGTAGAATTCCACATAAGGAATATTAGGTCAAATACCCAACTTCAGGATATTTGATGACAAAATTTTATTTGCTCCTAAGTCAAGAATCATGTAATCTCCCCAATCCTCCGTGTTCTCATTCATAAAATGGGGATAATATTAGCATCTACATGGCGAGAGTGGGTGAGGTTAGCAGCCTGCCTGGGCTTTGCTGCCAGATGGTCCAGGTGGAACCTCAGTTCTGCCACTTGCTGGCTCTGGACAAGTGAGCCTCAGTTTCCTGATCTGTAAAATGTGTGTAAATAACTGAACCTACCTCCCAGAATTATTGTGAGGGTTGAATGAGACAGTGCATGTGAAATTCAGCACACCATAAATGCTCAAAAAAGTGGCTAGTGTTATCATTGGCACTACTGTGAGGACTGAGCTGAAAGTATGTATGCAAAGAGGGTGTTAAACATGTAGGGGCTCTGCTCATGAAACTTAAGAATGTACGCTTCTCCACGGTTGGGAGTCTTTGTGTTCCCTAGCATTGTTTAGTACATAGTAGCTGCTCAGTTTACATAGTCACTTGAATATTGAATGGTGAGCAATCACAATGATGATGTGTTCTCTTTCCCCTGTATAAGTATTTGATGAATGAACCTTAGAGCCCCTATAACTCAATTGAATGATCTTTTGCTTTTCTTTGGTCCCTGCTTCCAGATAATCTCCCAGACCCTCTCTCCGACCTGGAACCAGATGCTGCTGTTCAATGATTTGGTGCTGCATGGAGATGTGAAGGAGCTGGCAGAGTCCCCGCCCTTAGTGGTGGTGGAGCTGTATGACAGCGACGCTGTGGTGAGTGTCCCCCTGGGCCAGTGCTGACCACACCTCATAAAAAATGCCACGTTGAACTCACTCACTTTATTTTAAAGTAAATAAAGTCCTGACGCTGTGAGTGGTGAGAACACTAGATGTACCTAGAGGCAAACTTGACCTCTGAAAACAGTTCACAGAACCAAAAAGATTGGTGATGATCATTTGCTTTACTAAAAGAGTTTTTCACTGACTTCCATTTAAATGGCAATTAAAATTGGATCTGGTTTACAGAACGTCAGTCTACACACTTCTTCAGGAATGTGATACTTGTATAAAGCAACCTGCAACTGTACCCAGCCTCCAGCTAATTCCAGGTCCTATTGCTGTTTAATAAAAATGTCCATGCTTTTTGGAGACAGGAGGTTTTTACTGATCTCCCCTGGCTGAAAAGAAATGGATGGGTATTTTCTCAGCCTTTCTGTGTTTCTTTCTCTCTTGCTTGTTGCTTCGACGCCTTTCACAACACTTTAATCTCTATCCCTTTTCTTTTATGATGTGAACCAAACCTCTTGTTCTCCAAAGACGTTTGTGTGCTGAACCCTTGGATAGAGTCCAAAGCTTACTGGAGGATTTTTTTAACTTACACAAATATTCTTTTCTTAAATTAGGTAGTCTAAAATGAAAGGAAAGGGTTTGTTTCTTTATTTAATATCTCTACCTCCTCATGAGGTTGCAGAAGCACAAATATATTAAGTAAAACAGTAGTTCCAGGAAGCCTGCCTAAAGCTTCCCCACCTCCTCGCAGTACTCCTGACAGCCCCTGTCTTTGGGTCAAGGTCAGGAGGGAGTCAAGAAGTGAGCATCACAGAAGGGGAGCGGAGACCTTGGAGACCATGAAGTTCCCATCTTGCTTCCTAGAGGAGGAAACAGACACAGAAAGCTCAAATACCTTCTTTAAAGCCATAGTTGGTTGGAGGCTGAACCAGGTCCCCTGTGCCCACTTTTGCCTGTACAGGTGGTGGAGGCTAGTGTAGCAGTCTATACATCCACATTCTAGCCCTCCAAGCCACTCCCTCCCTCTGGGCCCCATTCCCCTATCTATAAATTGGGGATAGATGTGTATATTTATGGAAGAGGATTTCTACTATTTAGCATGTAGTATAGATGCTCTGTAGGGAAGACCACAAAATCATTACCTTTTCAATTTTGTTCTTAACAACATGCTTTCAATTGTTAGTGTTTATTTTCTATGCAGAAAACAATAATAGCAATAGAGCGTCTTTGAACACTCTACTAGGAAAAATCAGGTGACAGCAAACATTCCAAAGATCTGCAGGGCAGGGTACCATTGTGGTTAGGAGCACAAACTTTGGAGCCAGGCAGACTTCAGTTTGAGCTCTCACATCTGCTACTTTCTAGCTCTATGCCCTTGGGCCAGCTGCTCAACCTCTGAACGCCTCATGCCTAAAAAAGAGTTAAAAATAATACCTTTCTATAGGATCATGAGGACTAAAGGAATGTTGTATAGGCTTTGCATAGTGACTGGTATACAAGTGCCCAATACGTAGTAATGATGAAGATGATTGATATGTTTAAGTGATGAGGGAGTCCTGCCCTCTTTTTCTTGGTAGTAAAAAAGGATATTAAAATATTTTTGTATGTTTGTATGTAGGTCATAGTCCTGTTACACTAACCTGCTGAGCTGGCTGTGTTTCCCTTTGCTGTCCCATTGCTTTCCATTTCCCTTCCAGATCTCCATTCAGTAATGGCTTTTCCTGGCCCAACCCTAAGTCAAGCCCTTTATGGAGAAATTCAGCTGACATTATTGACTCTAAAGGGAAAAAGAAATGTGGGAGAGAAAGGAATATGAAAATATGCACTTTGCTCCCAGGGAAATACATGTAGACATGCAAAAACTTTTGTTCACCCTTGTGCGCTGCAGCTAAACAGGGCCCAAAATATGGTGATGCTCAGATTAATGGAATCAGAATCTGCTGGACCCATGCTTCCAGTCTAGAACCTTACCTCATTTCCCAATGGCCTCATAAGAATCTGCTGGTTCTGGAATAAATGAGTTTATATTTGGAAAATTGGTTGCTTGGGCTATGTTTACTCTTTTGTTTCCAGGGCTAATTTGAATTAACCATTCCCAGCTGGGTTAATGAACAAATTGTTAGGCAGATCACTGATTTCCTAGCCAGCTGCCCTAACTCCACCCATCCCCAAAACAGGTCTGTCTCCACTAGTGGACACCAGCAGGCAGCTTTGTTTTCAAGTGTGGTTGAACAAAAGCCTGGTTTCCATCTCAACCAAGTTTCCTTCTACAGCTGGGGTTGCACATATTGCTTCAGGAGTCCAGAGACAATGAAGCAGTGTGACTGCTAAAACCCAGCCTCAGCCAAAAAGAGCAAGGGCACTGACCTTGGATGGCAGAGGTCCAACAGCTTTCACTCAGCCAGCATGCATTGAGTATCTGCCCTGTGCTAGGGGACACAGCAGTGAATAGTGCAGGCAACTCTGCCCACAAGGAGCTTGTATTCTAGCAGTTCTTGAGACAAATAGCACAGCAGAATGACTGCGCAGCCCCATGCTGCCTCTGGGGGAATGTGCACACAGTCTTGCAAAAGAGGCAGGAAGCAGAGCCATCGCATCGCATACTTCTTATAGAAACATATGGCCTACATACATACATACAAAAATATTTTAATATCCTTTTTTGCTACCAAGAAAAATAGGGCAGGACTGCCCCATCACTTAGACATATTGATCATCTTCATCATTACTATGTATTGGGCACTTGTATACCAGTCCCTATGCAAAGCCTATACTACATTCCTTTAGTTCTCATGATCCTATGGAAAGGTATTACTTTTAAATCCTTTTTAGGTGTGAGGCATTCAGAGGTTGAGCAGCTGGCCCAAGGGCATAGAACTAGACAGTGACAGATGTGAGAGCTCAAACTGAAGTCTGCCTGGCTCCAAAGCTCGTGCTCCCAACCACAGTGATGCCCTGCCCTGCAGATCCTTTGGAATGTTTGCTGCCGCCTGATTTTTCCTTTTCCCCTTCCAGTCTTCCCTGGATAATGATTTTAACTATATCCTACTGAGCTCAATATATGAGAGAGATAGCCCCTAAGATAGCTTTGGGCCAGAAAGCCCCTAGGATGAGCACCCCCACCACCTTTTTTTTTTTCTTTTTTCTTTTTTTGAGACATCTCTCTCTGTCACCAGGCTGGAGTGCAGTGGTGCGATCTCGGCTTACTGCAACCTCCACATCCCGGGTTTAAGTGATTCTCCTGCCTCAGCCTCCCAAGTAGCTGGGACTACAGGTGTGCACCACCATGCCCAACTAATTTTTGTATTTTTAGTAGAGACAGGGTTTCACCATGTTGGCCAGGATGGGCTTGATCTCTTGACCTCATGATACACCTGCCACGGCCTTCTAAAGTGCTGGGATTACAGGCCTGAGCTACCGCGCCTGTATGACCCTTTTAGGATCATACAGGTCCTTTTAGGATCATACAGGGTCCTGGCCAGCCAGGATGACCCTTTTAGGAGCATGAGTGGAACCCACTGCTCCCCAGACCTACGGAAATGGGCAAGAGGAGCTTGGCAGGAGAAAAGAGTGAGACATGGAAGCTGATGGTTTTGTGGAGGTTATTTTGTGGAGGTGATGGCATTGATGTGGATCAGAACCAGGTAATTAATGATCAGGAAATACAAACTCATTTCTTTTCTTCTTTAGGGGAAGCCAGAATATTTGGGTGCCACAGTGGCTGCTCCTGTTGTGAAGCTGGCTGACCAGGACTATGAGCCCCCCAGGTTATGCTATCACCCCATCTTTTGTGGGAATCTCTCTGGAGGGGATCTCCTTGCTGTATTTGAACTGCTGCAGGTGAGTGAACCAGATGTGGCACGAGATCTATTAGGTCTACCTGGCCAGAGAAGTGGCCTCACCACAAATGCCACTTCAATGAAGCTGTGCCTGATCCCTCGCTGCAATCCCACATCTGAATGTGTCTCCTGGGGACCTGAGAGGTGCGCTTAAGAACTCAGGTGACTTGGACTATTCCCAGATACCCTGAGCTTATAAGTCAGAATCTCAGGATGAAATATTCTTGCGGGTTTGGCCAACAATGCTTGAGCAGCCTTGTGTGCAAATTCCTGAGCTTGCAGGCCTCCATGCAGGTCATGAAAGGATACAAAACAGAGAGGAAGCAAACATGTGGGCACTTACCATGTGTCCGGTGTGGTGATTGTTGTCTCGTATACCTTTCATCACACTAAAGCTCCCTCAGTCCTGCTGAGGTAGGTATTATGATTCCCATTTTACAGATAGTAAATTTAGGATTAAAGTGATTGACTGACTTATCACACAGCTGGGTGAACTGAGTTGACCTTAGACCTTTAAGGCCTTTTGCTCCTTACACTATACAGTTTTGCAAAGACAAAGAGATCTTAGTCCTTCCCACTAAGACCAAGGGGGATTTATGAATGTGTGTCTGGGGAGACTTTTTCAGAAAGCAGAAGCAGGTATTGGGAAGAGAAGCTGAGTCCCTGCAGTCTAGCAGTCTAGGAGAGGAACACGCAGGATGTGGAGAGAACCTGGAAAAGAAGTGAGTAGGTTGAGGGGCCTGTATCAGAGATTTCTCCCCTTGACCTCCTACTCACTGAGGCACCAGGAGGCGCCTGGTGGTACTTCGCCTTTTAGTCAGATCAATACCTCTATCTTAGGCGCTTAGGCTGCTATTATATAATAGAATTCTATAGACTGGGTAGTTTAAACAATAAATGTTTATTTCTCACAGTTCTGGAGGCTGGGAAGTCCAAGATCAAGGTGTCAGCAGACCTGGCATGACTGGTGTCTTCATGCCACCAAGAGAGAGAGAAGTTATCTCTCTTGTGTCTCTTCTTATCAGGACACGAATCCCATTCATGAGCGTTTTGCCCTCATGACCTCATGACCTCATTACTTCCTAAAGACCCCACTTCCAAATACCATCACATTGGGGTTGGTATTTTAACGTATGAATTTTGGAGAGTCACATTCAGTTCATAACAATGTCTATATAGGTAAGTCTAGTTTTCAGAAATCCCAATTTAAAAACAAAACAAAAAACATCAAATAAAGCCAAAACTCAATTAGTATAGAAACCAGAAGGCAAGCATTCCTAACACAAACAGAATGAGTTAAGAATGAAGGTGCTAGAGCTAGCATCCTTATTGGGATTTTAGACTTTCAATGGGATTAATGCCCTGACAAGAAGAGACAAAAGAGAGATAACCTCTCCCTCTCTTGGTCGCATGAAGATACCAGTCATGCCAGGTCGGCTGACACCTTGATCTTGGACTTCCCAGCCTCCAGAACTGTGAGAATAAACATTTATTGTTTAAACTACCCAGTCTATAGAATTCTATTATATAATAGCAGCCTAAGCAACCTAAGACAGAGGTGTTGATCTGACTAAAAGGTAAAGTACCACCAGGCACCTCCTGGTGCCTCAGTGAGTAGGAGGTCAAGGGGAGAAATCTCTGATACAGGCCCCTCAACCTCATAGTAGAAATCTCAGTTTCACCATTTATTAGTGTATGGCCCTGTGTAAGCTACTTAATCTGGGTTTCACCTGCAAAATGGGGATTATAGTCAATCTATCTAAAGTGCCTGGCATGGAATAAACACTCCACAAATAGCTATTTAAACTGAAAATGATGCCTTAGAATATTAAAGCAAGATGTCCAATTCTACCATGTATTTCAGGTAAAGGAACTGAGCTGGATAGAAAGGTAATTACTTGCTCAATATGGCGAGTGAGAGCCTAGAATCCAGAGAGTCCCACCAGAGCTGGGGATTCTGGGGAGCATAATGAGGAAGGGAGCAGCTTTGGGGTTAGACACACTTGTATTCAAACCCAGACCCTGCCCAGGTCTACAGCCTTGGGGTTGCACACGGCTACAGTAATGAGTTCTTAAGCTCATCTTATCAAAGACTTTCAGTGTGGTCTAGTTTTTGCTCCATGTAAGGGAGAAAATTTTGAGGATGGAATGGCTGCCTTGGAGAAAAAGTGAGCTCTCTGTTAGGGGAGCTGAGGCTGGGTGAGAGTTCTTGGGGGAATGGATTAGCAGGAATTCAAGCATTGGCTCTAGTTCCACAATGACTGCAGCCTAGGAGGGTAGGACTAGAAAAATCTTTGTCTTACAAATCTTAAAACCAAATGGGATTCTAATAGAACCAGATCTAGTCAAATAGATTTGTGTTGCACAGTAAAATGGACTATCAGAACTGAATGTAAACTTCAAAACTGTTGGTCCAGTCTTAAGTGAGAATCCTGTTGATTTTAGACTTTCAACGAGTGATTTTAGGTCAAAACCAGCATTAAATAGTGTTGGATTGATATGAAGGGAGTTTTGCCATGTTTTATCCTTCTAACTACTTGTAGAAGAAAGCCACTTTTGATGTTCATGTGTCTCGAATATCTCTCAACTTGAAACCTCCCTTTTTAATAAGAGATAGCACAGGTTTCAGGCACAGTCCCTTCCTAAAGAGATCAGTGACACCTATGGGAACATTTCCCAAAGTCTACCTCTTGGAACACCAGTCCCTCCAAATACAGTAAAGAGAAAGTTAAAGAAATGCTTCACATTGGCCAGGTGTGGTGGCTCACACCTGTAATCCCAGCACTTTGGGAGGCCGAGGAGCACGGATCACCTGAAGTCAGGAGTTGGAGACAGCCTGACCAACATGGAGAAACCCTATCCCTACTAAAAATACAAAAAGTAGCCAGGCGTGGTGGCGCACATCTGTAATCCCAGCTACTCCGGAGGCTGAGGCGCCTGAATCACTTGAACCCAGGAGGCAGAAGTTGCTGTGAGCCGAGATCGTGTCACTGCACTCCAGCCTGGGCGACAGAGCAAGACTCTGTCTCAAAAAAACAAACAAAGAAACAAACAAACAAAAAAAACAGCATCACATTGCATATTCCAATGACACTATTTTGTTTCATTGGTTTTCTTTTTAAAGTGACTTTCCATTTCTGTCAAGTAGTACTTGTTTTACCTTGCAAGATGAAGTTACCTTTTTAAAAATAAAAGTGTCGAATAAAAAAAATGGTTGTGGGATGTACAAGTGGTAAAGGTGGTCGTGGAATGGCTGACTTGGGAAAATGAGATCTAGTCCAGCACTCCCATTTTGCACGTGAGAAAGCTGAGGCTCAATGCTAACTGAATTGGATTCAGTCAACTCTCTTTTCACTACACAATGCTGTCCTAATAAGTGCTCTGGGTCTGAGAGGCTGCATCTGCCAATGAAGGCTGGACTGGTGGATCCCCAAATGCTCTCTGTGGGCTCAGCTGTCTGGGTTCTGTAGCCCCACCTCTCATCCTCCCTCCTGAGGTTGACAGCATTTCTCAAGCTTTCTTGTCACTGTATTTGGAGTGGGCTGAGCCCTGAGCTGGGCACACTGGTGAGAGGCCCTGCTGCTTCCTGACAGCCGACTTAATAAAGTAAGCACTGTCAGAGGTAAGTAGCCTGAGATACAATTCATTAGGATTTCATTAGGACTTCTTCTCTTTTGATCACTTGTTCAAAAAGTAATTTGATCACCAGCATGACTGTCTTAGCATGTGGATCTCATACATACTGAGAAGACAGGGGCTGGAAAATGCCTTCATTTGTTACCAGCTGTTCTCAGTTTTCATTTGTGGATGTCTGGCATCAGTTTCTCTATCTCCATTACTGAAACTGCCCTTGCTCAGAAGGATTTAGAGGCGGGGAGGATCACTTGAGCCCAGGAATTTGAGACTAGCCTCAGCAACATAGTGGGATCCCCGTCTCTACAAAACATAAAAATTCAGCCGGGTGTGATGGCACATGCTCATGGTGCCAGCTACTCAGGAGGTGGAGGCGGGAGGATTACTTGAGCCTGGGAGGTCGAGGCTGCAGTGACATCATGATCACATCACTGCATTCCAGCCTGGGCAGGAGAGCAAGAGACCCTGTCTCAAAAACACATGAAGGATATAATACCTTTGTTCTCCTATGCACCAGACTGAATTCATTATTTTTACTTCCCTCCTCTATCCAAGTTAGCTGCCCCCGTCCTCCCTATCCTGACTCATAGCCCCGTTGTTCTCCCAGACACTCCAGCTTGAAAATTCAGTAAGCCTTAATTCTTTACACCATGTCTTTATCCACAGCCAGGCCCGCCCTGCAGATTGTTCCTTGAATGGTTCCCATCCCCTGTTCCCATGGGTTCTTTTAGTGCTCATCTGAACGTTACATTGGCCTCCCTGCTGGGCTACTGGCCTTCTTTACTTTTCCTGTTCACTCCATCCTCCACATTCCTTCCAGAACACTAGTTGGTGTTACCACCCCTCTCTCCAGAAATCTTCAGTGGCTCTTACTTCTTACCACCAGGAACATTCTCAAAGTCTGGTTTTTTTTGGAACATCACTCCCTCCAAATACAGTGACAAGAAAGCTTGAGAAATGCTTTATATCACATCTGTTTTGGGGATCTGAAATGCCAGTTACCATGGTAAAGAAACTGAGAAGTCCTGCAACAAAGAACTTTTTTTTTAACTTCTTTTTCAAAACTTGATATTTCCCAAAGGTATTAGACCACAAAACATTTTTTCACGATAAGTGTTAATATTCCCTGAAGAGGAAATCTGCCCCATAGGAGACCGTCACATTTCTGTAGCCTGGCTATTAAGCTGTCCTGAAATTTGTCCTCAGACTACTTTTGTAGCCTCACATTTTAGCTGCATGGTTAACTGGGCAACCATGCAACTAACTGGGCAAAGAGCCTTTAGATGCGGAGGGAAGAGCAAATTCCAGACCCTGAAGCCTCACTATGCCCGGCATGCTCAAGGAGGTCAATGTGGCTGGAATGGACAAATGACAGGAAGCGGGAAGGCGATGAGGCCAGTGGGAAAAGATCACATGGGGCCTGGTAAGGACTTTGGCTTTTATTCTGGGAGAGATGGGAAACCAAGAGAGGACTCTCGGCACAATGACTTAATGTTGCAACGCGAAGATGCCAGATCCAGTGTATTCCGAAGGGGCAAGGAGAGAAGCAGAAAGGCCCGTTGGGAGACTCTTAAAGTTACTCAGATTGGAGATAAAGGCACCTTTAATCAGTGTAGCCATGGAAAGGAAGAGAGGTGGGCTCTGCATATATCTTAAAGGTAGAGTCTTTTGGATCAACTGATGAGATTTGACATGTGAGGTTTATCTCCACATCACACAGAAAAGCCCACAACATTTTACACATCATAGACTCACAGTAAAATATTTTGTCTGAGCCTGGTGGTTCACGCCTGTAATCCCAGCACTTTAGGAAGCTGAGGCAGGAGGATCGTTTGAGTCCAGGAGTTTAAGACCAGCCTAGGCGATATGGCGAGACCACATCTCTACAAAAAATAAAAAATTAGCTGGGCGTGGTGGTGGAGGCTGCAGTGAACTATGATCATGCTACTGCACTCCAGCCTGGGTGATAGAGCAAGACCCTGTCTTGAAAAAAAAAATGCATCTGTTTACTCATTCAATGAACAAACATTCATGGAATTCTGTGTGTAAGCCAGATTTCAACTGTTGGGCCATTCCCTGGGCCCCTCAGAGCGATGTCCCCTTCTGCAATCAGAACTATCTGTTGTTATTCACACTTTGGCCTTCTTTTCCATTCTCCATACTTAGAACACTCGTTTCCCCTACTTTTATAATGTTTCTCTTGTTTTCAGAACCCTCTCTCTCCTATTACAGTTTTCCTCTCCTCTGCTGCTTGAATGTTGTCCTTCTGGAAAGTCCACCTCCCTTTCTTAGAATGTTTTGCTTCCTGTGTTGGTTTCCTATTGCTGCTCTAACAAATGACCACAGACATGGTGGCTTAAGACAACCCAATTTATTATCTTACAGTTCTGCAGGTTAGATGTTTGAAAGGGTCCCTCATCGGGGCATCAGCAGGTCTGTGTTCCTTCTGGAGGCTCTAGGGGGAAATCTGTTTCCTTGTCTATTCTGGTTTCTAGGGATGGCCTGCATTCCTTGGCTGGTGGCCCTTCCTTTACCTTCAAGCCAGCCAGACAGCTTCTTCAAGTCTCTCTCTCTCATTGTCTCTTTCTCCCCCGAGCCTCCCGTCTACTTCCATTATCACATCTCTTCCTACTCTGACTCTCCTGCTGCTGCCTCATAAGGACCCTCAAGAATACATGGGGCCCACCCAGATAAACCAAGATAAACTCCTCATTCCAAGAGCCTTAATTTAATCACATCTGCCACATCCCTTTTTGCCATTTAAGGTAACATACTTACAGGTTCTGAGGATTAGGATATGAACATCTTTGGGAGTCATTATTCTGCCCAACACACTTCCCAATTCCTAGAAATATCTCAGCCTACCTACAGGGTTAGTGCACTACACACCCCCAAAAGGGGCCACTGCTATTTGGTCTATGTGGCTGGCCTCCCCTACGGTTGTGCACTGTGCAGCCTCCATGGATTTATGTGTTAACTCTGCCTGTTTAGAATCCATTCTTCCTTTTCATTCAACTTTCTAGGACTCTTTCTCTTACCATCATGTGAATGTTCTCTAATTTTTTCATTTGTTTTTAATCTTCTTTGTCTATGTGGTATAGATTTAACCTAAGTTCTATTGGCTTAAAAAATGAGATATTCTCTGATGCTTGGCACTCATTAAGTCTTCTTATTAGAGGTCTGAGTTAGATGATTTAATTAGCTTCAGGCAGCATCTCTGTGTGATCTTTCTCCCTGTTTTAAAGGTAAAGTGTCATTAACTGATTATTGACCTGCTAATGAAGACTTTGCAGAAGGCATCCACCCTAAAATAGGCTTAATGAGGGTTCAGGGAGGGAAAGCAGGCTGATCCTTACATATTATTAAGAACTTCCAGGCCAGGCACAGTGGCTCACACCTGTAATGAGCACCCTTTGGAGGCAGAGGTGGGTGGATCACCTGAGGTCGGAAGTTCGAGACCAGACTGGTTAACATGGTGATACCCCGTCTCTACTAAAAATACAAAATTAGCTGGGCGCGGTGGCGTGCAATTGTAATCCCAGCTACTCAGGAGGCTGAGGCAGGAGAATTGCTTGAACCTGGGAGGCGGAGGTTGCAGTGAGCAGGGATCGCACCTCTGCACTCCAGCCTGGGTGACAGAGTGAGACTGTCTCAAAAAAACAAAAAAACAAAAACAAAAAACCTTCCAGTAGATAGAGACCCTGCTCAAGCCCTCAAGACGATCTCCTCAAGTCACCAACTTTATCCCAGAGTTCACACTTACCTCTTCTAGTGGTTCTGGCTTTGCCATAATCTCACTATTTGACGCTGTGCCCATTAAATTTCCTCTTAGGTTTTTTTGTTTTGTTTTGTTTGCCTGGGTTGGAAACAATTTTCTTTCAGCTGAAGGTATTATTCCATTGTTTGGGCTGTGCTTTCTCTTTTGAGAGGTTGGTTATCATTCTTATTGTTGCTCCTTAAAAAGTGATCTTTATTTTTTTCCCTCATCTGATTGTTTTTAAGGTATTTTTCTTTATTTTTGGTTTTTAGCAGTTTTACTATGTTGTAATAAAGCACAGTTTTGTTTTCATCTTGTCGGATTTTATAGAGCTTTTAAAACCCTGGCTTGATGTTTTAAATTAGTTTTGGAAAATTGTCAGCCTTTATCTATTCAAAGATTGCTTCTGTCCTGTTCTATTCCTCCTCTTTTCTCTTCTCTCCCTTTTCTCCTTTCCTTGCCTCACCTCTTTTTGCCTGTCCTCTGTGATTCCAATTACATGTATATTAGACCTTTTAATCAGATACTCTGTGCCTCTTCTTTTATGCATTGTCTATCATTTTGTCTCTCTGAGCTTTATTTTATCCATAACATGGCCTATCTTCCAGCTCATTTCTCCTGCCTCTTTTTTAAAACCTATTCACTAAGTTCTTCTTTCCAGTGACTAAATTTTCAGCTATAGAATTTCCATTTCTTTTTTTATTATAGATTTCATTTATCTATTGAAATTTTTTATCTGGTTTCTTACTGAACAGATTAAGCATTGTTACTTTAAAGTTCATGTCTGATTACCACATTATCTGAATCCTCTGAGTCTTTCTTCGCTTAGTTTCTTCTTGTTAATCACATTGTCTTATCTCTGTGCATGCCATATTTTATTGCATGCTAGACATTTCTACATAAAAATATGTAGTGAGCTAGTAAGTGATAGAGCCCAAGTAACCACTGTACTAAAGATGAGAAATAATAGAAATATAAATTATGGGCTGAGGGAGACAGAAAGGAGAAAGGCTTCTGAGCATCAGTGATTTTTCAGATGGGCAGGGCTGGGACTAGGGTCATGCATGACCCTAAGAGTGAGTGCCTCCTTAACTTTTGTACCCTGTGTGCCACACTGGTTCACCCTTGTCCTGGAACTGAAGCTGGACCTACTTTGAGGTCCTGATATTTTACTTCCATGGGGATATTAGAGCAGTCTGGCTTTCAGACCAACTACCCATCCTGCTCACCACCATTTCTTACTATTTTGTCTTTATAACAATCGCTTGTTTTTCCCTGGCCTATGTGCTGAGTAACTGCATAGCATATGGTTTTATAGGCCAGCAACCAACCCATTTCACAGGAAAAAGCTTAATCTTGCTGGTAGCAAAGTCATTTAATTGCCACAATGTTATAGGATTCTTTAAGGGCTGTGTTGAGCTCTTAACAGCATTTTTCAGGCACTTACAAAGCAAAACTTCTTTGGCCATTTCCCAAGACACTTCAGGAGCCCCAGGATAAAACATATGATGCTTTTTAAAAAGCACATCTAGAGGCAGCCCCTCCTATGCCACCATCACAGCTGTTTCGTGGCTTTCCCTTTAAAGCCTGGGGGGCTATTAACTTTCCCAGTGAGGTGATGCTCGCAGGCTAAATTGCTCACCTCATCACTGCCAGGCAGTATTGGGCATTGCCATCCTCATTATTTACCAGCTTCTTGATCTGGGCTGGTGTATCCTGCAGCTTCATTACCTTAAGCCTATTGCGCATTTGCAGTGTCTGCTCTCCTTTTTCTGAGCTTTCTTGTAATTAGCTTAACCACATCTGCTGTTGCCAACGAGAATATGTCTGTGAAAACAGAATGGTGATATATTTGCATTTTGCAGATTTTGATGCACAGTTAGGCTTTTTCTAGCACACGGAGCATGTGGACTAATATGTCAGTCAACCGGTAAACATCTATCAAGAACTCACTGTACATGGAGGGGCTTGGAGAATGAAGTAAATAAAGACTTCCTATTGGCCAAGTCCCTGTAAATTGTTCAGGCAGACAAACAGCCCCAGTAAGGAGAACCACCTGCTCCAAAGCAATGTTTAATAGAACATATGATTCCCAAGGAGCTTGATGGGTCATCTGGCCCAATATCTGAGGCTCAGAGATGGAAATTTACTTGTGCAGGGTCACACAGCAGAGCCTTATTTCTGGACTCAGTCCTCTATTTCTGCACAAAATCTGCATAAAGGACATGTTGCATTCAAAAGGCATTGAATGGTAGAAGCAGCTGGGACAGGGTCAGAAAAAGCTTCTTTTATTTTTTGTTTTCTTTGGGGAAACCTTCTTGAAAGATGTATGTGTCGAACCAGGTTTTGAGGGCAGTGTGGGATGGCCTACACAGTGAAAAAGACCCTTTTCTCAGTAGAACTCTGTAAGTCCTTTGTGTGAAATTTCAGCAAAGCTGAAATTGTCCTGAAGTTTCATTAACCCCAAGTGCACAAGAAGAGACAAGTTTTCATCTGCCTTCAAAACATTTCATTTTCTGCTTCACTGATTAGGATGCAGTCTCTGTTGGATTAAATGTACATCCTTTTATTGTAGTAGTAGTATTAGTATTAGTAGCAGTAGTAGTGCATAATGGCTTTTCTGGAGATCTTGACAAGTCCGAAGGGAGTGGGGATCATTAAGACTCAAATGTTTGGAAACTGATAGAAGCTCCTTCTCCACTACCCTGCTGTGGTTCTTGTGTAATTTTATTAAGTTGTAAAGACCATCTTCCGTATTTGTTTTTCTCTCTCCCCTCTATACTGTGAGCTCTGTGTTATTAGCCTTGTGGTACATCTTAAGTGCTCGCTAAATGTTGGTTACCCTTGTAAATGACTGCATTTATCAATTAATAAATAATTAAATATGGTAAAATGCATGGTCCTTGTATTTTAAGCTGGAAACATTACTTTTGTTGGCAAAACAGTGAACATCTTACTGATGAGGTGGTTGTGTGGCACTGTTGCCTTCCCTGTGTCTCTCCAGCATCTAACTCATACTTGCCTTGTGCGGTAGGTTCCTCCTTCTGGGCTGCAAGGCCTCCCACCCGTTGAGCCACCAGACATCACCCAGATCTACCCGGTTCCTGCCAACATTCGGCCGGTGCTGAGCAAATACCGAGTGGAGGTACGGGTCAGCGGAGGAGCTGAGTTGTTCTTTGGCACTCAAGGGCAGTGGCCCCACCTGAATTGTAGGAGAGGTGATATGGAATGGGCGGGAGACCTAGAGAAAAAGAATGAGCCCTCAAAAAGCTGTGCAGTTCTTTCCTGGAGGAACACAGCGTGGTTCTCAGGGAGCAGGTCTAACTTTTCCACACAGAGCCAGGGCAGGTGTGGGGCTCCTCCGTGGATCTGTGGTGATGGCTCTGCTGGTCTTTTCCTCAGGTTCTCTTCTGGGGAGTTCGGGAAATGAAGAAGGTGCAGCTCCTCTCTGTGGATCGGCCTCAGGCTCTCATTGAGTGCGGAGGACAAGGTGTGAAGTCCTGCGTGATCCAGAGCTACAAGAACAACCCGAACTTCAGCATCCAGGCAGACGCTTTCGAAGTGGTGCGAGCTTCTCACTCTCCCGACCTGGCTCATTCCTCTTTTTTGCACAGATGAGATGTTTTAGGGTTTCAGATGTCCACTAGCTGCGAGAAAGAATTAATTTAGTGAAAAGCCAGAATTTCAGAATGAGATAAAATAGACTTTTGTTGTTGTTGTTTTGTTTTGAAACGTTTCCAGTGTGGATCATACAGCAATCAAAGCAGGTTGACAAACTTTTTCCTATAACAGTGGTTCCCAAAGTGTGGTCCCCAATTCATCAGCATCAGCATCACCTGAGAACTTGTTAGAAATGCTCATTCTCAGGCCCGGCTGTTCTGAGTTAGAAACTATTGCAGGGAAGGCCAGATGTTTCTGGTTTAACGAGGTTTCCAGGTAATTCTGATATATGATAAAATTTGAGAACCACTGGCCTAGAAAATACTGTAATAAGATTTATTTTAATGGCTACGTTTTTAAAAAAGTATTTGTACTTAGAATGTCAGGAGTTTACATGTGAATTTATGCTTCTGAAGTGATTTTTTTTGACATCTGTGCTTTTATTTATTTCAATATTTCAGCATACATTTTTGTGCTTCGATTTGAAACTAATTGCAAAGAAAAAATTGCTTTGCCCAACCCAGCCTGCTCCACTGGACATATATCCCCAGTTAGCAAAGCCTACAATGGAAGAATGTGCATGGTGTTTGCAAACCTTTTGTATCAGGCTGCATTGAGTCTCGGGGGCCACCAGGGAAAACAGGTGGCTGGGGCACTGTCCCTTCACTCTCAGCTCTGTATTAAATGGCTCGACTTTCATCTCTTTTATATAATGGGCCTGGATAAGCTGTCTTTGGAGATGAGAGTTCTGTTGGCAGATAATGACAAAATAAAGAGGTCTGAAAATGACTGTCAGAGAGAGTGCAGAGGTGAGAGGTTTTGTAATTTAAACCTGCGACAAATTGTTACTAAGGCAGACTTCCTATTTGGGTGAATTACTCCCTGGCTCGGGAAGACACTGCTCCAGAGTTTTGGCAATCTGCAGGACTGGCCAGGAGGGACAGAATGGCAAGGCAGAGACAAGGGAGACTGGATGCCCAGCTGGCTTTGGGTCTGCCCATGGAAGGGTCACCAGGCCCCTTCTTCATCTCATCCTCTCTCTGCAGGAACTGCCTGAGAACGAGCTTCTGCACCCGCCACTGAGCATCTGCGTGGTGGACTGGAGAGCTTTTGGGAGGAGTACCCTTGTGGGCACCTACACCATCAACTACTTGAAGCAGTTTTTGTGTAAACTCAGAGAGCCCCTTGCCCCCATCACACAGGTGGATGGAACCCAGCCTGGGCACGGTGAGAAGCTGCTCTTAGATTTTGTAGCTGTAACTATAAAGTCATGGTGCCTGCAGAGTGCCTGCTGTGGGATTGGCTCAAAGAGGATGCCCCACAGCCAAGTGGCTGGGTGGATCTTTCTGATGAGCTTGCTCCTGCAGGGGCCTCTGCTTTCTTTGGCTCCCACATTCTTACTTTGACTCACATTGGGTCAGTAACTCTAACATGCCTTCCTTGAATATGACTTAAGCTCCTTCCTGCCTCCATGCTGACATTTTACTTGGCTCTGTGCTTGATGTTGTTTTAGTTTGTTCAATTTTGGATCTCAGGTGCACAAAGTTGAGTTCATTGCACGTCTCAGTTCCATGCTCTACAATCATCACTGGTCTATTCAAAGATTCTCTCATTCTATCCACTGTCCTCCTTATTCCTTATCTCTAATCCCAGTGCCCTCCCCACTGCAGGCCTTACGCCAGCATCCTTGTCAAATTTAAGTCGATTTAATCTACCTAAATAATATGATGCTATAATTTTCATTTGTTTTCCTATTCTTTTCACTCAATTCTCTGTTTTAAGCTCTATCCATATTGCTGTGTGTACATTAGCCTGTTACTATTACTCGCTGCATCTACAATTTACTTTTCCTTTCCTCTCATATTAGACCCATTGACTACCTCAACTCCCCTTTCCATGATCAGTGCTGCAATGAATATCCCTGTGTGTGTTCCCTGAGGGAAGACGCTATGTGGGAATTTCTCTGGAATGTACACCCAGGGGTGAGATGACTAGGTCCCAGTAAATACGCACATGTATTTTCATTAATTAGCGCCAGGGGCCACTCCAGAGAGCTGCACTGATCTACACCAGTCTACATCAGTCTATACTGCCAGTTCTGCATTTGGAACCCCATTTTTCTCCTCTTCAGCAGCACCTGCTATTATCCAACTTTCTAGATTTTTGTTTTGCTTTGGTTTGGTTTTAGTTTTTTGCTACCCTGTGGACACAAATTAGTATCTAATTTTTATTTTAACTTGTATTTCTCTGCTTGCTACTGTTTGCACACCCTTCATACCCTTGCTGCCATATTAATCTTCCTTCTGTGATGCCAGTTCATGTCCTTTGCCCATATTTTATGTGCTTTAATTTTCTTTTTGATTCACAAATTCTTTGTATTTTCTAGATGTTAAAATCCTGTAGATTGTAGATATTGTTCATATCTTTTCCTAGTATGATAACTACTAACCTTGTCTATAATTCCTATCTATGAGCAGAAATCCTTAATTGAGATATACTCAGACCCCTCCATGTTTTAAACTTTATAGTTTATATTTTTAGTCTTGTTTAAGGAACGCTTTCTCACCCCTTGGTCACAAAGATATTATCTTATATTCTGCTAGCTTTATAGTTTTAGCTTTCTCATTTAGATCTTTAATCATCTGCATTTATATATGATTTTAAGTGGAGATTCAGCTGCAGTTTTCTCCACATAGAGCACCGTTTTCCCCCAAAGGGTCTACTAACCTATCATTCGTTTTCCCAATGATTTGTACTGCCATCTTTCTCATAAACCAAGTTGTCATACATCCCCTGTCCATTTCTGAGATTTCTAGTCTGTCTCACTGGTTTCTTTGTGTCTATGCCCAGTATGGAGTAGATACCCATAAGAGTTTGTTGGGTTGAATTTGCTGTTGGAAAGTCAGCAAATGGGGAGAGAGAAACTCAGGAGTCTGTGGCAGCCATGGGGGTACCGAACTGGGAAATGTTCCTGAGTGCTGACTCCTACAGCATAAAACGGAGAGATGAGGACCATTGGCAGTGAAGGACAGCATTATAACCTTTCTATGGCATCAGAAGCCCAGTTAAGAATCTCATGAACTCTGGACATACCCCTGCTCCCTGCCAAGCACATGTACTTTTGTGCCCAGAGTTCTGCCTACAGTTGGCGGCTTCATGGCTCTCTGGAGCTCCAAAGCCTCCCCAGATTAACACACAGCAGGGGGACAATCCCCCTAGACACAGAATCTGCACCCTAAACCTTGATTTTCATAATCCCAATGACCACAATTGATTAAAATTACTTTGAGGAATCAATAACAAATACAACCATTTATTGATGACCCATTATGTGCCAGATGCCTTACATCGTGGTCTTATTTCATCCTCCTAGTGAGATGGGTATTTTTACTGTCATTTTATACATAAGAAAATGAGGTTCAGAAATATTAGCAACCTGACGTATTTGAATCCGAATCTGTCTGATTCCTAGTATTAGGTCCCTGAAACGACCACCCTGTGATGCAGCCCAGCTCCCTGACCTGATGTGCTTTCATTTCAGATATTTCAGATTCGCTAACAGCCACTGAGTCCTCTGGAGCCCACAGCTCCTCCCAGGATCCCCCAGCAGATCACATTTATGTGGATGTTGAGCCACCTCCCACAGTGGTGCCCGACTCTGCCCAGGCCCAGCCGGCCATCCTGGTTGACGTCCCTGACTCATCCCCGATGCTGGAGCCTGAACACACACCTGTAGCCCAGGAGCCACCAAAAGATGGAAAACCTAAGGTCAGACTAAAATCCCTCTCTATATTTACAAGGCTCATTGGAGTTTGCATTGCAGGTCTCAGACAATATGAAGTTGCTTGCAGTGTGACCATGGGCAAGCAGCTTCACATTTCTGAGTATCGGTTCATCCTTTGTAAAATGAGGATACTGTTACCCACTTCACAGCTTTGTTATAGGATCAGAAGGTTAATGTGCATGAAATTAAAGTGCTGGTCAAATGTGACAGTAATATTTAATGGAACGGAAACTCTTCTTAATTCATTAGCTTGGAAAGGCCATGGGTTTCTTCCTCCAAGTGTGTTCCACAAATATTTAGGTCCTACTTTGTACAAGATCATATGGGACCAAGAAGATGCATCTTTTGGATTCCAAAGAGGAGGAAAACAGTTAGTGACGGTTCTGGAAGGAGAGATTGACAAGTACACAAAGAACCACAAAACAAGGATATAGTTAATCTTTCTAAATTATATATTTGAGTGAAAAATCTTGGTGTATCAATTGAATTAAAAGAGAAGGCCATTTTAAGAATGTCTTAAGGGGCCGGGCATGGTGGCTCACACCTGTAATCCTAGCACTTTGGGAGGCCGAGGTGAGTAGATCACTCGAGGCCAGGAGTTCAAGACCAGCCTGGCCAACATGCTGTAACTCCATCTCTACTAAAAAAAAAAATACAAAAAATTAGCCAGGTGTGGTGGCACTCACCTGTAATCCCAGCTACTCCAGAGGCTGAGGCAGGAGAATCACTTGAGCCTGGGAGGCGGAGGCTGCAGTGAGCCGAGATCATGCTACTGCATTCCAGTCTGGGCAACAGAGCGAGCCTCCATCTCAAAAAAAAAAAAAAAAAAAAAGCAGCTCTTAAGGAACAGCCTGCCCAGCAAATGGTAAAGGCTGAGATAAAAAGAAGAGTGGAAAAGTGAGATAGATGCATGGACATTTGCACGGGCTGCTCTCATTTCATCCATGGTCAGCGACCCTCTGTGACGCCTTACCAGGTTTGCTGCATTCCCCTAGCATTGCACCTGTGACTTTCTGTTGACTTCTCGGATTCAGTGTTCATCATTCAGTGTTCATCTCAGATTAATCATAAAATTGTGAGCCTCAGCAGAGAAGAGATAATTTTTCAACATCTCTATACCCCCGCACTCGATAGAGTGCCTGGGTCATAGTACAACTTAAGAGATGACTTGGCGAGTGAATGGAAGATGAATGCATGATGAGTGCTGCATCCATAGGCTCCAGCAGGACACCCGTCTTCTTCCATGAATGCCACCTTTCTGCCACACGTCTATCACTCCCTCTCCTGCCACCCCATCAATTATGTGATAGAAGTCATTTACTTGTACCCATTCAAATCAGAAATGACACCAAAGAATTGCCTAAATTATGTACTTAATCCTCAGAACAGTTGTGGGTATTATTGTCCCTAGTTGAGGAAACTGAGAATTACAACATTTATATTAATTGCTTAATGATTTATAACCCAGGTCAGTATGAAGCTAATGCCTTTTCTGCTATATTGCATTGCATCATGTAGTGTAGTTCTCATTTGTTGCATGCCTAGCTCCTGTACTGTATCCAGAGTAGGATTGTGTCTAATTCTCCACACATCCTTAATGTCAAAACCAGTATCTCACGTATGCTCAATAAATGCTAAATGAATGAGTGAATGAATGAATAGATTCTTGAACTTTCATTTGTGGAAGTGATACAGAGAGCTGCTATCACAAAACCAGTGGATACCTCTGTGTGTTTTCCAGTGGACACCTAAATGTTTTCTTCCTCACAAGCCAGTTGACCATCAGCATGCAGCCAAATGAGGTTGAACTAATAACCCATTCCCTCATCCCTTGCCAGGATCCCAGGAAGCCTTCCCGGAGGTCCACTAAGAGGAGAAAGAGGACCATAGCAGATGAATCTGCTGAAAACGTGATTGACTGGTGGTCTAAGTATTATGCCTCCCTGAAGAAAGCCCAGAAGGTAGAGTCTCCCCTACCTGTGGCAGTTAAGAGATTCAATAAGGAAACACAGCACCTTCTCCTACCCTAAGTCCTACATAACCTCCTTTTAAATGCCACTATACATAGACCCTACTCAGGTGTGGTTCTGTTAACTGCAGAAAGGTAAAAAGCCTGGAAGAACCAGAGATACGGAATTACAAAATTCCTACTTTTTGGCTGGAGCTGGCCCTAGGACATAAGCTCTGCTGTAAATACTGGAAGGATGTTCAGTCTAGCATGGTATCTGGAGGATCTGCCCCCACAGCCAGACTCAGGGGGGTCCAGCAGGGAGAAATGGGGTCTCTGGATAGGTGGGCATCAATGACTGAGGCCTCAGGAGATACCCTAGTCTAAGGACCCCAAGTCTTCAGCAGGATTCTAAGTTCACATGGGAAATTATCAAAGGCAGAGGTCTTGGCCTTAGGAAATGGTATTATAAGTGGGTTTACATAGCAAGAGCAGGGCCTCATGTCCATGGAATGAGACAGATCTAGTTATGAAGCTGGAGAGACAGTGGGGAGTAGGCCTGGAGAGTCCGGCAAAAGCTCGGCAACTGGATATGGTAAGATTTCCCTGAGTACAAAAGGGAAGAAAAATTACTCCGATGTTGTATTTAATTGAATGCACTTCTGCTTCTTTAGTTTGGAAAGGCTATGGTTGCATCTAGGACTATTTCTCAAATATTGATATATACCGAAAAAGCAAATGTTAGTCCCTGCCTGCAACCTCCCTCCTTTTGCTGCAATGGACACTATCACTTCCTGTGAGAACTCAGCCCTTTCCCCTTTCTCTGCTAACCTCCCCAACCTATGGTACCATCCCAAAGACCAGAAACGCCAACAGACACAACTCATGGTGCAGATGAGGGAGATGCTCCAGGGAGGTGGAAAAATATTGGGGAGATAGTTTGCTTGCCTCGTGGCTGAGAGGGTACTGCATATAAGGGACAAAGATGTCTATAGCTTGATCATACTTTTCTTGGAAGTGCGGATACCTCTTTTTTAGGATAGGGCATCCTATTGGGCTTAACCCCCAGATCTTTACAGTGCGGCTTCATTTTGGGGGACTGCTTACAGACTGTTTGAATACTCTTTTAAAATAGTGTCTCTGGGAATGCAGAGGGCTGAGATAATTGTTAGCAGTCAATTAATAAATCAAGTATTGTGGTGTCAATAATATTGTCTCCTTTTTCAAAGGCAAAGGAGAGAAATCCCAAGGGAAAAAAAGGCAATACAGGTAAGCAGTTATTCTGGGGACATTTGTCCATAGAATAGGGCCATCGTTACGAGAAAATTGTAAAATGGAAGCCACGGGAGGTGTATTAGAGCTCAACTCCCTCCTTTCCCGAGTTTAGAAACAATCTCAGGAAGATGACAGCACTTTAAAATGTGGTCATGTAGCTCTTGGTGCTGGGCTGGAACCAGATCTCAGTTCTTCTGAATTCAGCTCAGTGCTGGAATGGACCCTTTGGCTCAAGTTCCTATGTTGACAGTCTTAATGTAGAAACCGTAGAATAAAAATAGAAGCAATCTGGATGACTGGCCAAAATCAACATGATAAACTTTGTTAGAGGTGAGTTCCAAAACTCAGTCTACAGGATTGGATAGATCTTGTTTGGCAGAAAGTCAGATTTCAAATGACCACAAACTCAATTCAAGCCAACAGTAAGTCTCAGCCTAAATACAACTGTAACGTTAAGCAGCCAATGTTGTTTCATTTGACGATGATAGAAGTGGAAAAACTAGAGCCAGGCTCAGTTCCTCAGACCACTCCTAATTAGCACATGTAATTCTAAGACCAACCCCATGTCATAGGAAATAGTATCTTCACCTTGCAAATGATGAAAGAGAGGTACAAGGAGGTCAAGTAATCTGTCCAACATTACACAGCTAGAAAATAACAGAGCTACAGTCCGTATCAGGTGGTTTCTCCCCTGCAGAGCCTACTGCTAAAAAATTACTGAGTAATCCCCCTAACAACTTTGCGCAAGACCCTTAGGATATTTGAGCCTCATATTGAACTAGATGTATCTCAATTCCCTTAATGGATCTGACAGAGTGTGACTCCAAAAAGCTTTGGAGTCAGTCCAAGTTCTGAGTCTGTTCTTTGCTAGTTGGGTGAATGGGCAAATTATTTATTCTCTCTGTGCCTAGTTTAATGAGTTCTTACATGTACTGTAACCCACTGGCCCATAGATTAGGGCCATTGCCCTATTCCTATTGCTCAGCCCTAGGGGATCCACTGACGCTGGATTTATATGTGCATGGGGTGCCCTGCAGTCAGGCAGTGTACAGACTGTATGTAACAATCCTACAGCAAAAAGTTACTATTTCTTTTTAAAAAGAAGGGTCACAAGTTACTATTTCTTTTTTTTTTTTTTTTCCGAGACGGAGTCTTGCTCTGTCGCCCAGGCTGGAGTGCAGTGGTGCAATCTTGGCTCACTCCAAGCTCCGCCTCCCAGGTTCACACTATTCTCCTGCCTCAGCCTCCCGAGTAGCTGGGACTACAGGCGCCCGCCACCATGCCTGGCTAATTTTTTGTATTTTTAATAGAGACGGGGTTTCACCGTGTTAGCCAGGATGGTCTCGATCTCCTGACCTTGTGATCTGCCTGCCTCAGCCTCCCAAAGTGCTGGGATTACAGGCGTGAGCCACCGTGCCTGGCCACAAGTTACTATTTCTGAAGGGTCACAACATAGGACATGTCAGCAAAAGGAAAGAAGGAGCTTGGCTTTGTTCCTTCTCATCTCAACCGCCATGAGAAACCTAATTTCTGCTGAATATCCACAGAGGCAAAGCCAGATGAGGTAGTGGTAGATATAGAAGATGGGCCAAAGAAGAAGAAAGACAAAATGCTCAAGAAGAAACCCAAAGATGATGGAATCCCCAACCTGGCCATCTTGCAGGTATGTGGGGACACAGGCATCTCTGCCATGGATGGGGAGGGATGCTCAGCAATGAGGTTCTGTCAGTGCTTTGGTCAACCCTAGTCATGCCTTTGTTTGATATTTTGTCTTCATTGTCACCGATGTAGAGAAGTAAACTTTGATGTGCATTTAAGCCAAGACAGGAAGCTTGTTCATTTTCCATTTCCTATACCCTCATATTGAGAAGGGGTGTAACTTAAATTGTTTAATGTGGACCTTACAAAGTAATCTACAGCATTTGAGCTCCCCTTGGCCCATCTCTAGGTGCTTGTCATCATCATGCAAATGTGTACACACTCAAGGTAACAGGAGATTTAACTCCAACTAAAGTCAGCTCCATTAGGCCAATCTTAACATTAGTTAGAGGGTATTAGCTAGAGATATATTGATGGCTATGAAAATTTGAAGGGTGAAAATTATATATATAGATAACCAACTTGGGTAAGCAATTTATATAGGAAAGTTGAATAAGTAAATTATACTACCAAACCTAAAACTCAACTCAATTTTGCATTTCCAAAGCATATATATAATTTTCCACCTGGAAATTTCATGTCTATATGCATTACAATAAAAACAAATATTCCATCGCCTTATATGTGTTCAGAATTAGATATTTAATGAACATTATTGATTTGAATCTCCTCAAAGTATTATAGTCTATATCCAACAACCAATGGCATCAACTAGCTCTAAAAGGTTTGTTGTATCTATACTTATATATTACAATTTTTTAAATTTACCTATACTTTTTGGAATTTAAAAGTTCATCAGAACATTTCATAGTAGTAGTTTCAGGAGTGCTGAGCCAATCCACGTTCCTTATCTCACTGAAGATAAATTACCAGTGGCCTCAGATTTTCCCAAGGGGCATATATCAAGGCTGGTTTTGGAGAATCTTGGCATTTCTCATTAAATCAATCCTGGGCTTTCCTTCCTCTTAGCACAATCTTCTCCCTTTTCCCTAAAGATATATGACGGTGATCTCGAGAGTGAATTCAACAATTTTGAAGACTGGGTGAAAACTTTTGAGCTCTTCAGAGGCAAGTCTACGGAAGATGACCATGGTCTTGATGGAGACCGAGTCATAGGAAAATTTAAGGCAGGTTCCATTTTTAATCCTTTTATTTGGCTCTCCCTGTCCATAAATGTCAGCTATGACTCGATTCTGTTAATGGAATTGTGGTGTGGGATGTGTGTAGGGAAAATCCTTAATTTTTACTCAAGTCCCTCTCTAGAACTCCACAAAACCTAGCCCCAGTCTTTTAAGATATTTTTGGTTTGTGACCAGTGGATTGGAGCTCAGTCTGGTGAAAAATAAGGAGACAGAGTCATTACCTGAAAGGAACACTGAACTTTACTTTGTTCTCTCCCCTCCGGCATACCAAATGTGTGATTTATGCAAGCCTACCAGTTGGACGATTAAACTAATCAAGCAACACAAGCCCTTCATCTGGCAGACTTACAGTGTGAACATCACAAAGTAGTAGCCAGCATTCACTATAAACATACTACAAGCTGGGCCCTTTCTATGCAGCATGCTATGTTGGAAATAGCACAGGCATTACAGTTTGCCCATCTGGATTCAAATTCTAGTTATAGTATTAACCAGCTGCATGATCTGGAACAAAGTGCTTCACTTCCCTAAGCCTCAGTTGCTGTCTGGAAATAGGAATACTGCAGTCAGGATTGAATGAGATAATGGGGAAGCACTAGCACCGCACCCCACATGTAAAAGGCACTTCGTGTCCCATCTGTTCTGTTCTTCATATAACAGTCCTGTGAGGGGGTTGTTAATGTACAATGCCAATTCACTGGTGTACCATGAAGAAGCTCAGATGCAAGCAGGCTACATAAATTGCCCAAGGACACCCAACTGGCAAGTTTAGCACCAAACCAGGTCCTGCAAATTCCCAAGCTGTGCCCATTTTCCCAGCACAGTGCTCTCTGTGGGTTTTGGTGGGACATATGACCATCTCATTTCAATGGGTTGCGTTTTGTGGTTCCAGGGCTCCTTCTGCATCTACAAAAGCCCCCAGGATTCTAGCTCTGAGGACAGCGGGCAGCTGAGAATCCAGCAAGGGATTCCGCCCAATCACCCTGTCACAGTGCTGATCAGAGTATACATTGTCGCGGTGAGCCATTCTTGTTTGCTCTGAGGGGGTGTATTTATCTGCTCAGGCTGCCATAACAAAATATATGGCAGACTGGGAGGCTTAAACAACAGAAATTTACTTTCCCACAGTTTTGAATGCCATAAGTCTATAATCAAGTTGCTACCAGGGTTGGTGTCTTGTGAGGCCTCTCTTGCTGGTTTGTGGATGGCTGCCTTCTTGCTGTGTCCTCACACAGCCTTTCCTCTGTGCACGTGTATATAGGGAGAGTGCGAGCTCTGATATCTCCTCCTTTTCCTATAAAGACACTAGCCCTGTCATATTAGAGCAGCACCACTATGACCTCATTTAACCTTAATTACCTCCCTAAAGCTGTGTCTCCAACTACAGTCACCTTAGGAGTTAGGGGTTCAACATATAGGGGTATGAAGTTAGGCTGGCAAAACAGACATGTTATGGCTTTTCTGAGCATATAGGACTGTTCCGTCTGTGTAGTTTTATCTGCTCCCTATGGTTGCCTACGGCAGGAGAGGGAACCAAATAGGAGGGAAGCAGGAAACTACAGGAAAGACGGGGGGAAGGACCAAGGCAGAACAGGGCAGCTGTTACTGTGAAATTCTCCTCACAGCCATGCCTCTGCACTATTGCAGTAGAAAATTTCACTTTGAGTGTATTTCCAAGAAAGATGTTAACTCCTCTAAGCTTCCCTCTTTCTGATAATGACAGCACAAAACTTTGACTATGAAACTTTTCGGCCTCATTAGCAGGAAGCTCAGGGCCAAATTTAATGCTCCATCAAAGCAACTGTATGAACCCCAATGGTTCATGGATTTGTTTTAATCTCCTGACCTTGGATGTGGTTTTTGTAATTGTATTATTTTATTATAATGCTCTTATTTTATATCAACCGTTTGCTTCCATTGCCTACATTCTTTCAAAGGAACATAAATGTAACACAAAATAAAAATGAATTATCCTTTAATGCTAAGGGAGAAATAAATATTCTTCCATCATGCAGTTCTCAGGTTTCCTTCATCATCCTCTGCATCTTCCCCACAACCACCATGTGCCAGGGATGTTGTGATGAAAAGAACATAGTCTCTGCCTTCAGGGAAGTCACAGTGTAGTTGGAAAGATGAGAAGAACTTAGAGTCACTGACAATGTTGGGTAGTCAACATGAAACACCACCCTCAGGATGCCTCAGGATGCTTTAGACTAACCTTTTCAAAATTTTGTTCAGGAAGTCACTTGGGTTTTGGGAGAAACAGGCACTCCTTAGCAAACAGAACGTATGTTCAAATAAATTTGAGAAGTAGCGTGTATTTCCTTCTCCAGGCTTTGAGACTCACAAAGCTCATTAGCACATTCAAGGCTCTGAGAATTTCAGAAGCAAACAAACCTATTTAGTAATCTTGAACAGCATTTTCTAAACTTTTGCCTCATACCTTTTTTCCCCTGCAGAAAATCTTACAGAGCTATAGTTCTCTAAGATACAGTTTGGGGAATCCAGAAATAGTATGAACAGTAGGAAGGAGAGGGAAGAATTTCTGTGAACTACAGAGATTGGAGAAAGATCTGTCTCCTTATTCATGTATTCATTCAGAAAATATCTACTGCACACCTTTTATGTGTTTACTATCTTCTAGGCAAAGGCCAGATAAACAGATCAGGTTTCTGTCCAGGAGGTAGCATGGGGGACGGAGGCCTTGGGCTGGAACTTGACGACAGGAGGGACTTGAACAAACAGGGAGTCAGAAGATGGCAGTCCTAGGTAAATTCACTACAGTTATGGACAGTCAATACTTTTCATTGATATTTCTAGTAGTTTGATTATGTGTGGTTTGCTCTCGTACTAATAATTAAATGAATTCTCAAACCTTTTAATTAAAAGAACACTAACAAGTAAAAAAAATACTACTTAAAACTCGCATAAAGAAATAAATCAAATTTCCCCACCTCTTTTTTTCCTTAGTTTACAAGATAGGTTGGCCATTTTTTTCTAGATTAGTATGTATAGGTCTTCATTCCTTTTAGTAGCTGTATAGCATTTTCTTGAATAAATGTATTCATTTATTCAACAAATATTAAGACCCTGTTCTATGTCCTAGAGGTAAAGTAATGAACAAGATAAACAGTGCCATTGCTCTCATGGAGATTACATACTAGTTGAGAGTGATGTGGGAATTAAGAAGATATAAAATAAACAAAGGAACGGATAAATTAACAGGATTTGTGTCACAGATAACTGCTTTGTAAAGAATTAAAATTGGCTGATGTGACAAGAAGAAATGGGAAGGACTGTTTTGCATTGTGTTTCTTCCCAAGTAATCAACAAATAGGTTGCTTATAATTTTTGGCTATTAAACAGTGTTCTAGTGAACATCCTTGAACATACAGCTTTATAGGCTCACCTTATTCTATCTACAGGATAGAGTCCTAAATATGGAATTGTTTCTCAGCTTTCATTGCTGCAGAGTTTCTCCATCTTTTTGATACCATTTCTTACCATCCTCCTACTCTGGCCTTTCCTTAGAAAGTATTTGCTTTTGACAGTTTAAGGCCTAGGTTGTCTAGAATCAGACTTTACTCTCAGAAAAGATCATCATTCAACTGGTCAGTGCTAAATGCAAGAGTCATAGGGTCATGGATTCAGAGACCATTAGTTCTGGGAAGGGCCTTCAGGTCCAGACCATGATTTTACAGATAGATCTCAGAGAGATGACATGATTTGCCCAATATCACACACTACTTAGAAATGTAGTCAGGCCAGGTGCAGTGGCTCATGCCTGTAATCCCAGCACTTTGGGAGGCCAAGGTGGGCAGATTGCTTGAGCTCAGGAGTTTGAGACCAGCCTGGGCAACATGGTGAAACCCCATCTCTGATACAAAAATTAGTGGGGCGTGGTGGCTCATGCCTGTAGTTCCAGCTACTTGGGAGGCTGAGGTGGGAGGATCACTTGAGCCTGGGAGGCATAAGTTGCAGTGAGCCAAGACTGCACCACTGTACTTTAGCCTAGGTGACAGAGCAAGATACTGTCTAAAAAAAAAAAAAAAAGAAAAAGAAGAAATATAGTCATATATCTTTTAACGAAGGGAATACGTTCTGAGAAATGTGTTGTTAGGCTGTTTCAGTGCTGTGCAAGTGTCATACTGTATTTACACAAACCTAGATGGTATGGCCTCCTACACGATAGTATAGCCTATTGCACTCCTATGCTATAAACCTGTGTAGCACATTACTGTATAGACTACTGTAGGCAATTTTAACACAATGGTATTTGTGTATCTAAACATAGAAAGGTACAGTAAAAATACAGTATAAAAGATTTGAAAAAAATGGTACACCTGTCTAGGGCACTTACCATGAATGGAGCTTGCCAGACTGGAAGTTGCTCTGGGTGAGTCACTGAGTGGTGAGTGAATGTGAAGGCCTAGGATGTTACTGTCTGCTACTGTGGAGTTTAGAAACACTGTACACTTAGGCTACACTAAATTTATAACACACATTTTTCCTTATTCAATAATAAATTAGCTTACTATAACTTTTTTACTTTATAAACTTTTAAGTTTTTAACTTTTGACGCTGGTCAAAACAACATTTAGCTTAAAACACAAACACGTTGTTCAGCTGTACACAAATATGTTCTTGATATCCTTAGTCGATTAGCTTTTTTCTATTTTAAAATTGTTTTATTTTTTAAACTTTGTTGTTAAAAACTAAAACAAACACACACACGTTAGCCTAGGCCTACACAGGGTCAGGATCATCAATATCACTGTGTTCTACCTCCCCATCTTGTCCCACTGGAAGGTCTTCAAGGGCACTAACACGCATGGAGCTGTCATCACTTATAATAACACCTTTTTCTGGATGCCTTCTGATGGACCTGCCTATGGATGTTTTACAGTTAACTTTTTTTAATAAATAGAAAAAGTACACTCTAAAGACTAAAAAGTATAGTAAATACATAAACCAGTAACATCATTATTTATTGTCATTGTCAAGTATTATATACTATACATGATTGTATACTTTTATATGACTGTTAGCACAGTAGGTTTGTTTATAGCATCACCACAAACATGCGAGTAATGTGTTGCACTACAATGCTGCAACAGATATGTCACTAGATCATAGGAATTTTTCAGCTCCATTATAATTTTATAGGACTGCCATCGTACATGTGGTCAGTCCTTGACCAAGACATCATTAAGCGGTGCGTGACTGTAGAACTAGAACTCAAACTCATGCCTTCTGCCTCCTGGTCCGGCATTTTTCTCATTTTTCTGTGCCAAGAGCTTCTTTCCACTGAGGAGATGACTCCAGAGAAAGTTGCACTTGGGCAAAGCCAATAATTTTTCTTTTTAGCAGCAAAATGTAGATGCTAAAGTAGTGGCTCTTAACCTTGGCTGCACACTAGAATTATCTAGGGAGTTTTTCAAAAGCCCAAAGCCCTGGCCCGTTAAATCAGACTATCTAGAGACAGAAGTCAGGCATTAGCATTTTTGAAAGCACCAAGGTAATCCCAGTGTACAACCAATGTTGAGAGCTATTGAACCAAAGACATTTTCTTTTTCCTTTCCAGGCATTTAATCTTAGTCCAGCTGATCCAGATGGCAAATCAGATCCCTACATTGTGATCAAGCTTGGCAAGACAGAAATCAAAGACCGGGATAAATACATCCCTAAACAACTGAACCCAGTATTTGGAAGGTCAGTGGCCATCTGGGCTGTGTTTTATTGTCCTTTCTGCATTTGCTCCTGCTGTGTTTCTGTGGGGATAGTGCGTGTATGTTTGTGTTCCTGGGTGAAATGGTTCCAGGAGGTTAAATACTGGCTTCTGCTCTTGGTAATAACCAACCAAACCTACGTCCATGGAGCAGGGTTGAATTCTTTCATGGTCCCCTGAGGAATTTGGTGGTACTTGGTGATCTTCTTACCCATAGCTTTCTTTACTGTAATTTTTTTCTTTTTCTTTTTTTGTGAACTTAAGTAGAGAAATATATACTCACAGCTTTCTAATTACAATTTTCTGGATTTTAGATTTAATAGGCATCTTGCAGGGTCATTGGATTCGGCCTTGTGCTTTTGAACAGAGCAGAGATTTCCTTTTTATAAACAAGGCAGCCAAGGTCTAGGGAGGTTAAGAAACATATTCAAGTTCAGATGACACAATTGGAGAATAATGGGCCAGAAGTTTAGTCTTTTGTCTCCTACTAAAGGGATTTTTCTATCATATTATTCTGTGGTTCATTTGAGGTGACCCCTGAGGTCAAAGAGTTGAACTTTGTCCTCAAGTTGTGCTTTGTTTTCCTGTAAAGTGTTAAAAGCTATTGCATTTGTGTAAGGGGACTAGGCATTCACCAGCTCACAGCAATCCTGCCATGCTCACTGATCCTCCAATATGATGTGCTAAGCATTGGTGTTCCCTGTTTGAGTTTGTGCACCTGTCTGTCATTCACTCTGGAATCAAGGTGGCCTGGGTTTCACTCTGCTACATACCAGCTCTACAACCTTATGCAGATGGCTTAACCTCTCTGTTCCTAGTTTTCCTGACCTGCAAAGCAGCAACAGTGACACCTGACTCTCATATTCCTTTAGATGATTAAATGTAAAGCACCTAGCACATCACATTGCCTATGCCAGCACACAACTGACACTCAGAACACATTAGCTCCCTTGCTCCCCACCTTAGTAATTATTGTAGCAATGGATACATCTTTAGTGTGTTTAATTTCTTTTATCTTGAGTAAACAGGAACATGGCATAAAATCTCCATTGGCTCCATTTAAATTCATTTACACATCTGTGATCACTTTGGAGCCTCTGACATTTAATCAGCACTAGCCTCTTACATTTTATTGCTCCTGAGGAAATGAGGGCAATAAATGATCTTGCCTGTCCAGATTAATGAGAATGACAGTGCTGGGGAAACACCCTTTCTTCCCTCATCCAGTGATGACCTTTATCGTCACCTGCCACTTATGTAACTAGTGCTTCAGTGTGACAACCGCTTGGCAGGCACTTTTTATGAGCTACTTTCACCACAGTGCCATGAACTAGACTTGTTTTACTATCCGTGCTATATGGCCATGGCAAACGAGAAGAGGACGATGAAGTCAGTGTTCCCTCCTGCCTCTGACATTGCAGCACCTCATCCAAAAGCTCTCCAGATGTGGATGTTTAGTTGGATATGTGTTTAATTTTTACTTAGGAACAAAAGTTTCCAGCACAATCCCACAATGTTCCAGCAGGAAGAGAAGAGGGTTCTTGTGCTTGAGCCAGGGTCTGCGGAATCCTTCCTCATAACTTCAGTGCCTCAGTATCGGTGTGAGGGTGTCACAGCCTCCAACCCCTGGTGCCCTGGTATCTTGCGTTGCTTTACCTTTCTTCGTAGCCTCTGACATGGATTAGATGTTTATGGGTTTATTGGCCATCTCCCATCTCCCCACTAGAATGTAAGAAGTATTTGAGCAGGGACTTAGTCTAGTCTGGTTAATGCCACATCCCTAGCACCTAGGACAGGGCCTGGCACAGAGCAGGTGCTCAATATGCATTTGTGGAATGAACAGATGGATGGATGGATGGATGGGTGGGTGGGTGGCCAGATGAACAAAATGCCAGTCAGTTGTCAGTGGGATTTAATGGGGCCCTATCTCCACGTCATCTTGATATGATGCATGTCTGTAGGCTTTGACAGTTTCTTCCTCATGGCTCTTATAGTTTCCCAGAATGTTTGCCATTGTCTCCACCACCTTGATAATTAACCATAAAGCAAAATGATGAGATCCTAATGGGTTAATAAACCAGCTCGACCTCCCCTTACTCATTCACATCTGCAGGACTTTGTCCTTGCTATGCCCTCACCATGACATGCCTTTTCTTTTCTTGTCCACCTGCAGAACTTCATTTATTCCTCACAATTACTGGGAATCCACCATGTGTCAGGCACACTGCTAAGTGCTGGGACACAGTGAGGATCAAGCCACAGTCTGTACCTTCAAGGTGCCCATGAATATTGAGAGAGCATCAAATAAATGCGTGATTACAATAGGCTGCTGCAAGTCCTGTGAAGACCCTGGGAAGGCATCCCAGGTGGGATGGGATGGGTGGGAAGGGATGGGTGTTCTTTGCCCTGCAAAGTCCAGAGTGTAGGGAGGACGTGATGTGGCAGGAACTATGGGTATCAATCCGGGTTCCACCACAGGAAGGGACCTAGCAGAGGAGAGACAGAGAATTTCCCAGGGCTTCCTTAACAAAGTACCATAAACTGGGTGGCCGAAACAACAGAAATTCATTCTCACAGTTTGGGATACTGAAAGTATGATGTTCTGGGATGCTTCCTTCTGTGGGCTGCAAGGGAGCCTCTATTCCCTGCCTCCCTGCCTCCCTCCCAGCTTCTGGTGATCTGCTGGCAATCCCTGGTGCTCCCTGGCTGGTAGATGCATTGCTACAATATCAGCCTTCATCTCCACATGGCCTGCTCCCTGCATCTCTCCACATCATCTTCCCTCTGTGCACATCTGTCTCTGTGCCAAGTTTTCCTCTTTACAAAGACACCAGTCATATTGCATTACAGCCCATCCTAATGACCTCATTATATCTTGATTTACCTCTATTAAGACCTCACTTCCAAATATGGTCAGATTTTGAGGTGCTGGATCTGGAGCTTCAACTTATCTTTTGGTGGAGACACAATTCAACCCATAGCAATATATACTGCTTTTGCTCTTTATTATGAGATTATTGTTTTTGCTCTTAAGCTTTTTCTACTGGTTAAAGCCTACTTAGATTATCAAGGAGAATCTTCTTCAATTAAAGTCAACTAATTGTGGATGTTAATTACATCTAAAAAAATGCCACCATAGCAACACCTGGATTAGCGTTTGATTGAATAACTGGAGACTATAGTCAAGTAGACACATGAAACTGACCGTCACCCTGTGAGTAGATTGCAAATGTTTTTTTCTTTCCAATCAGGTCGTCATTTTGGTGGCACACTATGTGCCAGCTACTGGAGAGGTATACAGGGTGCATGACCCTGTTTCCATGGAACCTACACCCTTATGGAGGAGGCAGGGAATACAAAAAAAGAAAAATCAGGCAGATATAAAATTGCCTGTATGATGAATGCTATAAGGGAGAGGTACAGGGGCCTTTGAGTCTGTGTAATCGGAGAGCTTGACCTGGTTGGGAAAATGGCTAAGATTAGAAGTTCTGCAGATCTGGAGCAGGGAGAATTCCCATCTGCATTCAAGGCTCAGCCAAAGAGTCATCCCTGTGAAACCTTCTGTTGTCACCCCTCCCCAGACAGGTGTACTAGTAACACCCTCCCCATAACTCTGTTGGAGCTCCTGCCACCTGATTTAGCCATATTCTTATTTGCCTTCCCCACTGGAAAGAAATTGTTTTACTTATCTCTTAAAAATCGCAGTGCCTGGCACATAGTAGACACATAATAAATGCTGAATGAACGAATGAATAAATTAAAGAATGAATGAATGACCAAATGAACAATGGAACATTGTTCCTCTGAAGCTCAGAGGCTCTTCATGCTTTCACCGTCTCAGTTTTGGCCCATTTCATGATGCATTCTGTTTTCCCAAACCACCCTTGCATCTAGGGATAGTACCTCATTGACACAAGTTGGTATAAGGCTAATTTTTCCCTGGGTAACTGGAAGTTCAACCATAGTGGGCTGTTTTTGGTAACTTTTTTTTTCAAGATGGAGTTTTGCTCTTGTCGCCCAGGCTGGAGTGCAGTGGCGCGATCTTGGCTCACTGCAACCTCCACCTGCTGGGTTCAAGCTGTTCTCCTGCCTCAGCCTCCCAAGTAGCTGGGACTACAGACGCCTGCCACCACGCCGGGCTAATTTTTGTATTTTTAGTAGAGACAGGGTTTCACCATGTTGGCCAGGCTTGTCTCGAACTCCTGGCCTCGAGTGATCCACCTGCCTCGGCCTCCCAAAGTGCTGGGATTATAGTCGTGAGCCACCGCTCCCGGCCCTGTTTTTGGTAACTTTTATTGACAGCTCCATTTAAAATTTAGGTGACATTAATATACGGACCCACAGCTTGGGGAGATGGGCCAGGGTGATTAAGTCTTCTGTCATGGTTGCCAGCAGCAGTTAAGCCCTTAATAAGTCCTTTCAGTGACAGTAATGGTGATGGCTCAGGGGCACATGGCTGGAGGCTTCCTTGTGATGCACCTGCAGAGTATCAATTACAGTTTAGAATGTAAATCTTGGAGCTCAGGCAGGAAATACTATGCCTTCAGATGGAAGACATATGGATTTCTTTCCCACACAACCATATCCCTGGCCTGCTACAGCCACTTCTGTCAGTTACAGTCACTGGAGCTGTCCAGCGTCTCTGCTTTTCTCTCTCTGAGGAGGGTTAATTGGCTTGGGCATGCTGCAGTTGCTGTGCCTGCTTCACTGGGGAGTAAGTGTCAGGGTTAAGTGGATCTGACCATGAGGGCAGCAGCCCAGACAGCCCTGTGGACATGCAGGGAAATAATGGGCTCGCATTCTCCTTCCTCCCCCTCCTCTTTGTCTATCGCTCCCAGCCCAGTTCATCCTGTACCAGAGCAGACAGTCTACACAGCTGGAGAATACTGCTGTGTCCTTGATTTTGTTTTCAGGAAGGCATTTCCCTATAACGCAGTTAATTTTCAAGTACCAGTCCCAATGCAGTAGCATTGGGTAATTTATCATCACAGAAAATCAGACAGCATTAATGTTCCTTGAGACACCTTGCGTTGGTGTGGTTTCATGGAAGGAGCACCGAGCTAGGAATTAGGAACCTGGCACTTATCTCAGATTGGCCTGATTGATGATCTTGGGCAAGTTGCTAGTGTTCTCTAGATTTCAATTTATCTATAAAATGAAGGGATTGGATATGGTGATTTCTGAGATCTCTTACAGTTCACGGAAACATTTATTTTGTGTGTACTTTCTGCAGGTCAAGTGCAGGCTCCAGCAATGCAGAGACCAAAAAAAAAAAAAAAAAAAAGGGCAGGTCCCTATTCTCAAGGGGCTCATAGTCTTGTAGAGACAACGCTTTGGTCTTGCAATTCTATGTTTTTATAATTTTTCATCCTTGATAAGGTTTTCATTTAAAATAAATGTAGCTGGTACTTGTTGATAAAGCAACAATGGAGGGGAAGGGGAATGGCAATGTATTGGGCACCAGTTGAACGCCTGAAAGTAAAATACGTGTTTTATAGAAACAATATTGCATTTAAACCCCATGCTAAATTATAAAGAAGACATATATACTCATTTATAATATGGAGGCTAAGAGGAATTAAATAACTTTCCCAAAGTTTTACAATCAGGAAATTGCAGATTCAAAACCAAAATTAAAAATCAGTCCTGTCTGAAACCAAAATCCAAAGTTTTTCCTCTCCATCGTGCTGTCACCCTAGTTGAAGACTACAAGATGTGGCCCATGAAAAGGGGAGATTATTGGCTATTTGAAATTGATAACAGAGTTGAAAATTGTTTGTACTGCAATGAAAAATTAAACCAAACAAATATCTGCTAAGTATTAACTGAGTTGCTGAGTGTTTAATGAGTTCACATGAATAGCGGGCTAGCTAAAAGTGAAGCTGGGAATGGTTCCCTGTGTCACCAAATGTTAACTGACTCTTGAAGTCTCTGCTTGGACCGCAGGTCATTTGAGATCCAAGCCACATTCCCAAAAGAGTCCCTGCTCTCCATCCTGATCTATGACCATGACATGATTGGCACAGATGACCTTATTGGTGAGACCAAGATCGACCTGGAGAACCGCTTCTACAGCAAACACCGAGCCATCTGTGGCTTGCAGAGCCAGTATGAGATGTAAGTTCTTTCTCCCCGGGAGACACTTGGTATTCTGAAGCTGTTGTAGCCTTTAGGGCTCCAGACTCTGCATCCCAGTTGTCCATCTCTAGGAAGGCCAGACCAGGCTCAGCTTTAACGTCTCAAATGGGCTCCACATCAGCAGAGCTGGCTTGGGGAAACTCTGTTCAGTGCATTTGAGAGTCATCGTGACTGGGGAGGCAGCTCTGATTGAGAACCAAGGGCAGGTTCTTCAAGAGTCAAGAGCTAAATGTATGTGTTCACTCAGTCAGATGTGCCTTGAAATAGAGTTTCCCTGGTGAAGAATAATGCTAGAAGAATAATTAATATAATACAAATGCCAGCGTCCAAGCTAATTATAACACTCATGTACTTTCGATAACAAAGCACTTTACATGGAGTATCTCATTGAGTTTTGTGAACCACCCTTTGAGGCGTTATCCGCATTTTACAAATGAAGGAAGAACTGACCCAACTTTCACTCTTTTTTCAAATGTATCTTTAATTTTCATGGGTACATAAATGTGTATGTGTGTGTGTATATATTATATACACACACATATGGGGTATATGACATGTATACATATATATGGGGTATATGACATATTTTGATACAGGAATATAATGCATAACAATCACATCAGGGTAAATGGGATATCTATCACCTCAAATATTTATCCTTTCTTTATATTATAAACATCAAATTATACTCTCTTAGTTATTTTAAAATAGACAATAAATTATTGATTATAGTTGCCCTGTTGTGCTATCAGATACTGTATCTTATTCTATCTAACTATATTTTTGTACTCATTAACCATCATCCACTCTCTATCTCCATGAGTTCAAGTGTTTAAGTGAGAACATGCAAAGTTTGTCTTTCTGTGCCTGGTTTATTTTTCTTAACCTAATGTCTTTAATTCATGTTGATTTTATTTTTGCATATGATGAGACACAGGGATCTACTTTCATTCTTCTGCATATGGATATCCAGTTTTCCCAGCACCATTTATTGAAGAGACTGTCCTTTCTCTGATATATCTTTTTGGCATCTTTGTTGAAAATGAGTTCACTGTGGATGAATAGATTTATTTCTGGGTTCTCTATTCTGTTCCAAACATAGATTTCAAGAAAAGAACTATAAAAAGACAAGAAAAAAAAAAGATTTATGTGTCTGTTGTTGTGCCAATACCATGCTCTTCTGGTTACTATAGCTCTGTAGCATAATTTGAAGTCAGGTAATGTGATTCCTCCAGTTCTGTTCTTTTCACTTAGAATATAGCTTTGGCTATTCTGTGTCTTTTGTGGTCCCACGTAAATGTAAGATTGTTTTTTCTATTTCTATGAAGAATGTCATTGGTATTTTGATAGAGATTTCACTGAATCTGTAGGTTGCTTTGGGTACTATGGACATTTTAACAGTACTGATTCTTCCAATCCATGAACATGGAATATGTCTGTGGTTTTTTGTATCCTCTTCAATTTCTTGCACCAATGTTTTATAGTTTTCATTGTAGAGATCTTTTCTCTCTTGAAGTTTATTCCTAGGTATTTTATTTGTAGCTATTGTAAATGGGATTGCTTTCTTTATTTCTTTTTCACATTGTTCACTGTTGGCATACAGAAATGCTACTGATTTTTGTACCTTGATTTTGTATCCTGCAACTTTACTGAATTTATCAGTTCTAACGGTTTTCTTGTGGAATCTTTAGTTTTTTTTTTTTTAAATATAAGATCATATTATCTACCCACAAGGGTAACTTCTTTCTTTCCAATTTGGATGCCCTTTATTTCTTTGTCTTATCTGATTGCTCTAGCTAGGATTTCCAGTTCTATGTTGAATAACAGTGGTGAAAGTGGGCATCCTTGTTTTGTTTCAGATCTTAGAGGAAAGGCTTTCCGTTTTCCCCATTCAGTATGATCCTAGCTGTGGGTCTGTTGTGTATGTTTTTTATTGTGTTGAGCTATGTCCCTTCTATACTCAAGTTTTTTGAGGGTTTCTTAAATTATGAAGGAATATTGAATTTCATCAAATGCTTTTTAAGTGTCAATTGAAATGATCATATGGTTTGTGTCCTTCATTCTGTTGATAATGATGTATCACACTGATTGATTGTGTATGTCAAATGATCATTACATCCCTGGAATAAATTCCACCTGATCATGATGAATGATCATTTTAACATGATGTTGAATTTGGTTTGCTAGTATTTTGTTGAAAATTTTTCTTGAACACTTTTGCATCAGTGTTCATCAGGGATATTTGCCTATAGTTTTCATTTTGTGATGTGTCTTTGGTTTTGCTTTCAGGGTAATACTGGCCTTGTAAAATGACTTTGGAAGTATATCCTTTTTCTTTGTTTTTCAGATTGGTATTAGTTCTTCTTTAAATGTTTGGTAAAAATCAGCAGTGAAGCTTTGGATCCTGGGCTTTTCTTTGCTAGGAGACTTTTTATTACAGCTTCAATTTCATTACTTGTTATTGATCTATTCAGGTTTTGAACTTCTCCATGGTTCAATCTTGGTAGGTTGTATGTTTCTAGGAATTCACTCATTTCTTCTAGGTTTTCCAATTTATTTGCTAATTTCCAAATTTTCCAATTTATTTCTAACATATCATTAGTAGCCTCTAATAATCATTTGAATTTCTGCAGTATTGGTTGTAATGTCTTCTTTATTGTCTGTAATTTTATTTATTTAGGAGGTCTCCCATTTTTCTTAGCCTAGCTAAAGAGTTGCCAATTTTGTTTATCTTTTTGAAAAACCAACTTTTCATTTTGTTAATCTTATCTCTTTTTCTACTAATTTTGGGTTTGGTTCACTCTTGATTTTCTAATTCATTAAGATATATTGTTACATTATTTATTTGAAGTTTTTCTACTTTTTTGATGTGGGTGCTTATTGCTATAAACTTTCTTCTTAGTACTACTTTCATTGTGTCCCATAAGTGTTGTTGGTATGTTTCCATTTTCATTTGTTTCAAGAAATTTCTAAATTTCTTTCTTAATTTCTTCATTGTCCCACTGGCCATTCAGGAGCATATTGTTTAATTTCCATGTGTTTGTATAGTTTCCAAAATTCTCTTGTTATCGATTTTGAGTTTTATTCCATTGTGGCCAGAGAAGATACTTAATATAATTTCAATTTAAAAAAAATTTTAAAGACTTGTTTTGTGGCCTAACGTGTGGTCTGTCTTTGAGAATGTTCCATGTGCTAAGGAGAAGAATGTGTATTCTGCAGCTGTTGGATGAAATGTTCTGTAAACATCTATCAGGTCCATTTGGTCTATAGGGTCGATTATGTCCAGTGTTTCTTGGTTGGTGTCCTGTCTGGATGACCTGCCCAGTGCTGAAAATTGGGTGTTGAAATCTCCAGCTATTATTGTATTGGGGTGTATCTCTCTCTTTAGCTCTTTGCTTTATATCTGGGTGCTCCACGGTTGGGTGTGTGTGTATGCAACTGTTATATCCTGTTGCTGAATTGACCCCTTTATCATTATATAATGACCTTCTTTGCCTCCTTTTATAGTTCTTGTCTTGAAATCTATGTTGTTTTATAATCAGTATACCTACTCCTTTTTTATATTCCATTTGCATGTTAGATCTTTTTTAATCCTTTATTTTTAGTCTATGTGTATCTTTATAGGTAAAGTATGTTTTTTTGTAGGCAACGGAGTATTGGGTCTTGTGTTTTTATCCATTCAGCCACTGTGTCTTTTGATTGGAGAGGTTAGTCCGTTTATATTCAATGTTATTGTTAAGTAAGGAATTCTTCCATTTTAAAATTTGTTTTTTGATTGTTTTTGCTGTCTACTCTTCCTTCTTGTCTTCCTTTTAGTGAAGGTGATTTTCTCTGGTGGTATGTTTTAATTTCTTGCTTTTTTATTTTTTGTGTATCTGTTGTATGTGTTTTTATTTGAAGTTACCATGAGGCTTGAAAATAATATAGCCCATGATTTTAAGCTGATAACACTAACTGCATAAACAAACAAAAAAAAAAAGCAAAAATAAAACTGATGAAAACTCTATATTTTCACTTCATCTCCCTGCTTTTTAACTTTCTGTTGTTTCTACTTATATCTTATTATACTATGTCTTTAAAAGTTGTTGTAGTTATTTTTGGTTGGTTCATATGTTCATCTTTCCACTTAAGATATGAATAACTAATATACCACACTTAGTGTTATAACATTGTGTTTTTCTGTGTACTTACTGTTACCAGTGAGCTTCCCACCTTCATATAATTTCTTATTGATCATTAACATCCTTTTTCTCTCAGATTAAAAAACTTCTTTTAGCATTTCTTATAGGACAGGTCTGGTGTTGATGAAATCCCTCAGAGTTTGTCTGGGAAAGTCTTTATTTCTCCTTCATATTTAAAGAATACTTTTCCTAGATATGCTATTCTAAGCTAAAAGTTTTTTTTCCTTCAGTACTTTAAATGTGTCATGCTACTCTCTCCTGGCCTATAAGGTTTCCACTGAGAAGTCTGCTGCCAGACATATTGGAACTCCTTTGTATGTTATTTCTTTTCTCTCGCTGCTTTTGGGATCCCTAAGTTATCCTTGACCTTTGGGAGTTTGATTATTAAATGTCTTGAGGTAGTCTTATTTGGATTAAATCTGCTTGGTGTTCTATAACCTTCTTGTACTTGAATATTGATATCTTTCTCTTGGTTTCTTATTATCTCTTTGAATAAACTTTCTACTCTGATCTCTCTCTCTCTCTCTACCTCCTCTTTAAGGCCAGTAACTCTTAGATTTGCCTCTTGGAGGCTGTTTTCTAGATCTTGTAGGCATGCTTCATTCTTTTCAATTCTTTGTTTGTTTCCTCTGACTGTGTATTTTCAAATAGTCTATCTTCAAGCTCACTAATTCTTCTGCTTGATTAATTCTGCTGTTAAGAGACTGGTGCATTCTTCAGTATGTCTGTTGCATTTTTCAGTTCTAGAATTTGATTCCTTTTAATCATTTTACTCTCTTTGTTAAATTTATCGGATAGGATTCTGAATTCCTTCTTTGTGTTATCTTGAATTTTGTTGAGCTTCCTTAATGCAACTATTTTGAATTCTCTGTATGAAAGGAAACATCTCTCTGTCTCTCCTGGATTGGTCACTGGTGCCTTATTTAGTTCTTTTGGTGAGATAATGTTTTCCCGGATGGCCCTGATGCTTGTGGATGTTCATCAGTGTCTGGGCATTGAAGAGTTAGGTATTTATTGTAGTCTTTGCAGTCTGCGCTTGTTTGTACCCATCCTTTTTGGGAAGGCTTTCCAAATATTTGAAGGGACTTGGGTATTATAATCTAAATATTTGGTCACTGCAGCCATATCTGCATTAGGGGACACTAAGCACAGTAATACTGTGGCTCCTGCAGACTTGTAGAGATATTGCCTGGGTGGTCTTGGGTAAGATCCAGGAGAATTCCCTGGATTACAGGCAGAGACTCTTTTTCTCCTTTCTTTTCCCCAAACAAATGGGGTTTATCTTTCTGTGCTCAGCTTCCTGGAGCTGGGGGAGGGGTGACACACACAGCCATGTGGCCACAAACACAGCACTAGGTCTTGCCCAAGGCCTGCAGTGACCGCTGCCTGGCTACCACCTGTGTTCACTCAAAGCCCAGGGGCTCTTCAGTCAATGGGTGGCAAATCCAGCCAGACTTCTGTCCTTCCCCCCAGGCCTCTAGCTCCAGATGGGTCTGGAGATGCCATCTGGGAGCCAAGGGCTGGAGTTAGGAACCTTAGGAATCTACCTGCTGCTCTATTCTACTGTGGCTGAACTGGCACCCAAACCACAAGATAAAGTCCTTCCCCTTTCCTCAAGCAGAGGGGTCTCTCCCCATGGCCACCACTGCCCCAGTCCCATGGTGAGTACTGCCTGGCTACTGCCAGTGTTCACTGTGGCAAATGCTGCCTGGCTTGTGTCTCTCCTTTCAGGGCAGTGGGCTGCCCTCTGGCTTAGGGCAGGTCCAAAAATGCCATCTGGGGCCAAGGTCTAGAATCAGGGTCCCCAGGAACCCACTTGGTTCTCTACTCCACGATGGCTGGGCTGGTGCCCAAGCTGCAAGACAAAGTCCCCTTTGCTCTTCCCTGTCCTTTCGTCAAGCAGAAGCAATCTCTTCCTATCACTACCATAGCTGAAAATGTGCTGGGTCACACCTGAAGCCAGCACTGCTCTGAGTTTAACCCAAGGCCCATGGCAAGTACTACCTGGCTCTCACTGCTGATTATTCAAAACCCAAGGGCTCTTTAGTCAGTAGGAAATAAATCCTGCTATGTCTGGGTTCTTCCCCTCAAGGCATCACGTTCCCTTCTGGCCCAGGTTATGTCTAGAAATGTCTGGGAGCTGGGGCTTGGAATGGAGGCCTCAAGACTCTGCCTTGTGCTGTATTTACTGTAGCTGAGCTGGTATTCAAGGTGCAAGACAAAATCCTCTTTGCTCTTCCTCTCCTCAAGCAGAAGGAAGGAGTCTGTCCTGGGCCTCTGAACTGTGCTGCCTGGGATTAGGGGAGAGGTGGTGCGAGCACTCCCATGGCTGCCCCAGCTGGTATTTCACTATGTCATGTGCACCCCAAGTCCACTGGCTCCGAGCTCAGCATAGCAGTAGGATTTGCACAGGAATTTCAGTCCCTGTGGCCAAGACTGTCTTTCATGTTTATTTAGGACCCCAGAGTGCTTTAGCCTGCGGTGGCGGAGCTTGCTGAAACTCAACTCAGGTTCCAACAGCTGGGATGGACAATTTGCCTGTAGCTAGGGCTGGTCTAAATGCTCCTTGCATGGGCACCAGCTGAGTTCTGAGTTGTGTCTGGTGTTTCTTTCTGCTGTGACAGGGTAGCACTGAGTTCCAATCCGAAGTCCCACAATTATTGTGTTCTTCCTTCCCTAAGTGCACAGATCCTCTCTCCATGCTACAGGGCCACTGCCAGGGAATGGGGGAGGAGTGGCATAGGCAATTCAAGACTGTCTTTCTTACCCTCTTTAGTGCCTCTTTACTTAATATCATGTTAAAACCAGGTACTGTGATTGCTCACCTGATCTTGTGTGTATAATTTCAATTTGGTGTTCCTCTGTCTCCCTCCCCCAAACTCCCACTTTTTACAAATATTTTGAATGCTGCTTAATTTTAAAATATAGACTACCAGCTTTATTTTTTTAAAGCATGCTGTATCTGATAGCTTTAAGAGTATGGCATAATTTTAAAAATATTTTTATTAAATATGACACACTCATTGAAATTAGAAAACACAAAGTACAAAATAACTCTCAAATTATTCCACTCATGTAAAAGTTCTTGTGTAGTATTTCATTTTCAATATGTTCCATGCTATTTTCTCCCTAACCAGACTCTACTATCCACGCAGTTTTGTAACCTGCTTGTTGTACTTATCCTTATATCTCAAGCATTTTATGTCATTAGATATTCTTTATAATCATTATTTCAATATATCTGTAGAATTCAATCATAGGCATTATAAGATGGTAAAACCAATTTGCCTTCCTGAATTTTAGGGCATTTGTATTTTTCTTTATTCTGTTATAAATATTGTTGCTATGAATATTCTCATACAAAAGCCACTGCACACCTCTCTGATAATTGACTTAACATTTATGCATCAAGGTAGACTGCTCCATTAACAGGAATGCACATTTTGGGACTTTTAATACATATGTCACAATGGCCCTCCAGAGGGTTGTGCCAATTTACACCGTAACAGACTCTGAGCGCCTATATCCTTCATGGAATGATTTCATACAGTCTCTCTTTCTGGTCTATTCTTCCCTAAGCCTAGAGAGCCTGTTTAGTTTTCAGTCCCTAGTGGAACCATATGCCTCTTGGGGGATTTACATAGCTTTCCAAGTGCCTGAGAGAATTCCATTCAGACAGTGATTAGCTGTTCTCACTCTGAAATTGGGGAAGGAAGCCACAGGCAAATGGTGCATCTTTTGTTCAGAAGAATTTCCTGGCTGACCTGCCAGGTAGCAGTATAGTTGTCTGGGGACTTGCAATCTTTATTCACTGAAAAGTTTTTAAAACAAGACAAGCATGCCTATTTCTGGGAAGGCCTGTGTGTGGCTCTGGAACTGGCTTGGATGACCTTTTCAGGATTCTTTGGCATAATGTGGGAAAACTACTTGATAGCTCCATTTTATAAGCCATGTTGATTTGTTTAAATTCTGATGAACTCAGTGTCCCAATGAGCAGAGACATCAAGCTTATCTTGGTCCTGGCTTGTAGGGAGTGCTGCATTGCAAGTTAATAATTTTAACCAAACAGCTAGTTTTTAAGGAAAGAATAGGTTGGGGAGATTTAAAAACTTATCACTGATTAGAGAAACAACACATCAAGACTCTATCTGTGACATGGATATATACTATGATTTTGGTGGGGTGGTGGGGTAGGGAGAAGGGAGGGACGAAGCAGAGACCTTGAAACTTGGAATAAGCAGCAGCCGAGTGGCTGTTCTCCTAGGGACTTAATAAAACTAAACAAATATAACCTGCAAAGAAATGCATAGAGACAGAAAGGAGATTGGTGATTGCCAAAGCCTCTGAGGGGTGGGAAAGAGGAGTAACTGCTTTCTGGGTACAGGGTTTTCTTTTGGGATGATGAAACTTTTTGGAACTAGATAAAGGTGATGGTTATACCTCATTGTGAATATCCTAAATGCTACTAAATTGGTCAACTTTTAAATGGTCAATTTTGTTATGTGAATTTCACTTCAATTTAAAAAAAATGAAAAGTACATTACTTAAACAAAAACAAAACTACCTTCAAAGGATTTTTCTGTTAAGCTACTCAGAAGTCTTGCCTTTCAGGCAAGCTGTGTTTGGCCAGAAAAGAGAGAAAACAAACCCCCTAACCCCAGATACACAGAATAGCAAGTTAAATCTGAAAGAAACTGCACAGATCATACTGGGTGGTTCTTTAAGTGAGGACCTCAAAGTGTGTTCTCCCTCCACTTTTCAGAGAAGGATACAATGCCTGGAGAGACACGTCCAAACCCACCGAAATCCTCACTAAGCTCTGCAAAGACAACAAGCTGGATGGACCCTACTTTCACCCTGGGAAAATACAGATAGGAAACCAAGTCTTTTCTGGAAAAACTATCTTCACTGAAGAGGACACTGGTAACTCCCTGCAAAATATCCTGCTGGTGTTGCTCTTCTTTTGAAAATCCTGATTCTAGTGATATTTTTGGCTATGGGACATCTAATTATAAAAGTAATGTGGCCAGGCACAGTGGCTCACGTCTGTAATCCCAGCACTATGGGAGGCTGAGGCGGGCGGATCACTTGAGGTCAGGAGTTCAAGAGCAGCCTGGCCAACATGGTGAAACCCCATCTCTACTAAAAATACAAAAAGTAGCCATGCGTGGTGGCAGATGCCTGTAATCCCAGCTACTGGGGAGGCTGAGGCACGAGAATCACTTGAGCTCAAGAGGTGGAGGTTGCAGTGACCAGAGATTGTGCCACTGCACTCCAGCCTGAACAACAGAGTGGGACTCAAGTCTTAAAAAAAAAAAAAAAAAAAAAGTAATGCATGCTTATAGTAGAAAATGTGGAAAAGTAAGGAGAATAATGAATATCACTTATAATCCCCAAGTTCAGATACAACCATGCTGCTTGCTGGCATATTTTCTTGCACTTGTCTGTGACTTGAAAATATATCACATTTTTACAGAATTATAAATAAACACAGAGTTTTGTGCCCAGCTTTTAAAATTTCCAATAGATTATAATGATTCTCCTTTGTTCTTTGAAATGATCAGTGATGATATGCCTTTTTACGGTTATGCCATTTACTCACATTGTATTCTTTTTTTTGTAGTGACAATGCTATAATGAACTTCCTTATACATATTTTTGTGTGTTTCTGATATTTCTATAGTACAGGTCACAGAAGTAGAATTGTTGCATCAGAAGGTGGGCAATATTCTTGAAGTGAATATTATATAGCATAAATAATTGAACATAACCCAAATTACCCCCATAAATGTTATACCAATAACTATCCTATTTTAACACCAAGTCGTAGATTTTCCACATGAACATCCTGGGACATAACACAAAGATCCCAGAGAGGCTTCCATACATTTAGGGTGAGGGGAAAAAAAATCACATTTAATTTAATTATACAGAAGAATTCTCATACTGTCACACTGTGTTGGTCTGTTCTTGCATTGCTGTGAAGAAATGCCTGAGACTGTGTAATTTATAAAGAAAAGGTGTTTAATTGGCTCACAGTTCTGCAGGCTCTATAGGAAGCATGGTAGCATCCGCTTGGCTTCTGGGGAGGCCTCAGGAAACTTGCAGTCATGGTGGAAGGCAAACAGGGAGCCAGCATGGCACTCACATGGCCAGAGCAGGACGAAGAGAGAAAGCGGGGAAGTGCTACCCTTTTTTTTTTTTTTTTTTTTTGAGATGGAGTCTCATTCTGTCACCCAGGCTGGAGTGCAGTGGCATGATCTAGGCTCACTGCAACCTCCACCTCCCGGGTAGCTGGGATTACAGGCATGCGCCACCATACCTGACTAATTTTTGTATTTTTAGTAGAGTCGGGGTTTCACCATGTTGGCCAGGCTGGTCTTGAACTCCTGACCTCAGGTGATCTGCCCGCCTTGGCCTTCCAAAGTGCTGGGATTACAGGTGTGAGCCACCACGCCTGGCAGTGCTACACATTTTTAAACAATCAGATCTTGTGAGAAGTCTATCACGAGAACAGCACTAGGGGGATTGTGCTAAACCATCTGTGAGAAACTGCCCCCATGATCCAGTCACCTTCCCACCAGTCCCTACCTCCAACACTGGGGATTACAGTTCGACATGAGATTTAGGCAGGGACACAGACCCAAACCATATCACTTGCTCATGCCTTTGATGCTTTAAAGTGTCCTATGTATGGTTCAGTACTTTTGATGCAATGAGCCAAGGGCATGAGGTCACTGCATCAAAAGTACTGAACCATACATAGGATGGTTTGACACTATGTTGACCCCTACCACTTTGATACCAAGATTTCCTTTACCTTGTTATTTCAAGCCCAGAAACCCATTGAAGGTTCTTACATGCAGATTATTGATATTTAGATAGGACATTAATGATATATTGAGAAAAATATTTATTCACAATATACTCTATTAAGCCAACTTAGTTCTTTGGTCAATATTCTACATGATTAAACAATTACCACTTTTTTGCCCACTAGAAGTCTGAAATCATGTTCATAAGATTAACAAAGATTTATTCATTGATTTCTTGTTTGTCTCTATCAACTTTTACTGATTGTAATTATTGCTATTGGGAGATTTTTTTGTGGCCCCTTTATTTTTATTACTTTAATTATTTTTATTATTTTAATTTTTGTGGGTACATAATAGGTATTTATATTTATGGGATAAATAAAACATTTTTATACAGGCATGCAATGTATAATCACGATCACACCCTGTAAAATGGGGCACTGTGGCCCCTTTTTTTTAAAGACAAGTTCAATTTTCCTATATCAAATTAGGCCATTCTAAACTTTGTCAATGTTTTATTCAACAATTTTTGTCTTGTTTTGCGCGTATCATTTCCACCTGTAGTTTTTATCATGAATAACCTTATTTGATAGAATGGCAGATGAGAGCACATTTCCTGTGGGTGGGTGTTGGTAGGAGAGAAATCTAAAGCAACCGTGAGAAGACAAAAGACGTCCCTATGGATGGACATTGTGCCCATCTCACCACCTCACTTAGGGCCACCCTGATTTTCCAGGTCCTCTCACAGTATGTTAGCAAACAGTTTTGCACCTTCAAAAATGTACCCTCTCCAGTACCTTGAAGCCATGTTTATGATCTGTAGATCTTTAGGAGGTGGGTGGAGCCCCTACTCCAGGACCAAGACTGCTCTCTGGGTCCTCTTGTGAACTAGTCTTATTTCCCTCTCTCTAAACTTTCCATCTCTTTCCCCTTCCCTTCTATCTCTCCACCTCTTTCCATCCTTACTTTTTTCTTTTTCGGTTTTTCTTTCCCTGTTCCTTAGGAAATTTATTTATTTATTTATTTTGAGACAGAGTCCCTGCTCTGTCACCCAGGCTGGAGTGCAGTGGCGCGATCTCAGCTCACTGCAACCTCTGCCTCCCAGGTTCAAGCGATTCTCCTGCCTCAGCCTCCTGAGTAGCTGGGATTACAGGCACCCGCCACCACACCTGGCTAATTTTTTGTATTTTTAGTAGAGAAAGGGTTTCACCATTTTGGCCAGGCTCATCTTGAACTCCTGACCTCAAGTGATCTACCCACCTTGGCCTCCCAAAGTGCTGGGATTACAGGTGTGAACCACTGCACCCAGCCCCTTGGTACATTTAAATAAGCCTGTAAGTGTTTAAAAATGCATGTGGCAGCCCATCACTGTCTCCTTGCAGGAACACACATCTGACAAGTTTGTCTTTCTTTCCTGCAGATGAGACAGTGGAGTCTTATGAACACCTGGCCCTCAAGGTTTTACACTCTTGGGAGGATATCCCGGAAGTCGGGTGTAGGCTGGTTCCTGAACACATAGAAACTCGGCCACTGTACCACAAGGATAAGCCAGGAATGGAGCAGGTAGTGGGCAAGACTATTCTGGCCCTAAAAGTTAATCTTGTGTACTGTAGAGTAATGGTTTTCATCCAGGAACAATTTTGACCTTCCCTCAGGTACATTTAGCAATGTCTGGAATCATTTTGTGTTGTCACAAGTAGGTGGGGTTGCTACTGGCATATAGTGGGTAGAGGCCAAGGATGCTGCTAAATTAAACATCCTAGAAAACACAAGACAGCTTCCCTCCAACAGGGAATTATCCAGCCTAAAATGTCAATAATGCTGAATTTGAGAAGCCCTGCCCTGGAGTCAGTGTTCAACTTAGTACTGCTTTTTATGATTTGAGTTACCAAAGTCTTTTGGAAGAATATTGGACATTTGAAAAACTTAACCCATTGGGTATGCCCAGGACTTTGTCCAAAATCTATCTGTAACCACACAGCCTAGTAATAACACACACAAACACACAATTTTCCCAGAGAAGCAATAGGTGGTAGGTTACCTTAAAGAACTGGCAAGAAGAAGCTGTGTGGAAAAAATACCTAGAGAGCTGGGCTAGGAGTCAGAAGGGAAGACAAGATAAACTTTGTGAAGAGCCTTCCGTGTACTAGGACCTTTACGTAAATTATCTCAACTATTTAGGATGACCATAGAATTGTTTATCCAAACTGGGGCCATTTGGGAGTGAACGCGGGCACTGTTAATAATCAAGCTGGTACAAGGAACACACACCATGATTTTCCTAAACAACGGAGTGACACCTTCCTCTTATTCCTTAATGCAGCCTCATGATGGGCTTATTATGATCCTCACTTTTACAATGAGGAAATTGAAGTTCAGAGAGCTCAATTAATTTGCTCTGAATTACTCAGCTGGGGAGTAATAGAGATGAGTAGTAGTAGAGATGGAATTTAGCCCAGGCAATTTGCATCCCTGGCCCATGCCAGGTTCACACCCCGAGCCAGCTTCTGTCCCAGCTCTGGACTCACTCACTGTGTGAGGGGAAAATCATGTGAGTTTGATTATAATGGGTCAGAAACACTTACCCTGCTATCCCAGAGTTATTGGGATATAGACCTAGTGATTGCACGTGTGGACGACCGCGTTGAGAGGGTAAACCATTATCAGATGTAGAAGCTTATGATTGTTTCCTGAAATTCACTGCCAGGTGTTTGAAATCATCTGGTTACTAGGATCCTTCACTTGGCTGGTCAGATGTGGCTTTTTGATTAAGGATGAATATTAATGTGTCTTTAGAAAATAAATCATCCTGCTTTTCTCTATTCAATTGATTTTCTTCCCAAATGCTAAACCTTTGCTTACATTTTCTCTTCCTCTGAAGAGCCATTATTTTCTAGCCAAAGGCCCTTCCTCATCCAAATCCTGCATCTTCTTCATGCTCTAGTGGAGTCCCACCTCATTCTTATAAAATCCACCCCTGCCCCATCATCCCAACCCATATCCCTTACTCCTTTCTTGCCTAAGCTGACAGCATTCTTAGAATGTATACAACAGAGCTTAGCATGGAATCCACAGGGCTTCTCCTCACATGGGCTCTTAAATCTCTTGTACCACGGTAAAATCTGATGTATGGAGTTCAAGGCAATGAATGGGAGGCTCTGTTCTGCCACTGTTAGCCACAGAACTTCAGATACACTTTGTTGACTTATCTGAGCTTAGTTTCTTTATGTATAGAACAGAATCCTGGCTGGGGTGAACATTAACAGAGATAATGAAGGTAAAGGTACATTGAAGCATACTTGTGACAGTTGGGATTATCTTTTTAATCCTTAGGAGTTTGCAGAAAGAGCAAGGTCTCTGGGGTCAACACAAGGGTTGAATCCGGACTCTGCTACATATTGTCTATTAAGCATGGGCAAAATGTTTTTTCCTCTGTCAAACAGAAATAGTAACATCTACCTGGTGGAGATGTTGCAAGAGTTCATAAGATAATGTGTGTCAAGTGTATAGATAGCATTATGTCTACCCCCTAGTTGATGCTCAATAAAGGTTTGCTCACCCTTCACCTACTCTTAATTTATGCTCTAATTCCTAAAGATATATATATATATATATATATACATACATACATACTTTTTTTGTCAACAGATACGCTAAATATACATCTATAAAACTACCAAGCTACACTTAACACCTATTTCTACTAAAGGGATCTTATAAAACCATGAATTATCAATTACCCATGTCCCCTAGCCCCCTCCCAAAGCTAAAGAAGATATTTTTTTTCTTAACAAGGGCCGCCTGCAGATGTGGGTGGACATGTTTCCCAAGGATATGCCTCAACCTGGACCTCCTGTTGACATCTCTCCAAGGCGACCCAAAGGGTATGTCAGCTGTAGCCCCAGCTTCAGGGGAAGAGACCAGGGTAGCAGATGAAAGAATCATGACATTTTATCTGGTGTCTGACAGGTTACCTGATCATCATACCTCACTATCCACCCGGCCAGTTTTTCAGGAGCTGGTGGTGGCCCCTGTCTTAAGGGAGGGGCTTCTGAGTTTCCACTTCCTCATCTGAAAAATGCTGGTTAAGAGAAGGAAGACCTGCTCATAGGAATTCATGTCCTTGATGGTTCTAAGGTCTCCAGCTAGGATACTTGGTTCTGACAGAACCAAGCCCCTAAGTGTTGATATTTCTGAACTTGGCAAACTTTAGGAAACTTATAGACCAAAGGCAATGCTAGAACCACACAGACACCAACTGACTCAGCTTTCAAGGTCATCGACCTAATGCTTCCTTCTCCCATCCCAGATACGAATTGAGAGTGACCATCTGGAACACTGAAGATGTCATTTTAGAGGATGAGAATATCTTCACAGGCCAAAAATCAAGTGATATTTATGTGAAAGGGTAAGGTTATCAACAAACTCCAACCTCCCATTTCCTTCCCTCCTCACCTTTTTAAACCCTAACTAAATCTATGCCTCATGGAGGATACTAAACCCACAGCCCACAAAGTGAGCCATCTTACTTTTAAGGCCACCTTCTTTGTCTAATATTTGTCTTATTTGGTCATTTTGCTAAAAATTATTAGCTTATAAAAATATTTTTATGAGGAAATCTTATTACATATACATCTTTCAGTTAAACGTTGGATACCTAAACTTATTCAGTGACATTTGTCAGATATCTACCTTTAAACAAAAGGAAGCAGAGTGATGTGGTGCTGTTAATGAAAGATTAATATGTTGAACAGATTGTGAAGCTAATGGGAAAGCTAAAATTTAGACCTTCCTGTTTGCTGGTGGTATTGATTAAAAACAGATACAACCTAAGACCCAGGGAAGCATTTTATATCTCTTTTACATCTTGGCTCTGCTTCCTTTTGGCCACTAGTCAGGGAGGGGGATGAGGTGGTATAGCATCAGAAAACAGGTGATTTAAATCTGTACCTTAACTAAAACCTCTCTCAGCCTTATGCTAATATCTCTTTGCCTTCCCCTAACAGGAAGTATTCTGTCTCCAGAATGTACGTTATCAATGATTTGCAGTCATACCACATCTGGTGGTTCAAAATTCTCATTTTTTTCACAATAAAAATATAGAAGTGAGTTAAAGTTTTACAAAGGAGTAATAGAAGGAGCATGACACAAAATGAATAAGATTTTAACAAACAGACTTAAGAGCCTCTGAAATTGCTATCTCATCACCAGTTTAGGAAAGATTAATGTATCCTGTAAATAGGTATTTTACCATGGCTTGAAATATGGAAGGATTCTGGGAGAGTTCGGGTTGAGACTTCCAGAAGCTGACCTTCTGGAAAATGTGATGAAGGCGATGTTTGTTCACTCTCTGTCTCCTTCCCTCCCACTCGCTTCTCAGTCAACTCCAGTCTGGCTTTCTCCCCAATATGCCACCAAAGCGACAGTGCTCTCCATTTTGCTAAATCTAATGGTCTTATGTTTTAAAAAATTAGTCCTTATTGCATTTGTCTGAGGAGCATTTGTCACATCTAAGCATCTCTTCTTTTTGAAACACCTTCTTGCCTTAACTTCTGTAGCAACACATGTATCTGTTTTTTCTCTTATCCTCTTGATCACTTCTTGTCCGTGTCCTTTGAAAGCTCATTTTCTGCCGTCTAGCAGTTAAATAGCTCATAGCATTGTCCTGGGCCAACTTCTCATCTCCCACTATTTTGTCTCTCTGCCATTTTCAACTAACACTTCAGTTGAATCAAGTAGTTCAAATAACCAATGGCTTCAGTTGTCACCTTTTAATTTTCATTCTTGACAACTCCTGTTCCCGATGTGTAGATTCCTCAAAAGCAGCACCTCAAACTGAACAAGTCTAAAACCAAAACAATCCTACAACACTGTTTCTTCTCTACGGTTTCTTATCTCAGTGACTGGCACCATCATCCATTGGGTTGAGAACCCCAAATCTACAGACCCTTTGCTCACTGACTTCCCCATTTCTAATGTGCTGTCAGAGCTTGTCCATTTCACCTCCCAAGTGGCCATCAGCACTGTTCATCCTCTCCATCTTCGCCACATCCCACCATTGTCTTTTCCTCCATCATCTCTTGCTAGGTGGACCACAGCAATACCAATGCCATCCAAATTGGCCTCCCCATATTCATTCTTGCCCTCCAATAGTTTGCTCTCTATGTTTAAACATGAGCTTTTCAAAACACAATCTGATCATGTCAGTCCTGTACTTAAAACCCTTCAATGACATCTCATTTTCTCTGAACAGATTCAAGTCCTTAATACATCCTAAAATATCCCAAATAACTAGCCCCTGCCTCTCTCTCTCTCCAGCCTCATTTCATACCACATGCCCCCTTGCTCTCTGCAAGAAGAACTAAGAAGAAAGACCTTCTAAGGCTGCATCCTTATTTCTTCTTCCACGGGGCCTTTGCACATCTCTCTCTAGTGACTTCTGCCACTCACTCATATCCCTCTCTCCCCTTTCCCCTATGACTATGACTCCATGAAGCAAGGACCATCTCTGCTCCCTAACACTCCCCTGGCGTCAAGCTCTCTCATTGCCTCAGAACAGACATCACAAATGTATTGGTTGAGTGAACACCATCTTTAGCTAAATAATTGGGCCCATACCCTGAGTGGTGACACTCCTCTGTGAAGAGAAAGGCCTTCACTCCCCTCCTCCCTGCCCTGGGAAGGAAGGATGTCTGCTTTCAGAAAGCACACGGTTTGAAATTATCAACTAGTTTGAATAAAAAGTACTTATTTTCTCAATTAATTCACCATGGACCAAGTAGTAGGGATAAATGTACTAATTGTAACTTACGTTATGCTGGGGATGGAGGAGGAAGACCAGATAATACTAAGACGAAAGAACATGATAGGTAATTTGGAATGTCCAAGGTACATTTAGGCATCATCTCATGTGATTTTTCAGAACAACCTTATAAACTAGGTGCTATAATTGCTTCCAGTGTACAGATGAAACAAAGGCACAGGGAGGTTAGATAACTTACCTATGTCTGCATAGTAAGTGATACAGTCAGAGTTGGAATCCAGATGGGTGCAGGCAGCCCTCCCACCCTCCATGCCACACCAATCCAGGCCTGCTGGGCTTTCTAGGCCTAGAACCAGGGAGGAGGGGACCAATTATAGTCTGATGGCATAGGTCTGACAACCCAAGCCTATACCAGCCCAGTGCATGCCTGACAGCACAGGTCTACAGCAGCCCAATTTCAGAGTCCTCAGTGTAGTGGGTAATCTTGTTCTAACACTCAAGTATAGAGGTGGCATCCCTTACAAAGAGGGTTCCCAGGGTGACAGAGATTCAGATTACATTTTCACTTCCTATTTCCTGAATTTTCTATCTTGATTGCATGGGGCTTCAGATCTACACAAGCAATTGAAGACCCTTCCCCAACCCTGCCTTGAAATGAGCCATTTTTCTATTATGGCAGACCCTCTGACCCCTATTTTATTCTTTCAAGTTAAAATGGAAACTTCCAACTGAATCTAATTATAATGATTTTTAAACTATGCTCTGTGACCACATTGAAATAAGCTAAATCACTTATGATTATACTGATGCCTGGAGAATGTACTCTGAGTGTTTAAATTATTTTGAATCTATTTTTAGGTGGTTAAAGGGCTTGGAGGATGACAAGCAGGAGACAGATGTGCATTACAACTCCCTGACTGGAGAGGGCAACTTCAACTGGCGCTTCCTGTTTCCCTTTCAGTATCTCCCAGCTGAGAAGCAAATGGTCATTACCAAGAGGGAGAACATCTTCTCTTTAGAGAAGATGGAGTGTAAGACTCCTGCTGTGTTGGTGCTGCAGGTTTGGGATTTTGAAAGGCTGTCCTCAGATGACTTCCTGGGTAAGCCAGTGGCTTCATCAAGCACATATTAATGTTAAGGGTTTTGTCTCAGCTTTTGGAGAGCTTGGTCTGATTTAGTTACAAGACTAATAATTTCAGCACTATCTATGATAGCAAAAACCTGGAAACATCCCAAATAGCCATTAATAGGGAATGGTTAAATGAGTGATGGTACATCCACATGATGGACCACTACATATTCTAAAAGACTTAAGTTGATCTATCACTAAAAAGTCATTAAACTTTGAGCTAATTACTGGTCTGCTCTGTGTCTCAGTTGTAAAATGAGGGTAGTAATATTACATACTTCAGAGAGGGGCGGAGCTGTAATTGTTGTAACACAATTAAAGAGCACTCCGTAGTGCCTCACACATAGTAAGCATTTGTAAGCCAAAATGTATCTGAGACAAGTCTCAATTTAGAAGTTTATTTTGCCAAGAATAAGGACATGCCTGTGATATAACCTCAGGAGGTCTTGATGACATGTGTCCAAAGTGGTCAGGCCTCAACTTGGTTTTATACATTTTAGGGAGATATAAGACATCAATCAATACATGTAAGATGTATGTTAGCGACAACTGGAAGTGGGGGCTTCCAGTTCGTAGGCAGATTCAAAGATTTTCCAATTGGAAATTGGTTATTGTCTAAAAACCTGGAATCAATAGAAAGGAATGTCTAGGTTATGATAAGGGGTTGTGAAGACCAAGGTTTTTTCATGCATATGAAGCCTCAACGTAACAGACTTTAGAGAAGATAGATTATCAGACTTGAAGAGTCTGTTCTATGAGTCTTAAGGTCTTTGTTGATGTTAACAGTAATGAGGCATATCTGACTCCCCCTTCCCATCAATGGCCTGAACTAGCTTTTCACGTTAATTTTAGAATGCCTTTGGTGGAGAGGAGGAGTCTATTCAGATGGTTGGGGGGCTTAAAATTTTATTTTTGGCTTACACACTCAAGTGATAGTCCTGCAAACATTAAAAATATGGGAATATCTAATGAATTGGAAAGTTGTACAGGATACATTAAGTGAAAAGAGAAAAATCTCATTTCTGTAAACTACGTTTATATGTATAGGAGAAAGGGATAGTCATAGAGAGAGGGCTAAGCACCAATACACAGAGCAGTGGTCAACATTTTAGGGATGAAATTATGAAAAATTTTTCCATTCTCATGTTTTTGCCCATGTATATATGCTCTGAATTTTCCATATTTAACAAATGTTAATTTATAATAGGAAAAAATGGTTAAAGAGATATAGAACTCATGGCAATCTCTTACTCTGCCTTGTGTTCCCTCGTTGGAAAAACAGTGTTGGGAACCCACTAAGGTTCACTTCCTGTCCTGGAGAGTAGATACAAAGACAATAAGACTAGTGTCCGACCTGGAGGGGTTTAGTGGACACCAAGAGAGAGGTGAAGTGGGGTGAGGAGGCTCTCATGGGGTTGTCAGTGCTAAAGCAGGGGAAGGCTGAAGCCAATAATCCAGGCTTAGGGAGCAGAGGAGGTGGTCAGCAGTGAAGCTACCTGCAGCTGAGGCTTGCAAGTTAAGTATTGTTAACTTAAGAGTTAAAACAAGCTCTTCCTTTGTCTTCTACCTGCTACCATGTGATTAATCTTTTGATGGCACCAAACGTGGCTCAGTCCTATTTGTACTCCCAATACCTAGCACATAGTTGTGATCCAATATGGTACTGATTGAATGAGTAGGAAGTGAAGGGTGAATGAATGAATGAGGATGGTGATTGAGAAGCTCTTCTGTTACTTTTAGAAAATGCTTCCCTAACTGTTAGGGTCATCTCTCCACAGGCACCCTGGAAATGAACCTCAACAGTTTCCCTCGAGCAGCTAAGTCTGCCAAAGCCTGTGATCTTGCCAAGTTTGAAAATGCAAGTGAGGAGACCAAGATCTCTATATTCCAGCAAAAACGTGTGCGTGGCTGGTGGCCTTTTTCTAAAAGCAAAGAACTCACAGTAAGTGACAGCTATGGGAGGTGGAGGAGATGGGGGAAGTTGGGGGCATCATGCTTTTCCACTGAGTCATTTTGTGAACTTCAAGTAAAATGCCTTGAAATGACATGAACCCTTCATGCAGAGGTTCTGCTAAGAAGCAAGAATTTTTAAAGCTTTATAAATGCAAGAAGACTTAGCTATCTATGTTGAGGTGATTTTCTATCCTTTTGGCCTGAACTTATGCGCCTGGCATTAATTTTTTTTCAACATTTCTTAAGATTATGCATAAAGTCCTGAGTAATGTACAATTTCAATGCAATTACCTTATGCCTTCATCCTCAAATGTAAGACATGATTTAAAAAGTGATCCATCCTTTTAAAAGAAGGTGACAGCAGGAGAAGCCATTTATCCCTTTTCCCGAATTGTCCACTTCCTGCCAATGCATGTCAGATTGTGTGGTATGTGCTTGGAGGAATTTTTGACCTTTCACAAATATTGGGAAGACAGTTTCTTCTTCCTGTTCTTTCACCTCCTTCACTGATCCTCTGTAAGCCAGCAGGGATGACTTAGCGAGGTTGGAAAAAGGTACTGAGACTGATAGCAGGGTCTTTTTTCTGCTGCTAGCCTCCCCTTGGGATGAGTGCATTCTGCCCTCTGCTTCTAGTGCCTTGTGGCAAAAGCACACCTAGGACAGGATTTTTCCGGTAGCAGGTCTGGATAGAGACCCATTTCTCTTTCTGTCTCTGCTCTGAGGATCCAGTGGGTGTGAGGCAGGGATTCCCCTAGTACCTCACTGGGTAAATGGGAGCTGCTGGTCTGACCTCATGGTGTCTAGTTCTATTGTATTTTCTGAGAGTTTGTCTCTTCTATCCATTCTTAATTGGATCCCCTTGATTGGTGAGGTTGCTGGAGAGGCTCCAGCCAGTTCCATTCCCCCTCAAGTAGTTAATGAGGGTTTACTACATGCCAGCCTCTGGGCTTGGTTATGGGCAATCAATATTTGTTGGATGCAAGAATGAAACCAGAAATGAATGAGTCATGGCCTCTGCTCTCAGCCAGCTCAGAGTCCAGTGAGAGGGACAAACAGTTCAACATCCAATCATGCGTGGAATAACCAAGGTGTGAAATGCAGGGAAGGAATGGAGAGGTGGGAGGGATGCAATTGTCCTGATGGAGTTGAGGGTTCAAACAGGACAAAGGACAATGAAAAGGCATTTTATAGATGAAAAAGAGAAGATATCTATTCCAAGTGAAAGAACCATGATGAGTACAGTATGGAGGCATAAAGTGGCTCCTGGTAGAAGGCTAACAACCCTCTGATCAAAATTCCTGAGCACAGTACGAGGTTGACAAATGGGGACTGCCAGGCCCAGAAGTCCAAACTCTTATCCTTTGACATCATTCTAATTTCTGTATATTAATAAGCAGTAAATTTAGATGCATGATCATATAATAGCAGCTATTATATTTTATATCCCTTTAGATTTTGAGAGATATATACAGACTCCTGTTATTTAATCCTAATTACTCTTCATTTTCCATGTCATTTACTTATTTCTTCATTTCATCCAACAAATATTTACTGAGCTTCTATTAAATGATAGGCCCTGGGAATAAGACATGAGTAATACAGACAAGGTCTCTGTTATCATAGAGCTTACAGTCTAAAGTCAAGTTCAGACATGCAGACATATACATGCAAAACCACAGCTAGCTACTCACACATACTCCAAGAAAGCAATGACTCAGAACAAAGGCTGGGCAGAAGACAAAGCACTGAATCAAAGCTTACCCAATGCAGGGATTTCTACTCACTATGGTGGCAGGGAAAGGCCTTTCTGTGCCTGTGAAACTAAGTTGAAACTTGATGAATGAAATGTAGTGAGCCACAGGAGGAAGAGCATTTCCCACAGAGCAAATTCCACAGGCGAATGGCCTGAGGTAGGAATGAGTTTAGTGCTTTGGATAAACTAAAACCCCAATGAACAAAAACCTCCCATAACTGGCGTGTGATGCATGAGGGCAGTGCTGGTGAAGTGGGGAGGACACCAGAGCCTGATCACACAGGCCTCGAGACTATGGTGAAAAGCTTGGACTTCATTCTCAAAGGAAAGCCATTGCATGGTTTCCAGCAGGGAGGGGATCTGCCTCACCTAGGAAACACATCCCCTTAATGCTGTGTAGACAATGGTCAGAAGAGGGTCAAAATTGGAGAGAGAGGACTAGGCAGAGATGTAAGAAAAAAGAGTAAAAATGTGCTGAAATAGGAACTCAGAGAGGAGGCTCTTTGGAGAAGGGCACTTGGTTACTGTGTCAAGTGCTCCTGAGAGTTTAAAGAAGAAGCCACAAAGATGTGCCCATTGGACTTAACGGCATGGAGGTTCCCGGTGACCTTTTAAAAAGCAGCATTGTGAATGTCCATAGCAGCATTATTCATAATAGCCCCAAAGCAGAAACACTCAAATGTCCATCAGCTGATGAGTCCATTTTTAAAATGTAGTATATCCATACAGTGGAATATTATTCAGTCATGAAAAGGAATGAAATACTGATACGTGCAACAACATGGATGAACCTTGCAAATGTTATGCTAAGTGAAAGAAGCCTGTCTTGAAAGACCACATACTGGTCTGATTTCATTTATGTGAAATGCTCAGAATAGGCAAATCCATAGAAAATAGATGAGTAGTTGCCAGGGACTGGGGTAGGGTAGAAGGGGAATGGGGAGCAACTGGTATGGAGTTTCTTTTTGGGGTGATTAAAAAAGAAGTTCTGAAATCAAATAGTGGCGATGCCAGTACAATTTTGTGAACAGATTAAAATCTATGTAATTGTATAATTTAAAAGAGTGAACTTGGTGAAACCCCGTCTCTACTAAAAATACAAAAAATTAGCTGGGCGTGGTGGCGGGTGCCTGTAGTCCCAGCTACTCAGGATGCTGAGGCAGAAGAATGGTGTGAACCCAGGAGGCGGAGCTTGCAGTGAGCCGAGATCGTGCCACTGCACTCCAGCCTGGGCGACAGAGTGAGACTCTGTCTCAAAAAAAAAAAAAAAAAAAAAAAAAAAAAAAAACAGAGTGGACGTTATGATATATGAATTATATCTCAATTGTTTAAAAGCAATGTTAGTGGAATGGCAAAGACAGAAGTAGATGAATGTGGATTGTTGAGTGAATGAGAAGCAGGTTAGTGTAGATTCTCTAGAAACCTCCACAGTTTCATCTCTCACTGCTCCCCTCTCAACCATCCTGAACCCTTCCCGGACTCTTGCTTGTCTGGTCTGTGGACTGGTCCTTCTGCCTGGATTGCCTTAGCCCCTTTCTCTGAGAAAACTCCTAGTCCTTAAATATTTGGAGATTATTTTTAGCAGTTGCCCCTCTGAGAAGCCTTCCTGGGTATCCTCAGCCTGGGTGGGCTTACCTTCTACTTCCCTACATGTATCTCTTGACACACTGATTTGAACTTGTCCATGGACTTCATGGTTCTTCTACTGTCAGCAATTTGAGTCCAAAAAGTATGTTTTTGCTTTCTGTTCCCTTTCCTAATTTTCAGTGTCTAATGTGGTACGTAGCACATAATACTCAAATATTTATTGAATGAATCAATTAATTCAAGAATAATTAATTGACCCTAGTATAAGAGATTATAAGGTTTTCTTTTTTTTTTTTTTTTTTTTTTGAGACAGAGTCTCGCTCTGTCGCCCAGGCTGGAGTGCAGTGGTGCAATCTCTGCTCACTGCAAGCTCCACCTCCCGGGTTCACGCCATTCTCCTGTCTCAGCCTCCCTAGTAGCTGGGACTACAGGCGCCCGCCACCAAGCCCAGCTAATTTTTTGTATTTTTAGTAGAGATGGGGTTTCACCATGTTAGCCAGGATGGTCTCGATCTCCTGACCTTGTGATCCGCCCGCCTCAGCCTCTCAAAGTGCTGGGATTACAGGCATGAGCCACCGCGCCCGGCCAAGAGATTATAAGGTTTCCTTCTGTTTACTCAGTGTACTGAGCACATAAGTGCTCAGTAAATGTTCTTTAAAAATGAACACATTAGTACACATTGATTTATATGATTATCTAAGTGTCAGCTTACAAGCCAGAGAGGAATAAAGAAATGACAGAAGACAGGTAGATTTTAATGGCAAGGGGATCAAAAGATTTAGATAGATTACACAGTGGCGAATGGATGAACATTTGGGCTGTGGCAGTCTGTTTTCCTAGACTGTGTTAAGATCCGTAGAAGCATTTGAGCTTATGATCTGAGCCCCACCTGCTAGGTACCAGAGTAGTGGCAATTTCCATGATTTTTTACCTTCTCTCCATGCTGTCCTTGCCTTGCCAGAGCCTAGGTATGTCAGGTTATTATAGTGATTTAAATTCATTTGTTGAATAGTTTTGTAATGACTGGGCCTTAAGTGAGACATTTATGTGGGAAATTTACTGTCTGGTTTGATTGACTCAATGCAGAGTTTTTCTGCTTTTGTGCTTCGGAGGGTCCATTTGAAGATCCCTCTTTGTCTTTGGTCTCATGAGGGAAGAACTAACAGAGCCACTAAGGCCAGATCACCTCTTATAGTCCTAGCATAAAAGAGAAGCCTCTTTTATGAGGACATGCACATTTTATAATTTAAGATCCCACAGAGGATTTCCGTGCATCAAAAAATGCATGTCTGTGTTAAAAGTTTTAAAAGCTTTCTGGATTGTCCTAGGGATTGTGATCAGTAATAATGAGAGGGGTGGATTCCACCCTAGAACAGCCCCAGGTCAGCAGATAAGCAATGCATTCAAAGCTAACTGGGGCCAAGCACAGTGGCATGCACCTGTAGTCTCAGCTACTTGGGGTGCCGAGGCACGAGGATCCCTGGAGCCCAGGAGCTCAAGTCTACCCTGGGCAACACAGTGAGACCTTGTTTATAATAACAACAAATACTGACTCCTGGATTCCATCCTTTAATAAGAAAAACCATCTTGGGTTCAAAGTCTGGCTCTATTATTTACCAGCTGTCTGAACTTTACTATGAGCCTCAGCTTTCTTAGCTGTAAAGATTGAGAAAATTAAAGTATGTACACCTCATGAGCTGTCGTAACCCTGAAATGAGATAGTATGTTCCAGGCACACAGATTCTAAGTGTTCAATAAATGTCAGATTTTCGCTTGAGCCATTACTCAGCAATAAACTGTTTTGACCATTCCCTGTTCCCATCTCCTTCTGGGCCCCAGGATGAGGGAAACGCCTCAAACTCAAAATACCTAAATATCTTAGTCAATTTTAACATCTAATCCTTAGGGGTTACACTTTTGGTAAATGTAAGAAAAAAGATGGGGCTGGGTGTGGTGGCTCATACCTGTAATCCCAGCACTTTGGAGTAGACGGACATCTTGAGCCCCAGAATTTGAGACCAGCCTGGGCAACACAATGAGACCCCGTCTCTACAAAAAATTTTTAAAATTTGCCAGGCATGGTGGTACCTACGTGTAGTCCTAGCTACTCAGGAGGCTGAGGAAATAGGATCCCTTGAGCCCAGGAGTTCAAGGTTGCAGTGAGCTATGATCACGCCTTTGCATTCCAGCCTGGGCAACATAGGGAGTCCCTGTCTCTATAGAAAAAAGGAAAGAAAAGAAAAAGGGAGGGAGGGGGGAAGAATAGAACCTCTAGCAACATACTCTTAACTACTTTATAAATGATTCTCCTGAAGAATTGGCCATGATGATGAATTTTCACAGGAGATTGTTTTAAAGATTTGAAATGGCTACGTTGTCTGGGGGTTTGTTGTCTCATGCTGAGAAAAAATTCAGGATATGGACACGTGTGGATGGGTTAAGGAGTAGAAAGTTTAATAGAAGAAAGGAGAGGAGCTCCTTGAGAGAGAGATACACGTCCAATAAAGTGGTGAGGCTGCGGACTGCAGCAGATTTTACAGGCAGGCTGGAGAAGGCGGTGTCTGATTTACAGAGGGCTCACAGATTGGTTCAATCAGGTATGACGTTTACATAGGGCCCAGGAAAGGCTGGTTGCTCCACCCTAATCTTATTATTCAAATAGGCTTTCCAGTTGATTGGCACCATCTTATCAGTTCTTTACTGTACACGTGGCTGACAGAAGGGAAGATGGAGCCGCCTTCTTGAACATGTCTAGTCCCTAGTCCCTGCCAGCATTCACCCGTGCAAACTCCCAGCTTGCTTATGTCTGCAGTTCGACTTTACAGGCTGCTCTTTGTTAGAAAATGATTTGGGGCTGCTTTTCGTTAAAGAGAAAGGCCTTACCGAGGACTCCCATACCCTTACTAGCTGTCTAAGTGATTTCTTCTTAACTCCTGTATCACTTTCTGTAGTAAGGATAGGAGCTTCTAATTAAATGCTCTTCATTTCTATCAACATAGTTTTTTCCTGAGTCTAGATGATCATGTTGCTCCTTCAGCAGTTCATTTTTCAACAGTTACAGAAAGCCTCCCCTGGGCAGGGCTTTGGTAGGATATCCTGAATACAGAGATGAATAGGATGCAACTCTTGCCCCCAAGAAGCTGCTATCTTGAGGGGAAGACAGACAAGAGAAGCAACCGGCAACTGCTCTGACTGTGGTAGTAACAAGCGTTGCTAATATGAACTGACTACCAGAACCAGTTCTGAAAGACTGAACATACAAACAGCAGTGGTCAGACCACACGTGACAATAAAGCTACAACCTCTGCAGCAACCAGCCCCAAACCATCAGAGCTTGGGCAATGACTGCAGGCTTCCCTAATATATGTTCCCCTAACTAATCACATATGACGGCCCCCTACTTAGCCTGCTTCCAGTTTCCCCACACGAGCACCTTTCAGTCAGAACACATCCAATGACTTCCCTTTTCTTGTATCTTCCTCTCTACCTAAGTGATGGTAGCTCTAAATAAATAGCCTCTGTTTGTTCTTATCTTGGTGATCTTTGTTCATTTCCACAGCACTAAACACTGAATGTATACTAATTCATTTATCTGCTAAAACCCCCTGAAAAAATATATAATCAATCCCAATTTTATAGAGAAGGAAGCTGAGGCACAGCAAGCTTAAGTAACTTGCCTCATAGCACACAGCTAGTCAGGAAGGATGAGATTCAAACACAAGCAGTTCACTTCTACACTCTTGAGTCCTAACCACTGTGCCATACTTCATTTTCTGTCAAAGAGCCATAGAAACAGAAGGGACATCCAAACTGTCCTGGGGTTACCAGCCATCTTCACCACAGAGGTGAAGTCTGAGGTGATATTTCTGGGGGAAATACAATTTAAAACAAAGTCTCCCAACTCAAAAGCTAGTAAAGTTTTATCATTGAGTAGTCACTAAAAGCAACCCGTTAAGAGATTGCAAAGACAGAAATTTCCTCCTTTTATATAGCTGAGCAGCAATCACCCATTACATACATATTTTCAGGAGAAAATATAACTAGTTCTCAGGAGGAATTCACAGCACCATTTGTCACACATTGTTCTAGATTCACATGGTCATCGAGATGACCATTTATGTTACTTGATTAGTTTTATCCAAAGGAAAAGCAAACTTCTCAAATCTTTATGCCACCTGCCAGAGATTTTTTAAACATATTTATTTTTAAAGCTGTTATCAGTGCCCCCCCTCCCCTCCAGCAGTGTCGTTTAATCAGTCTTCTCAAATCTTTATGACAGGAGGTAGTTGTGCAACTTGGAGCAAAGTGCTCACCAAAGTTAGCCTCCTACCCTCCCACAGAAACTGGGGTATAGGGTGCTATTCTCTCGATGTTTACATTTGAAGGAGATGGTTCTCAGATCCTTGAAAAAAACATTCCTGGGTGTTAAAGACAAAAGGCCTGTCAGCTTTCAAAACAATTTATATACGTTACAGAGAGAAGAGAAAGTACTTACAACTTTTCTAAAGTAAATGCTCTAAGAGAAAAGAAAAGGGGGAAGGAAATCTCTTCCCATTTTCAACAGGGAGAACTAAGCCTCTCATTTTTAATTTTTATTTGTTGCCCTTACACCTCCTAAAGGGAAAATAAGAATTGACTTCATCTTCATGCATACCAGTGGCCCATGGTCAGAGCCTTGGCTGAGCAGCGTGGAACCTGGTCCTGAAAGCCCTGCTTTGGCCTGCAGAAGGGATGTATTCCAGCTACCCTTGTCCTCTTGTTATAGGAAAGGGGTCCCAGCCCAGACCCCAAGAGAGGGCTCTTGCATCTTGGGCAAGAAGGAATTCAGGGCAAGTCTGTAAAGAGAAAGCAAGTTTATTAAGAAAGTAAAGGAATAAAAGAATGGCTACTCCATAGACCGAGCAGCCCCAAGGGCTGCTAGTTGCTCATTTTTATGGTTATTTCTTGATGATATGCTAAACAGGGGTGGATTCATGCCTTCTCTTTTTAGACCATATAGGGTAACTTCCTGACATTACCGTGGCATTTGTAAACTATCATGGCACTCGCCGGTGGGAGTGTAGCAGTGAGGATGACCAGAGGTCACTCTTGTTCTCTGGTCGGTGGGTTTTGGCCGGCTTCTTTACTGCAACCTGTTTTATCAGGAAGGTCTTTATGACCTGTATCTTGTGCTGACCTCCAATCTCATACTGTGACTTAGAATGCCTTAACCGTCGGGAATGCAGCCCAGTAGGTCTCAGCTCCATTGTACCCAGCTCCTATTCAAGATGGAGTTGCTCTGGTTCAAATGCCTCTGACACTCTTTCCCCCTTAAGTAACCAATAACCATATTAAGAAAATAACTTTCTCCTAATAGGGTAGCAAGTTAGGTGGTCCAGAGTAAATGGTGTAATGGAAAACTCCTGCCATACCTGGGGGCACTTCTGTTTCCATGTGTATAAAATCACTAGGTTAGACTGGGTGCCTCCAACATGCATGTCCAGCCTAGACATTCTCTAATTCCAACTCCGTGTGCACTCTCCTCCCGTTCTTTGAAGCCAGCATTCAAACATGGCTGTCTGGTTTTAGTTGCTGGCAGGCGAGAGAGGGTTTGTTTATGGCCACTGCCACCTGCCAGATTTATTTTTAAAGCTGCTTATCAGTGTCCCCCCAGCAGTATCATTTAGACATTTAGATCACACAGCTTCTAGTGTGGAATGTGGAATGTGGCTTTCCTCACAGTAAATGAAAAACAGCTCCACGGGATTGCTGAGGAATGGGGACCCTTGGGAGAAAGAAAGGGAATATCTACGACCATGTTCTTCGTGAAGCACATTGCACTATGCAATTTATATGCCTTATCCCAAGTCATCCTACTCAAAGCAACCTTTAAGAAATCACTCTTTTAAGAGACAAAGATTAAAACATTTATTTTACAAGTTAATCCCACAAATGGACAGGCAGCCAAGGTAAATTCTATCCCTGGTACATCAACAACCAAAACTCTAAGGGAGGTTTCTATGCTTCCAGTTTGATGTGAAAAACAGCTGTCAGCATCTATTATGGCTACATACTTATATGTTATGTTCTAAAGTTTCAACAGTGAATAAGATAAATTCTTAGCATCCTGAAGTTCACAACTTAGCTGGGGATGGTGGTAGATAGATCATTTAAATAGTATTTAGCAAGATCAGACAAGAGCAGACAAGGGAGATATTTTTATATAAAGATTTTTAAGATAGGGTGTATAATGTGAATGTATAGGAAATTTGAAAAGCACAAAAAGGTAGAAAAAATAGCACACATATGTATACCATCTAAAGAAAACTTGCTAATGGTTTGGTTATTCCTAATATTTTCTCTATGCATAAATTTTAGTTCCCTTTACATAATAGTAATCATTCCATACTTAAAATAGTGCCTCTTCATTTTGTTCCACTCAGTTTTCTAATGAGCATTCCCCTACATTATACTAGCAATATTATTAACTCTTTATATTCTCAAAATAAAAATGCCAGTTTAATTATTGTGTTTGTCCTCAACATTTATTCATTTAAAAAATTTGAGCACACAGAAAAGTTGAAATGGAACAATGATCAGCCATAGATCCACCACCAAGATTCAACACTTGCTAATATTTTGCCATATTTATTTTGTCAATATATTTGGGTATACTCCATTGATATATGAAGTATATTTGAGTATTTGTATGTATATATGCCTATTTTTTGACTGAACAATTTAAGCTGTAGACATTCTGTCACTCTACCCCTAAATACCTCAGCATGCATCTCTCAGGAATATAGACAGTGTCCTACATAACCACAATGCTGTCACCACATATAAGTAAATAATGATTCCCTAATATAATCTGATATCCACACCATATTCATGTCTCCATCTAGAAAAAGAATGCCCTATTGCCCCCAAAATGTCTTATATAGCTGTTTCCTTTTCAAAACAAGACTCAATCATGGTTTATGTACTGCTTTGCATTATTATATCTCTTTGGTCTATGTTAAAACAATCTTCTGACATTTTCCCCTCATGTTGACTATTTGATGAGACTAGGCTTGCTTTATCTGGTTGTTTTCTCATCATATTGCTTATCTTATTCTCTATCCTCTGTATTTCCCGTGAAGTGTAAGTTAGATACAACAGCATTTATCAAGTTGTTTAATATGTGATACTGTTTACTCCATAGCGGATCATGCCAGGAGGCACATGCTATCAGATGGCTCACTATTAGTGATGCTGTGTTTGCTCACTTGACTATGTTGGTAAATACAAGATTTCTTCACTGTAAAGGCACATTTTCCCCTCTGCCGTTAGCAAAGGGTAACGTGGTGGTGTGGGGAATTCCTGTTCTGCTCTACCCAAAGGCTTTAATAACTACTGGCAATCTTAATTATTTCATTGGTTTTATAAAAATTTTTCTAACCCTTCCTTACATCTGTCTGTCTAAGCTATTGATCGATCTATTTACCTATCTACTATCATTTTTTCTCCATTTATTGGTTGGCATTTATCTGTTAAAAAGAGCTTTCCCTCATCAGTTGGAAATAAATCAGTCACCCTCCTCCCCCACCCCCCAAAAAGATAGGACAAATACATAATTATATCACTTAATAACCAAATTTTAGAATTCAGAGTTGGTATAAGAGTCATCTCTAATGATTTTTCCCTTGCTTTTTTTGTTGTTATTGTTATCACTATAGATTCATGGATTTTTAACAAATATGTTGTAAGCTCCATCCACTGAAGAATCTAGAAGTAAAATCACCCAGTAGCAAAGAAGACTCCTAGCACGTAGATCCTGGTTTCTATACATCAGCTCCTACTAAAAACCAACCAACCAAAGAAACAAAAATCAGGGATTTTTGGGGAAATGGCTGACTCCAGGTCTAGGGCAGATAAAATCCAAAATGAGTCTGGGATATCTCAGTGGGGCAAATAGGACAATTTGAACATCCAAAAGAAAAATGACTATGCTTTGTACATAAGACTTTTTCTGAGTTTTGAATTATTTCCTTAACTTAGCTATCCAGAAATGGAATTCCTACATTCAGCATATAAGATTATATATGACATACAATACACACATGTAGTTGTATGCATGTATATATTTGTATATAACTACATGTGTATTTTTGTGGTCATACATGATCTTATATATGTATGTACATGCATGTATGTGGATGTAACTATATATACACTTAAATACATGTATACATATATATGCAGTGTGTGTGTGCGTATATATATATATATATATATATATATATATATATATATTCCTTTTCCTAAAAGATTTTGTCAGCATACTTTCCTCCATTAGCATATGAGAATGCCTCATGTAATTCCAGTCAGGGGTGTGTTTTAATAAGGAATAATCATTGCTGAAGGCATGTCCATTCCAAATGCAATCACTTCTCAGCCTCTGAAGGCATCCCTTCTGTAGGCATGGTGCAGTTTGGCACATTATATATGTGGTATGACAAATCCAGTCTTCTCAAGGAGCTTTTTTTATTGTCTCCCATCCACGGATATCATTAGGCTACTAGATAGTCTCTTGAACTGTCTATTTTTATTAGCTCTGATTTTAAATTACATTTAGAGGATATTATTAGCTTATGACCTCTCCTTGGTGCTGAGCTGAATGCTGATGGTTGAAACAGGACAGGAAACCTCTGTGAAGAACGATACCCAGAGCAGCGGCATTTATCGAAGCTGTCAGTAAACACCTTTCCCCTGCAGCCTTCCCAATGCCCGATAGATGCATTGCGACCGTTCTAGCAGGGTGGTGGAGCTGGCGCAAGGCTCTTCATGATGATAACAAATGACACCTATCTCTAGGACAGAAGTAATTTAATATTCTCTGCCTCCTTTTTCTTTGCATTGATTTTCCTATAGGAATCTGGGCCTGTGGGACTTTTCTGGTACTTTCTCTATGGGCAGAAGATGTTTTCTGTTAAACTGCATGTTTCTATTGATGAAACAGTGTTGAAGTTAACAACTACCATAGTTAAAGGCTTTCCTTTAACAGGCCCTAGGCTAAGCACTGCATATGTGTTATTTCATTTATTTTTCAAAGCAACCGTATAGGGTACATGCTGTTAATAGCCTCAGTACAGTGAGACTTAAAGAGAGCAGGTGACTTACCCAAGATCACACAGCTAGTAAATTGTAGAGCCTGGCTTCAAATGCAGATCTGTCTATTCACAAGTCCTATTCACTTGACTATTTGCTATATGTGTTGTGCTATGCTATGCCATGCCATGCTATGCTATAATATTAAGCTATCCAAAGCCAACCCACAGATAGAGATCAAAAGCATATACTAATGCCAGAGCAATGACAGCAATTACAGGGTTCCTCTTGAATATTTCAGAAACAGCACATTTATTCATTATTAAATAAGTAGCCTACTTTTTTTCTTCCAGAACAAGTTGTCACTTAGACATGTAAAGTAGCAGAGGAATGGAGTTTGGCATCAAAGGACCTTGGTGCAAATCCTGGTTTTGTAACATCAGTTAGCAAATATCACCAAGCCTTGGTTTCCTTGGCTGTAAAATGGTAATAAAAACGCCATCTACTTTGTCAGCTAGCCAAAAAGGGCATGCATGAAACACCATGCAAGTTATAAAGTGCCATAGCCAAAAAGGGCATGCATGAAACACCATGCAAGTTATAAAGTGCGATAGCCAAAAAGGGTATGCATGAAACACCATGCAAGTTATAAAGTGCGATAGCCAAAAAGGGCATGCATGAAACACCATGCAAGTTATAAAGTGCCATAGCCAAAAAGGGCATGCATGAAACACCATGCAAGTTATAAAGTGCCATAGCCAAAAAGGGCGTGCATGAAACACCATGCAAGTTATAAAGTGCTATAGCCAAAAAGGGCATGCATGAAACACCATGCAAGTTATAAAGTGCCAGAGCTGAGTTTATTAAGAGTAGAGAACAAAGGGGCAGCTGCAATCCTCTTACTGTGGCCCTAACTTATTCTCTGTTGATTTCTATTCTCTCTTCCAAGCATTCTGGATCCTAGCAATCGGTTAGCTCCTCTTAAGCTGACTCTACTTCAAATTAGAAGAACTGGATGAAGTTCTTAGTGTATAACATACTGCTCAGCAGAGCTTAAGTTACCTGTGAATGATCTCTGGAAATAAGACTGTTTTGTACATTGGAGACCATTTTTCCATGAGTTTTGGACTTATTTCTTGAGTCTCTCCCAGCCATCAAGTCCTTAACTCTGCCTTTCATCAATGCCAGAAGTTAGAGCCAGATAGCCCTAGAAAACATCTGGCCATTTGACAGATGAGAAAACTGAGACTCAAGAAGACGAATACCATTGGATGGTGATTATGAAGACAATTATGGAATCATCTCATGTTAGAGCTAGGCAGGCTCTTAAAAACCTTCTAGTCCAATTTTCTGGCAATTAGATGAATAAGTTGGGAGGCAGCCTGCTATAATGGAAAGAGTATGAGCTTTGGTATCATACAGACCTGGGTTCAAATTCCAGTTGGTTGGCTTGTTGCCTGTGTGACCTTGGAAAAGTTACTTGATCTCTGTGATTTCATTTCTTCATCTACATAAGGGAGACCTACCTTGCTTATTGCTATGATTGATAGACTAATAGAATAAACAAACCTGGGACAAAGTGAGTGATCCGTAAAGCATTGCAATTACAGTTAGATATATTATTATCACTCCACTATTGATGGATGTGTAAAGGAAGAATTAAAATCAATAGAAGCTTTATATTTTTTCCCACAGTTTTCAAATATTTTCTGAATGCCTATATGTGCAAGTCATTGCCTATGGGGCTAAGATTTCTCAATGGGAATGAAAGACTACATATATACATGTTTTCATGAAACATTTCTAGGTCATAGGACATTTAATGCTACTCTGAGTTGGGCCAGAGTTCCAGTTCAAAGGATGAATGAGACCATCTAGACTTTAACTCATGATTTTACCTGTAATAAAAGTCCACTGCACTTCTTTACTAATTCAGACAGCCCTGCCACTCCCTCTCTATCCCTCAACCTTACCCCATGTATTCTATATATTTCTTATATCTCCCATGATTATATTATAATGGCTGCCAGCAACCAAACCTACTTGTGAATGAGTCCTGATCTTTTTAGGGTGAATGGGTAAGTTAACACAAGACCACTGCCTCAGCAGAATCTCAGATTTTTGTATTGGGGTAAGAAATCAATCATACCTCCGAAGTCAAGTAATGCCCAGTCCATGTGTGATTCAGAGGAAGAAGCTTTATCAGCAATCGTGTGTAATAAAATGCTTCACTCCTACCAGCTCTGCCTCCCTCCTATCACCTTGAATTTCAATGCATAAAACCAAGAGGCAGGAGAAATGAGCGTCTCTGTCACCAAGAATAGGAGCTCCAGGAGATCAGAAATTCTGTTTTTCTTAATCAATCATTGTTAAGGCTCTAGTGCCTAGAACAGTGTGTGGCATACAAAGGATCCCCAAAAGTGCCGAATGAAGGCGTGAACAAGAGAAAATGGCTCTTAACTTTTGCGGGGGTCCTATCTCACCCTTTGATAAATCAAGACATACATCCCTGACAGAAACTATGGCATAGTGCTCTAAAGAAACACATTACTCACAATTTTCAAATAAAATAGGCCATCTCTTATTGAGGGAACAGGAAGAGGGAGGGAGTGCTATAATAAAAGGATAACCCTACAATAACTAGTGGGGACAACCAAAAGAATGAAGAGTGACAGAAAAAAAGCCATTCAGCAAATGTGGGGCCACTGTCACCAGTTTCCTCTTGAGAACTGACAGAGAAGACAGACTGTATCGGATTCAAAAGGGTCTGCCACCCAAGTAATCAGTCCCCTTTCTAATTACTGTAATATTTTTTCAGATGTCAAGTGTTTACAAGAAGAGTAGTACATGTGACGGAGCTTGTGTGTCTGTGTGGACACATGGGACCCTTTCCTTCCACAAATCTTGAAATAACATCATTCCTAGGCTTTTACTGTTCATCATAAAAATGGCTTCTCCCAGGACCAAAAAAAGCAACAACATTTATCAAAATAAAGCAGCGGGATAATCAAAATACTTTCTGGAATTCTCCAACTTGGTAACACTTCTAGAAGGTTGCCATTGGCTCAGTGGGTCTTTGTGACTGGAAACAAAAGGTTTTGCATCTTTTTGCAGGGCAAGGTTGAAGCTGAGTTCCACCTAGTTACAGCAGAAGAAGCTGAGAAAAATCCTGTTGGAAAAGCCCGAAAGGAGCCAGAGCCCCTGGCCAAGCCCAAGTGAGTGGAGTTGCTAGTGGGAACATCAGAAATGGGAAGGGGCCTTTGCAGTCCTTGCTGGTGTCTGATAATGGCATTTCTTTAGAGCAGCCCTGTGGGAGAACTGGGAAGCCAGGAGGCAGTCAATTGGTGCTTTCCAACCTGTGTAGCTTTTCGAAGAAAAAGCTAAATATAAGACATATAAGACATAAAGTATGCCTTCCAGGAGCTTTCGATCTATTTGGGGAAAATAACACATTCATAAAATAGTTGTCAGAGCGTAGAAGACTCCGTAGTTTCAAAAGGGGGTGAGTCAAGCGATGAATGAGTTAGGAACTTGAAGTGAAGGGAATCATTGGGGCCTGAGGCTGTCAGGAAAGACTTCATAGAAAAGGTGGGATTTGAGCTGGCAGGTTGGACAGATGGAGGGTGGTGGGGCCTTGGGCTGGGTTCTAACTGGACTCTCGCTCTCTGCTCCACACCAACCTTTAACCATGATACAGGAATCCTCATCATATAAATGTCAGGCTGCTCCTGCTTCAGGCAACATGCTCTTCTCCCATTTTCAGGGCTCTCCCTATGGGTCCTCAGAAAGTGGGAGTCGGAAACACTTCCTGGGGTCTTAAGCATTCTGAGTGTTGACAGGATGCCCCCTTTTTGATTTTCTCTTCCTTCCCCCTCAGCCGCCCAGACACCTCCTTTTCGTGGTTCATGAGCCCCTTTAAGTGCCTGTACTACCTCATCTGGAAGAATTACAAAAAGTACATCATCATTGCTTTCATTCTCATCATCCTCATCATCTTCCTCGTCCTTTTCATCTACACCTTGCCAGGAGCCATCAGCCGAAGGATCGTTGTGGGCTCATAGAGGATCATGGAGGACCCAGATCCTCGCCATATACTAATCCTCTCTTCCTTATCTGGGAGCATCTAAGAACATGTCCCATGCATGGCACTGTGCTGAGTGCTAAGGGGACAGATCAACCCTTCTTGGAAGAGATGGAAAAGAAACATTTCCTCCCTGCTCCAACCCCTGCCTCCAAGTTTCAAACTTGTAAGGCATGTTTTATCCCTTGGGCAGCATGAAATAAGGCACTTTCACCTCATGGTAATCAACAATGACCTCAAATTGACTTAGATCAATGTTTTCTTTATGTAATTGGTTATATTCTGAGAAGTTTAGTTCTGGGTCAGAGATTTTATTAGAAGTATTTTATCTTAAATAAATTTTTAGGCCAGTTGTGGTGGCTCACGCCTATAATCCCAGCACTTTGGGAGGCTGAGGCAGGTGGATCACTTGAGGCCAGGAGTTCAAGACCAGCCTGGCCAACATAGTGAAACAGCTTCTATACTAAAAATACAAAAATTATCGGGCATGGTGGCACGCACCTGTAATCCCAGCCACTTGGGAGGCAGAGGTTGCAGTGAGCCGAGATTGTGCCACTGCACTCCAGCCTTGGTGACACAGCAAGACTCTATATTGGAAAAATATAAAAATAAAGATAAAATTTTAGAGCAAACAAACTGAAAATATTATAGCAAATTACTAGATATTGAACCTGTCCCATATATCATAACCTTGTGTAATCCTTATAGTTTACAGAACACATTCACTTAGGCTGTGAAACAGGCTTGCAGACAATGTCACATAAATCATCTAAAATACCTTATTGATGAAATTTCCATCTAGAGATGAGATGTTGTGGATTTTCTATTAAAGTCACCACTTGCAGAACATGTTCAATAGTAGTAGTTGGTTCTGGAGAAACCTATTTTGATTTACACTCTGTGGCAATTTCCAGATGGGAACTTTATAATGTGTTGTAAGATATATGAAATATAATTGTGTGGATGGGTCAGGGGCAGCTCCATGCCACCAGTAGGAATTCTCTTTCTTTTGTCAGATATACAAGCTCCACCAAGTATGGTGTTCCCATAGACCATGATACAAATGGCCATCCCTGGCACTATTCAGCACTTAGCCTGACCACCATATGTACCAGGTTTTATCATGAATCTTAAGCACAAATTTTTATTTTATTTCAGACAGTGTCTTACTCTTCACCCAGGCTGGAGTATAGTGGCACAATCTCGGCTCACTGCAATCTCCGCCTCCTGGGTTCAAGCAATTCTCATGCCTCAGCCTCCCGAGTAGCTGGGATTACAGGCACTCGCCACCACACCTGGCTAATATATTTTTTTGTATTTTTAGTAGAGATGGGGTTTCACCAGGTTGGCCAGGCTAGTCTTGAACTCCTGGCCTCAAGTGGTCTGTCCACCTCGGCCTCTCAAAGTGCTAGGATTACAGGCAGGAGCCACCACACCCAGCTGCTTAAGCACAAACTAATTTCAAAACCAGTCTTAGAAATGATATCCTACGCACTTGTCAAACGGGGTCAGTTTTTCTTGAAAGTAAACCTCTGCTCTTCATCACACAATCTAAATCTGCCACCCTACCTAAGGCAGGGACTTAAAATGAGGGGCAGGTTTTCTCAGATAAAATAAGCAAACAGACGAATTGGAATATTTCGTCTCAATTCCCATGTACAATTTTCAGCCTCATATGCAAATCAATATGGCAACCATCTCTTTTTTCTATCAGCAAGAGCCATGTGTTGGTATTAAGAGGCTAGGTTGTAGTTCCCCTCTTGACACCAGAAACACCAGGCCTACTGTTTTGTTTGATAGCCTAGCACAGATGTAACTCTTCTAAAGGGTAACATTTACTACTACACAGAAAGTCATTTTTAGAATGTTCCTAGTCCATCCAAGAAAGGCTAAAAAATGTTCTGTGTGATTCTGGACTTAAGAAGTCTTTTTCACTGAATTCTGGCCCTAGATGCTCACTCAACTAGTAACCATAATGCCCTGTTTTTCCCAAATGCTGAAATGGAACATTTACTGCATTGGCAATGTTTTCTAGTGGGATTGGTTACAGAAACTGTCATTCATTCTTACTGTGCAATATTACACAGCCATAATTAATGATGTAGTTAAAAACATTTGATGGCATATAATATATACATTGAATACATTGTAAGTAAGAAAATATACAGGTTAGAAAACTGTAGGTATAGCATATTGTAAAAAGAAAATATATATACACGCATAGCGAAAAATGTCAGGAAGAATATACCAAAATGTTAACGATTATCTTTAAGTAGTATCATCTTTTTTACTTCTTGTCTTTCTGTTTCTCCTAAAACTTCTAAAATAAAAAGGTATTATTTTTCATGTAAAAGTTTAATAAACTTATGTGTCCATTTAAAAATATTCATCGAGTGTCTCCTATGTTCTGGGCAGTGGGGATACGGCAGAGATAAGACAAACATGTCAGCCTACCTCCATGGATCTTTCACTCCAGTAGCTCCCCAAGATATTTTATCTTCAAATTATGGGTCATCCAAGAAAGGTACCAGATAAGGAATGTATTTCACGGATGAGGTTTAGGAAAAAGTATGAATACACCTCTGGTGATGTTGACAAGGAGAAGAGAATTATTTTAGGATAAATTTGAAAGTAAGGTATTTATTATACTTTCTGCTGGATTGTGGACAGGAAGATGACAGGTAAACTCTTGACAAAATGTGCATTTTTCAAGTTCATAATAAAAAGCTAAAGTTGAAAATCCTTCTTAGTCAAACAGAGCTCATTAACTCTCCTTTGATGTCAAAAGACATCCAAATGCTAAAAGCCTGGAGCAGTATTTGAAACACTTTTGGATCAGATGGCATCTTAAGAAATGTGTGAGAAGAAGTGGAAAGCAATGATAATTTTGGAATCAGCTATGTCTGGTATTCTATACATAGTATATTACATGCCTATCCTGCATGTAAAAATTAAATAAAATAATGTTCTGTGCCTAATTGTGCAGCCCTGGTGCTAAAGATATTAGTGTTTTTTTTTTTAAACCCATTTCCCGAGAAGTTGTCATGAGTTCCTACTTGTGTTCTTAAATAAGATTAATTTAAATTTATTCATTTGACAGCTTAGAGTTTTCTTACAGTTTAAATCTGTTTCAGAAAGGTTTTATTTATGTATTTTACAACATTTGAATCTTTTTCCCCCAAACAAAGCAAAACAAAATTAATACCAGCAATAACAACAACAACAACAAAAACAACAAACAACCCACAGGATGGGATATCCAGTTCTGTAGGTTGAAACATTTGGTACCTCTCTTGCTCTCTCCTTTATAAGACACATACATGGAAATTACAAGATCTACTTAACAGCTGGGGCCATTTGGTGCTTTTTCATTTAACAGATAATTATTGAGTTCCATCCATTCCAGGTGCTGTAATCGGCACTGGGGATACAAAAGTGAACAGTTAAAGTCCTTGCTCAAACTCATGGAACACAGAGCTTGATGGAGAGAAGACATAAAACAATCACACACATAGATCATTACAGACTGATGGACTAAACAGAAACAAAATACTGGAAGCAGAGAAAGAACACCTTCCAGGGGGCCTGTACCCAGTCTGGCATCAGAGAGGCATCCTGGGGAAGGGATGGCTTAACGGAGATGACAGAAGAAGAGATGGAGAGAAGGAAGAGCTCCCAGACAGAAGATGGCATGTGCAAAGGCCCCGTGGTGAGAGGGTGCAAGGCACATAGAGAAGTCTGAATGACGGCATCATAGTGAGAGTCAGAGGGTCCTGAGATGGAGCTGGAAAGTCACGCAGGGGCCATATCCTTAAGGGTTTGGGTCTTTATTTTAAGGGCAATGGATAGCTATTGAAGAATTTTAAGCAATGGAGAGGTAAACTTAGATTTCCATTCCATATGGAGAACAGATTAGTAGCCCTTCAGACAAGAGAGTGGCTATGTTCACTCAGTAATGGCAGTAGATGAGGGAAGCGGAGGGATCAGAGATTCTATCTTTAAGGCTCCAGTGTGGTCTAATGGGGAACTTGGATCTAGTGTTGACTCTGTTTCATACAAACTATGTGACCTAAGGTGGCTACCTTCTCATCTCTGATCCACAGTTTCCTAGTCATATGAGGAGGTTCATATAAATGGTGAGGAAAAGTCCATGGCATATTCTGGTGCAAGACTAACACGTTGATGGGTCTGTAGCATGGAGAGTTTGAAGGGGTGGATTGAACTCAGAGCTGGATTGTGAAGGGCTTTGAATGCCATGCTAAGAAGGTTGGATTTATGCAACATAAAGTGGTGAACGCTGGGAGGGTTTAAGCAGAGAAGTGGCAAGAACAGGTCTATGAATTCGACAAGTTGTTCAGCCTTCTGTGCAAAACAAATTGTCAGGGACAATTGAGGTGGGAGAGAGACATCCTAGGAATCACAAGACATAACCCTGGCAGTGATAAAGGAGCCAAAAAGAAATTATTTAGGCAGATAGTGAGCGTAAGAGAGTTCTCAGTGGAAGTCGCTTTTAATAAAAAGCAGCCCCCAAAATAATTTTCTAACAGAAAGCAGCCTGAAGAATCAAGCTGCAAACATAGATAAGCAAGCTGGAAGCTTACATAGGTAAATGCCGGCAGCTATGCCAATAGAAAAGGACTACCTGGAAGCCAGGTATGTTCAACATGGAGGCTCCCACCTTTTCTTTGTCATCATGTGTGCAGTAAACAAGCAGGTAACATGGCGCCAGCCAGGTAGAGAACCCATCTGCATAATAAGAGATTAGGGTGGAGCGGTCAGCTTCTTTGTGCACTATGTAAATGGAACATCTGGTCCAACCAATCCTCTGTGCCCTATGTAAATCAGACACTGCCTCAAGCTCATCTATAAAACCAACCTCATCGCACTGGGAACCGGAAGATCCATTCCAAACCTCTTCCCTCTGCACAAAGGAGATTTTCTCTTTTGCCTATTAAACTTCTGCTCTTAAACTCACTCCTTGTGTGTCTGCATTCTTAATTTCCTTGGTATGAGGCAATGAACCTCGGGTATTACCCCAGACAAACGACGTCGATGCCACTTCAGCAGGATATAAGAACCTATGCCAGGACCATGGCTGCGAGGATGGAAAGGAAAAGCCAGATTCCAGAATCTTGATGACGTTCCTCCCAGAGGTGCCTGCCAGAGAGGACAAGGGAGTTTGGATGCTGGCTCCACCATTTCTACCTGGGCGGGTCACTTAGCCTCCCAGAGTCTCAATTTCCTCATTTGATAAAAAGAAGGTATTACCTGCTTGGCAAACGTTGGTGTAAAGATTGAAGAAAATGTATGGAAAGCGTATAGCAAGAGCCTGGCACAAAGCCAGTCCTCATAGGTAGTAGCTTAGGTCACAGGTATCACTTCTACAGGCAGAATCAACAGGGTATGGGGCTTAATTGGAAATGGACAGTGAGAAAAAAGGATCAGACCTTTTAGAAATGTTCTGCTACACAGACTAAGAAACTTTTCAACCAGTAATTATCCTGAATGCATTAGTTTTCTATTGCTTTCTGTAACGGATTACAACAAACTCAGTCGACTAAAGCAATACAGATTTACTGTCTTACAGTTCTGTGGGTCAGAAGTCCACCATGGGTCTCACTGAGCTAAACTCATGATGCTGGCAGGGCTGCCTTCCCTCTGGAGGCTTTAGGGGAGAGGCTGCTTCCTGGCCTTTTTCAGCTTCTAGAGACGGCCTACATTCCTTGGCTGTGGGCCCCCTTTCTCCATTTTCAAAGCCAGCAACATTCCAGCATCTCTCTGTGCCTTTCTTCTGTAGTCACATCTCACTCTGACTACACCTGAAAAAGTTCTTGCTTTTTTTTTTAATGCGTCTAATATTTTAAATTATTTTGTTTTATTTATTTATTTTGAGACAGAGTCTCACTCTGTTGCCCAGTGCAGATCACACTGGAGTGCAGTGGTGTGATCTTGGCTCACTGCAACCTCCACATCCCAGGCTCAAGCAATTCTGTCTCAGCCTCCTGGGTAGCTGGAATTACAGGCAACAGCCACCATGCCCGGCTAATTTTTGTATTTTTGGTAGAGATGTTGTGTCACCATATTGGCCAGGCTGGTCTTGAACTGCTGACCTCAAGTGATCTGCCCGTCTTGGCCTCCCAAGTGCTGGGATTACAGGCGTGAGCCACCATGTCTGGCTTAAGTTGTTATTTCTTTTAAGGCCCATGTGATAATATTGCCCCCCACTCTATAATCCAGGATAATTTCCCCCATTACAAGGTCCTTAATCACATTTGCAAAGGAGACACTTTGTCATATAAAGGACCATTCACAGGTTTTAGGATTAGGACATGGGCTTTTTTTTTTTTTTTTTTTGGCAGAGGGAGATACTATTCGACTACCACATTGAATATCTCCCAGGCATGGTAGTTCAGCTCAGTTTGGAAGTCAATTCAGCAGAGCTTTGAAAGTTGGTGGGATGATTATGGTATGTGAAAGGGAAGGCTCCACAGACACTTTTCTCTCAGAACAAGATGTTTTCATTTGCTGTTCAACCTCTCAAGTGACAATTATCTCAGAAACAAAAGGACAGGATCCCTCCTGTCCTTCCCTGACTGATTAAATCCTGGAAAGCACAGTGGATGAGGTGCTTTCTGAGCAGATGTGACAGGACTCTGCCACTTCTTCCCACATCCCAGCCTCAGGAGAGCCACATAAACTCTTAAGTTCAGCTTTTCTTTAACGCAGCAGTAGTTTCTTTACGTTCTTTGTTCTCCCTAGTTTACAAAGGGCAATTTGAGAAAAGTACATTTTTCTGAAGCATTGTGTGGTTTCTGCATCATTGTACTAGCACAAAGAAAATGGGCTTTGGAAATGGAGAGAATGCCACTGAAACTTAGGCGTAGCCACTTACTAGCTGCATGACCTGGAGGGAGTTATTCAATGGCTCTGAATCTCATGTTCCTGATGCATAAAATGAAGATAACACCCATCTTACAGGATTGTGTGGGTTGGGCATGTGATGACTGGGGACAGAAGTAGAGGAACATTATTATATAAAGTGTCTAGTGTATTGTCTTCTATATCATAGGAATTTAAATTAATAATCGCTTACTATCTAAGCAACAAACTAATATTCCTTCAGTGCTCTTATAGATTACAAAGTAATACATACAGTTCCTCAGGAATTCTCCCAAGAATCCCATTTTGTAGAGAGGAAACAGCTACAGGAACCTCCAGATCACCCGTTCATTTGGAACAGACCTAAGACCCAAGCCCAGGCCTCCTTTCTACTCCTTTGCGCTTTCCTTCCTAAGAGGCTGCCTGATGGTTTATTTAAGGTGGGTAGGGTTGCCTCCAGGCAGAAAATTCCTCAGTGATTTTTTGAGGTTCATTCATGAGTTTAGGGGTTGATCTAGCACCCCTGAAACATCTCAAATGTTTTACACAACACTATCATGTTTTGAGCCTCCCTTTTTACTTGAACCACATCATTTGATGGTTAGAGAATATAATGGGCATCTCTCATTCATGCTACCCTAGACCTTTAAATACTTTTTTTTCCACATTTGACACATCTTCTAGTGAGAATCTCCCCATTCTCAGTGCAGAAAACAAACTCCGGAGTACAGACATTTAACTGAGCTCCCCACAGCCGGGCATACAACTTGGAAATTAGTTGTGTGAAGAAACAGACCAAGAAGGAGGTATCGATCACCCCAGACACTGCTAGCTGCAAAATAAACATCCATTTCTCCATCCTTCTTGGAAGTAGAATCCCAGCTGTAGTTGGGGGAGAATGTGCTAAACTAAAGGCACGTATTTCCAATCTCTTGCTATTAGGGGTAGCCAAGGTTATGTAAGCAGAGATCACTGGGGAGGGCTTTTAGGAAATCTCATTAAAGGGAGTTCACTCAGTGGCAGGCTCTCCATGCATTTCTTCTTCCTCCTTCATCCCATCTGAATTGTGGTGTGATAGCTGGGGTCACATCGATTGTAAAGTCGCCAAGCCATTTCTAGTTGGTCTGTCTCTGGATTTTTCTATGCAAAAGCCAAATAAACCCCTATCTTTCTAAAGCCAAAGTTATTTGGGGGTGTTGGTGTTATACACAGCTGAATCAAATCCCAGCTGACACAAAGAAGCTTTCCTTGACCTTACAGAAATGGAGTCACTTTCTTCCAGTACCTTGTCTGAGTTGCTTCACCTCAGCTCAATAAAGGACCAGGTAACACTAGGCCCCTTTGTGATGACATTTCTCTTCAAGTTAGAGCTAAAGCCCATGGAGAATTTCATGTCAGGAGGCACCTCTGCATTGATGGACCAAGCCAAGCAGTTAGAATCTTCAAGTAAAAGTTCTCTTTTATTTCCTGAGCTTCTCTTAAATTTCACCTTTAACTTTTTAAAATTTACTTTTAATTTTGGTATAATATACATAACACAAAATTTACCAATTTAACTACTTTTACAAGTACAGTTTTGTTTTGTTTTTTCCTTTTCTTTTCATGGAGAATGGGGTCTCGCTATATTGCCTGGGCAGGTCTTGAATTCCTGGGCTCAGGCTATCCTCCTGACTCTGCGTCCCTAAGTGCTGGGATTACAGATGTGAGCCACTGTACTTGGCCATGTACAGTTCTGTGACATTAAGTACATTCACATTATCAGGCAACCATCATTGCCATCTATCTCTGGAACTTTTTTCATATTGTAAGACTGAAACTTTGTACCCATAACCCCCCATTTCTCCCTCCCCCTAGCCCCTGGAAATCACCATTCTACTTTCTGTATGAATTCGACTAATACAGTATTTGTTCTTTTGTGATTGGTGTATTTCACTTAGTATACTGTCTTCAAAGGTTCATCTATGTTGTAGCATGTGTCAGAATTTCTCTCCTTTTAAAAGCTGAATAAAATAAAAACACCACATTTTGTTTATCCATTCATGGGCACTTGAATTGCTTTCACCTTTTTGCCATTGTAATTAATGTGGCTATAAACATAGGTATACAAATATCTCCTCCAGACACTGTGTGATAGTCTGTTCTTGCATTACAATGAAGAAATTCCCGAGACTGGGTAACTTATAAAGAAAAGAAGTTTAGGGGAGTTGGGTCAAGATGGCAGACTAGAAGCAGCTCATGTGTGCTGCTGTCATGGAGAGGAAACGAAAGGGCTAGTCAATGCTGACTCTGCAGGCTGATCATCTGACAAACACATCAGGATCCATCAAAGCAGCCAGGGAACACAGAGAGCAGAGAGGAGGGAAGCTGGGCACCAGCCTGTCTGGGCTCATTGCAGAACTGGAAGAACCTCTCCATCATGGGAAAGGGTGAGTGAGTGAGAGCCTCCTGAGGGATTCACATTCTTCACAGGGATCTATGAAAAACTGGGAATAGGAGAATCCCCCTGGCACCCTAACACAACCTCTCCAACCACACTTCTAAACTGAGACAGAGAGCCACTTGGATGTTTTGCAGGAGAAACTTTTGAGTCTAAGGGGACCTCTACAAGTCTTGACGTCTGCAGCAGACCAGCACTGGTGTCATGGCCCCAGTAGGGGCTGCAGTCACAGTGCCTGGGAGCAGTAGGATTGCTCTGCCCACTCTCACCAGACAAGGCTCAGCACCAACTTCCAGCCCAGCAGACTACTTCTGTGTGAACTCAGCCAGTGGGTGACCCTACCCACTCCTGCCACTGGTAGCCCAGGAGGGCAACGCCTGCTAGAGATTCCAGCCCAGTGATCTCACTTCCACTTGAACTCAGTTGCAGGCACAGCCTCTTGTCATTCTAGGAAGCACCCGGATGGCAGAGTGGGTGGCCTCACCTACCCCTGGTGGCCAGGCAGGCAATGGCTGTTAGGACTTCTAGCCCAGTGGTCCCACTTCTGTGTGAACTCAGCTGGCAGGTGCAGCCTCCTGTTGTCCTGGGAAGCACCTGGATGGCAGGATGGGCCACCCCTGCCATTGGTAGCCAGGTGGGCAAGGGCTGCTAGAGCTTCCAACCAAGTGGTATTGCTTCTGTCTGAATGTAGCCAGCAGATACAGCCTCCTGTTGTTCTGGGAGGCAGCCAAACAGTGGGTTCAGTGACTCCACCTACCTCTACCTCTCATAGCCAGGTGAACCACACCTGCTAGTGCTCCCAGCTCAGGAGTCCTACTTCTGACTGAATTTCCTGAGAGGAACAGCCTCCTGTTATCCCAGAAATACCTAAATGACAAGACAGGCAACTCCAGCTATCCCCACCTATTGCAGCCAGACAGGCCACACTCACTACAGCTTGCAGCCCACAGTCCCACTTCTGTCTGAACTCTGCAGGTGGGTGCAACACTGTGTTTCCCTGGGAAGCACTCAGACAGACAATTAGGGCTGACCCAGCAGGCATACAGCCTGTCTGCCAATTGCAGCCTCTACTTGAGGGAGCCCCATGGACCAGAACCCCCCAAAAAAGAAACGTGACACTAATTAGAGGGGGTTCCAAGACTCAGCAGTGGACTAGACTCAAAACCAATTGACTGAACCCACCTTATACCACAATCAAACCCCCAAAGGCATCAAAGAACATTAAAAAAACCCATACAAAGGACAGCAACTTCAAAGATAGAAGCATCAGCCCATGCAGATAAGAAAGAACCAGTGCAAGAACTCTGGCAACTCAAAAAGCCATGGTGTCTTCTTGCCTCCAAATAGCAGTAGTTCCCCAGCAATGGTTCTTAACCAGGTTGAAATGGCTGAAATGTCAGAAATTGAAGAAGATGGATAGGAAGGAAGATGGACATTCAGGAGAAAGTAAAAAACCAATCCAAGGAATCTAAGGAATACAATAAAACAATACAGGAGATAAAAGACAAAATGGCCATTTTAAGAAAGAACAACTTGAATTACTAGAGCTGAAAAACTCAGTTCAAGAACTTTATCATACAGTTGCAAGTATTAACAGCAGACTTGACCAAGCTGAAGAAAGAATCTCAGAGCTCAAAGATGAATTCTCCAAAATAACTCAGTCAGACAAAATTAAGGGAAAACCAATAAAGAATAAACAAATCCTACTAGATATATGGGATTACATAAAGAGACCAAATCTATGATTCATTGGTATCCCTGAAAAAGAGGGTGAGAAAGCAAGCAACTTGGAAAACATATCTGAGGATAGCATCCATGAAAATGTCCCTAACCTTGCTAGAGAGGCCAACATTCAGGAAATGCAGAGAACCCCTGTGAGATGCTATACAATATGGCCATCCCCAAGATACATGGACATCAGATTATTCAAGGTTGAAGTGAAAGAAAAAAATATTAAAGGAAGCTAGAGAAAAGGGACAAGTCACCTACAGAGGAAATCCCATCGAGCTAACAGCAGACCTTTCAGTAGAAATCCTATAAGCCAGATGAGATTAGGGGCCTATATGCAGCATTGTTACAGAAAAGAAATTCCAACAAAAAATTTCATATCTGGCCAAACTAAGCTTCATAAGAAAAGGAGAAATAAGATCACTCTCAGACAAGCAAATACTAAGAGAATTTGTTACCACCAGATTTGTCTTACAAGAGGTCCTTAAGGGAGTTCTAAATATGGAAAGCAAAGATTGTTACTGGCTACCAAGAAAACACACTTAAGTACATAGACCATTGACACTATAAAGCAACCACACAAGCAAGTTGATATAATAACCAGCTAACAACATGATGACAGAATAAAACCTGTACATATCAATATTAACCTTGACTATAAACAAGCTATTAATAAATGCCCCAATTAAAAGGCATGGAGTAGCGAGTTGGATAAAGAAGCAGGACCCAATTCTATGCTATCTATAAGAGACTCACAACACATGCAACACAACCCATAGGCTCAAGGTAAAGGGATGGAGAAAAATGCACCAAGCAAACAGAAAACAGGAAAAAAAAAAGCAGGAGTTGCTATTCTAATTTCAGACCAAACAGATTAAACCAACAATGATCAAAAAAGACAAAGACATTACATAGTGGTGAAGGGTTCAATTCAACAAGACCACCTAACTATGCTAAGTATATATGCACCCAACACAGGAGCCCCTATATTCATAAAGCAAATTCTTAGAGATGTATGAAGAAACCTAAATAACCATACAATAATAGTGAGAGACTTCAACCCATCACTGAGAGTATTTGACAGATTGTTGAGGCATCAAACAAAGATATTCAGGACCTGAACTCAACATTTGACCAAATGGGCCTAACAGACATCTACAGAACTCTTTTCCCAAAACCAACAGAATATACATTCTTGTACTCTGCATATAGAACACACTCTAAAATTGACCACACAACAGCCATAAAACAATCTCAGAAAATTCAAAAAAACCCAAAATCATACCGAACACTCTCAGACCACAGCACAACAAAAATAGAAATCAATACTAAGAAAATCACACAGAACCATACAATTTCATGGAAAGTAAACAATCTGCTCCCAAACGACTTTTGGTTAAACAATGAAATTAAGGTAGAAATCAAGAAATTCTTTGAAACTAGTGAGAGCAAAGATAAAACATACCAGAATCTCTAGGACATAGCTAAGGCAATGTTAAGAAGGATGTTTATAATGTTAAATGTCCACATCAAAAAGTTAGAAAGATCTCAAATTAACAACCAACATTTCACCTAAAGGAACTAGAAAAACAAGAGCAAAACAACCCTGAAACTGTGAGAAGACAATAAGTAACCAAAATTAGAGCTGAACTATAGAAAACTGAGACATGAAAAACCATACAAATGATCAACAAATCCAGGAGTTTGTTTCTGGAAAGAATAAATAAGATTTACAGACCACTAGCTAGACTAACAAAGAAAGTAAAGATCTAAATAAACATAATCAGAAATGACAAAGGAGACATTTGCAACCAACCCCACAAAAATACAAAAAAACTCTGAGACTACTACAAATACCTCTATGCATACAAACTAGAAAACCTAGAAAAAATGGATAAATTCCCAGAAACATATAATCTCCCAAGATTGAAGCAGGAAGAAATTGAATTATTGTACAGACCAATGAGTTCCAAAATTGAATCAGTAATAAAAAGCCTACCAACCAGAAAAACCCCAGGACCAGAAGGATTTACAGACAAATTTTACCAGATATATAAACAAGACCTGGTACCATTTCTACTAAAACTATTCCAAAAAATTGAGAAGGGACTCCTTCCTAACACATTTCATGAGGCCAGCATCATCTTGATACCCAAACCTGGCAGAAATGCAACAAAAAAAGAAAAATTCAGGCCCATAACCCCAATGAACATAGATGCAAAAATCCTCAACAAAATACTAGCAAACTGAATCCAGCAGCATATCAAAAAGCTAACCCACCACATACAAATAAGCTTTATCCCTGGAATGCAAGGTTGGTCCAATACATGCAAATCAATAAATGTAATTCATCACATAAACAGATCTAAAAACAAAAACCACATGATCATATCAATAGATGCAGGAAAAGCTTAAATAAAATTCAACATCCCTGTATGCTAAAAACATTCAAACTAGGCATTGAAGGAACATACCTCAAAATAAGAGCCATTTATGAAAAATTCACAGCTGAAATCATACCCCGGGGAAAAGTTGGAAGCATTCCCCTTGAGAACTAGAACAAGACGAGGATTTCCACTCTCACAACTCCTATTCAACATAGTACCGGAAGTCCTAGCCAGAGCAATCAGACAAGAGGAAGAAATAAAAGTCATCCAAATAGGAACAGAGGAAGTCAAACTATCTCTGCTTGCAGATGACATGATTCTTACTTAAAATACCCCATAGTTTCTGCCCAAAAGCTCCTAGATTTAATAAGTTCAGCTAAGTTTTAGGATACAAAGTCAACATACAAAAATTAGTAACATGTCTATATACCAACAACATTCAAGCTGATAGCCAGATCAAGAATGCAATCTCATTCACAATAGCCACATAAAGAATAAAATACCTTGGAATACAGCTAACCAGGGAGGGTGAAAGATATCTGCAATAAGAATTATAAAATACTGCTCAAAGAAATCAGGGATGACACAAACAAATGGAAAAATACTTCATGCTCATGGACAGGAAGAAGCAATATTGTAAGAATAGCCATATGGCCCACAGCAATATACAGATTCAATGCTATTCCTATCAAACTACCAGTGACATTCTTTACAGAGTTAGAAAAATAATCTTAAAATTCATATGGAACCAAAAAAGAGCTTGTATTCAAGGGAATCCTAAGCAAAAAGAACATAGCTAGAGGCATCACATTACCTGACTTCAAACTATACTACAAGCCTACAGTAACCAAACAGCATGGTACTGGTACAAAAAACAGACACACGGACCAATGGAGCAGAATATAGAGACCAGAAACAAAGCCACACACCTACAACCATTTGATCCTCAACAAAGTTGACAATAATATGCAACAGGGAAAAGATTCTCTATTCAATGAATCGTGCTGGGAAAACTGGCTAGACATATGCAGCAGACTGAAGTTGGACTCCTTCCTTACAACATATACAAAAATCAAAGACTTAAGTGTAAAACCTACAACTATAAAAACCCTGCAAGATAACCTAGGATATATCATTCTGGACATAGGCCTTGGCAAAGATTTTATAACAAAGATGCCAAAGCAATTGCAACAAAAACAAAAATTGACAAATGGGACCTAATCAAACTAAGGAGTTTCTGCACCTTAGTTTCCTTTTATTCTGTTGAAAGGAAACTATCAACGGAGTAAAGAGACAACCTACGGAATCAGAGAAAATATTTGCAAACCATGCATCTGACAAAGGGCGAATACTCAGAATCTATTAGGAGCTTAAATTTATAAGAGAAAACCCCATTAAAAAGTGGACATAGGACATGAACAGAAACTTTTCAAAAGAAGACATACACAAGGCCAACCAGCATATGAAAAATAATGCTCAACATCATTAACCGTTATAGAAATGCAAATCAAAACCACAATGAGATACTATCTCACACCAGTCAGACTGGCAATTATGAAAAAGGCAAAAAATGACAGACATTGGCATGGTTGCAAAGAAAAGGGATGCTTATACACTGCTGGTGAAAATGTAAGTTAGTTCAGCCATTGTGGAAAGTAGTGTGACGATTTCTCAAAGAACTTAAAGCAGAAGTACCATACGACCTAGCAATCCCGTAATTGGGTATATACTCAAAGGAATATAAATCATTCTATCATGAAGACACATGTATGCGTATGTTCACTGCAGCACTATTCACAATAGCAAAAACATGGAATCAACATTAATGCCCATCAATTGTAGACTGGATAAAGAAAATATGGTACACATACACCACGGAATACTATGCAGCCATAAAAAAAATGTGATCACGTCATTCGCAGCAACATGGATGGAGCTGGAATCCATTATCATAAGTGAACTAGCACAGGAACAGAAAACCAAATACCGCATGTTCTCATTTATAAGTGGGAGCTAAACATTGAATACACATGGACGCTAAGAAGGGAATAACAGACACTGGGGCCTACTTGAGTGGGGAGGAGGGAGAGAATTTAAAAAACTACCTATTGGGTATTATGCTTATTACTGGGGTGATGAAATGATCTGTACACCAAACCCTTGTGACACACAATTTACCTATATAACAAACCTGCACATGTACCCCTGAACCTAAAAAAAATTTAAAAAATCCAACCCCACTGGAAACAAGAAAAAAAAAATGTAAAGAGGTTTAATTAGCTCATGGTTTTGTGGGCTATACCTGAAGTATGGCGCTAGCATGTTCTTAGCTTCTGTGAGGCCTTGAGCTGCTTACAATCATGGCGGAAGGTGAAGCAGGAGCAGGCATCTCACATGGCAAGAACAGGAGCAAGAGAGAATGATGGGGACGATGTCACACACTTTCAACCAACCAGATCTCAGGAGAACTCACTATCTTGAAGACAGCCCTAAGTCATGAGGGATTCGCCCCTATGACCCAAACTCTTCCCACCAGACCCCACCTCCAAAATTGGGGATTACATTTCAACATGAGATTTAGAGGGGACAACATCCCATCTATTATCACCTTGCTTTCAATTCTTTTGGGTACATTTCCAGAAGTGTATTTGCTGAGCCATATGGTAATTTGATTTTTAACTTTTTGAGAAACTATCATACTGTTTTCCATAGTGGCTACACTACTTTATATTCCAACCAGCAGTGCTCCAATCCAGAAGTGTTCCAATTTATCCAATCCTTACCAATATTTGTTATTTTTGGAGTTTTTTTTTGATACAACTTTTTCAGTAGGTGGTGGGTGTGAAGTGCTATCTTGTGGTTTTGAATTTGCTCTCCCTAATGGTTAGTGACATTGAGTGTCTTTTCATGTACTTATTGGCCATTTGTATATCTTCTTCGGATAAATTCCTGTTTGTCTTTTGTCTATTTTTAATCAGATTTTTATTGTTGCTGCTGTTGAGTTTAGGAGTTTCCTGTATATTCTGGATATTAATCCCTTATCAGACAGGTGACTTGCAAATATTTTCTCTCATTCCATGGTTGCCTGTTTACTCTGTTGATAGTCATTTTATATACCAATTTAAAATTTTCATGAACTCCAATTTGTCTATTTCTTCTTTTGTTGCTTGGGCCTTCAGTGTCATATCCAAAAAATCATTACCAAATCTAATGTCATGAAGCTTTTCTCCTAAGTTTTCTTCTAAGAGTTTTATAGTTTTAGCTGTTACGTTTCGGTCTTTGATTTTGAGTTAATTTTTGTATAGAGTGTTTGATAAGAGCCCAACTTCATTCCTTTGCTTTTGACTATCTATTTTTTTTTCCCAGCACCTTTTGTTAATATCCTTACTAAGTGTTTTTCTGTACTTCATTAATACATAATACTAATATTGTCAGATCTTTATTGCAGCAGGTATACTATTTTTCTAGATAATTTCCTATGGGAGATCTTCTATAATGTTAATCTCTGTGATGTCTATAGTCAGAATAGGCTAGGATATACTGTAGTAACAAGCCATACTGTAGTAATAAACATCCCCCCCTCGAATCTTAGAGGTTTTTCCTTTTCTTAGCAGTTTATTTCTTACTCAGAGATTTGGCTCTGAGTCTGAGGAACACTCTACATGTTGGCTGGGATTCTAGGCTGTTTTGATCATATGGACCCTCCCTATCAACACTAATTCCACAATTCCTGGGTCAGGGAAAATAGTGTGATAAGACTACAACACTATTAAATCCTTCTACTTGGAAGACTTGGCATTTCATTGGCCAGAACAAGTTAGATGGACATGCCCAACTTCAAGTGAGCAGGGAACTACAGTGACCCCTGTGCTCAGAGCAGAGGAGAACCGGATGTTGGTGAATAACAATAATGCTTTCTACATGTGGCTATAATTATTCCCAATGTACAGATCAAGAAATTAGGGCTCCACAGCTAATTATAAGAAAGTTCTATTTGGTTTTAAAACCATCTTCTCTCTTTGTTCCCAATAGCTATTGCATTGTAACTGGAAATAGACTATTTTCTCCCTAAAGAACTATCCAATTTTCTGCCTGTGCTAGTCTTTGTGATGTTTATGATGATTTAACAATACTGCTTGCTAACTGTAAGCCAACTGATTTTCAGTAAAATAACAAAAATCAGATTGTGGTGAATCTTTCTTATGGTTTTTCTGAGTCACTTACTGCTCCTAAGAGCCCACCTGGGGCTGTCAGGAAATACTCAAGGGGCTTTTTTCTTCCTTTGGCATTCAGGAAGCTCAGCTAGAGGCTTAGGAATTAGAATCCAGGCATGTAGAGGTAGCAAAGGTGACCACTAAATAGAAATAAATCTGCAGTGATGTAAATTTTAAAAATAAGCATTAGAGGTACATGACACTCTGCTCATGTTAACCCTCTACACCAGGAGGGGCTTCCTTTCTTTCTTCCAAACCCTAGTACACCTTGTTTGATCTCTCCTGTAATCCAGAACACATTTTATCTGGCTCTAGAATTCATGCTTATCATGTCTTATTCACCTCTGTATACTGAGTTTCCTCAGACCTCATCAACTGATGGGTAGAAATGAGATTACAGTGACAGTAATAACCCCATTTCATAGATTCTTATGACCCAATGTGTTCTATAGATTTCAGCTGCTTAAAAAGTCCTATTCTCTCACTCAGGGAGTAAAACATTGCTTTTAAATAAAACCTTAAACCAGGCCTTGGGTAGTTCACCCAACATCATTTCACCTCCAGATACAGCAGTGGGAATAGGTATGTGGGCAGAAGCACAGACTGGGGTGACAAGTGTTGGCCAGTGACAGCCAGTAAGAAGTATGCTGGCTGGGGCTTTGAAAAGCTCTGGTTTCTCTGACATGAGGAGTAGTCGGGCTCTTGCTTGCCCTTTGTCCTGTCCCTTGATTCCTGCCTGGAATATAGATGTGATGCGTGGAGGTGCAGCAGCCACCTTTCCACATGAGGGCTGAAGCCAAGGTCAATGACAGCACACCAAGAAGTATGAGAAAGCTTTAGCTCTGCACTGCTTCATTCAGACTTCTAGTTACAAGGAAAAAAAAAACCTTCTAACTTGTTAGTCCGGTTTTTTGTGGCTTGCAGCCAACAGCAATCCTAACTTTACAGAATGCCAAAGCACATACCTACAAAAATACAGAAGAGATTAAATTGCTTTTAAAGGAAAATATCCTCATTTGAGTCAAAATAGTAGGTAAGAGGCAGAGACTGGCCAGATTCAGGAGCTGAGGCAGGATAGACGTCTACAAAAATAGAGACTGCAGTAGCCTACGTTTAAGAACATTCCCCTCTCCCCCAGCACATCAGCACCACTCATATATAATCTGATTTATGCAGAGGCAGGGCAGAGGCAGGCACAATGACACAAAAGCCTCATAAAAACTCCGAAATAATTCAACAACTAGGTCATTTGGTGAATGGGCTTTTAGTAAATTAGCTTTCAGCAGATTGATTTTCAGCAAAGTGACTTAAAGCCTGTGTTTTCAGCTGGAACCGTTGCCATTTCCCAAGGCTGCCACACTTTCTACAATAGCTAAGCACTCCTCTGTGCCAGAGCCAGGCTGGGAACCAGCTAGGGTGACAATGCCTCTCTCCACACTCACTGTGTGCTCCGGGAGGGCCCCGGGAGAGGCCTGCTTCATCCCATGGTCCTGAAGAGATTTCAAGTGGAACAGCTCTTTGACATTCCCACGCTCCCTGGAGGATTCAGCATAGTCAATCACTGGGGTTGGGCACAGAGACAAACCCACGGGGACGCCTGAGCTTTACTCACACCCGGCCTTCCCTGCTGGGGACTGACCCTTTGATACTGGTCAAACTTTTGGTGCCCACCCTTCCTTTTTATTTTTTTAAGACCGAGTCTCTCTGTCTCCCAGACTGGAGTGCAGTGGCGTGATCTCGTCTCACTGCAACCTCCACCTCCCGGGTTCAAGCGATTCTCTTGCCTCTGCCTCCCGAGTAGCTGAGATTACAGGTGCCTGTCACCACACCCAGCTAATTTTTTGTATTTGTAGTAGAGACGGGGGTTTCACCATGTTGGCCAGGCTGGTCTCGAACTCCTGACCTCAAGCAATCACCCACCTCAGCCTCCCAAAGTGCCGGGATTACAGGTATGAGCCACCGCACCTGGCCCCCTCCTTGTTTTTAGAAACACTCCCCAGGTGTGACTACTGCTGCTGATTGGAAGACCTTTTTTGAGAGATTCTCCTATACCATGCTGCCTTGTGTATGATTTAGTAGGACTGCCACAGCAAAATACCACAGACTTGGGGGCTTAAACAACAGATGTATATCCTCACAGCTCTGGAGGCTGAAGTCCAAGATCAAGGTATTGTCAGAGTTGGTTTCTCCTGAGGCCTCTCTCCTTAGCTGGTGGATGGTCGTCTTCTGTGTCTTTATACCATCTTCCCTCTATGCGTCTCTGTGACCAAATCTCTTTTTATAAGGACAGCAGTCAGACTGGACAGGGCCCACCCTAACAACCCCACTTTAACTTAATTTCCTATTTAAAAGCCCCATCTCCAAATACAGTCACATCCTCAGGTACATGGGGTTAGGGCTTCAAAGCATGAACCTTTTTGCGGGGGACACAAGCCTATAACAGGCATAGAGTAGGCCCTCAAAGCAAATTTTAAATTACTCCAGTGATCTTATCCCAAAATTATCCAAAGTCTGCCTTCTCTGCTTTATATGTATCAAAGCAACTGTCCATTGAAGGTTTGACCTCCCAAGTGAGTTGTTGACAGGAGCAAACAGACTAGTCATGCTAACGCAAGCATTCTGCTCCATGTGACAGAACTATTTTTCACTGTAAAGTAAATCAAGCAGGATTCTGGTGTTTGCCTCACTCGGGTGTACATTTTACTCAGCTTGAGACAGTCTGGAAGGTCTCATCACCTGAGCACTGACAATTGTGCATCTCTGGGCTTTCCAAGGCAAGAATCAGATCCTGGGATATGATGGATGATGGTGGTATCACTGGTGCAGTCTTCCTCGGCACAGGCCCCTCCTCCCTAATTATTCCTATTTTACAGATGGTCAGAGAGGTTAGGTAAATTTTACAAAGTCACACAGCTAATAAGTGGTGGCAGAGCCAGAATCCACCCCCGTTCTCTGATGACAAAGCCCAAGATTTGTCACTGTCCTGACATTCTTTCTTCTATGAATAGATATGCAAAAACAAGTGGCAACTGACTCTTCAATTCCCTGGTGTTGTCTGTGTCATTCCTTATGGGGAAATGCTGCTTTGGAAAAAATGAAGGATAATGGCAAGGGTGACATCCAAGCAGCCTAACTGACAAGATAGTGCTGTGGAACTGTGGTCGAGCTTTAGCTCAAATCACTCTCATCAGATTGGGGTTCTGGCTCACAGACTCCCAGCATTGGCAGCCATATTTTGGCACTTGATTCAAGCCTGGATCTTTTAAACCAGGGACTGCAGAAAAGAATGTATCAGGAACAAGCACACAGGAAGGAGGAAGGGCCAGGCCCAGTGACTCACACCTGTAATCCCAGAGCTTTGGGAGGCTTAGGCAGGAGGATCGCTTGAGGCCAGGAAGTTTGAGAGCAGTCTGGGCAGCACTGCAAGACCCCATCTCTACAAAAAAAAAAAAAAAATTGCCAGGGGTGGTGGTGTGAGCACTTGCAGTCCCAGCTCTTTAGAAGGCTGAGGCAGGAGGATTGCTTGAGCCTATGAATTTGAGACTGCAGTGAGCTATGATTGCACCACTGCACTGTAGCCTGGGCAACTGAGTGAGACTCTATTTAAAAAAAAAAAAAAGAAGAAAAAGGAAGGTCAGGAGTGTGTCCTCCCCAGGGTCAAATCCTACCAAAGCTGCTTTTTCCACTTCCCCTAGGCCTCCTGTCTCCACCTGTAACACCAGGTTTCTGCCTCTTTCCAAGTTTAGTATTATTTTCCTGCTTTGTATCACAACCCCTGCAAGGACTAGAGCATGTGAGCCATAAGGAGAGGCCATGCACAGTGATTAAGAACAAGCCATTAACATCGCAGAACTGGATTTAAATCCAAGTTCAAACATTTAACCTTCCTTCTGAGATAGAAAGATGGGGGTAATAGCCCCAAACTTATAGGTGAACCATGAAGAATGTGATAATAAAGTTAAATTCTTGGCATACAGTGAGTGCTCAATAAAGGATATTAAAACCTAGACCTGTGGCTTGGGTATGGCATGATAATCTTCTGGAAACTGACAGCTATTTTCAGAAGCTTAAGACACATAGTTTCCTCTCTCCCTTCCTCTTTTATGGTTGTAAGACATCAGTAGGCAGGGTTTGAGTTCCAGCTTAGCTACGATTTGGCCATATGACCTTGTACAAATGACTCACATGTTAAGGATTCAGTTTCTTTATCTGAAATATAGTGGTAACACTTCAGTGATCCCACACAGCACAACCGCACTCCTCTGCCCCCCTACCCCTGGCTGTATGTGGGACCAGGTGCTGCAGAGCAGGAGGTGGCGCCTGTCGGGGAGGGGGATGGGGGGTGTGTGTAGGGGCAGGAGATGGCGCCCCTCGGGCATGGCGCCGCAGCCTCAGCCCCTCGCGAAGCGCCGGGCAGCTAGGGAACATGGCCCTGGAGGGGCTCTGCTCGGCCCTCAAAGATGGACAAAATGTTGGAATCAAGCACATTCCTGCAATCCAGTATGACATTTGGATTCAAACCAGCAATGAGGTCATTTTGCTTCACCAAATTATCCTGTCTCATATCCACCAAACAAGGAGCGTATCTACATTTTGGACGCTGCTCCACGTGAAAGAATCGAGCTTCGATGAACATTATTATATAGAGCCATCATTTGAGTGTCGGTTTGATCCCTTGGAAGTTCCAGATGGGCCATTTGGTTTCTCTCCCCTTATAGATTATTACTGCGGCATGAAAAACCCTCCATTAATCAGATCAACAGGGAGATTCATGTGGATTAAGTTTAGTTCTGATGAAAAGAACTAATATTCATTTATTCCAGATCCAGACTTTACTTACCTAGGAGATTGTGGGTTTCAGCTCTTGGGAGCCGATGGAATAGTGCACTCTAGTCAGGTACAACAAGAAGAGAAAACAAAACCTGGCCAAGCCGTTGATTGCATCTGGACCATGAAAGCCACTCCAAAAGCTAGGATTTGAGGTTCCTAGATTATCCAATGGAGCACTCAAATGAATCCAAGAGAGACATTGTTGCAGTCTACGATGAAAGCAGTTCTATTGAAAACCTGAAGGCCAAGTTTCGCAGCACTGTGGCCAATGATGGAATGCTTAAAACAGGAATAGGCGTGATACAAATGTGGGCAGATGAAGGTAGTCGGCTTAGCTCAAATTCTCTTTACTTCCTTTGTTGAGCATAACACATACTGTTTATCCACCCACCCATCAAAAGGCATTTTGTCTGTTCCCACCTTCTGGCTATTGTGCGTAATGCTGCTGTGAACTTTGGTGTGCAAGTAACTGAATTCCTGCTTTCCATTCTTTGGAGTATATAGCTAAAAGTAAAATTGCTGGATCATCAGCTCCCTGCACAGGCAGCACTGTCTTTTGCCATAGCAACATGTGCATCAATAATCCTTTAGTCTGTAATGGTGTCCAAAATTGTGTATACCCTTGGGATGAAAATCATTGTAAAGAAAAGAGAAAAGGCAGGACTATCTGAACAAATCACTGAAACTCATGGGACAGTTATTGGCATTACTTCAGAGATTGTCTTGGTCTTTCTCATTATTTCTGTTTTAGTACAAGTGAAACAGCCTCAAGAAAAGGTCATGGCTTGCAAAACTGCTTTTCATAAAACCGGGTTCCAAGAAATGTTTGATCCTCCTTATTATGAACTGTTTTCGCTAAGGGACAAAGACATTTCTGCAGATCTGGCAGACTTGTCAGAAGAACTGAACAACCACTAGAAGACGCGGCACTCCTCCACCACCTCCCAGTGCATCCATGACCACCACTGTGGGTCGCTGACCTCCAGCGTCAAACAAAGCAGGACCAACCTCAGTTCCACGGAGCTTCCTTTCCAAAATGACTTTGCACAACCACAGCCAATGAAAACATTTAATAGCACCTTCAAGAAAAGTAGTTACACTTTCAAACGGGGACACAAGTGCCCTGAACAGCCCCTAGAAGATCAAGTAATGGAGGAGATTCCTTGTGAAATTTATGTCGGGGGGAGAGAAGATTCTGCATAAGCATTCATATCCATTGAATTCTAATCTTCTGCTAAAGGTGATGTGAATTCTTAAGTGTGTACATATGCAGCCTCCAGGGTACCATACTGTTTCCAGCAGCCAACCCTTTTCTCCCGCCACAACTACGAAGACCTTAATTCACCATTAACCTATTATATGGTGATGTTTTTATTCTCTCAGGCAGTCTATGTATGTTAAACCAATCAAGGAACTTACTGTATTCAGTGGAAACAATAATCATCATCTATTGCTTGGTGTCATAAAGCACCACCAGTTAAAGAGCATTGGAAGAGGTGGTTGGATGGAGCCAGGCTTGGGCTGCCTATTAGTTTTAGCAAGGGGAATACTGCTCTTAACGATACAGCTCTGTCAATATTCTGATCCCACAATAAACTTTAAAAAAAGACACAGTAGTAACACCTATTATTTAATAGGCCACATACCCTGATGAGTGTATTAATGCATTACATAATTTAATCTTCCTAACCCTGTGAGAAAGGCATTTTCCTCAATTTAGATGAGAGGTTTAGTAGCTGTCCAAGGTTACTCTGCTAGTGACTCACTGGGTCAGAATTTGAAGCCTGAACAGCCAGGCTTCACAGCTGATGCTCTTTTGCCTGCATCAGCCTCCTGCCCATGGCTGTCCCTCCCATAGGCCTTTGGTGTGAGCATAGAGATTATGGCTGTGAAACTGCTTTCTGTGTTGCAGAGAGACAGAACAAATTCCAGTCATTGTGTGATCTAATATGCTGGCTCCATATCTAACCTCCCTTTGGGGCCCATCTCTTAAGCCACAAGAACCCCAGTGAAAGGAATCAGTAGAGAAACCCATTGCTCTGTCACTGAACAGCTTCCCCCTCTAGATCTGTGATGGTTGTCTTGGGAACCAAGCAAATTCCTTGCTCTCTGCTCTGAGTATGGGCCGGCTGGTACGGCTGCCAGAGATGGGCTTCTGCTGGTTTCTCAGGTGCTGTTGGCCTTGGTGGTTTAGAACGCTTGAAGATTGGGCAGGAATCAAGAGATGTGGGGTAGTTTAAAAAAATAAATAAATAAAAAATAAAACTCATAGAAATTTGGGTAGAGACCAAAACCAGTCAGGAAGACCATCCAACTCAACCTTGACTCTGAAGTTCCCAGGCAGAGAAGGAGACAGGATAGAACGTGGGAAAATCAGAAAGAGGAAGAAGAGACAAAGTGAAGATGGGAGTCAGAACGCAGTAAAACTCCTATTCAGAAAGTATCAGTGCCAGGCTCTTAGAGGAGGGTGGGGACCTTGGGCATAGGCAGAAGGAGCTGCCAAGACACTAAATTCACCCAGATGGGCAGGCTCGATTCGTCATTGCTGTTTGTACCACCCCCTGAGGGAAGGGACCTCAGGACGGTCAGTTTTGATGGGAAGCATGGTTAGGGCTTGAAGAGTTCCTCAAGGGCTGGTGCCGGGTGTCTAGATAAAGTGTGGGAAAAGGGAGGATGGTGGAGCTACAGAGGCAAAAGCGAGCAGAGGGAAGATAGTACACTAGCACACCTGCTCCATGACTGCCAAAGCTGGTTCCAGTGAGAGGCCTCATCTTTGTTTGACCTTGATTCAGCCTTCACTGAGCCAGAGCCACCAACTCAAGTCATACCCTGCCCTTAGGAAATCCACCAGCTTGTTGCAAGAATCACAAGCCATTACTACCCAAATTCACTGATTTTCTAATCAGTCTCCCCAGCAAATAAAAATTTCTCTCATATGTTTCAATTCACAATATACAAAGCATTCAGCTCATGTCTGATAATACTACAATGAGCTATATTACACTAGAACTCAACCTAGCATCCACATCAAAAACCCTTAGTTTTCTCATTGCTTTAAAGGGATCTGCGCATCAAGGCACTTGCATGTTGGAGATGGGACGACAAATACCCATTCCCCCTCGCCTCCAGGTTGTAATCAGCTGGCAACAGGCTTGATGAGCCAAACAGGGACCAGAGAATTTATTTTCTCAATATCAGCAAAGACCCTATCATTCTCAAGGTCATGGTTTTCTAGTCAACTGTCTCCCTCTCCTGCCCTGAATGGAAGGTAGATGGACCAGCATAGCAGGACTAACTTATTAACCAATCCACTGCTTTGCCTTTTTGCTTTAGGTGCTGCTGAGGCAGGCAGGGAATGGTGAGCTCAGGAGACTCACTGTGCCTGGGCACAGACCCAACAGGAAGCAAGAGCCCTGAGAAGAATGAGCAGTGACCTTAGCACATTAGCCTTGTTCAACAGAGCAACATGGCCGCCAAGTGCCAGCCTCCCACCAGCTCTCCAGGACCGAATCAGTCTTGCTTTCTGCTGATGCGGTGGGAGGAGGAGTTAGAGGTAAACTTGCCATCCCAGTTTGCCTAGAACTGAGGTGTTCCCAAGATGTAGAGTTTTTCATGCTAAAACCAGAAAGTCCCTAGCAAATCAGGATGCACTGTTCACCACCTTCCTTAAGCCTTGGCAATGTGTCCCTCCAAAGAGAGGACAGGGTATAAAGAGAAGAAAAGAAAGACTTCTCCCTAATGTGGCTTTAGTAGCCACCCTAGGCTGATGAGAACTGGGATAATTAGCGGATTGTGTATGGGTGTGGGGATGAAATTTTAGATGTAAATACAATACCACCTTAATATTACTGCTGTTCGCGTGGTAGAACTACAGGTGATTTTTACATTCTTTATGCTTTTCTGTTTTTTCCAAACTTTCTGCAATAAACATCTGTAGCATGGTAATCAGAAAAAAAAGATCTCAGCTGTTTTCAAACAATAGTAATAAAAAGAGAAGACCAGTCATTTAAATAATAAAACCCATTTTTAAAATGTGATCCTTTGATCACTTTCTCCTGTACCCCAGATGGGGGTGAGAGGCAAAGTTATATTTATTAACCAGTGCAGAACAACTAGTAAGGAAAATGAAAAACGGATTCCAAATTTACCCTGTGTAGCCTTTGGATACCCAGTGGTAGCATCGCAATTTTCCAGAAGTAACTATTTCACTACTCTCTCCTTCTTTATCATAATCAACAGTGACTATTTAATCTTGATTCACCCCAAACCCACACTACATTATCCTTTTCCTCTCCAGGTACTTTCATCGAATTGTAATTGTGATTTAATGTTATGCCCTTGATTTAAATAGCGTTACTTTTTGAGCAAGCATGGCTGAAAATACAATTTTCTCTATTGTATTCAGACCCCTTTCAAGGAATTAATGTTGGAGACTGAGATGACAAATTCTTTATTCCCCTTGCCTCCAGGTTGTTACCAGTTGGTAATGACACAAGGGGCCAAGCAGGGACCAGATAATTCATTCTCTCCATAGCAGCAAGGACCTTATCACTCTCATGGTGATGGTTTTCTAGTAAACTCTCTCCTTCCCCTGCCCTGAATGGAAGGTAGATGAATTTGCTCCATTACCTGCCTAAGTGAGGAGAAAATCTAAAGAGACAGACTCTTGGTCCAGATTCAGCACCTTCCTGAATGTATACTTTTAAACATTCCCAAGATTCAGCTTCTTTGTCCCAAAGGCGGAACTGGGTGACACTTTTTATCCAAGTTTCAGAGTGCCCCTGGGAGGCTCAGTCAAAAACAGTGAGCATAGAAGCGCTCTGCATGCTATAGGATGCTATACAAAGATTTTAAAGTATTTATCAAGGGACTGATCATTTTGCCTTAGGTGCCAGGAAACAGAAACCAAATCAACCAGAAAATAAGAACACTTATTCATTCGTCCCTGCATCCAAAACGCATTTCTTTGTCAGATGAGTAAGACAATCTAACCTCGGACTGAGCCCAAGGCACAGTACACAGTGATGCTGCAGGCTTCCAGACCATCTTCCACCCACTCCTCTTAGTTCCGGGCTCTGGGTCCCTATGAGACAACTCTGATCACCACTGTGTTTGAAAAGCAAAGCTTCAAACCACTTCTCCACTGCTAACTGATAGAAAGTCACATTTTTTCTTCACTTTTACCCAAAGGGAAAAATAAACACTTCAAAAATGACAAAAGTCCTTCAGGCAGAAAACTGGACTCAGAGCTAGAAAAGCCAGACAGTAAATACCTGAACTAGCTGGCAGGAAAGATCTCTAAAGAGTTTCTTCAGGGCATCTCCCAGAAAGAATGAAAATAAACCTTTTGAAAACCAAGCAAGTAGGTCTCACGCCCTTTATATACATTTATTGCAAACTTTCTTTCAACCTCTGGCTTGGTGCAAAGAAATCATTAAACACACAGACACACGCTCAGCCAGAGAAGCCTCCACTTCTAGAGTACTGAGGCTGAGGGAAGATGAGGATGACTCACTTCCCCACAGACCAAGTCTGTTTCCCAAGTAAGCGACATCCCATATAATGTAGGTGGCTGCTGGAAAGCCATCTGGATCCCCAAATAACGCCTCTTATCTCAGCCCCTCCTTGTCCCACTCCAACCTACCTTACGAATGTCTGAAACTCAACCCCCTTGTGATTTCACTCGTTTAGGTTAAGATATATCCCTGTTATGCCACCCACTCCAGGTGTTGGCAAAAGTGAGCAGAATTTGGCAAGCCAAGTTCCAGGCATTTGCAGGAGCAAAGGAGTTAGTAGTGAGTCATTGAGAATGGAAAAGTCCTCCCTTAGATGTCTGTGGAGAGCATGCTGCAGCCTAGTGGTTCTCAAACTTCAGCATGCCTCAGGATCTCCTAGAAGGCTTGTTAAAACACAGACTTGGCTAGATATGGAATTTCAGCTTCAAAGATACATATCTTCAGCACTTTGAGGCTGGTTCTTTATTGTCTCATGGCATCTGATGTGGCTCCTGAGAAGTTGATGGCACTGATTGTACCCCTTTGGAGGTAATCTGCTTTTCCTCTATGGTAGCTGTTAGGTTTCCCTTTCGGAGCTTATTCTGAAGCAGTGCTACATTGTGCCCAGGTTTGATTTTGTTTTGTTTTGTTTTGAATTCCATTTTGTAGATCTTTTTTTTTGTTCTGAGAGCTCAAGTCTTTCCTCAGTTCTGGGAATATCTCAGGCAGTAAATTTTCACATGTCATTTTCCAGCACCTTATTTTATCTTTTTTAACCCCTATGTTGTATCTTCTTGCTCTGTCCCCTCTACTTATCTTTACTTTCAACTTTTCTACCTCTTTATCTTTTAATAATTAACCTTAGAGTTTACAGATTTACTCTTCTATAATCTTCAGAATGTTGCACTTGTTAAAATAACAAATTAACTGCTTGTTCTTCCTTCATAATCACTGTCCTTGTTCAAAAATCAATGAATTTTATTCATTCTTTTATCTCATATAGACTATTAAATATATTCATTTAAGTGTCTGTCCCTAATATACACACTGCTGATGGTTTACTGTTTTCTTTCTCTGTTTCTAGCCTATAGAGATGCCCCTATATTATTTTAGAAGGCTGTTAAATATTTAGTAATATAGTTATTATTTCTATGTGCTTTTGAAATAATGCCATTTATCCCATGCTCAACCCATCATTTTGGGAGTATCATTATATACTCTCAATCCTTTTCAGTTCCCAGCAGCTGCCACCAGCATCCTCCAACCAACGTTATCTCCTAAAGCCCAGAGAACACTTTGCAAAATACATATGGCTGTCCCTTAGAGAGACCTCACAGTTCCCATCTCTGCTATCTCTCTGTATTCAGGAAGCATAGTGGGCAAATGGGTGGTCTAGATGCTTTTTTATTCTCTGAGTTCAATTTAATATAAAAAGAAGAGGAGGATAGAAAATAAAGCCATTTATTCAGGCTCCTGTCTGAGGTGAATAACAGTATCTATTTCTCACTTCTCACCCACACTGTAACATTTATCCCAGGAAAATCAAATCCATAGCTTACCAACTGATCTATGTTCCATGGGGCAGACTCAGTTTCATTCACAGCTGTATCCCTTGTAACTAACACGGCTCTAACCTATAGATCGAATGAACCACTTTAAGGAGGGAGCAAAATATGTTTTATTAAATCTATTTCTTGGTTGAGCAAACTGAAGGTCAGTGTCACAGCCAAATATTACAGGAACTAGGACTAGGACCCAGAATTTCTTGACCCAATTCAACACATCCCAGGAGAACCAATACAACTCCTGTTGACGATGTGTTGACTAACCATTCCTCAAAGGCATGAACTGCATCTTATTCATCTATGTGCCCATATGAACACTCAGAAGCTATTCAATAAGATGCTTGTTAGAGTATTATAATTAAATTACTAAGATTAATTTTCCATTGGTTTCTTCATATTTTTGCATTCATGGAACATACTGGAACCTAATGATGACATTAAGAACCCTCTCCCCAGAAAAATGCACATCTGTATGCACACATGACACACAACATTTTGCATCAATTTCAAAGGTCCTCCAAACTTCTAAAGCTGGGTAAGATCTTAAAATCTCCTTTCAAAGTCTTGAAATTCTGGGGCTTATAAGAGGCCTTAAAGATTACTGATTTCAATTTCCTTATTTTATACATGCAGAAACTGAGGGCTAGAGATAGGAAGTTACTGGTAGATTGATCCTAGAGTACATGCAAGGAAGGCCTGGGATATCTACTGTTTGGAAACCCTCAGAATTAACTGGGTAAAGAGACCCTCCACCTCCCTTGGACATGGACTTTGCTCAGAACTGCTCTCTCTACCCTTACCTTCCTGAGCTTCCCATTGGCAGAAGTGACCTATCCAAAGTCTGACAGCCAGAAGCCCTGAGACTAGGACCCAGGTCTTCTAGCTCCCAGCCCGTTGCCCTTTCCATGACAAACTTGATCTCCCAAAGTTTTTCGACATCTTCTCTCTCTCAGCCAGCTTCTCCCACCTCACCCTTCCTTCTGGGTTCTGCTTTCATTGGGTGCTTTCTTACATGACATTCCCCGCTTTTTTATTAAAAAGGAATCAAAATCTCAGTTCATCGAGTGAAAAACAGATCAGGATGCTTGAAACCAAATTTACTTGTATATTTCCAATGCAATGCTCCCTAAACCAAACTCTTTACAAATAAATAAATCAATCATGACGTGTCACTTGTTCCAATCCTGAGGAAACAACAACATAAATAAGACAAAGTGATGGGACTGGATAACAGGTGTCATTTAAAATCATGTCCTGAAAATGTCACTAGAGGGTTGGGTAAATCTCTGTTAAGCTAAAATAAGTTAAATGCAAATAAATAATATTTAGGGAGAAATATGGGCACAAAGCAAAATTAAGTTTTGCTATTGATAACACGCTGTGATTACATCAAACGAATTGACGCTTCCGGTTAATAAAAATTGTTACCTGCCTCAGAACTTTAATTACATAATCACTAATAATGCAGGTTAATTTCATAGAATTAAAAAAAAAACAACTACCAAAACAAAATTATTTTTGGAGTTAACCCCTGCAAGATCCCAAAAAACATACAAAAGACCAAATGTTTGTGAGTGTTTGGCCAGTGTTGGAACTCAGGTCTCAGGGCAGGGCAATGACTTATCCAAGTTACATAGCAGTTAAGTTATACAGGCTAGATTACCAGATGAGGCCATGACATCTATGAATTGTTTTTTCTGTAAATAATAACATATGATAATGATGAGTTTTGCTTCCAGCAATACTGACTAGGTTGTTTTGGACCAACCATCCTGCTGAAGATGATAAAAAAAAAAAAAAAAAAAAAAAAAACCTAAACAAAATATGAAGAATGCCCATGAAAGCATTAGAAAGTTACCAAGGCAAAGAGCTTACAGGACAAGATCCAGTAAAGCCAGGGAAGTGCAGCTCCTTTACTGCTCAATTTGGCTGCTGATTCCAAAAGCAAAAGCTGAGCTTCCGGGAAGCTGAGTAGAGTTTTGGGGATTCTCACAGGACTGGAGAGAAATAAAATAAGGCTCACGGCTCTCCAAAAAGGAGCAGCTTGGGAAAATATTCAAGACTGTTAGTTGGAAAACATGAAAGGCTGATACTTAGGTGTAACAGCAACTAGGAACTAGAACATCCCTCCCAAGGACTGAGGCTTCTAATAATTTAATCCCTGATTTGATTAAGGTGATCCTCTCTTTGCTTAGTTTTGGAAGGTCCAACAATGAAACAAAAAACAAATGTGACAAAGAGAAAACAAATTGCAAAACGTTAAACTTAAACTCGGCCATGTGACTAATTATATTAAATAAAAATGGACCAAACAACACTGTAATTAAAAGGCAGATATTGTCAAACTAGATTTTAAAAGGCCAAGATCCAATTATATGCTGTCTATAAGAGATGCGCTTTAAACACAAGAGCACAGATAATTTGAAAGCAAAAGGATAGAAAAGATTTTATGAAAAAATAAGCATAAGAGAACTGTTGTGTTTCTATTAAGACCAAAGTAGGGAGCGGAACCAATGCCTGGCTGGGGGAGCTGCCACTGAGGTGTCCCTGGCCAGTGTCCTTCCACCCACTCGCAAGCATGGGGGACATCTTCACCAACTTCTTAAAGGGCTTTTTTGGCACAAAAGAAGTGCCCATCATCATGGTGGGCCTGGATGCTGCAAGGAAGACGCCAATCCTGTACAAGCTGAAGTTGGGCGAGATTATGACCACCGTCCCCACCTTAGACTTCAGCGTGGAGAATGCGGAGTACAAGAACATCAGCTTCAGCCTGTGGGATGTGGGTGGCCAGGACAAGGCCACTACTTCCAGTGCACACAAGGCCTGATCCTCGTGGTGGACTGCAATGACAGAGAGCTCATGGACGAGGCCCAGGAGGGGCTCATGAGGATGCTAGCTGGGGTCAATCTTGGGATGCAGTCCTCCAACAAGCGGGGCCTCCCCAACACCAAGAATGCAGCCGGGATCACAGACACGTTGGGGCTCACTCCCTACACCACAGGAACTGGTATATTCAGGCTACCCGCACCATCAGCGGCGACGGGCTCTGTGAAGGACTGGACTGCTGTCCCAGCAGCTCCCAAACCAGAAGTGAACACGAACCCCGATCCTCTCACTCCTCCTCTTGCCTTCCACTTTACTCTCATGTAGCAAATGTGTAGTTCATGGTGTGAGTGCCAGAAGCTGCCTCTGTGGTTGAGTCACCATGTGCATCTCACCGTGCTGTAAATGTGGAAGACACAGACTTCGGCCAGTCTTTTTATTTAATGTAAATAGTTTTTATTTCCAATATGGCAGTTTCTGGTACTCCTATGCAATATTACTCAGCTTTTATTGTAAAAAGTAAAATCAACTCACTGTTCAGAGCTGGGGAGTGATGTAGGCCCATGGGCATCTGGCCTCCAGGAGTCACTGTGTGGGGAGCGCAGGGTGTGCCCCTGGCTTTTGAGATGTGTTGAGATCCATTTTGGTGGTTGGTTGGCTTTTTTGTTTGTTTTGTTTTGTTTTTGAGATGGAGTCTTACTCTGTCGCCAGGCTGGAGTGTAGTAGTGCAATCTCAGTTCACTGCAACCTCTGCCTCCCAGGTTTAAGTGATTCTCCTGCCTCAGCCTTCTGAGTAGCTGGGACTACAGGCGCGAGCCATCACGCCTGGCTAATTTTTGTATTTTTAGTAGAGACGGGGTTTTGCCATGTTGGCCAGGATGGTCTCAATCTCTTGACCTCGTTATCCACCCTCCTCGGCCTCTCAAAGTGCTGGGATTACAGGCATGAGCCATCGTGCCTGGCCAGGTGGGTGGTTTTTAACCAGAACTCAGTGCATTTTAAAAAAAAACAGTTAAAAATCCAAGCCAAGAAAATCTGACCACATGGGAAGGAGAGAGACCTGCCTAGCCTAGGTATGCAGTTTGAGTTGCCAGCTCAGTCGTTCCCCTCAGGAATGTGAGGAAGTGGAGTGGCAGCCCACAGTCAGTTCCGCATGGTCACAATAGAGATCCCCACAACTCACTTGTCCATGGGTCACCCTGTGTTCCACAGCCTTGTGCTTGTCCCTGTGCTCCCAAGGTTACTAGGTGCTGGGCTTGGAGCTCATGGCCATCTCACTCTCCCCCAGGCCGACAACCCCACCTGCCCACCTGCTGTGGCCAGCTCGGGGGATGCAGGGCCCCACTGTCCCTTAGTCAGCATGAGGCCAAAATGGGCCCTTCATCCCCAGCATTCACACTTGCTCAGACACACGAGCGAGGTGTCTGGGGCCTCAATGGCAGTAACACGTGCAAGCTGGGCAAGCTGCCCATCTAAACCCACATCCCCTCAGGAGCACCCCATCTCCATGTGTGATGTAACTTGCTCTCTCTCAGCCTGCAGGGGGTCTGATCTGCCATCAATAAAGACGACTTCTACTTTGTTCTTTTGTATTTTGATAAACACTGAAGAAGCTAGAGCTGCTAAATTTATCTTAGGGAAAACATTAGAACTAGTCTATTTGGTGTTATGGAACCTCTTACTACTTTTAATACATGATTGATAATCAACAGTTTTGTTATTTTTCTTCTGTTTTCATTTTGACAAACAAGCACTGTAATTATAGCTATATAATAAAATTTGCCAGGGCATGGTGGCTCACTCCTATAATCCCACAACTTTGGGAGGCAGAGGCAGGTGGATTACTTGAGCCTAGGATTTCAATGCCAGCCTGGGCAATATAGGGAGATCTCGTCTCTACAAAAAATTTACAAATTGGCTGGTTGTGGGTGCGTGTGCCTGTAGTCCCAGCTACTTGGAAGGCCGAGGTGGGAGGTTTGCTTGCACCGGAGAGGTCAAGGCTTCAGTGAGCTATGAGTGTGCCACTGCACCCCAGCCTCGGTGACAGAGTCAAACCTTAATTATTGAAAAAAATGATCAAAGTAGGTATCAAGATAAAGAGTATTACTAGAGATAAAGGGGGACTTTATTTTCTAACTTTTTAAAAACTAATTTTTTTTTTCTTTGAGACAGAGTCTTGCCCTGTTGCCCAGGCTGGAGTGCAGTGGCACAATCTCAGCTCACTGCAACCTCCATCTCCCAGGTTCAAGCGATTCTCCTGCCTCAGCCTCCTGAGTAGCTGGGATTACAGGTGTGCACAACCATGCCGGCTAATTTTTTGTGTTTTTAATAGAGACGGGGTTTCACCACATTGGCCAGGCTGGTTTCGAACTCCTGACCTCAGGTGATCCAAGTGATGGGATTACAGGTGTGAGCCACTGCGCCTGGCCTAAAAACTAATTTCCTAATTCCTAAATACTGAAAGTGTCAATTCATCAAAAAAAAGAACAATTCAAAATAAATATGCACACAAATCACAAAGGTTCATTAAGCAAAAACTGACCAAAACTAAAAGAAAAAATAGAGAAATGACAATAATAGTTGAAAACTATAACCTCCTCTTTTGGTAGTTAGTGGAAGAATGAGCAACTACTATCGATACTATCAACCAATTTTAATTAATTGACATTTGCATAATTTATACCCAACTGACAACAGCAGAATACAGATTATTTTCCAAGGTATGAGGAATAGTCACCAAGATACACCACATGCTTTTTCATAAAATAAGTCTCAATACATATTAAAAGATTAAAATGTTACTATGCTCTTGGCCAAATTGAAATTGAAATTAATAACAATCAGTCTTCTAGAAAATCCTCCAAGTACTTGGCAATAGGAAACATACTTCCAAACAAGCCATGTGTTAATAGTAAAATATAAGATGTTTTTGACTGACTGATTTAAAAAACATGTCAAAATGTGTGGGATACAGCTAAAAAGGAAATTTACAGCTTTAAATACTGATATGAGAAAAAAGGGAAGCTTTTAAAATCAATGATCTAAATTTCTACCTTAAAAAAATAGGAAAAGAAAACTCAATCTACAAGGAAGGAAATAAAGAGATGATCAGAGATCATTGAAATGAAAGCAATAGAAAAGTGAACAAGGCCAAAAGTAATAAAGAAAATACAGAGAAAACAAAATTGTTAATGTTAGAAATAAAAGAGGAGATATAAGTTCCCATTGTACAGACAGTGAATAAGGCAATGTAATAAACTACTTTACACCAGTAACTTCAACTGGACAAATTCTTTGGAAAACACAACTGACTGAAAGCAACAAGAGAAGAAATGGATGACTCAAATACTGCTATTAGTTATTTAAGAAATCGAATCCATAACGAAAAATGTTCCCACAAAGAACAGATGATTTCACTGGTAAATTCCACCAAACATTTAAGGAAGGGAAAGCAGCAATCTTACACAGGCTCTTCATTTTATGAGCCTAGTCTTTGTCCTGAGAAGGGGTTGATGATGTCTGGAAGAGTGGCTGATTGTCTGGATAAATGAATCTAGGGGAAGTACCTGAAACAAACAATAAGATTACCTATAACTTTATTTTCCTGAGCAAGAATTGTTTGGAATGATAAAATCACCTTAATGCAGACAGTGTACTGTGATTGCAGGTTTCAGTTCTCAATATAGTGTTCTAATACATTGGACTAATCTCTGGTGTGACTGCCTCGGGGAGAAGTAGAGGGTAGTGTTTGGGAAGGGGGACAAAGAGGGCTTCTGGGGGGGCTAGAAATATTCCCTTTCTTGACCTCAGTAGTGGTTACACAAGTATGCTCACTTTGGTATAATTTTTTTCCCAACTGTTTAGGTTCATGCGGTACATGTATAAGTTTGTTACATGGGTAAGTAAATTGCACATCACTGAGGTTTGGTATGCAAATGACGCTGTCACCCAGGTAGTGAGCATATACCAGGTAGGTAGTTTTGCAACCCTCACTCCCATCCTACCCTCCTCCCTCTAGTAGTCCCCAGTGTCTGCTGTTCCCATCTTTATGTCCATGAGTACGCAATATTCAGCTCCCACTTATAAGTGAGAAAATGGGGTATTTGGTTTTTTCTTTCTGCATTAATTTGCTTAGGATAACGGCCTCTAGCTGCATCCACGTTGCTGCAAGAGACATGATTTCATTCATTTTTATGGCTGCATAGTATTCCATGGTGTATATGTACCACATTTTCTTTATCCAGTCCACTGTTGATGGGCATGTAGGTTGATTCCATGTCTTTGCTATTGTAAATAGTGCTGCAATGAAAGATGAGTGCATGTATCTTTTTGGTAGAATGATTTATTTTCCTTTGGGTTTATACCCAGTAGTGGGATTGCTGGATTGAATGGCCCTTCTGCTTTAAGTTCTTTGAGAAATCTCCAAACTGCTTTCTACATTGGCTGAACTAATTTACATTCCCACCCACAGTTTCTAAGTGCTCCCTCTTCTCTGCAGTCTTGCCAACATCTTAGTTTTTAAAAAAATACCAGCCATACTGACTGGTGTGAGACGGTAAACTCACTGTGGTTTTGATTTGCATTTCTATAATGATTAATGCTGTTGAGCATTTTTTCATATATTTGTTGGCCAAATATGTCTTCTTTTGAGAAGTATCTGTTCATGTCTTTTGCCCACTTTTTAAAGGGATTGTTTCTTGTTGAATTGTTTAAGTTCCTTATAGATTCTGGATAGACCTTTGTCAGATGCATAGTTTGTGAATATTTTCTTCTATTCTGTAGGTTGTCTGTTTACTCTGTTGATAGTTTATTTTGCTGTGCAGAAGCTATGTAGTTTAATTAGGTCCTATTTGTCAATTTTTGTTTTTGTTGCTATTGCTTTTGATATCTTCATTATAAAATCTTTGCTGGGACATATGTCCGGAATGTTATTTCCTAGTTTATCTTGCAGGGTTTTTACAGTTGTAGGTGTTACACTTAAGTCTTTAATCCATCTTAAGTTAATTTTAAAATATGATGAAAGGTAGAGGTTCAGTTTCATTCTTCTGCTAGCCAGCTATCCCAGAACCATTTATGGAATAGGGAGTCCTTTCCTTACTTCTTGGTATTGTCAACTTTGTTAAAGAGCAGATGGTTGTAGGTATGCAAATTTGGGGTTCTCTATTCTGTTCCATTAGTTTATGTGTCTACTTTTGTACCAGCACCATGCCGTTTTGGTTTCTGTAGTCTTGTAGGATAGTTTGAAGTCAGGTAGTGTGATGCTTCCAGCTTTGTTCTTCTTGCTTAAAATTGCTTGGCTAGTCAGGCTCCTTTTTGATCCCATATGAGTTTTAGAATAGTTTTTTCTAATTCTGTGAAAAATGATGTTGGTGGTCATTTTCTGATAGAAATAGCTGATAGGAATAGCACTGAATCTATAAATTGCTTTGGGCAGTATGGCCATTTTAATGATATTTATTCTCTAATCCATGAGTGTGGGATGTTTTTCCACTTGTTTGTGTCATCTATGACTTCCTTCAGCAGTGTTTTGTACTTCTCCTTGTAGATATCTTTCACCTCCTTGGTTAGATGTATTCCAAGATATTTTATGTGTGTGTGGCTATTGTAAATTGGGTTATATCCCTGATTTTTCTCTCAGCTTGAGTATTATTGGTGTATAGAAATGCTAATGATTTTTATACATTGTTGTATCCTGAAACTTTACTGAGGTCATTTCTCACCTCTAGGAGCCTTTTTGTGGAGTTGTTAGGGTTTTCCACATATAGAATTATATCATCAGTGAAGAGAGATAATTTGACTTCTTTTCCTATTTGGATGCCTTTTATTTCTTTCTCTTGCCTGATTGCTCTGGCTAGGACTTCTCACTTTGGGATAATTCATTAAGTTCTCACTTAGGATTTGTGTGGCTTTATGTGTATTATACTTTAGTAAAAATTTCATTAAATATATTAAACATAATAAGTGGGCTAAAATAATAATGGTTGTTAATTTCTAGAGTATTAAGAGTCATTACAGCTTTCTGGCCTTACAAGACAAGAAAACAAGTTGGATCATTGAAAATATGAAGGCAGGATTCAGGAAAACAAATTCAATTGCTATTTAGTTGATAATTATGCTGTAAAAAGCTTAACATTACTACTTCTGTCTTTATTTAGTAGTAATCAATAACGACAGAAATAGAAAACTTGGCATCTAGCAGATGACTGCAATTATATTTATATGTATAATGTATATTTACATATATATGAGAGAGATGTTTAAGAATTAAGTCTGAAAAAGATACAGGAAAATGAATAAAGCTATCATGTTTTCTATTGAATTTATTAAAATGAGTAAAAACAGTCTGGTTAATAAGAAGGGTGAGAGAAAGGGGGCAGTTTTCCTCCCTAAATTCAGTTTATTTCTCATTTCTTCCTTTCTTATTTTTTATTGATATATAACAAACACAAGAGCAATAACATGCACAAATCTTAAGTACACAACTCAACAAATTTTTACAAAGTAAATATTCCTGTGTAGCCAGCATTCAAATCAAGGTACAGAATATCACCAGTATCTCAGAAACGTCCCTTTGTGCCTTCTCCCCTTCCCCTCACGAAGGTAACAACTGGACTTCTATTATCATAGTAAAGTTTGGCTAGTTTTTGAACTTAAAAACATACAGTATATGCTCTTTTGTGCCTGCATTTTATCACTCAAAGCTAATCTGTGAGCATACTTCTTATTTTTAGTTGCACTGTAAAGGTGGGTCATGATGCTACCAGTAAACAAGGCTCAGAGTGCAATGGCAAGAGCAGGGACTTTGCAAGCAAACTGAGCAGCATTTGGGTTCTAGTTCTGTTACTCTGCCTTGGGGTGAATTTTGAATCTCTGAGCTCTTCATCTGATTCTTAGAATGAGAAAATAGTTACATGGCAGGATTGCTGGAAGGATTATAAAGAATATCAATAATAATAAAGTAAACCTTTATCGAATATTTTGCATGTGTCAAGTGGTTGAGTAAACTCAACAATGTTTTGCTGGCCTTTGTTGGCAGCACAGCTATATGTGTGAATCCCAGTCTTTGCTTCTCTCTTCCAAAGTCCAAATTCCAGAAAAGAAATTCAATTGTCTCAGCATGGGTCAGGTAGACACTCTTGGAAAAATTATATTACCTAATGGGAAAAGGGAGCCTTGGCATTTACATAGTATTGACCAGGGCACAGGGACCTATGCATAAGGACTGAGCATGCGCCTGGAGAGGAGGGATTACCCCCAGACAATTACCTTAAGAGCACCTGCTATACTCTCAGGAGCCTGGCCAGAGAAACACACAACTCCTGCAACTGGATAAGCATAGTCTAGCAAAGAAAAACCAGAATCCAAAGTCCCTGCATATGTGGAGTATCTGATTTATATAGAAAACCAGCCCCTGTCACAATGAGGTTTAAAGTACAACAAAAGAGATAACACGTTGATTGACCTAGTAACACACTGGGAAGGTCAACCAGCCTCCAAACTCAAGATAAGAGAGCCTTTCCGTGGTCAATTGGGAACCCTCATCTTGTTGTCTTAACCATGTCCCCAACCTCATGGGATCCTAAACCAACCAACCTCCTTACCAAAAATCAGACGAACTGAACAGTGGCACATTGAGGTCACTTGAGCAGGTTCTGTATTATTATCCCCACTTTCCAGATGGAAAAGTTCAGTTAGGAATCAGCAAAGGGACCTGCCCTGTCTGCGTATAGACCCAGGGTGTCTTACACTGTATGACTCCCGCCTGCATAGTTTTCTTCCTTTAAAAGATTGTTTTGAACCAGCTTTGATGCCAGGTGGTCTAACTTGGGTGCCAACTGGATTAGGAAAGGAGGGGTGTGGCCATCAGCAAAGGGGCTCCTGCTTTTCTTTTGCTCTTACAGCCTGGCTTCCCTGACCTTTCCAGCACTGCTTTACCTGCCTCCCCACGTTGTTGAGATCTGTTATGTCTACCAATGCTGAAAAAAGAATGCAGATCATATAGCAGAACTGCTATTCAGCTTGCAAAAGATGGGAGAAGAGGGTAAAAAGACATACTTAAAGAGGCTCATTTTTTAAAAAGCTGAGTGATTATTTCCTCTCAGAATAAAATTATGTAAATGCATTCACTGCAGGGAGGGGGAAAGATGTCCTTTGGAGAATGAAGCTAAACTAATTTTAGCATTTGCATTTGCAGGACAGAGCTATGCTTGCTAATGCTGACGTGGGGCATGACAGGGTATGCTTTGGGTCACGTGAGACTCAGGCAGATGACATCCCTCCCATCCCCATCCCATCTCCCCATTCTCCCCTCCAACGCCCCTTCACGGGCAGCCAACCTTTCATTTGGTTCCCATGAAGAGTCACAAGAGGCAGCCTAATCCAGTGGACAGAGTGAGGAGATAGCCTCTGGAGACTCCTGTTCTGTGAAATGGGAACTATCCATGGTTCCTGTAAGAATTCCAGGTAGTTGTGTACATAAAGCACCTGGCACAGGTAGACTCTCAAGAAGGGTGGTTAGTGTGGCTCAGCCTCACTCCCTTATTATTCATCTATCTATCCACCCATTTATTCACTCATTCAACAGACTTTCATTCATATCAGATGCTGGCACAGTAGAGGAGATGGAACCTCAAAGACAAATAGAATAGGGCACAGCCTCTTCCTGAGAGGCTCACTCTCAGCAGGGAAGGCTGAGAGCAGACAGCTAACTCCAGTACAAGCAGTAGGTGGGAAGGTGCTGAGTGGCTGTGCACAGGGAGCCCTGTAGAAGATGCCATTTGTTTTTATGGGGGGCAAGTAAAAGCTTCATGGAGACAGGAATGTTCATGCCTGGAAGAGTAGGATTTCATCAGGCAAAGCTGGGGATGGGAAGGAACTCCAGGGCTAGGGTGGCATAGTGGGGCAGTGGGTGGGTGAGAGCAGGCTTGGTTGGGAAGTTGGGCTAGCTCCAGAGCCCCCACTGAAGACAACAGAGCAGCAAACCAAGGCATGTCTTTTTCAGATATTAGGGCAAGTGTCGAGTGATAGTTCTCACCCAAGCAATAGAAAATAGAAAAGCAAAATCATGGTTAAGTAGGAAAGGGTGGAAAACTTAGTACAGCTCCTCCAATTTCCTTTGGGCATGCTTTTGGCCAGGAGATTGTCATTCATACAAAGTTGAGTGAAATTGATTACAGGTAAACGCTGAGATTCTAGAAATTGATGGAATCCTAAAAAGTCCTTCTACCTTCCAAGTTGTGTAAATTAAATGAAATGCAAAATTCACTTGGTACTCTTGTTATTTATAAATAAAGCCTGCAGTGAATTATTTGCTAAAGCAGACTCAGCTCTTTATTTCTCTGACTTAGAAGTTTAAATTTTCATGTAGAATGATAGACTCTTGGGATGGAAGGGGCCCAGTGCTATGTACTGTCCTGGGGTGTGCAGGTACAGAGGGAAAAATATACTCTTGTGTAGTTTCATACAAATAAAATACTCCTGGCTTTTTGGGAAAAAAGTTACTTCTACCTTTTAAATAAACTGTCAAAGTGGTCTAAAAGTATCGACAATATCTAAAATAAATTATTAGAAAAACTTATTTTTCCTTCTTAAAAATCTGTTTCTTTCTCATTTCTAATCTTTAGCATAACCTTTACTCTTTTTGGTGCAATAACCAAAAGTAGGGTGGCATACTGCAGACTTAAAAGACAAACCTGAATCTGATTTCCAGCTCCACTATTTAATTTCTCTAACCTTTATTTTCCCATCTATAAAATGGGGAAAATAATCCCCATGTAGTTGGTGGTGCTGTTAATGTAACTGGTTATTGAACAAGCATGATGGTGCATTGGGCTGAAACACGCTTTAGTTTTTACGCTTACGTCCCTTGAAACTTTATTCCTGTGGTGGAGATGAGAACGGAGAGACTATATGGGGAAGGGGGTAGTCTCCCAGTGTCTGTGAATGACAAATGCACCAGCCTGTTCTGCTCAGACTTGGGCAGTTGACAGCCTTTAGGTTGCAAACACAGTCACAATCCAGCAATTTAAAATTTCATTTCTGGCCAGGCCCGGTGACTCCTGCCTGTAATCCCAGCACTTTGGGAGACCAAAGCAGTAGGATCACTTCAGACCAGGAGTTCAAGACCAGCCTGGGCAACACAGCAAGACCCTGTCTCTACAAAAAGAAATAAAAAATTAGCTGAGTGTGGTGGCACACACCTGTAGTCCCAGCTACTTGGGAGGCTAAGGCAGGAGAACTGTTTGAGCCTAGGAGGTCGAGGCTGCAGTGAGCCATGATTGTGCCACTGTACTCCAGCCTTGGTGACTGGGCAAGACTTGGTCTAAAAATATATAAATATATAATAAAAGTAAATAAATGAATAGAAGTCCAATTCCTTTTAATGACCCAAACTCTTAACTTGACTTAGCTTTAAGCCTTCCCACCTCCAAGCTCAGGCCTGCTTTGGTGAATGGGCAGGGGGGAAGAGGAGGTCCGTCTTTCTGCTCCCTACTCTCACTGTTCATTGTCCTCTGACTGGGGCTGCTATTTAGGATCTGCCTGGCTAGGAGGAGAACACGGGAGCAGAGGTGGAAGTATGGAAATAGGACAGTTTTTGCTTAGTAATGACCACACCCTCTGGCCCTGGCTGATGGTCAAGGCTACAGGGAAGACATGGCAAGGTCTAGGCAAGTCTCCCAAAGCACTCCTCACTCGGCTTGAGGCAGGAAGGTAGCATCCCTACTCTCTCCACCAATCTTCTCTCCACCTATCATGACGTTAAACCAGGTAAAGGCGCCAAAAGACAAAACACATTCGTCTTCATTGTCGTTGTAAAGCCTGCATGAGGGAGGTCTTGCTCACATTCACCATCCTCAAAAACCAGCCTACTGGGCTTAATACCTATGTAATGGGTTGATAGGTGCAGTAAACCATGATGGCACGTTTGCCTATGTCACAAACCTGCACATCCTATACATGTACCCCAGAACTAAAAATAATAAAGAAAAAAGAATCACTCAAAACAAAACAAAAAACCATAATACTGATGCTTTAGTAGGAAAACAGGCAGTGGCTCATGCCTGTAATCCCAGCACTGTGGGAGGCCAAGGCAGGCAGATCACCTGAGGTCAGGAGCTCGAGACTAGTCCGGCCAACATGGTGAAACCCCTCCTCTACTAAAAATACAAACATTAGCAGGGCATGGTGGTGCATGCCTGTAATCCCAGCTACTCAGGAGGCTGAGGCAGGAGAATCGCTTGAACCCAGGAGGCAGAGGTTACAGTGAGCTGAGATGGTGCCACTGCACTCCAGCCGGGGTGACAGAACAAGACTCCGTCTCAAAAAGAAAAAAGAAAAAAAGAAACTCGCTTAAAAAGCCTCCTTTTAACATCCTATCACATAAAGATTATAAATAATAATCCTCAAGTGCTTGGCTTATAGTAGGTGCAAATTCTATAAATTACTGATATAGTATTGTCTTATTAATAATTTTTTTCTTCCACCTGGCAGAGGAGAGGGGATTTTCCCAATCCCAGCAGGTGCCTGTTTAAATGCATCAGGATTCTTTTCTAAAAATGTTCTGCAGTCAACACATTTAGGTTTCCCAAAACTAAATTCTTGTTCATTATTCAACATTTTTAGATCTGCCACAAGTAGAACCACATGCTTCAGAACTAAAAACTCCTTTCAAAAAAAAAATCCTTGGGTTGGCACATCCAGTGGTTGTTGGTGATGTGCCAGAATTAGAATTAAAACAAGAGACTCCAATTTGGGTTTGAGGTTTTTTAAAAAACACTGTCACTCTCTCAGGAGTGAATGCACTTCTTCTACAGCTCCAAGTAAAAGTCTAAAATATGAATTTAAAAATTGGTTCAGAAATCTTACTGAAAATCCATTTCCATCACTTCTTTGAAAAATACGGATGGCATGCTAATTCTGTTTCTACCACCCCTGAGTTTGGCAAAGAAAGATTTGGACTATTTCCCAGACAACCAACTGAATCAAAAAGCATGATCCTTCCAGGAAACCTGAGACTACTAATTACCCAGACTCTGCGTTTACCTATATACTATGTAGATATGGTATGTTTGCGTCCTGCCCCTCCATTACTATGTGGGTGCTGAGGTCCCCCTGCTGAGAGAGCTGAATATTTTGTTTTTCTCCTGGCAATGTCATGGAATCGCAACTGGTCCGAACCCACTGTGATTTTGCCCACTCCCACGGAAAACACCTTTTCCAAAGCTGGAGGTAGCTTTGGTGCTTCAGAGGAAACTGAGGAGCAAACGCTTTATTCTCATCTGAGCATGACCCTTTTGTATACCCACTGAGGGCTGGAGTAATTATTTTAAACTACTTGGCTCCAAAACCCTCCTCCCTTTGTTAATTCAACTTCAGTTTCCTAGCCCCTTGCTGTACTCCCATTCCCCAGTGGTACTCACTGCTCCTTGTCATGACAGCCATCAGCCTTCTTGGCCTCTGTTGTTTTCACTGCTCCGTCCAGCAATGCCACTGCACCACCAATGCTAGAGACAGCTTACTGAATTCCTAGGGAGGCCTCACCTTCCCCTCACTGCCTGTCACTGCAGGCATCAGGCAGAGGCCAGGGCTCCCTTAAGGAGAATGTTACATATACATGCTGTTACCAGTGCATCACAGAGTTTGTGCATTGAGAAATGAAAACCTGCTCAATAAGCCTCAGATACGTGAATTAATTTATCCCAAGGCACCATGCTCAAAGCCTTCAGACTCAGCCTTCCTGCCTTGATCACAGTTCTATTCATCCTCTGCCTCACCCAATCCTGAACCTCTGAAGAGTGGAGGGCATCCTCCTCTACTGGTAGTTTGTGTTTTCCTAGAATTGTTTTTCTCTGGCTATGTGTAGCCATCAATACTGTTCCAGGGCAACCTCCTAGCTGGACTAGGTGTCCCCACATCCTTCCATCAGAACCTACTCAGAAATTGACCTACATAGAAGAATGTCCCTAATAATGTTGAGTGAAGAAAAATAAGGCGGGCACAAAAAATGTATGGAGTGGTTCCATCCTCTAATTTTATTATTAAATCTTGTCGTTTGGTAGGCCTGTGTCCCTGGCTGTGACCTTCACAAGTATCTTAGCTCCCCCTCCTCCCACTACCTTGAGTAAAACAGGAAGGCTGAAGGGTTCTGGGCTCTGGCAAATGCCCTTCTCTCCAGTGGAATAAGGGTCTGGTGAAGTCTTTTCTTTTGCTGGTTAGGTTTTTGTTATGGAGGATAATCCGTGAACTTTTCAAAATGGTTATTTTCCCTTAGCCCCACCGAAGCCACAGGGGATAATTCCTGGGTCCTCATCATGAGATGCTGGTAGGGTTCCTGGAAGTAAAACCCATGAAAATGTATCTCCCACAAGACTGTGGCCCCCAGGAATTTATGACTCTCAAGCTAGTCCACACCCAGCCTCCAGAAATTAGTCAGTACTATCATTTAAGGGTTCTTTCAGCTTATCATTCCAGACGCATCTGTTCCAGGTAAACAAATTTTTGCTGTGACTCTCTGGATGTACCTATCTCTCCAGATTTCAGAGTGGCTGTTTGCTTTGTGACCTCAATCTCCTGGTAAGCCTGATAAAAGGTACTGATTTTCAGTTTGTTTAGCTTTTTTCTTGTAAGAACTAGAGTGATGACTTCCAAGCTCTTACATGTTAGAGCTAAGACTGGAAATATATTATTTATTTTACAAAGAGTTTTATTATTTTAATTAAAAGAAAAGCTTTTAAAAAAAGATATCCCTCATAGTAATCTATCTTTGGTCCTTAAGTAAAATGGCTAATATCATCTTACTTTAGCAAGGAGCTACACCTGTAAACCTAATAGGAATTACCAACAGAATTAACCTCTCCCATAAAGAGGCAGAGTTGCTACGCCCTGGAGCAGTCCTCCTCCTGCCTTAAATAGCTTTCTGAATTCACTTGGCAGCTAGTTCCCTTGAACCAGGGCAATCTAGGAGCAAGTGATTCTAGAAATTCAAGAAGTACCACCTCAATCTGCTCCTCCTCTCTCTGCACATCCCAACACCTATAATGAAAGGCACAGTCCTCCATAATACAAGCATAATCATGGTTTCCTTTCCAGATACCCATGGATGAGAAAACTTAGTGACAAATACACACTGAGGTATACGCAATTGATAGTGGTTATCTTACTGAAAGCAATCTCTTCTATGTGAGAAGAAGAGCTATGTGGGCACAGAGGACCATAAACAGGGAATGATTCATTCATGCTGGGAGAGAAAGCTGTGGAAATGTGCAAAGCCTTTTTCTCCAGCCCCACCCTGCTGCTACCTCTGAAGACTTCACTCCTCTCTCCCTGAGAAACTCAGCAAAGGCCAGCAAAATAGTACAGGCTTCACCACAGCGCACAGAGAAAGGGGGTTTAGCAGCACAGAAATTGTACCTGCTGTGAGACTTGGTAGTTGCTGTGAAGAATCAAACTTCTTCATGCCTTTTAGTTTTGGTATCCTTAACTATAAAGTGGAAACAAAACCTCCTACTTGGGCTTTTCTGACACCATCCTGGTGGGGCTGTTGGGGCACCTGTATTGAATTTGGTTAGTGTGGAACTCTAGGCTCCTCACCTGGACTTTGCTGATGAGGTTGGATTTGCAGTTTATTTTGTGTTGTTCAGCTGAGGTAGAGGAGTTATTGTCTAAGTTTTCTGTCTTGCTAGGTTGCTGCTGTTTGGATAGAGCAGGTTTCTCTTGGGGCTTTTAATGTCTCTGCCCAGTGATATTTCCGAATTGCTGTCTTTATCAGCTCAACTCTGGGATAAAACAAAGGCAAAACAAAGAAAGCCAAACAAAATAACAAAAAGAGGGACTCATCATGGTGTTATTCTTTGGGTCCTGAGTTCCTCTCCAGCCTGCCATCTTCTCTCTACCTTCCAGGGTCTTCTAATATTTGTTTTATATATTACGTCCAGGGTATTTGGTTATACTCAATGGAAAAAATAGAAACACATCTCCATTTTCCTGGAAGCAAAACTGCCATCTTGTTTTACAACCTGCTTTCAGTGGAATGCCTTTTCATGCAAATATAGCTCATATTATCATTTTAATGGTTGTACATCATTCCATTACACTGATATGCATTGCTTTGACTAAATCAGTTATCTGATTAGATGTACAGAGTCCTCCCTACCTCCAACAGATTTCTTCTACTATGAATAACACTGAAGTGAATATCTCAGTAGCTAAATATTTGTCATATTCTTAATTATTTCCTTAGGCTAAGTTTCTGGACACAACGCTGCTGGATATGTACATTTTAAAGCTTCTAAAAAAATGCAACCAATTGCTCTTCAGAGATCCAGAAAAATTATAGCAAATTATGCTATACCAGCAGCGCTCTGTGCCTTCAATATTAATATTAATATTAAAAATCCGGCGAGGTAATAGTGGCATATCACTTTTCAAAAATTACCATTATTTTGTTACTTGTGAGACTCATTTTGAGGGCAATTAATTATATTAGTATTAAATTCCTAAGCAGTAGGAGGGGCAGTGGGAAAAGCTAAAAATGGAGGCTTGAAAGAGTCCACCCCATGTAGACGAGAGACATGGTAGGTGTGATATATCATTGTAATGTGGTAGACAGTGGCCAGGGCCTGGAGTACCAGGTGAAATCAGAGGCACAGGATTGGAGAGTTGGAAGAGCAGCTCTAACACCAGGTTTCTTCTGTCATTCAAGAGCTCATTTAATTTTTCTGGAATTCTTGGGCTTGTTTCCTAAAGAAGCATCTGTCACCCATCAGAAATTGATAGTTTCTAATCAAAGTGAATAGATTGAAAGCATTATTTGTTGTTTCATTAACTACTGGTCTTATGTAGATACAGGAATACAAGCACACACATGTGCACATACACACACACACACACACACACACACACGTGCACTTAGCCCCGTCCTTATTTATTCCTGGTCTTCTGTTCCATGCCACAATTAGTGTCAAACTATAATGAGCTCAAGTCACAGTTGGGCTGCAATGACAGTCACACAGAGTGAGTGCAGGATAACAGGGGTTGAGCCTGGTTAGGAGAGAGAGGGCTTTCTTCACAGCATTTCTCAGCACCCTCTTAGATTTCACCACCGACTATCTTGCTGCACAACAAGCTAACAAAAACAACAGTGACTTGCATTTGTTTCCAAAGCATTTCAGTCCAGGTCCCTGAAGTCAGGAACTCTCCAGGTGCCTTATTCCCTAATTCTGAACTAGTGACCACCCTACATTATTGCTCTATTTCACATTGGCTGAACTGGAATACATTGAATTATATTTCATCACATTGAGTTGTCTAAACTCTCAAAATAAAGGGGACCCTTAGTAGCGATGGTGGGCATCTCAGGATAACCAGTACCCAATCCCTTAAACATGCACTTGTTGCTTCAGGATATTTTATCTGAAATTATTAGATTTCCTCGGAACATGTTGTGTCAGATATGCTAAAGGCTAATCTGGTATTTTGGAGTACATAAAACATGAGACTTCATGCCAAAATGGACTCATTCCTTGAAGTACTATTGTAGATTTGGGTCCTACAAACAGAAAATTTCATAATTTTTTGTCCAATTCTCATCAGTAAAAGGAAAAAGTAAGGTGCATTTAAAATTGTATACATTTAGTTATATAATTTATTCCTGACAGCAGAATACTTCCATTTTGACTAGATATTAATGAAAACCAAATATACCACTTACAATTTTATACATTTAATGGCTAGAATAATTTAACCCAGAGTAACTTCTGGTTGCTCCTGGCCTTGTTTCAAACTATTTCTCCTTCACCGCTCACACACCTACAGTGCCAAGCACAGGAAGATGTGCGCATACAGTAATGCAACCTCCAGCTCTGCCACTGCGTTGCTGCAGCTGAGCTGCCACAGTGAAGACTTGGAGGGATTTCTGGAAATCAGCATGACCTCCTGGTCACATCGGGTGTCCAGGTGCAATGCTAGCTCACATTTCCTGATTCCTGCATCCACAAGGCCAGCTACTCTCTAGCTCTTCCACCTGAAGTTGCCCAGCTCTGGGACTGGGTGTATTCATTTCTGGAAGAGAGGTATGGAGCCCCACCCCATTCTCCAACCTAGAATTTTCCAGGGAGAGCTCTGCACTTGGGGTTCTTGATCACTTTTCAGCTGGCACTTTCAAAATTGCCACTGAATCCCGTCTGGTTTCTTGGACTGCACTTTAATAGTTAGAATCCAGATGCAAAGGAAATAGATTCTTCATCCCATGACCACCTCCCCCACCAGGTTTTGATCATTTTATAGATGAAAACACTACAGTTCAGAGGAATCTGGCTCACATTGGCACAATTAACAAATGTCAACAGAGAGACTGGGCATATACATTTGCCATCATGGCCCCCAAACCTCTCAACCCCTTGTCTACCCTTTGGTAATGTTTCACATTATGAGCCCTGCCATTCCCAGAACTCACAATCCTAGATTGCTTTACAGGTCATTGCACACGTGACTTAGTTCACACCAGTTAGATTCACACAAGATCTGATGAAAAATGAATTATCTAAGGAGGTGCCCTCACGCTGGGAAAGCAAGTATATTAGCAGAGGTATCCACTTTTGTGGGCACTGCAATGGTGGATACTCAGTCTGGTCCCAGTGAGGCTTGTGTCAGGGTAGTGATAATGGTGATGGTGGCAGTGCCGCAGCAGCTCCCATGGCACCTATCCTGACTATATCACTTCAGAGCTCTCTGAGCTTCCTCAGATTGGGACCTACTGAATATCTCTAAATAAATCCCTTTATTGCTTGAAATAGCAAGGGTTTATTTTGTTGTTTGCAAAACAAAGCCTGCCCAATGTTAACTGGAGCTCAGAATTTCAGATTACCTGAGGCCAGGCGCGGTGTCTCACACCTGTAATCCCAGCACTTTGGGAGGCTGAGGCAGGCGGATCACGAGGTCAAGAGTTCGAGACCAGCCTGGCCAACATGGTGAAACCCCATCTCTATTAAAAAAAAAATACAAAAATTAGCCAGGAGTGGTGGCAGGCGCCTGTAATCACAGCTACTCGGGAGGCTCAGGCAGGAGAATCGCTTGAACCTGGGAGATGGAGGTTGCAGTGAGCCAAGATCATGCCAGTGCACTCCAGCCTGGGCAACAGAGTGAGACTCCATCTCAAAAAAAAAAAAAAAAAAAAAAGATTCAGATTCCCAAACTCAGAACTCTTCCCCTGCCATGCTCAGGGATTAGCTTTAAACCCACAGCTTCCTTTCCTCCAGATGAGTAACTGAAGATAAAAAACTGAGGACACCTGGAAAGAGAACTTGGGACTCGGGGACTCAGTCCAAATGGACAGCCTTGGATAGGGTGACACAGAGGAAAACTGAGGTCACTGCACCCCACTAGGGAAAGCAGAGGGAGAGGCAGGAAGCAAAAGAATTATTAGAAAAGGAGAAGAGAACTCAGATTACTGAGTATTGGATTCGTGCCAGGCACAATATTAGGCACTTTATAAACAGCAAGTAAAAAAAAAAAAAAAAGTATATAAGATAGACAGATATTCCCAGCCTTTCTCACGTTCCCACTTGGTAAGGAGGATTTTTAACTAGGTATATATATATTTGTTTTACAAAAATAGCATCACACTCTGCCCTAAGTTGTGTCTTTGAGTATGCCTGTCATGTCTAATGTTAAGTCATGCTGTTCTTTTCACATTTCTGCTGGTGGCAAGGCATTCTATTTGTGTGGATGTACAGTCTGCCCTCCATATCTGAGGGTTCTGTATCTATGGAATCAATACTGGAAAATATTTGAAAAAAAAATGCAACAATAAAAATACAAATTTTAAAATATAGTGTTAACAACTATTTACATAGCATTTACATTGAATTATGTATTACAAGTAATCTAGAGACGATTTAAGGTATGGGAAACTGTGTGTAGTAGGTTATATGCAAATATTGTGCCATTTTATATAAAGGACCTGAGCATCCTCAGATTTTCGCTTCTGTTGGGGGGTCCTGGCACCAATTCCCTCCATGAATAGTAAGGGACAGATGACTATACCATAATTTAAATGATCCTATATTGGTTGGCTTTTATATTGTTTACAGTTTCTAACCAACATAATCACTATTATAAATACTATGATATAAAGACCTTTACGTATATTAATTTGCTCACTTGGCTGAATACTTCTTCTGTATTAGTCCGTTTTCACATTGCTATAAAGAGTACCACCTAACACTAGCTAATTATAAAGCAAAGAGGTTTAATTGACTCACAGTTCCACAGGCTTAACAGGAAGCAGGGTAGCCGGCTTCAGGAAACTTAGAATCACAGCGGAAGGTGAAACAGAAGCGTACACGTCTCACGTAGCAGCAGGCAAGAGCGAGCTGGGGAAACCGCCATTTATAGAACCATCAGCTCTCGTGAGAATTCACTCACTATCACGAGAACAGCTTGCGGGAACCGCCCCTGTGATTCAACCACCTTCCAACAGGTCCCTTCCTGGACCTGGGGATTATAATTGGGATTGCAATTCAAGATGAGATGTAGGTGGGAACACAGAACCAAACCATTCAACTTCCATGGGCTAAATGCCGAATTACTAAATCCAAGAATTACTACACCATTACTAAGGTGCAGGGTAAAAGCCCCTGAGAGTAATAATTTAAGCATACAATTAGAATAAACCTGTATGGCAGACGCACCTGAATGTGTGTTTCAAGCTAGGGAATCCAGGAGTGGCCAACCCAGAGATTCATTCCTTGTTTATGAGAAACATCTGAGTCCCCGTCCCGTCCCGTCCCGTCCCGTTGAACATGGGCCATAAGGAAGGATTGAGGCCCTGAGTTTGGGCGGCGGGGGGGGGGGGGGGGGGGGGGGGGGGGTACCTGAAAGTTGCCAGGTGGAGGTCGTTAAGGGGAAGCTGTTAACTGAAAATGCTATATAAACTACACGCTGTTTGCAGGCCGTTGTGTTTTTCCTGCCCAGCCTGCCACCACTGGCCTGGATATAAGGTGGATATCTTGTCCAGCCCGGTGCCACTGGACTCTCTCCCCTGTATGTAAGCCGCTAATAAAACCCTATGTCTTGTTTGCTGGGTTTCTGGCCTCTTGAACCTGGTGTCTTCCCTAATGAGGTTAATAAAGGTTCGGCACAGCAAAAGGTGTCATGTAAATACCTTTAAGGGTTTTGGCCTGAATTGCAAAATTGCTCTCCCAAAAGGCTGTAGCACTCTTCTCCTACAAGTAGTATGTAAGACTCTGTTTCTCCATACCTCCCCCAAGGCTAGCTATTATTCTTGTAATCTTTGCCAATCTGATAAAAAAAATTGATTTGATTTTTTTGTAAGACTTTGATTACTAATTAAGGATGGACATGTTGGCTTCTTGTTGAGCACTTGGTTATCTCGGCACACAGGAAATTTCTTTTCTTTTTAACTCAAACACAGGATTTGAGGTTCCTGAACACCTGGTATAACAGAAAACTGGTTGGGCACGGTGGCTCTCGTCTGTAATTCCAGCACTTTGGGAGGCTGAGAGGGGAGGATCACCTGAGGTCAGGAGTTTGAGACAAGCCTGGCCAACATGGAAAACCCCTGTCTCTACTAAAAATACAAAAATTAGCCTGGTGTGGTGGCACACACCTGTAATCCCAGCTATTTGGGAGGCTGAGGCACGAGAATCACTTGAACCCTGGAGGCAGATGTTGCAGTGAGCTGAGATTGCGCCATTGCACTCTAGCCTGGGTGACAGAGAGAGAATCCATCTAAAGATAAATAAATAAATAAATAAATAACAGACAACGGCTCCCTCTCATTCTCCCCAGTTGATTACAGGACCTAGCAATGTCCTGTAGAGTAAATTCTCCTCCCAGCCTGCCTAAGTGACAGCCCATTACTCAAGCTGAGCAGGGGCCCACCTCTCAATCGTGCTGTCCAATCCCAGCTCCTCTTTGAAATAGCAACTTGTCTGTAATGGGAATTTTCAATCCTGGCTGCATATCACCTGGACTAAACATTTTTTATTCTTTAGTTTAAATTTTTTTTCTTTTAAGAGTACATAATATATTACTCACGTTTTTTAAAAACACAGAGGGAGATTCAGTTAAAAGTCTCCCTATTATCTGTGGCCCCCATCTGCCCCATTCCCCTCCCTATAAGCAACTGATGTTACTAATTTCTCATGGATCCTTCCAGAGATATAAACAGATATTTAAAAATGCTCTTTTTGGGGACCCACGCCAGAATTTCTGAATCAATTTCTGGGATGAAGAATCTGGAAACTTGAATTTTTTTGAAAAGCCCACAGTATTGTTGAATTATAATCAGGGTTTAGAGCAACTTCTTGAGTATATCATTCATTTATGCATTCAACCCACATTCATTGAGCATGTGCTTTTATGTGCCAGACACTGTGCTGGGTGCCAGGGTGAATCAAACAAAGTTGCTAGTCTCATGCAGCTTTGATTATAGTGCAGGGAGAAAGCAGAAAAAACAAACTGTAATTATTGAAAAATTGAGAAGTTCTATGATGAAAACTAAAGCAAAATAATGGAAAGTCTTCCAATTGCTTTGATCACAACTTGAATCTCCTTCTTTCTCATTTAACCTTTCTTACCATCTCCACTGGAGAGCAGGTGAGAGACAGAAAGAAAAAAAGGCAACATTTTTCAGGAAATTAGATTATTCCCAGAGCCCAAATTCAGAACAAGTTTGAAGCTGGTGCCCAGGGTTCTTCCCATGTGGTATTTATTTCTCTTCATTAGCGCTGATTGTTGAATTCTTCATAATGGCTTAGAAATAACGTTAAGAAATGGCAATTTGCTCATTACTCGGAAATAGAATGTCGAATTTCTTCTTTCTCTTCTACAATTCAGTAAAGCCTATGCTAAATCATTGTAGGGGCTCTGGGAAGCCTACCCGGCATCTGAGAACTTGTGGGGAGCAGAGGGTGTCTCTTTCAGAGTCAGGGTAGCACCTAGTGTCTCCTAGAGGGAAAGGCAGCAGGAGGTCCACTTGCCACTGACACTTGAAAGATTCAATTCTACAAAAGACTAACATTATCAACATGTGCCAGGCACTGTGTGGTAGGTACCATTATTATCCCACTTAAAAATAAGGAGGAGGCCAGGTGCCGTGGCTCTTACCTGTAATCCTAGCACTTTAGGAGGCAGAGGCAGGTAGATCACTTGAGGTCAGCAGTTTGAGACCAGCCTGGGCAACATGGTGAAAGCCCCATCTCTACTAAAAATACAAAAATTAGCCAGATGTGGTGGTGGGGGCCTGTAATCCCAGCTACTCAGGAGGCTGAGGCAGGAGAATCTCTTGAACCTGGGAGGTGGAGATTGTAGTGAGCCGAGATCACGCCACTGCACTCCAGCCTGGGTGACAGATTGAGACTCTGTCTCAAAAATAAATAAATAAATAAAAATAAAAATAATTAGGAAACTCAGAGTTAAGCAGCTTATCCAAGTCATCCTGCATTCAGACCTAGGTTTGCTAGGTTTGCTGACATCAGTTTGGTATACCCCTACTACCCCTCAAAGTTTTGCCTGGAAACTTAAATGAGACAATCTATCCATTACGTTCTCCAGAATGGAAGCTGCCTTGTTTTTTTTTTTGTTGTTGTTGTTTGTTTGTTTGTTTGTTTGTTTTTTGAGACGGAGTCTAGCTCTATCGCCCAGGCTGGAGTGCAGTGGCGTGATCTTGGCCCACTGCAAGCTCCATCTCCCGGGTTCACACCATTCTTCTGCCTCAGCCTCCTGAGTAGCTGGGATTACAGGTGCCCGCCACTACGCCTGGCTAATTTTTCTTTTTTGTATTTTTAGTAGAGATGGGATTTCACCATGTTAGCCAGGATGGTCTCAATCTCCTGACCTCATGATCCACCCGCCTCGGCCTCTCAAGTGCTGGGCCTTGTTGTTTTTAACTGGCTAGACTCACCTAAATCTGACAGCTACAGACTCACATCCACCATTTTTTTGGAACCAAACTGATGAGAAGAAAGGAGGCAGAGGAGCGTAAAACCATGCAGTAAAGCCTGGAATTAGCCTGCCTGTTGCAAGCTGGGGCCCAGAGTGCCCCATCTGATACCCATGGGCCACACTGTGAGAAGTTCCTGAGTCAGCTTCCATTGTTAGTGCTCAGAAACTTGCTCATTTTCTCCTCCATATAACCATGAGTCACAGGAGGACTTACTCCTGTTACTATAGCGTCAGGCACAGAGGAGGTACTAAATGTGGAATGAATGAAGACATGACAGAATGAGCTGCCTCCCCTTCCCAGCTGCCTCTTTCAGGCTGGACCCAATCTGTGTGTCTTCAACTGCTATTCATTTTGCATTTACCCTTGCCATTTCACACTTAATTCTCACACCAGTCACTGGGATAGGAGGTATTAGCCCACTTTACAGATGAGGAAAGTGAGGCCTACAGTGCTTATGTGACGTCTGCACTGTTTGGAAACAGCTGGGGTAATTCCAGCAGCCCCAGTTCTGCTCCCTCCTCTTCCTTCCCCATCAGCCCTCCCTAAGGCCTCAGCAGACCTACAACCCAAATCCAATCTCTCCTCTTTAGCTGTGTCCCACTGTTACAGTTGCTGGTTTCTTCAAAGAGTTGTTTTTGTTTTGGTTTGTTTTAGAGATGGGATCTTGCTATATGGCTCAGGCTGAACTCTTGGGTTCAAGCCAATTCTCCCACCTCTTCCTCCTGAATAGCTGGAACTACAGGCATGCACCACCACATCTGGCTGGGGTGGTTTCTTTCAGGATCTTAATTCCTAATAACCAATAGATTTTAAACTGGCAGTGTCCCCAGGGCTGCTATTGGGCAATAAGCTTCTGCACTAACTCTATTTTGCATACTTTAATGTGCAGACAAATCACATGGGGATAATGTCGAAATATAGGTTCTGATGCATTGGACTGGAGCAGGATCCCAGATTCTGCATTTCTAGTACACTCCCAGGTGAGGAGAAGCTGCCTGTCTGTGGACCACACTTGAGTAGCGACAAGGCACTAATTCTCATTAGGCCCTGGCCTAGAAACAAATGTGTTTTGTTCCTCATTGTTAAAAGTTAAATTGTGTCCCTCCAAAAAGCTTATGTTGAGGTCCTAACCTTCAGGACTCAGAATGTGACCTTATTTGGAAATAAAGTATTTGCAATGTAATTAGCTAAATTGAAATAAGGTCATCCTGGAGTAGTGTGAGCCCCTAATTAATTGAATAAGACTGGTGTCCTTGAAAGAAGACCTCATGTGAAGACAGACACTGGGAGAACACCACGCAAAGATAGAGGCAGAGATTGGAGTGAAGCATCTACAAGAAAAGGAACATCAAGGACTGGCAGCTGCCACTAGAAACTGAAAGAGAGAATAGATAGAAGACTCTCCCACAGGGAACCAACCCTACCAACACCTTGATGCTGGTCTTCTGGCCTCTAGAACCATGAGACAGTGTCTTTCTACTATTTTAAGCCACCCAGTTGGTGGTACTTTGTTACAACAGCTACAGGAAACCAATACACATGTGAGCCCGAAGAAAATAAAAATTAGCCAAGAATGAGAAAGTAAAAATCTGCCTAAGGGATTGCAGAGATTTGGTCAAAGAATACAAAAGTTTCAGTTACACAGGAGGAAAAGTTTAAGAGATCTATCGTACAGTATGGTGACTATAGTTAAGAACAATGTATTTCATACTTGAAAATTGTGAAGAAAGTAGATTTTAAGTGTCCTTGTCACAAATAAATGGTATGGGGTTAATGCATGTGCTAATTAGTTCAATTTAGCCATTCCACAATGTGTACATATTTTGAAACATGTTGTACACCATAAATATGTATAATTTTTATTTGTCGATTTTAAAATGAGATTTGTGGGAATAAAAAGATACATGTTAAAAATTAAATATAAATTTAAAAATTCTGCCTAGCCATTCATCAGACTAAACACGGATTAGGCAGAATAAGGCAATTAAGACAACAGAAAAAGATAAGACAGAGAAGAATGCCGGCACAAATACATTCAACAGCTGCGTGGATAGGAGACAATATTTCTCCCCAGGAGCCACAACATGTCATAGCAAACCCTTCTCTGTGACTGTTACTTCTTACTCACTGAGGGACTTTGTGCTCTAAAATCATAGACTATTAGAAACATCACCATCTGAAATCATTTCAGTAAGAATGAGATAGCCCACTCTGGCCTGGAGAATCCAAGTCACTTTGACACAAAAAAGCAGCATCGATTTCCAACTCCATTACAGAGTTTCAGATAAGGAGTTTCTAGACACATTTCATGTCTACCTTCACTTGGTAGTTTCCAGGGAAACAGCAGCCTGCCTCCACTTTGCTGTTCAGAACTGATGGTCCCTTTATACACAGCCTTGATTTGTTTTGTGCTTATAAAAACTCTGCTTCATTTCAGCTCTCCCTGACCTCCATACTTTCCCCAATTCCTATGATAACTCCGTCTTCCTTTGTTTGGTGAGACTCTCCGTGATTCTGTGGTGTGTGATCTCCCTCATTACAATGTGTCAATAAATTTGATTCTGTCAGACTACGTGGTTGTCCCTGATGGTCTTAGGCTGGTTGGGCTGAGACACACTAATTTGATTTCCAGGGCTTACCATGTAGTAATGGCATCTTACAGCTGGGAACATCAGAAGGACCAGCTGTTAATGAGCTTGGAATTCTACCTCTTAGTTCTTTTCTTCTCATCCCACCTTTTTTCTCCTTTTCACTTCCAACTGAAACTTTATTTTCCTTAGATCCATTTCTAGTCCGAAATCACTGCACCTTGCATCCCTACATTCTAGGAAAAGTCATGGAGTGACCGAATTTAAGATCTGCCGGTCACTGGCAGCTTAACTTACAATTTCTAATTGTCAGTTTCAATGTGTGTAGAATGGGAATAATAGTACTCAACTCAGCAGGTGGTTGGAAAGATCAAATGAGATAATCCACAAACAGCACTTAGTGTGAGGCCTAGTGCATAACGTGCATCCTATAATATTAGCTGTCATTATGTTGTTGTTAAATAGGACAGGCCCACAGGAACTGGCTCTGCCCTCTTTTATGCTCTTTTCTTCTACCCCCATGGTAAGACATTTGTCCCCCTTACAGAGAGAAGACAAGCCCCACCCCTCAGAGAGTCCCCCCACCCCTCAGAGAGTCCCCCCACCCCTCAGAGAGTCCCCGCACCCCTCAGCCCTGCCTGAAAATGACCCAGCAGAATTTCTCCAAGTAAGATTCAGGGACTGGGGGCAGTGGTTCACGCCTATAATCCCAGCACTTTGGGAGGCCGAGGCAGGAGGATCACCTGAGGTCAGGAGTTTGAGACCAGCCCCTGGCCAACATGGTGAAACCCCATCTCTACTAAAAATACAAAAATTAGTTGGGCATGGTGGTGCACGCCTGTAGTCTCAGCTACTTGGCAGGCTGAGGAAGGAGAATCGCTTGAACCCAGGAGGCGGAGGTTGCAGTGAGCCGATATCATGCCACTGCACTCCAGGCTGGGCAACAGAGAGAGAATCCATCTCAAAAATAGAAAAGAAAAGATTCAGCAATCACCTACATTAGCATCAAGTGACAGAACTTGTCAAAAATGTTCATTTCTGGACCAATGGAATCAAGTCCTCCAGGTCCAAGATGAAAGTAAATAGTAAGGGGCCCTTGGGAACAAGGCTGGAAGGGTCTTTGAGACCAAATTACCAGGACTGATGACACTCATCACCCACCACTGTCCATTCCTTCACCCAAACAATATGGCACGAGCCCATCCTGAGCACAGCACTGTGCATGACTCAGACACACAGGGAGGTCAAGATAAGTGAGCCCTTATCCTCATGGGGTTTATAGTCCAGTGGAGAAGAGAGAGCAATAAGCAGTCAAAATACAGGGTGCTGGGTGCAGAGTGCACGGAGAAGAAATGGGCAGGACTGTGAGAGACAGACAAGGGGCACTCAATTCACATGGTACGAGGGGTCACAAGGCTTCCTGAAGTAGCATCTGAGCAGAGCCCTGCACTCTGAGCGTTACCCAGACGGAGGTGGGGAGGGCATTCCAGGCAGAGGGAGCAGTCTATGGAAAAGCTAGGCAGAAAGAACAGGTTTGAAGAATTGCACATGGCTTTGCATGAGGACCATGGAGTGCTAGGGATAAGGGAGGTGAGCCTCGCAGTTGCCCAGCAAGCAGCACCAGATGGGGAAAAGGCTTGCAGACCAAGACACATAATGATCTGGGCTTTAGTCTATAGAGAAGCTTAAAATGGGGGTGGGGGTGATGTGTAAATCTGATTTACATTTTCAAAAGATCACCCTGGATACTGTAGAAAATAATTAGAGGGGAGCAAGGATGGGTGCCTTTAGAAGGCTATTGCATGGTAGAGGGGAGTGGTGGTGGATTGCACTACAGTAATACCAGTGAGGACGAGAAAAATGCATAGATTTCAGAGCGTTTGGAAGCTCTGGCCAACGGGACTTGATTATTAATGAGAGGTGCAGAGTGTGTGTGTGTGTGTGTGTGTGTGTCTGTGTGTGTGTCTGTGTGTGTGTGTGTGTGTGTGTGTGTGTGTGTGTGTGTGTGTGTGTGTGGTGTTTGGGTGGGGTGGTGCTAGCTGCAAGGGCATGAAGCCTGAGTTTATAAAGGGAGTGTCTGCTGTCACAGGCGTTCTGGGGAAAGGGCTGTAGCTCTGCTCCCCTTCGTGCCATGCCTTGCTCCCACCAACAGCTGTTTCTTTCTACCTGGACAACAGATGCCTGAACATCCTAGGACCTATCCTCTTTTTAGAGATTACACGTTTGTGTTGTAATAATCCATTGTGTGTCTGCCTCCTCTGATTGAGCTGTGAATTTCTTATGGCAGGGACTGGGGCTGGGAGAAGTACTGACATAGCACTCACTAAGTTCAGTCTTCAGACCACTAAATTGGGGGTTAGGATTGAACATGCAGTTTCTGGGGCTCCAACTCCAGACTTCTAGAATCAGATTCACTTGAAGTAGGGCCCAGGAATCTGCCTGTTAATCAACACCCCAGGTACATCTGAAGCTTAAGAAGTTTAAGATTGTGCTTGTTACATGCCAAGAAAGATTCCTTTGGACTATAAAGGGAGATCCCTTGGACTATAACGTCAAGAGGATATACAGTAAAGAGGACAAGCTCTGGAGTCAGCCTGAGACCTATTTCAGATCTTCATTGAACCTCAGTGCTCCCATCTCTAGACTGGGGTACTATGCCCACTCCTCAAGGATAAGTGGGCTACTGTAATCTGTGAAGCACAGGATGTGGCACAAGGCACCCACTCAATGAACACTGGTTGAATAAACTTGCAAAAGACGGTGACCGCAGCATGCAAGCAGATTTGTTTGCATTTTCGTCTCAGATTTCCTTTGCTACTTCATAGTCACTAAATACCAGTTTGACTTGAACAGCAGTTACATGCTAATGACAAAAAGCAGTGGCGTGCTTGTTCTCAGAAACCTGAGAATCCACTGGCTCTGTTAAAATGAAATTCTACTGAGTTGACCACAAGGACATTTCCTTGTCCCCAGAAAAAGACTCGCCTAAATTAAGTTGCAGTGTAACCTCTTCCAAATGTTGCCCAGACTGAAGAGTGCTTTCATATTATTCCTTTATCCAACTCTCTTTCCATCTGGCCTCTTTGTAAAATTCTTCCTCCGTTGTTTCAGAACTAAAATGACACCTTCTTAGAATTCCAGCATGCTACTTCTCAGTAGAAAGTGTGGTATATCAGAGGCAGCGGGCTTGGGAGTCCGTTGGGAGGCCTGATTTGGAAGGCCAGCTCCAGCAGTTACAAGCCGAGCAACCCTGAGCAAGTCACGTAACTCTTCTAAGCCTTGATGATAATCTCTGTAAAGTGGGTATGACAACAGTTTCCACATTATAGGGCTATTATGAGGATTAAGTCATCCTTGCACAGCCCTTAGAATGAAGGTTAGCACAGAGTAAGCACGTAGGTTGGCTGTTTTCAGATGTATTCAGTGGCAAATATGTGGCTGGTCCCTGAATCTCTCGGCTTTGTAGACTTATATGCTCTTTAACTCCACTCAGTGAGGCCTGTCTCTCTCTCTCTCTTAGGTCCAATTTCCATGTTCAATTCATAATCAAACCTACCTCAAAAAAAAGAAGTGAAGAAAATTTTCGCCACTAATGTGTTATTGAAGTGTCACCCTCAAATAATGAAATTCAGAAAATATGATGAAGTATTGAGTTTATTTCAGCACAAAGCTTGAGGATAGCCACTTGGGAAACATAGACTCCAAAGGAATGGGGTCAGTGCTCCAAAGTGGAGAAGTTAAGGTTTCACTTATAAGGCAGAGACAGAGAAGTGTAATAGGGTTACAACATTTTCCATGCAAGGTCAGTACATGTTACAGTGATTTGATTGGTTACAGCTTGTTGCATGCCAAGGAAGGTTCCTTTAACATTCCATAAGGAGGGGTAATGGCCTGGAAAGGTCTTAACTCTGGCACCATTCGGTCCTTCCGAATCATTTACAGGAAAAACCAGAAGTTGCAGCTGCATGCTATATGACTCAGGTCACATGGCCGCATTGCTCTCAAGGCTCAACATAATTTAAAGTTCCGCCAGCTTTAGGTTTGAATTATTTAATTTCACAACAGAAAGTAACTTTTCCTCTGACCTTTTCTGGAAGAATTCGTGGTTTCCTAAATTCCAGCCCAAAACTTATCTCAATGCTGCCAAACATATCTCCATGAATCAGCCAAATTCCTCAATAGGAAGGAAGCTTTTAAAAATAAAAATTAGACCCATTGACTGGGCATAATGAATAATAGAAGTAGTAGAAGGAAGTTATAATACTCATCCTTCCACTCTTAATTTCTGCCCAGGGTTCACGGCAAAGCAGCTTTGTGGCCCAGGCATTTTGTAAAATGGCTGTGGCTAGTGGCAGAAGGCACTTTGTGGCTCCTGCTGGACTAGGACTAGGCTGTCCTGAGCAGCTGCAATTAAAATCAGAGCACTTGGGTAGAGTCTGAAGTCTGTCTCAACAGGAGGACAGTATGCCAGCTATAGCTGCTCCCTTCTCTAGGGCTCATCTCCTTAGAACAGCGGTTCTCAAACTTTGCTGCATTTTGGAATCCCCATGTTGGAAGATGGGGAGTTTTGAAAAATCTTAATGCCCAGGCCAATTACTTAAGAATTTCTGACTTGGGGGGAGAGGGTGGGGTGGGGATATGTAGGACTCAAGCATCAGTAATAGTGTTTCAAATTTTAATGTGCATATGAATTGCTTTGTTAAAAATTGTTTCAACGTTGAATACAGATTCAGATTCAATAGGTCTGGGTTGAGGAAAGCGATTCTGCATTTCCAACAAGCTCCCAGGTGAGTCTTCACTGCTGGTCTAAGGAGCAGAATTTGGGTAGCAAAGTCTTAGACAGTTCTTCCTCCCACCGCATCCTGTACATCAAAATTAGTGCCTGACCCTCACCGGTCCATTGCCCAAGGTTGTAACATCAGAGATGAAGGCCTTTTCATTAGTTTATTTATTTCCAGGACCCAGTCTAAGGAAAGTGAGCTAATTATTATGGATTTATCTGCATTATCTTGTTTAAGGAGAAGACACTTAGAAAAATGGGAATTGAAATTTGTTCTTGCCATCAGATCTTGCTGATCTATAAAACACCATTATCCTTATACTTATTATTATAGAACTTTCCATTTTGAGCTTCTCCTTTCTTCCAGCTCCCAGGTCCTATAATAATATTCTTTAAGGACTTGCCCACATGGAGCAAAGCCAAATGGTGCAATGGTTCAGGAAGGTCACTAAGGGCCAAATGGTGTGTGCTTAAATTCTGGCCCTACCACTTAGTGGCTGTGTGAACATGGATGATTTATTTAACCTCTCTGTGCCTCGGCTTTCCCATCTGTAAATTGGAAGTTATAGTAAGTAAATGAATATATCTACAAGTAAAGGCTAAATGCTGTCCCTAGAACCTTATGTGAATTAACTCTCTTAGTCCTTATAATAATTTTACCAGGTTAACTTATCATCCCCATTTTGTAGATGGGTTAAGGATTTTGCCTGAGGTCACACAGCCAGGATTTGAGACCAGGTAGCCTGACTCCAATACTCATCCTGTTAACTACCAAGATGGACTATCTCTCACATGTAGCAGCTAGAACTACAACGGTGGTCTGCTAACTCTCAGCAAGGGGCTCCAGGACTGGGTCATACTTCAATTGTCTGCCATAGTCAGCCACAATCCCTCAATCCCACAGTCCCCCTGCAGTCTCGCATAAGGCCCTAACACCTACGCAGCCACTGTGCAAAGAACATGCTCCACCACCCCCCTTCTATGGGCTGACAACTGGACCATCTCAGGCAAGGTCTTTTGCATCAGCTCAATTCAATGAATCATCCACATGGCTGTTCACTTTCAGAGCACATTCTAAACACTGCTCTGAGTCAGCCTCCTGTGCTCAGTTTTGGAGGTGCTCAGATGAATTCAAACAAGCCCCTGCTTTAGGGAGCTCAGAGGGGCCTCAGGGAGGAGACAGATGTGTGAGAGATGCCTATGGTAACTCTCAGGAAGTGTTTAAAAGGGGAAATGAGGCCAGGTGTGGTGGCTAACGCCTATAATCCAAGCATTTTGGGAGACCGAGGTGGGCGGATTACCTGAGGTCAGGAGTCTGAGACCAGCCTGGCCAACATGGCGAAACCCCATCTCTACTAAAAATACAAAATAATAATAATAATAATAATGAGCTGGGCGTGGTGGCGCATGCCTGTAGTCCCAGCTACTCGGGAGGCTGAGGCAGGAGAATCACTTGAACCCAGGAGGCAGAGGTTGCAGTGAGCTGAAATGGCACCACTGCACTCCAGCCTGGGTGACAGAGTGAAACTCTGTCTCAAAAAAAAATAGAAAAATAAAAAATAAAAAGGGGTAATGAGCAAAGAGAGAAAAGCTCTGGCTGGGCACATCAGGGAATGCTTCTAAGAGGTAACACATAAGCTCAAGAATTATCAGGCAAATTAATGAATTAATCAGTTCACTGATAACACCATGCCTTGGTGCTAAAGATACAAGGGTATACTGGATAATTTGTTTCCTCCTCAGATCTGTTGGCTACTTCTCCCACCTGCTCTGTGCCCCCAGGAAGCTGACCCAGATGGACTACATTAGCAGGCTGCTTTGCCCTCTGGCTTCGGGTTGTGTTTGGCCAGGGAGAGGCATCAAGAGGAGATTAGCAGGTGGAAGAAGAATGAGGTTGGGTGTTTATTCCCTAAAGCATGGCCCCACAGGGTTGCCTAAAGTTGATTGCATTCCTCCACCCAAGGCCTTGGCTCCTGTTGGGTGACCCTCTCTATAGCTCTTCGAGTTCTAGATTTCTTCACTTGTCCTTTCAGACCTATAAGGAGGCTTCCTGCAGGGATTAAAAATTCCCCAGATGGAGTAAGAAAAAAAGCCATTACTTATTTATTCAATCAATGCATATTTATTGAACATTCAGATATCAGACCCATTTGAATGAAATGCTGAGCTTGGAAGTTTTAATAATGGTGGGAAATGGGGGGAAGGAATAAGTCAGAAACAGAGGGGTCATCAAGAAGGACAGGTGAGGGTTAAGAGCTGCATGGACATCTGTTTGTTCACCTTTCACCCCTCCCCCTTCTTTCCTGTTTGAGTACATTCCATGTGGATCAGGTGGAACCAAGCACACTTCACCCTATTCCCACCCTATCCCCAAAGAGGTAGACAAATGATCCAGGCTCATCTAATCAGAATACAGCATTCTCCAGGCTAAGAGATGAGTTTATAGACCCATGCAAGGCCAGTCAGAGTCCTTCAACAAGATCTGATAAAGGGATACTGGGAGAGAGGGGAAGCCAGTATTTAATAACACCAGGTACCAGGTACTATTTTCCAAAGCATTATTGGATATTTCTTCACAATGTCTTTTCAAAATGGATGTTTACTATCCTCATTTTACAAATGAGAAGACTAAGACTTAGGGAGGTTAAACATCTTGCCCAAAAACACAGAGCTAGAAAATGGCAGAGCCAGGATTCCACAGTCCAAACATTGCCTTTACTCTGTTGTTCAGAATACAACCATCGCCACAAAAGATATACTATTCAGTAATTTGGCAATTACTTTCCTTAAATTCAAATCAAACCAATACCCAGCCCAAGTCTGGGAACTGGGAATGCTCACAGAGAAGAGAAATCTGAGGTGGAGGCAAGTCAATGCCTTTAAAAATCCAGGTATCAAGGGGAGGACAGGTGGGGAAGCAACATGTCCCTGGATCCAGGGACTCTTGGATGACACAGATTGCTGGCTGGTAGATCACTGGCCAAAGAGTCAGGAACCTTAAGCCTCATTTTGTGCACTCTTCAAATTCCTAGGACATCTTTCCCCAGAGCAGGGATGGAGGAAACAGGGGAGAGAACCAAAGACCATGAAGAGTTTCGAGAAAGGCTGTCCTGATGCTCCCATCATGCTGCTGATGTCAGCCTAAAACATCTTGGTGTGCCAGGAAGTAAGGAAGTCCTTGAAGAATGATGGAAACTTGTCAAAAGAACATAGAAGACAGCTTGAAGAGGCTACTACAGGCCATTTCTGGGACAATTTGAGCATCACAATAAACAGCAATAGTAGTGAATTATTAAACCATACAATAAAGTAAGAACCTGGCCAGGTACGATGGCTCACACCTGCAATCCACTGAGGCGGGCGGATCACAAGGTAAGGAGATCAAGACCATCGTGGCCAACATGGTGAAAACTCATCTCTACTAAAAATACAAAAATTAGCCAGGCATGGTGACATGTACCTGTAGTCCCAGCTACTCGGGAGGCTGAGGCAGGAGAATTTCTTGAACCCAGGAGGTGGAGGCTGCAGTGAGCCGAGATCACACCACTGTACCCCAGCCCCCGTGACAGAGCAAGACTTCGTCTCAAAACAAACAAAAAAAAACAAACAAAAAAGAACCCATGAGTCCATACTGATACATGGATAATATGGGAGAAGGAAACTCTCTTTCTTAAATTAGAACACCAACAAATAAATGTAGAAGGAATGATGGAAATAGAAAACCATCACTTGGCAACTATCATAATAATAATTGATTAAAGCATCCATTGATATGGATGTTAAAACTAGTGGGTGAAAAATTTAATAATTAAGAAGGTATTTATATAGCCTCAAAGGCTCTCTGTCAAGAGATAATAATTAATTATAAAGGGGAAAATAGTAACTTTATAGTGAAGAAAATAACATCACCTTAACCAAAGTTAACATCCTCAGTAATGAGAGAGACGAACATTGTGTGCCTCCTGAAATCATTCACTAAAATGAGCACAATGTACTTTTATAATATTCCTGCCAAAAATCCATAACCTGAATCTAATCATCTGAGAAACTCAAGTCACACTGAGGGGCATTATGCTAAATGACTCATACTCTTCAAAAATGTCAATGTCATTAATGACAAAGGAAGAACTAGAACTATTCAAGATGAAAGGAGGTCAAAGAGACATGAAACTGAATACAACACATCATCCAGGACTTACTCTTTCTATAAAGGGGAGTATTGGGACAATTGGTGAAAAGATAGACAGAGAAATAGATACCAGATAGGAATACGAATAAGAGCTATACATTAGATAATAGTGTTCTGTCCATTATAATGTTCATAAATTGATAATTTTACTGTGATTCTGTAAGAGAATAATCCTTGTTTTTAGAAAATACATACTAAAACATGTAGGGGTAAAAGGACACCATGTTTGTAACTTTCAAATATTTTAGAAATAAAATAATGTGTGTGTTTGTGTTTGTGTGTATGTGTGTCTAGTGAAAGAGAAATCAAATGAAGAAAAATGCAAATACCTGGGGAATCTGGATAAAGAATATACAAGAATTATTTAATTATTCTTGCAACTTTGCTACAAGTTTTAGATTGGGTCAAAATAAAAAGATTTTTAAAAATAGAAAGTAAGCATTCAATAGGGGGATCTGATCTAGACCACACTATCTGGAAAAGCTTCTCAGGGAAAGTAACTTTGAAGCTAATACCCACTGTCATTGTCTTGTGATCGTCCAGTTATCTCCTACTTTAAAGGCAGGAACTTTGTTGATTCTTCTCACACAGTGTTTTCAGTTCCCAGTACTGTGCCTCAATAAGTATTGATTAATTGATTGATTGATTGATTGGTTGGTTGGTGGGATGGATAGACAAGACATAATCTCAACCTTCAGGAAATCTATAAGAGAATTCACTAAAAGGCACAAAAAGATAAATTTCATACATCTTAGGAAAAGAATTATAGTTTCTGACCCAACGTTTCTATTTTTAAAAAATAATTCCAATATTTTACAAAAATTAGCTGGGTGTGGTGACGGGCATCTGTAATCCCAGCTATCTGGGAGGCTAAGGCAGGAGAATTGCTTGAACCCAGGGCGCGGAGGCGGCAGTGAGCTGAGATCGAGCCACTGCACTCCAGCCTGGGCAACAAGAGCAAAACTCCGTCTCAATAATAATAATAACAATAATTCCAATTTTTATTTTAGATTCAGTGGGTACGTGTACAGGTTTGTTACATGGGTATATCGTGTGATGCTGAGGCTTGGGGTACAACTGACCTTATCACCCAGGTAGTGAGCATAGTACCCAACAGTTTTTTAATCCTTCCCCCCTCCTGCCAAACCCCCTTTACTAGTCCCCAGTGTCTATTGTTGCCATCTTTATGTTCCTAAGTACCTAATGTTTAGCTACCACTTATAAGTAAGAACATGTGGTATTTGATTTTCTGTTCCTGCATTAATTTGCTTAGGAATTAGTTGCATCCATGTTGCTGCAAAGGACACGATTTCATTCTTTATATGGCTGCACAGTATTCCATGGTGTATATGTGCCACATTTTCTTTATTCAATCCACCATTGATGGGAACTTAAGTTGATTCCATGTCTTCACTATTGTGAATAGTGCTGCGATGAAAATACAAGCGCATGTGTCTTTTGGGTAGAATGGTTTATTTTCTTTTGGATATATACCCAGTAATGGGATTGCTGGGTCAAACGGTATTAAGAGTTCTGGTATAAGTTCTTTGAGAAATATCCTAACTGCTTTCCACAGCGACTGAAATAATTTACATTCCCACCAACAGTGTTTAAGTGTTTCCTTTTCTCCACAGCCTCACTGGTATCTGTTGTTGTTGTTTTTGACTTTTAAATCTTAGCCATTCTGATTGGTGTGAGATGGTATCTCATTGTGGTTTTGATTTGCATTTCTCTGATGATTAGTGATGTTAAGCATTTCTTTATATGTTTGGTGGCCACTTGAATGTCTTCCTTTAAAAAGTGTCTGTTCATGTCTTTTGCCCACTTTTTAATGGGGTTATTTGTTTTTTGCTTGTTGAATTGTTTAGGTTCCTTATAGGTTTTGGGTATTAGACCTTTATCAGATGCAGAGTTTGCAGATATTTTCTCCCATTCTGCACGTTGTCTTTTACTCTATTGATAGTTTCTTTTCCTGTGCAAAACTCTTTAGTTTAATTAGGTCCCGCTTGTCAATTCTTGGTTTTATTGCAATTGCTTTTAAGGACTTAGCCACAAATTATTTCCCAATGCCAGTGTTCAGAATGGTGTTTCCTAGGTTTTCTTTTAAGATTCTTATAGTTTGAGGTCTTACATTTAAAATCTTTAATCTGGCCAGGTGCGGTGGCTCACATCTGTAATCCCAACATTTTGGGAGGCCAAGGTGGGCAGATCACCTGAGGTCAGGAGTTTGAGACCAGCCTGACCAACATAGTGAAACCCTGTCTCTACTAAAAATACAAAAATTAGCTGGACATGGTGGCAGGCGCCTGTAATCTCAGCTACTCGGGAGGCTAAGGCAGAAGAATTGCTTGAACCCAGGAGGTGGAGGTTGCAGTGAGCTGAGATTGTGCAACTGCACTCCAGCCTGGGTGCCAGGGTGAGACTCAGTCTCAAAAAAATAAAATAAAATAAAATCTTTAATCCATCTTGAGCTAATTTTTGTACATGGTGAAAGTTAGAGATCTACTTTTTATTCTTCTGCATATGGCTAGCCAGCTATCCCAGCACCATTTATGAAATAGAGAGTCCTTTCTCCATTGCTTGTTATTGTTGACTTTGTTGAAGATCAGACGGTTGAAGGTATGTGGCTTTATTTCTGGCTTCTCTATTCTGTTTCATTAGTCTATGTGTCTATTTTTGTACCAGTGCCATGTTGTTTTGGTTACCGTAGCTTTGGTACAGTTTAATTTTGGGTAATTTGATGCCTCAGGCTTTGTTCTTTTTGTTTAGGATTGCCTTGGCTATTCGGTTCTTTCTTGGTTCCATATGAATTTTAGAACAGTTTATTCTACTTCTGTGAAAAATGACATTGGTAAGTTGATAGGAATAGTGTTGAATCTGTAAATTGCTTTGGGCAGTATGGCCATTTTAATGATATTGATTCTTTCAATCTGTGAGCATGGAATATTTTTCCATTTGTTTGTGTCATTTATGATTTCTTTCAGCAGTGTTTTGTAGTTCTCTTGCCTTGATGCTCTAGCTAGTACTTCCCATTCTATTTTTTAGAGTCTACCCTAATAACATTTCAAAATATTTGGCTAAAAGAATGTTTATTGCAACATTTTTTAAAAGAGCACATATTTTAAGTCAATATGATTTCTAATAGTAACAGCTTGATTAAATAACGTTTGGTCCCTTTATGATGAAATGGTACACAGTCATCAAAATTGCCCCCCAGGCAGATGGAACAGCACGTGGAAAGGCCTGGAGAAGTATCTTCCAGATTCTGAAGGATTTTTAAATTTTAATTTATTATTTTTGAGACAGAATCTGGCTCTGTCACCCAGGCTCGAGTGCAGAGGTGCGATCTCAGCTCACTGCAACCTCCAACTCCCGGGTTCAAGTGATTCTCCTGTCTCAGCCTCCCAATTAGCTGTGATTACAGGCACCCACCACCACGCCTAACTAATCTTTGTATTTTTAGTGGATACGGGGTTTCACCATGTTGGCCAGGCTGGTCTCGAACTACTGACCTCAGGTGATCCACCCGCTTCAGCCTCCCAAAGTGCTGGGATTACAGACGTGAGCCACCACCCCCGGCCTGAGATTCCAAAGGATTTTAAAAGCCATAATTATAAGTTTAAACTCACTTCTGAAAGCAACCAGGAGCTTTGAGGATTTTAAGCAAAGGAGTAACACTGGCTACAAAACATACGTGAGATAGGGCAGAAAGGGGACTGAGCCAGAGAGACTACTTACAAGCTGTTGCCATTGTCCATGTGAGAAGCACTGAGCCAAAGGACTGCAGTGGGGTAGAGAGAAGTAGATGAATCCCAGAAGTGTTCATATTTAGAACTGCTGAAATTTGCTTACCAATTACATGTGGATGCTGAAGATGGATTATACACCTTGTCTTTGCTCTGTGTCCCCCAAATACTTTAAATGCTCCATTAACTCGTGGATAGTTTCCATCAGTGTTACCCTTGCCTTCCCAGAGCAGAAACAAAACCTACATTTCCCAGCCTCCCTCACAGCTTGGGGGCAGAAATGTGCCTGATTCAACTAGCCAGATGCACCAGTATGAGAATTCCATCCAGAAGTAACCTATGCAGGGACACAGGCTGGACAGGGGGCATCCATTTTGCTGGTACAGGGGACGGCAAAAGCTGTGTGGTTTCTCATCTCAGGGACAACTGCATCGACGTGAATGGGACAAATCTACATGTGGACCTGGGAGCTTAGTCTAGAGCTCAGATGTCTACCCTTCGAATAATTCTGTGAGTGAGAAGAAAAGAGAGAGAAGAAGAAAAAAGAAGGAAAAATCTTTCTTTCAGAAATGGAAATGGACTCTGTTGTCTGCAACTACAAACTGTGACTAGCAAAGAAGTAAAAGGAAGCAACAAAGATATGTGGCTTGGGCTACAGAGGAAAGGTGGGGCCACTAGACATAGAGTCAATACCTACCATGATTGTGGTAGGCACTGCCGAGAGGAAGTGTGGTCTGAAGAAGCAGCTATTATATGTTCACTTACACTGTAATGATTATAGAAACGAGACATAGATGCATGAAAGCTTATGTGTGATCACAGGAGCATTTAAATCCAGGTGAAGACAGAAATACTGGGTAGGGCTTGAACCAAATAAAGATGACACTAGAGTGAGGTTAGGGCTAGTGAAGGAAGGCATCTGCAGAAGGGTTCCATGTTTTTCTGTGTGTGATTGTTGTATTTGGGAGGGCATTGCTTGGCTCTGATTACCTACAGCTGTCTAAACTAATGGTCATGCTGAGAGCAACATCTACGGTCCTGATTTCAGTGGTGGCAGGAACTAGGAATTAGGAGCAAGGAAACCCAAATCTTTAGAAAATCACATTTGTTCTCTGAGCTAGTTTTCTCATCTGAAAAATGACCATATTGTGATTATAATCACTGCCATTGTGTGCTGAGCACTAGACTCATATCAAAATATCTTCCCCAATCCTCATCCACAGCCCTGGATGTCAGCACTACTGTTACTCCATCTACCAGTGAAAATTGTGGGGCCCAGAGAGGTTAAAAAACCAGCTCCAGGTCACAGGGCTGGTAAGTGACAGAACCAATACATATCCATGTCTGGTTCTTGCTGAAAAGCCTAGCTCATGAGCACTGCCCCCAGTGCCTACCTGCCTAAGAGGGTGGTTAGGTGACAAATAAAGCCACATGTGAGAGCAGGTGTTCTGTCATTTGTTAAAGCTGAGATGTGCAGCCTAAAAACCTGGCTTCAAGTCCTGGCTCTGCCATTTGTTTATTATATGAATTTAAATAGGTTACTTAATTCCTCTCCCATTTTTTATTATCCATAAAACGACTATAATATTGACTATGGCCTTGTCTGCCTACCAGGGTGAGGATACAAATAATAATAATTATAAAACAAGAATGACCACAAAACCAACATTTATATGATGCTTAAGTTGCCTCAGGTGCTGTCCTAAGTGCTTTTTCAGAAATGTGAGCTGATGCACGTGAATATAATTTTAAAACCAGAAAAGAGTTTTATTATTAACCTGTAGTTTTTATAGCCAAACTGAAATGTCACAGGCCTGCTGGCTGCTCTGTTTTCTAGGGGCTGGATTCATAAGGGACGAATCTTCAAGTGAAAACTCAGGTTCTGCCCAGTAATGGCCTCTCTCAACTCCCACCTCTCCAAACAGCAGTGATGGCTCCAGAGAATGTGATGGACGCTTTACTCACAAACTTAGGATGTTTATTCCTTTGCTCAAGAGGAATCACAGAGGTCCACTCCCTCCTCAGCAATGGGCCTTATAGGTGTGAAATTTTGCCCATAATGACCTCAAGGCAAAACACAGCAGAATCCACCAGCAATTCTTTCTCTCCTTTCCCCAGAAGAGATATGAGGACTCAGGCTTTGAGATGCACTGGGTGAGTGTCCTGAATTTGGGAAGCACTGCAGATAATTCTCCTCCTCCTCTGTCAGCCACTTCAGCTCCCCAGACCTGACTTTTCTTTTTCTTTTTTTTTGGTTTTGTTGTTGTTGTTGTTTCGTTTGTGTGTGTGTGTGTGTGTGTGTGTGTGTGTGTGTGTGTGTGATGAAGTCTTGCTTTGTTGCCCAGGCTGGAATGCGGTGATGCAATCTCGGCTCACTGCAACCTCCTCCTCCTGGGTTCAAGCGATTCTCCTGCCTCAGCCTCCTGAGTAGCTGGGATTACAGGCATGCGCCACTATGCCCAGCTAATATTGTATTTTTAGTAGAGATGGGGTTTCACCATGTTGTTCAGGCTGGTCTCGAACTCCTGACCTCAAGTGATCCACTCACCTCAGTCTCCCAAAGTTCTGGGATTACAGGAATGAGCCACTGTGCCCGGACCCTTCGTCCTCTTACATTCAGTCTTCTGGGAGATTCCCGATGTTTTTCTGATTGCTTCTGTAAAAGGACCCAAGGGCTCTCCTTTCTGGAAGATGCTTGCTCTCTAGATGAGGCATGGCCCACTCTGGTCTGGGCCCCTGGACACACTCTCTTACCACCCTTCAGCACACTTCTCCTCTCCACTGAGTAGTAAGACACCAAGTGCTCAGCTGTGGCTATGACCTATGGAAAGGTCCATGGCATCTACCCAGCCTTCCGTCACCAGGGTCCACCATCTGAGACTCATGGGGCCTGGACAGAAGGCAGTGCTGATGTGCCCAGGCCAGGGCACTGGGGCACCATGGGACTCAGGCAAAGTCTCAGTGTAATGAAGACCTGCGCTGCCTGGCCTTGTCCTCTGTGCATCCATTTTCTTGTGGCAGCACGGCTCAGGATTTCCAGATCATGCTCTTTCAAATACCATCATCACATCTGGGAAGTGCTGACACATGTAGAGGGAAAAAAATGTCTGGAAGGAAATACACAAAATGTTATCACTGTGGATTTCTATAGGGTAGTGGGTAACTTTAGTTTTTACATTTGAAATGAAGCATTTTATAAATATTTGTTTTCCCTAAGTGGTTTTAAATTTTCTTTTCACTGATCTGCATTTTCCAATTTCACTATAATCAATTTACAGTCTTTTGTAGTTGAAAAAGTTATATATATATATATACATATATATATAGCTACTCCAGTCATAAAATGACATGCAGCCTTCCAGCTAGAGCAGGACCAGTTTAAAAAAGAAAAATTCCTGGTCAAAAATGTCAAACTCTGCAATTTTAATTCCACATTAAGTGTTTTCTATCACTTATCCATATCTTATAGTTTCTGTAGATCTGTATCTTACAGTTTCTTTACAAAAAGGCCACACTATATTAACTTATTTTAATCCAGTGCTTTTTGACCTTGGAACCTGTTTTATCAAATAACACCTAAAAATAGCCTATAGAATTGATCGTTCTAGCAAACATGCTTTTGGAAACATTGATCTGGTCCAATTTTGCTTCCCCATTTTCAGCCAATAGAACTAAGGTCCAGAGAGATGAAGGGACTCATTCAGAGAGTCACACAACCATGAAGAAACCAAGTTTGAAGTTGAGCTAAGGTCCTCTCATGCAAGACCACTGTCAAATCCTGCTGGTCAAGCACACGCCACTCCCAGGACACAAACACATTGTTGTGTCTGTGAACAGTGTCCCCCAGTGTTGTGAAGGACACACCAGTGTGGCTGTACCACACTCAATTCACACCATTACCAAGGTTGAACAGTTGAATAAAGTATTTTCTGTTATTACTTGAAGAAGTAAAACAATGTCAAAGCTAATTGCTGCAATTATCAAAGTAGCTTTTAAGAAGGTCCTTGGCCAAGCTTGGTGGCTCACGCCTGTAATCTTAATACTTTAAGAGGTCAAGGCGGGCAGGGGGCGGTCACTTGAGCCTAGGAGTTCAAGGCCAGCCTGGACAACATAATAAGACCCTTTCTCTATAAAAAATATTTTAAAATTAGCGAGGCTTGATGGCATGCGCCTATAGTCCTAGATACTCAGGAGGCTGAGGCAGGAGGATCACATGAGCCCAGGAGGTTGAGGCTGCAGTGAGCTATGCTAGCACCACTACACTTTAGCCTTGGCAGTAGACCCTGTCTCCAAAAGAGGAAGAAGGTCCTGAGAAGGCAGATATAGTGGCTTTGCTCTGCTACAAACTTGGGTTCTCAGTGTAGGATCCTGGCTGGCTGACTGAAGTATAGTTTTGAGAATTAGAATACAGTATTTGTCTCTCTTTTTCTGCTTTTCTTCCTTCCTCCTTAAAAATTAAAAGACACTGAGTGCCTCAGAAGTGTGCAAAGCATTGTGCTCTAAGACAGGCCTCATGGGAGCTATTGTCAAAGCCATTGCTATTAGCACAGGGTTCTCTAACCTGCTGAGGAATTCCATTTTCAGGACAAATTTCACTGCATTTAATTTTGGCTTTCTTACCCACTGCACCAAGTGAGCCGAACCCCCAATGGTAATTAAAATGACAAGTACATTTCTTTCTCTTCTTCCGTCTCACCGTTCCGCATCCCAAACAGACTCAGTACCCCTGGAAAGCGTCCACTTTTTTGTCCCACTCTGTCAGCCCAGACATGGAAATCTTTCTTTACTTCTCTGAACCAGGAAGCCAGCCTTGCTTCCTTTTCTGTACCATGTCCAAGCTGTGACTGAGTCCTGCCAAGTCCCCCCGCCACTTCCCTCAAATCCCTCCATTGCTCCTGACATCCGTGTCCTCTACTTCAGTGCCGTCATTGCATCACTGCAACAGCCTCCCCCGACTGTGTCCCCGCTCCCTGCCAAAAATGCCTTGGCCTCTCCTGCCTCCCAGCCTCTGTTCTGTCCACTGGCTATCCACGCCCCTCCTCCCTCCTGCCCACAGCTCCTTCCCATCCTTTAGTCTTCGGTTTAAGTCGGGATTTTCCTCTACCTCCTTCCTCTTTATTTTCAAAACTGATTGCCAGAGTTTAGGCTGGTGCAAAAGTCATTGTGGTTTTTGCCATTAAAAGTGGTTGTGAGGCCGGGTGCGGTGGCTCATGCCTGTAATCCCAGCACTTTGGGAGGCCAAGGCGGGCAGATCACCTGAGGTTAGGAATTTGAGACCAGCCTGACTAACATGGTGAAACCCCATCTCTACTAAAAATACAAAAAAATTAGCCAGGAATGGTGGCGGGTGCCTGTAATCCCAGCTACTTGGGAGGCTGAGGCAGGAGAATTGCTTGAACCCAGAAGGTGGAGGCTGCAATGAGCTGAGACCATGCCAGCCTGGTCAACAATAATGAAACTGCAGCTCCAAAAAAAAAAAAAAAAAAAGTGGTTGCAAAAGCCGCAGTTACTTCTGCACCAACCTAATACATTTTTCTTTGTGACTATGTGCTTAATCCTGTGAACTACCTGAAGGCCTAGACAGCATCTCTCGATTGACCTCTATAACCCCAGGGCATGATACCACTTCCTGCTTCTGCTTCACTCCTACTGCTGTGCTTTGAGCAAGCTGTTTAACTTCTCTTACTGTTTGAAATATCAAAAGGGGCTGCTGAGCCCTACCTCACTTGTTGTTTAGAGAATTAAGTCAGGCAGTTTGCAAAGTGCCTAAAAAATGCTTGGTCCTTAGTAGGTAGGAATGCCAGTTCCCTTCCCTCTCTTCTTGGTAGGGGCTATATTGTTATTAGATGGGACGCTTAATGGTAAGCAACAGACACTGAATTTGAGCAAAAACACAAAAAGGGAAGTGAGTAGCTGGTGTTTGTAAACTGCAGAAGTACGGCAGAGAGTAAGACCAGGGACTCAAAGGCCCTCAACTATCTGCTTTTCTCTCCCTCTCATTTTCTCCCTCTTGCATTGTGTGTGTGTGTGTGTGTATGAGTGTGTGTATGTGTGAGTGTTTGTGTGTGCATGTGTGTGAGTGTGTGTATGTGTGTGAGTGTGTGTATGTGCGTGTGTGCATATGCATGTATGTGTGTGAGAGTGTGTGTATGTTGTGTGAGTGTGTGTATGTGTGTGAGTGTGTGTATGTGTGTGAGTGTGTGTGTATGTGTGTGTGAGTGTGTGTGTGTGTGTGTCTTATCTCTGCTTCTCTGGCTATCCCTTTTATTTTCTTAACTGTCCACTTTTTTTTTTTTTAAAGACAGAGTCTCTGTCACCCAGGCTGGAGTGCAGTGGCACAGTCTTGGCTCACTGCAAATTCTGCCTCCCAGGTTCAAGCAATTCTCCTGCCTCAGCCTCCGGAGTAGCTGGGATTGCAGGTGTGCACCACCATGCCTGGCTAATTTTTGTATTTTTAGTAGAGACGGGGTTTCACCATCTTGAGCAGGCTGGCCTTGAACTCCTGACCTCAGGTGACTCACCCGCCTTGGCCTCCCAAAGTGTTAGGATTACAGGCATGAGCCACCGCACCCAGCCTCAACTGCTGATCTTTCTGAGGCAGGAGACTGGTCTCTACAGCACTTGGCCTTCCCTTATAGCTTCACTTTCCAAGAAAAACAGAAAAAAATAAAAGCTCTTCTTTCCCAAGGTCCATTTACAGGAATCCCAGGAAAGAACTCTGATTGCCCTGACTGTGGTCATTAGCCATTCTCCTAACTATCACTAGGGTCAGAGGAGTGCAGACAGACAGCGCTTACTCAGAGGGGGACGGGATGAGGAACAATACTCCTAAAAGAAGGTGGCTGCATTTCCACCGAGAAGCGGACAAGTTCCAGGCAGACACCACAATGAACATCCACCAAGAGAAACCCGATTTAACACAACAGTGGATGCCATGGCACTGTGATAATTACAGTTGCTTCTGCAAGCTATTTATATGCCTTCCTCCCTGGTTACATTTCTGGAATCTTGGAAACAGAGACAATGCCTTTGTTATGGTCCTTTCTCCTATGCTAGCAGAGTCTGGGGCACACGAGGCTGTGAATAGTGCCTGAATAAATGAATGAACAAAGGTAAGCACCAAAGCTTCCGATGCTTCTCTTTCCAGCTACAAATTGCTCCTATGATCTGGGTTCGGGAAAACAGTTACATAATGGCCCTCAAAGACTCTCCTTAGCTGTTTATGTCTTAAATGGTCTCACTGAGACTTGCCCACTCTCCTTTACCTTGCTTGGCTTCTTCCGTGAGTTTCCATGTTCCTATTTATAAATGTCACTTGGGCCCAGCTCTTTGGGCCTGATTCTCTCCTCACTGCCTCCCTTTCTTCCTCGTAGGGGCAGAATGCTTTGGTTCACCTGAAATGGCTTTTCAGAGGAGGTACAGCTGTTCGATGTGTTACGGCCCCATCCAGTCCCCTGTGAAAGAGGCTGCAGCATTTCCTCACTGCCTATTTAGCCACACCCCGCCAGGACAGAGCGTAACCTAGCAGCTTCCGGATTTAATGCATGGAATGATCAACAGGCTGCAAGAGGAAGTGACTGGGCCAGGGGCCCAGAGTCACAAGCTCATTCAGTCCTAGGCCTTGTAAATTCCAAGTCCCTGGCCATGGATGAGCCTTGGACTGCTTTTCTCAAGCCCTAGAGGTGAAGTCAGCCACCTTCCATATCCTAGGCTCATGCAGGGTGCTGGGACATTGATAACTCAGACCACTTCCTGCCCTTGAAAGGCTGAGAAGAAAATTCGTTTTACCGCAATGCAGAGGTCTCAGACCATCAGTTGCACAGCATAGAAGAGATTAGAATCCTGAATATGCCCTTTGCACCTGGAAAGACCCTTGTTTGACTCCAGAAAACCCTCCAGGGCTCCTTTACCAAGTACCAGCTCATAGAAACAGCTAAAGAAAAATCTATTAAAGTCATTTATTTACAATCATAGAAATTTTAGAGCTAGAGGAAAATTCAAGGTAATCTGGTCCCAAACTGTTAGTTCACAGGAGAGGAAGCTAGATCTACAATTACACAATTATACCATCACTGTGGTGTGCAAACTGTCCCCAAGACTGTCATCTTAATAATGCATGTCATTTGCTGTTGGAAAAAAAAAATACATTGAATATTTAGGTGAGGCCCCAAGCTACACATACCATGATCACATTCGATCCTCCCAATAGTAAAATGGGTGTGTTTATTCCATCTAATAAATGAGGAAACAGAAGCACAGAGACATTAAGTGACATGCTCAAGGTCACACAGCTGGTAAATGATGGATTAAGGATTTGAACTCAGACTCAATTGTTTTCAAAGCATCTATTCCAATGAGAATGAAAATGTTGGCCAGGCACAGTGTCTCACGCTTGTAATCCTAGCACTTTGGGAGGCCGAGGCGGGTAGATCACCTGAGGTCAGGAGTTCTATACCAGCATGGACAACATGGCGAAATCCCGTCTCTACTAAAAATATAAAAATTAGCCAGGCATGGTAGCGCATGCCTGTAATCCCACCTACTCGGGAAGCTGAGAATCGTTTGAACCCGGGAGGTGGAGGTTGCAGTGAGCTGAGATTGCACCACCACACTCCAGCCTGTGCAACGGGAGTGAGACTCCATCTCAAGAAAAAAAAAAAAGAAAGAAAGAAAGAAAGAAAATGTATTGAATTAATGTTACTGAAATAAGGCCAGAAAACCTAGATTCTATTTCTAAATTTACCACTAACAAGTTGTAGGAACTGGGAAAGACCTTTCATTCACTGGGACCTAGCTTCCTGTTCCATAAATGGAGAGAACAGAGCTGGGTCAGTGATGGCAATATGTGACCACTTTCTCATCCTATGCCCAAGACAGATGTGACTGTAAGACCAGGGTACCATTTCTGCCTGAGCTCAAAGTAGGCTTCTAATGTAGAGCTTTATCCAGCCCCTCCCAAACAATTGCTATTGGCACAAATAAAATGCATTTGCCACCCCTTGGCCCAACGAGCTCTCAGATCCATTCCAACTCTATTTAATTCATGAAAATTCTGGCCCTGGATTTTGTCATTTCTCTGCAGTGTTGGAAGAAAAATAGGAACCGCTTATCTGTGATTCCACAGAGCAGAATCCTGCCAGAAGCAGATCCCTGCTGTTCTCCTGACAGATCATGGGCTGTGCTCAGAACTTCAGGGGCAGGGGTGTAGGGGCCTGCCACAAATGACAGGAGGCCACGATTCCATTTCGTCTTCTTCCTTAACTCTGATCCACATGAATGGAAAGCTTTCCTTGCTCTGACATTACTGGAACATCACATAGTTCTCTTATGAAATGAATCTCTATTGCTGAAGTGGCTTGATATCAACAATAAGGCAGCCAAAGAGGTACATGGAAAAACCCCACTGTCTTCCCATGCTGATTGGCTTACAGGATGAGGGGGTGATGGAGGGCCAGTGAGTCAGAGCTATTTCTACAGAAGACATCCAGAAACACCAAGTTAAGTCAAGTTGCTGAGTCTGTGGTGAGCCCAAGACAGGAGGTAACAGAAGAATGGAAAATCAGGACAGCATTGAAATCTGATGCTGAGTTGACAAGTTGCTGTCAAATGCCAAGCACAGAGGACAGCAGGAAGTGAGCCAACTGCAGAGAGCTGAGCACCTGGCCAGATCATCAGGCTACCTCTGTCCAGACCTCAGCAGTGCCCAGGCCTTCACGTAGCAGTCACAGGTCACTGCATCCTGCCAAAAAAAGGCAGTCCATTCTTCAAGGTGTCTGTTTGAGTCTAGTGTCAAATTACCCCAGATTGTCAGCAAGTGCCTGTGGCCCTGGCTTGCCCTGGTAGATGAGTCAGCCCAGCTGTGAAGAAAGCCCTGCCGGGCCCTGGGAGGCCAACGCATGCCAGCTGAGGCAAGAAGACAGCATCAGCCCTGAAGCCTGTGTGGACAAGGAGCCCACTCCCTAACTGAGGCCTGGGACCCCTAACCCCACCCCGACTTCAGATGGGGCTGTGTTTCCAGGACTGCCTCATACCCCATTTCAAATCAGGCTACTCAACAGTGACATTTAGTAACAGAAATCATGAAGATTCATTAGATGACTCAGAGAAAAAACAAACAAACACTCTCTCCAAGAAAGAGAAATTCACAGGAAGGGGCCACATCCATCCAGTTCTGCCCTTCCCGTTTCTCTAGCTCAGTGGTTCTCAAAGTGTGGTCCCTGGACCAGCAGGAGTGACAGATTTTTGCCACGACACCACTTCAGTAATGTTAATTAAATATATTTCCATTCTTTTAAGAGTCAACATAGCTTAGTGAGAAGAGCAGAAGCTCTGGAGCTTGTTAGAAATGCCCCACCCCAGACCTCTTGAATCAGAAATACTGGGGTGGGGCCCAGCCATCGGTGGCCTAACCAGCCTTCCAGGCGATTCTGAAGCCTGCTGAAGTTTGAGAACAAGGACGTCTCCAGCTGAACCAGCCACCCCTCAGGAGTAGAGGGAATTCCTGCTCCCCGGCCCAACTTTGTTATGGAAACCTCCCAGGACAATCTGCATCAGCGAGCTGATCCTAGTCCCCAGCAGCAGGTGACAAAAGGATCTGGCCTCAGGACTGTGTCATCCCTAGGACGTGATAACAGGCCATTGTGGCTGGGGCATATTAGTGGGTGCAAAAGGAGATATAAATCTCGTATTTGGGAAAGGAATGGGAGGGACTGAAGAGCAAGGAAAACTAAGCCCCTTCTTATCTCCTCAATGCTCAGCCACTAGAAACTCGTAATTAGAGCTATTAATAGCCACCATTTATGTAGAAGCTGCCATGAGCCAGGCACAGTGGGACATACTTTACCTGTTTCATCTCTCAGCAAATTTTGAGGGACGTAGCTTTATCCACCCCATTTGATAGAAGAAGAAACTGAGGCTCAGTGAAGCTAGACGTCTTGTTGGAGTGTGTTCTTTGCACGCATGAGTTGGGACCCGACCTCACGTCTAAGTGGGCCATCTTGACCACAGCACTGCCTTAATCCAACAACCATCGTCCCTCCCCACCCCCTCCACTCTTCAAAGGGCCTCATCGTGGGTGATGTGGGGCCAGACTAAGACCAGGAATGTGGACTTTCTCACACATAGTAGGTGCTTAACAGATGGTAGTGCTCTCTCCTTGCCTCTTTGGACACCCACAATGGAGTGATTCAGAGCCCAAGTTTTGGGCAGATTGTACATGCATGGGCTAAATGGGCTCTGAGAGTCAGCATCCAGCTTCACAAAACAGGAATAATGATAGCTGCCTCCCGGGGATGTTATGGAGATGCAATCTGCTATGTCTATAGCTATGTCTATAAAGCTATGTCTATAAAGCACACAGCGTTCCACACGTAATAAGCAGTGACTAAGTGGTCATTACTACTTTACCATAGTCAAGCTTAATACAAGTGTGTGAAGAGACAGGTAAGGGATTTTCATCCCTACTTTGTGGTTACAGACATAAGCTTCAGAGAGGCTGAGGGGCAGACCTAGAATGACACGGCTGGGAGGGTGATGGCAAGAGGAGAAGCTCAGCCACCCACCCGGCATCAGCTTCCATTCCTCCATGCTATGCTGCCTGGCCTAGCAAGGGCACCCCTGTGTCATGTTGATTCTCTTTTTATTGCAGAAACTCGCTCCCGCTTGTGCACAGTCCAGGAGCTTTGCCCCAACTAGTGCTGTCACAAGTCATGTGACAACAACCAGGGGAATGTTCCCATTAACAGAGACGGTGGGACGCCAAGGCATGCTCCCACCTCCAGCCTCCCATCATTGTTGTAACATCTTTGGACACCTCCCTCCTTCTCCCAAGGAAAGCCACAGCCCTGTGAGTGACCAGAGGCAACAGAACAAAGACCGGATTCTCAGTTTCCTGATTCCCTCGCACAGCACGGTCTCTCTGCAGGGAGTCTGGGAATCCTGACACTGCCTGGATGGAGTGTCCACACCAGTGGCTAAAGGTCAGAACTGTCTCTTCGCCAACCAAGGGTGGCTGCTCCTATGTGTCTGTGGCTCTGGCTATAACCCTCAGAGGTGTGTGTTGAGCAAACAGAGCCAGCTTCTGCCATCCATTAGTAAGAGCTAACATTTACTGCGTGCCCACGACCTGCCACGTGTTGTTCTAGCTGCTTGCTAATGAACAGCAGCGAATGGTTGTAATGGTTATAATGGCCGGGCACACTGAATCTAGAGCCAGACAGCTTTGGATCAAATTACACTCTTCCTCTTACTAGCGTTGTATCTTTGGCCAAGTTACTTAACCTCTTTGTGCCTCAGTTTTCTGACCTGTAAGATAAATGGGGGTAATACCTTCATGAGGCTCTTATGAGCATCATGTATTCTACTTGACTCTTTACATGTTTGTTCTCGTTTGATCTTCCGAAAACATTTTGAAGTAGGTATTATTATCCCCCATTTACATGTGAGGAAACTGAGGCATAGAGCCAAGAAGTACACTGCCCTAGGTCCCACAGATGGTAGTGATTGTAAAAAAATAATATCTAACATTTATTAGACTCTTACCATGTGCGAGGCACAACAAAACAGAGTGGTTGCTACAATTGCCCCTACTTTACAAATAGTGAAAACTGCGGCACAGAGAGACTAAATACTCTGCCCAAGATCAACTAGTAAATGGCAGAGCCACAATATCAACCCAGGTTGTATGGCTTTGGAGTCTGTGCTGTTCTGTGTTTTGCCACGGAACCCCCAGCCCTGGCTCTGTCTGTAAACACCCTGAGACTCACCAATAAGCTGTGGAATCGGCCATTTCATGGGGAGGGTGGGTGGCAGAAAGCTCCTTTTTACCTTGAGTGGCTTTTTTTACCCAAGGAAGAGTTACAAGATAAGCCACAATGATCATCCAATAGAGGTCGTTCTAATTTTGCAAGGGCTGATTCTCCAATCACAACAGTGTTTCTCAGTGGAGGTGCTATTGACATTTGGATGAGATGTTCTCACGGCTATGCAGTGTGTAAACTGTCCTGCACGTGTCAGGATGGTTACCCCCCAACACACACACACACCCACGGAATGTTAATGGCTCCCCTAGCCACTGTACTATACCAAAATGCCCCATGCAACTTTCAAATGTTTTCTCAGTGGAGGGGAAGATTCTGCCCCTGGTGAGGACCATGGAAATAGAGCATCAGCCACTTCTCTCCTCTTTTTACAAATTCAACTCAAACCATGAATCGGGAGAAATCGGAGTCAAACACGGGACAGCCAACAGTGTGAGGCTGAGTGTGATTAAGTACCAAGTCAGTGGTAGTGACAGGCGTAGGACCCTGGCAAAGGAGGAACAGCCCTGCCCACATGCACAGCCAGGAGCTGCCCTGTGGCAAGGCTCCTCACTGGATGTGGGAGCAGAGGAGGAGGCAAACCAGAGAAGGTAAGATGAAACCCAAATGAGGCCATTTCATTCCCTTTCACCATTCTGTTGGCTGAGAAGGCTAAGGCAAGGGCCTGGAGTAGTGCAGAACCCCAGGTGTGGAAGTTGGAATACCAGGACTGATAATAAGCTGTGTCATCATGGCCAAGCAATTCACTCTGCCTGCCTTAATTTCCCCAGTGGCCTGGTGGTGATGCCTTCCCAACCCACTTCCCAAAGTTGTAAGCCTCAAGTGACATCAGAAATAGGGGGGTGTCCGGAACAGTAAATATCACTACTGTTTTTGTTTGTATCCAAAGCCAGTCTCTGGGCATTGAGTGCTGTTCCCTTTTGGGTATCTGTCACCATTCATAGAAGAATGAACCACTTGCCAAGGCCACACTCAGTGATTCATTTGTCCCCCTGGAAATACCAGGAGAGCACTTCCTTCTCAGGACAATCACTGCCAAGTGCCAAAAACCTCAAGAGTGATGAGCATGGGTTGTCCCAGAGTACAGAAAGGACCCACATCACCCAGTGACAGAGCAGGCAGTGGGCGTGGCTCTGAGCCTTTACTGTCTCCTCCCTCTGCGAGGAATGCCAGGGGGAGCTGTAAGCATCATTTAAGGGCACTGTGGTCCAGGACACAGGCTTGGGAGTTCTACATTGTGTATTTGTTTATTTTTGAGAAAGGAAAGAGAATACTACAAAGACTGAGCATTTATCATGTGCTAGGTGCTGTGCTATGTGCTTGACATACATGCATTTATCTCATTTAATAGCATCTCAGTGACCTGGCTATTATTATTCCTACTTTACAAAGAGGAAGCTCAGGATTAAAGATTTAAGTAATTTGCCTAAGGTAATTCACCTAATAGGTGGGCATGGTAAATGAAACAATGCCGCTTCTCAAATGCTCATGTCTTTTTTTTTTTTTTTTTTTTTGAGACAGTCTCTCTGTCACCCAGGCTGGAGTACAGTGATGCAATCTCAGCTCACTGCAACCTCCGCCTCCAGGGTTCAAGTGATTCTCATCCCTCAGCCTCCCAAGTAGCTGGGATTACAGATGTGCACCACCACGCCTGGCTAATTTTTGTATTTTTTGTAGAGATGGGGTCTCACCATGTTTGCCAGGCTGGTCTCGAACTCCTGACCTCAGGTGATCCACCCACCTCGGCCTCCCAAAGTGCTGGGATTACAGACTGAGCCCACTGTGCCTGCCTTCAAATGTCCATGTCCTAATCCCCAGAAGCTGTGACTATCTTAGATTCCATGGCTAAAGAGAATTAAAATTGCCGACGGAATTAAGGTTGCTAATCAGCTGACCTTAAAATTGGGAGATCCCCTGGTTGATCTTTATAGGCCCAGTGTAAGCAGGAGGGTCCTTAAAAGTGGAAGAGGGAGGCAGGAGAGGAGAGGCAGAGGGAGATGTAGAAGATATAGAAGAATGGTCAGAGAGAGGTAACATTGCTGGCTTTAAAGATGAGGAAGGAGCCATGAGCCAGGGAATACAGGCAGCCTCTGGAACCTGGACAGAAGGAAACAGATTCTTCTCTAGCTTCTCCAGAAGGAGCAGAGCCCTGCTGACACCATGATTTTAGCCCAGTGAGATCTGCACCAGACTTTTAACCTATATAACTACAAGAATATTAATTCGTATTGTTTTAAGCCACTAAGTTTGTGATAATTTTTTATGATGTCAATAGGAAACTGATACTGTGGGATACCTTGAATTTGACCTTGGGCCTGCCTTACTGAAAATTTGTGCTCCTATTATACCAAATTGACCTGGCTTTGAAACCTGGTTCCATTTGTTAGATATGTGATTTGGGGCACATTAACAGTGACAGAAAAATAGGCTTTACAAGCTTCTTTGGATTTGAGAAGTACCATATTTGATTGTGCGCCCCAAATTTATTTATCTGGTGACCTAAAAGGCTGATATTACCCTGATATTTAAAGCAAGAAATATTCTCCTAGATGGCACCATTCAAGCAGCTCAGACTTTCAGCTCTTATAATCTTTGATGGTTAACACTGAGTCTCAACTTGATGGGATTGAAGGATGCAAAGTATTGTCCCTGGGTGTTTCTGTGAGGGAGTTGCTAAAGGAGATTAACATTTGAGTCAGTGGACTGGAAGAGGCAGACCCCCGCTTCAAGCTGGGTGGGCACCATCTAATCAGCTGCCAGCACGGCTAGGATAAAAGCAGACAAAGAACGTGGAAGGACTAGACTGGCCTGAGTCTTCTGGCCTCCATCTTTTTCCTGTGCTGGAGGCTTCCTGCCCTCAAGCACTGGACTCCAAATTTTTCAGCTTTTGGACTCTTGGACCTACACTACTGGTTTGCCAGGGGCTCTTGGGCCTTTGGCCACAAGCTAAAGGCTGTACTGTCAGCATTCCTACTTTTGAGGTTTTTGGGACGGCTTCCTTGCTCCTCAGTTTGCAGACAACCTATTGTGAAACTTTACCTTGTGATCATGTGAGTCAATACTCCTTAATAAACTCCCTTTTTCTTTTTTTCTTTTTTCAGACGGAATCTCGCTCTGTCACCCAGGCTGGAGTGCAGTGGCACAATCCTGGCTCACTGCAACCTCTGCCTCCTGGGTTCAAGCGATTTTCCTGTCTCAGCCTCCCGAGTAGCTGGGATTACAAGCATGCGCCACCACGCCCAGCTAATTTTTGTATTTTTAGTAGAGATGAGGTTTCACCATGTTGGTCAGGCTGGCCCTTTCATATATACATCTGTGCTATTAGTCCTGTCCCTCTAGAGAACCCTAATACATAACCCAATTGATGAAGTAGGTTGGAAGTACCAGTGTTATTAGAATTAATATCGTAAGGCTCTTTGGGAACTGCAGTAAGCCCTCATAGGAGAATCATAGCAGAGGCCCCTGGTTTTAGAATAAAACCATGTTTCTTAGGCAAATAACAGCTCTCAGCTTGTTTCTGGGCCATGGGAGAAACTTAACAGAGTAGTCCCCCTGCCTTATCAGTAAGGGATACATTCCAAGACCCCCAGTGGATGTCTGAAACTGTAGATAGTACCAAACCCTATGTATTTTGTTTGTTTGATCTAATAACCAAGATGGCTGCTAAGTGACTAACAAACAGTAGCATACACAGCGTTAATATGCTTGACAAATGGAAGATTTGTGTCCCGGGCAGGATGGAATAGGACAGAGCAAGATTTTGTAGAGTACTCAGAATGGAGTGCAACTTAAAACAAATGAGTTATTTATTTCTGGAGGTTTCCATTTAATATTTTCAGATTGCAGTTGTCCATAGGCAACTGAAACTTCACAAAGTAAAACCATGAGTAAGAGGGGACGATGTACCTGGCCATGCAGCACCTTGCTACTTAAGCAGCTTATTATGAACTAAGATATTGTTTCAGAAAGAGTATTCCACTAACACCCAGAAACTTCCCTGAGGTATCAGCACCTTCTGGCACACATGTCTTGGCAAGATACAAGTGAACCTGCTCCTTCTGCTCTCCAGACTATCCACAATATGTCATCAATATAACAGACTCACAGGATACCCTGCAAAATGATAAGATGAGAAAGTCTCCTATGTACTAAGTTATGGCAGAGCCAGAGTTGACATAACTTTGAAGCAAAATGGTGAAGATGTACTGTTGCCTCCTCTAGGTAAAAGCAAACTGCTTCTTGTTTTTGTCTTCTCATTGGGATAGCTGAAAAAGCATTTTGCAAATTAATAGTTGTATATTAGGGACCACGGGCTTTTGAGGTTTTGGGACTTTGTCAATTTGCTTCAATAAGGAAATCACAACTTGGATCAGTGACTGCAATAGAAGTCTCTTCCTGATTAAGCTTTTGATAGTCCACTGCTATTTTTTAACCTCCAAGTATCTTTCTGTACCAACTAAATATAGTGATATACAGAAATAACCACTCATATATATTTCAAGTCTTTGGTGATGCCACACATTTCTGCAGTTCCCTCAGGAAAGGGTGGCTGCTCTTGATTTACTTTTCTGGCAGGGAGGGGGAGCTTTCATTTTCTCTCTTCTGCAATAGTAGCCTTTATTTATGGGTCCCAGGGGCAATATGGAATTCTACTATGGAATTCTACCAAGCTGAGCCTCTATGATTCCATCAGACACTACAGGACTAGAGAAATAACCACAGGGTGAGCTGAAGGCTCTAGTGAGTCTGTTGCAAAGCAGCCTACAATAAAAATAGAGTGGATCACCCGACACTGGGTATTAGTTATCTATAGCTACGTCTCAAGTTACCCAAAACTTAATAGCTGAGAACAGCACTTACCATCTCACAGCATCTGTGGTTCAGGAATGCCGGAGCAGCATGGCTGCATGGTCCTGGCTGAGCATCCCTCCCAGCCTGCTGTCATCTCAAGGCTTCCCTGAGGGATGATCCACCTCCAAGCTCAGTCACGTGGTCGCTGGCAGGCTGTAGTTCTTTGACATGTGGGCCTTTTTATGCCTCACAACATGGGAGCTTTCTTCCCCCAGCTGAGCAATTCAAGAGAGTGTGAAAGAGAACCCAAGGTCCAAAAAAAAGAAAAAAATCTTTTTATAACCCAATCTTGGAAGTGACATTCCCTAAGTTCTGCCATATTTCATTTACTAGACCAAATAAACCCAGCCCACATTCAAGCAGAAGGGATTCCACAAGGGTATGGATACAGCAGGCAAGGAATGCTGCACTTCATTTTAGAGGCTGGCATTACTCTGATTATTGGCCCACAGTAGTGTGCTAAGTCCCCATGAATTAAGGATAGCTCAAAGTCGGCATCATGAACCCTAAAAATCTGTGTAACTTCTTTCCTCAGAATAAAATTACCCTGGTAAATGACTGCAGGACCCTTTCAGAAGGCTGGAGGGAAGATGTGCTTACATACTTGAGATGATTTTGGAGGGTCTTCCTCAGGGTACTCAATCTTCCACTCATTCTAAGTGTTCTCAGTTCTCTAGCTTTGTGAACTGACTCTATTCTCTTTTGATGACTTGATGGCTCAAGTATGAGCTCTAGTTCCCAGAAAAGGAGAGGTGTTTTTGTTGTTGTTGTAGTTTGTTTCTGATGGGGGTCTCACTCTGTCACCCAGGCTGGAGTGTAGTGGCGCAATCTTGGCTCACTGCAAACTGCGCCTCCCATGCCTCGGCCACCCGAGTAGCTGGGATTACAGTGCCTGCCACCATGTCCGTCTAATTTTTGTATTTTTAATAGAGATGGGGTTTCATCACGTTGGCCAGGATGGTCTCAAACCCCTGACCTGAAGTGATCTGCCATCCTCAGCCTCCCAAAGTGCTGGGATTACAGGCAGAAAAAGAGAGTTTTAAAATTTGTTTGGGTTTTTTTGTTTTGTTTTGTTTTGTGTTCAATTTTAAGGTTTCAAGTAGAACCTTCATGATTTGCCTATCTATTTTCACCCTTGGGACTCCATGATAAATTCACCACCACCAAAGCCCAGAGCACTGGGATTGCCACCCCTGCATGTCTGCTTACTCTGGTCGCCACACCTATTGCCTCCAGTGGTTGAGTGAAGCTATGTGACCAATGCCATCCAGATCCTTGATGACATCAGGAAGGCCATTCAACTTCAGTATCTTCTATCATTATCCCTGGTTTTCACAAATAGCCCCTCCAGCATTTTTCAATGATGCTGGTTCTTTCTTTGCCAATGTATTACCCAAGGCTTGGAGAAAGGAGTTTCTTTTTTTAGTTCTCTCAGAAAATATGTTTAGGGAGTAGTTAGGTAGCTTTTATGTAATACTCCATTTTTCTGTCTACAATTTTAATTTCTCCTTTATTTCTCTAAATTATCCTGAGAGATTTTCAGTATCTAAACTTCATTTTCCAGGGGCCACCTTTGGGACAGGTTTAAGTCAACCAACTAACCAATTATCTAGAATCAGCTAAAGATGCTCAAGCGAGCACATTGACCCAAGCATTGTTGACCTGACTTCTCTCTTTCTGCCTTGGTTCCTAACCAGTGGGTTCTGACTGCTACAGCATGTTTCTCTAACGGAATGTTAAGTGGTGGTTTCCCATATTGAAGCAGAGGAGTTGAGCTCAGAAATTAGATTCTTCTCTGACTTTCCAAGCTCAGTATTTCTGACTCGTGCACTGCCATCTGCTTTCAGATCTCCAGGAAACAAGGAACAGGAAATGGAAGAACACAGAGTTCACAGGCTCACACTGCAGCCTTGGCTCTTCCTCAGAGGGTCTTGGAATAGTGACTCAACCTCTTTAGGTTTCAGTATCTTTAACTGTACTAAGAAGAGATTGAATTAGAGGGTCTCTACTATCCCTTTGCCCCTTACAATATGGGCCTCTAGCCTAATTCTCCTGGATATCAAGCCCTAAAACCTACACCTGCTTTCCTTCTAGCCACTATTTATTCTGAAGCTAGTGATTCTTTCCCAGGCCCAGTATCTTATCTAATTAGCCATTTACCCATCACATTGCATCAGTTTATCTGGTATATTTAAGCACAGATAATATTAGAACCTCCTCTTCCCTAGGGAGTCTAAGATACCCCAGAATATGGTAACTTTTCATCAGAAAGGGAAAAGAAATTATAATAGAGCAATCCACACACTAAGAATCTATTTCAACATTTTCTACCTACCATCTATGTTACCATTTTCAACATTCATTGAACACCAACTATGTATTAGGTCTTTGGACACTTCATATACTTCATATCACTTATTTTCACTACATAACTCTGGAGATAAGCATCCTTCTCTATTTCGTGGATGAGAACACTGAGGCTCAGAGAAGTTAGTCCGGCTTGCCCAAGATAAAAACGCTGGTGGGTGGTATAATTCTAACCCAATCTACTTGGCCCCAAAGCTAATGCTCATTACACTGCCTCCATATCATACAAGCAGTTGGGTTCTTTCTCTGTTTCTAGGGCCTTTTGTTTACAACAATTATTCAAGGTTTGACCACACTTACCCCTGTTTTACAACCATTTTCTTCAGATCTGCCTCAACCAAGGATCTATCAGTTGAATAACTGACCTTTGCCAGGGAACTTTTTACATCTTATTCATCTCTCTATTCCTTCCCCACCCCCAGACCTAGCTTCCAGCAGGTGTAAAATATATGCTTGCTAATTAACATACATCAGTATTCCAAAAATGTCCTCTGCAATGAATACGATGCTGATGACTTTTGTTGAAAGAAGGCTTTTTAAAACATCATTTAAGAAAGAAAATTGGCACTTGTCATACTGCCCATTATGACCGTCATCAGCTAAGCTTCTTTTTTTTTTCCTGCCCCAATTTAAAAAGTAAAGTCTGATTTATTAGAATGGCTCACATTTCTGAAGCTATTACTATTGCTATTGCTAGAGCTGTGGCCAGCTCCTCCCTGGACAAAGGAAGGTGAAGTGTGATTGACACCAGATTCACCTGCCATTTATGCACACCAGATTCACCTGCCATTTATGCTAATGAGTACAGTCACAATTAATGTCCCTGAGGTTCTCATATGGACTGTGGAGTCATGCTGATTCAAATCCTGATTCACTCAGATTTCTAAGGAGTTCTGAAATGCTGGGAAAAAAACAGAGGACCAAGCAACAAAGTGAACCCTTGGCTGTTGTGCCCTTTCTTTGTCCAGAGACCTGCCATTTTGTCTTCTGGATACCTTTGTTTGGCCGATATTGGGATAGACCTATGACGTTCAAATGGGGCTGCTCATTGGTTCGCTGCCAGGCAAGAGAGTGGTCTCTGGGGTGAGGTGCAGGGCTTTATCTTAGACTTAGAATTTGGACACTTTTCCACCAACAAGCCAATATTTGCTTTCTCTAACATAAGGGCAGTGTTGGATCAGAAAATGTCTGCAGATTCAGATGCTAATGCCTACACTTCTGCTAGCACACAATCAAATTCACATTGCTTCCCTAGCGGAAATTTTTATCAGAGATATTTTGTCTGGACCATTCACTAAATCCCAGATTCAGGGCCAATAAAAACTCTACCATTCCTACACTTACATGCTGTAGTATTATGGTGCACCTTCCAAGCCATCACCTATTCTGTCTGTCCAACTTTCAAAACGTGACCTGAACCTTTCCTTCTCCCCATGTCCAGCACTACTATCCTGTTCAGGCCACCATCGCTTCTCAACTGAACCACTGAGAAGTGGTTTTTCACCTCTCAAGTGGTGTTTCAGGATTGATCCCTGACATATCAATCCTTCCTTCCTTCTCCCCATGTCCAGCACTACTATCCTGTCCAGGCCACCATCGCTTCTCAACTGAACCACTGAGAGGTGGTTTTTCACCTCTCAAGTGGTGTTTCAGGATTGATCCCTGACATATCAATCAGAATGGTCTTTGAAAGGTAAAAACCAGATTGTATCGTTCCTTTGCTTAAATCTTCAAGCGGATTCCACTGCATTTAAAATAAAATGTAATCTTGCCATGGCCTGAAAAGTCCTAGACTTATGGCCTGTGCCTCCCAATCTGATCTCATCTCATCTCCTATCATTCCCCTCCTTGCTCACCCTGCCCCAGACCCACTGGCTTTCCTGTATCCCTGGAATATGGCAAATGTGTTCCCACCCACGGGCCTTTGCACTTGCTCTTCCTTCTGCCTAGAGCACACTTGTACCTGTTCTTACAATGCTTGGCTCCTTACCCTTCAGGCTCACATGTCATTCTCTCTGTTGCTTCCCTGACCCCTTCATTTGAGCAGTCCTCTCTGTCCCCATCATACTTCGTCATATCACCCTGATGTATTTCCTTCACAGTACTTATAACCACCTGAAATGATTGTGTTTACTGTTTATTTGCTTAAAAAAAAAAACCTCTAAAATGTGAGCTTTCTGTCCTTTTGGGATCTTGCACATAGTAGGTGCTCAATAAAACATAAATTTGTGTTGAATAAATGAGTGAACCATACATGTTCAATGTATAATAGCAATACCAAGGAGAAAGCTGTTAAAACTGTATGTGGTATGGAAAGACTTCAGGGAAGAGGTAATCTTTGTTCTGAGTCTCAAAGCATGAGAGGTTTCCCATCAGGTGCACAGGACGGGAAAGGATGTGCGATGGGGAACAGACAGATAACTACAATACTGCTGAGTCTTATGGCCCAGGTCTACAATGTCCTATGAGAGCACAGAATAAGGAGTGACTAAAGCTGAGTAGGAGGTCAGGGTTTAAAGAAGGAAATAACGCTTGAGCCGGGTTAAAAAGACTTTACCAGGCTAAGATAGGGAAGAGGCTTTTCAGCAGAGTAAACATTCTAGACAAGGCACAGAGTCATGAAAGAGAATGGTGAGAAGGAGGCTCGAGGGAAGGGGGGTGTTGGGATTAGATCATCAAGGGCCTGGCTTGCCTGCTAAGGATTTTGGATATTTTTTCTCATTAAAAAATATAGAAAATAGAAGTATTTAACATTCTGTGGAAAATAAACATATTAACACTATGACTAACCAACAATGTGACCTTCACATATATAATAAACATGAGTCAGGGAGACTTAAAAATATCTAAATGGAACACATATATTTATATAATTATAGATGTACATCCAAACATTGTTATTTTTGGTAGATCAAAAGGCTTTATGCATGACCAGATTTGCATGCTAGAAAGTTCATTCTAATGATACCAGATGGACTTCTCCAACTATCTGTGGTGAAAGACCAAATATTATAATTTCTAATCTGTTGTGATTAATATTTTGTAAAACACAACAAAAAATGTCGTGGTAATGTTAAATTGCTCTAAATGTCCCTAAGCACTTACTCTTGGACTCTGTACCTCCTCCCAATTGGGTAAGAAATATTTGGTGGACTGGCCCTGATCCGTGGACCCCACTTTGAAGCACATTGCACTAGAGTGTGAAGGGTCAGTGAGCTCATGGAGACTGTCTAGAAGGGTCCAGGCAGAAGGTGGTCACGGCACCCATTATCCTCTATTAACACTTTTGTGTCCCCTATGGGCCACTACCTCTCCATGACCCTTCTGCCACTGAGAGTGTGAGGTTATCAACAAACTCACTAAATACTTGTTCAATTGAAGAATGGCCCACTCCCCGAGGAAATGGTGTAATCCTGCAAAAATGCCTGTTATTTTTCAATAGCCACTGCCAGTTAATCCATCATTCAGTTGAGAGGGGTTACTCTGGAGACATTTTGGCTCAGAAATCAGTGTGCACCCTTAGATCTAACAAAAATAGCAAAGAAAAATATGTTTTTGAATTTACATATGTAATTGTATGCAATGTGTTTCATTCAGATATTTGCAAGACATCCCTTTGGTACATGTGAGGGTCACACATATCAGCCTCTCTGTTGCTGCTCTGACCCCTTTACCTGAGCATTCCTCCCTCTCCCCATCATGCTTCATCATATCTCCCTGGTGTATTTCCTTCATGGTACTTACCAGTTCCATCATAGTGTTCATTTATTTTGCCTGGTGTGGTGAAAATAGTATGGATTGTGGAATTCTAGTTTTGCCATTTTACTAACCCTACGTGGCAAGTAAGGTGACCTAACTTCAATGAGCTTTAGCTTTTTTTATTTGAAAAGATGTGAGAAGGCCAGGCATGGTGGCTCACGCCTGTAATCCCAATACTTTGGGAAGCCAAGGCAGGTGGATCATTTGAGGTTAGGAGTTCAAGACCAGCCTGGCCAACATGGCAAAACCCCATCTCTACTAAAACTTCAAAAATTAGCCAGGTGTGGTGGCGGGCACCTGTAGTGCCAGCTACTCGGGAGGCTGAGGCACAAGAATCGCTTGAACCCGAGAGGCAGAGGTTGCAGTGAGCTGAGATCGTGCCATTGCACTCTAGCCTGAGCAACAGAGCGGGATTGCTTCTCAAAAAAAAAAAAAAAAAGAAAAAAAAAAAAAGGAAAGAAAAGAAAAGAAAAGATGTGAGAAATAATATTTTTATTCCAGGATTGTTTTGAAAATTAAGTTAAATACCACATGCAAAACACCTGGCATACAGAAGGTGCTGAATAAATGTTGTCCTTTCACCTTATTAATTTTGTTCCTTGTAAATACCCTTAGCCATGGGCTACAGAAAAAGATTAGGGTCTTTGAATAGCTTTTTAACAGCCCAGAATAATGAATAAAGAATTGCTGGTGGAGTCTGTTTGTCCTCCCTCTGTTTCTGCTACACCAAATGCAACAAGTTTCTTATCCCAAATAATTACTTGCACATGCCTGATCTCCAGTGGAGCCCATCCCTATTTGCTCCTAAAACAATTGTATAATAATACCAAAGATCTGAAATCTCATGAAGCTCAGCCTACCCAGGCTGTCCCCAACTATGTTAAATTGAGCTTGGTGTAGGAGAGGTATCTGCTTGGCTTTTTCCCTTCCTTTGAGCTTGCACTGGCTTCAAGAGCTGAGTTCATAGACCTTAGCAGACGTGTAAGATCAAAAAGAAACTGGTCCCTGGGGAGAAAATAAAAATTCCCTCCAAGTGCATAAGGTAATGTAATAGCGATGACTTGACAAGCAAGGCCTTCCTTCCCAGGGATCTGGACAGACTCTCCTTAGACTGTCTTAGAGGACCCACCAGACCAACACCAGCCTCTGATGTCCACACTGCATGAAACACTGCTTCCTGGCTGCCTTGCCAGTCTAGGCGGAAGGTGCAGGTAGTGAGAACCACCATGAAATGGTCTTTGGCTCTGAATAGTGACCAAGAGCATTTCTGAGCCCCAACACCCCTTTGTCCCCTCCACACACATCTGCCAAGCTCCACCCTTCCCCTGGCAGGGTTTGAGGGTAGCTCACACATTCTCTGAGCAGCTGCCAAAGTGCTCCCAGGAAGGCTGGACCTCTCTCTGCCAGCAGCTGGTGCCCTCTGCTCTGCTCTGCTCTTTTTCCCTTACTCCTGTTCTCAATGAAATGGGCTGTACTTGGAGTAATTCTGAAGGTTACTGATGATACCCAACAGAATCAGACAGACCCTGGGTCTCATCCCAGCTCCTTCCCTTGCTAGCTGTGTAGCCCAGTTTCCTAAGTTGCAGCTTCCTTGCCTACAAATGGTGCATGACAATGATGCTTGTCTGATGAAGTGATTGTGTAACTGATTGAAATGATGCACTAGGTGCTTAGTGCAGTGCTTGCTGGAGAATGGATGTTCAACAAAATACTAGTTGTTATTACTGTTGTTGTCATATAATCTGCTAGTGTGCCTGTCACGGCCCATCAAAGATGTATTTGTTTCCTAGAGGCTGCTGTAACAATTTATCCCAAACTGGATGGCTTAATACTACAGAAATTTGTTTCTCTCACAGTTCTAGAGGACAGAAGTCTGAAATCAAGGTGTCAGCAGGGCCTCACTCCCTTAGAAGGGTTCATGGAAAAATATTTTCCCCTCCTCTTCCAGCTCCTGTAGGCATTCTTTGGTGTTCCTTGGTTTTTAGTCACTTCACTCCAATCTCTGCCTGTGACTTCACATGGCCTTCTCTTCTGGGTGTCCCTGTCCCCTCCTCTTCCTTTGCCTCTTTATTTTTTTTCTTTTTTTTGAGACGGAGTCTTGCTCTTTCACCCAGGCTGGAGTGCCATGACACAATCTCGGCTCACTGCAATCTCTGCCTCCCGAGTTCAAATGATTCTCCTGCCTCAGCCTCCCAAGTAGCTGAGATTACAGGCACCCGCCACCACGCCCACCTAATTTTTGTATTTTTAGTAGTGACAGGGTTTCACCATGTTGGCCAGGCTGGTCTCAGACTCTTGACCTCAAGTGATCCGCCCACCTCAGCCTCCCAAAGTGCTGGGATTACAGGCGTGAGCCACCGCACCCGGCCCCTTTGCATCGTTCTTATAAAATCACTTGTAAAGGCATTTAGGACCCACCTAGATAATCCTGGATAATCTCCCCCAACTCAAGATCCTTAATCACATCTGCTACTATTAAGGTAATAGTCGCTCCTGTGTCATATATAGTAATATTCTCAGGTTCCAGGGATAAGGACAAGGCTGGATCTTGCTGCAGAGTACCATTAAACCCACTATAAAAGATCTTCCTTAGGAAAATGGGCTTGGGAAAGAGGGCTTTTGCTTGCTTCTTATTCAAGAGTCTCAAATCTTGACAGCATTTCATTGTCAGCTGCAAAACTCTCTTTGCTGTCTCTCCCAGGAACCCATTCATGGTCCACCCTGCCACACCCTGATAGGCAGAGGCCCCATGGTCAATGGATCCCTGGAACCATGGAACATAAACAGCCTGGGGGTGAGCCTGTTGGGTGGTGGGATGAGATGGAATGAGCTATAATGGCTAGAAATATGTAGCTGGAACAAAGGAACTCTTAAGAAAGATTAAGATCTTTCTTAATCTTGAATCCCCTGGATATTATTCATATTATGAGGATGCTGTAGACAGGCCAAGCCTTGGGTCATTTGGTCTTATGTTAGGCACCTGGATACAAACCATACCATGATCAATCTTCACTCTGGACATGAAGTGACTTTGATGCCCGCAAAACTGTAGAAATAGATGTATGACTCTCAATCCCTGATCACTGAGAAGGGAGAGATACCATGTTGCACAATTCAAGGCAGAAATCATGCATTGTGTCCATGAATTTGTGGAATATGATGGCAATGATGCCCTGGATTTCTGCGTGCAGTGGCAGCTCTGGGAGGGGGCGCAGGGGAGTTCGGAAAAAAAGGCCCAGCCCAGGAGATCAGGGGCCTCAGGCAGTTTCCAAATCAGGGATCGGTGGGAGTGGAGGTAGAGATCCGGCCTTTTCTCACTCTAGATTAGCCGCATCACCTTCTCTGCAAATATCCTCACCTCTGAGGAGACTCAGTTTTCTCACTGTAAAATGAGAGGGTCTAGGAGGCTGAATAATGGTCCCCCAAAATATCTATGTCCTAAACCCTGGAACCTGGGAATGTTACCCTATATAGCAAAAGGGACTTTGCAGGTGTGATTAAGTTAGGGCCTTGAGATGGGGAGATGGTCCTGGATTATCCAAGTGAGCCCTAAATGTAATCACACATGGCCCCGTGGGAGGGAGGCAAGAGGGACACTGGACTACAGCAGAGGAGAAGTTGATGTGATGACTGATGCAGAGAGGGGAGTGATGTACCCACAGCAAGTGAATGCCAGCAGCCACTGGGAGTGTCACTATTGGAAGAGGCAAGATACAGATTCTCCCCAGGAGCCTAGAGCAGGAACCAGTCCTGCCAACATATTGAATTTAGCCCCACAAGACACATTTCAGACTTCTGCCCTCCAGAACTGTAAGGGAATACATTTCTGTCATTTTAAGTCACTAAGTATGTAGTAACAATATGCACCAGCTGCAGCAGAAAATTAATACAAGGGGTTACGCTTTATATGGTAACAAAGATAATGAAAAGAATGATCATTAAGGGCTCATCTTGTGCCTAGCATTCTATAACACGTTTTACACCTACTTACCCTTAAATCCTAACTACAACCCTGAGAGGTAAGTATTATTAGTCTCAGGGAACTGAGAATTAGAGAGGTTAATTAACTTTCCTGAGATTAAACAAATAGCAAGTGGAGAGAGCTGGAATTTAATCTCAGGCTCAGCTACTTACCTAGCACCTGTGATACCCTGTCTCCCTCTACATAAGCAGTTTTTCCATATACTTTACTTTGTCCTTTTAAGAAGTGTAAAAGATTTCACAACTTACATACCGTTTAATTTCTGCTTTCCAACAGAACTCCAAATATCCGCGTGTATGCGTGCATATTGGGACTTTTGTCTTGGGAAATGACACCTCAGTTTCTTAGGTGTACTCAAAATTCTGAGTCAAAATTACTTTTAGTTTATGAAGACCCAATTTTAATAATGCATAAAAACTCACTCAATAGATAACTCTATCTATTAGAATGGATAAAAGCGCTAAGAAAAATTACCCAAAACTTGAAAATGTGGTGAAAGACAGTGTGTCCTTTCAAAGACTTAGTGGACCATTGTTTAACAGCTCGCCCAAGGGCAATTTAACTCTCTTGGTCAGTGGTTCTCAAGTTTTTTTTTTTTTTTTTTTTTTTTTTCAGAGACAAGGTCGCTGGTTGTGTCGCCCGGAGTGGAGTCAATGGTGTAATCATAGTTCACTGCAGTCTCAAACTCCTGGGCTCAAGCAATCATCCCACCTCAGCCTCCCAAGTAGCTAGGACTACAGGGGTGGGTCACCATGCCCAACGAATTTTCTTATTTTTGTTTATTTTTTTTAGAGACAGAATCTTGCTATGTTGCCCAAGCTGGTATTAAACTCCTGGCTTCAAGTGATCTTCCTGCTTCAGCCTCCCAAAATGCTGGGATTACAGATATGAGCCATAATGCCCAGGCTGATTCTCAAATTTTTCATCGCAAGACTCCCTTATACTATTAAAAATTAGTGAGTTCTTTCACTGGGCTTAATACCTGGGTGATGGGGTGATAGGTGCAGCAAACCACCATGGCACACGTTTACCTATGAAACAAACCTGCACATCCTGCACATGTACCCCTGAACTTAGAAGTTGAAGAAAAAACAAACAAAAAATTAACGAGGTCTTTACATTCTTTTTGGTTATATGAGCTATATTTATTTATTTTTCTTTTTTTCTATTATTCTTTTTTTTCTTTTTTTATTATTATACTTTAAGTTCTAGGGTACATGTGCACAACATGCAGGTTTGTTACATATGTATATATGTGCCATGTTGGTGTGCTGCACCCATTAACTCGTCATTTACGTTAGGTGTATCTCCTAATGCTATCCCTCCCCCCTCCCCCCACCCCACAACAGGCCCTGGTGTGTGATGTTCCCCTTGATATTTACCATATTTAGAAATTAAAACTAAAAAAGTTCAGAATACTTATTATCAATTCATCTAAAGCAACAATAATAAACCCATTATATATTAAATAACATTATGAAAAAATCTGTATTTACAACTCAAAATAATTTAGAGAGAAGAGTAACATTGTTTTATATTTTTACAAATCTCTTTAATGTCTGGCTTAACAGAAGGCAGCTAGAGTCTCATATTTGTGTCTGCATTCAATCTGGTGTAATAACTAGTCTAGTTGGAGTATAAGAAGAAATTCCTGCCTCACACAAATATGTGGTTTGGAAGAGAGGAGGGCGGATTTCAAAAGCTTTTTCAGATCATTGTGGATCTTCTTGTTTGATACTGTACCTAACTTGGCAAATGGTAGTGTCTTAAAGATTGATGATAATATAGAATCTGAAATTTCAGTGAACTTCTCTTTTTCTTTTCTTTTTTCTTTTTTTCTGAGGCGGAGTCTCACTCTGTCACCCAGGCTGGAGTGCAGTGGTGCAATCTCGGCTCACTGCAACCTCCGCCTCCCGGGTTCAAGCCATTCTCCTGCCTCAGCCTCCCAAGCAGCTCGGATTACAGGTGCCCACCACCACGCCCAGCTAATTTCTGTAGTTTTAGTAGAGACGGGGTTTCACCATATTGGCCATGCTGGTCTCTAACTCCTGAGCTTGTGATCCGCCTGCCTCAGCCACCCAAAGTGCTGGGATTACAGGCATGAGCCACCATGCCCAGCCCTCAGTGAACTTCTTAAACTCTGCTACATTAAAGTCCATTGATTTATCTTACACTTTGAGTGAATCTTTTGCCCACGTATGGATTTTGTAATATCATACCTCGATCATTTGGAAATACATGGTTCGCTGGATTATATAGATCGTCCCAATGTTAATATAATTCATTATATAATAATAAAAATAATCACATTTGTTAATACCACAATCAGTCGCAGCAGAAAAGTGTTACTACTGGAGGCTGTTCAGGCTCAGAATGACAGAACAGTTTCAAAATGCTAATTTTCACTCAAAATGCAAATTATATCACTTAAACAAATACTGTCAGTAAGTTTCCTTGAAATAACAGAGTCACTTCATTCATTTTTGAGAAACTATCTGCCAAATATTCAAGTATGAGTAACCGTGGTTTGTCAGTCATTTGCTTAAAAAGAAAAACCAATAGTGTTTCCTGAAAAACTCAAACAATAGCACAATTGCATTTCTTCTAGACAACTGTTTTGCATTAGTATGCAGCAGAAGTGTTTGATGGGCACCATAGTTTCCCTTTCACCACACATAAATGGGGCCGGGCACGGTGGCTCATGCCTGTAATCCCAGCACTTTGGGAGGCCAAGGGGGGTGGATCACTTGAGGTCAGGAGTTCGAGACCAGCCTGGCCAACATGGTGAAACCCTGCCTCTACAAAAAAATACAAAAATTAGCCAGGCATGGTGGCATGTACCTGTAGTCCCAGCTACTTGGGAAGCTGAGGCAGGAGAATCTTTTGAGCCCAGGAGGCGAAGTTTGCAGCCAATTAAGATCGTGCCACTGCACTCCAGCTAGGCAACAGAGCAAGACCTTGTCTAAAAGAGGGAAAGAAAGAAGAAAAAGGGTGTACTCAAAAAGTCAAGATTTAATAAAATTAAGTTTTTAACTGCTTCATCAAGAACACTCGAGTAAATTCTTTATTTTAAGTTCAGGAGTACATGTGGAGGATGCACAGGTTTGTTATATAGGTAAACGTGTCATGGTGGTTTGCTGCACGGATCATTCCATGAGCTAGGTATGAAGCCCAGGATCCATTAACTATTCTTCCTGATGCTCTCCCTCCTCCCCATTCACCCTCTGACAGCATCCAGCATGTGTTTTTCCCCCACCACGTGTCCATGCGTTCTCCTCATTCAGCTCCCACTTATAAGTGAAAACACGCAGTATTTGGTTTTTTGTTCCTGTGTTAGTTTGCTTAGGATAATGGCCTCCAGCTGCTTCCATGTCCCTGAATATGTATTATGTTTATACATGGCAGTGAAGAATACACTGACTAATAGTTTGGTCCCACCATCTTGTATTTGTACCACATTTGTGCCAGCAGCTGTATGCACATGGCCTTTGCTGTATCAGTGCAGATGTCAACACAGTTAAAATAAATAAATAAATGAACAAACAAACACATACATACATAAATAAGGCAAGAGGGCAATTACTATCTTAGTGTTATTATGAAAGTAGGTTTCAAGCCGGGCGCGGTGGCTCACGCCTGTAATCCCAGCACTTTGGGAGGCTGAGGCGGGCGGATCACGAGGTCAGGAGCTCGAGACCATCTTGGCTAACACGGTGAAACCCCTTCTCTACTAAAAACACAAAAATTTAGCTGGGCGCGGTGGCGGGTGCCTGTAATACCAGCTACTCAGAAGGCTGAGGCAGGAGAATGGCGTGACCCCGGGAGGTGGAGCTTGCAGTGAGCCGAGACAGCGCCACTGCAGTCCGGCCTGGGCGAAAGAGCGAGACTCCATCTCAAAAAAAAAAAAAAAAAGAAAGAAAGAAAGTAGGTTTCGGCCGGGCACGGTGGCTCACACATGTAATCCCAGCACTTTGGGAGGCTGAGGTGGGCGGATCATTAGGTCAAGAGTTCGAGACAGCCTGGCCAAGATGGCGAAACCCCATCTCTACTAAAAATACAAAAAATTAGCCGGGCATGGTGGTGTGTGCCTGTAATCCCAGCTACTCGGGAGGCTGAGGCAGGAGAATTGCTTGAACCTGAGAGGCAGAAGTTGCAGTAAGCTGAGATGGCGCCACTGCACTCCAGCCTGGGTGACAGAGCGAGACTCCATCTCAAAAAAAAAAAAAAAAAAAGGAAAAAGCATGGACCTCCTGAGAAGTTTCAGACTCCACCCCGTCGGGGCCTCTTCACCACCCTTCGAGAACCTCTGCTCTAAGATGTTGTCTAGCTCTTAGAATTCATGACCCTTTCCTAGCACCAGATTTCCTCGATGAGTTTATCTAAACCTCTCTTCATAACTGGAGTCATAAAGACAGAAGAGTAGCCCTAATATTCCTGTTACCCTCTCCTTCCACTGAGATTCTGAAACAAGGAATGTGAAGTATGGCTGGGGGGAGGGCGGGGGGAGGATAATTCAAACGTGAGCACCCACTCACACCTGCCCCCAGCCTGGGGTACCAACACTGGGTGGTAGAACAAAAAGGACAGTGAACTTTATCAAGGTCCCCACAGGGTGTCTGAGGCCCTTCCAAGCCCTTTCTGAGCAGTTTTCAGGAAACATCCCCCTTTTTGCAGGACTGTTTAATCTCTTTTTCCTATTAATTTCTCCTGACAACTACCGTTAGCCACATAAGTAATGATTTCTCTTCTAGGTCAGCCTCTCCATAACTATTTATAATCCTACATGAAGTCATTCCTCTTTTCAGTTCAAGATGACTGATAAAAAAAAAAAAAAACCAAACAACTTATTATGTCAGTTCATAGAAACAGAATTTCAAAGGGTAGTTTGCGGACAGAGTGACCCGATAGGTAATTATTTTCCCTTGCACCTAGTTCTCTAACCAGCCGCAAGCCTTTATCACCACCTCCACCTCCTCATCCCTGATTAGTGACTTTGAAGAATCAGCAGGGACTCAGAGAGTTGGGGAAGGAAGAAGGGGGATGAGATTTGCATCAAGGCACAAGGATTTTAGGGTATTAATAAATCCCCCAAATGTGTCAGCTGCAGAGCTTGGGATGAGATTAGGAAATCTGTAAAAAGCCTCTGAAATAAATGTCAGAGAAGAGACTATTTAGGGTTTGGTATCAGGTTGAAACTGATAAGATTTCACAACAGTAAAAATAGGTAAATGCAATCCGTCTCAGCCTTCTTCCTCTGGAGCCACCAGGAGGACATTCTCTGTGACCTTCAGGATTTAGTCAAATGGGTATAAAGGAGTTTAGTTAAAACATTCTCCCAAAGACAGCCACACAGCAACAGACTGCAGGCTGAGAATTTCTCTATTCCCATCCTCCCTGTCAATTAGTCCCTTATCTATTTAACACATTTTATTGTTTTTAGCGTCTGCTCCAGCCGTAGTGGAATCAGCTCTGCACAGGAAGCAGAGGGAGCCTCCATAAAAGCAGGTGAGGGCCAGGCACAGTGGCTCACACCTGTAATCCCAACACTTTGGGAGGCCAAGGCAGGCGGATCACCTGAGGTCAGGAGTTCAAGACCAGCCTGGCCAACGTGGTGAAACCCCGTCTCTACTAAAAATACAAAAATTACCCAGGTGTGGTGGTGGGTACCTGTAATCTCAGCTACCTGGGAGGCTGAGTCAGGAGAATCACCTGACCCCGGGCGGCAGAGGTTGCAGTGAGCCAAGATCACACCACTGCACTCCAGCCTGGGCAACAGAGTGAGACTCTGTCTCAAAAAAAAAAAAAAAAAAAAAAAAAAAGCAAGTGAGAATAAAATACTAACACTTTCAGCTTTTAAAGACCAAGAGTGGCCCAGCATGCTAGCGTACTGCTTAGCATCTCTGGAAGACTTAGACACATATAATTCCAATCTTATTCAAAACCATGTAAAGAATAGAAAAAGAGGACATTATAACCTGATGCTAAAAGCAGACAAAAAGTACAGGTCAATCTCACAAGCAGACATACAAAAGCCCTAACAAGTCTTATCATGTATAAAATTGTATAAAGGTATAAAAATAATTACTACATCATGGCCAAGTTTATTCCAATTATGCAAACATGGTGAAACATTAGAAAAATCTGAAAATGCAATTCACTATATGAACAGATTAAGAATAAACAAACAAAAGATACTTTCCTCATACTGAAAAGCATTCAACAAAATTCCATACATGTTGGTGATTTAAAAAATAAAAAATGAAACTCTTGGAGCCAGCCAGGAGCAGTGGCTCACGCCTGTAATCCCAGCACTTTAGGAGGCCAAGGTGGGCAGATCACCTGAGGTCAGGAGTTCGAGACCAGCCTGGCCAACATGGTGAAACCCCGTCTCTACTAAAAATACAAAAATTAGCTGGGCGTGGTGGCACGCATCTGTAATCCCAGCTACTCATGCAGCTAAGGCATGAAAATCACTTGAACCTGGGAGGTGGAGGTTGCTGTGAGCTGAGATCCTGCCACCGCACTCCAGTCTGGGCAACAGAGCAAGACTCCATCGCAAAAAAAGAGAAAGAAAGAGAGAGAGAAGAGAGAAAGAAAGAAAAAGAAAGAAAAAGAAAGAAAGAAAGAAAGAAAGAAGGAAGAAAAAAGAAAGAAAGAGAAAGAAAGAAAGAAAGAAAAAGAGAAAGAAAGAAAGAAAGAAAAAAAGAAAGAAAGAAAGAAAGAAAGAAAGAAAGAAAGAAAGAAAGAAAGAAAGAAAGAAAGAAAGAAAGAAAGAAAAGTCTTAGGAAACTTGGACTATAAGAGAATTTCCTAAATCTAATAAAGGTGTCTACAGATCCTTAAGAAAAGTACTGACAAAATATTCAAAGTATTCCCTGTAATTTCTGGAGCAAGAAAAAAGTTTTTCACTATTACTATTCATAAAATTATTCCAGAAGTTTGGCAAGTACAATAAAATAAGGCAAAAAAGATTTCAGATTCCTTAAAAGCTTAGCTTTTAAAATCACCAACATGCTAACTGCTTTCTAATGCTACTTTCCAAACATCACTCATCCATGACTGTGGGTTGGACTTTGCTCCATTACAGGCCAATGTCATTTCCATTTCAGTTCATGCCAGCTTCTAATGTCTATTCCTGAGCCAGTCCCAGGCAACCTTTTCTATACTATGTCTGATGCCCATAGCTTTCTTGTGTTTGATAAACCCAGCAGAGTCTATGAAAACCACCAGAAAAAAAGGGAGTTTGAAGCAGCTGTATTCATACAGTTTAGTACAATCACTGGGATGAGATTTGGACTTGGAAGTTATCATTGAGAATGAATCCTGACCCCATACTTTCTGAGCACTGGGCTTTAGTTAAGCTGTTTTATTCCTCAAAGCCTCAGTTTCCTGATCTGTAAAATGGAGGTATAATCCCTTCATTGTCAGATTTCTATTATATAAGGATAAAGTAAGAAAATGTAGGTAAATTACTATTATTTTCAAGTGCTCCATGATACACATACACACACACACACACGCACACATGCACACACACAGAGAGCAGCCTATCTCTCCCATTAGGACTATGATAATGGGAGTTCATTATTTTGGGCACTGTGTATTATCCCCAGTAACTAGGATACTCTATATGTTTAATGCTCTATATAATGAAAAACTGGGCAGATGGATACATTAATGACAATTTTTTTTTTTTTTTTTTTTTTTTTTTTGCTTTGCTTTGCTTTGCTTTGCTTTGCTAAGCATCTCCAGGATAGAAAAGCCAATGGGAAAGAAATGGACGTAGAAACCATGACTTGGAAGCAGAAGTTGAGTCAAGGACACACCTGCAGAGAAATCACTCAAAACTCCCACAGCATCAGGCTCTGCCAAGTTTTTGTCCTTCATTCCTCAGAGTTTGATCTTCAAGCACAACACGGCCACATGTTTCCTTCACAGACTTTTACAGTCTTCAAATCCTTCTCGTGAACATATTGTCATTAGATTTTTGCAATAGCCTGCTAAGGTAGGAAACACAACTATTAGTGTCCTCATTTCACAAACAAGGAAAGTGAGGTTTAGAGAGGCTGAGCAAGCTGCTCTGATGTCTCACCAAGTGCTGGTTCCATCATGTGGCATGGCCTGACCAATGCGAAGCAGGAATGCAAATAAGAATCATATTGGCTGTGAGAAACTGCTTTTCCATTGCAACAAAATCATGGAGACTGCATCCCAGTCTTGTGTAACAAGCAGGAGGCTTCCAGGAGAGGAGCTGAGGTTCTAATTCTGAGCCTGCTTTTATTAGCTGCCATTTGGCTTGGAGAAAGGGAACTACGGGACTTCACAATGAAAAAGATTGGAGTTTGAATCTCGACTCTGTCACTATCTGTATAACCTTAGGCAAGTTACTTTATCTCTTTGAGTCATAGTTTTGCAATCTACAAAAATGGGATGATATCCAATTTTGAAGCTTAATTGAGATTACTTAGCAAAGTACCTGGAATCTAGTTGGAGTTCTATCAATAGTAATTCTCCATTTTCTCTTCCCTACTCATTTCTTCCTTTGTGAACTGGAAAGAAACACTATACCATAAGAGCATGGACTTCAGAGCCAGGCGGCCTGGGTTTCAATTCTAGCTCAGCTATTTGTTGGCCATGTGATCTTGGGCAAATTATTTAACCTTGCTGTGCCTTAGTTTGCTCATCTGTAAAATGGGGATAACGATAGTACTGACCTCACAGGGTTGTAATGAAGATAAAATGAGTTAACATTTGTAAAGTGCTCAGAACGCCTACTGGCATAGAGTAGGTGTTATATATATAGTTTTTGAATAAAAAATAACCAGGCTCACAGAACATTTGTGAAAAAGACACCTGTGAAAATATTTTTGAAAGTTAAAAGAGCTAGACCAAGAAAGAGAAATACTAAAGCATCTCTCTGAAGCAACAGGAAGTATGGAGTCCTTACAATTTCACAGGCACTGCATAAGATACAAAACGATTAGGTCAGAATCATTCATTCAGCAGACATTTGTTGTGTGCCTATTACGCACCAGCCATTTTGCTAAGCCCTAGAGATACGATGGTTAGCAACAGAGCCAAGGCCATTGCCCTTGTACAGCTACCATTCAGAGGAAAGGGAGTTGGAAATTTTAGGAAAAGGGAAAAAATAAATCAATAGGACAGCTACACTTTGTAATAAGTGGTTAGAAGGAAACAGATGCTTTGCTGTGATCATGGACAATGGCAGGAAAGGATGCTTTAGATAAAGGCGTCAATGAAGGTTTCTCCAAAAAGATGACACAGGCTGAGACCTAAAGGCTGTGGAGGTTTTGTTCATGGAGCTTAAAACAGTCTAGTGGGGTTGGGAGGATCCCACAGGAGCATAAATATGGAGACTCTAACGGAACCTTCCTCACAGGATGGTTCTGAGGAGTAAACAAACTGTAGTATGAGAAACGCTTGGCACAAGGCCTGGCGCATAGTAAATGCTAAATATCCTTACTGTCTTCCTGGGAAAGTGCATCACTCACAGCAGCACCCGTGGTCCCTGCATGGTCAGCTAGAGCACCGTTCTGGGGCCAGCCCCACCTGTCTGAACAGCATCCACTCAGGAATTCATTCAGTGACTCACTCAAACCAAGACACATTTATTTAGTGTATTTATGAGCCACCTAAAAGATATAAATGATACAAATATGACTCCAACTCTGCCCTCCAGGGACTCACAGCCCAGTGGGAGAAATAGAAACATGCAAATTCCCAAGGACGCAGCCTGGCGTCTAAGGAAGTAACGCTGTTCACTTTGGAACTGAGGATGGGGTGGCCTGTAGATTCTCACAAGACATGGGACAGTGGGTCAGGAATGTCTGGCTACGTGGAGAAGGGGTTGCCACATATCAGATGAGCTTCCAGTTTGCCAGCGTGCTGGATCAATGAGTGATAACGTAATACCTGGCCCATTGCACAGGGTCCATGGGCAAGCCCTGGGGCATAGAGTTGGGAGGGATGTGAACCCAAAGAACAGAGAATCCAGACACCGAAGATGGACAAACTGTCACACCCCCATCCCAGGGCAAGAGTGCAGGAGCCAGAGAGCATAAAAAGCATGGCCATTCTCGCCCAGCTTCAGAGGAAACCACAATCCAAAGGTGCCCCTAGCATTCCAGCTTCCAGTCCTCTGCTGACTTTGTCCTCTGACTGGAATTCTCTTTCTGTTCCCCATCTTCCAGATTCAGTGCCCAGCTTGCAAGTTCCTTTCTGTTTCTCTAATTGTTACAGTCTGCAGTCATCACCACCACCCCCTCAAACTGTCACAACATGTGTCTGCAAGACTCAGATCCTTCTTTCATCAGACCATCATGTATTAGGCACCTTTCAGTGCTAAGTGCTAGAGATAGAACATATGCAATATACTGTCCAGGGTGCCAGGAGAATCAGGCAGACATCCTGCCCTTAACACAAGGTCAGCACTGAAAGAGACACAAGTAAAGGGAATGGGACAGTGGCAAAGAAAAGATTTCATGCTTCCACTGTTTCCTGTTTCCCCACACCACATTGCCAAGTCCTTCTTTCCTTCATTTATTTGTTCATTGAAAAATATTTACTGAGTGCATGCTTCCAAGTGATTAGAGCACTTCAGTGAATAAAACAGACCAAACTGATCAGTGAGGTGATATTTTAGTGAAGGCATGAAAGAGGTAAGGAGACAATCACATGGACATCGGAGGGAGGAGTGATACAGTGCAAAGGCCCTGAGGTAAGCAGGGTCTAGGACCTGAGGTCAGAGTGGCTGGAGCAGAGTGAGCTTGGAGAAAGTAGAAGGGAGTGGAGGACAAGAAACAACAGATGAGTCATTGAAAGGCCTTTATCTCTTACTCTGAGCAAAGTCGGGAGTCTCTGGGAGATTTTGTGTCGAAGAGAAACATGATGTAACTAACATTTAGGAGGCTGTTGCAATAGTACAGGAAAGAGATGATAGTGGCTTCCACCAGGTGAGAAGCAAAGTATAGATTGATTGATTGGTGTTTTGATGTATCACACTTTTACTACAAGAGTAGGTTTATTTGTTTCTTTTGTTTTGTTTCGTTTTTGAGACAGAGTCTCACTTTGTCACCCAGGCTGTTGTGCAGTGGCACAATCTCAGCTCACTGCAACCTCCGCCTCCCGGGTTGAAGTGAGTCTCCTGCCTCAGCCTCCAAAGTAGCTGGGACTACAGGAGCATGCCACCATGCCTGGCTAATTTTTTTGTATTTTTAGTAGAGACGGGGTTTCACCATGTTGGCCAGACTGGTCTTGAACTCCTTACCTCAGGTGATCTGCCAGCCTCGGCCTCCCAAAGTGCTGGGATTGCAGGCATGAACCTCTATGCCTAGTCAAGAGTAGGTTTATTTGAAATTTTTTTTTTTTTTTTTTTTTTTTTTTTTTTTTTTTTTGAGATGAAGTCTTGCTCTGTCGCCCAGGCTGGAGTGCAGTGGTGCGATCTCGGCTCACTGCAAGCTCCACCTCCCAGGTTCACGCCATTCTCCTGCCTCAGCCTTCCGAGTAGCTGGGACTACAGGCGCCCCCCACCATGCCTGGCTAATTTTTTGTGTTTTTAGTAGAGACAGGGTTTCACCATGTTAGCTAGGATGGTCTCGATCTCCTGACCTTGTGATCCGCCCGCCTTGGCCTCTCAAAGTGCTGGGATTATAGGCGTGAGCCACCGCGCCTGGCCTATTTAATTTTTTTTTTTTTAATTCAATAGCTTTAGTAGTACAAGTGGTTTTTAGTTACATGGATCAACTGTACAGTGGTGAAGTCTGGGCTTTTAAACCTGAATAGTGTACATTGTGCCTGATAGGTAATTTTTTATCCCTTATCTCCCTCCCACCCTTCCCACTCCAGTGTCCATTATACCACTCTGCATGCCTTTGAGTACCAGCTTAGCTCCCACTAATAAGCGAGAACATGAGGTATTTGGTTTTCTGTTCCTGAGTTACTTCACTTAGAATAATGACCTCCAGATCCATCCAAGTTACTGAAAAAGACATATTTCATCCTTTTTTATGGCTAAGTAGTATTCCGTGGTGTATATATATCACATTTTTTTAATCTAGTCATCAGTTAATGGGCACTTGGGTTGATTCTACGTCTTTGCAATTGTAAATTGTGCTGCAATAAACATACTCGTGCAAGTTTCTTTTTGATATAATGACTTCTTTTCTTTTGGGTAGATTATCTAGTAGTGGGATTGCTGGTAGATTAAATGGTAGATCTACTTTTAATTCTTGGAGAAATCTCCATACTGTTTTCCATAGAGGTTGCACTAATCTACATTCCCACCAGCAGTGTATAAACATTCCTTTTTCACCACATCTGCACCAACATCTATTGTTTTTTGACTTTTTAATAATGGCTATTCTAGCTGGGGTGTGGTGGCAATTTGTGGTTTTAATTTGCATTTCCCTGATGATTAGTGATGTTGAGCATTTTTTCATATGTTTGTTGGCCATTTGTATGTCCTCTTCTTCTGAGAAATGTCTGTTCATATAATTTGCACCCCCCCCCCCTTTTTTTTTTTTTTTTTTTGAGACAGAGTCTTGCTCTGTCACCCAGGCTGGAGTGCAGTACAATCTCAGCTCACTGCAACCTCAACCCGCTGGGCTCAGGTGATCCTCCCGCTTCAGCCTCCTGAGTAGCTGGGACTACAGGTGCGTGCCATCACACCTGGTTAATTTTTATAGTTTTTGTAGAAACAGAGTTCTGCCATGTTGCCCAAGCTGTTCTCAAACTCCTGAGCTCAAACAATCTGTTCACCTTGGCCTCCCAAAGTGCTGGGATTACAGGCATGAGCCACCATCCCCAGCTATTTGCCCACTTTTTGGTGGTATTATTTTTTTTTCTTGCTGATTTGTTTGGGTTCCTTGTAGATTCTGGATATTAGTCCTTTGTTAGATATACACTTCGCAAATATTTTCTTCCATTTTATAGGTTTTCTGTTTATTCAGAAGCTTTTTAGTTTAATTAGTTTCCATTTTTAATTTTTATTTTCATTGCATTTGTCTTTGGGGTCTTAGTCATAAATTCTTTGCCTAGGCTAATGTTCAGAAGAGTTTTTCCTAGGTTTTCTTTTAAAATTTGAATGGTTTCCGGTCTTAGATTTAAGGCTTTGATCCATCTCGGGTTGATTTTTGTATATGGTGAGAGACAGAGATCCAGTTTCATTCTTCTACGTGCAGCTTGCCAGTTTTCTCAGCACCACTTATTGAATATGGTCTCCTATCCCCAGTGTAAGTTTTTGTCTGCTTTGTCGAAGATCAGCTGGTTATAAGTATTTGGCTTTATTTCTGGGTTCTCTGTTTTGCTCCACTGGTCTATGTGTCTACTTTTATATCAGTACCCTGCTGTTTTGGTTACGATAGCCTTGTAGTATAATTTGAAATCAGGTGATGTGATGCCTCTAGATTTGTTCTTTTTGTTTACAATTTGCTTTGGCTAGTCAGGCTCTTTTTTGTTTCCATACTAATTTTAGAGCTGTTTTTTCTAATTCTGTGAAAATGACAGCATCCTTTTATGACAAAAACCCTCAACAAACTAGGCATAGAAGGAATATACCTCCAAATAATAAAAGTCATCTATGAAAAACCCACAGCCAACATCAATTTGAACAGGGGAAAGTTGAAAGCATTCCCTCTAAGAACTGGAACAGGACAAGAATGCCCACTTTCACCACATCTATTCAACATAGTACTAGAAGTCCTAGCCAGAGCAATCAGGCAAGAGAAACAAATAAAGGGCATCAAAATTGGAAAAGAGGAAGTCAAATTATCTCTGTTTGCCAATGATAATGATCTTATACCTAGAAAACCCTAAAGACTCCTCCAAAAGACTCCTATATTTGGTAAATGAATTCAGTAAAGTCTCAGGTTACAAAATCAATGTACATAGATCACTAGCACTGTTATATACCAACAATGACCAAGCTGAGAATCAAATCAAAAACTCAATCACTTCTACAATAGCTACAAAAAAAAATAATAAAATACCTAGGAATATACTTAACCAAGGAGGTTAAAGATCTCTACAAGGAGAACTACAAAACACTGATGAAAGAAATCATAGATGACACAAACAAATGGAAAAGCATCCATTTGGAAGAATGGATAGCAGAATCATGGATTGGAAGAATCAATATCCTGAAAATGACCATAGTGCCCAAAGCAATCTACAGATTCAATGCAATTCCTATCAAAACATCAACCTCGGCCAGACACGGTGGCTCACACCTGTAATCCTAGCACTTTGGGAGGCCGAGGTGGGTGGATCACCTGAGGTCAGGAGTTCGAGACCAGCCTGACCAACATGGAGACACCCCATCTCTACTAAAAATACAAAAATTAGCCGGGTGTGATGGGGCACTCCTGTAATCCCAGCTACTCGAGAGGCTGAGGTAGGAGAATCGCTTGAACTCGGGAGACGGAGGTTGCGGTGAGCCGAGATCTCACCATTTCTCACCATTGCACTTAAGCCTGGGCAACAAGAGCAAAACTCCGCCTCAAAAACAAAAAAAAATTGATTGATTGACTGAATTGAAGGAAAAAAAAAAACCCTAAACAGTACTTGGAATTTGAGCTGCCGCCAGGTGCAAGGTCCCATTGCACCACTGAGAGCAGACATACTAAGTGAGGCCATGTAATCTGCCCCCTTCAGGCAGGGTCAGGATGGTGCTGACCTAGCTGCAGCTTTTGTTGTGGAGCACTGAGCAGGCAGTCTGGACACAGTGCACACTGGACCAAGGTCTCATTCACTGGGACCAAGAGCCACCAGAGAGATGCTTATATTTGCACAGGAAAGCATTGAAAATGTAAACAAACATGCACTTCCATCATACCACAAACTTCTAACTATCAAACAGCTTCAAAATTAAAAGAGACGTCCAAATGCCCATCTCCTGCCCTCCCAGTTTGCCATACTCCAAGGGCTGCCCTGGAATTCAGTTCAGAAGCCTGGTCAAGAGACCTTCATAGAACTCAGAGGGGCAAAATGTGATGATTCAGAACTAGTCCCAATTTGTGAAATCCGGTGTGCACTGGAATGCAAAAGGAGATGCTGTGACTGAATATTGAGAGAGAAATCAATTTACCACAGGCTGGATCAGCTCGCTTTGCCTGAGCCTCACTCTGCCCCTTCCCCCAAATTCTACAGACTCATCAGAGCAAAGTATTCTGTGCTGATTCTGGCTGGAGAGCCAGGGAAGTGAAGAACAGAACAGAACAGCAATCTTTATGATCAAACGAAATCTGTAAGAACTCATTCTGCAGAATTTTCCAGGAATTCATCTAGGTGAGAAACTACCAGGGGATGGAGAAAAACTCGGGGTCTTAGCTGGTTTTGTTGCCCCAACAAGCCTGCCTGAAGGACCCACCCCCTGCTGTCACTATTACATTCCCATGTTTAGTTCCTTCATAGCACTTATCACTGTTTGAAATTATTTGTCTACCAGTTTAGATTTGTCTTCTCCTAAGAATATAAGCTCAGTGACAACAGGGACTTTATCTGATTGATTTCCCATCTTATTCATCACTCTAGAACAGCATATAATTTGCTCTGGATAATTATTTGTTGAAGAGATAAATGAGCAAGTGAATAAATATTTTCAGTAGCTTGAGACAGCCCTTGCATAAGAACAGTCCTGTAACCCCATCTGCAGAATCCATTACTGTCAAAGAAAAAGCATAACAACCTCTATTCATCTAATACTTAACAGTTTTCATAGCATTAAGTAGGTGTTATCTGATTTAATCCTCACAGCAAATTTGGGAGATAAGTATTATCATTTCAATTTTACAGGTGAGAAAACTGAGTCTCCAGAATGTTCAATGACATCCTCAAGATCACATAACTGATAAATAGCAGAACTGAACTCAAATAGCCAAGTCCAAGTTCAGTGTTTAGTCTATGCTTGAGAAACAGTTTAAAAGAAATGAGCCAGCTTCACATCCAGATCCTCTCTAATTTATGTATTTACATCCCCCAAGATAGAGTACAACATTATCTCTTTACTCTGGAAAAGATGTGGCCCAGTGGAGAGAGCGTGGGCCAAAGCTCAGACCAGAGCTGCAAGAACCAGTCATGTAAACTTGGAGAAATCTTGGCACCTCTCAGTGGGACCCTGTTTCTTCTTCTTTCAAGTGGGTGTAATAACACTTGACTTGTCTGCCTCACAGTGTGCCACGAGTCTTCAATTTAAAAAGATGAAAAGTGCCACCAAGATGTAAGTTCAACATTACAACAGGATGCTGGGGCTTTTGTGTCCTGGCCCTCCCTGCTTGGAAAGCCAACCATGAAGGGTCCTCAACTCCCCTCACCCACCTTATTACCCTGGTGACTTTGTTTTCCCCATATCTCAGCCTCCCTACAGAGGCCATATATAGAAATATATATTGGTGATAATCACTCATCTTTATGAATATACTAAAGCTACTGAATTGTAATCTTTAAATATAGTGTGTGAATTATGTCTCCATTTTTAAAAAGAGACAATGTCTATGGCCCAGGTAAGAGGCACACCAAGACCTACCTAGGATTGGGAATAGGGAGGAGAAAAATTAATTATAGGAGATTTTAGGGAAGAAGAAGGAGCCAAATATGATTACAGCCCTAAGCCTAGAAATGAGGGAAAATGGTGGTGCCCTTAACAGAAAGAAGGGCAAGCAAGTCTAGGAGACACAGTGATTAGCTCAGTGTAGGGCATACTGAGTACGAGAGTTCAAGGGGCCACACAGGTGCACACGCACATCAGAAAGCTGGAAAATCAGGCCTGAATTTCTGGAAATGGTAAAGAGTTGGGAACCACCTACCTTAAAGTCATGATTAAAGACTAGAGACAAGATGAGCCTTCTCAAGATTGTTTTTTAAAAAAAGAGCCAGCAGAGATTTTTCTCCTATATTTCAAGTCTTCTCTAAATTGGCGAGCTCCACTTCTTGTCAATTTATGGATGCTTTGTGTACAGTTGTATCTGATTAGACCTGGAGTGTGTCCCATCTCATTTTCTAAAGGACTTTCTCTGTTCATCCCGTTTTATAGATCTTGCAATTTACTATATATTCCATATGAAACATATGGCAGTTTACTTCCAATTACAAATATGGTTTCTGTGCCTAACAGTCTACATGAGAAGCAGATGGACTTCAGGCACAGCTATTGACTATAGTTATAATTTGTATGTTCTTAGGGAAATATTTGTTGCTGTGATTTTTCCAAAGCAGAATCATCAAAAATGTAGTTATTTGAAAGCTCTACCTGATCATTTTCTGAATCTCCTGTATGTCTACTTCTGTTATCTCTTTTTTCCTCTTGGGGTTTGGACATGTGGTTCAGTTTTTAGACGATCTATAATTTTTGATTGGATGCCTGACATTGTGAACCAAAACTTGTAGAGGCTCTAGATGATGTTGTTTTTCTCCAAGGAAGATTAAGGTTTTTCTTCAAGCAGATAAAGAGCCAGTAGACCACATTTAGCCTGTCCAGGTTCCATTGTAGGCTTTGTTACTGCTGATCTATTTTAATTCTTCTCTTACTCTTAGAGCATAGTGATTACTCTGAGAGAACTGCTCTAGGGTACAGCCCTTACTCCTATGCCTTGGGCCTCGTGAGGTCTTAACTGACATCTCAAGGTGTTGTTTACCAAGCCTCATCTATCTTGGTAAGACAATGCTATCTCCTCAGCACTGTACGTGGCTGAAATCTCTGCTCACGTCTTCAGCCTCCCTGCTGCTATATTCTTCTGGAAATCTTGGGATCTCACTCTGCACATGTGCAACTGAGAAATCATCTGATGCCTTCAGGGAATCCTTTTGCATATTTGGGGACCCACTTCTCTGTGGTTCTCTCCTCTCTGGCAGTCCCCAACACTGAGGAGACCTCTGTCTACTTAGCACGGTAGGGCAGGGGGAGGGGGGTTGATGCTTTCTGCTTGGGCTTTAGTCCCCTTGCTGAGAATGAAAAAAACATCCTCAGAGCGTAATTACATGTGGCAGATGTGGAGTTCATTTGATTTGCTGCCCGTCTCTCAAGGATCATAGCTCCTGGGCTTCCTGACTGTGTTGATTGTTCTCCAAAGCTTTCAAATGTGTTTTTAAATATTCAGTCTCCCTGGGTGCAGTGGCTCATGCCTGTAATCCCGGCACTTTGGGAGGCCAAAGTGGGTGGATCACCTGAGGTCAGGAGTTCGAGACCAGCCTGGCCAACATGGCAAAACCCCGTCTTTACTAAAAATACAAAAATTAGCCAGGCATGGTGGCACATGCCTGTAATCCCAACTACTCAGGAGGCTGAGGCAGGAGAATCGCTTGAACCCGGGAGGCAGAGGTTGCAGTGAGTCAAGATCGCATCACTGCACTCCAGCCTGGGCAACAGGGCAAAACTCCATCTCAAGAAAAAAAAAAAAATGGTCTCATCATTATGTGGGGCAGGTTAGTGTAATACAAATTACTTCATTGGAACTAGAAACCTGACTCAAGAGAATAAACAGATAGATAAGAATTGGCACTTGGAAACCTAATTTGGGGAGGAGGAATGAAAGATAGGAGAAAAAGAGAAAAGAGGAAAACTAGAATATGACAATCTTATGAAGGCCCAAGAGAAAAGTGCTGGAGTTAGCATTATCAAAAAGAAAGCTAAGATAAGGACATTATCCTTGGTGAGAGCAGAAGGTCATCGGTGTCGCATTTACTAATTGTCCTATGTGTTTATCTCCACCAAATGGTAAGCTTCTGGGGGATGTGTGACAAGCCTTACAATTGTATGCATCGTCACAGAACCATTCTAAACATTCACTAAATGTTCACTCTACAGTTGTTCATGAACTACAGGATTAGGAAAAGTTTCAAATAGCTGAATAGAACGCGTTTGAGAGAGGCTGGGGTAAAGCTGCTGGAAAGGTGTGGTTTGGAGTGTCCTCAGCAGAAGAAGGGTTGGGAGACACTAATTCAGCAGAGCGCCCCACCCCCACCCCACTAGACTATTTATACCCACCAGCAAACGTGCCAGGTGCATAGCATTCAGCTCATGACTCAAGGAGCAGAAATGAATTTAATTTCAAGGATCCCGACTCATACATGGAGAAAAGAAGTTTAACTTGTGCCTTTTCTTCTGCCCTCTACTATCCATGCAAGTAACACCCATAAAAAAAAAAAGAGACCTGTGAGTGAGCAGGCTATGAGTCTATAGGAAATGTAATTTCCTTTGCTTCATCTGTAAAAATATTTTTCATTTGCATTTGGTTGAAAGAATGTCCTGTGCCCACTCGATCCTTTTGGCAACTGGAAATGCCTACTATGGCCCGCTCACATCACCTTGGCTCTCCATCTGAGAGGACAGAGCTTTCCCTTACTTCATTTCACTCCCACTCCAGATCCAAAGGTGCCTCTTCTCATTGTGCCCTCTCCCTTCCTGTAACTACCCAGTCAGTTTCCAGTGTGTATAGACACGTCTAACCTGATGGAGAACTTCACAGATCAACAAAGTCACGGGCAAGTGGAGCTAGAAGGGTCCACGTGGGTGATACTATCTGACCCAACAAAGGGTAGTGTCCTTTAATGATTGTGTTGACTTTTGGAGCCAGGCTGCATTTGAGTCCTAGTTTTGCCACTTTTCATCTTTGTGACCTTGGGTAAACCCTGTAGTCTCTCTGTGCTTCAGTTACATCTTCAGTAAAATAGGAATGATAAGAGCACTTACCTTGTAATGCTGTTGTGAGGATTAATACAGTGCCTGGCTACCCTTACGAAGGCATGAGAAAGCTCACTCTAAGCTATAAAATGATGTAAGTGTGCAGCATGATTGCCTTTATTTTTCTTACTGCCACATCCAGTTTTTAGTCAATTCCGACTTGTGTGGATCTCAGGAGACAGGGAACTGCTAGACTGCCCACCACAGAGCCAGTCAGCATCTGCACTGTGCTGGGTCAGATGTCTCTCCAGCGGTATGGCAAATGCTGGCTGGCCCAGGGATGGGGAGCAACTCTGCCATGGAACTGAAGCCCTCCTCAGTACTGCTTAGAGGGAGACTGTCCCAGAAGCAGCCAGGATTAGAGAAGGGGCCTAGCTGGGGTGCCGGGCAGTCAGAAACAGGGGATAAATCGAGACAGACTCTGTGGAAAAGAAAAGCAACTGCCACCTCCACCTTCCCTCCTCACATACAGTGGATGATCAATGACTCATCTCAAAGGGAACGTTTCTTTGTGAGAGTGCAATGCATCTTCATTAGATTGATTAAAAATTGTTCCTTGCCAACTGAAAGCATGTGTATTAGAGAGTCTGGAATGTAAAAGCAGAAAGGGCTTTGAACACACCTGTGTCCCAACCCTGGCTCTGCCACTTATCAGCTCTGTGACCTTTGGAAAATTGCTTAGCTCCTCTGGTTCTGTTACTTTGTCTATAAAATGAGGATAATAATTTCCATTCCATAGGGTTATTGTTGAATGACAAAGGAGATGGCCTATGTACAATGCTGTGCACATACAGTGCCAGGCTCAGAGGAGGCAATAAGACAATGTCTGCTCCTTCCCTCTCTAAGTGAATCATTATGTCTGAGTGTGCAGGGAGTATTCAATTGCTTGTCAACCTGTCCACCCCGTGGTGTCTCAAGTGTCTCCAGAATTCCTAGAATTGAATGATAGGTGCTCAGAACAGAACAAAACTCGAGAGTGTCTTGCTCTATAAGATTTATAGTTCTGTCCGGGCACGGTAGCTCACGCTTGTAATCCCAGCACTTTGGGAGGCTGAGGCGGGCAGATTGCCTGAGGTCAGGAGTTCGAGAATAGCCTGGTCAACATGGTGAAACCCTGTCTCTACTAAAAATACAAAAATTAGCCAGGTGTGGTGGTGGGCACCTGTAATCCCAGCGACTTGGGAGGCTGAGGAAGGAGAATCGCTTGAACCCAGGAGGCGGAAGTTGCAGTGAGCCGAGATCGCACCACTGCACTCCAGCCTGGGTAACAGAGTTAGAATCTGTCAAAAAAAAAAAAAAAGAAAGAAAGAAAGAAAGAAAGAAAGAAAGAAAGAAAGAAAGAAAGAAAAGATTCATAATTCTATTGCTTTCATTGCCGTAACTCCATATTTTTGAATTTACTGATTTAACTATGAAAGGGATATGTTTTACTTTTACAAATGTGGACCTAGGTATGCTGTCACCAGGTCATAGTAAGTATTTTATCTAGAGTTATTTCCAAAATTGTGAACCTATACAAATTTATTTTACCAAAGCTACCATGTTTTCTGTTTATTTTCATGTCAGTGTTCTCTACCCAGTTAAGATACTTGGGGGCAGAGACCATGAGCCACTGATCTTTGTATTGTCACTGCTTGACTTACTATTTGGCACATATGCAGTACTCAATAAATCCTTTTTTATATATATACTTTAAGTTCTGGGATACAAGTGCAGAACATGGAGGTTTGTTACATAGGTATACATGTGCCATGTTGGTTTGCTGTACCCAGCAACCCGTCATCTACATTAGGTCTTTCTCCTAATGCTATCCCTCCCCTTGCCCTCCATCCCCCAACAGGCCCCAGTATGTGACATTCCCCTCCCTGTGCCCATAAGTTCTCATTGTTCAACTCCCACTTATGAATGAGAACATGCGGTATTTTTTTTTCTGTTCCTGTGTTAGTCTGCTGAGAATGATGGTTTTCAGCTTCGTCTATGTCCCTGCAAAGGACATGAACTCATCATTTTTTATGGCTGCATAGTATTCCATGGTGTATACATGCCACATTTTCTTTATCCAGCCTATCATTGATGGCCATTTGGGTTGGTTCCAAGTCTTTGCTATTGTGAATAGTGTTGCAATAAACATACATGTGCATGTGTCTTCATAGAATGATTTATAATGCTTTGGGTATATACCCAGTAATGAGATTGCTGGATCAAATGGTATTTATGGTTCTAGATCCCTGAGGAATCACCATAGTGTCTTACACAATGGTTGAACTAATTTACACTCCCACCAACAGTGTAAAAGCATTCCTATTTTTCCACATCCTCTCCAGCATCTGTTGTTTCCTCACTTTTTAATGATCGCCATTCTAACTGGCGTGAGATGATATCTCATTGTGGTTTTGATTTGCATTTCTCTAATGACCAGTGATGATGAGCATTTTTTCATATGTTTGTTGGCCACATAAATGTCTTCTTTTGAGAATTGTCTGTTCATATCCTTCACCCACTTTTTGATGGGGTTGTTTTTTTCTTGTAAATTTAAGTTCCTTGTAGATTCTGGATATTAGCCCTTTGTCAGATGGATACATTGCAAACATTTTCTCCCATTCTGTAGGTTTCCTGTTCACTCTGATGATACTTGCTTTTGCTGTGCAGAAGCTCTTTAGTTTAATTAGATCCCATTTGTCAATTTTGGCTTTTGTTGCAATTGCTTTTGGTGTTTTAGTCATGAAGTCTTTGCCCATGCCTGTGCCCTGAATGGTATTCCCTAGGTTTTCTTCTAGGGTTTTTATGGTTTTAGGTCTTAAATTTAAATCTTTATTCCATCTTGAGTTAATTTTGTATAAGGTGTAAGGAAAGGGTCCAGTTTCAGTTTTCTGCATATGGCTAGTCAGTTTTCCCAACACCATTTATTAAATAGGGAATCCTTTCCCCATTGCTTGTTTTTGTCAGGCTTGTCAAAGATCAGATGGCTGTAGATGTGTGGTGTTATTTCTGAGGCCTCTGTTCTGTTCCATTCATCTATATATCTGTGTTGGTACCAATACCATGATGTTTTGGTTACTGTAGCTTTGCAGTATAGTTTGAAGTCAGGTAGCATGATGCCTCTAGCTTTGTTCTTTTTGCCTAGGATTGTCTTGGCTATACAGGCTCTTTTTTTCTTCCATATGAAATTTAAAGTAGTTTCTTCTAATTCGGTGATGAAAGTCAATGGTAGCTTGATGGGAATAGCATTGAATTTGTAAATTACTTTGGGCAGTATGGCCATTTTCATAATATTTGTTGTTCCTATCCACAAGTGTGGAATGTTTTTCCATTTGTTTCTGTCCTCTCTTATTTCCCTGAGCAATGGTTTGTAGTTAACCTTGAAGAGGTCTTTCACAGCCCTTGTAAGTTGTATTCCTAGGTATTTCATTCTCTTTGTAGCAATTGTGAATGGGAGTTCACTCATGATTTGGCTCTCTGTTTGTCTATCATTGGTGTATAGGAATGTTTGTGATTTTTGCACATTGATTTTGTATCCTGAGACTTTGCTGAAATTGCTTATCAGCTTAAGGAGATCTGGGGCTGAGACGATGGAGTTTTCTAACTATACAATCATGTCATCTGCAAACAAAGACAGTTTGACTTCCTCTCTTCCTATTTGAGTAACATTTATTTCCTTCTGTTGCCTGATTGCCCTGGCCAGAACTTCCAATACTATGTTGAATAGGAATGGTGAGAGAGGGCATCCTTGTCTTATGCCGGTTTTCAAAGGGAATGCTTCCAGCTTTTGCCCATTCAGTATGATATTGGCTGTGGGTTTGTCATAAATAGCTCTTATTATTTTAAGATATGTTCCCCATCAATACCTGGTTTATTGAGTGTTTTTAGCATGAAGGGGTGTTGAATTTTATCGAAGGCCTTTTCTGCATCTATCGATATAATCATGCGGTTTTTTCATTGGTTCTGTTTATGTGATGGATTACATTTATTGATTTGTGTGTGTTGAACCAGCCTTGCATCCCAGGGATAAAGCCAACCTGATCATGGTGGAAAAGCTTTTTAATGTGCTGCTGGATTCGGTTTGCCAGTATTTCACTGAGGATTTTTGCACCGATGTTCATCAGTGATATTGGCCTGAAGTCTTCTTTTTTTGCTGTGTCTCTGCCAGGTTTTGATGTCAGGATGATCCTGGCCTCATAAAATGAGTTAGGGAGGAGTCTCTCTTTTTCTATTGTTTGGAATAATTTCAGAAGGAATGGTACCAGCTCCTCTTTGTACTTCTGGTAGAATTTGGCTGTGAATCCATCTGGTCCTGGGCTTTTTTTGGTTGGTAGGCTATTAATTACTGCCTCAATTTCAGAACTTGTTATTGGTTTATTCAGGGATTTGACTTCTTTCTGGCTTAGACTTGGGAGGGTGTATGTGACCAGGAATTTATCCATTTCTTCTAGATTTTCTAGTTTATTTGCATGGAGTTGTTTATAGTATTCACTGATGGTAGTTTGTATTTCTGTGGGATCGGGGTGATATCCCCTTTATCACTTTTTATTGTGTCTATTTGATTCTTCTCTCTTTTCTTCTTTATTAATCTGGCTAGTGGTCTACTTTGTTAATCTTTTCAAAAAACCAGCTCCTAGATCCACTGATTTTTTGAAGGGTTTCTCATCTCTCTATCTCCTTCAGTTCTGCTCTGATCTTAGTTATTTCTTGTCTTCTGCTAGCTTTTGCATTTGTTTGCTCTTTCTTCTCTAGTTCTTTTAACTGTGATGTTAGGGTGTCGATCTTAGATCTTTCCTACTTTCTCTTGTGGGCATTTAGTGCTATCAATTTCCCTCTAAACACTTTTTTAGCTGTGTCCCAGAGATTCTGGTACATTGTGTCTTTGTTCTCATTGGTTTCAAAGAACTTATTTATTTCTCCCTTAATTTCGTTATTTGCCCAGTAGTCATTCAGGAACAGGTTGCTCAGTTTCCATGTAGTCGTGCGGTTTTGAGTGAGTTTCTTAATCCTGAGTCCTAATTTGATTGCATTGTGGTCTGAGAGACGGTTATGATTTCCGTTCTTTTGCATTTGCTGAGGAGTGTTTTACTTCCAATTATGTGGTCAATTTTAGAATAAGTGCTATGTGGTGCTGAGAAGAATGTATATTCTGTTGATTTGGGGTGAAGAGTTTTGTAGATGTCTATTAGGTCTGCTTGGTCCAGAGCTGAGTTCAAGTCCTGAATATCATTGTTAATTTTCTGTCTCATTGATCTGTCTAATATTGACAGTGGGGAGTTAAAGTCTCCCAGTATTATTGTGTGGGAGTCTAAGTCTCTTTGTAGGTCTCTAAGAACTTGCTTTATGAATCCGGATGCTCCTGTATTGGGTACATATATATTTAGGGTATTAACTCTTCCTGTTGCATTGATCCCTTTACCATTATGTAATCCTCTTCTTTGTCTTTTTTGATCTTTGTTGGCTTAAAGTCTGTTTTATCAGAGACTAGAATTGCAACCCCTGCTTTTTTTTTTCCTTTCCATTTGCTTGGTAAATATTTCTCCGTTTCTTTATTTTGAGCCTATGTGTATCTTTGCACCTGAGATGGGTCTCCTGAATACAGCACACCAATGGGTCTTAACTCTATCCAATTTGCCAGTCTGTCTTTTAATTGGGGCATTTAGCCCATTTACATTTAAGGTTAATATTTTTATATGTCAGTTTGATCCTGTCATGATGCTAGCTGGTTATTTTACCCATTAGTTGATGTAGTTTCTTTATAGTGTCGATGATCTTTACATTTTGGTATGTTTTTGCAGTGGCTGGTACTGGTTTTTCCTTTCCATGTTTAGTGCTTCCTTCAGGAGCTCTTGTTAAGGCAGGCGTGGTGGTGACAAAATCCCTCAGCATTTTCTTGTCTGTAAAGGATTTTATTTCTCTTTTGCTTATGAAGCTTAGTTTGACTAGATATGAAATTCTGGGTTGAAAATTCTTTTCTTTAAGAATGTTGAATATTGGCCCCTACTCTCTTCTGGCTTGTAGAGTTTCTGCTGAGAGACCCACTGTTAATCTGATGGGCTTCCCTTTGTGGGTAACCCGACCTTTCTCTCTGGCTACCCTCAACATTTTTTCCTTCATTTCAACCTCAGTGAATCTGACGATTATGTGTCTTGGGGTTGCTCTTCTTGAGGAGTATCTCTGTGGTGTTCTTTGTATTTCCTGAATTTGAATGTTGGCCTATCTTGCTAGGTTGGGAAAGTTCTCCTGGATAATATCCTGAAGTGTGTTTTCCAACTTGATTCCATTCTCCCCGTCACTTTCGGGTACACCAACCAAACATAGGTTTGGTCTTTTCACATAGTCCCATGTTTCTTGGAGGCTTTGTTCATTCCTTTTCATTCTTTTTTTTCTAATCTTGTCTTCACACTTTATTCAATCTCTGATATCGTTTCTTCTGCTTGATCGATTCAGCTATTGACACTTGTGTATGCTTCACAAAGTTCTCGTGCTGTGTTTTTCAGCTCCATCAGGTAATTTATGTTCTTCTGTATACTGGTTATTCTAGTTAGCAGTTACTGTAGCCTTTTATCAAGGTTCTTAGCTTCCTTGCATTGGGTTAGAACATGCTCCTTTTGCTCAGAGGAGTTTGTTATTACCCACCTTCTGAAGCCTACTTCTGTCAATTCATCAAACTCATTCTCTGTCTAGTTTTGTTCCCTTGCTGGTGAGGAGTTGTGATCCTTTGGAGGAGAAGAGGCATTCTGGTTTTTGGAATTTTCCGCCTTTTTGCACTGGTTTTTCCTTATCTTTGTGGATTTATCTACCTTTGATCTTTGAGGTTGGTGACCTTTGGATGGGGTTTTGGTGTGGGCATCCTTTTTGTTGATGTTGATGCTATTGTTTTCTGTTTGTTAGTTTTCCTTCTAACAGGCCCCTCTTCTTCAGGTCTGCTGGAGTTTGTTGGAGGTCTACTCCAGGCCCTGTTTGCCTGGGTATCACCAGCAGAGGCTGTAGAACAGCAAATATTGCTGTCTGCTCCTTCCTCTGGAAGCTTCATCCCAGAGGGGCACCCACCAGATGCCAGCCAGAGCTCTTTCGTAAGAGGTGTCTGTCGACCCCCCTGGGGATGTGTCTCCCGGTCAGGAGCCACGGGTGTCAGGGACCCATTTGAGGAGGAAATCTGTTCCTTAGCAGAGCTCGAGGGCTGTGCTGGGAGATCTGCTGCTGTCTTCAGAGCTGACAGGCAGGAATGTTTAAGTCTGCTGAAGCTGCGCCCACAGCCGCCCCTTCCCCCAGGTGCTCTGTCTCAGGGAGACAGGAGTTTTATCTATAAGCCCCTGACTGGGGCTGCTGCCTTTCTTTCAGAGATGCCCTGCCCAGAGAGGAGGCATCTAGAGAGACAGTCTGGCTACAGCGGCTTTGCTGCGCTGTAGTGGGTTGGTTCTGCACCCAGTTCGAACTTCCCAGTGGCTTTGTTTACACTGTGAGGGGAAAACCGCCTACTCAAGCCTCAGTAATGGCAGATGCCCCATCCCCCAGCAAGCTCACGTGTCCCAGGTCGACTTCAGAATGCTGTGCTGGCAGCGAGAATTTCAAGCCAGTGGATCTTAGTTTGTTGGGCTCCATGGGGGTAGGATCCACTGAGCAAGACCAGTCAGCTCCCTCGCTTCAGCCCCCTTTCCAGGGTAGTGAACGGGGTTCTGTCTCACTGGTGTTCCAGGCGCCACTGGGGTATGAAAAAAAACTCCTGCAGCTAGTTCGGGGTCTGCCAAAATAGCCGCCTAGTTTTGTGCTTGAAACCCAGGGCCCTGGTGGTGTAGGCACCTGAGGGAATCTCCTGGTCTGTGAGTTGCGAAGACCATGGGAAAACCGTAGTATCTGGGCCAGATAGCACCGTCCCTCATGGCACAATCCCTCATGGCTTCCCTTGGCTACGGGAGGGAGTTCCTCGACCCCTTGCACTTCCTGGGTGAGGCGACCCTGCTTCTGCTCACCCTCCATGGGCTGTACCCCCTGTCTAACCAGTCCCAATGAGATCAACCAAGCACCTCAGTTGGAAATGCAGAAATCACCCGCCTTCTGTGCTGGTCTCACTGGGAGCTGCAGACCAGAGCTCTTCCTATTCAGCCATCTTGCCTGGTCCATCCAATGCTCAATAAATCTTAAAGCGAACTTGGAACTGAGCTGTTCTTCCTACCTAAACTCTCTAGTTATTTAAAAGTCAAATTCAATATGACCTCCCACACAATGGTTGACTATGACTTGGGATAAATTGTTTTATGCCCTTGAAGCAGCCAAAATAAACAACTCATCATTAATAAAAATGCTCATAGCCAGGTGCAGTGGCACATGCTTGTAATCCCAGCATTTTGGGAGGCCAAGGCAGGAGGAACATTTGAGGCAAGGAGTTCAAGGCCAACCTGGGCAACATAGCAAGCAACATTAGCTGAGTGCAGTGGCACCACCTGTAGTTTCAGCTACTTGGGAAACTGAGGTGGGAGGATCTCTTGAGCCTGGGGGGTTTGAGGATACAGTGAGCTATGATTGTGCCACTGCACTCCAGTCAGGGTGACAGAGTGAGATTCTGTTTCAAAAATAATAAATAAATAAAAAGATGCTCACAAGACAGGTGAAAAAAAGATCCCAGACCTTTTGGGATAATTCCAAAGTAGATTCTTAGATTATTTTTTCACCCACCTTCCTTTCCAAAATATCTCAACATAAGCTTTCAGGAAATTTCACTGTCTAATAATAACAAAAACAAAAAAATACAGCGGTTTCCATCTATGAAATCCTTACCAGGCACCCAAGCAAAGTGCTTTCCATGGATTATTTGAATCCTTGTTGCAGCTTCACAATAGGATCAAAGAGAAGGCAAGTTCTATGTGCTTTGATGCCTAGCAAGGCAGCTGCCCAGGGTCCCTTAGCTAGCAAGCCACATATCCAATCCAGAAGGTCAGACTCCAAAGCCAGGACTCTCTGCCACTGCACCTACCTTCCTCCCAGCCTAGCATTTGGGCTTCCTAAAACCTATTCCAAAGATTTCACTTCACACGTAAGTTTTTTCCTTCCATGTGCCTTTTGCTTCAGCCAGGAGGAGCTACTTGCTCTTTAACTTACACTCTACACTTCCCAAACTCTGCCATGGCTTAGGAAACACCTGCTTCCTGGAGTGCTTTTCCCATCTTCTCTGCATATCCAATCCCACCAACCTTCCGGGTCAAACACCATCTCTTCCAGAAAATCTTCCTTATCACCCTGTACTCACCACCACTGCACCCCAAGCCCCAACAGGTGTCTCCACTCCCTTCTCTAAACTGTCAGAGTGTTTTCTCAGCACTGCTCCTACAGCACTTCACACCTTGTCCCTGGTTCTCAGTGATGTGTAGAGGTCCCATCTCCACTTGATGGTGCTCACCTTGGAGGCAGAATCCAGGTAGGATCCAGACTCATCTCCCCACAACACCCAGGACAGGAGATGGTGTGGTGGAAGCCACTCCCGTGGCAGCCCCGTGATCCGGAAGGATTTATCTGACAAGCAAACCCAGGCAGATTCCCTGCCCCCTCCCAGATTTTCTCACACCGGCCAACTTAATTGATTTAATGGGCCTTTGTGGGACTCACCAACCAAGCATAAAATGGACCCACCTGCAGCCCGGAGCCACCCAATCAATCAAAGGGAGACAGAAAACCGAAAATGCTGCATACGAGTAAAATAAATAATGGCCAATTAGTCACCATCTGGGCCTTGCTGTCAGCGGACAAAACCCACAACAATCCCCATTTCACTTCCTGCCTGGTCAGATTGCACAATGAATTCTCAACAGAAAGGCGGGAACAAGGAGTCTCAACTCCTTGTTTTAAAATAGGATGTGCCTGTGAATTTGCTTTGAGGAAATTTCATCAACTCAGCTGACATTTGTTAAGCACCTACTGCATACCTGATGCTCTGCTGGGCACTGGAGATACAACAGTGACAAAGACTCCTCTGCCAAAGAGCTGAGCATGTGAATAACCTCATAAAGAAATGGGTACCTGGGCATGGTGGTACACACCTGTAATCCCAGCTACTTGGAAGGCTGAGGCAGGAGAATCACTTGAACCTGGGAGGCAGAGGTTGCAGTGAGTTGAGATCACGCCACTGCACTCCAGCCTGGCGACAGAGCAAGACTCCATCTCAAAAAAAAGAGGGAGAGGGAGAGGGAGGGGAAGCGGGGGGGAGGCATAGGGGGAGGGGGAGAGGGAGAAAGGGAAGCAGGCCGGTTGAGGTGGCTCACGCCCATAATCCCAGCACTTTGGGGGACTGAGGCAGGTGAATCCCTTGAAACCAGGAGTTTCAGAACACCTGGTCAACATGGTGAAACCACGTCTCTACTAAAAATATAAAAATTAGCCAGGCATGGTGGCACACACCTTTAATCCCGCCACTTGGGAGGCTGAGGCTGGAGAATCACTTGAATCCGGGAGGTGGAGGTTACAGTGAGCCAAGACCGCACCATTGCACTCCAGCCTGGGCGACAGAGCAAGACTCCATTAAAAAAAAAAAAATTAGCCGTGGTGTCATGTGCCTGTAGTCCCAGCCACCTGGGAAGCAGAGGCATGAAAATGACTTGAACGCGGGGGCACAGGTTGCAGTGAGCTAAGATCACATCACTGCACTCCAGCCTGGGTAATAGAGTGAGACTCTGTCTCAAAAAATAAATAAATAAAATAAATAAATAAGAAAAAGAAAAAAAAATGGGAAGCAGAAAAGATAGGCAGCTTCATCTTCATCATGTAGCCTGGGAAATGCCAGCTCTGCTCTTGGCCTCAGACTTGGTGTTTTCACCTGAGAGATGGAATGATAACCAGGTTAGGGTGAGGAGGAACTGAGAGAACATTTGCATAAAGACCTGCTTCCTGGTAAGTGTGTCCTCATGGTCTGCTCCCTCCCATCCGTGCCTCAGGGCCCATAAGGATAATTTCTCCCTAACACAAATGCGAATGGGAAACGAGGATTAAGCATACCATTCAGAGAAGCAAGTCCATGATAGAGTCCATATAACTGCCTTCCAAAAGCAAAACTGAGCTAAATCAATGTTATTTTCTTCATATTTTCCTTGTGAAATGATTCATTTCAGCATATTTCTTTACCTATGAGTCTCAGATGGTGGCCCCAAAAAAGAAAATATCCTCAAAATTATCCAAGATCTGAGTCTTAGTTTCCCCATCTGTGAGGCAGGAAGGATAATATTCACCTCATAGGTTCCTCCTGAGAAATAGATAACTCACGTAATTACTTACTAAATATGTACTAGATACTTATGAAGTGTCGGCACCGTTCTAGCTTCTGGGGTTACAGCAGTGAACAAAACAGACTTAAAAATCTTCATCCTTTTGGTGAGTGCAGAAAGGTAACAAATATCTACATAAAATATACAGTATGTCAAATGGCTAAATGCATACAAAGCATTTAGTACAAGACATGACTTGTACATATCATGCAGCATTCACACTAATGCAGATAATGATCAGCACCAAGAGAAATAAGCTTCTTCAAGGTCAGGCTCAAAGGCACATTGTAGGTAAGAGGAAGCAGAGGGTCTCGGTTCCTACAATCACCCAACACCAAGTAATCCACTCAAAGAAAAGGAGACCGTGCCTGGGGATGGCAGTGCTATGGCAAAGTCAACAGTGTTTTTGCCTTATATTTGAGAACAACAGTGGAAATGCTTTTCCCACTCATTCAGCCCCATCTCTAATTCACTTTCTTATTTAACTCAGTGGTTCAAACATCCCTAAAGACTTCCTTGTATGAAAAACGACATTGTGTTGGCAAAATGAATATATTCTGTGGCCCTTTGCTTCCTGATATAGAAAGAAATGAATCACCTTGGGTGTTGGGCCTTGCAGCAGGGACAGGGTTCAATGTCATAAACATTCAGAAGGGCCTGACCAAAATCAGAACATCTATCCCTGGAATAAGGTCACTGACTTTTTATCTGAAAAAGCAAAAATCTGCCCAGAGCTAGCATACACATTTTCCAGTGAAAAAGCCTCACCCCTCATACATGAGAAAACTGAGCCTTAGAGAGGTTAAATAGAGTCAGCACTTAACCCAGGCAATCTAATTTCAGAGATCATGCTCTTATCACTCAATCCCCCCCAGGACTTCCCTTCATTAACAAGTTGTTGGGGCAGTGGTGTGGGTGATACAATAGAAGCAGGCAGCCCAAAAACCTCTCCGTGAACATTCTTTCTCTCCCATAGTAGGGGAGATCATGCCACCTAACCATCCAGCTACCTATCTATCCATAATCCATCCTTCCATCATTCTATCCATCTACCCACTCACTTATTCATCCATCTCTCCCTTCATCCACCATCTAATTCATCTTCAAATTCAACAATCCATTTATTCACTTGCCCACCTACTCATCCACCCACACAATTGTCTATTCATCTTCCAAACCATCAATTTATCAATCAATCCATCTACTCACCCATCCATCCATCCTATTCACCTGCCCATTCATTCATCATCCAATCCATCAATCTATCCAGCCACTCATTTATCCATCTCCACACTAACCCATTCATCCATCCATCCATCCATACATACATATCATTCCGCTATGGTTATGATGTCTAATGGCATCATTGGAATGGAATATCTTTATGGTTCCTCACAGTCTAAGGTGATGTGATTCCACAAAAATTGATAGACAGGTGGATGACCATATGTAAAAAGAACTACAATCTCATCAAGCCCTCAAAGACCTTGCATCCAGTGGGGAAAATCGAAAGATAAATACATCAGTAGCTAGAACAGGAGGGATAAAATTAAAAGAGCCTAAGAGAGATATAAACAGCAGCATAAATGTGGAACTTGTTGAGGCTATAATGGCCTGGTCCACATAAAGAAAGGTAGCCTAAGTGTTTTTGAAACATGTTTCAACCAGTGTTGTGAGTTTGAAGGTCACCACAATCCAGAATCTACTTCTCCCAATAGGCTACACTATGTTTGAAAATCTTGGCCAGGAGTGGTGACTCACACCTGAAATCCCAGCACTTTGGAAGGCCGAGGCGAGTGGATCACCTGGGGTCAGGAGTTCAAGACTAGCCTGACCAACATGGTGAAACCCCATCTCTACTAAAAATATAAAAATTAGCTGGGCGTGATGGTGGGTGCCTGTAATCCCAGCTACTTGGGAGGCTCACGCAGGAGAGTTGCTTGAACCTGGGAGGCAGAGGTTGCAGTGAGCCAAGATCGCAGCATTGCACCCCAGCCTGGGCAACAGAGCAAGACGCTGTCTCAAAAAAAAAAAAAAAAAAAAGAAAGAAAGAAAGAAAAGAAAATCCTACCCTCTTTTGCATGAGGTGTCTGCTTCCAGGTACCTCAAAGGTACCTATTAAAGGCAAGAGTTGCCTGGGAAACACATCAGTACCTATCTATAAGATAAGCAATCAGACTATCTATAATTACAGAATCTTATTTTCTGAACTGCAAATCAAGGCATGTGTCAAGTACTCATGCAGACAAAAGGTCTATCTGGAATCTGAGCTGCCTTGGAAATTCTGCCTCACATATGCTGTGGCTGTAGAAGGGCTAAGCCTGAGAGGTCAGAAATTCTGTCTGGGAACCCTGGAAAATCTGGTTTTCACCTCCATCTTGAAACACTGCCAGACAAGTTCAGGCCAGCAAGAGCATCCAGCAGAGGCCAAAGGGCACCCAAAGAGAAGTAAGAAGATACCAAACGTCAGATGAGAGCAGGAAGAGGGAAAAGAAAACTGGGAGCATGGCAGGCTATCCTTAAAAAGCAGATGAAAAGGTCCCTCCAGCCCCACCAGCAATGAACTTGATTGACTCCTTTCATAAGTATTTTCTGGGCTGGGTTTGCACAGAGAGAATCTGTCAGCCTGCACCAGCGCCAGGTTCAGGGACCCCGCACTGCTTCCCCTTCCTGCTCTGCACTCTCTGTCCTCAAAGGGGCAGAGTGCTCCTGCCTACAGGAAGCACACACCACACTACGGAGACTTAGTTCCTGCCAAGGTGGACATGTCCATCAGAAAGCATTTCCTGAGATGCAAAGGGCCCCACAAGTGGGAGAAAAGGGGACCATGGGTTGGGAAACCCAGTATCCCAGGGTCAGCATTGTACCCAAGGCTGGTTCTAGTCATCTGCATGGGAGATGATCTACCAGTGGAAAACAATAACAATAATGCCTAATACTTATGGTGCTACATCCATCATATCATTCAATCTTAGGAACTACCCTGTGAAGTCGGTACTATTCTAATTCCCACTTTATAGCTGGGAAATTTAAACACAAAAAGGCAAATTAACTTAAGATCACACAGACCCGGAATTGGAACCCAGGCAATCTGTCTGCAGAGCCTGAGGGTTTACCACTAGGCATAAAAATGGGTACATGGGAGCACTTGCAATGCCACTGTTCCAAAGGCTTTGCGTCCACTCACTCATTTAATCCTCACAAGGACCTTCTGAGGTGCGTCCTAGTATTATCTCCATTTCACAGGTGAGGAAAGCAAGCTAAACAGTAACTCCCTGGCCTGGTGCGGTGGCTCACACCTGTAATCCCAGCACTTTGGGAGGCCAAGGTGGGCAGATCACCTGAGGTCAGGAGTTCAAGACCTGCCTGGCCAACATGGTGAAACCCCGTCTCTACTAAAAATACAAAAATTAGCTGGGCATGGTGGCGTGCACCTGTAATCCCAGCTATTTGGGAGGCTGAGGCAGGAGAATAGCTTGAACCTGGGAGGCAGAGGTTGCAGTGAGCAGAGATTGCGCCACTGCACTCCAGCCTGGGCTCCACAGACTCTGTCTCAAAAAAAAAAAAAAAAAAGGTAACTCCCTAAGGTTATGCAGCTTGAGAGGGGCAGAGACAGGGTTTAATCCTCATATGCTGACTCCGTAGTCCATATTCTGAACCTCTAGGCAAGGGTGCCTCTTGACTGCCCCCATGTACTAATAGTAACAACAGCAACACATCTACCACTTACTGAGGCCATCAGAAAGTCCCAGACTCCAACTGGTACCTGCATCATCTCATTTGATCATCACAATAACTTTATATGATAGGCAGTTGGGGACAGTAGCTATCCACGATCTCACACAGCTCCATGTACCCTTTTAAACTGCAGTGCTGGAGGACATCTTAATGAGGAGATCATATCATTCCCCCAGACACAACTTCCTATGCAGTCCTACCCTTTCCCTTGATTAAATAACCCACTTCCAGATTTCCCAAGCAAGTAGCAAGGGACCCATTTCTTGTTGTATCCATCATCTCTTTCCCTGGTTCTTGGGGACACTGGTTCACCAGGACCTAGAGACCAAAGCAAGGTGAAATGCCCAGGCTGATCTGCATCTGTGGGCCGATTCCATGAGGTTCAGATTTCAGGTGGGGCCTGCAGTGGCTCCCTGCTGTGCACCCAGTTCTGCTCTGTCTGCTCTCATGCAGGGCAATCTTGAGGCATTTCCAGGGATGCAGGACTTTCAGAAACGGGAAGTCCCAGGCAAACGGGAATGATTTGGTCACCCTAACCCTCCCTCTTGGCAAAAATAACTTTCCCTTTTCCACAGCCCCTTCAGCCTTGAAAATCTTCCTCTTCTCCTCTCCTCACCTCCTTTTCCCTCCCTTCCCCATCTTCTCCTCTCTTTTCCTTTTCTTCTCTAGCTCCCTCCCTTCCTTTTATCGCCTCTTCATTCCTTAAGCTGGTCCCTACTGTAACCAAGCACCAAACGAGTCACTGGGGGGTTACAGTAGATAATAAAAACAAAGTCTCTTCCATTATTTGTTCATTTATTCAACAAATAGTATGTGCCCACTCGGTGCCAGTCAGTATTCAAGGTCTGGAAACCTGAGAGCTTTATAGTCCTAGTGGGGAAAATAGGCATTCACCAAACACATGCACGCGCACACAAACACACACACACACACCCCACTGCAAAATTACAACCATATCAACTGCCAAGGAAGAGAAGCAAAGGCTTCTATGAGAACCTGTAGTAAGTGTTTGATCTCATTGTTGGGGCGAGCTGAAAGCATCTTTGAGAAGTTAATGTTTGACTTGAGATCTGGAAGGTGAATAAGGGGTCCCCTGGCCAAAAGGAAGGAAGGAACATTCTGGACAGAGTGGCTGTGCAAAGGCCCAGTGGTGGAAGGAAGAAGGTGCACTCAAAGTAGCTGGTGGGATGAAAGTCAAAAGAGGGATAAGGCTGAAGAGGTAGGCAGGGCCCAGCCATGCAGGGTCTTGGAGGGACAGTGAAGTTTGCTTTTATCTAGGAGCAATGGCAAACCGCTGAAGAGTTTAAGCAAGAGGGTAATGGGTCTAAACGTTTTGAAAAAATGTGTCCTGTCTCATGGAGAGGCTCTGATGGGCCGGGGCTGGAGTGAAGATGGAAGACGGGCAGAGTGCGCATGAGAAGACCCCCCGGGAAACTATCGTTGCCATTCAGGCCAGACATAGAGAAGGGTTGGATGATGCTGGCGGGGGTGCAGATGTCCCTTCCCCTGCTTTCCATTGCTTGGTGGACAATACATTTGACGATGGATCAAGTTCTTGGGTGACCTTGGAAAAGTCATTCAGCCACTTTCAGCCTCATTTTCCTCATTGTAAATGGAATTACTCATACTACATTTCTACTGGCATGACTTGGTGGACCAGTTATGATAGTAACAGCTGTACAGGAAGGCGTAACAGACTCTGAAGCCCTCTACACATGCTCAAGCCTCCCCCAGCTTGGGCCCACAGTATAACTCTCCCAAAACAACAGATCTCTCTGACTGGCCTCTGCCTCCAGTCTCACCCAAATCAATTCCTCTTGCTAATAATGCCACTTGGTAATAATCATGTATAATTAAATACAGATATAAACAAGTAATTCCCCTAGTGCCTATGTGTCTGTATTTACCTGACCTTCAAGGTCTCCATAATCTGATTAATATTTAACTCCTTGCCAGTATTTTCATCACCCAACCCCTTCATTCTGCTTATGCCTCACTGGGACCTGAATAAGTCATGTGTTTCCAGGCCTCCCTGTTTTTGCTCGCATGCTCCCTCTGCCTGGAATCACTTCCTCCATTCTCTCTAATAGAACAGAAATAATTTTCATTCTCTAAGGCCCATCTTCTGAGTCAGCTTCCTCATTCTTGCAAGTCAAATGCTTCCGTTCATTCCTCTAGAGTCTCATACCATTTTTTACTTCTGCTTTGGCATTTAATCAATTTTCCATGTGTTCTTTTTCTTATGTATATGAATTCTTCTCAGCTTTATTGCAAACAGGAAAAGAGCAGGACCCTGTCTAGACACTGGTAGCCATATATTTTCTCATTAAGTGTTTATATAATAATTGAGGTTGTGCATTATGGGACTATATTAGATTATCCTTATCAACTAGATAATGTAGAAACCTGTTCTTTTTTTGAAGTTCTTCGAAGTCCATATGTCTATCTTGTGGATATAAGACCAAATGGATCAGAAATACCTGTGTAAAATTTGAATTTCTCATTCTCCTCTTAAAATCAAACAATTTAAACTAAGTCAAACTAAAAGGATCTCAGAAATTATTCAGCTTAAGTATCCCCATTTTATGAATGAGATTATATGGTTTCAACTTAGTCAACCTTCCAGTTAGGACTGTTACAAGCTACAAATATAGTGACCATCCTGAGCCCCTCTCTTCCAACCTTACCCTAATAAGTCTCAGTCACTTGGGCCCAAGGGACATTCAAGACATGGCAGCCTGCCAAGGTTCTCATTCAACCCAGCAGATGGGTGGCAATACTTCACTTCTCTCATTTGCTCCTCCAGGAGGAAGACCGGGCAAGCACTCTTTCAAATCTTAGAGACTTGGATTTTTTTTTTCTTCTTTGCCCAAATTAGCCATTTTAAGAAAAGAGGAAAGAAAACAACTTGTCACTTCTGTAATTGTTCACACAAGTTATGCATCAAACCCCATCACAATCAACACCCTGCTTCAGACTTCTTCCTTTGCAAGATGGTTAGAAAGCGTTAATGAGTACCCATCCTAGAAAAACTCAGCAAGCAAGTTATCAGCGAGCAAGGAGGGTTGCACACCCATCATGTCACCTTGGAGCACCAGGCAGCTATTCTGAAGGGTTAAAACCAATGACAGACACTCTGGATGAGGACAGGCATGCGGAGGTGTAGGGAGAGCAGGATAGTTACTGAAGCAAATACGACCCAAGTCACATAGGAAAGTCTTGTTCAGCTTCCAATGCTCAAGTACACCAGTCTCAAATCCAGGAGCAAATATGATCAATTCTGGCATCATCACTGAGGGAAGAAAAGCTGAGCTTCTATTCTGTTTGTTCATAGAGTGAAACCTATGATGCTGAATGAGAAAGGCTTGATTTTCTCAGTGTCTTTGCTAATCCTCCATTGCTTTATTGGATCCTCAGAACTGGGAGCTAGGACAAGGGTTATGATGTCCATGGAAGAGCAAGACACTGACATGCAGAAGGGTGTAAGGCCCTTCCCAAGTGCAGGAAGGCAGGGGGACAGGGCAGGCCCTCAACCCGGGCCTTCTGACTCCCTGGGTCAGGGATCTTCTGCAACACCGAGAAACAAGGCGCCCTTCATAAGACTGGAGTGGCTTCTACCTGCTTCCAGCTGGTCTATTACCCCATGAGAAGGGGAGGCCCGAGCAGAACCTGGGCCCTGTTTCTCCTTTTTCCATAGCTCAAGGAAAGCCTCCTCCTGTAGAAGTAAACAAGGAGGAGCGCATTGAACAAACCAACTCTGCTTTTGAGCTAACCTGTCCTGGATCTGGAACTCCAAGGAGCTCACAAATGTCTTCTGACTGGACTTGGGATTTGTCTGTGAGGGAATAATATACCCTAGCAACAGCAGCAGAAGCTCTGTGAGTGTATGCACATGCACACACACGCGCACACACACACACACACACACACACACACACACACACACACAGGCCCAGCTAAGATGTGTAGAAGGGTTCCCTCCTAATACCCGAGACCCCTTGCTGTCCTTCTGGGTCTCATCTTTATCCTACTCAGCTTCTTGTGGCCCCAATATTATACCCCAGACTCATCCTCCTTCCCCTTAAAACTCTGGCCCAAGCTGGGCCAACAAGCCCTTCTCTTCTGTCCTGAAAGCAGAACTGAGACAGCTAGACATCTCAGCATAGGGAAGTTGTGAAGAGTAACCAGAGAATTGGAACCAAAAAGGCAAACAGCATCACAACAGCCACATTTCCAAGGAGGAGCTTCTGATGCAGAGAGAAATACAGACTCACCCCACAGGCCAGGGCCACCTCCCAGGGACCTGGGTTCCCGGGAGCTTGTCTCCAGTTCTGCCATCTGTGCTCAGCCTCCATTAGTGCTGTGTCTGTACCTATGCAGTGAGATCACACACTCCTGCCAAGCTCATGGGATCCCTGTGAAAATCAAGGAAAACATACCCATGAGACACAACTGAGACATCTTTAAATCTGATAAACTACAAGATGTTTCTTTCCTTTTGTTGGTGTGTGGGTTTGTTTCTCTCCTTGATCTATTACCCTTGGACACAATTCATCATATGGGTCAGAGGAAATATCTGTCAGAACCCCAGCAGACACCTGCCTGAAAAGAGAGAACTTAATAATGGTTTAAAAAAGAGGCTGGTGGGCCAAGCACGGTGGCTCATGCCTGTAATCCCAGCACTTTGGGAGCCTGAGGTGGGCAGATCACCTGAGGTCTGGAGTTTGAGACCAGCCTGGCCAACATGGTGAAACCCTGTCTCTACTAAAAATACAAAAATTAGCCAGGCGTGGTGGTGGACGCCTGTAATCCCAGCTACTTGGGTGCTGAGGCAGGAGAATCACTTGAACCCGGGAGGCAGAGGTTGCAGTGAGCTGAGATCATGTCATTGCACTCCAGCCTGGGCAAAAAGAGCAAAACTTCATCTCCAAAATAAATAAATAAATGAATAAAATAAAATAAAAAAGAGGCTGGCACAGAACCAGGGCTCCCTTCGGCTGCACTTGCAAACCTCCAATGAAGGCAAACAACTTACTGCACCCCAAATCTCAATTTAGAAAAGGCCCACATTGGCCAGGCACAGTGGCTCACACCTGTAATCCTAGTACTTTGGGAAGCCAAGGCAGGAGGATCACTTTAGGTCAGGAGTTCAAGACCAGCCTGGCCAAAATGGTGAAACCCCATCTCTACTAAAAATATAAAAATTAGCTGGGCACGGTGGTGCGTGCCTGTAGTCCCAGTTCCTCTGGAGGCTGAGGCAGGAGAATTGCCTCAGCGATTCTCGGGGGGGTGGAGGTCGCAGTAAGCCAAGATCACACCACTACACTCCAGCCTGGGCAACAGAGAGAGACTCTGTCTCAAAAAAAGAAAAGGCCCATGTCCACTTGTCAGGCTTACCTGCCTGTGACAGGTGACAGCCTCCAGCCTCCTTCCCCCTAACTTGAGGGACTGAAGTGAGTGGCAGCGTCCCTGGCTGAGGAGGTATTTTAGTAACCCCCAGAAGTTCTGTTCCTCAGTGGGCTCACCTGAAGGGCCTTATCCCCTCTACAGGTATAAGCCTGCTGTAGCCACCCCACCTGGCTGACTTTGTCAACTCCAGATGCAAATGTGTGGGTGTCTGCAATGGGATTCCTCTGCTCTGAACCCTCCTAGCACGTGGACCTAGAAGGGCCCAGAATAGAGCAGGAGCTCCATAAACATTCGTTGGCTCTGTGCACAAATGAATGCGAGTCTCAAACGTCAGAGGCCAAGATTTTACTTGGTTTGTATCTGTTCTGTATTTAACAGGTATTCAGGAAAAAGTTCAAGGAAATGATGAAATGAAAAGACATCAGGCAATGTCTTCATTAAATCATAATAGTTTACCATTTAAAATATCTACTGTGTACCATGTGCTTTACAGACATTCTGGAAATAATCATGAAACAATCATGAGATGTTCTTGTCCCCATTTCACAGCTGATGAAACTGAAGCACAGGAGGTTCAGTAATGATGCCAGGTTGCTTGATTATTTAATGGGGCTAGAACTTTATCTCCAGATGAACTCAAAAGACCAGCACCATCAATGTAAACAGCTGTCATTCTACTTACCTGTCCTTCCCCATCCCCCAACACCATTCCAAAAAGGGATTTAGGACAACTCACTGAACAATGAGTCCTCAGGATCTTTCTCTAGAAAAATCTAGAGAAATGTTCTATTTAGAAACATTTCCTATTTTTTTGTTCAACTTTTATATTAGTCTCAGGGGGTACACGTGCAGGTTTGTTACATGGGTAAGTTGTGTGTTGCTGAGGTTTGGTGTACAAATGATCCCATCACCCAGGTATAGGATCCAATAGGTAGTTTTTCAACCCTCGCCCCTTCCCAGCCTCCCCGCTCTAGTAGTTCCCCATGTCTATTACTCCCATCTTTATATCCATGTGTACTCAACACTTAGCTCCCACTTATAAGTGAGAACATGTGGTATTTGGTTTTCTGTTCCTGCATTAATTCTCTTAGGATAATTTGAATATCAGAAATTGTTGGCCGAGCACGGTGGCTCAAGCCTGTAATCCCAGCACTTTGGGAGGCCAAGGCAGGCGGATCACAAGGTCAGGAGATCGAGACCATCCTGGCTAACACGGCGAAACCCCGTCTCAACTAAAAATACAAAAAATTAGCTGGGCATGGTGGTGGGCACCTGTAGTCCCAGCTACTCCGGAGGCTGAGACAGGAGAATGGCATGAACCAGGGAAGCGGAGCTTGCAGTGAGCCAAGATCGTGCCACTGCACTGCAGCCTGGATGACAGAGCGAAACTCTGCCTCAAAAAAAAAAAAAAAAAAAGAAATTGTTAGACTTTTCCAGAGCCACGTTGGGGAAATAAAGTCATCAAAGAATGAAGTAAATCCAGTTTGACCGAAGAGCAGAGCAATGATTAAAATCACCTTGGGATATCTGTTATTAATGCAGTTCTAAGGCAATTCTGGAAGAAAAATCCCATTGAGTGTTGAGTGATCACATCATTAAAACAGGCCTCTCTTACAGAGTCTCAAAGAGATTTATTTGAGGAGCAAAATACTCCCTTGGATTTATAAATTCTAGGGGGGTGTTTATTTAAAAAATAAAAACATGCTACTTATTTATTACCAAATCAGGGTACTTTAAACCTTACAATACATAAGAAGCTTTTGTAGAAAACAGGTTGATGTATTTAGAATGTATTATTTCTATGTTTGGGGAAAAAGGGGCTGTTAATATCCGGGAAGACAGACTTGAAAGAGATGCTGGTCAAATGTGTTCCTCAAAGTCAGACTTTCTTCTGAAAGGCACAAAGTTTCCCTCTCCCTTCAGGCTTGTAGAAATGCCAGCTTCCAACATGGAAAGCTTTGGGGACTGAATGAGGTTTATTTTTATGTTTGTTTGTTTGTGAAAAGGAGATTACATCAGAAAGGGCCTAAAAATAAAGGCCAAATCTCCATCAACAGGGCGGCCACCCATTTGCACACAACCAGGGGCCTGCAAGCCTCTGAAGCCTCATTCAGGTCTATGGCAGAGTATCTTCATTCTGGCTGCTGTTGGGATCATCAGAAGAGCTTTCAAAACTCCCACAGCCCAATCCACAACCCAATGCAATGACATCAGAAATTCTGGGGGGGACCCAGATGTGAATATTTTTTTAAAACTCCCTGGGCAATTCCCATGCGTAACCGAGGTTAAGACCACAGCCGCTTCAATTGTCCCGACACCCAGGTTGTACAAGGATGTTGAGCCATCAAAACTCAACAGCAGTGCTTGCTTCAGCAGCACATATACTAAAACTGAAATGATGCAGAGAAGATTCACATGGCCCCTGCTCAAGGATGACATGCAAATTCGTGAAGCGTACCATATTTTTAAATTTCATGCCATGCATTGAGAAAAATAATAAAAACAAGCCGGGCACAGTGGTTCATATCTGTAATCCCAGAACTTTGGGAGGTACTTGAGGTCAGGAGTTTGAGACCAGCCTGACCAACATGGTGAAACCCCATCTTTACTAAAAAATACAAAATTAGCCTAGTGTGGTGTTGCATGCCTGTAATCCCAGTTACTTGGGAGGCTGAGGCAAGAGATTCCCTTGAATCCAGGAGGAGGAGGTTGCATTGAGCTGAGATGGCACCATTGTACTCCAGCCTGGGCAACAAGAGTGAAACTCTGTCAAGAAAGAAAGGAAGGAAGGAAGGAAGGAAGGAAAGAAGGAAGGAAGGAAGGAAGGAAGAAAAAGAAAGAAAAGAAGGAAAGAAGGAAAGGAAGGAAAGAAAGGAAGGAAGGAAGGAGGGAAGGAAATAAAAACAACAACAACTCAACAGCAGCCAGCATCACATAGCCTGGGAGGTGGCATCCCTGGCTCTGCCCCTCCAGCATATGAATCCCGCCTCCACTACAATTCTAGTTATGAGACCATAGGCATCCACAGAATGCTGAATATTTCTGTGCCTCCATTTCCTCATCTGTAAAATGGAGATAAAGTCTTCTTTGGGAGTCGTCATGAAAATTAAATAAGGTGATATATAGAAGGCACTTAGCATCTGGCTGGCACATAATGATTGCCTGGTAGTCATTATTTCTAGAATCTCAGTATTCCATCCTGAGTTAAGAGGTGAAGAGCAAACGGTGCTTGGTGGCCTGGGAGGAGTTACCTATAATTTCTCTTTTCTCTTGCTTGCCACCAATAACCTTTGCCTCAGAGTTTGGGTGGGGCACAAGAAAACTTGTAAACCTCAGCCTAGTTACAGATTGGCCTTTAAAGACTGTCCCCCAGGGTAAGGGGCAGTGTCTCTGGATGGTGAAGGAGCAGCTGCCCCTGGGGGATGTGTCTTGGTTCCTAGACATCTTAGGAATGATCAATCTCCTAGGGGAGGGCATCTGACTATGGATCCAGGGGTTTCCGAGACCTGAGGGGCTATGAGGAAGGGGGGGACCCTTCTGTCTTCCTGACCTTCTGTGTGCAAAGTCACTACGAGTTCAATTAGGCACCTTGAGCAACAGGAAGAACAGATGCTGTGACCCAGCTTCCTTTTTTCTGAGAAGCGGAGAGTCTGAATCATAGAAGAAGTGCAGTGATTCAGATTTTGAGATAAGAAAGGACACATCAAAACAGTATTCTTCAGTTTCCCCAGAAGCAACTTCTTTTTGAACACAGTTTACCTCCAACTACTAGCTAACAAATCATAGGCTGCTGTGAAGCTTGTTTTATTGGCAAAGGATCAATTCAGCATCTCTGACATATGCCAGGTGCTGGGCATGTAATATCTCATCGTGGTAGGCTGAGGCTCGTGGACTAGAAATAAACTGCCCAAGGTCACTCAGTTGGTAAATGCTAGATTCCAGGGACTAGAGTTTTCCGTGGCTCTCCACCTTGAGCACACATCAGAATCCCCTGCGGTCTTGTTGAAACAGATTGCTGGCCACACCTCCAGAGTGACTGATTCAGCATGTCTGGGGTGCTGCCTGAGAATCTGCATTCCTAACAAGTTCCCAGGTGATGCTGATGCTACCGATCTGAGGACCACAGTTTGAGAACACCTGCTTTATAGCAGCAGCATCAATTACTATGACTCAGCCATTAAGAAAAAGGGAGGGGAAGTCCTTAAAAATACCTCTTGAAGAGGTGGTTAAGTTTCTCCACTCACCCTCCCTACCCAACACTCACATACACACACACACACACACACACACTGCTGACACCATCATTTGTTGCACATATGTATTCTTCAGAGATAGCAGAAGCTTTCTGCTTTGTTGAGATCCAATCACACCCGGAATAATGGCTGAGATCAGCAGACTAAGATTTTACCAGCCTCCCTTTATTGCCTGCATGAGAGCCTTTTCTTGGGCCCGGTAAGGAAAAGTCCAAGAGAGAAAGAACAAACTGGCCACACAATGCAACCGGTGCACTCTCAGCCTCTTCAGAAGACCTTGGCAACCAGGGAAGCTTGATTGCAATTTGTGGCTATTAACACAAGCTGGGCCTCCGGTGACCTCAGACAGCCTTTTTGGTAATGTTTGTCTGGTTTCCTAGCAACCTGAACATTAAGGAACAGAGGTGTAAATAAACCTGCTGGCTGCCCCCTGACCAGGTATTCTGCAGCGTTGGAAGAGTCTCAGCTGGCAGCTCAAATAATCTCTGTGATCCCATCCACAGGGTGTACATAAAACCACATTCCTGTGTGCCTCCATGACAATTAAAGCCACGCAAAAGCACAACTGCAAAGGATATGGTGTAACGGTGAGCTGCTGGCAGAAACCTCAGCTCAGTATGCAATAATCTGAAATAAAACCTGTGTTTTAAAGCTGATGGCTTTGAGAAATATATGTCATGCCATTTTTTAGAAGTCACTCTTGTGAAGTCGTTACCATTTGCCTAATAGCATGAAACAGACCAAAGTGGCAGCAAATGCTGTCCCAGTGAGATATCTAGTCCAGAGACGATGTTGGAAGGGCGGATGTTTGGAAAGGAAGTGAGAGTGTGAGCTTAAGAGGCAGCCAAGCATTCAAGCCCCAGCTCTGCCATTTATCAGATGAGTGACCTAATCCTAATACCTATTGGGTATTAGGCATATTAGCGAATTAAGCATATTACCTAATTCCCAGGTCCTGACCAGCAGCAGGTCCTCTTGTCTCCACCACCACAAGATACCTTAAATCTGCCCAGGTATCTCGTTACTACCCACCACATCCAAGCCATCATCTCTAGTCTGAATCACTGCAATAACCTATTAACCAGTAACCTTGCTTGCATAGTACCAACTCAACAGTCCATTCTCCACCTAGTAGCCAGAGATCTTTTTTCTTTCATTGTGATAAAATACAAATAGTGAAAAATTTACCATCTTAACCATTTTTAAGTGTACAGTTCGGTAACGGTAAGTATATTCATATTGTTGTGCAACCAATCTCCAGAATATTTTTTTTGAGACGGAGTCTCGTTCTGTCGCCCAGGCTGGAGTGCAGTGGCGCGATCTCTGCTCACTGCAACCCCTGCCTCATGGGTTCAAGCGATTCTCTTGCCTCAGCCTCCTGAGTAGCTGGTACTACAGGCACGCACCACCATGCCCAGCTAATTTTTGTATTTTTAGTAGAGATGGGGTTTCATTATGTTGGCCAGGCTGGTTTCGAGATCCTTACCTTGTGGTCTGCTCACCTCAGCCTCCCAAAGTGCTGGGATTACAGGCGTGAGCCACTGTGCCAAGCCAGAACTTTTTCATCTTGCAAAACCGAAACTCTGTATCCATTCAGCAACTCCTCATTTCTCCCTTCCCCCAGCCCCTAACAATTACTATTCTATTTTCTGTTTCTATAAAGTTGAGTACTCTAGGTACCTCATATAAGTGTATTGATTCAGTGTTTGTCCTTATTTCACGTAGCATAATGTACTCATCCACGTTGTAGACTGTGTCAGAATTTCCTTCCTTTTTAAGGCTGAATAACTGCCCATGGTGTGCATATCACATTCTGTTTATTCATTCTTCCATTGACAGAAATTCTGGTGGTTTCCACCTTTTGGCTATTGTGAATAATGCCATTATGAATATGGGTGTACAAATATCTCTCTGAGACCTTGCTTTCAATGCTTTTGGATATATACCCAGAAGTGATATTGCTGGATCATAAGTAAATTCTATTTTAAATTTTTTGAGGAACTGCCATACTGTTTTTCTTTTCTTTTTTCTCTTCTTTGAGATGAAGTTTCACTCTTCCTCCCCGGCTGGGAGTACAGTGGCGCGATCTTGGCTCACTGCAACCTCCGCCCCCAGGTTCAAGAGATTCTCCTGTCTCTGCCTCCCAAGTAGCTGGGATTATAGGCACCCACTACCAGGCCTGGCTAATTTTTGTATTTTTAGTAGAGACAAGGTTTGGCCTTGTTAGCCAAGCTGGTCTCAAACTCCTGACTTCAGGTGATCCACCCGCCTCGGCCTCCCAAAGTGCTGGGATTACTGGTGTGAACCACCACACCCGCTGCACCATTTTACATCCCCACCAACAATGCAGAGTGAACTTTTAAAGAAAGACCTCAGCACTGTTGACATTTTGGGCTCAATACGTGTTTGTTGTTTAGTACCATCACCGTCCTCTACCCACTGGATTCCAGTAGCACCTTCCCCCTTCCTAATTGTGACAGCCGAAAATGTCTCCAGGCATTGCCAAATGTTCCCTGGGGGCCCCTGGTTGAGAACCACTGAATTTAATCATAGCTCTCCCCAGCTTAAGCCTCCCATTGCCCTGAACATCCAAACCGTCTCATAGCTGACAAAGTCCTCGAGACTTCTTGGACCTCATCTCCTTCCACCTTCCAGGCACTTACTGGGTATTGGCCACAGTGACTACTTCTAATCTCTCAGACACAACAAACAAGGTTGTTCCTACCTCAGGGCCTTTGCAGTTGCTGCTCCCATCACCTAAACATCACTCCCGGGTTTCTGCATGGCCAGCAACTCCTTACCATTCACACCTCAATTCATATGCCACCTCCTCAGGGAGGCGTTCTGCGATCACCCAATCCCAGCAGCCACTCTCCCAACTGAGTCAGCCACAGTGTCTTGATGTTAAAGACTTTAAGAAATATATAAGTCATAGAATTTTTTAGAGAAGACAATGTTGTGGTCATTTTATTCGATGTCTTTATCACCATCTATGATGTTCATTTTTTTGCTGTTTTTTGTTTTGTTTTTTTGGAGATGGGGTCTCACCATGTTGCCCAGGCTGGAGTGCAGTGGCTATTCACAGGCATGATCACAGCTCACTACAGCCCTGACTCCAGAACTCATTCCTCCAACCTCTCCTCTCACCTCAGCTTCCTGAGTAGCTGGGACTACAGGCACATGCCACTGTACCCAGCCATGTTCACATTTTTATTATTTATGGAATAAAAATATAATTTATTGCCCAAATTAGGACATTTTGGGAATGAAGGGTCATGCTAAGAATGGTTAACAGGTGTTAATAATCCCAGGAAAACCAGGGACCTACTGTCACTAATTATCCATCTCCAGGCTAGGACGTGGGCTCCTGGAGAGCAGGGAGTTGGTCTGTTTTGTTCATCGTGTATCCCCAGCACCTACAATAGTAACTGACATGCTGTAGAGCTCAGTAAATATTGATGAAAATATGGCAAAACTTTCTGACTTCAATTACTTCAACTATAAAAATGGGTGTAATAACTATGACAACCTAGAAACTGTTGTGAGGACTAAATGATTATCACAAATGTGCCAGCTGAGCCTCAATAGAGTGCTTATTTCCTTCTGTGCTATTGCCATGGAGAAGTAAAGAGCTGGGCTGGTCATAGTGGCTCACACCTGTAATCCCAGAACTTTGGGAGGCCAAGGTGGGCGGATCAGTTGAGTCCAGAAGCTTGAGACCAGCCTGGGCTACATGGCGAGAATCTGTCTCTACAAAAAATTAACCAGGCATTGTGGCACATGCCTGTAGTCCCAGCTACTTGGGAGGCTGAGGTGGGAGGACCATCACATGAGCCTGGGAGGTCAAGGCTGCAGTGAGCCATGATCATACCATTGCACTCCAGCCTGGGTGAGAAAGCGAGATCTTGTCTCAAAAAAAAAAAAAAAAAGGAAAGAAAGGAAGAAAAAAGAGGAGAACTTAACCCCTGGAAGTGGAATTCCAGAACTGATGTGGTGGTCTAGTCCAGATTCACTATCCCAGCCCAATATGAGACGCGCCTGGGTGTGTTTATAAAAATACCAGTGCCCAGGCTCTCTCGGCCAAGAGAAATGGCAGCTCTGGAGGTGAGGCTTGGGCAGGCTGATAGTTTTTAAAGTTTCCTGGGGGATTCAGACACACAAGGAGGGCTGAGGCCTCTGGATTAGGTTAAATCTACAAATTCACAAAAGAGGAATCAGGCCCAGAAAGGGGGCCTGCCCCCACAGTCACACACTCCACATGGAAGAATCTGCACTGGATCCCACATCTCCTGGCTCCTAGTCAGTCCACTAGGAGGCAAGAGACCCACTCTATCAGATGCCTTCTCCCGGCGGTTAACTTTTCAGCTTTGGAAAGATCCCGGGGACATTCTATGGTAGGACCCAGGCTTGCTGAGGAGCCCCAGTCTTCATCTGCAGGAGCAATGAGCCAAGTACAAAGCCAGGTTAAGCATCTTGTCGGATGGCCCTGATCATCGTGCCCCTCCCAGCTCTCAGCATGGGGGCTGTGGTAGACAGCCTCCATCTGCCCCTGCAGACCCAGCCTCCAGATTCCCTCTGCACCCTCTCCACCTCCTCTATGCCCAAGGAGGCTGGCCTCTGAGCTCTGCATCACCCATGTTCCTCTGCCTTCTAATTCAGTTCAGCCAATGGGTGAGAGGAAAGTGGAAATGACGCTGGATTCTGGGAGGAAGACCTAGTCAGGTGACTCCAACACCCCAGCTGACTATTTCACACAGTCAGTACATAGTAAATATCCTTCCTTTCTGACTCATGACAAGACGAGGGTAAAATCTGTCCAATGCTTGCAGGAGGAAATGGAAATTAGCCTATATTTATAGCACAGCACTGACACAGAAGAATCATTTAGTAAAACAGAACAACAAAAATAAAAATCAGCTTTGTTCTCCGTTCCCTATGTTTGTTGTTCTTGTGAATTATATTTTTCTTCTCTGGTACAGGGCCACCTTCATTTTCCTTTTTCTAATTTTGTTTACTTTAAGAAACCATTCGCAGGCCGGGCGCAGTGGCTCACACCTGTAATCCCAGCACTTTGGGAGGCCAAGGCAGGTGGATCACCTGAGGCCAGGAGTTCAAGACCAGCCTGGCCAATGTGGTGAAACCCCGTCTCTACTAAAAATATAAAAATTAGCCTGATGTGGTGGCATACGCCTTGTAACTCCAGCAACTCAGGAGGCCAAGGCAGGAGAATCACTTGAACCCGGGAGGCAGAGGTTGCAGTGAGCCAAGATCGCACCACTGCACTCCAGCCTGGGGGATGAAGCGAAACTCCATCTCAAAAAACAAACAAACAAACAAACAAACAAAAACCATTCGGGGCTTTTTGACAACTTCTTGAGGGGCTTTCAAAGGGCTCTTGTAATTAGAGTAATACTTTTCCCACTGTTTGGAAAGTGGCTTTCCAGGGACAATGTACTAGAGCTGGACCCGAAGGAAGACACATGTGATCCCAGCTCCCCAAGCTTACTTAACAACCCAGGTCAGCAATGGCCCCTCCTCAGAAGTGCTTGGGGGTATCCCAGACATCCTAGGTCTTGCTCACCTGCCATCTGCTGCAGAAACTTGGACACTTAGAAACTTGTCCAAGAACACAAGGAAGTTGTGCATTGACCCCAGAGGAGCCCAGCCTGTTCACTTCCTACTCTACCAACGGCCATGACCTCGGTAAGTTTTCCTTCCAGGTCAAACTGGGAGACAAGTCGCCAAATCTCTCCAGACCTCAGTTTACTCATGTGTAAAGTTGGAATATTGATCATGTTTACTCTGAGGACCAGTGGCAAATAGTCAACTCTGACTTGGGTTTCTGGCCCTGAGGAAGACAGGGGCTTTGTGAGGATTGGCAGTAATGAACGCTGAATTCATGACACATAGTCGGTGAGTGATAAATAGTAGTTACTATTATTTCCTAAGGTTTTGAGAGTGTTGAATATCATAATATGTAAACATAACCAGTTGATGCTAGAAACATAGTAGCTGCTCCATAAATGATACAATATATTCAAAAGCAGGTCTAAAAATATCTGTGAAGAAAGCTTATTAAGTAGTCTACCCTGCCTGCCTTTGACCTGGATTATTCTAACTCTTCTGTTACCCTTGGACAGTATCCTCTGGGGTCCCCTTTGGTCCCTGACAGACATAGAGTACAAGTGATGACAAGACCCATCATGAAAGTTAAATTTTTCGTTAACTACAGAAAATGTGAAATGATAGACATTTTGCAAACCTTATTTTGAATTCTAAATTAGTTGAAAGCTGGAGTGCAAATTTGGAAGCAAAGTTTTGTAGCCTTGATTTGTGAATTGTTACAGTATTCATATTGCTTTCCGTAGGAGATGTTGCTTTTTGGAGCACTGGAGCAGGAGGCAAGGGGCTGGGGCTTTCTCCTGGCCCTACCCTTAGGTATCTGTGTGACTTTGGGGCAAAAGTTTCTCACCTGTCACCCAAGGGGGTTGAGCTAAATAGTAAGTGTGTGACTTTCCATTTCCCTAAAACTTTGACATGCTAGGGGAGGAGGGCGTGCTACTACTGACAGTGAAGTCCCTGGACCGGTGAGGTGGGATGGACGTTAAGTCCACCACAGAGCCAGGGAAGGGTTCCCCCAACTAAGAATCCTGGAAAACTGGGGGCAGGGAGGGGAATGGTAGTATGGTGGGGTGTGAGGAAGGTATGGGGTCGTGGTGGCAGCAGTCGGCTCTCAGGGCGTGACCAACTGGGGCAAAGGCTGAAGAGAGAGTTCAAAAATAGAAGCAGAGCAGGGCAATAGATTTAGTCATGTGGACATCCTTGGCCACTTTAATAAGCACTCTTTAGTAAAAGCATGACTGAAAGGGGCTCAAATGAGACTAGAAAGAGAAGTATTAGAGACAGTTAAACAAATTTTGGAGGACTTTTGCTGTAGATCTAGAAAATCATTATTTGGAGTAAAAGAGATCTCTATAAACACTTAGAACAGGGATTGTCATGTTGTAAGTGCTGACACATGTCAGCCACTACTGATTATCTATGTCCCCATTTGATCCTCATTACATTCCTGAGAGGCCCAGAGGTCAAGGTTTATCAGAGTTTGATTAGAGAAAACTGAGGCAGATGAATACAATGACTTACTCAAGGTCTCGCCCTTAACCCATTGGATTATCCATTCAGGCCACACGTGTCTGTTGACTGCCTGCTATAAACTGAGATAAGCAGATCAGGAAAGAGTAGAGCTGGAGCTAGATCTCCTGGTCAGAAGATCAGTTATTTCCCTAATATACTAGGTGAAAGTGCTTAGCACGTTTCAACTGATTTTTGCTGTTAAATACGTGAGTTACAAATCATCGAGGTGACGCAATTCCTTGAGTCTTCAAAGAGTCATCAATCTCGTTACTAGATACATTTATTTGATCTTCATTTTTAAAAATATGTAAATAACACCTCCTACTAGAGGCCAGAAACTACCCTTCGTGTTATGTTTCTGAGCTTCTCTGAAGTGGAAATCAACAGTCCTAAGGATGGAGCTTTCCTCTCATAAAGGGTCACCAGCATTTCCAGACTATGACTTTGGGTTCTAGAAAGCCACTATAGTTGGCCTCTTGGCAGACTCTAGAGAACGAGGTTAATTAGTAATCACTCTTGAGTTTGTTTAGACACATGAAAAGCCATCCTTTGGGAATGGGGCTGAAATTCTTAGTTCCTCAGCCATCCCTCACTGTCAAAGAGGCAGAATGTAATCAGTTTCCTGGAATCGAAAAGATTGAACATCTGAGTACAATCCATCTCCTTGAACTTTATTACCAATGTTCTCTTTCTCAACCTCTTGAGTAATCCAATTTTTCTGGACAAGGAAATTGAATATAGAATCAGAGAAGAGGCACCAATCCATCTCCCTCCCACCAACACTACCACCCAATGCTGTCTAGAGGCAGAGATACACTTAAACTCATTCAAATACAATCCTTCCTTAGGGAGTTTAGGGAGCTATATAGTGCCCTACACGGCTTCCTTGGAATCTATATCCACCAGAGTCCCTTCTCTAACATAGAAGTGAACAGCCAGAGGCAAGGATGGGCTTCCTGGCTACTAGCTAAGCTGAGATTTCAACCCCAGGTGGTGCTTTCCAAGCCTTTCTGCCTTTACCACAGCCCAGTGGTTACAGGCACAGGCCATGGAGTAAGCCAGGCTAGATCCAATTCCTGGAGCCGACACCTACTTTCAGTTTGCCTTTGGGTCCTGGATTTCAGTTAAGACCCACCCGAAAGGGTGGTACAGATTGAGGAAGGCAATGTGTGCTGTATAAACTTCTAGCATAGTAGTTCTAGCACTTAATAAATCAATGTAATAAACATTCATTACTATTGTTATTTTTACACATACGAGAAGAACCAGATAGAAACAGGAAGGTTACAACAAACTCAGTTTAAACATTTATCCCTGGCTAAACATGTCAACTCAATTTAACTCTCTACACCGCTAAAGATGGTGCATACTGTATTCATATATTACCACGTGTGTGGCCTCTGGAACTGGTACTGCCTTAGAACCACAGCCCTCTGGGACCAGCAGCCTTGCAATTTCAATATGGACCCTGTGTCGTTCCTCCTCTCTTATAGCACAAGCTTCCTTTCCCCTACTATACTTCTGGTGGTCTATGTTATAGGCTGAATTATATCTCCCCCAAATTCATATGCTGAAGCCCTAAACCCCAGTACCTCAAAATGTGATCGTATTTGGAGATCAGGTCCTGAAAGAGGCGATTCAGTTAAAATGAGGCCGTTAGAGTGGGACCTAATTCCATTTCACTGGTGTCCTTATGAGAAAAGAAAATTTGGACACAGAGAGATACCAGGGATGCATGTGCCCAGAGACCACGAGAGGACACAGGGAGACGCCGAGAGAGGCCTCAGTAGATAGCAAAGCTGCTAACACTTTGACTTTGGTTTTCCAGTCTCCAGAACTGTAAGAAAATTAAGTTCTGTTGTTTAAGCCACCCAGTCTGTGATATTCCATCACGGCAGCCCCGATGACTAAGACAGTCTATTTATTTTTCCCAACATCCAGACTCATCTATGACATCAACTCACGAGTTGAGATAAAACACGCTGACTCATTTTATGGTGGCTTTAGAGATTCCATTACCGGCCAGCTACATTTAAGGGGCCATTCAACAGTGGCAGGGAGGGAAGAGCCACAGCTCTGGAGAGCACTCTTTTCTTCTGGTCCATTATTTTCCCTGAAGAGACCCCTGACGCCTAAAGGTAAGGCAGGAGCACTTTCTGCTTATTCCCATCCCAGCTTCTTCCCATGGCTAGGAGCCTTCTGCACCTTCATTTCCAGTCCCTTCACAGGAACTTGTCTCTCATGAATAGGCACCAAGCCTCCCACAAAAGGAATTCACAGTTTCCAGTCCCAGTTCCCACACTGAGCAAAGTGTTTCACATCAGAGGCACTGTGGGGGGCTCCACAATGTAGCTGTAACTTCACATCCAAACTCCTCATCATCAGCCTCCTGGATGTGCACAGGTCCCCCATATCCCACACGTTGCACTGAGCAACCCCTGGGGGGAGGGGACAAGTGCATGGAACAATGTAAAGAGCACACACTAGGGCTGTGCAGTGCACAATCTGCGCAGCTGTACAAAGCGGCCCTGGCAGAAACTATGTCTTGTATGATTCATTACCCTCCCGGCCTCATGCTGAGCAACTAAAATGCCCTTTATAAATATTATTGATTCACTGGCATTTCTAAGTGAAGTGTTTTCCTTCAATGAGAAAAACAGTAAAAGTCAACAAGGAAAGAAAAAGACTCTGGTGAATATTAGATAAATGCTGCAGCTCCTTGGATCAGATCACGTCCACTCTGGATGTTCGTAATTGCACAGTAGGGATAAAACGACCTGACTTATGCAGTCGTCTCTGGGAATGGAAGGGATTAGGTGCTACTTGAGATTTTGATGTTCCTCCTTTCTGTCCATGTACGAGCATCACCTTATAATACTTATAATAACCTTGCCCCTTTCATTTTTTCCACTTAATGACATTGTTCTCCCCAGATTGCCACTTTTCGTTGGAAACCAATAAGTACCTACAGATTTATTGAGTTAGTAACAATGATTGTCTTCTTCCTTAGACCTTCCATAGATGAGCCAGTGCAAGATCATACTGCCAAAGGTCGAGATCAGGAGGGTGTCAGAGGAAAGAACCTTCCTCGGTGCCTACGGGGCACGCACCACTTCCTAGGACTGATCTATATAGGTCACGAGGCCTGTTTGTTAGAGGAGAGGAGTAGAACTGTCAACCAGCTGCACTCCAGCCTGGGTGACAGGGCAAGACTCTACCTCAAAATAAATAAATAAATAACATCACTAAACATCCAGAGGGGTAAAAATGGGGTAAAATGGGGTAAAAAATGTCAACCAACCGTCTTTCCCTGTACACCAAATACCTAGACGTCAAAATTACAACCAGAGCTTGCTTGATGACTGGGGATGCCAAGTTGGAGTGCTTGCAGGTGGATACATAACAGGATATACCAACCCAAGAATAGGGAGAGTGGCATCCATGGCGCAGCAGACATGCTGCAGGATGGAATTTGAAAGGCTCAGCCTGCTCCTGGCACTTCCAGGTTTTTTTTCTTCTGTTCCCCAGCCTGTCTCTCACTTTCGATTCATATACTCCTTCACTACACTATAAAGTACAAGTGAATAGATTCCAAAGATTCTGTTTTGTCCCCTTGGGATTACTCCCTGTCGTGCCTGAGTACAAGTTCTTGTGGTTCCAAGCCCTCTAGAGCCTCATCCACAGATGATTGCTTGGTTTGCTCCTAACCTCCAGGTGTGGATTTTCCCAATTTGATTCCCAAAGGGAAACTTTTCATCTGGGTTCCAGGGAAACATTAGACTGGCTGCCCCGGTTCAGTGTCTCTTTCCTGCTTTTTTTTTGTTTTGGTTTGGTTTGGTTTTTGAGACTGAGTCTCGCTCTGTCGCCCAGGCTGGAGCACAGTGGCATGATCTCGGCTCACGGCAACCTCCGCCTTCCAGGTTCAAGTGATTCTCCTGCCTCAGTCTCCCAAGTAGCTGGGATTACAGGTGCCTGCCACCAGGCCTGGCTAATTTTTGTATTTTTAGTAAAGACAGGGTTTCACCATGTCGGCCAGGCTAGTCTTGAACTACTGACCTCAAGTAATCCACTCACTTTGGCCTCCCAAAGTGCTGAGATTACAGGCATGAGCCACTGCCTCTGGCCTTTTTCCTGCTTTTAAAGAGCTGGTGTGAAAAAGAGTGTGAGACAATGCCTGCAACATTCCCACACTCGTGCTTGGCACAATTAGATGGTCTATAATGTTGGTTTCCTTTTCCAGGAGTAATAAAGCATGTTTAGTACCTCTGTGCTATGATCTAAACATCTGTGTCCCCCCTCAGAATTCATACTGTTGAAACTTAATCCCCAAGGTGGTGCTATTAAGAGGTGAGGCCTTTGGGAGGTAATTAGGTCCTAAGAGCTCCACCCTTGTGAATGGGATTAGTGCCCTTATTAAAGAGGCCTGGGGGAGCCTGCTCATCCCTTCCGCCATGTGAGGACACAGAAGGTGCCATCTGGGAGAAGCGAGCCCTTGCCAGACTCCGAATCTACTGGTGCCTTGATCTTGGACTTCCCAGCTGCCAGAAGTATGAGCAATCAAGTTCTGTTGTTTGTAAATTACCCAGTCTAAGGTATTTGTTATAGCAGCCCGAATGGACTAAGACACTCTCCATATCCCATAGCATTATCATAGAGAAAAGGGGACAGGTGCAGATGTCCCCGGGAGAGCTTTTGTTGAGTAACTGGAGGCATGCAAACCCCAACCCAATCTCAAATCCTAACTAAGAATCAAAGTGTGACAACTGTGTGTTAGGGAGACCTGGAGTGGCAGGTGTGCCTTGGATGTGGATTCTCAGAGACAGCAGTGTTGACGCCTTGCTGGACTAATCCGTGACCACCCACTATGGCAGGGACAGTGATTTACTCTCCCAGCTAATGTGAAAGCTCTGGTCAGATTGCATTCCAACAAAACCTCTAACTCAGAACTGCAGAGATGCTCGAGAATCCAACAGAAAGTCCACTTTGATATAAAGCATGTTCCAAGGCAGTTGGCTATCTTTGCCTCCTGCCCTGGAGAGCAATAACCAGGCCTTATGTTCACTACCCTGAGATGGAGGAGAGCATGTAAAAGAAAATAAAATTGTTGTCTTTTACTTTTCTTCGTTTTCTTTTTTTGTGAGACAGAGTTTCACTCTGTTGCCCAGGCTGGAGTGCAATGGTGCAATCTCGGCTCACTGCAACCTCCACCTCCCAGGTTCAAGCGACTCTCCCGCCTCAGCCTCCTGAGTAGCTGGGATTACAGGTGTGCACCACCATCCCTGGCTAATTTTTTGTATTTTTAGTAGAGACAGGGTTTCACCATGTTGGCCAGGCTGGTTTTGAACTCCTGACCTCAGGTGATCCACCTGCCTCGACTTCCCAAAGTGCTGGGATTATAAGCGTGAGCCACCCTGCCTGGCCAGCTTTTACTTTTCAGTGAGAAACGAAATGTACAAGGCATTCCGAGGGAACATTTTACCCATATGCATCCAGGACCCAATGAAGAGGCCGCCAGCCCCTCCTGTAGCCTCAGAACTGTGAGTCCATCTCTGTAAACAGGTGAGGCAGCTGGAGAAGCACTGGTGCCACCCATTCCACCTGCAGCCCCCAAGCTTGAAAGTGGTTGGCATGGAAAAGGAATAACCCTTACCTTTAGGAACAAAGAGAGGTGGAGTCCAAGGACCTTTCCAATACTATCTGAGCTGTAAACACAAAGCTGTAAACAAAGCTATTTATGGAGCACCTCTCACGTGTTGACACTAGGCTGGCCACTGGGTATGTGTAAACTCATTTGATCTTCAGATAACACAGAGGGGTCAGTGGTATTATTATCCCCATTTTCCAGAGGGAAGACTGAGGCTAGCAGGGGTAAGCTGTTGATTCACCCAAGATCACTCAGCTAGGAAGTGGCTCGAGCAGGATTTGGACACGGATCCATCTTACACTTCCCATTCGGGCTCCGCTGTCGGTGCCTGCAGGAAAGGGTCTGTGGCAGCACGGATTATATAAGGCTTCCAAAACTTCATAACCTCCTGTGCTTGTTATTTTTGTCTCTCAGCTGTCTGTGTCCCCACTGTGACAAGTTGAGAATAAAAAATCTTCAAACAAGAGGAGTCCATCTGCTTGTCTTTAGAGGCAGCAAGAAAATAAATCTCTTGATGGGTAAGGCCACAGTGGGGAAAGGTAGCATCTAAGGGGCGAGGGTCTAGAGCCTTTGGAAAGACAGCAAGAGAGAGCCCTGGAGTCAGGCCAGGAGGAACTGTATCCCTCAATGGCAGGGACTCAATGGTAGAAAGACGTGTACTAAAAGACATAAAGAAATATTCATGTAGAGCAAAGAGGATCAAAAGTACACTGAGAATTGAGGGGCCCTGGTCATTTCATGGAAATTAGTATAACACATATGCAAAACATTGTTTATTTTCTTCTGTGTTTTTTAAGAGACGGTATCGCTCTGCTGCCCAGGCTGCAGTGCAGTGGCACAATCACAGCTGACGGCAGACTTGACCCCCCCAGGCTCAAGCGATCCTCCCACCTCAGCCTCCAGAGTAGCTTGGACTACAGGTATGTGCTACCAGACCTGGCTAATTTTTAAATTTTTTTGTAGAGATGGGGTCTCACTATATTCCCCAGGATGGTCTCCAACTCCTGGACTCAAGCAATCTTCCCACCTCAGACTACAGGCATGAGCCACCATGCCCAGCCATATTGTTCATTTTTAAGTAAGTCACATTCTTTGGATTTGACAATATTTGGGGTTTTTTTGGTTTTTTTTTGTTTTTTTTTGTTTTTGAGATGGAGTCTCACTTTATCACTCAGGCTGGAGTGCAGTGGTGCAATCTCGGCTCACTGCAACCTCTCTGCCTCCCAGGTTCAAGCAATTCTTCTACCTCAGCCTCCCAAGTAGCTGGGATTACAGGCACCCACCACCATGCCTGGATATTTTTGTATTTTTGGTAGAGATGGAGTTTCACCATGTTGGCCAGGCTGGTCTCAAACTCCTGACCACAAGTGATCCACCCGCCTCAGCCTCCCAAAGTGTTCGGATTACAGGCATGAGCCACCGCCCCCAACCTTTGTTTTTTGTTGTTGTTGTTGTTGTTTGTTTGTTTGTTTTTTAAAGTCCCCATGGTTGTTTTGATCCTGGTCACACCTGGTCTGAGCCTGGGCCAAGGGAAACCACACTCAGGCTACTCCTGGTTCTTTGAGTGCTCATCTCCCTCCCCACCCGGTCTCACTGTAATTGATATGATGCCATTAAAAGTAACGGCAAAGACCGCAATGACTTTCACACCTGCCTAATAATAATACATCTATCCCTTGGGATATTTAGTTCCCAGCCAAGCCCCCAGGTAAATCCTGGCGTGTTGAGGACCTGATGCTATCAATGGATTTCCACTGATGCTTTAACGGTCCCCCTCCATACTGCCCCTCAACTGGGCCTATTAGTCAGGGACAGTCAGCACCTGGACTCCAGGACGGTGCATCTGTCAAGAGGCTTGGGGTGGTGGAGGCTGTCTTACACAGGCCTAGCCCAGGCTTCAGCCCCATTCACCAAATCCTGGCCAAGAGTGTGAAATTTCTCTGGGTCCTCCTTTTCTTCTGAACAGCCCTGTCTCAGTGTGGCCTGCTCCCAGAACTGTTTCTCCTGACTTCTCATTTCACCAAGAAGACATGGACTCAGAAAAATGAAGAGAGAAACACAAAGACACAGGAGCAGCAACCAAGCCCCTCTTCTCCAGGCAATCATCTGACTTCAATTGGCATAGACCCCTTAGGGGTGTGGACACTGTCTGAAAGTATCTGGAGAGACCAAGTTTCAGCAGCCACTAAGCTGTCAAGGCTCTTTAAAAATCTGATTCCTGGCCAGGCACGGGGGCGCACGCCTGTCACCCCAGTACTTTGGGAGGCTGTGGTGGGCAGATCACTTGAGGCCAGGAGTTCTAGATCAGCCTGGCCAACATGACGAAACCCCATCTCTACTAAAAATATGAAAATTAGCTGGGTGTGGTAGTGCACACCTGTAATCCCAGCTACTCGGGAGGCTGAAGCAGGAGAATCGCTTGAACCCAGAAGGCGGAGGTTGCAGTGAGCCGATATCGCACCATTGCACTCCAGCCTGGGCAACAGAGTGAGATTCTGTGTCAAAAAAAAAAAAAAAAAAAAATCTGATTCCACTGTTCTGAGTGTGAGGCTGTCCAAGCCTCCACTGTTTTTCCTCTGTGCTCTGAGCCCAGACTGAAATCTGTAGAGAGTGGCAACGTGTGGGATGGAAAGAAAATGAGCTTTGAGGTCTAACAGGAATGGGGCTGAATCCCACTCCTGTGACTTAGGAGCTATGACTTTCCCTGCAGGGCTCTGCCATGATTAAAGGAAATAATCTATATACATGTGCCAGTGCACACAGTAGCTGCTCAATATAGGAAAGTAGTTTGTTTCGATTCATGTGATTGTGAATCTCGAACATACCTGTGCTTGTATCTTGTCACAGTCGCTTCGTCCCTGGGTGACATCCAATCCATCCTTTCAGTCCTAGGTTAACTGATACCTCCTCTGGGAAGCAGCACCTGATTTCCAAGCCAAATAAGACATCACATGGAAATATAACCATGTCATTGCCCCATGCAAAATTATCTGGTGATTCTCCATTGCCTAGAGAACAAAATTGATGTCTCCTAAGCAAGAACAACAAGGCTCTTTCTGATTTAACAATTGCCCCCAGTTCTTCCCCAAACCCCGCCCTCATTTAATATTCCAGCCATATGCATCTATGGTGGCTTCCTGAATACAGCCAGCTCCTGCATACTTCCCTAATGCTAAGGTCCATGCCATCAAACTTAGGAGGTTGGATCAACTTGCACTTGAATTTCTGGAACACAAGCATGCAAAATGCAGAAACTGGCTGTACCCTGGTGACAGGGGAAAAGGCGTCCCTCCCATGGGTGGATCAGAAATCAAGGGCTCTGCCGCTGCTCTTTGAGGGTAGTGGGTAAGAGTGTGGTCCTTGAACAGAATCAAACCTGGCCTAACTCTTACTTGTCACTTACCAGCAATGTAATCTTGGCTGTGTCTCTGAACTCCCATTTCTCTATCTGGGGGAGGGAAATGGTAAGAACACCCCTAAACTGTTAGAGGAAGGAATGTCTGGCATATAGCAGGTGCTCAATAAATGTCCATTCTTATTAGAATTTCTGGAAGAAACAGGCAATGGTTCCCTGAAATACCACTGGACTGTCACAAGCATTTCAGTTGGGTTTCATGCACTGTCTGAAGAGATTGATCCAAGCACCTTGGATACATCCGTAGCTCAACATTAAAAGGCCAAGGTTATATCTTCCACTCCCATCCTTCCCCTCCAGAGCCCCCCTCGGTGGAAATGACAGAGTCAGGTAAGACACCTTCCTGGGGGAAAGCATATCTGCACTCAGGGAACATGTTCAAGAATTCAGCCTCTGCCTCTTCAGGCCTTATATGATGTATGGATTACAGTATAAAAAGATCAAATATCTGGAGGCACAGGACTTGGATTCTAATCTTGGATCCTAATTCTGGCCCTGTTGGTTACCAGCTGTGTGATCTTGGCTAAGTCACCTACCCTCTGTAAGCCTCAAATTCCTCATCTGTAATATGGAGGACCTACCTCACAAATCAGATGATGAGAGGGAGAATGTTTGGGGGTATAGCCATACTATACAGTATGGCTCAGGCCTAAGGTTCTTGAATTTGCTTGTTTTTCCTCTTGGCCTATTTTACTACAGGTTAAAAATCTGTTATCTGGCCAGGTGCAGTGGCTCACACCTGTAATCCTAGCACCTTGGGAAGTCAAGGTGGGTGGATCACTTGAGATCTCAAGTTTGAGATCAGCCTAGGCAACATGGTGAAAACCTGTTCTACAAAAAATACAAAAATTAGCCGGGTGTGGTGGGGCACACCTGTAGTCCCAGCTGCTTGGGAGGCTGAGGTGGGAGGATCGCTTGAGCCCAGGAGGCGGAGGTTGCTGTGAGCCAAGATGGCACCACTGTACTCCAGCCTGGGTGATAGAGCCAGACCTTGTCTCAAAAACCAAAACAACGACAACAAAATCTCTCTTATCTACAATTCCAAAATGCAAAAGCATCTGAGAAACAATATTTTTTTGTAATTCATTTGGCTGCAAAACTTGTACTGAATTGATGAGTCCATTTATAGACTTTATCCCACTTATGATGAATATTCATCAGTTTTACTGCAGAAATAATAACGTGTTTGACTTGAGAATGTTGTCTCAGTTACCTCTGGGGGTGTCAAATACTGCATGAGATATTCTGAATTATGAAACTCATCTGGCCCCATGAGTTTTGCTTAACAAGTTATGGACTTATATTCTAGGAGTATATCCTAATCTATACTCATTGATGTATCACCTGCATGATTTTGTCATATCCTTCTAACACCTGTATTAATACTTGCTTCATACACTTTAGTTGAGTCCATTTTTATTTACTTTTCCAAATGAACCTTGTTTAAATGCACAGTGAAAAATACCTAATTATTAATAAAAATGTTTGTCTACATGACATTTCAAAGCATCCTGCTTATCACAGTGAAATGCACCCCACACTTTAAGCAACAGTCATCTCAAACTAGCACAACGGGTTAGCTCTTAAATAGTTGGAATGCAAGCAATAAGGGTGACATCTGTGAGGTGGACTCTTCTTTGAGGTTTTCAGTTATAAATATTCAGCAGTACAATTCCACCAAATGCTGGTTGCATTCCTGCTGTGAACACGACACTGCTTAACCACATAAGCTATGATGTTTTGTTGGAAAACCACAAACAGCCAGTAAAGATGGCTGATGGAGCGCCACTCAGAACAGCTTACCTATGATAAGTTCTTTCACAGACATTCATGTCCATTTCCCTCGTTCACCAACAGGAGAGGTAGTATTAGAAGAATTTAAAACAAAAAACCAGGCCCACACGGATTGAGAGCTTGACCCAAGATCTCACAAGTTCCAGGCAGAGCTGAGAGTCCTGGAATTCAGGTCCCTGCTGCTGACCTGGACATGCCTCTGCTACATAAAGCCACAGTCTTTCCTGCTCAGGGCACTGCTGACGCCACTTTCTGCCCTGGTTTATACGTTAATATTCACAAAAGCTGCTGGGAGCCTGGACTTTCATAAAACCAGCCTGCTCTCGGACTAAAATACCCCCCTGTGGCCTAGTTACGATCCTTTCCTGTTCTCCATTAAAAAGCTCCGCAGTGGCTGAAGGGGTCTCACAAGGCTTTTAGAGGTTTAGCAAATCTTCAAAATGGACCAAGAAGAATTGGTAACTGTCTTAGCATTTTCCACAAAGTTAGAGAAACAGCAGTTAGTGGAAACAGGGCAAGGCCCAGATAATCTGTTCCAAGGCCACATATGACATCATAATTTAGCCTTTTGGTAATCAAAAATTTCCCAATGATCCGAACAAGTAAAGGAAAATCCCAACCCACCTGTATTAGTCCATTCTCACAATGCAATAAAGAACTGCTCGAGACTGGGTAATTTATAAAGGAAAGATGTTTAATTGATTCACAGTTCCGCATGTCTGGGCAAGCCTCAGGAAACTTACAGTCATGGCAGAAGGGGAAGTAAATATGTCCTTCTTCACATGATGGCAGGAAAATAACGCAGAGCGAAGGTGGTGGGGCGGGGGCACTGGGCAGGGAATGCCCCTTATAAAAACCATCAGCTCTTGTGAGAACTCGCTCACTATCACGAGAACAGGACGGCAAAATGGGGGAAACTGCCCCATGATTCAGTTTTCTCCTCCTGGTCCCTCCCAGGACATGTGGGGATTATGGAAACTACAATTCAAGATGAGATTTGGGAGGGGACACAGCCAAACCATATCACCACCCTCTCTTTTTACCAGAATTAATTATTAATGTTTTCGGCTTTCCTTTTGCCCCATGTGTGAGGTCATAAAAAAAAATTATGCTGGGGGCCAGGAATCGTGGGTCTTAAGTTCTGCCCTGATACCACCTAGCCACGGGCCCAGGCAGGCTCTAAGGAGCTGGCCCACGGTGTAGTACGGAATTCCGGTGCTGAGGGAAACAGACATATCTTTTCATCCTACCTCATCTTGCCCTTTGGATGAGTTGTTTTAAATTTCTCTGAGCCCCACCTTTCTTACCTCTAAAACCTATCTCAAAGGTGTTGATACGGATTAAAGAACAAAATGATGTAAAACACTGATCCCAGCCACAGCACAAAGCAAGAGGTAAATAAATAGTAGCTGGTATTGCTACTGCCAATTCAGATAGTCTGGGCCTCGGACCAGGTTATATGAATATATGTAATGAACAGCTCTTGACTTCAGTGATTATGGATTTATCACCCAGAACAGAATGAGTGGGGAAACATCATGCAGCTGACAGACAAGCTCATCACAATTTAATTTCCAAATACATAAATTTTTCTGGCTTTGAAGGGTTATTCAAAGGGTGCCTTGAGAAAATGTCAACCAGCATAATTTTAAATATGGCCGGTTCTTGACTAGTGGTGGAAAAGGAAGTCAGGAAAAATGGAAATAAATACCATTGATGAATAATTATTATTTTAGCCTGCACCTTCAACTTCCAGGTCAGAACTTTAAAAGTGTGTTTACCTGATTTGAGTTTCACCCAGTTATCTTCCTTGGTTTTTCCTTTACTGTAGGGAAATAGCCCAGGTTAGGCAGCCAGAGAGAGGCAAGAGAAGACAGGAGGTCCTGAGGCCCATATTTTGTAAGATAGAGTTGCCTGACCAATTATTGTATCTAGGTGCCTGTTAAAAATGCAGATCTCCCAGCCCCAAATGAATGAGGCTATCTGGGGCTGGTTGTTGAAAATATGCTTTTTTTTTTTTTTTTTTTTTTTGAGACGGAGACTCACTCTGTCGCCCAGGCTGGACTGCAATGGCGCAATCTCAGCTCACTGCAACCTCCACCTCCCAGGTTCAAGCCATTCTCCTGCCTCAGTCTCCCAAGTAGCTGGGATTACAGGTGCCCACCACCACGCCTGGCTAATTTTTGTATTTTTGGTGGAGATAGGGTTTCACCTGGTTGGCCAGGATGATCTCGAACTCCTGACCTCAGGTGATCCGCCCCCCTTGGCCTCCCAAAGTGCTGGGATGACAGGCGTGAGTCCCCACACCCAGCTAAAAATACGCATTTTTAATAGGCACCCTTGATACAACCAAAACTTTGAAAACCACTGATGTTAGGCCACATTATAAGCATGTAATAAATGCCACGTATACTTATCTCAGTAGGATTTCTTCCTGTCTCTAGTAGAAATTTATGGTCAAGGAGGAGTAAAGGACAAGCAAACAAACCATCCTAATAATTGTACAGCCAAAGAATACAGGTGAAAACAAAGTACAGTGGTGTCCCAAGGCAGGGGTGATTAGCCTACTTGAGGGCACAGAGGGACAGTTGTCAGAAAGATTTTCCCCAAGTGGAAGCTTCACCTCATTTTCCAAGTGGGTGAAGTGGGTGAAGTTTAGCAGTTAATGGATGGATGGGGAAACAGAACACAAGCAGGAAGAATAACATGAACAAAGCAGAGAGGCTCATTTGAGGAGCTGCATTGGTTCTGTATGTGGCTGGAAGGCAGGGAGTGAGGTTTGGAGGGATAGCGGAAACATTTCTTCTCAGCTGTGCAAAATTACAAATCATACTTTTCTTCCTCAAAGAAGGAAAGCGATCTCAAGTTTCTGGCATGAGAAAGCATAAACAAATCTCTAGGCTCTACTCTGACTTGATGGTTTTTTCCTTTTCCTGATTTTAAAACTCACTTGCATCCCACACCAAACCCAAGTAGATGCTAAATATAGTCGGCTCTTTGAGCCTTTTCCATTTACTCTGCCGAGTCAGTCTTTTCAATTGTGATTTATGCTCAAATTGTGGTTGAGTTAATTTAGTCAATTAACTTCAGTGAAACCAAAGGTTTATTTTCCATAAAGAATTTTCTTCTTATGCTTTTGAGATATTGTTATAATGAGTTTTGTTATATGCTTATGGATCAACTATTTTAATTGGGTCTATTTCACTTATCTATTACTGTGTAACAAACCATCCCAACATTTAATGGCTTAAAACAACAACCTTTGTATTTGCTCACTCTCTGATATTCAGACTGGGCTTAGTTGGATAAGGTTTCTGCTGATCTTGATGATGATCACTAATTGGCTGAATTCAGTGTGAGTTGGATGGGGGCTGGGCTCCGCTGAGATGCTGAGATGGCAGGGTTTTTCTAAGGCCTTTTTATATAGCCCCTCTAGCAAGGTAATTAGACTTTTTATATGGCAGATCACAGCATCCGGAAGCACCAAAGCAGAAGCTGACAGTACTTCTTAAGGCTCAGAACTGGCACAGTGTCACTTCTGCTGCATTTGATGAGTTAAAGCAAGTCATAAACCCAGACCAGATTCATGGGAAGGGGATTACACAAGGTTATGAATACTAAGAGGCATAGCTTATTGGGGCCACCAATAAAACAAACTGCAACAGTTTGCTCTCTGGTTTCCAGTGGCTCACAGCCCTCCCACGTGCAAAATACTCTCAACTCTCTCCCAAGACCCCTAAGAGTCTTACCATATTACAGCAGCAGTCTGGCTCAAGGTTCAAGATCTTGTCATCTAAACCAAGTCCAGGTGTAGATAAGACTCCTTGGGTATATTTCTTCTAGATCTGAAGACAAATTGTTTCGCCCCATATACCAGTGAGACCAGCATACAATAATCACAGCAGACTCTCATCTAAATGAAGGAGAATGGAAGGAATGCAGGACTTGCCAGTCCACAGCAATTCTGAAGTCCAGACAGGCATATATCACCAATTACCCCTGCTCCAGGGACAGTTATGTTCCTAGGGAGTGGTTCTTCATGGTTCCTTACTCTGCTTTCTGACTATTTCTTCTTTTCCCATAAGGGATGGCCAGTGTCTGTAGGTGAATAGCTTTCTCATCCTGTTTCCTGCCTTTAGAAAGAGTCCAGAGGCCTCTTTTCAAGTTGAGCTGTTTCTTTTCTTTCCTTTTTTTTTTAATTTATTTTACTTTAAGTTCTGGGATACTTGTGCAGAACGTGCAGATTTTTTACACAGGTATACATGTGCCATGGTGGTTTGCTGCACCTATCAACCTGTCATCTAGGTTTTAAGCCATGCATGCATTAGCTATTTGTCCTAATGCTCTCCCTCCCCTTGCCCCCCACCCCCTGATAGGCCCCAGTATGTCATGTTCCCCTCCCTGTGTCCATGTGTTCTCATCGTTCAGCTCCCATTTATGAGTGAGAACATGCGGTGTTTGGTTTTCTGTTCCTGTGTTAGTTTGCTGAGAATGATGGCTTCCAGCTTCATCCATGTCCCTGCAAAGGACATGAACTCATTCTTTTTTATGGCCGCAGAGCTGTTTCTTTTAGTACAACTCTGTGTTTCTGCTAATATAGTTCTCTTCAAGACTATGTAGGATTCCTATAAGTCTTATTAGGTTTCATGCCATTAGATAAGAGCTATACTCACAAATCTCTTTGTGACAGACCTCTTTATACTTTGGGTCAGAGTACTATGAGAAGATGTCCTTTAGATTCTTGGAAACACTTTTATCTAGTGCTGAGGTTCTAGGAGGTTCTACTGCTAATCTTTCTGGGGTCTTAACAAAGGGTCTTATAGCCACACTTGTGACTTGATCTTTTATTTTTTTTATTTTTTTATTTTTTATTTTTTTTTGAGATGGAGTCTCACTCTGTCACCTAGGCTGGAGTGCAGTGGTGTGATATCGGCTCACTGCAACCTCTGCCTCCCAGGTTCAAGCAATTCTCTGCCTCAGCCTCCTGAGTAGCTGTGACTACAGGCACCCACCAGCACGCCCGGCTAATTTTTTGGTATTTTTAGTGGAGACGGGGTTTCACCATCTTGGTCAGGTTGGTCTTGAACTCCTGACCTCGTGATCCACCCACCTCGGCCTCCCAAAATGCTGGGATTACCAGCATTTTGGTGTGAGCCACCACGCCCGGCCTGTGACTTGATCTTGACTCACATGTTCCATTTTACTGGTAGCATCTTAGATTTGATCTTTCTTCCCCCAAGGCCATTTGGGAACCTTTTGCAGACTGGAAAAGCTGCAAGGGGAGAGAGTTTTATTTTCCAACTCAGTAAGTCCTGGGTTGGAAAGTTTTCCTGTGTTGACACTTTTATTTTTTATCCTTCTCTCTCTATTTGTGCCTTATCAGGCACAGCTAAAAGAAGACAGTTAGCACTTTCAACGTTCTGTCTGGAAATAGTCTCTTAGTCAGATCCCCAAGTTCTTTAGACACATTTGCTATCTTTTATAGTCAACATGTTGCCAAACTTTCAACCACTACATGACACAGATTGTTTTTTCTCCAGACTCTAATACCAACTGCTCACTGCCCTTCCAGCCTTCACTAAGTCTCCTGGAGCCTCCTCCAGCTTCTACTCACCACCCAGGCCAAAAGCCATGGCCACTAGCTTTGTGTTCTTGTTACAGAAGAAACCACATCTGAGAGCTAACTTCTATTTGGTTAGCTATTGCTGCATAACAAACCGCCCCCAAATTTAGTGGCTTAAAATGACAATCATTCCATTTTCTCACAGTTCTGGAATCTGGTTTGGGGCTCAACTGAGCAGTTCTTCTGCTGGTCTTTACAGTGGTCACTTTTGTGGCTGCATTTAGCTACAGGAAAGCTGGGCCTGGGGTCAGCTATTGTTTTCAGCCAATTTGATCTCTCCCTCCTCCCCTACCCTCCTCTCTCTCCTCTCTCCTCTCCTCTATCTCTCTCTCTCTCTCATTCCATGTAATCTCAGGGCTTCTCCTCATGTGGATTTGCCATGTGATCTCTTCAGTGGCAACCAAACTTCTTACATGGCAGCTTAAGATTCCCAAGAGTACAAAAGAAGAGGTCATTAGGACTTCTTAAGACTGAGGCCTGCAATGAGCATAGTACCACTTCTGCCACGATCTAAAGAAAATCATCCTCAGCACAGATTCAAAAAGAAGGAACTACACAAGGGAGCCCCCAAACTCAGAACTTGCCCTAGATGGTCCTGCGTGTGTGGTTATTAAACTACCAAAATGGGCCAGGTGCGGTGGCTCACGCCTGTAATCCCAGCACTTTGTGAGGCCGAGTCGGGCGGATCACCTGAGGTCAGGAGTTCGAGACCAACCTGGGCAACATGATGAAACCCAGTCTCTACTAAAAATACAAAAATTAGCCTGGCATGGTGGTGGGTGCCTGAAATCCCAGCTACTCTGGAGGCTGAGGCAGGAGAATTGCCTGAACCTGGGAGGCAGAGGCTGCAGTGAGCAGAGATCATGCCACTGCACTCCAGCCTGGGTGACCAAGCAAGACTCCATCTCAAAATAATAATAATAATAATAATAATAATAATAATAATAATAATAAAAAAACACAAAATCAAATAAAATACTATAATGTTTAAGGCTCCACATTTACATTTTGTATCCCGTACCTGTGTCTGCGTCCCAACAAAACTATTTTAAATCATTCATAAATTATTTTCGGAAGGGGTGAATATCTTTACTCCTGGACCTAGGTGTCACTGTTTTCTACCCTTATCTGTAGAAGGGGAGAGTTTCCACTCAGCTACTTCAGCGGGTGGGTTGTGAAACTAAAACGAGATCCTTTGCATGAAGATGCTTTGCGAACCAAGATACATGTTGAGCATCATCAAGATCTCAAGATCACAGTCCCTCCTGGTCTGCGGAGGTCCCAAGAGTACTGAAAGTGGCCTGACTGCTCTACACACTCAGAACTTCCCATGGGATTGAGCAATGGAAACTACCATTCAAATTTCATTGCCGGCTTGTAACAGAGTAATTTACCAATGGACAGACTCAAAATTTTATAAGTTTTCTCTCTCTCTCTCTCTCTCTCTCTCTGTGTGTGTGTGTGTGTGTGCACGCGCATATGTGTGTGGTGTATACTTTTCTTTCTTATAACATCTCCTTCTTTCTGGCTTTTCCATCTTTCCTTTTCTATTATCCAGTCTTTCCTTGGAGCTCCGACTACAAGAGTCCCGTTTTTCCAGATTCGTCTCAGCCTGGTATCTTTCACCTGCAGCACTACTTCTGCAGCATCTGGGTGCTATCAATTTTGATATATATTTTTTTTTCTTCAGCTTCAGTAAAATTTTGAAAAATCTACTAAAAAAAAAGAACTCTAGAGGGCAGAGAAAAATGAGCTATTCTTATTTACAGTGAAATCCATCACTGGAACTGCTGTCTGGGGTTAATAAAAAGACTTCTGGAAGACAAGGCATTTAACTATTCCCACAGCAACAAGGGAATCAGGCCTTTCTCTGTGACCCAATAGTTGTTTATGGAAGTACCAACTCCCAGGCAAATAACATAAAATTTAGAGACCAAAGACCTCGGTGTTAAAGAACCATCTCTGTCATTCATTGTGATCTTGAAGTTCTCAGAATTCAAGCTCCCTGCCTAGGAAACCTCTGGATGAATCATCAGAGACCTCTGGATGAATTATGATCACTGTTTCTGAACAGATGCTGAGGGTTACGGGTGACAGTACCAGAGGTGAAGGGTCAAGCAGGGCACACACACAGCAGGCCCTTCTGGAACATTGACAGGGAGGGGAGAAATTCAGAGAAAAGACCCATCGCAGGTATGTGAGCCCTGTTGCCCATTGCATTCAAACAGCACAGAAGAATCTAGCAGGGCCAAACGTCAAGCATTGGAAGAGAAACCTCAGTCTTTTGGCTGTAGGGCTTTAAAAAAAAAAATTTGCATGATTGAGAGAGTATAAGCTGCTCCCATGGTGTGATCAAGGGCTGGGGTCCAAACCCATGGTCCCAGCAATATGATGTGGCAGAACCTTGGCCTCCATTTTTGGGTCATCACCTCAGCACTTAGCAGTTGGCAAAATCAAAAGGCTGGGGTCAAGCTTTGGGGGCTGCAGCTGCATAACAACGTAGAACCTCCATATGCAGCCCAGGTCTATGGTCTACTAACTCAGTATTTTAGGTTGGGTGAGCATCAATCCAACCAAACCGCCACTTCAGAATTCTACCATAAGTTGGGTTGATTGTCTTAAACTCACAGCAGTAGCTGGTTTCTGTGGAGTGTTTCAGGGGCCAGCCTGTGAGGAACCAGACTTGGATAAATTAGCCCTTACTTTTCAGTGGGGTAATAAAGAATACTACTTTTTCCCATTTGAGTTCTGAACTTTTTGAGAAAATAAATAAGCCAGGTAGTTGAAGATAAAAATAACAGCCTTACAGCTGATAAAGGTAGGGGTGGAAATATGGCTGAGGTATGCCGCAACGATGGGCTTCCTAATTTTGCACCCCAGAACTAGGCCAAGCTACCAAATGTCAGGAATCTTTTGTAAAGCATGGGTCTCCCTCTGCAAGAATAAAATGTTTCCTAATACAATTATTAATGGCCAATTTCTCTGTAGGGAGGCTGATTGCAAAGGAGACCTAGCCAGTGCCAAGTTTCCCACCTCACCCCACAACACAACCATCATAAATAAAATGTGGTAGATATAGAGGTGGTAGATATAGACAACCCAGGGAAGGGGAGGAGTCAGGCCAGGGGCTGAGAAAGGCTAAGGCTACAGTCAACAGCCTATCAGAAAAAGGTGCCGGGATATCAAGTATCTCCTCTTAACCAATTCTGAGGAAGCCAGCGGATATTAGTCAGTCCTGTTTCACATGAGAAAAGAGCTGTGTCTGAAGTTTTCCATCAAATGAAAGCCCCCATTTTTTACCCTATGGATGTTTAGTGTTATTGTAATGTATGAATATATGTATGTATTTATTTATTTATTTTGAGGTAGAGTCTCACTCTGTCACCCGGGCTGGAGTGCAGTGGCGCGATCTCAGCTCACTGCAACCTCCACCTCCTGGGTTCAAACGATTCTCCTGATTCAGCCTCCCAAGTAGCAGGGACCACACGTGTGTGCCTGACTAGTTTTTTGTATTTTCAGTAGAGACCGGTTTTTGCCATGTTGGCCAGGCTGGTCTCGAACTCCTGGACTTAAGTGATTCTCCTGCCTCAACCTCTCAAAGTTCTGGAATTACAGGTGTGAGCCATGCGCCCGGCCTGTTCAGTGTTATTATAAGATAACAGCTGTTCCAATGACAAAGCCACTTCCCATGCAAAGTTTCATTCAATCTTAAAGCAAATCTGAGATCATAATAATGTGTAGTACTCATTTTTCATATGAGCTAAATGACTTGCCTAGGATCTCACAAGACCTAAGACTTAGATTTAAATATTATTTCAATAATCCCACAGGAGTTTCATAAGACTTTATCAGCTTCTCATAACACAAGAAAATATTGGGAGGATCCAAATCATTGCATTTCAGTATATTCATTTTAGGAGTAGCAGTGGCACAAATAACTTTAAAATTTGTTTTTTAGCTGGGCGTGGTGGCTTACACTTGTAATCCCAACACCTTGGGAGGTTGAGGTGGAAGGATTGCTTGAGGACAAGAGTTTGAGGCCAGCCTGGGCGACATAGTGAGACTTCATCACTACAAAAAAAAAAAAAAAAAAAAAGCTAGGCACAGTGGTACATCCCTATAGTCCCAACTACTGGAGAGGCTGAGGCAGGATGATAGCTTGAGCCCAGGAATTTGAGGTTGCAGTGAGCCCTGATCACACTTAACTTTCATCAGAAATGTGTCTGACAGACTGAAAATTCAATACTTAAAATAATTAAGTGACACAATAAATGCCGAAAGGGAAAGTGGAATGTTTTCACTTTCCCACTATTTTTCAGGTCAAAACATGTACAGGTTCCAATTTTTTTTTCGAATATTTTACAACCAAATTGAAGGGAGGAGAAAGACTGTTAAAAACTGGTGTCTTTTTTTTTTTTTTCTGAGATGGAGTCTCACTCAGTGACCCCAAGCTAGACTACAGTGGCGTGATTTCAGCTCACTGCAACTTCTGCATCCTGGGTTCAAGTGATTCTCCTGCCTCAGCCTCCAGAGTAGCTGGTATTACAGGCACGCACCACCACACCCAGCTAATTTTTGTATTTTTAGTAGTGACCATGTTTCACCATGTTGGCCAGGCTGGTCTTGAACTCCTGACCTCAAGTGATCCACCTGCCTCGGACTCCCAAAGTGCTGGGATTACAGGTGTGAGCCACCGTGCCTGGCCCAAAAAAAAAACTTGTATTTTTACTACAATAATTTACTGAGCACCTTCTACATGTCAAGGATTTTACCAGGCACTAAACACATAGAATTTCAATCCTTATAACCCTACAACAGAGGTCACCATTTTATAAATTTTATTGTCCCCATTTTATAAACAGGGGCACTTGAGCTCAGAGAAGTTAATTCTCTTGTGTAAGTTCCCACCCCCGGGAATTGAATAACCTGGACTTGTTTGATTCCAAATGACAAATACTATTAACATAGCTGTGGAAAAGCAAAAGCCTTCAGCTGTGAAATTGCTGTATATTAATATCTTCTTACGTGACTGGTGGCTAGGCTTATCAGCAGCAACCATTCCCCTCAGAGACTCAAGGCACAAAAAGAACCCTGAAGAATCGTGAATAGTTTAAATCTACTCATTTATCTTTAATGAGTTTACAACTCTCTCATCAAGACTTCAGAAGTTCAAAATTGATAATGATCCTAATTTTTAAAACCACATAGAAAGAGGAATAATCTATAGTATTGTATTATGACAAATACCAAAGACACAACAAATGAATTAGAAATAGCCTTTGCATTCTAGGAGCTCAATGTTGAGGCATGGCACAACTGAGGTAAAACAGAGTGTTCATGGTATCCACAGGGAGCCACGAAATCATGGAGAATTTAATTCACTAATTTAAACCGAACTGATGTCTTGCCCTCTAAGATTGCTACTTGCACTTTTCCTCAACTGGAATAATTCAACGTTTTTATTTTAAAAGGTTGCATTTACATTAAGTCTTACTGCAGAGTAAAGATTAACTAATATGAATACTAGCAAAGTGACTTATTGCCCAATACGTTGAATTATGTAAAAACAAAAAAGTATAACATAATGCTTTACTAGAACTTGGCAGCAACACTGTGAACTTTGTGGGTCACTCAGAATCCCAGAATCCTGGAGCTTGCAGAATACCCAAAAGACTGCAAATCTGGCCGGGCGGTGGCTCATGCCTGCAATCCCAGCACTTTGGGAGGCTGAGGCAGACGGACCACTTGAGGTGAGGAGTTCAAAACCAGCCTGGCCAACATGGTGAAACCCTGTTTCTACTAAAAATACAAAAAATTAGCAGGCGTGGTGGCAGTCGCCTGTAATCCCAGCTACCGGGGAGGCTGATTCAGGAGAATCGCTTGAACCCAGGAAGCGGAGGTGGCAGTGATCGTGTCACTACACTCCAGCCTTGGTGACAAGAGCGAGATCTTATTCCAAAAAATAAATAAATAAATAAAATAAAAAATAAATAGACTGCAAATCTCTCCGATACCATAAGAGTCTCAAGAGAAAGAATTGGATCTCATGATTCTGTTGACTCACCTTCCTCATAATTTGGTTCATTGTTGGACACCAAATACATCATGGGGAAAGTACATGAAGAAAATACTTATTTTGAATTGCATTTTGAATTTCTAAATTTTGCAGAGACAAAGAGAAAGGCTGAATCTCAGTCAGTTAAACTATTTATTAGCTGTCTGAGTGGGAAGAATATTGCAGGAAGATATAATTACAAAACCTGATATAGCCAGGATTCAGCTTAGAGCTTTCAGCCTGTTTATAAAATATGCCAAATATGAGATGGCAGGCAAAGGGTAATGTGTTAATAGCAGATAGGCAAAACACTGGCTGCAATTTCAGGAAAAGACTAAACAGAACAGCTCTACAACATACTTTGTCTCTTGGAATCTAACTGCTTAGAAAGGCCTAGAAATAAATAAGGAAAGTTTATTTTAGGCATCTTCAGCATTGTCCCTCTAAAATCTTTTATTTCATACACTGGGAAATATAAATACTAAAAGCATGGTACCAACCACCAGAATGTTTACTCTGTGAATTTAAAACCCCTAAATTATCCACCCCTCCCTTCAATTGCCTAACATAATACCACCCCAGAGTTGCAAAATTTGAAGAAGGGGAAAAAAAGCCTAAAATTTGGAATCAAAAGAGCTGTATTTAAATAAAGCTCTAGCTACTTAAGCAGCTACTCAACTCTTCTTATCTGTTGCCTTTACCTATTTGGCTATAAAAATGTTATTATTAAGATATTCTGGGCTGGGCGCAGTGGCTCACGCCTGTAATCCCAGCACTTTGGGAGGCAGAGGCGGGCAAATCACTTGAGGTCAGGAGTTTGAGACCAGCCTGGCCAACATGTTGAAACCCCATCTCTACTAAAAATACAAAATTAGCTGGGCACGGTGGTGTGTGCCTGTAGTCCCAGATACCTGGGAGGCTGAGGCAGGAGAATCGCTTGAACCCGGGAGGCGGAGGTTGCAGTGAGCCAAGAGCACGCCACTGCACTCCAGCCTGGGCAACAGAGTGAGACTACATCTCAAAAAAAAAAAAAAGATACTCTGATGGCTCATCAATATTTGCCCTTTGCTTTTGCCTGCTTTGGAGATCATGATTTTAAATTATTTGGAATATATCTTTTCTCCCCTACCTCTACAACGATGCGTCTTCGTCTTCAACCCTGTTTTGTTTTGTTTTTTTTTTTTTTTTTGCCCTTACCTTTTACTTGTCTTGTCATCCGGAAAAATTCAACACTTATTGCATAGCGTGCAACATCTGTGATCGTTGCAAAGGGAAATACAAAGGTAAATAAGATCTAATTTCTGCCTTCAAGGAACTTATGATTTAATAGAAGGGATACAGGTACCAAAAATGCCTATAAGGCATAACCTGGAAGGGCAAATCATTATATTAATGATCTCCGTGTCCATGTCCCTTTACAATATGGCATAGTCATTTCTCACATCAGAAAGGTGGCATCAATTTCTCCATCCCCTTGAATTTGGGCTGTTTTTTAAAACTTGTTTTGATAAAGGGTCAAAGGTGGCAGGAGTGACAGTGCAATATCTAGGACCCGGGCAACCCATGAGACCTCATGGCTTCTGCATTTATTCATTAGGTACCCGACTGCCACATGAAGATTCAGTTAAGTACACAATACAGTGTTGTTAACTATATGCACGATGTTGTACAGTAGATCTCTAGGATTTATTCACCTTGCATAAGTGAAACTATGTACCCTTGGATCAACATCTCTCTGATTCACCCTCCCCCAAACCTTGGTAATCACCATTCAAGTCTCTGCTTCTGCTTCTACGAGTTTGATTATTTTAGATTCCTAAATGGAATAATTGAGTAGTTCTTCCGTGTTTGACTTTTATTTCCCCCACTTTGGAGACAGAGTCTCACTCTGTTGCCCAGGCTGGAGTGCAGTGGTGCAATCTCGGCTCACTGCAACCTCTGCCTCCCGGGTTCAAGCAATTCTCCTGCCTCAGCCTCCCAAGTAACTGGGATTTCAGGCACCCGCCACCATGCCCAGCTACTTTTTTGTATTTTTAGTAAAGGCGGGGCTTCACCATGTTGGCCAGGCTGGTCTCGAACTCCTGACCTCAAGTGATCCTGCCTCGGCCTCCCGAAGTGCTGGGATTACAGGCATGAGCCACCGCACTTGGCCTGGCTTATTTCATTTAGCATGTCTTCCACATTCATCCATGACGTAGCAAATGGCAGGATTCTCATCTCGTTTAAAGCTAAATAGTATTTCATTGTATGTACATTTTCTTTATCCATTCATCTGGACATTTAGGTTCTTTCTATGTCTTTGCTATTGTGAATAATGGGACAATGAACACGAGAATGCAGACATCTCTTTGAAATCCTGATTTCAATTTTTTTTGGGTATATACCCAGTAGCAGGTTTGTTGGATGATTTGGTAGTTCTATTTTTAATCTTTTGAGGAACTACCATACTGTTTTCCATAGTGACTGTACCAATTTACATTCCCACCAATAGTGTACAAGGTGTGATGGTTAACATTGTCATCTTGATTGGGTTGAAGGATGCAAAGTATTGTTTCTGGGTGTATCTGGTTGTTGCTGGGTGTTGCCAGAACAGACTAACATTTGAGTTAGTGGACTGGGAGGGGAAGACCCACCCTCAGGAAGACCCACCCACAATGTGAGTGGGCACCATCCAATTGGCTGCCAGTGCAGCTAGAAAAAGCAGGCAGAAGAAGGTGGAGCAAGCTGACTTGCTGAGTCTTCCAGTCTTCATCTCTCTCCCATGCTGGATGCTTCCTGCCCCTGAACATCAGACTCCAAGTTCCTCAGCCTTTGGATTCTTGGACTTACAACAGTGGTTTGCCAGGGCCTCTCGGGCCTTCAGCCACAGACTGGAGGCTGCACTGTCAGCTTCCCTACTTTTGAGGTTTTGGGACTCAGACTGCCACTGCTGGCTTCCTTCGTCCTCAATTTGCAAAATGGCCTATCGTGGGACTTCACCTTGTGATCATGTGAGTCAATTCTCCTTAATAAACTTCCTTTCATATATACATATATCCTGTAAGTTTTGCCCCTACAGAGGACCCTAATACAGGAGTCCCCTAAGAGGTGATGGTTAAGTTTAGGGCACTGAATATGGTGATGGTTTCACAGGTGTATACTTATCCTCCAATGCATCAAGATGTATACGTTGAATATATATAGCTTTATTTGTCTGACAATCATATCTCACTAAAAAAGTAAATAAATGGATGTGGCTGTATTCCAATAAAACTTGATTTATGGACACTGAAAAAAAATATTCAGTTAGACTACAAAATGATGAAAGACCATGTAGTGAGAGTCGCCGCCTTCAAGCCATCTATGCCAAAGCCATGTTAAACCCTCCAGCTTCTGCGAACTCACCAGCTGGCTGCAGCCCCCTGAGTGAGCTCAGGCTAGACCAGCAGAGAAATTGCCCAGCTGACCCCAAAAATGTGAGAAATAGCAAATTACTGTTTTCAGCCACTAAGTTTTGGGATAATGGATAACTGAGACATCTGATAAGTACTATAATGAAAGTAAAAAGTGATTTGGGGATAAAGAAGAGTTAGAAATTATTTCCTACCCAGAGGATGCGTGGTGATCTTATAGCAGTAACGATTTTTAATGTTTTCCCATTTTTTTCTTTTTTAGGGGTATTTTTTATATGGTTTAATTGCAAAAATTTAAACTGCTAAAATTTGGCAAGTTCTGGCATAGGTAAACACCTGTGAACCTGTTATCACAATCAAGATAATAAATGCGGGGAGGCCAGACACAGTGGCTCATGCCTGTAATCCTAGCAGTTTGGGAGGCCAAGGCAGGTGGATTGGCTGAGCTCAGGAGTTCGAGATCAGCCTGGGCAACACAGTGAAACCCTGTCTCTACTAAAATACAAAAAATTAGCCAGGCATGGTGGTGCACGCCTGTAGTCCCAGCTACTCAGGAGGCTGAGGCAGGAGAATTGCTAGAACCCAGGAGGTGGAGGTTGCAGTGAGCCGAGATCAGACCACTGTACTCCAGCCTGGGCAACAGAGCAAGACTCCATCTCAAAAAAAAAAAAAAAAAAAGATAATAAATGCATTCCTCACCCCCAAGACTTTCCTTATGGCCCCTTTATAATCCCTGCCTTTATGCCCTCCTTGCCCTTTCACCATCCTGAGACAACCAGATATGTTTTCTATCACTATAGACTAGTTTGCATTTTCTAGAATTTTATATACATGGAACCATACAATGTGTACTCTTTTTGTCTGGTTTCTGTCAGCAGAATTAGTTTTAGATCCATCCAAGTTGTGTGTGTATCAACAGTTTATTTCTACTGCTAACTTGTATTATGTTGTATAGATAGACCATGATTTGTTTATCCATATTCCTGTTGATGGACATTTAGGTTTTGTAGTCTATTAGGGGGCAATAAAGTTGCTATGAACTTTAGTGCACAAGTCTTCGTGTGGACATATACATTCTTTTCATTTCAAGGTATTATGAAATATACCTTGCATAAATACCTTGAAGTGGAATGGCTCAGTCATAAGTGTATGTTTAACTTTTTATGAAACTGGTAACCTGTTTTCCAAAGTGGTTGTACCATTTTACATCCCCTACCATCAGTATACGTTCCAGTTGTCCCAAATCTTTGTCAATTCTTGGTATCGGTTTTTTCAATTTTAGCTATTCAGTTTTAGCCATTCTAGTGGGTATGGTTTTAATTCATATTTTCATTACTATTTATGTTGAGCATATTTTCATATACTAATTTGCCATTCATATATCTTATTTAAGTGACTTTTCAAATCATCTGTATACTTTTTATATTATTACATTTATTATTATAATTATTTGTTGTTATTATTGGAGTTTTATGTATTCTAGGTAGAAGTCCCTTCTTGGATATATGTTTTCCAACTATTTTTCCCATTTTGTAGTTTATATTTTCATTTTCATAACGGTATCTTTGGAAAGGCAAACATTTTTTATTTTGATGATATCCATTTTATTTTTCTTTAATAATTCTTGCTTTTTGTGTCCAGTTTAAGAAACACGTGCCAAGCCAAGGTCACTGAGATTTTCTCCTACGTTTTCTTCAAGAAGTTTTATACGTTACCTCTTATATTTAGGACTATGATTTATCTTGAAGTACTTTTTGAATGCTGGTGTGAAATAAGGATTGAAGTTCATTTGTTTTTTGTTATTGTTCTTTGTTTTCACTATTTGTTTATATGGATATCCATTTGCTCCATCACCATTTATTGTTAATATTATCATTTTCCCATTGAATTGCCCTGGCACCTTTGTTGAAAATCAATTCTGTAGGTCTATTTCTGGACAAATTTTGTTCCATTTGTCTCTGTTTACCTTTCTTTATACTGTGATTACTGTAGCTTTTTAATAGATCTTGAAATCAGATAGTGTAAATCCTCCATTTAGCTCTTTTTTCAGTATTGTTTTGGCTATTCTAGGTTCTTTACATTTTCATATAAATTTGGTAATTTCTTTTAAAAGCCTGCTAGGATTTCTATTGAAATCGTATTGAATATATATAGTTGAATTTGAGAATAAATTATATCTTAACAATGTTGAATCTTCTAATATATAAATACAATATGTCTATTTATTTAGATTTTATTTATCCCAGCAGTGTTTACTAGTTTTCAGCGAACAGGTCTCACATGTCTTTTGGCAGGTTATCCTTAAATATTTATTATTTTTTACATTATTTTTAAATTGCAATTTCTGATTGCTCACTGCTTCTATATAAAAATACAACTGATTTTGGCAAATTGATCTTATATTCTGCCACCTTGAGAAACATGTATTGGTACTGGTAGCTTTTTGGTAGATTAATTAGGATTTTCTACATAGATAATTGTGTCATCTGCAAATTAAGACATCTCTTCCTTTCTAATCTGGATATTACTCATTTATTTATTTAGCCTTATTACACTGGCTAGAAGTGGTAAGAGCATACACCCTCACCTTGTTTCTGATCTTAGAGAGAAAGCATTTCAGTCTTTCACTTTAAGTATGATGCTTGCTGTAAGTTTTCACAGATGCACTTTATTAGGATGTGAACGTTCGTTTCTAGTTCTAGTTTGCTGGAAGTTTCTATCATGTATGGATGTTTGATTATTGTGTTACATTTTGTCAATTTATTTTTTGCATCTATTGAGTTGATCATATGGAGGAATGGAGTCCTTAAACACCAATGGTCTTCCCTCCTTCCCCTGCCCTTAAGAGTTCTGTCCTTGGCCCTGCTCTCTTGTGCTTTACAAATGAGAAGACTTATACATTACAATAGCTTCAACTAACAGCTGTGTATAAATGACTTCCAAGCATACATGTTTCATCTCAAATTCTCAGCTGAAATTGAGACCAATATTCTCAGCTTCTAACTGTATTTTGTCCACCAAGTTATCCTCCATATATCTCTAGAGAGATAAATAGGGGTGACATAAGAATCCAATGGCTATTCTCTTCAGTTAACTCACATTGAACTCAATGTTCATCAACTTGAATTTATACCGTTTGTGTGCCATTTAAGGTCTTTTAAATGTAAAATCAGAAAAATATCTGAAATCAGAGAGCTTTTTAAAAAAATACTAAAATCAAAACTTTATAATGCAGGATGTCTCAATCTTGATACTAATGACATTTGGGGAAAGATAATTCTTTGTTACAGAGGGCTATCCTGTTACAGATGTTAACCAGCATCCCTAGTCTTGACTCACTAGATGCCAGTAGTATCCTCACTGACCCCAATCTATGACAGTCAAAAATGTCTCCAGATATTGCCAAAGGTCCCCTGGGGAGGGGACACAATCATCTCGAGGTTGGAAACTACTGATGTACTAACTTGCTCTAGATCAATGCTCCCATGAAAATCAACTAAAAGAGCCAAATTAAAAAACAAACAAACCAAAAACAAAATGGGCACAGTGGCTCACAGCTGTCATCTCAGCAATTTGGGACGCTGAGGCAGGAGAATCTTTTTTGCTCAGGAATTCAAGACCAACCTGGGCAACACAGTGAGACCTCATTTCTACTAAAAATCAAAAGAATTAGCCGGGCATGGTGCTGGGATTACAGGCGTGAGCCACTGCACCCAGCCCCATTTCACCTTCATTTTTGAAGGATATTTTTTGCAGGGTATGAATTTCTAGATCAGCAGCTACTTTCTGTAAGCACTTTAAAAGTATTATTCTAGTCTTTTTGGTTTCCATTGTTTCTGTGGGAGATGGCTGTCTTTAAGATGTTTTCTGTCTTTACTTTTTAGTTGGTTTACTTTGATGTGCCTAAGTGTGATTCTATTTTTCTTTGTCCTGCTTTAGTTTTCTGAGCTTGGTCAAATGTTACTTTGGCCCCATTCTATTCCAAGACTCCAATTATCTTTCTAAAGGCTTTTCATTGTGTTTACATGCCTCCAATACATGCTTCAGTATGTATTTTTTTCTACTGACCTGTCTTGTAGTTCACTAATCTTGTCTTTTGTTACACAAATCCACTATTACATCCACCTACTGTGTTCTCAACTCCAGACACTGTATTCAGTTCTAGAATATCCATTTGATTTTTATAGATTACTTTTCTGATCAAAGTCTTTGCCTATTATCTTATCCATAATTGTCTCAAACACATTAGTCATAGTTATCTTAGAGTTCTTGCCAGTGAACTCCAATATGTGAATTGTCTGTGGCTTGGTTTCTCATGTCACTTTTTTTTCTCTTAGTTTTTGGTCACGTGGTCCATGTGGTTTTGGCATTTCTTGTAATTTTCCATTGGTTTCCAGATGTTTTAATGTTACTGGCTTTGGGTGATGTCTTTCTTCAGTGAGGCAACCTGTCTTCTGCTAGAACTTAATCCAACCAAGAATCATGATAAATCAAGGCAGAGTTACAAATCTTGGCATAAGGCTCATTCTACATTTGACGTGCCCCTAGCCTCAGAGTTTTCTAATGGTCACCTAGGATATTCTCCAGATCCCCTCCTTCTGGCAAGTCCTGATTTTTAATCTTTGTTTTATGAAGCTTTCTGCCTACTTTTGTTTTCTCTCCTAAACAGCACCACAACTTTGCAAATTTTCTGAGTGGAAATTGCCCATGTTTAAGGCTGTTCCATATCTCTACCAAAAGCTTTCTTGGTTGCTGTCCTCTGGAGGCAAGCTTTAAAAAAATACAAAATCAAAATTACCAGCCTCCGGTCTGCAACCAGAATGGACAAGTGCCCCCAAACTAAAAGCAGCCACAGGTCAGCTCACCTCAGAAATGTTCACTCCTTTTTAGAGTCCTGCTTGGACAGATTTCTACTGCCTTCAAATAGATGAGTCCCGTATTTTATCCCGCTTTTCTGCTGGGGGATAGTGGCGGTGGATTTGATAACTGGTAGGAACTAGTGAGAGTTGTGTTGCCCATTCTTTCCCTTTCTTTTTTTTTTTTTTTTGTTGAGACGGAGTCTCGCTGTCGCCCAGGCTGGAGTGCAGTGGCGCAATCCCGGCTCACTGCAGGCTCCGCCCCCTGGGGTTCACGCCATTCTCCTGCCTCAGCCTCCCGAGTAGCTGGGACTACAGGCGCCCGCCACCTCGCCCGGCTAATTTTTTGTATTTTTAGTAGAGACGGGGTTTCACCGTGTTAGCCAGGATGGTCTCGATCTCCTGACCTCGTGATCCGCCCGCCTCGGCCTCCCAAAGTGCTGGGATTACAGGCGTGAGCCACCACGCCCGGCCTCTTTCCCTTTCTGAATTGAAATTGTTACTACACTCTGGGTACGTAGGGGAAGATACTCTTTTCATTTATGAAGTATAACAAGGAGCTAATTTAAGACCTTATAGAGAGTATGGCACATTTAGAAGTAAATGCAGTCACTTTGAGCCCACTCTCTTGTGGATGGGTATCTTCCACACTGGGGAAAAAAAAATGAGGCATGAAAACTTGGTATTCAAAGCGGTGGATTGTCATAAGAGAGCCAGTTGTCCCCCAAGATGTCCTTCCCTTCTTCCAGTTTTTGGTATACAACTGGACATACAGAATGAAGACATTTAAAGTTTCTCTTTCAGCTCAGTGTGATCATGTGATATAGGTCTGATGGACAAGATGTGTCATGTGGCAACTTAAAAGTTGGCTCAACAGGGTCGGGGTGGGCGCCGGTCTGGGCGTGGGCGTGAACCAGCGCATGGACAGTTACAAGCACCTGAACGGCTGGAGCAATGGCAGCTACAGCATGATGCAGGACCAGCTGGGCTACGCACAGCACCCGGGCCTCCACGCCAACGGTGCCGCGCAGATGCAGCCCATACACCGCTATGACGTGGGCGCCCTGCAGTACAACTCCATGACCAGTTCGCAGACCTGCGAGAACTGCTCGCCCACCTACAGCACGTCCTACTCGCAGTAGGGCACCCTACTCCAGCCCCGCTGTGGTTACCTCTTCCTCCCACTCCAGGGCGCCCTGCCAGGCCGGGGACCTCCGGGACCTGATCAGCACGTACCTTACCCGCGCCGAGGTGCCGGAACACGCCGCCCCAGCCAACTTCACATGTCCCAGCACTACAGGAGCAGCCCGGTGCCCGCCACGGCCATTAACGACACACTGCCCCTCTCGCACATGTGAGGGCCGGACAGCGAACTGGAGGGGGAAGAAATTTTCGAAGAAAAACGAAGGAAATGGGAGGGGTGCAAAAGAGGAGAGTAGGAAACAGCATGGAAAAAACCCAATACGTTCAAAATGGAAAAATATATATATATTTTATCTTATATATATATTTATATATATAAATATATATTCTTTTACATATATTTATATATATTCTTTTATATATATTTATATATAAATATATATTCTTTTATATATATTTATATATAAATATATATTCTTTTATATATATTTATATATATATTCTTTTATATATATATTCTTTTATATATATTTATATATATATTCTTTTATATATATAAATATATATTCTTTTATATATATTTATATATATAACTATATATTCTTTTATATATATTTATAAATATATATTCTTTTATATATATTTATAAATAATCTTTTATATATATTTATAAATATATATTCTTTTATATATATTTATAAATATAAATATATATTCTTTTATATATTTATATATATTTTATATATTTATATATATATTCTTTTATATATATATATATATTCTTTTATATATATTTATATATAAATATATATTCTTTTATATATATAAATATATATTCTTTTATATATATTCTTTTATATATTTATATATTCTTTTATATACTTATATATAAATATATATTCTTTTATATATTTATATAAATATATATTCTTTTATATATTTATATATAAATATATATTCTTTTATATATTTATATATAAATATATATTCTTTTATTTATATATAAATATATATTCTTTTATATATTTATATATAAATATATATTCTTTTATATATTTATATATAAATATATATTCTTTTATATATTTATATATAAATATATATTCTTTTATATATTTATATATAAATATATATTCTTTTATATATTTATATATATATATCCCATCACCCACAGCAAATGGCAGCTGCCAAAGAGAACACCAATCCCATTCACACTCACGCAAAAACCGCGATGCCGACAAGAAAACTTCTATGAGAGAGATCCTGAACTTCCTTTTGGGGGACTATTTTTGTACAGAGAAAAACAGGGGGGTGGGGAGGGTGGAGGAATGGATCTTGTGCAGATTTGGAAGAAAGCAAGCTACAAAAAACTTTTAAAAAGTTCTAGTGGTACGGTAGGAGCTTTGCAGGAAGTTTGCAGGTCTTTACCAATAATATTTAGAGCTAGTCTCCAGGCGATGAAAAAATATTCTAATATTTGCAAGCAACTTTTGTACAGTATTTATCGAGATAAACATGGCAATCAAAATGTCTACTGTTTACAAGCTGAGAATTTGCCAGTATTTTTCAACGAGAAGCTTCTTGCTGCATTTTGATGCTGCAGCTGAAATTTAGCACAATTGCAAACGTGGAAAGAAGAAAATTATTGAAATTTGGACAAAAAATTGTAAGAAAGGAAAAAACTAAAATAAGTACTGGCAAACCATCTCTGTGGTCTTGTTTAAAAGGGCAAAAGTGCAAAACTTACATGGTTGGTAATTTATAATAGCTTTTGTTCAATCCCAACTTTCCATTTTGTTCAGATTAAAAAAATGAAGTTACTGTGTTCGAAATATTTTCCTATGGTTTGTAATATTTCTGTAAATTTATTGTGGTATTTTAAGGTTTTCCCCCTTTGTTTTCCGTAGTTGTATTTTAAAAGATTCGGCTCTGTAGTATTTCAATCAGTCTGCCGAGAATCCATGTATATATTTGAACTAATATCATCCTTGTAACAGGTACATTTTCAACTTATGTCTTTACTCCATTATACACAGTTTGAGATAAATTTTTGAAATACAAAAAATGTTGGCGCAAGGCCTTTTTATCTCTTTTTAGTTTCTTCTCCCCTGGGCAGAATGTAGATAAGATGGCTGGGACTGAAGCAGCCATTTTAGATCATGAAGTAACGTTGAGAATGACAGCTGTACATGATGAAGCAGAAGGACGAAAAGCTGGACCTCTGACCACCACTTTCCAGAGCATAACCCTTATACCAGCCCTGAACAACATGCCACAGTAATTTTCCATAGGAGATTCATTTCTATCTTATTTCAGTGACTGTTATTTTGGGGTTTTGTTACTTGCAACTAAGCCTCATAAAATTAGGAAAGTTCAGGACAGCAGTTCTCAAAGTGTGTTGGTATGGTCTGCGGACTTCTGAATTTTTTAGGGAGTTTGTGAAATCAAAACATTTTCAAAATATACTATGACATTATATGTCTTTTTAACTATGGTGACACATTCACCAATGGCGCAAAAACAATGGTGGGTAAAAGCACCAGCATCTTTGAAATGAGGCACTAGTAGTCATTGTATTCTTCATTGCCATGCACATGTAAGTCGGGGTTGTGGGGGAGGGGTGGTTTCCTTCAATGTCCTTAATAAAGCAGTAAAAATTACTTATTTTAAATCTTTACTCTTAAGTCTTTTAAATTTTCTGTATGAAAAAATGAGAACTGTATGTGAAGTACTTCTGAGGATACCAAAATATGATGGTTGTCTTGAGGAAAAGCACTAGTGAGGTTGTTTTGAGTAGTGAGTCTCGAGGCAATTCAGATGTGGGTATTTGACAGACATTTCCTCAAACATGAACAAAGTGAACTGTCACTTCAAGAAAAACTAACAGTATTTGTTGCCAATGATAAATTTTAAGCTTTCAAGTGAAAATTATTTTGGAAAATGTGTATCTGCCATCTGAATTTGATGGCCTCTCAGTATTAAAGAGGCTTTTTAAAATGAGATTGCTGGTCATATTAAACATGATTTTTAAACATTTTATATGGCAAAATATTAACATTTGGAAGATGTGCGTAACTCAGTGAATCAATAGTTTCCATGTGCCAAATGCATGATTTCACAAAATTATTCATGGGAAAAAGTTTCACTCAAAGTGCAAGGTAGACCACTGGAGTCTAATGAAATTCAATGCAAAATCTCATTTATGTGGCTTCAGATTCTATGTTGCAAATAACCTTTTAGATACTACCCCTTGTTCAGTATTGGTACAGTGTCCAAGAATAAATCTACAGCCTAGGCTATTAAAATATTCCTCCCTTTTACAACTTAATACCTCCATGAGGATGAATTTCTTCATTTACCTCAAACAAAACAACATATCAAACAGACTGAATGGAGAAACAGGTATGATAATCCAGCTGTCTTCTATTAAGCCAGACATTGAAAAGATTTGCAAAACGTGTATTAACAATGCTGCTCTTCTCACTAAATTATTTTTGAAAAATAATTATCATAAAATATGTTGTTAGCATGAAATTGGTTTATTTTAAAAGATTGGTAAATATTTTTTTAAATTTGTCAGTTTTCATTTCTGATATAGTCAATATAAACCTTCACAAACAAAAGTTACTTGGGGAAAAAAAACAGAACTACCGTCTGATCCAGCAATCCCACCAATGGGTATATACCCAAAGGAAAAGAAATCATTATATCAAAAAGAGACCTACACTTTTATGTCTATTGGAGCACTATTCACAATGGCAAAGATAGGGAATTGACTTAAGTGACCATCAACTGAAGCTGGATAAAGAAAATGTAGTGTGTGTGTGTGTGCGTGTGCATGTGTGTCATCATTTATATATATATATATATTTTTTATATTTATATATATATGAGACAGTATTCAGCCATAAAAGATAATAAAATCATGCCTTTTGCAGCAATGTGGATGGAGCTGGAGGTCATTATCTTAAGTGAAACATCTCAGAAACAGAAAGTCAAATACCGTATGTCCTCACTTGTAAGTGGGAGCTAAATAAGGTGTACAGAAGGACATAGAGTGTGGAATGATGGACACTGGAGACTTGGAAGGGTGGGATGGTGGAAGGCAGGCATATAAGGGATGAGAAATTACTTAATGAGTACAATGTAGACTAATCAGGTAATGGTTACATTAAAAGCCCAGGCTTCACCGCTATGCAATATACTCATGTAACAAAACTGCACTTAAACCCCTTAAATTTATACAAACTTTTTTAAAAGCAAGAAAAAGAAAACACCCTTTGGGGACATCAATATTTTTCCAGAGCATTAAGTTCTTGAGTGTTAAGTTCTTAAATGTTAAGATCTTAAGGCCAAAACGTTTAAAATAATTGATTTATGATATCTAAAGAATTTGAAGTATAACCACAAAACTGTTCTGTTTATAAAATATGAGAATAGTAAAAGTATTAAGCCCAGAGTTAGGTAAGCAATGTCACGTTAAGAAGAGAGGGGGCAGGCACATTCTAAAAATTGTACATCAATATACTTAATATTAATCCTCAGGGCAAAAGGTTAGAGAACAGATTCAGCAGAAAGTAAAATAACCATTAGCTCCATTAACCCAACACAAGTTTATTTACTAAGTCAAGTCAAACTGAGGAGTATTTGTTTCTTTGGTAGTTGGTAGACAAAGAATACATATACATATTCTATTTCCCATTAAGCATTTGATCATGTTACAAAACAATGGCCTAGAGAACTATCATTGAAGATTTACCAAATCTGCCTGAAGCAAAATGTGATAAACTGCAGAAATGGTGGAGAATGACACTGGAAGTCATAAAGTTGATTCTCAAACACGGGTTTGAACTGCATAGGACCGCTTATATGCATATTTTGATAAATATATTGAAAATTTTTTTGGAAATTTGCAACAATTTAAAAAACTTGCAGATGCACCATGTAGCTTAGAAATACTGAAAAACTAAGAAAAAGGTGTGTCATGAATTCATATAATATATGTAGACACTAGTCTATTTTATCATTTACTACCATAAATATATACAAATCTATTATGAAAAGTTAAAATTGGCCGGGCGCAGTGGCTCACGCCTGTAATCCCAACACTTCAGGAGGCCGAGGCAGGCGGATCACCTGAGGTCAGGAGTTCAAGAGCAGCCTGGCCAACATGGTGAAACCCTGTTTCTCCTAAAAATACAAAAATTAGCTGGGCATGGGGATGCATGCCTGTAATCCCAACTACTTGGGAGGCTGAGGCAGGAGAATCACTTGAACCCAGAAGACAGAGGTTGCAGTGAGCCGGCATGGTGCCACTGCACTCCAGCCTGGACAACAGAGCAAGACTCCATCTCAAAAAAAAAAAAAGTTAAAATTTATCAAAACTTAACGCATACACAGACTATACATTGGAGCCATTTGCAGTTGAGACAAACATAAAGATGCAGTACTAAATTACAACTGGATAAGATTAACTATAGTACATACTGCACTACTACCATAATTTCAGAGCTACCTCCTGTTGCTGTTGCTGTGAGCTCAAGTGCTGTATTCACTTAAAATGCCATGTGATGTTTATCATCTCCACATGGGCAGTTCATCTCTCCAGTAAATTGTGTATCGTAGTAAAAAGTGATCTCTCATGGTTCTCAGTTATTTTTCATCATGTTTAGTACAACCATAAACCTTGCAATAATACCAAGGGACCCATATGAAGTCCCGCTAGTGACGCTGGAAGTGCTCCCAAGGAGCAAAGTCATGACATTACAAGAAAAAGTTAAATTGCTTGATGTGTACTGGTCTGCAGCTGTAGTTGCCCATCCTTCAAGATAAATGAATCCAGCATAAGGACCACTGTTAAAAAAAATTAAGAAAATTTATGAAGCCATTACTGCATCTATACCAGCAAACCTTACACTTTTTGTGATATACCTTTTTATCTCGTATTAAAAATGCAACTTTTATGTGGGTGCAGTATTGCTACAAGAAAGACGTACCTATAGGCTCTAATATGATTGGAGAAAAGGCGGTCATTATATGACAATTTAAAGCAAAAGGAAGGTGAAGGATCTAAATCTAGAGAATTTAATGCCAGCAAAGGATGGCTTGATAATATTAGAAAGAAGTTTGGCTTTAAAAATGTTAAGATAACAGAAGAGGCAGCTCCTGATGACCAAGAGGCAGCAAATGAGTTCCCAGATGCCATTAAGAAAATCATTGAGGAGAAAGCATATCTACCAAAACAGGTTCTTAAGGCAGACAGAAGTGCCCTATTATGGAAAAATAATAATATGCCACAAAGAACATTTATTAGTAAAGAAGAGAAGTGAGCACCAGGGTTTAAGGCAGAAAGGGACAGGCTAATGCTATGGGTTTTTGCAAATGCTGTTGGGTTTATGATCAAGACTGCACTTATCTATAAAGCTGTTAACTCCCAAGTCTTGAAGGGAAAAGATAAACACCAGCTGCCAGTCTTCTGGCAGTATAACAAGAAGGCCTGGACGACAAGAACCCTTTTTCTGGATTGGCTCCATTGCTGTTTTGTCTTTGAAGTCAGGAAGTACCTTGCCAGTAAAGGACTGCCTTTTAAAGTTGTTTTGATACTGGACAATGCCCCTGGCCACCCACCCAGAACTCCATGAGTTCAATACTAAAGGCATCGAAGTGATCTATTTGCCCCCAAACACAATGTCTCTAATTTAGTTTCTAGATCAGGGAGTCATAAGGACCTATAGGCTCATTACACACAGTACTCTATGCAAAGAACCATCAGTGCCATGCAAGAGAACTCTAACAAAGAGAACATCATCAAAGTCTGGAAGGATTCCACCACTGATGATGCCATTGTTGCTACAGAAGACATGAAAGCCATCAAGCCCAAAACAATAAATTCCTGCTGAGGAAAACAACCAGATGTTGTGTGTGACTTCGCAGAATTTACAACAGAGCCAATCAAGAAAATCATGAAAGAGGTTGTAGATATGTCAAATTAAATAAATAAATAAATGGTGGAGGGTAGAAAGTTTCAAGATCTGAATCCTGGAGTGAATCAAAAGCTAAGCAATTCAAAAGCTTAGCTTTTGGAGATGAGTGCCTCTGAATCAGTGCCACAGAATGAGGAGGAAGACATTTAGAAGCAGTGCCAGAAAACAAATCAACATTAGACAATCTGGTAGAAGTGTTCTGATTATTCAAGACTGATTTTACAACATGAACCCTTCTATCACACAGGCACTAAAACTAAAGCAAATGGTGGAAGAAGGATTAATACCATATATAGAAATATTTTGAGAAATGAAAAAAAGCAAAACATCAGACAGAAGTTACAATGCATTTTCATAATTACACGTAGTGTGCCTGCCTTTCCTGCTTCCCCTTGCACCTCTGCTACCACTAAGAGCAAGACCAATCCTTCCTCTTCCTCCTCCACCTCAGCCTACTCAACATGAAGACAAGGAGGATGAAGACTTTTATCATGATCCACTTAATGAATAGTAAATGTATTTTCTCTTCCTGATGATTTTAATAACATTTTCTTTCTTCTACCTTTATTTTAATACAATATATGATACATATAACATACAAAATACGTGTTAATCTACTGCTTATTTATCAGAAAGGCTTCCAGCCAATAGGAGGCTATAAGTAAAGTTTGGAGAGAGTAAAAAGTTGTATTCAGATTTTCAGCAGCACAGGGGGTTGGTGTCCCTAATCCCTCCATTGTTCAAGAGTCAACTGTAAATGATTTGCTGATGGGAATATCTACAGACTTTTTTGAATTCTAGGGTTGCTTCCCCACACTTCTGTGCCATTTTCACCTACTGCTGTCAGTAAACATGCAAGAAGTAAGTATTAATCTTAATATTTAACTGTTACTCTTTAGGCTTAATGCAGTTATTAGTAATATGAAACAAAAAGAAAACATTTTACAATGAATTCCAAAGTGAAACATATTTCACATATCTGAGATTTTCTTAACACCAACTTTCTAGTACCTAGCATGATACTTTCTCTTCACAGAATATCTGTACTGTTTGTACCTTCGCTTCCTTCAGGTCTTCACTGACCATCTTCACTTATGACCACTGGTACTTTCTATCCTCTTTATCTTGTTTCATTTATCTCTATAGAACTTACCACCATCTGACATAAACAATATTTAAGTGTATATTTGCAGGTGGGCGCAGGGGCTCACGCCTGTAATCCCAGCACTTTGGGAGGCCGAGACAGGTGGACCACCTGAGGTCAGGAGTCTGAGGCCAGCCTGGCCAACATGGTGAAACCCCGTTTCTACTAAAAATACAAAAAAATTAGGCTCGGTGGCACGTGCCTGTAATCCCAGCTACTCAGGAGGTCAGGAGTCTGAGGCCAGCCTGGCCAACATGGTGAAACCCCGTTTCTACTAAAAATACAAAAAAATTAGGCTCGGTGGCACGTGACTGTAATCCCAGCTACTCAGGAGGCTGAGGCAGGAGAATCACTTGAACCCAGGAAGCAGAGGTTGCAATAAGCCAAGATCACGCCACTGCACTCCAGCCTGGGTGACATCAAGACTCCATCTCAAAAAAAAGTATATTTGCTTTTCTGTGTTCTCTTCCCCTATTACTACCCACCCCAAAAGAATAAGCTTCATGAGGGTACAGATGTTCTGGTTGTTCACTCAGTGCCTTGAACATCCTAGCACATAGTATGTAATAAAGAACACAAGATTTCTTAAATGAATCTTGGATTGTAAGCACAATATTCTTAAATTATAGATAAGAAAATGACTCCATGAATCTGGAGGTAAAAAGGAACCTAGGCAGAGAGCAGACATTGCAAAGCCCATGCAACTGATGTCCCTACTGCCTAGCAGTTAAGAAGACAGGCTTCATACTTGGACAAAATAGGATTCCAGTCCACTTATTCGTAGTGGCAAACTAACCTCTTCATGCCTCAATTTAGCTATGAGAAAATAGAGATGATAATGATAATAGCCCCAACTTAATGTTGTCATTAAGGTGATTAAATGCAATAATGTGTGTAAATTACTAGTGCATAAAGGACCAAATAAGTGTTTAATAAAAGGGAACTATTATTATTACTACTACTACTATCATCATCATCATCTCAGTCAGGATCCAAAGCCAATTTTTTAGTATTTCCCAAATAATTTATGGTAAGATAGGCTAACCAGTTTCTAAGTCCAGACAACTGAGAAAAAAAGCAGATTAGAGAGATAAAAGTTGCCAGAAGCAAGATCAGAAAAAAAAATGAAAACTATAAAAACTAGATTCTCAAGGTACTGCATTACCACACAATAATAATATACATAAAGATAATGCTTAGCCACTAAGAAAAAGGTTATATTATATTTAATATACTGTCTTAAGATGGCGAGAAAATATAATTCTAAAATTAGAAAGATTTACTTCAAAATGGCTCATACAAACTTTTGGTATAAAAGATAAACTTCCATTACCTTCAAAATTTATGTTCTAGAGAAAAAGAATAAAGTAAATGAGACTATTACATAAACAGCTTGGATATATCTGCTGTAAATACCCATCAGTGTGACTTATGTGAGTCTATCTAAAGCTTTTCTATGGGCTCACTCTTCACTCATACGCTGATGTTGTATCTCAGGTGCAGATTCCAGGGAGGTGGTAAATTGTTCCATTCACTATCTCAGTGACATTGCTGCCACCTTGTAACAAATCCGTATTCATTAATCCTGTTTGCTTTAGTAACAGAATATACCAAGGCCCTCTGAGATTAGTAAGAAATCAAATTTCAAAATCAAAACCACATTCCAAATTTCTTAAAAGATACTTTTTTTGTTCAATTCCTTTGTAAAAACATTGGTCACCATTTAACATACATGGCAACAAAATGCACCCAATTTACATGCATCAACAAGTTAATAAATCATAATACATGGACAACACAAATTTAAACAAACAGGACTAAAGTAGCTCATGTTGCATTTAACTATGGTTCTTGTGCTCCTAATAGAGAAGTAGCTAATATGAGAAACAAACAGTTCCAGTTTCAACCTAAATTAAAGTTATTTGTGGCAAGTAACATGAAACAATGATCATATGAAGTCATTATCTTAAAAAGAACCATTCTTCAGAAATCACTTTGTGGCAAAGCACCATACTAGGGTAGACTATGATCTTAAACATATACCTTCAGTTAAAGACAAATGGTCTCCATTTTTTGAAAATTACCTGAATGATTCAAATTTTTATTATGCCCATAAATTAAAATTATCTTTCAATGTGAAGGTTATATATTTTGACACCTTAAATAATTCTGGAGATGTTCAGTTAAACCAGTAATTCCCTGGGACCAGATTACTTTCAAGAGCAAGAAGAAAAAACAATAATCAAAAGCCCTTTCTAAAGTCACAGGCAAGGTTTCTGATACGGGATTTAATTAATAAGAAGTTAAGCACCACAGTAAAATACATTTTTAGAAAACAGAGTGGACTGCCATCAATACACAAGTTAGGGACAAAAGAAAGCACTTACACTTTACCCCACCCTTCCCCCCCCAAAAATTTAAGCACTCTAATCCTATCAATCAGAAATTTTACAAAGGATTTTTTGTGTGGTTATCTGTGTGTGGTTATTATATGGAAGATACAAACCGAAATTCTATTTAAGATCTCAAGTTCTAGAATCATGATTTGATTCAGTAAGAATGTCACATTATTTGTGCATGTTATATATTTATTTTTAGATTATATGCTATATTTTTATGCTTTCTCTCCTCAAAGTCTATGATTAAAGGATGGCACTTATGCATTCTGAAGCGCATGAGAGAATTTATGACAAACTGCCTTGTGAAAAAATATCTACTCTGAAGAGTTCAAAGTAATTATGTATAAATAAAACCTTAAAATAAACTGCTGTAAAACCTCTGCATCTATTTAGCAACACAAATAACTTCAAAAGCCAAAATACTATTTTAATTTTAAGTTTCTCTCCTCCATGATGTGTTTAATTACGCTGTTACAAGTAAGACTAATTTTTTAGCATGTGTAACAGACCACATGCTAAAAAAGTTTAAGGGTTCAGAAAACTAAAATTTATAATTCTTACATGGTTATACTTAAGCCAGAAGTACAAGACTAGAAATAAGTAACTTCAACCTAAAATATGCTTTAAATACCACAAAAGAAGAAAAAAGAAAAACAAAGGGAAAAAGGATTTCTCCTCATGTAATTTTTGAGTAGACTATGTAGCAAAAAAGCAAAATATTAAATATCTAGTTTTCACTTCAACAGAAATTATTCATAAATAAAATTCACTAAATAAGATATAATGAGATTAGGAGTATGAATATGGGGTATTCAGACTTATTCCATTCAGATGAGAAGATGACATCTTTGGAGGGAAAAAAAAAAACCTTACCAAATAATATAAATTGTATCTCATTAATCTTTCAAACATCACTTCAACTTCATCATTTATACCATAAACCTTCTTGACAGTTCCTATTTTCCACCTTTTTTTAAAAAAAGCTTTAGTCTCTTAATTTCCAAGCATCATGTTAAATCCCTTAGTTCAATCTAATTCCACAATCCCCATTTCAAAGACTCTAAAATAATCATTTGCTTCCCCTCAAAAGTCAGAATCCACCATGTAATTATTCAAAACTGGGAAACTAAAAGGTTAAAAAAAATCAACTAAAAATTGTACGCTTGTTAGTATACACGGTTTCATGTAGCAGGGAGACCACATAATTGCTCTTTGTGATTAACCCTCTGGCCCTTAAAATAGTAAAGTCAGAAAATTAAAATAAGTAATATATACTTAAAATACTTAAAACCTGTATCTATATCCATTTTCAATAGATGTGACAGTTAAGAAATGACTGAAATTATATTATTATAAATGTTTACTGCATAACAGTACAAAATTGATGTTCCCAAAAAGAGGGTAAAAAAATCTTTAACTGACATTAAACATCTTAAGTAATTTGGAAAAATCCCAAGGTTGAAATGTAACTATCAGGGAACAACGAAAAATGCTTTCATGCATGTACACATGTTAAGTAACAAATAAGCAAACCCCAAGTCAATACAGTACATCAATGACACTTAAATAACATTATGAATATAAAAAGAAAGGATAAAATGTTGACTGCTATTGATGAAAAAGCATTTCAACAATATACACAAAATGATACTAAACAGCTTTTTAAAAAAGATGTCCTAAGAAGATCAAGCCACAATAAGTTAGTGTTTTCCATAATACATGCTAAATTATTTGATCCCATATCTATACTGTTACTGTCTTAATTCCTAAATGTTGTGACAGCATATTTAATTACTGAGGTACATTAGTTTACATCTTTTTATAGGTATTCTAAGAGGATTAACTTTTCGTTTCCAGTTTTTCATCTTCTTCACCTCCTCCAAAGAAAATTAAAGGAAACATTCCTAGAATGCAGCCAATAGTCACCCCAACAGCTTTGCCCTAAGGAAACAAAAGAGAACATTTTTAAAGTTACTTTATCTCTGATAACAAGAAGGCAGAGAAAAAATCTCACCAGCTCTTCTCAATATATTTGGATTTGCTACCCTTCATATATATTCCTCTTCAATATTTATCCCTGTGTATACCTAATTATATGTAGATATAATCATTATGTAAACATAGCTTTGTTTTCTTCCTCAATCCGTACCCCTGCATAGCCACACATTTTCTCACAAACTCTTTTCCAAACTGCTACACAAACTTAAAGACTTCTAAGTTCAACTGAATTGACGGGTCTATATTCTACTTAAATCTCTCTTTACCGCCATAGCCACTGCTACTTCTTCAACATTATAAGTGAAATAACAATAAGCATTTCCATGTATATTTCTTCCCCAATGATTTGTTTAAAAGTCAAACAGTATTAATATTTGTGCATCTTCATGAAGCATTCATCCTTGACAACGCTGCACATACTTACATAGCAATTTCAGTATACATAAATGTAGACACACATACCAATTATCCTGCAACTTCACCTACATTATAAAAATTTTATTTCATTTTTATTTATTTTATTTGTTTTAGAGACAGGGTCTCCCTTTGTCACCTAGGCTGGAACGCAGTGGTATGATCATAACCCACTGCAGCCTTGGCTCAAGCCATCTTCCTGATCTCTTCCCGAACTCTTTGGCTCAAGCGAGCCTCCTGACTCAGTCTCCCCAGTAACTAGAACTACAGACACATGCCACTATGCCTAGATAATTTTGTTACTTTTATTATTTTTTTTTTTTGTAGAGCCAGGGTCTCCCTATGTTGCCCAGGCTGATCTTGAACTCCTGGCTTCAAGAAATCCTCCCACCTTGGCCTCCCAAATGAGATTACAGGCTCTGGGAGCCACCACACCCAGATCATTATAAAAATTTAAAATTGTTATTTTTGTAAATGGTTTTCAAAATTTGCATTCCTATGATGACTATCAAGTTTATATACTTTTCAATTAAGTTTCATTTCCTCATACAAATATTTATTGAGAAGCTACTATGTGTCAAACTCTGTACTGGGTGTACCATGGAGATGGACTAATCTTATGCAGTCTGTCTCTCTCCTCCAGGAACTTCTAGTTAGGTACACAGGGAAAGACAAAATAAGTTCTATCAAACATTACAGTTACTATGATAGCTACATAATCTTTAGTCTTGAATGAAATGTTTTCTCTTATACATTGTCTATTTAGCTATCATATCCTACAGTTTTTTTTTTGTTTGTTTTTTTTTTGAGACGGAGTCTCTCTCTGTGGCCCAGGTTGGAGTGCAGTGATGTAATCTCGACTCACTGCAAGCTCCGTCTCCTGGGTTCATGCCATTCTCCTGCCTCAGCCTCCTGAGTAGCTGGGACCACAGGTGCCCACCACCACGCCCGGCTAATTTTTTGTATTTTTAGTAGAGCCGGGGTTTCACTGTATTAGCCAGGATGGTCTCGATCTCCTGACCTCATGATCCACCCGCCTCGGCCTCCCAAAGTGCTGGAATTACAGGTGTGAGCCACCCCGCCCAGCCCACATCCTACAGTTTTTCTAACAAATTTAATAGTAGACATTAATATTTTGACAATAGCTTGCATAAAAATTTTTCAACTCTTATTTTGAGGCTTTTGGTGGTGGTAGTGGTATTAGTAGTATGACCACTGCTTGATATTAATAGTCAAAACTGTTATTTTCGTTATGCCAAAACTTTAAAAGGTATCATTCATGCAGAGTTTTAACAAGAAGAAATTTTCTTCATTCCACATGCTGATAAAGTTAATCCTAGCTTCTTGTTTTTTGACTTTAACATATTTACTCATTTGAATATATGCATAGAGAAATCATTATATTCTATTTCAGACTCCTGACTTTCCCATATACAGAAAATAACCATTGCCAATAGGCCCCACTTTCACTTCCCACCCATTCTGTTAAATTCCTCTTGCAACCAAGGCTTTCCTTGCCCCTCACTTTAGGAATACCAGTCAGTGATTTCTGACCCAATTATCTCAAGAGATATAATGTCAATAGGGTGGAGAAGAGGAAAAAAAGTGATATACTTTTCTCACTCCCTGATCCAGGACCTGAAACAAATTTTTCCATTGTGAAAACATTTATTTATACATTATCATTATGTCTTACAATACTCTAGGCCCCATAGTTAACTACACTGGGGCTAATTGTAGAACTTGAGTCCCATCTGTAATACTGTTTTATAAGAAAATATTTTTTGAATTTCAAACAACCAAATTACAAGTGAGGTTTTAAAATACACCTGTGTCAACTGGAACCTGCATGTGTATCTGTATTTATTCTATCATGGGTAAATTTCAGAGTTAGCTTTTGTCATGAGTAGATGGCTGGTCACTAACTTCAAATACTTCAGGCTGTATAGAATCAAAATGTTATGTTACAGAGTAGAAGATTTGATTCTAAAAACAAGCAGAGTCAACAACTAAGGAACAGAATCACTGTTGCCATAAACCAGTGAGGGGTTTATCACAATACACACGCAGACACACACACACTCAATATAGTAATACTAGTTTAGTAATCTGATGCTTTTGTCATAGAGAAGAGAAAATGAACCTGCTTTTAATACAGAAAGAAAACAATTATTATGCCCCAGGAAAATAAACTTCTGATCCCAACTTTAATGCTAAAATTTTTAAGACAAATTGCTAGAATGTTAGAATATCCTTATTCCCTCAAAACTCCAGCTGGTATCAGGGGCTAGTCTCACTTTACTTACAAATTGTAAGATATGGACACATGTAAACTAAAAGGAAAAGCCCAAAATTAACATTCTACTTTCTTAAAAGACTTTTCAACCTTTATAAAGTAAAAATTACAACAAGCAAATAGGTCCTCATTTTGTTTCTCCACACTCTTCCTACATTTTGATTGAAAAGCAAACACTTCCCTGGTATAGTTGTGATCCTTCTACTACTCATATTTTAAAGGGTAGTAATTATTGCAGATTTAAAGTGATTTAAAGTGATTAGTGATGAATTTAACTCTATATTACCTATGTGTATGTTTTTGTACTCTGTATGAATATTTTGCAGGTAAAAATTGTTTACTTCCAAAACATTCAATATCTTCATTAAAATAAATTCCATCTAACTTAACATTAATTTTATATTTTATTCTTCTTCTTCACCTCCCGTTAGTGTTTCAATTCATTGTCATTTGATTTTTCTTCTTCCATCAGTCCATAGAAATTGCTCAGAAATGATTATCAATGAGCAACTACATACCAAATCCAAAAACAAAAAAAAATTTTCAGAAATTTTATTTGATTTCTTTATATCAAGAGGAATTGGTTATCATTCATTACTTCTTAAAACTTCGTCCTTGATAGCTCCCATAAGACTATGAGCTCTTAGGTATTTTCTAGGGTTCTTTAATTCTGCACATTTTCTCTGGAACAACAGTTCTCAAATTTTAATGTACAACAGAATTAAAACACAAATTGCTGGGTTCCGTCTCCAGAACTTTTCATTTTGTGAATCTGTAGCAGGCACATTTTAAGGCGGCCTCCATGATACCTTCCTTCTGGTATTTAAGTCTTTGCATAATCTCCTCCCCTTGAGCATAGGTAGGATGCTCTAACTTGCTTTGAGTAATAGGAAAGGTGATGGGGTGTTACTCCTGTGATTATATTACATTACATAAGGCTCCATCTTGCCATCCTGCCAGCAGACTCATTCCCTTTCTCCCTTGCTGGCTCTGAAGATGCAGGCTGCCATGTTGTGAGAGGGTCTACTGAGAGGGCCACATGGCAAAGAACTGCAGGTGACCCGTAGATCGGGGTGTCCAATCTTTTGGCTTCCCTGGGCCACATTGGAAGAAGAAGAATTTTCTTGGGCCACACATAAAATACACTAACACTAACGATAGCTGATAAGCTTAAAAAAAATCACAGAAAAAATCTCATAATGTTTTAAGAAAGTTTACCAATTTGTGGTAAACTTTTGGATTACCAAAAGCGAGTTGCACAAGCTTGCTCTAGATGGAGGGAGGCCTCCAGGACATGAGAGTGCAACAGCAAGCCAGAGGTTAGGTCCCTCACAGCCACAAAAAAATTAATTTTGCCAAAGACCTGGGTGAGCCTGGAAGTGGATTCATCACCAATTGAGCTTCTAGACAGGAACGAAGTCCTAGCTGGACATGATTGCAGCCTTCCAGAGGACCCATTTAAGCTATTCCTGATCTGACCCACAGAAAATGAGAGATAACAAATATATGTTGTTTTAAGCTGCTGAATTTGCATGTTTTTGTTTTTTTTTTTTTTTTTTTTTTTGAGATGGAGTCTCACTCTGTCACCCAGGCTGGAGTGCAATGGCTTGATCTCGGCTCACTGCAACCTCTGCCTCCCAAGTTCAAGCAATTCTCCTGCCTCTGCCTCCTGAGTAAGCTGGGATTACAGGCGCCTGCCACCACGCCCAGCTAATTTTTGTATTTTCAATAGAGACAGGGTTTCACCATGCTGATCAGACTGGTCTCAAACTCCTGACCTCAGGTGATCCACCCGCCTCGGCCTCCCAAAGTGCTGGGATTACAAGCATGAGCCACCCCATCCAGCTGCAATAATTTACACAATAATAGATAGGTCTAAGATGAAGACTGAGTGTTTGCATTTCTAAGAAGTTACCAGGTAATGTTGATCCTGCTGATGCTGGCACCACATTTTGAGAACCACTCTCCTATGAAATCTCATCTTCTCCCATGGTTTGAACAATCATCTACCTTTTCAGTGAGGCCTACAGTGACTCTCCTATTGAATATTGCAGTCTGCTTCCATCCTAGCACTCCTAGCCTCTTCTACCTCGCTCTGTTTTCCCTTTTTATTCTCATAACACATATAAACTTCTAATATGCTAAATATTTTTATTTATCAGATTGTTTATTGTCTGTCTCCTCACTGCTTGAATGTAAGATCTATCAGAAATAAGATCTTATTTTGTTAACCAATGTATTCAAAACTCCTGTATCTCTACTTGGCATATAATACGTAAACAATAAGTATTTGTTGAATGAAGGAGTGACAATACCCATTATCACTAACTCTGACCTATCTAACTCTTGACTCTAACCTAAATGCCTACTAGGTGTCACCACTCAAATGTCCTATTAGTATCTCAAATTCAATGCGTCCAAAATAGAACTCATTATCTTCCCTTACAAGCTTATTCCTCCTCCTTTTTTTCTTGATTTTATTGATGGCATCATGATCCATCCAGTTTACTTCTTACTTAAAACTCCCCTGGCTCTCCATCACTTAGGTAAGAGGCTCAAGCTCCTTAGCATTCACATACAATAGCTTTCCTGTCTGATCCCTGCTTACTTCTCCAATGTTGTCTCCTGCTGCTGCTTATACCTACAGCTACTATATATTATATTCCTAAAGTCGGTTCTTGTATTTACCTAAATATACCCTTTTTTTATCATCCTCTTCTAATTGCTAGTCAGTATGCTTGGAACTCCTCTTATTCATCTAGTAAATGTCTCATCTATAATTCAAAAATCGGCTTAGATCTAATAATAACCAAGAAATCTCCCCACCAAAAGAAGTTACTCCCCACAGTGTTAATTCCCTTACCTGTATCATGGTTATATCTTGTACATAATTCATTACTGCATATGTCATACCAAATTATAATTTGTTTATATGTTTGGTTTTCCACCTAAACAAGTTCCTCAAGGATAACCACAGTTTATTATTCGTTTTATGTTCTTTAGACCCCAACCTATAAGAGATACTCCCTAATACTAAGTGAATTACAAAATATTTTTTAAAAATTAAGTATACCTACAAAAAATAAGGAGTTAATAACACAAATTACTGTTCTTCTGAAAACTGCCAACGTCTAGACAATTTTTGTTAAAAACTCCATTCAAACCAATTTTAGTCTCAAATTTCTCAAGGGCCTGAACTATACAGAATCTTGCTCTGGCTACCCAACTCATTATCATAAACCATGTAAATTACTTACCAAATGTGTACTAAGACGTGTTTGCCACATGTCAACTTGCTTTGGTGTGAGATCAGGAATTGACAGGCCTAACCTGGAAGCCAATGCTTCAACGTAGCCTGCAAGTCTTTGAAGAAACAAGACAATATGATATATAGGTTATGTTTCAATAAAGCCTTTACAAAAGCAAACAAAACAAAACAAAGACATGAGGACAAAATATAGGTTTTTAAAAAGACATGCAAATGTCCTCATATAGTAAACTAATTACTACAAGGAGAAACAAGATAATTTTACATTTGCACTTGTACTCTAGAAATGACATAAACATTCTTTACAACTTTTAATTTTTATTGCATATATTGTTTAAAAATATTTTATTAACATATTTAACACAAAGGAAAATTAATGACAGAGCAAGTATTCTCTATTATTATTTTTAAAAACAATTCAAGGTATGTAACAATTTGTACAGATAATTAGAATTTCTGCAATTATTCCAAACTCAAAGCAAAGCACTTTAACATATGATACAAATTAGTAACTTATCAGACAGCAAAAGTTTCCAAAATTCCTCAGATTGGTAAACTAACAAAAACACCTTAGAACTGTCAGGCCAATCTCAAGTATTTTATCAATTCTAAGTTGCCATCATTTATTGGATACATCCTTACTTTATGAACTGTAAGAAAGAAAAAATATTGCTAATTAAACTATGTATACTACCAACAATAAGATGGATCCTGATATCAGATACGTTAAAATGCATCTGAGAATGCCTAAAATGTGGTATTTGTTATTGAATGATACCCCCCAAAAGAGAGAAGAGAAATAGTTTTTAAATACAAAGACTTCCAGAAAAATCTTCATCTCTAAACAAAAACAATTGTTTTATGATGCAATATATAGCTAAATGGCTTTAAAATCTCTTAGATCATTTGGTTCTATTAAATATATCAGAAAGCTATACAATGACTGTAATATTCTCATTATTTACTTTAATGTTGGAAACTGGGAATAGAATGTTTAAGAGATGATATCATGATACATTTATGCCAGGAATTCGAAGAATATAAAATTCTTGCCATGGTCCTAAAACAAAGAAACTTTGTTTTTAACTGTGGCTTTGGCCCCAAACTCCAGTGCAGAAGTCTAATATAAAAGGTTAAGGTTAGATCACTTAAAAAGCTGCTTTGCCTAGATTATAGGGCTAAGTAAACTTCTAAGAAAAAATTCAAATCTGAAATTGTAACACTCAAATGAGTCAAGGAAAGAAGAGACAAAATCAAAGACAGAGCAAGACAGAGCATATTTATCATAATAATGTCCACTTAGTCTAATTTATACTCCCCCAGGCTTCCCCAAGCTCAGGAAGCAACTCAGGCCATCTGCTACTTGGAACAAGAATGTAAAGAGAGAGAGAAAGCTGGCCTTTTCTAAATAGATGTCCTTAGTTTGTTTCATTATTCCTGCCACATAAAGTAAAGAGAGCAAAAAACAGCCAAACCCATATATGCTTTGGCCATTATTTCCTTTGAAAGTTCCCCCCTCTAGAAAACATGTCTAGTCAGTATCCTCAAATTCGAGCCATATCCCTTCTCTTTGGGTTTTCTGGGAGTAGGGTGAGGTGGAATAATGAGAGAGGTTCTTCCTTTTACTCCTGTCTTACCCTTGGAGATGTCTATAAAATACATATAAATACTTCAGTAAACACAAATTCCATTTTGCTTACATTATGGTAAATTTAGAATAAACTTTTGCATACATCAGAACCACTCATGAAAATTACTAAACACAACTGCCAGGGCTCCCTCTCCAGAGACACTAATAATGTATAACTGGGATATCACCCAGGCATCTATATTTGATGGATACCAAAGATTTAGTACTATTAGTTTAGAAAAAGTAAATTTGAAATTTTAATTCTAGAAAACAAAGAAAAATGAAATATTCTTTTGTTATGCTTCTCAATTAAAGAAGAGTGGGGAACAGAAAGACAGCAAGTACAGAATATACAAATGAATAAGTGAATGAACCTACCCAAGTCCAGCTAGATCTGACACAAGATTTCCCAAAGCAGCAGCTAAAAATTTGAAAAATAAATAATTGTTACATAAAAGAATAATAATTATATCACTATGTAATCAATAAAGCACTGATCTTGGAAGAGTTCTCATATTTCTCAAACAACAGCAACCATATCCAAAGTAACTCATTGGACAGCTCTTACTCTCAAGGTTTTGAAATAGAACACAATTTTGAAATTATGCTATTCTACCTCCATTAAGTAGTAGGTTTTTTTGTTATGGCAGCCAATTTCCATTTTGGTTTCAATATTAATTGTAGAATATTTTGTAGTATCTTTCATATAATATTTAAAGGAATTGGTAAAGTTGCATGTACAGCTATGAAATTCAAGAAAGTCAAGGAGAAAAATATGTTTCTTTCATTAACTCATTTACCTAATGCTTTCTACAATAAATACAACATAGAACTCTTCCCAAATTTTACCTCTGTGAAGAATAGAGTGGTAAATGGGACAGAGAAGACAGATGTTTAATCCTGTATTTCCTTCTTTGATTTTTCTACCCAACTCAAGAAAAAAAAAATTCTACCCAACTCAAAAATAAATAAATAAAAAATAAATAATAGGCTGGGCGTGGTGGCTCACATCTGTAATCCTAGCACTTTGGGAGGCCGAGGCGGGCAGATCACGAGGTCAGGCATTCAAGACCATCCTGGCCAACATGGTGAAACCCCGTCTCTACTAAAAATACAAAAATTAGCCAGGAATGATGGCAGGCGCCAGTAGTCCCAGCTACTCATGAGGCTGAGATAGGAGAATCCCTTGAACCTGGAGGTGGAGGTTGCAGTGAGCTGAGATTGCACCACTGAACTGCAGCCTGGGTGACAGAGTGAGACCCCGTCTCTAAATAAATAAATAAATAAATAAATAAATAAAAGAGACCAAGGGTAGAAATGTTTAGGGGTAACACTGAATTGCCAGAAAATCTTGTCTTAACGAAATCAATATAGCAGAGTATTGTTATCCAATAACTAATAATATAAAGTACCTAAAATTTTCAGAAAAAGTGCTACATGTACAAAACTAAGAATCAGAAGAATAGGATGAAGAAAATTAACAGATATCTCAATGAGTAAACTCATTCAAATAAATTACCCTCCTCTAAACTTAATCTACTGAAATGTTTTATAAGTGTACAATGAAATAATAACATTTACTACTGTTAAATACCTGCCATAGTTGAAATTCCCAAAATAATTCCAATAGACATTTCAATATGGGTTCCCTGAAATATGATAAAAAATTAATCTTAAAAATTAAAGCTGAAGTGACTATAAAAGAATAGCAAAGCATTAATAAAAACAGATACAAGTTAAATCAACATGTTAGTGCTGCAAAATTACATACATCATATATGCACATATAATATAGTAATTCATTAAATTATTAAATATATGCATTCATACAGAAATAACATCAATAACATTTTATTCATTCAAATTAGGCTTCTAAAAATAAAATTAGCAACACATGTAGAAATATAGTTCATCATTAAAAATCTAGAATTTCTATTTTTCTACCACAGAGAAAAATGCTTTAAAGCTCTTTGAAAACAAGACCGACTCACATTGATTTTAAATTCTGAACTATACATCTATACTATTGTTATTTACTCTATCAAAAGATTAAAAGGAGACTAAACCAGTTTCTAGGGAAATTGGGGTTTATAAAATTATCCTTATAACACTTAGCTCTTGAACCATTAAGTAGTGAAACTATACATTCAATTTATAAGCAGCAACGGCATTTAGTACAATAGATCTACACTCAAAACAAAGCCCCATCGTATCGCCACTGAATTTAATGACAGAGTTTAAGACTTTCTATATGTATATCATCATTCCTCTGAAGAAAAGAGGGGCTCATATTTTACTTTCATTTTAAAGAGGAGGAACTGAAGTGAAGACAATTAAACTATTCTAACAGAATAAAGAAGAAATCCTAGGATCTATTGTGCTAATTCAATTCTAATCCCTGAGCAATGCTGCCATTAGAAGACTTAATTTTCAAGAGTTCTCTTGAATACTGATGCTTGAACATTTCTAAAAAATGCTTCAAATCTCAATGATATTTGTGGAGGGAAAAAAACGCCCTGTATTTTACGTAGAAATAATGCATTACTCATCAATTATTTACAAAACTGAAAAGAGGTTTCCTCAAGTTTCTTTCCCCTAGAGCTTTTGGCTGCATCACTTTAAGATATAATTCTTGTCGAATATGGACCCAACAGTCTGATGCACTGAAGTTCAAAAGTCTTTTGTCCTGATGCACAAAGTTCAAATGACAAGGTTGTAAATATACCCCAAGAAACAGATTTCTGAAGAAGAAATAAAGAGGAAGAAAAGGTAAAAACAGGCAGAGAAAAAGAATAAACATATGTATCATCATATCTGAATGCAAAAAAACTGGAGCACCAATATAGAAGAGAGGCACCTGATAACAACAGTCTAATAAATATGGCATCTTTAACAGCAATGAATCGCTGGCAGTGGCCAAAGAAGAATCTCTTGCAATACATACATTTAAAAAATAGTTAAGTGCTTAATCATTTGGTTGAATGTAACACAGCTGAAGGTCCTTCTAACAGCAGGAAAAGCCCCATATAAAGTCAAAGATGGTTTGGGGGCAATGGACTATCCACTTCTTTACTGTGTCCCATAGTTACATCAAATTTTGTGTTAATAGGTGAGGTAGAAATTATAAATAAACCGAATACTAATAGTTGTCTTAAAGTTATACCTGGTTCATTATCCTTAATACAATTAATCTACTCTAGAATTCTAATAAATTCTATCCAATTAAACTGTAAGTAAAGTAACCCAAAACTAACCCTAAAATATAAGTTATAAAAAGCAATCCAATAATATAAAAATATTTTTTAAACTATGAAACAAAAGGCTTAATATGAACACCAACCAATATAAAGGCCAAATCTATTACAAGAGGTTACACACCTCTTTGTTTTTGTTTGAATTTGTTTTTACGACTACAACTAGGGTGGGAAAGTACACCTAACAGGAAGGAGGAAAACATCAAATGTCTATGGTATAAAAAAAAAGAAGAATCAACTATCTCCTCAACTTACTATCTTAAAACAGTCATAGCTGTCCCACAATGAGAGGGGTTGATCAGTATTTTTTTAATTAAAAGATGAAAAACATTCTTAAGATAATAATCACTTATTTCCCCTTTCATAGATTCTACAGTTACATTATTTATATGTTTTAGTCTCAGCATTCTATATAACGAAGCCTCACTGGAAAATTTTATTGTCTCTGAATGAGTTTGCAGCTATCACAGGATAATATTTTTGCCACACCTACTACTCTTAACTTGAAGTCAGTGGCTTAAACATTTATTTCAGTATTATTTAAATAAAAACTGATTTTCTGTGTTCTGGATGTGCTGGGGAAAAAAATAAGAAAAAATAAACAAAATGGCCCATAAGCCCCTGAAACTGGATTTCAATAGAAACAGAATAACAGGTATTACTAATTTGGAGTCAGCCATCTCAGGCCTGGAAAAATAGTGCACTCTTAGTTATACTAACAATGAGGCACAGACCTGGGGAACACCAAATAGTGAACTACAAATTACTACAATAATTTGACTCTAGAATGTGGGTGTTTGGTTTGGTAGCTGATCCCCATCAATCTGGACATAAGGCTAGACTATATAGCAAACAAAACCATTCTTGAATAAACCATGTTTACATAAATTTTATAATCTATACAATGTAAATTACTTTTAAAATTCCTACTTTGAAACCAAATCTTCTATTTATGTCCATTTGTAGTACACGTGATCTCCAAAACACCAAAAAGAAAACCTGCATCTCTCATGTATATTTTCCTCACATTCAACAATCCTAAGGTCATTCCACTTTTTCAGTAGTCTCCTACACTTTAGCTATCATTTACAAAATGTTTTTAAAAGTTAGAGTCAGTGAAACTGACAACAAACTCTCTAAGTCCTAACTGAGAAAAGTTTCTAGTTGTGAAGCACTTCGATTTTCTCAAACAAGTTTAAATAAAGACCCCACCTGGGAACTCATAAACTGGTATTCAAAGTATATGATATTTTTTTCTCCTCCCACTAAATGTACTGAAGATCTATTACCTTCAATCTAATGCTAATATCTGAAAAGAATGACTTCACATAAGGTATTCTAAAAATATGTATTGAAAGTTGATAATTGCCATAATAACTGGACTGTGATCAATCTATTTTACTTGGACAAAATAAGAGGAGTGAATAGTTTTTTGACTGATTATGGCATTTTCATAATATGTATATAAGAATAAAACTGGCCAATTTATGTATCTGTGAATGTGAGAAACTTATTCAACTATTTAGAACCACACTGCCTTCTCGGAAACTACTAAAATCTGAGTTGGCTAGATTATTTAAACAATTAATGTAAATCAAATCTAATTGTAATGAAAACCCCATTATGATAAATTCATAAGCTGTAGCTAACACTTGGTATGTTCTTGAAAACAGAGCACTGGGCAGTTTTTGAAGACTTGCATTTTAATTATGGATCTACTTCTGACTTTAGAATATGAACCTAATATTGGTATCCATTAGCAGGCCTTATATAGTAGTAAGAAAGGTAAGTCAGCCATCTCTGAGCTTAAACAGGTTTAAGGAGCACCCTTACATTAAAATACCACAACAAAGGGGAATTTTTTTTAACACTACAATGGAACAAGGCAAAAGGGAGATACAGTCACTTAATTGAATTGAAACTTTAAACAATGGCTAGACTGAAGGCTAGACTATGTATCAAAACATGCTTTAAAACATTTTCACATTGGAAAATTGAACAAGGAACTAAATCAAATAATTACCTATATATGTGATAATTGCCAACACCATTAAAGAACATCAGAACATTTTACATATTATTTTTCTTTATTAAGAATGTTGAAATTAGAATAGGACAATATAGGCCTTTAATGTTCTGTCTGAATGCTCTACCAAAAGTCTATTTGTCTAAATGCTTTACCTAAAGTCTTAATGATTAATAAATATTAAATATAGCTTAATTAAAATTGAGCTATAGTCTGAGATATAGTAAAAAATATCCTTGTTCATTATGATATTAAAACTTTATAATCACAATAGAAAAATTATTAGGAAAATGTAGACCACATTAATTTATGAACTCAAAATAGAAGCAGTGAGAGAAAGAACTTACAGCAACAATCATAATTGCATTATCCAAAAAGCCAAACCCTATGAAAGGTATCGCATTGTGGATGAATACTGAAAAACATCAAAAACAGAAAAATATATTTTAAGATTTCTATAACTTAGAATGACAAAAACAGATGATATGATCAAAGTATCCTAAACAGACTTGATAATCTCTAGAATTTGATTCTCATTTTCCAGAGCCAATAGATGCTGCTACTGCTATAAGTAGAAACTATATTGGGAAAAAACAAAACAAACCAGAAAAAGTATAAAACATGTAAAAATAACTGTGTTAGACTTTTGTGTTTTCTTACTGGTAACACACACACACACACACACACACACACACACACAAATATATACATACAATTAACAGAACAAATTAGTAAACATATATGAGTACCACATTTTACCTGATTGCTACTGACATTAATCTCTTTTTCTATTATGACTAAAGTCTGATATTATAAAATCGATTTCTGTATTAGAAATAATGAAAATGTCCTAAATCAAATGTCAGAAAAGTTATTTGGGTGCTTTTACTAACTAATTTTTTTAAAGAAATGTTAGAAAAAGGTGATTATCTCATCTATATTACCTCATCTATGTGCAGTCTTTTTCCCCCCTCAAAATTCATCAATATTCCCAAATGCTATTGCAAACTATAAACAATCAATATTTGATTTAAATCAAACTATCACTTCACCTCTTGCTACCAAAAACACACCTTACTTCATCTATTGGGTATATAAATTCAATGATCTGAGATATTAGAAGTGTAACTAGGTCACGCCTGTAATCCTAGCACTTTGGGAGGCTGAGGCGGGCGGATCATGAGGTCAAGAGATCGAGACCATCCTGGCCAATATGGTGAAACCCCATCACTACTAAAAATACAAAAATTAGCTGGGTGTGGTGGTGCGTGCCTGTAGTCCCAGCTACTTGGGAGGCTGAGGCAGGAGAATCACTTGAACCCAGGCAGCAGAGGTTGCAGTGAGCTAAGATTGCACCACTGAACTCTAGCCTGGCAACAGAGCAAGACTCCATCTTAAAAAAAAAAAAAAATTGTAACTAGGAAGAACTAATACCTACATATTTTTTATACATTTATTCTCATTTCTTTCATATTTACATCTTCAGCAGAATATTGAGGGCATGGTAGATGCTCAAAAAATATTATTTCATTAAGTTGAAGACCACTAACCTGGAAAGGAAGAGAATTCCAGATTGGGAGAATTGAAGGCAGACTGTGAAATAGATTAAAAGCTGGGAATAGGTAAAAGACTTTATTCTAATTAATCTATAAAATTGCCAAGGTATAGTGAACATCCGTTCAACTGAGGACTTTTCTCAACAAACATTAAAATGCTGAGTTTTGTACTACGTCCAAAAAAATAATCCCTTAAACCAACTGGTTATATGTGTCTATTAATTTTTAGAGTCTTTTTTTCTTTTAATGCAGTTATCTCCACAGAAAGTATAATTGAAATATAATCCAGAAGTTATAAAAATTCGATATTACTATATTGAGCTCTGCACCTAGCAGGAAAGGCTAATAAGCACTCAAAAAAAAGCACTTCTACCCACAACCACTATAAATGACTAAGACCACGGGACAATACTATATACAGTATAAGAATACTATTATATTCAATATTATTATAGCTATACAATATTATATAAACCAGTACATAATAGGTATAAAATAGGTCATTTAAAATTTCGTCTTGTTTTAAGTAAAAATGTCCAAGATCAAGGACAACATTTTTAATTACAAAGAATATTATTTGTTATTAAAGGTTGTAAAAATCAAGTAAAACATTAATAAAATGGGATTTTTTTTCAATTAAAGAGTCTAGCCTTAGTTTTTTCACTTATTGCCTAAATCTGGTTATTTACTGAACACTCAAAATTTTATAAAAAGCAGCTTCCAGAACCAATACACATTACAAATTTAACAGGTTAGAAGAGTATAATGAAATTCTAAAAAATCACTAAATAAAACATTTACAGTGAAGAGAAAGCTACTTAAGTACTGAAAAATAATGATGAAACTGGTTAGGATTAATTAGCATTTTGGGATTCTTTTAATAGCATCTCTAAAACTGGCCAGTTACAAATATCTTAAAATTAGGTGATAAGCCCATTAAGTTAAGATTACACTAATTGCTATCTTAGTAAAAACTTGGTCAGTAAAACCAAGGCACTCTGTTACAAACAATCACTTTGAACTATACGATGTATGTTTTTAGTGTTTATACCTATATAAATATGTCCTAAAAATTATAATTTATTTTAACTAAAAGGAAAAAATATAGTTTTTCAAAAAGTTAAATAAACATGTACAGAGCACTCCACTGGGCACCTGAGATACAAAGATAAATAAGACTTGGTTCCCAGCCCTAAAGGGGTTTAGGTATGATAACACAGCCATACAAACAGTAAATTTCAATACCACCTACAAAAAATGATAATAGTATACAGTATTATGAACTATAGATTGTATGAATCTAAGGTGGGAGAATCATAAATTACTTGGGAACACAAGTGTTAAAGAATTTTTAAATTGTTTTGGTATTTGAGGAAAGTTACTAATCTCTAATATAAATTACATTCTACCTGTCAGAGAAAAAATAACTGGCCATTAGGTTTTTTTAAAAATTATATAAATTTGCTCTCTAGTATATAATGATCTCCTACTAATTTGTGGCTTCTTCAATTTACTCTCAGAAACACTATTCTATAACTTGCCAGTTGTTAGCAAATCACGTTTCATATTTAGCTTTAATTTACAACCTACTCTAATTCACTATACTGTTAAATAATTCACTTCTTCCATCTTTATAATAACATCCCAACTTGTTTTACATTATTTTGGTATATTCTTGAATATTTATTCCTATCATAATAGAGAAAAGAAAGAACACTAGCAGCATTGTAATAAGGTCCTTCTTCACGTAGTTTTAAATAAACTTTATTCTTTTCATTCTTACAAACAGCCAGCCGGAAACATTTTCTCTACCAGAGAACAGTTGTATCTCGCCTTGGGCCTAGAAATTCTAGTTCTGCATTTACCCAACTTAAATTCAAACTAAAGTAAATACATCCTTTTTCCTAGAAATTAAGAAAACTTCTATCATAAAAATAATTCTATTTCTAAATGGCAACAATATTTTAATAATATTAGATATTTTTAACAATATTAGATATTTTACAATATTGTGTTACATCCTTAGCCAAGTTTATAAACTTTGTGCTTCATATAATGAACAGGATAATCCACTCTATCTGGAAAGATTTAATTTACTGACTCTTCTGTGCTATCAATGAATGATACAGTTATTTCAAGGCCAAAAGACAGATGAACATATATTTAACAATTATAGAACCATTACCATATCTCAGCTGTCCTGGGGTGGGTGGTGGAGCTTCCAATTTTTCTAAAGGGGAGAAAAAGGATGTGGGGCAAGAATTAGTTACTACAGCGTGATATTTTTTATTACAATGAAGAAAATACCAGAAGATTTACAACGTGGGAGAATATCAGAGTTTATTCATAAATTATCTTTAGGTTAAGGGACCACATTTGTCCATACAGAAAATATTAATCAGTATGGATTAAATCAGAAGGCCAGCAAATGAAACTGAGCTTAGTTACAAGCTTAACATGGACTCTAGCCCTGGGTAAGTTCATTTGTTTTTTGTTTTTCAGATTTCTTTAAAGTCCTTACATCTAGATAATGAGTCTGTTTGCATTAATTACACTAGAAAAACACTTTAGAAATAAAGGTACTCTTCTTTCAGATGGCAACCCTAGATGACTTAAGAAATACACAAACAAGCATCATTGATAGTGGAAAACATGAATATTCAAATAGATCTAGATATCTTTAAAATGAAGAAAATATTTTTAAAGCAATGTATGAAAACAATGACTTCACTGAATTGTATTTTGTTCCTTAATCTCTGTTGATATAACTGAATATTTTAACTTTTATAATATATTAATAGTATTATATAATATTGATATATATTAATTAATATATAAGATATATTATATTGATATATAATATAACTGAATATTTTAACTTTTGGAACCTATACACTGGATAATAGGGTATTCCATACATTAAAACAACTTTTAAAAGTAGGGTGTTGTTCAGAATCACAAGTAACAAAGTTTTCCCAAGTATAAGCCAGAGAGTATCTTTACGTGTCAACATTATACCTAAAAATTAACAATTATTACAGGCAGCAGCCTACCTGGTCTTATAACAATAAGCATCTCACCATTTGTTTAAGGTAAAAAGGTAGAAAATTCTACCTTCTTTATGATCAACCAACTGGACAGAATTAATTGTTATCATATAGAGAAGAACCCATAGAGTGGATCACTCTAAAGATTTAGTACAACCAGATTATCCAAAGAAACGCATTACAAACTAGATGTACATCTTCAAAAATATTTATTTATATTTTATAACAACAAAAGAACTAAGGAATTTAGTATAAAAAAGTAAAAGTCAAATCTCCATTGATAACCTACATAAAAGGAAATATGGTCCACATTAGTGACTGGTATTTTCCAAGTTCCATAATGGCTTTACAGTAAGAAATACACTAAAACCTCGAGTTTAATTAACTTTCATAGTATTTAGAAAGTTCTAAGAAGCAAACTTAAGCTTTATTTTTCCTTTTTTAGAAGAATTAAGAAATGAAGATATATATACTAATCTTACAGAATTTCACATCTGATTAAAATATATTCTTATTTTTGATTAGCATCATTAACTCAAAATCTCCTTTGAAAGCATCCAAGTGGTTTGCCAAATTTCTAACTAAGAATACAGGATACTGCTATACTCCAGAGAATTTTCTGGTGAAGTAAACATGCAAAAGTGGTTATTTACATACCAGAACTATTTGTTAGTTGCATTAGTCTCATCATCACTACAGTTCTGACACTGTGAGAAGTCCTTGTCAGTTGACTGGAACATCTTGAAATACCTAAAAATTCAACAAGCAGGACCTCCCCAGTAGAATGAGAGTATATGGAGTCCTTGCTTTTACTTCTTCAAATTCCCAACTCATTGAGTAAAACATTAAAAATATTCTACAACAGCGAAGAAGAAAAGATAAGGGCTAGGCAAGTAAAAAACGTGTAGTAATAAAGAAAAAAATCAAATAATGTAATCAATATTCCTTTCTTTCTTTCCTACTACACATAAAAAATTAAAAACCAGAGGCAATAACAAATGTTAAGAGAAAGAAATATAAAATAAAGGAGATACAACAGGGAGGAAAACTACTGGCACAGAGGTGAAAGTAAAATCAAAACACAGATTCTGCCTCCTGCTTCACAAAGAACCTACAGAGTACAAGAGGAATCATGAAAAGAACATTTCCTAGAAAGTGACAATCTTATTAGGAAGTATCTATTAATTTATTTTATATTATTATTATTTTTTTGAGATGGAGTCTCACTCTGTCTCTCCCAGGCTGAAGTGCAGTGGCGCGATCTCGGCTCACTGCAGCCTCCACCTCCCAGATTTAAGCGATTCTCCTGTTTCAGCCTCCCGAGTAGCTGGGACTACAGGTGTGTGCCACCACACCTGGCTAATTTTGTATTTTTAGTAGAGATGAGGTTTCACCATGTTGGCCAGGCTGGTCTCGAACTGACCTCAGGTGATCCACCCACCTCGGCCTCCCAAAGTGCTAGGATTACAGGCGTGAGCCACCATGCCCAGCCCAATTTTTTTTAAAATCAGAAGTTATTCTTTCTTATGTTAACTGAATCAAAACAAAACATACATCAGAAGTAAAAAAAAAAAAAATTACCTATAAAATACAAAACGGAACTTGTAAATCAGCCCAAGGTTTCAGTGATCTGTATGGGTTTTAAAATGTAATTACTGCCAGTATAACATCCCTGAAAATAGTCACAATACATCCCAGAAGGTTTATTTCCATATATATATATTTTATGAATTAATTTCAGAATTTTCTTTTGACATATAATAAACTATCTACACTTACATTGGAAATGTGTTCTGCTCCAATGTTTTATTAAATCAACTATGGAGTTAAAACAGTTCTTTCCATCTGTGTGTGTGTGTGCGTGTGTGTGTGTGTGTGTGTGTGTGTGTCTGTGTGTATTATATACATCATACTCTTTTCCTTTTCTGGATATTTTAAAACAATAAGATAACTATTAAGCTTGTACTTCACCATACCACATTTGCCATATTACTTTCCATAATGGCTGAGTAACCTCTTATCAGAGGAATTCTCCTGCATGGAACAACCACAAACTACAAACAAAAATACAACAAATTAACTACCTGAAAGCACTGGAAAATTATTGAAACCAGGTTGATCTAGAGGGGAATCAACACAGAAAAAGAAATGACACTAAGTGAGTTAGTTACCTGTTTGTTGCAGCTTTCAGCCTGTGGGCAGGCTCCAGTCACAACATGCAGAGCAACTAAAGCTCTGATGAAAATTCCTCAGTCTCTGTCTGAAGAACCAGAGGATGAGGTGCCAGGTAACCAAACAACTAGAAAGTGAGAGAGGAATCCTGGAAAGGATAGAGTCAGAAAGGAAGAGTCCTAAATTCTGTGCATACATTCAGTTCAAGTCTACAGCTGGCTTGTGGAACCACACATGTGCAGGGAAAACTCCAAAAATACCGACTAAGGGCAAAATAAGTAAAGATTTGAAGGCATCCCACAAGAGTTTGCAGTTTGAACCTAACCATTAAATGCCTGCTAAAACAAACAAAAATCAATGCTTTTCAGATGAACAAGACAGAATCCAGAGTCTCTACAATGTAGCAATTACAGGAATAACTAGGATACATACAAAATTACTTCACAAACAAGGAAAAAGAAAAATGTGACCCATTTTCAGAAGACAATACAGACCAATCCCAAAGTCACTCAAATGTTAGAATTAGCAGACAAAAACTTTAAAGGAGCAATTAAAATTGTATTCAAAGATGTAAATAAAAATATGCTTAAATGAATAAGACAGGAAATCTCATCAGAGAAACAGAAGAAAATATCGAAAAAAGAACCAATAAAAAGTTCTAGAACTGAAAGATACATTATCTGAAATTATAAAATTAGCTGGGGCTGGGCACGGTGGCTCACACCTGTAATCCCAGCATTTTGGGAGGCCAAGGTGGGTGGGTCACAAGGTCAGGAGTTTGAGACCAGCCTGACCAACATGGTGAAACCCCATCTGTACTAAAAATACAAAAATTAGCCAGGTATGGTAGGGGGTACCTATCATCCCAGCTACTCAGGAGGCTGCGGCAGGAGAATTGCTTGAACCTAGGAGGTGGAGGTTGCAGTGAGTCAAGATCACACTACTGCACTCCAGCCTGGGCGACAGAACAAGACTCCGTCTCAAAAAAAAAAAAAAAAAAAGAAAGAAAATTAAAAATTAAAAAAAAATTAACTGGATAGGCTTACAAGCAGAATGAAGGTGAGAGAAGAGTTAGTGAAAATGATGTCAGATCAATAAAAATTATTCAGTCTGAACAACAGAGACTGAAAGGATTGAAAAAATAATAAACCTGAGTCTCAGGGACCAATGGCTAAATATTAAAAGGGCTAATATATGCTAATATATGTATGATTGTAATTAAAAGGCAAGTAGAGAAACTAGGAACAAAAACTCTTTGAATAAATAATGGCTACAAATTTCCCAAATTTAGTGCAAGACAAAAATTTCAAAAGATTCAAGAAGTTCAGTGAACTTCTAGTGGAATAAACATGAAGGAAAATTATCATAAAGGAAAAAATCTTGAAAGCAGTCAGAACTAAATACATATTAAACACACAAAAAAATAACTTCAGTATGCAGAAAGAAAATGGGCGTCAGTCCAGTATTCTACATCCAAAAATGTATCCTTTAAGAATGAAGGCAAAATGTATTTCAGATAACTGAAGCTATAAGAATGTGTTAACAGTCAACCTGCGATACAGAAAGTGCAAGAGAAATTCTTTAGTCTGAAGGGAAATAGCAGTTGAAAAGTAAATTCTTGAGGAAGGAATAAAGAGCATCAGAAATGGTAAATGTCTGGGTAAATATAAAAGATTACTTTTTCCTAGTGATTTAATTTAAATAGACATGACTGTGTAATGCAAAAATTGTAACACTGTCTTATAGTGTTTATAAAATATGTAGATGAATACATATGACATCATAACATTAAGGATGAACGGGGCAGTAAATGGACTGATTTGGTAATTTAGTTGCAACATTTCTATGATGAAAATAAAATGGTCCAATATTAGCTATAAGAGTCTGCAAAAAGTTAAGAATACATGCTGTAATCCCTAGAGTAACTACACATACAGATGAAATACAAAGAGAACATAGTTAAGAACCTAATAAGTAACTTGAAGGAGAATCTGAAGGAATGTTCAATTAAGCAAAAAGAATGCAGGAAAGGAAAACAGAAACAAAAAACAGAGGGTCAAACAGAAAACAAATAGCAAAATAGTAAACTTATATCCAACCATATCAATAATTACATTCAATTTTAATGGACTAAACACTGCAATTAAAATGCAGAGACTACAAAAACGAACAAAAAAAGTAAGACCCAACTATATGATATCCCAAGGATTACAGTTTAATAGGTTGAAAGTAAATGGATGGCAAAAAATATGCTACACAAACAGTAGGCTTATAAAGGCTGGAGCTTTATTAATATCAGATGAGGTAGACTTAAAGACAAAGAGTATTACCAGAAATAAACCAGGGACATTTCAAAATGACAAAAGGGTCAATGCATCAGGAGGCATAACAACTGCATGTTTATGCCTAATAACAGAATTTCATAATGCACGATGCTGAATCTAACAGAATTAAAGGGCAAAACAAACACTTCCATAATCATACTTGGAGATATAAAAGCCTTTTTCTTAGTAATTGACAGAAAACTAGGCAAAAATATCACTAAGATATAAACTTGAACACTACCAACTATGTTGATCTAATTGATATTTATACAAAACGACACTCAACAACTGTAGAATACATCTTATTTTCAAGTGCAGATGGCACATTCCTCAAAATAGAACATATGCTGATCCACAAAACATGTTAATAAATTTGATTAAAATCATAAATATGTTCTCTGACTATAATGGAATCAGTAACAATAAGATATATGACAAAACAAATTTGGAAATTAAACATCTTCTAAATACATGGACCAAAGAGGAAATCAAAAAGGAAATTAGAAAATATTTCAAACTGAGTAACAATGAAAATGCAATATATCAAAATTTGTAGAATGCAGCTAAATGAATGCTTAGGGGGAAATTTACAGTTTGAAATACTTACATTAAAAAGAAGAAAGGTCTAAAATAAATAAACTACAGTTCCATCTTAAGAAGCTACAGAGCAAAGTAAACATAAACTAAGTAGTAGAAAGAAGCAATGAAACAGAAAGCAAACAATAAAGAGTCAAAATTGGTTCTTTGAAAAGATCAATAAAATTAATAAGACTCTAGCTATACTGATAGACAAAAAGAGAATAAGAATTACTCATATCAGGAATGAAAGAAGGGGCATCATTACAGATCCCACAGATATTAAAAAGAAAAGAGTATTATGAAAAACGTTACACCCAAAATTCAACAACATAGGTGAAATGGACAAATTCCTTGAAAAATATAACCTACCAAAACTAGCAGATTAAGCAAACAAAAATCTGACTAGCTCTAACAAAATTTATTTGTTACCAAAAAACTTTATATGTAAACACACACACACGCACACACACACACCCCTTCCAAACCTAGATGGTTTCATTGATGAATTTTGTTAAAACATTTAAAGAAAAAACATCAATCCTACAAACTCAAAAGCTCTTCCAAAAAATAGATGAGGAAATAATTTTCAACTCATTTAATGAGGACAGAACAACATTAAAAACAAAGCCTAACCAAGAAATTTACAAAGAAGAGAAAACCAGATGACTATTCCTCATGAACACAGAACAAAAAGCCTTAATGGCATAATAAATATTCTGCTTTCCGAAGTATAAGAGTTTATTCATAATAGTGGCAAAAATAACCAACATCCAAACTTCTTTACATGTCCTCTTTCTTAGACATTTTCCAATGAAGGAAAAGTTGCTCTTAATAGGATTCCATGTGAAGAAATACATAGGATAGAAAAATTATCTACAAGAATCCATGAGATAATATTTACATATAAATTTCTTTCCTTTAGATTTCACATTTTAAAGTCTTTGCTAAAGGTTAAATAAGATAAGACAGTTACTATAAACTGCTGATTTATGCTGTAGTAAGTCAAATGAAAATTGTTTGAAATGAGACTCTCCAATCTGTTCATGAGGAAGTAGAGTTTTAAGAAGTCAACAAAGCCTTTTCCTTTGACTCCGCATTTTAGTCAAAACTGATTGTTATAATAGGGGTTTGACTGCAAATATTTTACATTAAACAAGCCATTTTTATATAAAAGTATTACATTCTTATACTCATAGTTGCATATGTTAAAAGGATGAGGATATTGAGTTTGTTTTTTATTAAAAGGAATTTTGAGGTAAAAATTAGAAAATAACATCTAAAATACTTAATTTATTTGGTTTATTTTTCATTATAAAGATTATATAATTATAGAAAGTTAATGAGATTCAGAAAAGCGAAAAGAAACTTAAAAGCATCCACAGTTTATCAGAAATAAATGTTTTGACGTATTGTCCTTCAATCTTTTTCCTATAAAGATATATACACAAAACTGTATTCTGCCTTTTCCACAAAGCATTAAATAATGAATATTTCCCACATCTTTAAATTTTTTAAGAAAATAATTTTATTTGTGAAAGTGTATTTAATGATATAGTCATTTCATTAATAGCCTATTATTAGATATTTGTTACTTTTCATACTTTCAAATAACATTAATTTGTACCTAAATTATTTTGCACTGCTCTGAAAATTCCTTAGAATAGATTCCTATAAGTGGCATTACTGAACCAAAGAGTGAGAAAGAGCAACAGCAAGAGAGAATATATGTAAGGGTGGTTTTTTTTTATTTCTGCAAAATTCATCGCAGACAAAGTATGTCAAGTTACCCCCATCTCACTGCATTTTTATTTTTTTAATGTTACACTCATATTTTCATGTTTTCAGAATGCAGGCAAAATGTCATTAAGACAAAATCCTTAAAAGAAAGTTCCAAGCAACAATTTCAAACTTATTTTAATTGACAACAAGATTCCAATACATAGAACAAAACAAGTCTGAATGTTCACTATAAGATTTAACCTGTATATCTCCTCTTTATTATACTTCCCTTTAAAAATAACTTCTTTATAAAAAACCTTCAGTCCAATATTAACAAAAGCATCTAAAATACTTTTTAGGATAAACTATGCCTGATATATTTCTTTTTTAAATAAGTTATGCTACTGTCAAATTAAATTTGGCCTAAAGCTGCCTGAGTACACAGTGAATTGTAAGCTGATACAGTATGTAAACCAACTGCAACCCACCTTAAGAATATATTCTTGGCCAGGCCTGGTGGCTCACGCCTGTAATCCCAGCACTCTGGGAGGCCAAGGCGGGTGGATCACAAGGTCAGGAGTTCCAGACCAGCCTGGCCAATATGGTGAAACCCCGTCTCTACTAAAAATACAAAAATTAGCTGGGCGTGGTGGCAGGCGCCTGTAGTCCCAGCTACTCAGGAGGCTGCGGCAGGTGAATCACTTGAACCTCAGAGGCAGAGCTTGCGGCAGTGAGCCCAGATCGCACCACTGTACTCCAGCCTGGGCAACAGAGCAAGACTCTGTCTCAAAAAAAAAAAAAAAAAAAAAAAAAAAAAAAATATATATATATATATATATATATATAAAATATTCTTGCAACAAGTAGCTGAATCTTGGCCAATCACAGCAGCTGAGCTTTCAGCCAATTACAGGCTGCAAACTGCTCACACATGTCCAAACAAGACAGACACAAGCTATAGCAAAAAAGTTATTTCTGTATATAATTTCCTTTTTCTATCTATAAATACTGTCTGCCCACATTGCTGGATGAAGCTCTCTGAACCTTTTAAGGTTCAGAGTGCTGCCCAATTCATGAGTTATTTCTTTGCCCAAATAAACTTTGTTATATTTAATCTGTCTAATGTTTTTCTTTTAGCAATTTGGCATCAAAAGTGAGATCTGAAGTATACCTCCAGGAGCACCAAGTGTCCAAGCAAAGGGCCAGAGCCAATTGTGCACATTGATCCCTCTGATTTGAGCAGCATGAATTTGAGTTTTGAGCTCACTGACTTTATTTGAGCATTTTTTACTAGATGGGATTCAGGATTGGATTGGATTGGATCCAGTTGGAGGACTCAGGTAGGTACCTTTTCAAAGTGGTTTCCCCTAAATCTAAAGAGTCTGGGACTCCACCTTCTGGGACACTGGCTAACTTTATAGAGAAAAATTACAGGCCCAGAACCTGTGTATTTTTGGAAAAAAAAAATGTCCTTAATCTTACTAAGGACAACTTAGAATTACAGTGGCCACAATAGGGAAGTTTTAACCTAGATTAAATTGCTCACTTGTGAGGTGTATCAGAAAAGAAAGGATCCCAATGCCACAAAAGCAATGGGATGCATTCTTTAACTGGCAAGCAGAGGCATTTAAAAAATAAATCAAAGACGGCCTCTTCAAAAGCTTCTTTACAGAAGGCAAGTAAAAACATCTTAAAGTCTTTTTCACAAATATCATTCAAAAGTTGTAGCTATCTGGGCAGGAAATATTCCACTGGCCAGAAAAACAATTTGGATCCATGTATTCTTTAATAAATTCATGAGTGTTGTATTATTGTATGTGGAACATGGCTAAAAGTTTTAAATGAAAGGTGTAAGATCTGTTTCTGTTTATATATGTCTGCATCTATGATGTATATCTATATATGTGTGATATTTTCTATTTCCTTATGATATTGCCAAATTAAAGTGTATAAGAATGCTATCTATTTGACTTAAAGAAAAATAAGCACTTAGATAAATGAAGTATTTGCTCAGAAAAATAGGAAATGACCCAAATGATTTTTGAAGCTCACACGACTTGGGTAATCTTTGGCAAATAAGAATATTATTGGTTTGATTAAAACAGACATATCTTCACAGTCATTAACATTAAAATTAACACAGATACATGACTTTTCCTACCTAGGTTTACTGGTGAAATAAACTTATGTTATCTCTACATTACAAAATTCATCAGCAAGAAAAGTAACTTAAGATGATGACTAGCTGTTTGATGTCCCATCTTGCTAAGCAATCCAAGCATAATTATTAAAAACGAGTGAGTTAAATAGAGATAAAAGTCCCATGTGAACGATGTCTTCCCTATACCAGAAGGTTTTAACATTCTTATCATCAAGAATGGAAATTTAAGGCTGAGAAAAATGTGCACAAATAGGCCTAGCCAAAAATCCAAAGAAGATAGATAACATTTTGCTTCTTCTACAGTTTCTTATTACAGAGACTAAAGATACTTGGGGCCATTAGTAAACATGTTCTGTGCCACACTGACAAACTGTGCTATGAGAAAGTACACGCTTCCAGATATTATGATTCATAGATTTGCAAATCTTCACATGGCTGGTGTGACAAATAGTTCACAATTATTTGCTTCCTAGTGTCCTTTGGAAATTAAAGTCATTAAGAGTTCAGAATTCTAATTAATATATATACTAAAATTACTAGAAATAAGAGAAATAATTTTATATAAAGTATAAAAGAAAAGTAATACATGATTTTGGTAAGCAAAAGCTATAAAGTATGAGGCTGTTTTGTTTCATTAAGGGAAAAATGTAATTTTTGTTTGAAAGTAGAATGACTGGTCATCCCAAGATGAGAACAGGAAAAGTATAAAACAAAATCTAAATGCAGAAGAAAGTTGTAGGTTTGCAAAGGACGAATCTTGTAAAAAGAATTTTATGTGTGACAAAGCCAGCTAAGATTAGAAGGGAATTATTTATCAGTTTTTCTAAAAACTGAGCATTAATACCAAAAGTATACTAATACAAAATTAGAATTTGGTTCCCTGTGTTAAAACAGTAAGAATTTCTTGGACTACTGGTCTACTTTTAATAGGAAATTGTGAAAAGTTTTTCTTTACCTTTTAGGTAATTGATCTAGGAAACAGATTCTGTGTTTTACCAAAGTAATTTCTTGTGGTCCATGTTGCTTTTATTGGGTGTTTGACCACTTAAGAAAACAAAATATTCTCTATTAAAATTTAGAGCTAAGTTTTCTCTACAACTATGTAGCTTTCTGTATTTACCTTTGAAGTCTAGTCTTGTAATTTTCACTTTTGTTAAATGAATGACTACTGTTCACAGTGACCTGTAACCCTATTTTAATCACGGATTTTAAACATTTGATATTTTTAACACATTTCCCAAACTTAGATTCTTAATAAAGTTTTTTTTTTTGACCTCAACTTTGATTTTCCGGTCAAGCCCTTGAAACATCTCGTATATAAGCATTCAAAAGAATGCTTCTCCTTATATAAAAAGACAGATATTAAACTAACTGGGCTTATTTGACATATTAAATTATATGAGAAGTATTGCCAAATAAGTAATGCTAAACTTTGAGTTTCATTTGTATGGATGTGTTTCAGAAACTGTATGAAATTCATAGCAATCTGATGGTTCTGGTATAATACAATCAGTCATCATTCTAGTTATTATATTCAAATGCTGTATGCAACAGAAATAATCAAATTTCCCTGTCAACTGTATCATCACTGTAATGAACTCTCATCAGATATTTAATCATGGCCATTGTAAGTTTTATCATTCATATTTGGTTATTTACTCTTGTACTTTCCTGAGCAACTATAAGCCTAAAGGGTTACATCTTCAAGGAGATTCATGTAAAGAACTCTGAGAAGTACAAGTTTCTGATAACTTTAAGATCATACCATTGGACTGAGTCCAAGAACTCTAAGGAAGAAACTCATTGGTTCATAAAACTGCTAACCCAACATAAAGCAGAACAAGAATTAATTAAATACTAAGGAAATGCCTTGGCAGATTTTCACAGTAGTTCAGCCAGTACTGAAATTGTTAAGATATGCAATTTGAACGAACTCTATGAGATTAATCCAAGTCAAATTATCTATGATAACCTATATAATAAACAAGTGCTATGCACCTGAATTAGATAAATAAAATTGTTATTTAAAAGGATATAAATCCAATGTTAAGCATGGGCTCATGGAAAGCCTGGACAGCTGCCTGGTCATTCCTGACTCCTGAAAACTTCCATTATTAAAAGCTCTGCACTCCAAGACTCATCACAGAAGAGATAAAATGATCCAAATTACAGGGAAAAATTGTTCGAGTGACTGTTCTAAGATTGCTAAAGTGGTTTATAACTAATGTTTGGTTTGGCAAACCCATAATTCTGGTAAGATAATAAAAAACCTCAGGTAATACATTTCTAGCACCTAATGAATCATTTGACCACTTACAGATGAATTTCATTCAATTACCACATTTAACATAGGTTTTATGATTATATAGAAGCTTTCTGATTGCACATAAGGCCGATGCTGTAAGAGCAATTAAAAGGTTATTAGAAAATATGTTTCTTTTATAGGGTATTTCTGGAGAAATCTCCAGTGATAAAGTTACTCATTTCAATGGACAAATTGTAAAACAATTAAATAAGGTATTACAAACACAATGGCATTAAACAAAGCTCACTTCAATGGACAAGTTGTAAAACAAATAAGGTTCTACAAACACAATGGCATTAAACAAAGCTAACTGAATTGACTTGATGGCCTTGGTCAAAGGTATTACCAATTGATGGCAATCAGATCCACTCCACTAGAAAACATAGATTGACCCCTTATATAACAGTTACTGGAAGTCCTATGTCCCTGATAATAGAACCTCATGTATCTACCACTCTTATAAACTCTGACTTGATTCAGTATTGAGAGGTTTAAATGCAAGATGCCAAAGTATATTATCATCAGGTAAAAGAAGCCCTTCATGACCCACCAACTGATGACAATCAGACCTTTCACTATCTAGAACCAGGAGTTTAGGTCTTTTGAAAAAGACCTAGAATGACTGCCCTTGAATTCTGTTGGAAAAAACAATACCAACATGTTCTCTGCAGTAAAATTTCAGGACCTCGAGTCTTTGATCCACATCTCTTAACTCAAGAGGGCCTCTCTAGACTCTTCAGACTGTATACCAATCAGAGACCTCAAGGTAAGGCTGACCAGGAAAGCTATTTATTTTACCCAGAAGCAGATGGCATCCTGGATGTGAACAGCTTTCCCAAGATTACAAATCAAGACTTCTCTGTCACTATGAAACCTGTGCCTCTTTTCCTCTTTGGCCTGTGTTCCTTTTCTGTTTATATATGGCAAGATAATGTGATAATTAAGATTTCATAACCAACATCTTCTGCAATTGAATGTTAGATATGTCATGTTACTAACAGTAGGCAAAACCTATAGTGAGGGTTTTGCAGTTAAATTACGCCAGAAATTGTATAAGAAAACCAGAGGAAGACGATTTGACAGTTTATAGGCAAATGTGTAACCCTAATTCCTTGTCAGTAGCCTCCAACCTTGCAATGATTCCAATAATGGAGCCTTAGACAAATATTGCTAGTGCTTCTCTAATAGTGGCCTCTAATGTACAAAGCATTTCATAAGGAACTGCCTGTTGTGCACCTCCAAGATACATTTTTATCTGTGGAGGATTTTATGATCAACCACATATGTGGGTAACTCCATGTATCAATAAGTGGAAAATAAGGAACCAATGTGGTTTAGGGATTCTAATGGTATCACTGTCACTCCATAACCAACTGGAAAATGAACATTGGTCTATACCTCTTAATTTGCACTATAAAATAAAGGGGAATTTGCCAGCAGGTGTAAATCACTCTAAATAGGCATTTTTATTTTTATTTTTTCTGGTAAAATACTCCTTCCCTGGCTTGGCATAAATGTAAATGAGGTTATGATTAGAAATTTGTCTCAAACATTAGCTACTACAGCTGACTCTACTGCAAAGGCTATAGCTGCCCAGCAAACTTCTTCAAATTCTCTTGCTAAAACTGTTTCAGACAGCATCATTCCTTTGGACTCTGCTGTCTGAACAAAGAAGACTGCATGCAATAGCTAACACCTCCTGCTGCACTTGCATAAATATATCTGGTATGATAGAAAGTCAGTTGCCAGAAATCATTAAGTAAGCTACTTTGTTAAAACAAGTAGATTCTTCTTTTGGCTCATTTTTTATATATTTGATTTTGATTGGTTCAATTGACAGGAGCTCCTGTTAAGAAGTATACTTCAGTCTCTTAGTATTATCCTCCTGATAGCCATAATAGTCTCCCTGGTACACCATATCCTCTCTAGAGTATTAAGTGCTCATGTATAGCCATACAATATATATCAAATGGCCTCGCTATGGTTAGAACAATAAAAACATGAAGAGAACATAAACGTTCAGCTTACCTGACATTAACAATTGTGAATTCCATAGAGACCAAGCAAGTCTGTTATGATGGTGAGTGACAAAGAATGGTGTCAATGCCCAAAATTTTGGTCAATCTCTCAAAATTGAGAGACTGATCAAAAGGGGGAAATTGTTAAATTAAATTTGGCCTAGAGCTGCCTCCATATGTAGCAAACTGCAATCTAATTTCATATGTAAACACACTGCAACCTACCTCAAAGTATATTCTTGTAACAAGTAGCTGAGCTTTGGCCAATCATAGGAGCTGACCTTTCAGCCAATGACAGGCTGCAAACTGCTCAGACATGTCCAAATAAGGAAAACACCAACTTGTAAACAAAAGGCTGTTTCTGTATAGCACTTCTATCTGTCTATAAATACTGCCTGCCCATGTGTTGCTGGGAGGAACTCTCTAAACCTGTGCTGGTTTGTCACCAGTAAGCATTCAGAGAGCTGCCCAACACGTGAGTTGTCTCTTTGTTCAAATGAATCCTGCTAACTTTAATTTTTCTAAAGATTATCTTTTAACACTACTAAGAGATACATCCTAAATTGAAAAGCAATAGATTTTAGTAAAAGAAATGTGCAACACCTATAGTTTCTACATTTTAGCCTCCATCATAAAATTACAAAACATGTTTACAACAATGGTGATGCTGTAACACAGAAACAGGGCTAATGGCATATAGAGTGAGCTCTATTATTTAATAGAAACTATAATTTGTCATTTTCATGTTGAATGTTCCATTAAATTTAACATTACCGTATTAATCCATTCTTACACTGCTATAAAGATACTACCTGAGACTGGGTAATTTATAAAGAAAGGAGGTTTATTATTTATTTATTTATTTATTTATTTTGAGATGGAGTCTCGTTCTGTCACCCAGGCTGGAGTGCAATGGTGCAATCTCGGCTCACTGCAACCTCCACCTCCCAGGTTTAAGTGATTCTTCTGCCTCAGCCTCCAGAGTAGCTGGGATTACAGGCACATGCCACCATGCCTAGCTAATTTTTGTATATTTTTTAGCAGAGACAGGGTTTCACCATGTTGGTCAGGCTTGTCTGGAACTCCTGACCTCGTGATCCGTCTGCCTCGGCCTCCCATAGTGCTGGGATTACAGGCATAAGCCACCGTGCCCTGCCAAGAAAGAAGGTTTAATTGACTTGCAGTTCCGCATAGCTGGGAAGCCTTCAGGAAACTTAAAATCGTGGCAGAGGGTGAAGGGAAAGCAAGGCATATCTTACATGGCAGCAAGAGAGACAGAGCGTGCAGGGAAAACTGCCACTTTTAAAACCATCAGATCTCGTGAGAACTTCCTCCCTATCATGAGAACACCATAGGGGAAACCACCCCCATGATCCAATCACTTCCTACCAGGTCCCTCCCTCGACAGGTGGGGATTACAATTTGAGATGAGATTTGAGTGGGGACACAGAGTGAAACTATAGCACACACTTTACAGGGTGTGTAAATCCATACTTGAAATAAAAGAAAATCTGAAAAAGAAAGAGTCTTATTTCCTAGTCTATTTTTTTTATTATGCTTTCATGGAAATAATGACTCTTAACGTGATATTTCAGCCTATTATCATGGATGTAAAAAGCAATATAAAAATCACAAATGAAGGTAAAAATCCAAATTATTTATAATAAACTTAATAAGAAAAGTACCAAAGCAGCTTCACCCTGAGATGACAGAAAAGGAACAGCTTAATGCATATACTATTCCTTTATTACAAATAACTCAGTATTCTTTAAGTGTCTAATTATGCAGTTGCTGACCTTTGACCACCTAATATTTATTCCAAACTCACCCTAATATCTTTCCCACAAAAGTGCAGGAAGTAGACATGACAACACAAATCACAGTCTGGCCTAATTAGAAAATTTATGAAAATAATAGATATTAAACTAGTGAGTTTCAGCAACAATTTGGGGACCAAGGGTCTCAGTTACCCACAATTCTGAACATTATGAATAACTGCTTAGTCCTTTAATAGAACCAAAAGTTCAAATGAGTAAGGTAAAATTTACAATAAATATACAACATATTAAAGAATACAAACTTAAAATGCAAACCATGTTATAAGTAAAATAATTTAAGCAAATCAAATGCCAAAAAGTCTAACGTGCACCAAAAGTGGTTTATAAAGCAACACAGCAGTGTTTTTTTTAAAAAGAAACAAATTAATATGGCCAAGTTATATACTTACAAAACCTGACATTCAAAATTGAAAAATGAATGTTAAGCTTTCTAAAGTTAAGCTCTTTAGAAACAGCAGAGCTTAACTTTTAATTTAGTAGATTTTAATTAACCTGTCTTTTTAAACAGAAATTTTAATTGTAAAAGGACTTTTTAATTATTTCTAAATATATATGTCTTACGTAAAACCCATAAAGGCATTTGAGCGTAATCTTGTAATTTTATTTAGCATTTAAAAGTAATTACTGCAACATATACCTTATGTAGGAAAGAAATTTCTACTTATATCTTATAAAAACTAACATTGTAATGGAAATTGGAGACTTAGAATGGAAGAGGCAAGAGAAAGGCAAGGGACAAAAAACTACCTATTGGGCACAACGTACACTATTCAGGTGATGGGTACACCAAAAGCCCAGACCTCATCACTATACAATTCATCCAGGTAACTACAAACTACTTGTACCCCTAAAACTATTGATTTTTTAATTAAATAAATAAGTAAATAAAAGAACTAAAACTGTCACATTGTTAACCTTCCAGGGAACTTACCAAGCAACCTGGGACTTCACTGCAACCTGTTACCTAGAAGCAACTAATGAATTCCAGACTGGTTGAGACCAGTGGTATAACAGCTGAGGACAGGAGTTGGCCAGAAGCAATCACAAAGTAAACTATAGTATTCAATTAATCATCACCTTTATCAACCATATTAATGTACCATCCCTATTAACTATTTAACTCTGACTTAAATAATAGTAAATACTAGAGGTACAATAATTTTTCTTTTTTTTTTTTTTTTTGAGGCGGAGTTTTGCTCTTGCTGCCCAGGCTGGAATGCAATGGCGTGATCTCGGCTCACCGCAACCTCTGCCTCCCAGGTTCAAGCGATTCTCCTGCCTCGGTGTCCCGAGAAGCTGGGGTTACAGGCAGTAGCCAGGGTTACAGGCAGTAGCCGGGATTACAGGCAGTAGCCAGGATTACAGGCATGCGCCGCCATACCTGGCTAATTTTGTATTTTTAGTAGAGATAGGGTTTCTCCATGTTGGTCAGGCTGGTCTCAAACTCCTGACCTTAGGTGATCCACCCACCTCAGCCTCCAAAAGTGCTGGGATTACAGGCGTGAGCCACCGTGCCTGGCCAATAATTTATTTTTCTTATTGCATTTCATGGTAGTTTTTTTTTTTAAGGATAATCAGATATACTACTGACCTGTAGTTTCACACATATAACTTGTGTGCTTCAACAACTATATATACTTCTAAACACAGAAAATTATATTCCTTCCCTTCTTTTATGCCTATGGAAGATAAAGAAAATAATTACTATATACAATGATATTCCTTTTTTAAAGGCTAAGATATTAAAACAATAGTACAACTTAAAAAAAAATCTTGTTGCTTTTACTTATTAGATATAGAGATGGTACTATATAATTTTTAGTTTAAAAAATCATATAGCTATGGATAATACTGTAGAGAAAAAGCCTAAGGCAAGCTAGAATAAAATAATTTATCTTGGAACATCATAAATGGTAGATCTGTGAGTAGGGCTACACAGATTCGTAAAAGTTATTCATTTTAAAATAAAATTGTTTCGTATCCAGGAAGCAGCAGAGGTTTTTCGGTGTATGATATATTACCTTCTTTTTCAATCATGCCCCAAATAAGAATTCTTTCACAGAATGTTGAAGCTGAAAGAATTCTTAGAGACCATTTGCCAGTAGTTCTCAATATGAAGTGGTCCCTCCCCACTAGAAGAGGTTTGGATATGCAGGGTCGTCTGGGATATGATAATGACTGGGAAATGCTACCACCAGCATTAAGGAATCTAAACTTCCTACAATGCACAACAGAGTACTTCATAACAAAGAATTATCCAGCCCAAATACCAGAAGCACACTCACTGTGAAATACTGACTTCATTCTCCACTTTGAAGATGTAGCCACTTAGGCCCACAGATGTTAAGTGACTTACTCAAAGACACACAGCTAGGTCCAGAACTCAGATTCTCATTTTCCCATTCTACTTCTCATTCAGTTAATAAATTCTCAATAGAAAAATATGGAAGAACCAAGAATCAATTGTATGTGCATATATAAAACATTGTCAAAACACTGGTTATTCATTAGTATTTGAAATTGAAATAAAACTGCAATTAGCTAAAATACTAATATCCTTTTCAAATTGCTTTTTTTCCCCTCATAAAATGTAATTCCCCTTCAGATACATTTTTTTTAAAAAAAAATTGAAGTTAAAATAAAGAGGAGAAAATCAAATGATACATCATAGTTACCAAATAAAATGTTTTTTGAATGGAGGTATTAGGTGGTTTCTGCTGGATGGTTTCAGAACAACTGGAAACTATTACATGGTTCCAAAACAACTGGATACCCTATAGCCTGAGGCTAATCCACTGCTAACACTGAAGAAATGTATTAGAGTGAAAAACAGCACCGAACTAAAAACCCAAAAGACCTAACACAAATACCTACTCTGATATATAATTAGTCACTAAATCTTCAGCAGGTTACAAGCCCTCTGGGTCTTAGTTTTATGTTACAAAAAATGAGTTCAGGTCTTCATGATCCTTTCAAGAGATGTACCACCTAAACATTCATAAAGAAGCATACTACTCTAAGTAGGGATATAACCAAACACTGAGTCTCAAAAGGCAAGAGCACTGACAGGCAAGTCCTACTATCAGTTATCATTCAGCAGCTCCTGATCTCCTAGTGATATTGTGTGCCATTATCTATAAGAATAAGTATCTTATTCTTAATAGAATAAAATTTGAATTTTATTTGAATAAATTTGAATAAGTATCAAATAAGTATTTGAGGGCTAATTAAAATATCTTCAGAATATTTCAAAATTAACACTTTATTCTTCAAAATACATTTGCATTAAATGTTTAACTTCTACATGCAAACTAAGATTTAAAATTTTTAATATTGGAGCTGGCAAAGTAAGAGTATACTGGGGTATTTTTGCAGACAATGTACTAATACATCAGTGTGTGTGTGTGTGTGTGTGTGTGTGTGTGTGCATGTGTGTAAAAACACTATGCCCCTATATTTCTCTAAAGTTCTTACAGCTTAGTTTTTGCTATTTTTGCCTGACATTATACATACAGTCTGAGTTTTATTTAACTCTTATCCCTACAAAATTTCAATTGGTCCACAAAATATTTCAGACTCCCTTTCATACACTGTGTTATACTTCTTAGGCAAAGTATCTAAATCAAATAGTAATCAGAAACAAATAAAACAGGGACAGAGAGATATTTGTTTTAATCTTTCTCTCTCTCTCTCACCACTCCCTCTTTCATAACATACCCCTACACTCTCTCTCTTTCCCTCTCTCTCTCTCTCACACACACACACACACACACACACACTTCTACCATCACCGTAGCATGTAACCTGAGTTAGATATCAAGCTGAATGGTGGATGAATCTAAAAAACTTTCATGAATGACCTTAGTATGAACTTATTTAAGGCTGTCAAACTATTCAAAAATATATTTTTAAAATACTGAACATTTCCTGAAGTTTAGTCATTGTACTTAAATACAGTCTCTCTTCGCAATATTCTGAAGGTTCCACTGTGTGTGGCCCTTTTTACCTACTCATTTGTCCTAAAGAAATTCATAGACTTTGCTGCTTCTTATGTTTCACTTGCTATGGTTATTTCAACAATTTTTAAATATTCTATTTAAATATAATTAAATATAAATATTTTGCCTTTTCTTAAAGTTATAAAATTTAATCCTTCAGTTAGTTGAGCATGCAGTTATTGTTCCATCATACAGACAGTCAAAAACACTAACGCAAAAACAGAAAAATTAGGCAGTCTATTTCAAACAAGCAAGAAGTTCCATCAAATAGATGCTTCACTACTTGCAATCAACACTGTAAGACTGTACTATACCAAAGCTATCAGGGGTCTCTGCTGAGGATACTTCCTTCGCAAGCTTCACAATGGCAATCTCAGGTTTGGGATATCTGCATGCTAAAAGATATTTTAAAATCAAAATATATGCATGCAACAAAATAAATAATATATATATAAACTTTAAAATATATATAAAACTTAGAAGTGCCACATGCTAGTATACAGGCAGTCTTTACTTTGCACAGTAATGTGGGGTCATATAACTGATAACGCAAACTTAAACTGTGCAAAGCAGCCTTAGTAACAGATGGGAAAAGTTGTAATCATTCTGTGACCTTTCAAATTTTTTTGTCAAAACATGAAAAACTCTCTTATTGACAGGTATAAATGTAAAGGACAATTTTGAAAATAGTAAAACTAATGTTTATTTAGTATACTTTAAAACATTAGAAACGCTGATAAAGTGTGTTGTTTCTTTGGAAAAAACTTATCAGAAGCAGGTTTAACAGTGCTAGTCTTCTCATATAACTTCTCATCATATAACTTACAAAATGCAGCGAGCATCTTTCCATACCTTGATAAATTGTCACACACTTTTCTAAATCTGGATGAGTTTATAACATTTTATCCTTTACATTTTCAACGTCATGAAATATCTCCAAGAGTTCCTTTAATGTGAACTTTTTGCCAGGGTCACTTCCCCTGAAACGGCTTCATCTTTTCACCACAACCTCCTCACTTTCTTCATTTATATCCATAAGTTCACCTTCCCTAACCTCCTCTGGATGTATATCTGGAGTCTCTTAAATGACAGCAGTTCAATAGCAGTGTCAATATTCCCACAGTCAGCTATTTCTTCTATACTCCATTTACACTTCCCAGAATTTCACTTCAGCATTTTCACTTTTTGTTTCTTGGCTGCGCTTTTATCTCTTTTGGTCCATTTCCTTTTGATTATCCATTTTTGTAAAACATCACGTTATCACTGGGAGACAAGGAGGAAACACACCTACATGCTTTGCTGTCTCTGTGTGAACTGAATGACAGACATATAGTAACCAATCACCAACAGACTATTAAAGAAAAGCAATGTGATTGGTCATGATTACGATGTACATATGTTTCTACAGAGTGATTTATGGACTGAGGAGCTAGCAGCAAAGTTTGTACTTTATACAATTACTGAAAGTTATACTGTTCTAAATGAAATTTGAACTGAGTTGTTGGGAACTGGTGTTATTTAACTAAAACATGGTTACTGAGATTCATGCATATAGAAATTATATAAAGCAGGGATTGCCTATAATAATGAAAAATGAATTATTAATGAATTTGCATAAATCCAGAGAAATAGGGCATTAAAATTTAATATACATTTTTTTCTGCCTATACAAATTAGTGTAAAATCAAAGGAACAAGATTCTCTTTCTTAGAAGTCAAATGTTTTCCACTTAAATTCCTTGAATTTACTATCATAAAATAAAATAAAATAAAATAAAATAAAATAAAATAAAATAAAATAAAATAAAATAAAATAAAAATACAGGTAAGATTCCAGAAAGGAGAAATTATTTCCCTAAGAAGTGGGAGACAGACTCCTAGAAGAGGTAGGATTTAGCCTTAAAGTATTGCAGGATTTCAGTAAGTGAGGGGAGGTGGGATTTCTCTTCCCTCTCCCATAAAGTTCTGTCCAAAAGCCATGAGGAAGAAATGAGTGAGGCAGGCATCTGTATAGGAGGCAGGGGAAGCCACAGAAGCCTAGAACAGCGTTTTAGAGCTCAAGCAGTGTGAGGTGTATCCACACAGGCAGGTTGGTCTGGTATAAGGTGTCAGAACCCAGTTGGGCCGGGTCCAGTGGCTCACGCCTGTAATCCCAGCATTTTAAGAGGCCAAGGCGGGCAGATCACTTGAGGTCAGGAGTTTGAGACCAGCCTGGCCAACATGACGAAACACCGTCTATACAAAAAATACAAAAATTAGCCGGGCATGGTAGTGCACGCCTGTAATCCCAGCTACTAGGGAGGATGAGGCAGGAAAGTTGCTTGAACCCAGGGGGCAGAAGTTGTGGTGAGCTGAGGTCGCACCACTGCACTCCAGCCTAGGTGACAGAGGGAGACTCTGTCTCAAAAAAAAACAAAAAAAAGAACCAGTTGGTTGAGACAGGCTTCCACACACTAAGGGGAAGGGATTGTGGCTCAGGGTGTCAGTGCCCAAGTTGGTGCAAGGAGGGCATCTGTATAGGAATATGTGGGCAGTAGTGGTGATGGGATTTTGGTGACAGGAGCAGTGGTGAAAAATAAATAAATATATTAAAAATAATAGGAGCTAGGAATTTCTCCATCAGAGAATGGAGTTAGAAATACGGAAAGTGAGAAAACTAGAACATGCCCTGTGTTATTAGCTTAGTATTGAAGAAACTGTAATGAATCTTTATAATACATAAAGACACATAGAACTATAAATAATATAGCTTTTATATATAAATACATATATTCATTTATTTACTAGCTCTGTCCACTCTTAGGGCAACATCCTAATAGTTATGAGCACACCTAACACCCAGATCTTGGTTTCTAAATACTAATCTACACTGAGAAAAAAAAAGAGTCTCTTGTATAAATGGCTGATTCTAAGGCTAGGGCAGCAAAAGTGCAAGATGAGTCTGGAACATCTTGTGGAGTATTCAAGCCAGGAATTATTCAAAGAGTAATGAAGACACGTCAAAAAGACACAGAAACCAGCTTGAAGGGGTTCCCACTGGCCACATATAGGGTAGCTGGAAGATCAAAAATGATAGTAATGAATTATAATCTACTGAATAGAATATATTGATATAAATTGCTAAAATGAATGGGATATTTCATAGACTCAAAGTATCACTTCACAAAAGACTTATAAATTATAAAAAGGAAAACAGTAACTTTAGAGTGCATAAGTCAGATAGATACCATGTTAATCAAACGTCCAAAGTTAACATCACCAAGGACAAATTGAAATCATGGGCCAAATGATAGGATGAAAAAGAATATAACATCAATCCTGTGATACTCCTGTCAAAGATGCATAACTGAAATATATTCATGAGGAAAGAGAGAAACCCAAATTGGTTTCTCTCAAAGACGTGCTACAAAAAACCCAAAGACATGCTACAAAAAAACTGGTCTGTAATCCCCAAAAGTGTCAAGATCAATGCAACTCAAGGGGAAGACTAAGGAACTGTTCCAGATGGATGGAAATTAAAAATAGGTAACAACTAAATGCAACACACAATTCTGATCTGAATCTTTTTGCTCTAAAGAATTACTGAGATAATTGGTGGAATTTGAATGACATCAGAGTATTAGATGGTAGTAAAGTACCCATGTTATATTGTGGTTATCCAGGGCAATGTTCTTGTTTATAGGAAATCCATACCACAGTACTCCCGTTGCAGTGGACAATGTGGTACATAATCTGATCCTTAGCTGCCAGAAGTCCTGATAATAGACAGCCCTCAACAATCAGTCATCTTGGGGGACCGACACAGCTGAAGAATGCTGCCTCGCTCAGGGATCTGCACCCTGCCCAGGGCACTCCACATCTAATAGCTTGTTTTCACAGAAGCAGAGGCCCAACCCTTTTGCCCAACTCCAGACAACACAAAAGTGTCATCCCATCTCCAAAACTCCCTACGGTGTTAGCTGAGGCTTCCACTGAAACTATATTACACCTTTACTTCTACCTCTGCCCAAGCCTGCTTCTTTCCCTTCCCTTCCCAAGGTGAGAATTTCACCAGCACACTACTCAATCAACTACTTGCATGTTAACCTTTGTCTCAGAAACTGCTTGCCAAGGAACTCAATCTGTGAGAGGAATGATAGGGCATCATATCAGAAACTTATTATCCAATGATTTAGGAGAGGAGAAAAAAAGTTTGTTGTGCCATACTTGAAACTCTTCTGTAAATTTAAGACTGTTTCAAAATGTAAAAAGGAATAAAAAAATTCGGTGGGAAAAACACAGGAGAACAACATGAAGAAAAGCAGAAAAGAAAAAAGTATGATGGAGGTCACAGTTCAATAAAGAAATTAGACTAACCAATGGACAGTGTATTCCAGGTAATAATGGGAAGTAAAAGAAGATAGGCAAAAAGAACACATCTCTTACACGGCATTTATTTCTCAAATGTGATTGTTGCATAGCTACAAAATCAGGGTTAACAATTCACCTTTTTTCAAATTGTCATTAAGAAGTCCCTTTGAGCAGAAAAAAAAAAAATTCTAGGACGTTTTTTAAACCAGAAGATCTTTCTCATGCACATAAAATTCAGCCAGTTCACAAAATGTACCACATCTTATATTATCATTATCACATTTGCCTATTTTCTTTCACAATTCAAGCATGCCTGAAGCTACTATCTACATGTCTTCAACTCTTTCCTATCTTAAAAACAAAAATACTTTCTGTAACCTTGCTATTCAAAATATGGTCCCTGGACCTGTAGCACTGAAATCCCTGGGAATGTGTTAGAAATGCAGAATCTCAGGCCCCACTTCAAACCTAATGAAACACAATTTGCATTTCAATAAGATTCCCAGATGATGTATGCAAATTAAAATTTGGGAAGCAGGGGTCTAGTTTTCACTGTGTGATATAACATAGGGGCTTCATCCCACCTTTATAATGAAACACAGTCAAATTCAATTCAAATTGATGGCTTATTTCTAAACCATAAGAGAACTGAAGTCACAGAGCAATCAACTGGCCCTAAATCAAAAGAGGGGCAGGCACCTGCAAGGACAGACAGGATCTTAGTACTTGCTTACTTAGGATAGCTGCAACTGGACACCATAAGAGGGTACAGCTAAATAGTAGGTGAACAGGTGAAGGCAGAGTGGGAGATTTTGAGGCAGTATGAAGCTACTAGGGTATGCATAAACTGGGGGAGTCCACACCTTCTTGCAGGTTCTGTTGCTAGAAATCACACCAGATACACACAAAAAAGACAAGAAAGCCCTAAGAAAGTGCCCATTGTAGTAGAAACCTGAAGGAGGGGAATAGCAGTATTGTAGGAAGAACATGAAACTCTACCTGGATCCTTCTCCCAATCTCTACGAGTCAATCCTTAATCTGAGCGGTGAACCAATTAAACCTTTTTTTAATAAATTACCCAGTCTCAGGTTATTTCTTTATAACAGCATAAGAATGGCCTAATACATACCTGTTTTACCCATCTCTCCCCTCCCTTCTTAAATAAGGAAGGCTATATAAGTATGTGGGCCCCATTAGGATAGCGGGTAATCACTCTGTGATTTTCCCCCATGCATGCCAATAAATTTGTAGGCCATTTCTCTTATTAATCTGCCTTCTGTCAGTGAATCTTCAGAGGGCAAAGGAGTTTTCCTTTTCTCTCTACACCAGTAACATATACTTAAAGTAAATTCACATTTCTGACTTATGAGTAAAGAGATGACCTCAGATAAAATCAAGCTATTGCCCAACATCTCCCTTCCACATCCAAAGTTTCCTTCAGAAAGTTGAATCCTTCCTTATTGATACTCCCTTCTCAGCCAACTAAAATCTGGCTTCTCCTCACATAGCTATCATTAAAACTGCTCTGACAAAGACATCAATCTCTTTCACGTTATTAAATCTAATGGACCCCACACACACCTCAGCCCCAATATTCCTCTTACTTGACCTATCTAAAGCATCAGATCACTCTTTTTTTATTTTTATTTTTTTGAGACAGTGTCTCATTCTGTCACACAGGCTGGAGTGTAATGGCGTGATCTCAGCTCACTGCAACCTCTGCTTCCCAGGCTATAGTGTTCTTCCCACCTCAGCCTCCCAAGTAGCTGGGACCATAGGCTTGCACCATCACACCCAGCTAATTTTTGTATTTTTAGTAGAGACGGGGTTTTACCATGTTGTCCAGGCTGGTCTCAAACTCCTGAACTCAAACAATCCTCCCAACTCGTCCTCCCAAAGTGATGGGATTACAGGTGTGAGCCACCGTTCCTGGTCTTATTCCCTCTTTCTTGAAATGCCTCTTCCACCCTTAGCTTCTAGGATATCTTTTTTTTTTTTTTCCTGTCTCTCTGGACATTACTCCTCTCTCTCTTTCTAGTTCTTGTTCTTCTTCCTGTTCTCTTCCAATAAACACTGGTGTTTTTCAGCATTTTCTCCTGGGATCTTCTCCTATCACTCTATTTATACTGCCTAGCCCTAGTTACTACCTATATGGGTAGAAGTCCCAAACTTGACTCTTACTCTGGAGCTCCAGAGTTGATATATACAATTAATTACTAAATATCTTTATATAGTTATCTCACAATACCCAGTAAAGCTGAAAATGAACTCAAAGTCTGGAGAGCTTTCCTATAGGTTAAATGTTAGATTTCGTTTTAAAAAGTCATTCGAGTTAGGAATTCATTTTGAAAACAAATATAAAAAATCTTCCAAAATCTAAAGGAAAACTAAAGGTTAGAGATTTATGAGTTACAAATCCTAAATACTAGCTTTCTGACTTTTCCAAACTTTTCACACTATATATTAACTTTTTTGCACATTGATTCCCCTTATTTTCAAAGTAAGAATACCATATTTGCTTTTGTATTGAATGGTGCATATTATGCAAACACACAGGAGATACAGGAGACTAAGATATGTTACCAGTACATCCAGTTAGTTTAAAAATTAAACTTTTATTGACCATGAGGTGTTATTTTCCCCATGTGTTTAAAATCCTGGATATAAGTATCCAGAGAGGGGCAGTAAGTAGTAAGTAGGAAGAGAGGTTGGAGTCAGACAAACCTTTTTTTTTATATATATTTTTACTTTTTTATCTTTTTTTTTTTTTTTTTTGAGATGGAGTTTCACCCTTATTGCTAGGCTGGAGTGCAATGGCATGATCTCAGCTCACTGCAACCTCCGCCTCCCAGGTTCAAATGATTCTCCTGCCTCAGCCTCCTGAGTAGCTTGGATTACAGGCACCTGCCACCACGCCCAGCTAGTTTTTGTATTTTCAGTAGAGACACGGTTTCGCCATGTTAGCCAGGCTGGTCTCAAACTCCTGACTTCAGGTGATCCATCCACCTTGGCCTCCCAAAATGCTGGGATTACAGGCATGAGCCACTGTGCCCAGCCAAAGCTGTTATTGACTCTACTCTGACACACTGGTTGAAGGATTTGGGGCAAGCTAATCTTCGCATCAGTATATTAATCTATAAAATAGAGATAATTCCTTCTCCCTCCAAGAGAAGTAAACAAAATAATCACATAAAAACTCAGCTCATTATGTCTGGCACACAACAAGTATTCAATAATTGGTAAGTAATGGTAGTGAACATGGTGTTTTTAAATTAAGTTTAGCCTAATGCTGCCTCCTTACATATTTTAAGCCTGAAGGTTTCTCCATATACATAATGAACTATAACCCAAGCAGGTATGTAAACAGGTCATAATCTACTCTTCTAACAAATAGCCGAGTCTCAGCCAATCACAGCAGCCATACTCCAATGCATTCATAGGTAGCAAACTGTTCAAACCACATTCAAATAAGGCATATGTCAAGGTGCAACCAATCTGCCTGCTTCTGCACCTCACTTCCATTTTCCATAAGTCACTTTCCTTTTTCCATCCATAAATCCTCTCTGACCATGCAACAACACCAGAGTGGCTCTGAATCTATTCTGGTTCAGGGGCTGCCCAACTCTTAAATCATTCTTTGCTCAAATAAACTCTGTTAAATTTGTCTCAAGTTTTCCCTTAACAGATGGTGTCAGAAGTGCGATCCAAAGTCGAGCTCCCAGCAACCCCCAGAAACAAGCGGCCAAGTGAGGTACCCACAGGATCCATTGTGTCTACTGCTCTCTCGCAGCAAATGGGGTGCTTCTCTCTAGGATTCCAAAGCTCCATGGATGTATGTTTTGAGCTATCTGAGTTTGAGCAATTTTTTTTATCTGAACTGAATTTGGAAGTTGTGACAGAAACTGGACTGGGTCCAGGACAGAATTGGATCTAATCATTAACTGGCCTGGATCCAGTTAGAGGCCTCAGATGTCTGACTGGGTCAGACAGAAACTGGTAGTAAATGGCAACACTGCCGGGGATGCAAGCTTTGGCTTTTGGAAATTCAGAGGAATTTTTGTGTTCTACCCCATTTGTTTCTTTTTCTTTCACCCTTACGTAGGGAAAAATCACTGTTTAAATTGATCAAGGTGATCCAAGAGCCAAAGCCAAATAGATGAGATCCTTAATTTCTGAAGAACTGAGTACTCCACCTTCCGGCTATGCCTACCTATACATGTATAAATATTAAGCCCTGGAAGCAGCAAACACTTAAAGAGATAGCAAAATCTTACTAAAGGTAATTCAGTACATTTGAAAGTGAGGAATCCTCAATTAGTCTCATCCAACGATGTCTATTGATGTGCAGAAGTTTCTAAAAAAGATTTCAACATTTTTACTGCCTCTTTTTAAAGACTGTAAGATCATGCCTGTAATGCCAGCACATTGGGAGACCATGGCAGGCAGATCCCTTGAAGCCAGGAATTCAAGACCAGCCTGGCCAACATGGTGAACCCTCATCTATACTAAAAATATAAAAATTAGCTAGGCATGGTAGTACACGCCTGTGATCCCAGCTACTCAAAAGGCTGAAGCACAAGGGAGGCTTGAACCTGGGAGGCAGAAGCTGCAGCGAGCTGAGATCACACCACTGCACTACAGTCTGGACAACAGAGCAAGACTCTGTTTCAAAAAAAAAAAGGAAAAAGACTATAAAGGGCAAATAAAAAGCTTAAACAACTAATTGATAACGAAAATTAAATCTGCTAACCTTTTGGCTTAGTAATTATACCACACTAAAGGCTAAAAGAAAGCTATCCTAGATAAAGTGTTTATAAAAGTTAGGACCTCAGGTAAAGTAGCCTTGCTTCTTTTTCAGAGCTATCATATTGAGTCTAGGCGCAGAGAACGCTTTCTTTGCCCTTTTCCTTAATGGCCTTCACCCTAAACTCAATAATTTCAGCTAGGAAACAGTAGCTAAGTTAAAAAGACTGCCTATTCAACTAAATAAGTCTTCAAGACATACCTTTCTGGCATGTAGCTGGCTATTTTGAAACTCTTCTGAAAAAGAAATTTACATCTATAAAAAAAAATCTCGGCCAGGCACAGTGGCACACGCCTGTAATCCCAGCACTTTGGGAGGTCGAGGCAGGCAGATCACGAGGTCAGGAGATCAAGACCATCCTGGCTAACATGGTGAAACTCAGTCTCTACTAAAAATGCAAAAAATTAGCCGGGCATGGTGGCGCGCGCCTGCAGCCCCAGCTACTCAGGATGCTGAGGCAGGAGAGTCGCTTGAACCCAGAAGGCAGAGGTTGCAGTGAGCCTAAATCTCACCACTGCACTCCAGCCTAGGTGACAGAGGGAGACTCTGTCACAAAAAAAAAAAAAAAAAAAAAATCTCCATTTGTAAGGGTGTCTGCCTCTGTGCACCAGGAAGAGAGGGAGAACTGAGTCACTAGAAACTCTTACCATTGGTTTGAATTCACAAAACAAATCTAACCTTTGTTTAAGGTGCTTTTCCTGGCTCTCTTGCCTTAGCTGGGCCTTTACCAACAACCTTCTTCCTTGGTTTGGGCAAATGATTATACAATTAATTATTTAGGCCTGAAATCTCAGCTCTGTGCTTTGGAGATATAAATTTTCTACCTCGTTTCATCTAAGAGCCATCCCTTTGAAAATGCAAATTTAGGGTTGCCCAGCTAACAATTGCTTAGGGCAATGAAACAGATAATTGGAAGATTGGTAGTAGAATGGGGAAAAAAAATTATTTAAAAGCCAGCAAATGAAAATTATTTATGAAAGCTGTAAGATCTGCTTCTGTGTGTCTATGTGTTAATATTTGATAAATAAAACTAGTTTTTAAATTGTTAGTAAAATTAAATAGGACTGGCTTCTGAATTGTCAGTTATATATAATTCATTCATATGGCACAGAAAGGTTAAGTATACTTAGATCTGTTAATAAACAAAAAAATTGAGAAAACATCTTTCTAAAAAAATGCAAAATGGTTTTCATTTACAAATACTGATACAAAACAGTTCAAGACAACTTCACAGGTTTTCGCTAGACATTAAGGCTACTAAGAGTTAAAACTGTAGGCCGGGCACAGTGGCTCACACCTGTAGTCCCAGCACTTTGGGAGGCCGAGGCGGGTAGGTCACTCAAGGTCAGGAGTTCAAGACCAGCCTGGCCAACATGGCGAGACCCTGTCTCTACTAAAAATACAAAAAATAAGCTGGGCGTAGTGGTGGGCGCCTGTAATCCCAGCTACTCCAGAGGCTGAGGCAGGAGAATGGCTTGAACCAGGGAGGCAGAGGTTGCGGTGAGCCGAGACTGCGCCATTGCACTCCAGCCTAGGCAACAAGAGCGAAACTCTGTCTCACGAAAAAAAAAAAAAAAAATCCTGTAGTTAATAAGTTAATATATATAATTAAAACTACTAGATATAAGAGGAAACAAGTCTGTATACAGAGTGTTTAAAAAAAAGCAAGATTTTGGGCCGGGCACGGTGGCTCACACCTGTGATCCCAGCACTTTGGGAGCAGAGGCGGGTGAATCACTTGAGGTCAGGAGTTCGAGACCAGTCTGGCCAACAAGGTGAAAACCCCGTCTCTATTTAAAAAATACAAAAATTAGCCGGGAATGGTGGCATGCACCTGTAATCCCAGCTACTCAGCAGGCTGAGGCAGGAGAATTGCTTGAACCCGGGAGGCAGAGGTTGCAGTGAGCGGAGATTGCGCCACTGCACTGCAGCCTGGGCAACAGAGCAAAACTCCATCTCAAAAAAATAAAAAATAAATAAATAATTTTTAAAAAGCAAGATTTTTTTTGTCGGTTTTTTGGAGGGTTTTTTGAGATGGAGTTTCGCTCTTATAGCCCAGGCTGGAGTGCAACGACAGGATCTCGGCTCACTGCAACCTCTGCCTCCTGGGTTCAAGCACTTCTCCTGCCTCAGCTTCCCAAGCAGCTAGGATTACAGGCACCCGTCACCACGCTCAGCTAATTTTTTGTACTTTTAGTAGATTCGGGGTTTCACCATGTTGACCAGGCTGGTCTTAAACTCCTGACCTCAGGTGATCCACCCGCCTCGGCCTCCCAAAGTGCTGGGATTACAGGCATGAGCCACTGTGCCAGGCCAAGATATGTTTTTGATAAGGAAAGTTGTAAAAAGCATGAAAATGTGTATTTGCTGAGAAAAAATAATTTCATCTATCTAGTTTAGAAGATATTTGAAGGTTGTTTCAAAATGAAGGAATTTTTTAAAAGATACAGATAAAACTAAATTAATATAGCAAGGTGGAAAAAGAAAGAGAATAGAAAAAATTGGCTGGTCGCAGTGGCTCATGCCTGTAATCCCACAACTTTGGGAGGCAGAGACTGGTGGTTCACTTGAGGTCAGGAGTTCAACACAAGCCTGGCCAACATAGCGAAACCCTGTCTCTACTAAAAATACAAAAATCAGCCAGGCATGGTGGTGTACGCCTGTAGTACCAGCTACTCAGGAGGCTTAGTCATGAGAATCGCTTGAGCCCAGGAGGTGGAGGTTGCAGTGAGCCAAGATCATGCTATTGCACTCCAGCCTTGGTGATAGAGCAAGACTCTTGTCTCAAAAAAAAAAAATAGAAAAAATGCTAAGAGATTATAAAAGGTTTATGAAAATCCAATTTGTTTATAAGCTTTTAATAAAATTAGCTGTAGTTTTAGTATTGGTAATATACTAATACAAAAGTAAAATTTGGTTTTCTCTTTTGAACAAGAATTTTGTGTAGTATTAAGAAGAAAGAAAGAGTAAATGTGTTTGTTTACCTTTTAAGTAAACTGCAAAAAAAGAAAGAGGGGAGAGGAGAGACAGATTCCATCTCATGCTATCTATTAGGATTTCTGATTGTGTGGAAAATAGAGTCAATCCTCTATCGAAGAATAAATGGTTTTGCTTTTAAAAACCTTTTAATTACCACTTTGGCTAAAGGTATGACAATTATTTTACAGTGATCTTTGATCCTATTTTGATTAAGTGCGTTAAATCTTTGACAAATTTGATGCACTTCCAAAATCAAATTTCAAATTGAAAGTTTAGTCTTTTGACCTCAAACTAACTTTGAGACGTTACACAGAGGGTCCTTGCAGCATCCAAGAGAGAGATAAGAAACAAGCTTATCTGGTAAGTTAAATTACATGGGAAGCATTGTCAAATAAGAAATGATGTTTAATCTTCTTTGAGTTATAGTTTATGGATATGTTACTAATATATAGTCCAAAATTGTATAAGCCTCCTAAAATTCTGGTGTGTCTTGGTATGTTATCAGTCCTAATTATGGTGATTATTTTAAATTAATTATTGTAGGCCACAGAAATAACCAAATTTTCTTGTCAATTGTGTCTTTAACCATGACCATTTTAAGTCATTTCCACAGTTAACTGCTTAATTCTGATGCATTTTCAACCAAGCAGCCTGTTCATTAATCCCCTACAACTGAATCTCCATAATACCTGATGTAGACATCCATGTAAAACAAGAAGCGCCTGTAATCCCAGCACTTTGGGAGGCCGAGGCGGGCGGATCACGAGGTCAGGAGATCGAGACCATCCCAGCTAAAACGGTGAAACCCCGTCTCTACTAAAAATACAAAAAATTAGCCGGGCGTAGTGGCGGGCGCCTGTAGTCCCAGCTACTTGGGAGGCTGAGGCAGGAGAATGGTGTGAACCCGGGAGGCGGAGCTTGCAGTGAGCCGAGATCCCGCCACTGCACTCCAGCCAGGGCGACAGAGCGAGACTCCGTCTCAAAAAAAAAAAAAAAAAAAAAAAAAAAAAAACAAGAAGTATCAACAACTGCACAGATTCTTCCCCACTTAGCCAGTAGGTAATCTAGAGCAATTCTATTATCTAGTACAACTTTAGTAAGAGAATGTAAAGGATTTTGTTGTGCAACCATAGCCTTTGCAGTAGAATCTACTATAAAACCTATTATGAGGGATATTATCAAAGAAAGATCTTTAGTACAAGAGCTAGAGTCAAAAATCAATAATAATGTGATAGATGCAACTAGTTAGCTGAAAACACAAAAGAGAACAGTGATCCTTGAAATGTCTATCAAGATTAAACCCTGCTGAAAAGCAAAGGGAGGAAGTAAAAAGACAGGAAAAAGAAGAAAATTAAACACAATGGAAGAGTGACAATTGGCAGAAGTAAAATCAGACTTTAGAAACAATAACAGGATGTCATGAAGCAGACCTCCTTACACAGCAGAAAAGAGTTTACCATAACTACAAGGAATGAATGAGAATAGAGTAGAAAAGTCTGAGAGCACTGAGGAGGAGGGAGGGGCAGACTAAGCCCAGCACATTTCACTACCACTATGACAGAGTCTAAAAAGCATGCCAACTGAAACAGCAGTGTTCTGGAGGCATTTGGTGTAATGATTAGCATGTCTACAAATAGAAGTAACCTCAAAGAAACTTATTGTATTAAAATATAGTATATAAGGACTCCGACATCTGGTAGAAGCTAAATTATGCTCATTATATTTTTACTAAGGCAGATAAAAAATGCAATATGTTCAAATATTTTATCATCAAAAGCAATCAAAGTAAATGTCTCAGAGCTTAGGAGAAATGATTTTGTTACCTACAGTCTTTTATCTACAAGAACCTCTTATTTACTCTTACCTCTTATTGTCTGTCTGAGGTAATTTTAATATATAACTACTTGTTTTTATGTGTTTTCCTTTACTTAAAGCAGACATAAACCTGTGAGTCAAAGACAAGGCTACAGTCCTGTAAAGCTACATACTAACTAATTCAGATGACTTGGGCAAGATGCTAATAAAATCTACACTCAAGGATTTAGTCCCTATTTGTTCAAGTTATTTTATACCCAGACACACCAAAGGAAACCAGACAAGAGTGTGGTTATGCAAACTCATCACTATTTTTAGAAAAATGAAAACAATCTCCACTAATAATGGCAAAATATCACATCATCTCAAACTTTCAAGATCGTGATCTGTAGTTCCACCTGACCCTCTGGATGACCCTATAAATTGCTGACTTTATATTACTTCAATTTTCCTATCCACAAATTTGATCATAACAATTTGTCACAAATAAAAAATAGGCAATAAATGACTATTAAGGTGAAAAACAGCAAATTAATTACTGATAAATTAAACTATACATATAAGTGTTTGACTTACCTGGAAGCCATATTTCCCAAATTTCTAATATTTACAATTTAGTCAAGAATTTAGAAGTGAAGAGACAACACAATCAAGGAAAACAATTACCCAAAAGTTTATTTAATAGAGAGGTGAAGAGTCTGATAAGGAATCACCTTTCTGTCCTCCTTTTAATTTCCCTTCCCTTGAATCTGAACTGGTTTTAGTGACTTGCTTGACCATTACATGCAGCAGAAATAATGTTCTGGAACTTCAAAAGCTAGGTCATAACAAGTCTGTGGTAGGATGAATAATGGCCCCCAAAGATATCCCACATTCTAATTCCCTAACCTGTATATATGTTACATTATATGGCAAAAAGAATTTTGCAAGTGTAATTAAATTAAGGATTTTGAGAGAGTGAGATTATCCTGGATTATCCAGGTAAAACCTAAATATAATCATGAGGGTTCTTATAATAGGGAGGCAAAAAGGTCAATGAGGGAGCAGAGATTTTAGTGATGTGTCCAGGAACCAAGGAATCCCAAAAGATGAAAGAAGCAAAGAATACATTCTGCCCTGGACTCTCTAGAAGGACAGAGCCTTGCTGACACTTTGATTTTAGTCCTTTAAGACTTATTTTGGACTTTGTACTTTGACAACTCTAAGAGAATATGTTGTTTTATGCCACTGTATTTGTGGTGTTACAGCAGCAATAGAAAACTAATACAGGCCGGGCGTGGAGGTTCACGCCTGTAATCTCAGCACTTTGGGAGGCCGAGGCAGGAGGATTGCTTGAGGTCAGGAGTTCCAGACCAGCCTGGCCAACCTGGCAAAACCCCACCTCTACTAAAAATACAAAAATTAGCCAAGTGTGGTGGTGTGTGCCTGTAGTCTCAGCTACTCAGGGAGGCTGAAGCAGGAGAATCGCTTGAACCCGGGAGGCAGAGGTTGCAGTGAGCCAAGATCACACCACTGCACTCCAGACTGAGTGACAGCACGAGACTCCGTCTCAAAAAAGAGAAAGAAAACTAATACAAAGTCTTACAGCTTCTACCCAGCCCCCTTGGAACATTTTCTCTGGGATCCCTGACCTAAGTATTACAACCATGCTAACATTGTCATGCTGGTGAGGCCACATCCATCTCCTTGGGTCAACAGTTCCAGTTGAGGCCAGCCCTCCAGCCATCCACCAAAGTACCAGACACATAAACAAACCGATGTTGGACCTTCTGACCAGACCATCAGCCAGCCAAAGTTTATGTAATGACCTCCATAGATACCATAAGAAACAGCATCCAGCTGAGCCCTGCCTATATCCTTTTTTTTTCAATTTTATTTTTTTATTTCCTATGAACTCTGTACCTGCAACTGCCTATATTCTTGATCCACAAAATCATGAGCTATGATAGAAGGGTTGTTATTTGAAGTCACACGTAACTCTGGACATGTTATATGTAAGTGATGATTAAACACTGTTAAACAGCATATATGCCTTTCATAATGGAAAAAAAAAAACTTTACTTGATTACTTGATTATCTGTCTTCTACTGGCAGTAATCCCTAGTAATAAGACCATTCCAACATACCCCGTAACTCTAAAGAACTCAGAATTAAGCTTGCTGAAATATACTACTGTAATTAGGTTCTTTCCATATTGGTAAAATAACTGATTGTAGCAAAGCTTCATTTAACTGAGTGTAACTCAACTTATAGAAGCCCATGGCTCATCAGAGATCTCTCACTCCTCTTGCCTCAATTCATACTTCTTATCCACGTCCTTGTTCTTCCCCTCTTGCCGGGCCTAGGTGGGGCTATACTTCCCTTATTCCTTTTTACTATCTCAACAAAGGCACTGAAATATCTTTATTCACGTATCTTTATTTGCAGTATAAAATGTTTTTCTTGCCCTTTTTCTTATTGGACAAAAGCAAACTATTCCCAATCCATTCCAGAGGCTCATAGCTTAAAATAATTTATATTTAGGCTAGGCACGGTGCTCACAGCTGTAATCCCGGCACTTTGGAAGGCTAAGCTCGGTGGATCACCTGAGGTCAGGAGTTCGAGATGAACCTGGCCAACATGGTGAAACCCCACCTCTACTAAAAATACAAAACTTAGCCAATCACAGTGGTGCATGTCTGTAATCCCAGCTTCTCAGGAGGCTGAGGCAGGAGAATCGCTTGAACCTGGGAGATGGAGTTGCACTGAGCTGAGATCGCACCACTGCACTCCACCCTGGGCAACAGAGTGAGACTCTGTCTCAAAAAATAAAAAAAATTTAAGAAAAGAATTTCTATTTTCTCACATAATCCTGAGCAATGGGCTGAAAAAAAATAAGGATAATCTTGTTAAAGGTCCAAGATCTCTAGTGAACAGGGATTCCATAAGAAAGCCTAATTTATTTTTAAGTGTTTTAGATACTCAATTTAGTATAAGCTCTTTATCTTTCAGTCTTTCATTTTGTCAACGTCCTCTTATACTATATGGCAAGTTCTCAAAACAAAGCTCTTCACCCTACCTTAAACAATCACAAAAAATGGGGGACTACAAGATTAAAGTTTAGAATTATTTGGTTAATGTATACAGACGTAGATAAATGGTAAAAAATGTCAAAAGCACACAATTACCACTCACATAGAGTAATCAAAAAATGCAAGCTAATTGAGACCTAACATTGATAGAAAAACTGCTCTGTTCACCTCAATACATCTTTTATTTGCTATATGTAAAAACAATCTCATTTTTTAAATATCTTAAGTATACATATTATAACAAAAATATTCCCTAAGAGGCTCCCTTTTTCAAAACATATCTCTCATTGTACCTCTCCAATAGCCAGTTCTTGTCTCTCTGTGTAAACTCTCTGATGAGCATTAATTACACCACCTTAAATAATGTGGAAGCCAACCTCAAAGATGTACCCCCGATGATTCCCACTCCCTTGTATTCACACCTTGTGTAGTACTCTCCCACAATGTGTCAGGACAAAAGAGATGGACTGTCACTTCGAAGACTGCGTTTTAAAAGTCTGTGGCTTATAGTATACATATTATAACAAAAATATTCCCTAAGAGGCTCCTTTTTTCAAAACATATCTCTCATTTTACCTCTCCAATAGCCAGTTCTTGTCTCTCTGTGTAACTCTCTGATGAGCATTAATTACACCACCTTAAATAAGTGTGGAAGCCAGCCTCAAAGATGTACCCCCGATGATTCCCACTCCCTTGTATTCACACCTTCTGTAGTACTCTCCCACAATGTGTCAGGACAAAAGAGATGGACTGTCACTACTAAGACTGTGTTATAAAAGTCTGTGGCTTCCAGCTTAGGTGCCCACAGGTGCTGTCTTGCAAACACACTCGCTCTCTCTTGCTCTCTCGCTCTCTCATCACTTGCTCTAGAGGAAACCCACTGCCATGTCATGAGAATACTCAGGCAGCCCTGTGGAGGACCACATGGGAGGGAATTGAGACATCCAGCCAACAGCCATGTGAGTGAGACTTCTTGGAAATGGATCCTCCAGCCCCAGTTAAGACTTCAGATGATGCCACCCCAGCTGAGAGCTTGATTTCAACTTCTTAAGATCCTGGGCCAGAAATACTCAACTAAGATGCTATAGCATTCCTGAGCCTCAGAAATTATGAGTTAATACATGCTTGTTTTAAGCCACTGTGTTTTAGGATAATTTGTTATACCGCAATGGATAACTAATACAATGAGCACTGTCTATTTTTCAATACCAAATTGCTATATTTTAAAAGCTTTAAAAAATAATTATAAATGGAAATATTAATTACAAAAATTGGGAAGAAAATTTGTTTTAAAAATTTTGGCTAACATTGAAAGGCCACTGTAATAATGTCAGCTTGCCAGTACTACTTGTAAAAACATGAATAATGCTCTATCAGCAGAATATGGTCTGTTTCTGGAAGAAGAGAGATCAGGCTGAGCAGGTAAATTGAAGGCGCAAACTCAACTTTTTTTTAAATTGGGAAAGAAATTGGTTTGTAATTTTAAAAATCACAATATTCTATTTAACTATGATAAGATATCCCACAAGGTCTGCCTTATCTATTACGAACTGATTCCAAAGCTTTATCTCATCACAGATTATATCACATGCCTACTGATAAACATATAAGAAAGATAAGGGCAAATGTGCCAAATTTCAACAGCAGATTCCACTGCCATATCAAAGCATGGATGATATTTTTTCAGTAACATTTCCATACCAAATCCAAAACACTTCATTAGTTTATACAAGCACCCTTTCCAAAGACACACAAGATTGCCTATGGCAAGAAATAGCCCTTTAAATAGAATTAATTTTGTTAGAAAGTACACTTAGTACACACACACAATACATCGGTTGAGTACTTCAAAACATTATTCAAAAAGCAACAATAAAAGAAAACATGGGAGTTTTTCATTTATCTGGCTGGAAAAAAATTGTTGATTTCAGCAATGGAATGAGCTGTACGCATTCCCAACATAATAAAATCCCTTTTACCTTAATGATTAATGAATAAGGTAATTTCCTAAGTGATGATTCTAGTTATCTCCATAACTATATGTATTGATACTGAAAACAGTAAGTGAACACCAAGACTACATACACTAACAAAGCAGCAGCATCTGTGTCATTTGATTCATAGGACAATCATTTTGTCATCGACATCAGCAAAAATAGCTGATTTAAACTTTGATGTTCTTTAGCATATAAAGAGGAGAGATAAGCATCTGACTAACCATTGTTTCAAATATCCTTGACTGTTTCTCCTGAGCAAAGAAGACAATTTAAATTACTAATTTCTCTCTCATATTAGTAACATAACTAAGTTTAATTGATGCTAATGATCTCCATTGACTAAAGTGCTTAGGTCCTTTTCAGAATATTTAAAACCACGTTAAATTTAAAAATATTATCTTTATTAGGAAATGTAGCATTGCTACTGCAATACTGCTGGCATGTAAAAAATAATAATGTATGAGAAAAAAATTATTCAGTCACCTTGCAGGACATGTTTTTCAAGAACTGCCACAAAACTATATTCATAGGGCCCTCCAATCTTGTAACTTGTTGACAATGCAGAATTTCCAAGAAATTACTTGGAAAAGGTAAAATGTGTGTTCAAATAGTCTTGTCAGTGCAGAAAGATTCAAAAGTTAATGTTCTAGTACATGACTGACTATATTATTTTTCCAAGGAGCATATTTTCAGAATTGACTATTTTTAAACTGCATACTGAGTGCACACATAGATTACAAATGTGCTAGTGTTTCATTATGATTGCATATAACATCATGATTACACATTGAATAACGGAATTGATCGGACGTTACATTTTCCTGTAAAAGCACTGTGGGTAAACAATGTCTGGAATCAATCATCCACTATAAATTGGTCCACAATTTCCTGAACTGAGGGGGAAAACATCTGATTAAAAGCCACAACTAAAACAAGTTTCTGAAGTAGTACAGATAACGTCCTGCTTACATGAGGTAGATAATTCTTTCCTCCATTCCTGCACATCAGCTAAAGATATACTTTCAAGTCTGGCAAATCAAATGGCATGATCCGAATCAATGTGCTCTACACTTTGGAATCTATGAGATGTTTATGTACCTACCAAGTTTAGAGAGGAGAGTAAACTTTTTTAAAACTTTCAAACACATCAGAATGTAATACAAACTGAAGCAATGTGTTTTGTTTACATAACTGTATTTAAGTGGCAGAAATATTTTAAGACATCCATTTTAGTCGTTTGCTCCTTTCATCCTTTTTATTTTCTGAACTTTTAGCTTTTTCACCTAGACTCAAATTCTGCCCTACCCCATTCTGGACTCCTTTTAGAAATATCCTATTTTAACATGCTAGTTTAAAAATCGTTTTGCTTTCATCATTCCCAATTACTTTTGAGCATCAGTCTGACTTTTACTACAGAGCCACAGATTTCCAAAAAATATACCTCCTTATTTATTTCATTCTTTCAACCTCTGGGAAAAACCAAAACTGGAGTTTAACTTGAATCTGTCTTTCCATTTCTGGAGAAAATGTTTCCTTTGGCTGCTGAAATTAACGCAATCAGACATGTGTGGAAACAAGCAGCTATGAGCATCCCTGACTTTCGAAGCTACACCCCTTCTTTTGGCTACCCACCCATACGTCTTCATTTGATAACCGTTCAAAAAGTTTCTTCCTGCCAGGCGGGTTTGCAGCACTTTCTCGGAGCAGGCACAGCATGCCACCTGCACGGGTGCACGCTCGCAAGAAAGCAGCAAGGGCTAAGGGACAGGAGGGCTGGGGAGGGGAGGCACGGGGCAAATCAAAACTCAATCCCAACAGCGTTAACTGGCATTTTAGGCCGAAGCTCCGGATTCGGAGGCTGGGGAGGAAGTAGCTAGCGCTGGCCTCGGCTGCCTGGCACGACCCGCGCCCGTCCTACCTGCCTGGGGGAAACTCGGGCGGCGGAAAGTCTCCCCGCCCCCAGCCGTCCCAGGCGTGGGGCCAGACAGGCGAGGGGGGCGGAAGGGGGGCGGCGGCGGGGGTCCAAGATCCAGGGCCGCAGCGGGCTCCCGGTGGGCTGGCGAGAAGAGGAGGGCGTCGGGGCCCCCGGGCTCGCCCCCCACCTGCCCCCCTTACCTTGGGCAATGGCAATAGACTCGAAGCGGTGCAGCTCTTTGAGCAGGCAGCTCCTCTCCGTGGAGTGCAGGCTGTAGATGAAGTCGCGCGCGCCCTGCGCCGTGTTCAGCGCCTCCATGGGCTCCTTCTTGGGGTGCGTGCCCAGCCGCCTGGGGCCGCCCGGCAAGCCGCCGGGGGGCGCGAGCGCCAGCAGCCCCCGCCCGCAGCAGCACCAGGACGGCGGGCGGGGCGCGGCGGCGGCGGCCGGGCCCGGCCTCAGGCTGCGCGCGGTCCGGCTCCTCAGCAGCGGCAGCAGCCGGGACATGGCGAGCTGAGGAGCTGGGACCCCCGCGGCCGTCCGGCAAGGCGGTTTCTGGCGCGGCTGAGGCGAGAAGGAGCTGGGCTCAGCTCGACCCCGCCCCGAGGTCCTCCTGCCAGGCAGCCGAGGCGCCGGGCACCATGCACTCCGCGGGCCCGCGCGGCTCTCGCCTCCTGTTCCGTCCCCACTTCCTTTCCAAAAGGCCCGCGGCGGCTCCCGCCCCTCCGATGGGAAAAACTTTCTCTGAGACGGCCGGGCCCGGACAGCGCCCGGAGAGGGCGGGCGGTCGGTGCGGGCGGGCGCCTCCCGGCTGAGGAGGAGCGGCGCGGGCGGGCGGGGCGGGCTAGTGTGTGTCTCTGTCAGTCTGATCTTCCAGAGGATGAGTCAGCCACGCACCGCCCTCCTCCAGCGCCGCCCTACTCTCCCGCCAGCTTTCTCACCCTCTAGCCTCCCCACGTCCCCACTCTGTAAGGTTCCCGAGCCCTCAAAGCAGCCGCGCTCCCGAGCCGCAGCCGCCGCCGCCGCCGCTACCCCTAGCGGCAGCAGAAGTGGGAACGGGGCGGGGCGAAAGGGGAAGGAGGTGCGGGGGGGCGGGGAGGTGTGTGAGCGAGGCTGCGCAGGCGCAGTCTGCAGGCTCTCGGGCCGCCCTCCCTCCTAGGGGAGGAGCGTGCACACGCGTCCCCTCCCGCGCTGGTGCGTGAAGGTGGAAGGAGGTAGGGTGCGCCACCCTGTGCTGGCGTTAAACCTACAGATCGGAATAGGGAAAACGAGCTCTGGACCCCTCGCCCGCCAGGGTAGTACAGCTGCCACCCGGCCCCCAACCTGGGGCCACATCTGGAGCTTGTTCTGAAAGGTGCCCCGGCGTGCGGCCCCGCTCTGGACAGGCGGAGAGCTGCGCTGCCACCCCAGCCCCGACGGGATCACGGCGCTCTGCTCCGGAACGAAGCGCCCCAGCTGCGCCCTTCGCCAAGTCAGCGCCCACCGCCGCTTCGGCCGAGCAGGCCGGCTCTAATGCAGTCGCTCTGGGCGCCCCAAAGAGAAAGCGAAGCCAGTTCCACCCCTGCCCAAGGAGGGTCTGAGACTGAGCCCTTGACACGAGAACAGTCCTCCCCGTTCAGATTCCAGCAGCTGGCATGCAAATTGTTAATGCTAGAGGCAGAGGCAAGAATGTCATAGACCTTTCCTAGTGGTTGCTTGTGATTTTTTTGTCTCTGTGCTAAAGCGGGAAGAATAATTTGATTGTCCACGATTTCCCCTGATCCAGGTCCTAGGCATCTTTCAAGGCCCAGGTGAAAGGTCTCCTACTTCATTAAGCTGTCCCTAATCTCTTCTAAGGGAGGAGATCTCTGCTTTATCTGAACCTGTCTAATGACGCTTAGGCACCCTTAGAGAATAAATCCACTTAATAAATCTGCTGGAGCGTAATCAAGATCTAAATCCCATCCTTATCATAAACAGTGCTGCACTCAGCCCGGAAACTTGTAGGTAGTAAATGTGCTACATGTAAGTAGAATATTAAACTGAATAATGGAGGATTGTTACCACTAAAGCCTCCTACTTCTCTAACTCTGGTTCTCAAAGTGTGTCCCAGAGCTTTTTAGACGTGAGAAATAGTGGACCCCACTTCACACCTCCTGAATCAGAACGTAGACATTGGACCCAGTCATGTGGGTTTTAACAAGCCCTCCAGTAATAACACACACGAAAGCTTGAGAAACACTGATGTCTCTTAAACATTGAAAGGAATCGCTTCTTTTTTAAATTCCAAGGTGATGCCTCTGTGATGTAATAACAACAATTAAGAATGCTCTCTGTGGAAATGAAAGCTTTTTGAGTGCATAAAGTATATCTTCCTTGTCTTTGAAACCCCCTTCATTCCCTAGTGTGCACTGGAATCCTCTGCAGAGCTATTTCAGTCTCAGGCTCATGGGAGTACCACCCCATCCCCCCCACAATTTCCTACCCCCAAGATATTCTGATTCACTGGGGTGGATCACAGGCCCCAGACCTGGGAAGTGAGGTTTGAAAAAAGTTCTTCAGTAAGAACCCATTCCCAACCACCTCCAGAATAGTAGTTTAGTGTGTAGCCTCCAGAGACAGACTGTGGAAAGTTCGATCCCTGGATCAACCGTCTCCTAACTATGTGTTAGTATTAGATTGTTATAGTAGTGATCCCCAATGAACTACACCTTCTATTATCCGCTCCGTTGTGTGGTCCACCTCTACATTGACTGTGGGCTTGGCTATTTGACTTGTTTTGGTCAATAAATAGGAGGACATCATAAACGTGATATGATACATGTTTGCTCATTGGGGTTTGCTGTAATGCTTTTGCTATATTACTATAGAATATTTAATTCTATTATAAAACAAGAGAAACTAAAATGTAGAAGCAAGTCACTTATGAGAAAGGTTACACATAGAATGAATGGATATGGGTTGAACATAGATAAAAAGGATGGAACAAATGAAAATGCTGCTTTAGATAGAGGCAGAAAGACAAAGTGGACTTTTAAGTATTAATAAGGTACAGATCATACTATCTTCAGATTTACAGCCATGTCATCCCTAAATTGCATACCTACTGGTAACACCCATTGTAACGCTATTATGGCCTCATGTAATCTCTTCCCAAGAAAAGCAGATAAACCCCCAGCTACAAAGCCAACTAATGCCAGCTACCATTATAACCAGACACACTTGCCCCTCAGCTCTGTAACAGAACAGACATATGTTGAGCCCAGGCCCCTTCAGTCTGTTGAGTCACCTTACTTACTCTCCAGTCTGGTCCTTGTAGCCACACTATGTGCTGAGAAGACTGGATGGTGGAGAGGGATAAGACATGAGAACATTGCATAAAACAGAATTTAGGTGCTATGGTCCTTCAGCCTATCCTAAGCTTATTAATCTACCCTATCTCTTTCCCCTTGCTTCTCACTCTGTTTTATGTTGGTTGGTAAACTCTTCTGGTTATTATTGCTGCTCTTTGGGTAGACACATTATGCCAAAACTTAGTAGTTTAATTAGCCAATTTATTTTGCTCTTAATTTTGAGGCTCAGAAATTGGGGAAGAACTTACTTGGACAGTTATTTTATTGGAGTCGTTTATGTAGTATCAATCAGATTTCAACACAACTGCTGTCATTTGAAAGTTCAGCTGGGCTGAATAGCTAAGATGGCTCACTGACATGGCTGACTGGTAGCTCAAATGGGGCTGAGAACCAGAGCACTTTCACACAGCCACTCCAGCATGGTGATCTTCTCACCAGACAGCTGGCTTTCCCCAGAGTGAATGTCTAAAAAGAAGCAGGCTTGTGGCGTTTTCTGACCTATCCTTGGAAGTCACACAGTATCACTTCCACTGTATTCTACTGGCTATAAGCCAACCCCTAGGGCCAGCCCCTATTCAAGGGAAAGGGATATAAACCCCACATCTTAATAGGAGTAATGCCAAAACCTTTGAGGATACGTTTTAGAACCACCAGATAATGTGATTTAAGCTTCTTAATTTGGCCTATAAGCCTATCTATTTCGTGACCTGTAGGTGTATACATGGAGGCTGCCATTGCATCAAGGTAATTTTCCACATGGAAAAATTGCCTCGAAGACATTTACCTTTTGGAATCCAGCTGCTGCATAAAGAAGTCTGATGTATCCTGCTGGAAAGACCAAATGGAGGAGGAGGCCGTAGCCAACAGCCCCAGCTAACTGCCAAACATGCATGACAGCATCTTGGACCATCCAGGCTCAATTGAGCCCCAGATGACAGCATTGGGGTTGAGAGCACTAGCTCTAGACTCAGACTGCCTGGATTTGAGTCCTTATACTGTCATTTCTTAGCTGTGTAACCTTGAGCTGATCAACCTTTCCGTGGTTGCCCATCTGTTTAATGGGAATAAGAACATGTTCAGTTTGCTCACCTGTTAAATATAGATAAGGGCATCTGCTTTGTAATGTTATAGTGAAACCAAATAATACATGTAAAGCATTTCAAACAGCACCTGATACATGACAAGCATGCAATAAATACTAGCTATTATTATCTAAATGCCCACGGACCTCTCAAATCTCTACGATTATGTCTTTGGACCCTCATTTGAGAAATGCCCACCTAGCTATCTGTCATTTAATACATGGATGTGTATTAACTGCATCCCCTAACCACTTCCTTCTCTGAACACCTGAATATCCTAAATATGAATGGATGAAGGATCTAGGGAGGGAGATAATTTGGGGATCGTTTATGGGGCTGTGGAGCAGGTCTAGATGCAGGTGGCAAAGGGGAGTTTCCGAAGAAATATGATGGTGCTGAAGAGGAAATGCTAGCAGGCTGGAGGGGCTACAGAAATGGAAGATAGAAGGAAGGAAAGCCCAGAAGGCAAACTTGGCCTGAGTTCAGCCCAGCCTGTTCTTCGCTTTTAAAGAGGACAACTGTCATACCTCGGTTAACAATCACAGTTTCCTCCTCATGAAAAATTGCTGCTGAATCATCAGTCCATGGTAAGCTGCATCATATAAATACGCTCCAGAGTTCCTGGCTTCCCTGTTGCTGGCAGGGCACACAGCTGTTTGCTGCCTGCCATTGATGAAACTTTATACACCCAGCTATTCTGCTTTAAAATTCTTGAAATTGTTGCTTTACCTAGTGGACCCTTTAATCATTTCTTCTGCCCATATTTTTGCAATTTCCTCATTGCACTTCTCATCCATCAAGCTCCTGCCTTAGTATTCTGACCCCTGGAAGGCCTCTGCCCCATCACAGTGGTGGTGAATAAATTGTTTCTTCACAATGGAAACCACAAAGTCTTATTAGAACAATTAAAGAAGACTTAAATAAGTGGAGAGAAATACCAATTCAAGATTGAAAAACTCAGTAGTATAAGATGTCAATTCTCCCTAAATGCATTTGTCAGGGTTCTCCAGAGAAACACAACCAATAGGATATAGAAATATATACAGAATGAAATTAATTATGAGGAATTGGCTGGTATGGTTATGGAGGCTGAGAAGTTTCATTATCTGCTGTCTGCAAGCTGAAGGCCCAGGAAAGCTGGTGGTATAATTTAGTCCAATTCTGATAGCCTGAGAACCAGGGGGTCACAAGTGTAAGTCCCAGTCCAAGTCTGAAGGCCTGAGAACCAGGACCACCAATGTCCGAGAGCTGGAGGAGACAGATGCCTCAGCTCAGGCAGAGGTAGTATTTTTACCCTTCTTCTGCCTTTTTGTTCTATTTCAGCCTTCTGTGTATTAGATGATGCCCACTCACATTGGTGAATGTGAACTTCTTTACTCAGTCTACCAGTTCAGATGCTGATCTCCTCCAGAAATACCCTCGCCAACATACCCAGAAATAATATTTTACCAGTTACCTGGGCATCCCTTGGCCCAGTCAAGTTGACATAAAATTAATCATCACACCAAATTAATCTATAAATTCAGTGTTTGATCCCAGTCAAAATCCCAGCTGGGTTTGTGTGTCTGTATGTGTGTGTGTGGAAATTGTCAAACTGATATGAAAATTCACATTGAAATACAAATAGATATAGCATACCAGAAAGAGGATTGATCCCCTGAGCTTGAATCCTAACTCTAACACCTACCAGCTGTATCAATTCGGACATGTTGCTTATCAATCTAAGCCTTTGTTTTTTTTGTTTGTTTGTTTTTGTTTTGTTTTGATTTTTATGAAAATCTACCTCACAGAATCATAAGGGTAAAATGAGACAATGTATGTTTAAAAAAAGAAAGACACAGTACCTAACATGTAGTAGATGTTCAACAAATGATAGGTAGCATTAAAAGGCCTCAAGATGTAAAAACTAGTGTTAGCAATAGACCGTATATCTAGAAGTGTCAGAGACTAATTCAACTTTAAAGCTAAAAGAAAGAGAACACAACTAGGATCTCTGTTTTCTCAGCTTTCCTTCACTCAACAACCCCTTACATTCTAGCTGTCCAGGTTTCAAAGGAAGAAGTTTGGATACATAAATTTGGGAGTCATCAGCATCCAGGTATCATTTAAAGCTATAAGCTGATCAGGTTGCCATTGGGGTAAAGATAGAGATGAGCAGAGAGTCTGGTCCTGACCCTGGGACTCCTCATCAGTGAGAACTTGTAAGAGGCACATGAGGCAACAAGGTAGAAGGAAAACTGGAGACTGCTGAGGTTTATGGCCTGAAACTATGTTCACCTAATGTAAGACTGGTCATTTTTGTTGTTGGAAACTTGAATGATTTTTGTAACCTTCTCCTTTGCATTTGTCTCTCTTGCTTGAATTGTTTATGATAAGTATACACAATTTAAACAGAAACAAAGAAAGTAACTATGGAATTATTTTGGTCTAAAATACCTGAGAAATCCTAAATAAATCTCAAACAGACAATCTCCTCTTTTGAGTCCTTTGTACTCCTCTACACCATTCATTCAATACGGCTTTTCATCATCACCACTGGGGCACTTCATTTCTAAAGATTTTATCTAGGCTGGGTGTGGTGGCTCACGACTGTAATCCCAACACTTTGGAAGGCTGAGGCGAGTGGATCAATTAAGGTCAGGAGTCTGAGACCAGCCTGACCAACATGGTGAAACCCCCCTACTAAAAATACAAAAATTAGCTGGGCATGGTGGTGGATGCCTGTAATCCCAGCTACTTGGGACGCTGAGGCAGGAGAATTGCTTGAACCCAGGAGGCAAAGGTTGCAGTGAGCCAAGATCATGCAACTGCACTCCAGCCTGGGCAACAGAGTGAGACTCCATCACAAAAAACAAAAAACAACAACAAAAAAAGATTTAATCTACCTGCTAAAAAATGCCAAGCACAAGGCAAGACATAGTATTTCATGAAAACAGGATGAAAAATATAAGAAAGGGGCTGTCACTTGGAAACTCAAAACTTCTGTGCTTAATTTCATACTCTATGAGGCTCATGTTTATCTGCCTATAATATCACATTTATATGCAACACCTACAATAACACACCTATATGCAACAAGTCTTTATTCCACACCCAACATAAAAAGTGCATACGTGCACAAATACACAGAGAGACACACATACACACACATACACATGCATGTACAGGCACAAACACACAAACAACTACCTGACTCTTCAAGGCACTATTTTGTAACTTTTTCCCCTTCCATGTTGACCTTTGCCTTTGAGGTTGGGGAAGGGTCTTGATTAAAGTAAATATAAGCATAGACATAAAATGCCCTCTCTTCAAACTTTAAAGTCAAATTCTTAGTGAGGCTTTGAAATATTTAGATGCTGCAATAACTATTTTTTTAATTTTTAATTTTCATGGGTACATAGCAGGTGTATGTATTTATGGGGTACATGAGATGTTTTGAAACAGGCATGCCATGCTTAATAATCGCATCATGGAAAATGGGGTATGAATCCCTTCAAGCATTTATCCTTTGTGCTATAAATGATCTAATTTTACTCTTTTATTTATTTTAAAATGTACAATTAAATTATTATTGACTATAGTCCCCCTGTTTTGTTATCAAATATTAGGTCTTATTCATTCTTTTGAACTATTTTTTTTGTACCCATTAACCATCACTGCCTCCCCTACACACACCCACACTACCCTTCCTAGCCTCTGGTAACCACCCTTCTACTCTCTATGTCCTGGATTTCAATTGTTTGATTTTTAGATCCCATAAATAAGTGAGAACATGCAATGATTGTCTTTTTGTGCCTGGTTAATCTCACATTATGTTAATAACATAATGACCTCCAGTTCCATTATTGCAAATGACATGATTTCATTCTTTTTTATGGCTGAATAGTACTCCATTGTGTATAAGTACCACATTTTCTTTACCCATTCATCTGTTGATGGACACTTAGGTTGCTTCCAGATCTTGGCTATTGTGAATAGTGCTGCAATAAACATGGGAGTGCAGATATCTCTTCAATATACTGATTTCATTTCTTTTGGTTATATACTCAGCAGTGGGATTGCTAGATCATATGGTAGCTCTATTTTTAGTTTCTTGAGGAACCTCTAAACTTTTCTTCATAGTGGTTGTACTAATTTCCATTCCCATCAACAGTGTACAAGGGTTCCCTTTTCTCCATATTCTTGCAAGCACGTGTTATTGCCTGTCTTTTGGATATAAGCCATTTTAACTGGAATGAGATGATATCTCATTGTACTTTTGATTTGCAATTCTCTGATGATCAGTGATGTTGAACCTTTTCATATGCCTGTTTGCCATTTGTAGGTCTCCTTTTGAGAAATGTTGCAAGAACTATTTTTGAGAAAAGGCTCCAGCTTTTGAGCCCAGGAGAAAGGTCAGTGTTTGAAAGACGTTCACTGTTCCTGTTTGTGTTCAAGGGAAAATAAGGTGTCGATACAGATATGCTGAACACCTTTTCCAAGATACTTATCAAATCATCTTCTAAAACATATCTCAATTCAACACATTGACACCCACTCTGTACTGGCTATCACTCTAGGTACTAGGAGCATACAAATAGATACTTTGTTTAAAGCCAAATTTTCTGTTTAAGGTCTAATATTTTAAATGTTATGAATTACTGCTATTCAATAGTGTCCAATTCTCCGGGTCCAAGGGAACTGTTCTTCCTTGAACCCTTGAAGTTAGAGGTGATCTTGTGGCTTGCTTTGGACAATGAATAGAGACCTGACATATTTCACTTCTGAATATCTGTGCTCAACTATGCAGCTCTCTCATCTCCTACCATGGTGAGATTCACAACATGTGCTGAAATTGATGTTCCGTGAAATTGATGAGACCTGGAATAGATAGCCAATATAGGACAGCTTCCCTGGGGATTTTCCTCAACCCACGGCAGACTTTTCAAGACAGAGAAATAAACTCTTATGTATTATCAGTGTGATTTTGGGATTGCTTCTTACTGCATCAAAACCTCACATATGCCCGGCATGGTGGCTCAAGCCTGTAATCCCAGCACTTTGGGAGGCCAAGGCAGGTGGATCACCTAAGGTCAGGAGTTGGAGACCAGCCTGGCCAACATGGTGAAACCCTGTTTCTACTAAAAATACAAAAAAAATTAAAAATACCAAAAAAAAAAAAAAAAAAACCCTCACATATGAGGCCGCGTACAGTGGCTCATGCCTGTAATCCTAGCACTTTTGGAGGCCGAGGAGGGTGGATTGCCTGAGCCCAGGAGTTCGAGACCAGCCTGGGCAATGCGGTGAAACCCTGTCTCTACTAAAAATACAAAAAAAATTAGCCCAGCATGATGGTACACATCTGCAATCACAGCTACTTGGGAGGCTGAGGTATGAGAATTGCTTGAACCCAAGAGGCAGAGGTTGCAGTGAGCCGAGATCGTGCCACTGCACTCTAGCCTGGGTGACAGAGCAAGACTCCATCTCAAAAACAAAACAAAACAAAACTTCACATATGTGATACAGCTCTTCCTTGGTTCTGTTTGTTGTTTTTATGAAGTTGAATGCCTTCCTTTATTCCTGCTATTTCCTTTACCTAAACGGAGGACCTATTTTGGCACTAGGATGTTTGTCTGACCTGATTAGGATACAGAGAGACAGGATCCTGTTTTCCTCTATCTGGTTTCTGAGTTTTATGTGAGTCTGGAGCCACAGACATAGATTTTCGAGTCAACATTATTAAGGAAGTTATTAAATCCAAACAAGTGGATGTTATTGTCTATGACAAATGTGTCAATGAAAGCATAACGGACTTAAGGCAGAGACCTGGGGAACAACAACATTTAAGGGATACACAGTGGAAGAAGAAAGAACCAAAGAAAGAAATGAGATGATACCTCAAGAGAAAAAAAATTCTGTAGCCACAGAAGCCAAAGGATAATAACATTTCTAGAATTAGTAGTCTAGAGTTACAAAGGCAGCAGCAAAATCAAGTAAATTGAGGACAGAAAGTGCTCATTAGAAATGGTGGATTGAACACATATAATTACGACCATGCTGTTGGAAAATCACACTAGAAGGAATGTAAATGGTTTTTATTATTATTATTATACTTTAAGTTCTAGGGTACATGTGCACAACATGCAGGTTTGTTACATATGTATACACGTGCCATGTTGGTGTGCTGCACCCATTAACTCATCATTTATTTCTGCTAATACTATCCCTCCCCACTTCCCCCACCCCACGACAGGCCCTGGTGTGTGATGTTCCCCTCCCTGGGTCCAAGTGTTCTCACTGTTCAATTCCCACCTATGAGTGAGAACAGGCGGTGTTTGGTTTTCTGTCCTTGCGATAGTTTGCTCAGAATGATGGTTTCCAACTTCATCCATGTCTCTACAAAGGACATAAATTTATCCTTCTTTATGGCTGCATAGTATTCCATGGTGTATATGTGCCATATTTTCTTAATCTAGTCTGTCATTGATGGACATTTAGATTGGTTCCAAGTCTTCGCTATTCTGAATAGTGCTGCGATAAACATATGTGTGCATGTGTTTTTATAGTAGCATGATTTATAATCCTTTGGGTATATACCCAGTAATGGGATGGCTGGGTCAAACAGTATATCTAGTTCTAGATCCTGGAGGAATCACCACACTGTCTTCCACAATGGTTGAACTAGTTTACAGTCCCACCAACAGTGTAAAAGCATTCCTATTTCTCCACATCCTCTCCAGCACCTGTTGTTTCCTGACTTTTTAATGATCGCCATTCTAACTAGTGTGAGATGGTGTCTCATTGTGGTTTTGATTTGCATTTCTCGGATGACCAGTGATGATGAGCATTTTCTCATGTGTCTGTTGTTGACTGCATAAATGCCTTCTTTTGAGAAGTGTCTGTTCATATCCTTTACCCACTTGTTGATGGGGTTGTTTGATTTTTTCTTGTAAACTTGTTTAAGTTCTTTGTAGATTCTGGATATTAGCCCTTTGTCAGATGAGCAGACTGCAAACATTTTATCCCATTCTGTAGGTTGCCTGTTCACTCTGATGGTAGTTTCTTTTGCTGTGCAGAAGCTGTTTAGTTTAATTAGATCCCATTTGTCAATTTTGGCTTTTGATGCCATTGCTTTTGGTGTTTTACACATGAAGTCCTTGCCCATGGCTATGTTCTGAATGGTATTGCCTAGGTTTTCTTCTAGGGTTTTTATGGTTTTAGGTCTAACATTTAAGTCTTTAATCCATCTTGAATTAATTTTTGTATAAGGTGTAAGGAAGGGATCCAGTTTCAGCTTTCTACATATGGCTAGCCAGTTTTCCCAGCACCATTTATTAAATAGGGAATCATTTCCCCATTTCTTGTTTTTGTCAGATTTGTCAAAGATCAGATGGTTGTAGATGTGTGGTGTTATTTCTGAGGCCTCTGTTCTGTTCCATTGGTCTATATCACTGTTTTGGTACCAGTACCATACTGTTTTGGTTACTGTAGGCTTGTAGTATAGTTTGAAGTCGGGTAGCGTGATGCCTCCAGCTTTGTTCTTTTGGCTTAGGATTGTCTTGGCAATGAGGACTCTTTTTTGATTCCATATGAACTTTAAAGTAGTTTTTTCCAATTCTGTGAAGAAAGTCATTGGTAGCTTGATGGGGATGGCATTGAATCTATAAATTACCTTGGGCAGTATGGCCATTTTCACAATATTGATTCTTCCTATCCATGAGCATGGGATGTTCTTCCATTTGTTTGTGTCCTCTTTTATTTTGTTGAGCAGTGGTTTGTAGTTCTCCTTGAAGAGGTCCTTCACATCCCTTGTAAGTTGGATTCCTAGGTATTTTATTCTCTTTCTAGCAATTGTGAGTGGGAGTTCACTCATGATTTGGCTCTCTGTTTGTCTGTTATTGGTGTATAGGAATGCTTGCGATTTTTGCACATTGATTTTGTATCTGAGACTTTGCTTAAGTTGCTTATCAGCTTAAGGAGACTTTGGGCTGAGATGATGGGGTTTTCTAAATATACAATCATGTCATCTGCAAACAGGGACAATTTGACTTCCTCTTTTCCTAATTGAATACCCTTTATTTCTTTCTCTTGCCTGATTGTCCTGGACAGAACTTCCAATACTATGTTGCATAGGAGTGGTGAGAGAAGGCATCCCTGTCTTGTGCCAGTTTTCAAAGGGAATGCTTCCAGTTTTTGCCCGTAAGTGGATTTTTAAAAGACATAGCCTCACAAGCCCAGAGTTAACGAGAGAAGAAATGACAGTAACACATTAACATAAGATGGAAAGCAGATGAAAGAGTGGTCATTAACCTACTGGACCAGAGAATGGTGAAAATTAAGCTGGAATGGAACAACTTAGAAGAAGGTTAATTCAAGCAAAGCCTCAAAACACTGCAGGAATTGGAGGCACCAGGTACCTCTGAAAGTAGAGATACAATTAACCTAAAAACAAAAGAACTATGTTGGGCATGATGACAAGTGCCTGTAGTCCCCTACTGCTTAGGAAACTGAAGAGAGAGGATCACTTGAGCACAAGAATTTGTGAGGTTGAGCCCAGCCTGGTAAACACACTAGAGACTAGTCTCTTGAAAAAAAAAAAAAAAAAGAACTAGTTGAAGACATCTAAAAAGAATAGTTGTAAGCCCAGATCCCTCCCTCACCCATGACTCTTCCTCAGATCCCGGAAGTCTACATGTTTACTACTAGAGAGTCACTGGTCTTAGTGTACCAAGACATCTAGGAGAAAGGAGGCATACCAAAAACAAGGAGATAAGGCCACACTCCCTCATGGATCCCTTGTCACTTTCCTGGTCTGCTTCAAGAACACTGGTAGCCTGGTAGCCATGCTTTTAAAGGACTCCTTTCTGAGCACCCAGTGAGAGTTCAGCCAGACCATCTTACGATGAAGCCCACCAATTAACCAGCCCTGACAATCATAGGGTGTCCAAATAGCTTTTGACTGTCTCAGTGTTTTTGTTTTTGTTTTGAGATGGAGTTTCATTCTTACTACCCAGGCTAGAGTGCAATGGCGCGATCTCAGCTCACTGCAACCTCCGCCTCCCAGGTTCAAGTGATTCTCCTGCCTCAGCCTCCAAAGTAACCGGGATTACAGGCCACTATGCCTGGCAAATTTTTGTATTTTTAGTAAAGACTGGGTTTTGCCATGTCAGCCAGGCTGGTCTCAAACTCCTGACCTCAGGTGATCTGCCTGCCTCAGCCTCCCAAAGTGCTGGGATTACAGGCAAAAGCCACTGCACCCGGCCGACTGTCACAGTCTTGAATATAAAATATGAGCCAAAAGCCTAAAATCATTAAGCAATTGAAGAAAGCCTCAAAAATGGAAAGACAGAACCAAAATAGCCAATATTGTTTTGAAAAAAGAAACCCTGAGGACACAGGAAGCAAAATAAAACTTTTGAAAATGCATAACATGGAATAACATTTAACATTTAAATAAGCCTGAATGTTAATCTTTGCAAAATAAGAAGAGAAACTGAATCTGTTGAAAAACAGGAATCTCTAAAAAAAGGAACATCCAGAAAATGAAAAAGATTTTTTGAAAATTAGAAATATGAGGCTGGGTGTGGTGGTTCACGCCTGTAATCCCAGCACTCTGGGAGGCCGAGGTGGGTGGCTCACCTGAGGCCAAGAGTTCAAAACCAGCCCGGCCAATATGGCAAAACCCTGTCTCTACTAAAAGAACAAAAATTATGCAGGCATGGTGGCGCAGGCCTGTAATCCCAGCCACTCAGGAGGCTGAGGCAGAAGAGTCATTTGAAACCAGGAGATGGAGGTTTCAGTGAACCCAGATCGTGCCACTGCACTCCAGCCTGGGTGACAGAGCAAGTCTCTATCTCAAGGAAAAAAAAAAAAAAAAAAAAAAAAAAAAAAAAAATATATATATATATATATATATATATATATATATATATATATATATATATATATATATATATATATGAGAGTTTGGCTAGGTATGGTAGCTCTTCCTGTAATCCCATCACCTTGGAAGGTTGAATCAGGAGGATCGCTTGAGCCCAGGAGTTTGAGGACCAGCCTGAGCAACATAGGGAGACCCTGTCTCTTAAAAAAATAAAAAAAGCAATTAGCCAGGCCTGGTGGTGGGCACCTGTGGTCCCAGCTACTTGGGAGGCTGAGGTGGGAGGACCACTTGGGGCAGGGAGGTGGAGGCTACAGTAAGCCGTGATTGCTCTACTGCACTCTAGCCTGGGTGACAGAGCAAGACCCTCTCTCAAAGATGAAATTAAATAAATAAATAAGAATATGACAGTCAAAATAAAAAAATGTAGAAAAATGATTAAGATAACATTGAGAAAAAATTCTTTAAAGTAGATAATAGATAATGAAAGGAATAGAAAATGGAAAATAAACGACAAAATCAGAGAATTAGGTCAGGAAGTACAGGATAGTTAAGGAAGATATAACAGTTTTGAAAATGTAAGGGAGAAAATTGTCAAAGAAATATTTGAAGGAAAGTTCCCCAAAGTGGAGGTCATTTGTTCTTGTTGTGCAGTGTACAGGCCTATGTAAACCTAACCCTAAAGTCCGAAGAAGGTGAGAGGCCAAAGAAAGAGGCTGACAAACCCAGTTTCTTATGAAGAAATCATTTAATAGAGACTTACAAACAGAAGCGATGTCTGTGTCTCAGGCAACTGCAAGATGAGATGGTGGATCCCCATACCATTAACCCCAAGACCCAGGGCTTATGTACCCTAGGGGAGAGGTTGTTCAGAAGGGATGTTTAGAACAATTGTAGTATGATAACATCAAAATTGTTTGACCTAGGGGCAGGATTTATAATAAGTACCTGCTCTTACACAAGGAACAATAGATAAATTGGAAATCTTAGATGCTTTCTTGGAATAGGGGCTAATTAGAGGCCAACATGATGGATTAACTTCCAAGATGGAGTTCCTTTAGCCTCCACAGTTCCCAGATTGAGAAGGTCTGCTATGGGCTCAGAAAACTGGATGAAAAAAGAGAAAATCCACTCTAAGTCATGTCATCATGACATTTCAGATTACTAGGGACAAAGAGAAGATACTAAGTGTCTAGCAGCAAAGTCAATGGTGGAAGGCAGATAACTATCAAGGAAAGTTCAAGTAAAAAGGTTCCCCTTTTAGAATGGTTTCGGACATCTCAACAGCAATGCTAGAAGCCAGAACACAATGGAACTTATTTCCAATCTAGAATTCTATACCCAGCAATCTAGTGTGAGAGCTGATTACAACTTTTTCACATGTCAGAGACTCAAAATATTTATATCTCATGCTTCATATCAGGAAGAACCTGGAAGATGTGCTCCATCAAATTGAAGGAATAAACCAAGAGATTCAGGAAATGAGATCTAAGACAGTAGTGAGGAAAAAAGAATGGATGACAAAGGGAAATTATAGGGCGACAGGCCTAGGAAGCAACCGGGATATGTGGGACCAAGGCAAGGGGAAGTCTTGGGAGGTATGCCTCTAACAAAGAGATGGACTTAATCAGCTTATCTGATATATTTGAAAATATTGAATGGAGAGTTATACTCCGTGGGAGTTTGGAGATGAATTAGTAACAGGTTCCTAGAAAACTTGCCAAACAAAAACTGAGGCAATTTTTAACTCTACTAATAAAAATTCCATTAGAGAAGAAATACAATACATTAAAAGGTGACAGGTAAGCAGTATTTACAGTAGCATAATAACACAGAATGTTGATTTAACCTAAAATTATGATATATCTAAACTGAGCAGACTGGGGAGAGGAAGTATTAGCCTGCTCAGTCTGCTATAATAAAATACCATAGTCTTGGTGGCTTAAGCAACAGGAAGTTATTTACCTGAGTTCTGGAGGCTGTAATGTCCAAGATCAAGGTGCTGTCAAGGTAGGTTTTATTCTGACACCTCTTCTCTTAGCTTATAGACAGCCATCATCTCTCCATGTATTCAAATGGACTTTTTTTTGTGTGCATGTAAACAGGGGGAAGTGGTAAGGAGCAAGGAAGCTCTCTGTTATCTCTTCTTTTTGCTGTAGCAAATAACTTAATCTTTAATGGCATATTCCATGAACAACCCCAAAACTATATGGATTAAAATACAGCATTACTTTATATCACACTACAAAGCAAACACCATACCTTGTAAGTTAAATTGATAGTAAGATGGTTTCTAAATTAAGTGATAGGAAACTGTGAAAAAAATGTAATACAAGAATTTATCAAATATCCAAAGTCACTTTTCTTTTTTATATCTTCTGGAGTTCTTTTTCCAGTGAGCTTGTGGATTCTGTGAGTATAGATCATGATATACACTTCTATAAACACTATCGGGCCTATCTTTTTAAAACATTATATGTATTTATTTTTTCCTTTCAATAGCTTTTGGCACATGTGGTTGGTTATTAGTTACATGGATAAATGGTATAGTGGTGAAGTAAGGGCTTTTAGTTTACCTGCCACCTGCATGGTATACATCACACCCTATAGGTATTTTTTTATTCCTCACCCCCCTCCCATGCTCCCCACTTCTGAGTCTCCAATGTCCATTATGCCTCTCTGTATGTCTTTGTGTATCCGTAGCATAGCTCCCACTTATAAGTGAGAACATACAGTATTTGACTTTCCATTCTTGAATTACTTCACTTAAAATAATGGCCTCCAGCTCTATCCAATTTGCTGCAAAAGACATTAGTTCATTCTTTTACGTGGCATATATGTATATATGTATACCACATTTTCTTTATCCACTCATCATCACTTAATGGGTACTTAGGCTGATTCCATACCTTTGCAAATGTGAATTGTGCTTTGATAAACATATACATGCAAGTGTCTTTTGTATATGATGACTTCTTTTCCTTTGGGTAGATACCCAGTAGGGGGATTGTTGAATCAAATGGTAGGTCTACTTTTAGTTATTTAAGAAATCTCTGCCCAGGCATGGTGGCTCATGCCTGTAATCCCAGTACTTTGGGAGGCCAAGGCGGGCAGATCATGAGGTCAGGAGTTTGAGACCAGCTTGGCCAACATAGTGAAACCCCGTCTCTACTAAAAAACACAAAAAAATACAAAAATTAGCCAGGCATGGTGGTATGTGCCTGTAGTCCCAGCTACTTGGGAGGCTGAGGCAAGAGAATCGCTTGAACCTGGGAGGTGGAGGTTGCAGTGAGCCAAGATCACGCCACTGCACTCCAGCTTGGGCAACAGAGTGACACTTCGTCTCAAAAAAAAAAATAAAAAAGAAATCTCCATACTGTTTTCCACAGAGGTTGTACTGATTTACATTCCCATCAATAGAATACAACATTCCCTTTTCACCATATCTGTGCCAATATCTATAGTTTTTTCCCCTTTTAATAATGGCCATTCTGGCTGGGGTAGGATAGTATCTCATTGTGGTTTTAATTTTCATTTCCTTGATGATTAGTGATATTCAGCATTTTTCTTATACTTTTGTTGGCCATTTTTATATCTTCTTTTGAGAGATGTTTATTCATGTCATTTGCCTGCTTTCTGATGAGACTATTGGTTCTTTTCTTGCTGATTTGTTTGAGTTCCTTGTAGAGTCTGAATATTAGTCCTTTGTCAGAGGCACAGTTTGCAGATATTTTCTTCCGTTCTTTCGGTTATGTGTTTACCCTGATGATTATTTCCTTCATTGTTCAGAAACTTTTTAGTTTCACTAAGTCCCATTTATTTTTGTTTTGTTGCATTTGCTTTTGGGGTCTTAGTCATAAATTTTTTGCCTAGCCCCATGTCTAGAAGAGTTCTCTCTATGTTTTCTTCTAGAATTTTTATGGTTTCAGGTCTTAGATTTAAGTATTTTATCCATCCTGAGTTGATTTTTGTATATGGTGAGAGATAGGGATCCAGTTTTGTTCTTCTACGTGAGGCTATCCATTTTCCCAGCATCATTTATTGAATAGGATGTCCTTTCCTCAATGTATGTTTTTGTGTGCTTCTCAAAGACCAGTTGGTTGTAAGTATTTGTCTTTATTAATTGGTTCTCTATTCTGTTCCATTGGTCTATGTATCGACTTTTATACCAATACCATGCTGTTTTGGTTACTATAGCCTTTTGGTATAATTTGAAGTTGGGTAATGTGCTGCCTCCATATTTATTATTTTTGCTTAGGATTGTTTTGGTTATTCAAGTTCTTTATTGGTTTCATATGCATTTTAGGATGGTTTTTTCTAATTCTGAGAAAAATGATGAGTCTTTAGGGTTTTCTAGATATATGATCACATCATCCGCAGTAGTAGTTTGACGTCCTCTTTTCCAGTTTGTTTGCCCTTTATTTATTTCTCTTGCCTGATTGCTCTGGCTAGGACTTCCAGTACTGTGTTGAATAGAAGTGGTGAAGGTAGGCATCCTTGTCATGTTCCACTTCTCAGGAGGAATGCTTTGAACTTTTCTCCATTCAGTATAATGTTGCCTGTGAGTTTGTCATAGACGGCTTTTATTATTTTGATGTATGTTCCTTCTATGGTTAGTTTGTTAAGGGTTTTTGTTATAAAGCAATACTGGATTTTATCAAATGCTTTTTCTTCATCTATTGAGATGATCATGTGGTTTTTGTTTTAATTCTGTTTATGTGATGTATCACATCTGTTTACTTGCATAGGTTAAATTATCCTTGGATCCCCTAGTGAAACTCATTTGATCATGGTGTATCATCTTTTTGATGTGCTGTTGGATGCAGTTTGCTAGTATTTTGTTGAGCATTTTTGCATCTGTTTGTATCAGGGATATTGGTCTTTAGTTTTCTTTTTTTGTTATGTCCTGTCCTGGATTTGGTATTATGGTGACATTGGCTTCATTAGTGAGTTAGGAAAGATTCCTTCTTTATCAATCTTTTGGAATAGTTTCAGCAGAGTTAGTACCAGTTCTTCTTTGAATGTCTGGTAGAATTCAGCTGTGAATTCATTTGGCCTGGGCTTTTTTGTTGTTTTTGGCAATTTTTTTATTACTGATCAATCATATTGCTTGTTATTGTTCTGTTTAATGTTCCTATTTATTCCTGATTCAATCTAGGAGGGTTTTATGTTTCCAGGAATGTATCTATTTTCTCTAGAATTTCTAGTTTGTGTGCATAGAGGTGTTCATAGTAGTCTCAAATTATCTTTTATATATCTGTGGTGTTGGTGGTAATGTCTCCAATTTTATTTCTGATTTAGCTTACTTAAATCCTTTCTTCTTGTTTAATCTAGCTAATGGTCTATTGATTTCATTCATCTTTTCAAATAATCAACTTTTTGTTTCATTGATCTTTTGTATTTTTCTTTCAATTTCATTTAGTTTTACTTTGATCTTTGTTATTTATTTTCTTCTGCTAGCTTTGGGTTTGGTTTTTTCTTGTTTCTCTAGTTCCTTGAAGTATGAATTTGTGATCTTTCAGACTTTTTTATGTAGGCATTTGGCACTATAGACTTTCCTCTTAGCACTGCTTTTGCTATATCTCAAAGGTTTTGTTAACTTGTGTCACTATTATCGTTCATTTCAAAGATTTCCATCTTGATTCCATTGTTAACCCAAAAGTCATTCAGGATTAGATTGCTTAATTTCCATATATTTGTAAAGTTTTGAGGGTTCCTTTTGGAGTTCATTTTTAGTTTTATTCCACTGTGGTTTGAGAAGATACTTGATATGATTTCAATTTTTTAAATTTATTGAGACTTGTTGTGTGGTCTATTATATGATCTATCTTGGAGAATGTTCCTTGTGCTGATGAGAAGAATGTATATTCTTCAGCTCTTGGGTAGACTGTCATAAATATACGTTAGGTTCATTTGTTCAAAAGTGTAGTTTAAGTCCAATGTTTCTTTGTTGACTTTCTTCCTTGATGATCTGTCTAGTGCTGTCAGTGGAGTGTTGAAGTCTCCCACTATTGTCATGTTGCTGTCTATCTCTTTCTTATGTCCAGTAGTAATTATTTTATGAATCTGGGAGCTCCAGAGTTAGGTGCATATATATTTAGGATTGTAATTTCTTCTTGTTGCATTGATCCTGTTATCATTATACGATGGCTTTCTTTGTCTTTTCTTATTGTTGTTGCTTTAAAGTCTTTTTTTTTTTTTTTTTTTTGAGACAAGCTCTTGCTTTGTCACCCAGGCTGGAGTACAATGGTACAATCTCAGCTCACTGCAACCTCCACCTCCCATGTTCAAGCAATTCTCCTGTCTCAGCCTCCTAAGTAGCTGGGACTACATGTGGATGCCACTGCACCCCGCTGAATTTTTGTATTTTTAGTAGAGATGGGGTCTCACCATGTTGTCCAGGCTAAGTCTATTTTACCTGATATAAGAATAGCTTCTCTTGCTTGCTTTTGTTTCCATTTGTGTGGAATATCTTTTTCCATCCCTTTACCTTGAGTTTATAAGAATCCTTCTGTGTTGACTGAGTTTCTTGAAGACAGCAGATATTTGGTTTGTGATTTTCTATCTATTCTGCCAATCTGTACCTTTTAAGTGTAGCGTTTAGACCACTTATGTTCAATGCTAATATTGAGATGCGAGGTACTGTTCCAGTCATCATGCTGATTGTTACCTAGACATTTTGTTTTCTTCATTGTGTTATTTCTTATAAGCCCTGTGAGTTGCATGCTTTCAAGAGGTTCTACATTTTGTTTCAAGATTTAGAATTCTATTTAGCATTTCTTTTAGGATGGTCTGGTAGTGACAAATTCACTCAGCATATGTTTGTCTAAAAAAGACTTTATTTCTCTTTAATTTATGAAACTTGGTTTTGCTGGACATAAAATTCTTGGATGATAGTTATTCTGTTTAAGAAGGTTAAAGATAGGACCCCAGTCCCTTCTGGCCTGTAAGGTTTCTCCTGAGAAGTCTGCTGTTAGTCTGATAGGTTTTCCTTTATAGGTTATCTGACACTTTTATCTCACTGCCCTTAGAACTCTTTCCTTCACATTGACTTTAGATAGCCTAATGACTGTATGCCTTGGTGATATCCTTTTTGCAGTGAATCTCCTAGGAATTATCTAAGCTTCTTGTATTTGGATATCTAAATCTGCAGCAAGGCCAGATAAATTTTCCTCAATTCTTCCCTCAAATAAGTTTTCCAAATTTTTTTCTCTCTCTTCTCCCTTGGGAACATCAATGATTCTTTGGTTTGGCCAATTTACATAATCCAATATTTCTTGGAGACTTTGTTCATTTCTTTTAACTCTTTTCTCTTTATCTTTGTCTGATTAGGTTAATTCAAAAGCCTTGTCTTCAAGTTTTGAGATTCTTTCTTCTACTTGTCCTAGTGTATTCTTAAAACTTTCTACTGCCTTTAGTAATTCCCTAAATGTGTTTTTCATTTCCAGAAGTTTGGATTGTTTTTTCTTTAAGATATATATCTCTTTAGAAAATTTTTCATTCATATTCGGAATTTTTTAAAATTTCTTTATGCTGGTTGTCACCTTTCTCTTATATCTCCTTGAATACCTTAATCATCAGCTTTTTAAATTCTTTATCTAGTATTTCAAAGATTTCCTCTTGGTTTGCATCCATTTTTGGAGAGCTAGTGCAATTTTTGGGGGGTATTATAGAACCTTGTTTTGTCATATTGCCAGAATTATTTTTCAGTTCCTTCTCATTTGGGTAGACTGTTTCTTCTAATTATTCTTCCCCACCCCCCACCCCACCCTGAGACGGATTCTTGCTCTTCACCTAGGCTAGAGTGCAGTGGTGCAATCTTGGCTCGCTTCAACCTCCATCTCCCAGGTTCAAGTGATTCTCCTGCCTCAGCCTCTCGAGTAGCTAGGATTACAGGTGTGCGCCGCCACACGCGGCTAATTTTTTTTGTATTTTTAGTAAAGACAAGGTTTCACCATGTTGGTCAGGCTGATTTTGAACTCCTGACCTTGTGATCTGCCTGCCTCAGCCTCCCAAAGTGCTGGGATTAGAGGCATGAGCCACTGCACCAAGCCTCTTCTAATTATTCTTAGATTTATTTTTGATTCAACTGTGTCTTTTTTTAAAAAAAAGAAAATTCTTTCTTTTTTCCCTTGAGGATGTGACTTTAATGTTTACAGTTTACTGTAGCCTAATTCAGCTCTCATTGCTTTCAGGGGTGAAGACTCTGTATGAGTTCCTTTGTTATAGACAGTCTTTGTATGATGGCTTTCTCAGATGCTTGTTGTAGTAGAAATGTGTTCAGTGTGTGAGCAGGTTCACCATCTCCTGTAGGGTTGGAATGTCAGAGCTCTCTTGAAGCTTATCTCATTCCCCAGTGATGTGCACTTTTATATTTACATATTTATCCCCCAGTATTTGATCTACTGGGTTGAACATTTCAGACTTCAGACCAGTAAGGAAGGTATCCCTGGGTAGAAACTGGTTGTGGCTAAATCAGGTGGGTAAAAGCAATACCAAATGGTGGGCAGAGGTCCCAGCCTTAACAGAGGCAGCTGAGGGAGCTCTCAGTGAAATGTACTGAGGTTTTATCAGGGGGAAGGTTGGAAGTCACCTCAGCTCACCAGGCCAGCAGGAAAGTGATCCACCTCCTAGTTACACTCCTGACCCAGTGTTCCAGCAATTCATACCAGATGGGCACCTCTTTTTGGCTGCAGGAATTTTGATATTCCATGTAGAAAGGACCTGTGACTCTAGCCACTGTGCAAGCCTAAACCTGGAGGGTACTCCTCCTGCAGGGATGCAGTCACTCCAAAGTGTTCCAGAAAGGCTGTCTGTAGGTACACCCTCACTGAGGTCCCATGGGAGTATCCCAGATATGTCTTCAGTGGCAGATGAAGGAGAAAAGAAGTCCCCTTCTCCTTCACAAGTACCAAGGCTGCCTGACTGCTGGGATAAAGCCAGAGACTTTTCCTGCTGAGCCCAGCACTGCACCTGCACCTCTGCTGAAAAAACTTCTCACAAGCAGAAAGTTCTGGGACTCAAGGCCTTCCTTCTGGATTATTTTGTCCCTTGAGGTGTTCCGTTGATGTGGTGCACTCCCCCTTCCCCTAAGAGTAGCAGCCCTGAGAGCCAGACTACTGTGAATGCTGCTGCTCCTCTGGGTCTGGCCACCCAGTAGGGCTGCCACACTCCAAACTGTGCTGGGGAATGTCGTCAAGGGATCCAGTGACGTGACCTGTCCTCAAGTCTTCCAGCAGTGGGTACCAGCACTAGTTCTAATGGGGGTGAGAGGGGAGTGATGCAGACTCTGTGACATTCCTTGGTTATAAATAGCCTTATTGTGTTGGCTTTCTCAAATGCCAGGTGTAGTAACAATGAACTGGTCACGTAGACAGACTCAGGATCTCCTGATTAGCCAGGATAGTGCAGGCAATGGTGACAGCTGAAGTCACACACACATTTTCTCCTTCCTGGGCACTGCATTATTCTACCTGCGCCAGTTGGCCTACAGCCAGGTGGTGGTCTTTTTTGAAAGAGTGCCAGCTGCAGTGGTAGAGGTGGGATTTATGCTTGCTTTATGTTACCCAGGGGAGGTACTCTGATGTCTCAAGCAATGGTCAGACCCATTGAGCTCCCAAATGTTTGTGTCCTTTGTGTAAAGCTACCAGGGCAGGTGGAGGGGTAACGCCAGGTGGGGGCTGGGTCAGGCAAGTCTGTGCTCTGGCTCTCCATGTGTGGGGCAAGTAGCAGCCCCAGTGGGGATTGGAAGGCAGTTCTCTGGCCACTGGGGTAATGTCCCCAGGAGGGGCACAGCTATTGCTGCTGGACAAAAGAATCTACATGGGGAATGGGGTATAGCAGGTGGCAGTAAGCTCCATCCAGCTCCCATGCACTTGTCGAGGCAGTCTCACACCTGCAGTGTTCTGCTGTCAGCAGCTAGCTTGCTTCCAGACAGTCTGCACTCAGAACTCAAAATCGCCCCAAGCCATAAGCTTTCCTGACCAAGACAGAAACCTTGACTTTCAGACCATGCCCCTCCTGGTCCACCCATGAAGCAGGGGCAGCCAGTTCCTGTCCTCATGCCTGCAGCACACTTCCCACTCGCCCCTCAGTTCTGGCCAAGGGCATTTGTCCCCACTCAACATAATATTGCAAATCTCAGTTGGGAGCTTCTCACAACTTGTGACTGCCACCTGGGTCTAGCAGACTTCCAGGAGGTCCCCTGTGAGGTAGGTTCAGGAATCGCCTCGCTCCATCCCTGCTGGAGCTGGACACAAAGCCTGTCCAGGTGCCGCTCCTTCTCATATACTCCTCACCGCTCACTAAATCAGCTCAAGAACTGGGTAGGCTTAAAGCCTTCCCCCATGGCCTGGATTGCCAGGTCCCTCAGTAAAAGTGTATATCCCTGGGGCAGTTTATCCCCCTTTCACACTCTGGGGACTTACAGTTTTCCACCTGGCTTACTGTGTAGGCCTCAGCCTGCCACTTCTTTCAAAGGGCCTGTGGTTTATTTCACTTTTCCTATTGCTTCTTGGAAACAAGTTCACAGTGTGAATCTCTACACACTATTTTCTACACAATATGTTGTCTTCCCAAGTGGGAGAAGAATGCTAATAATGCTTCCAGTTTTCCATCTTCTGTTATCTCTTTTTGGTTTGCTTGTTTGTTGAAATGGAGTTTTACTCTCGTTGCCCAGGCTGGAGTGCAGTGCCGTGATCTCGGCTTACTACAACCCCCACCTCCCTGGTTCAAGCGGTTCTCCTGCCTCAGCCTCCCGAGTAGCTGGGATTACAGGTGCCCACCATGCCAGTCTAATTTTTCTATTTTAGTAGAGATGGGGTTTCATCAAGTTGGTCATGGCTGGTCTCGAACTCCTGACCTCAGGTGATCCACCCACCTCGGCCTCCCAAAGTGCAGGGATTACAGGCGTGAGCCACTGCGCCCAGCCTGTTCTCTCTTCTCACAAGGACCCTAATGCCATCAGACCAGGGCCCCACCTTCCTGACTTCACCTAAACCTAGTTACCTCACCAAAGCCCCATCTCCAAATACCATCACATTGAGGGCTAGGGCTTCAACATATGAGTTCAGGGGTACCCATTCGGTTCATAACAGGAAGAGTGTGTGTGTGTGTGTGTGTGTGTGTGTGCCCCATATATATGTTGTGTAGCAAGGAAGCAAGAGTAGTTTAACTCCTTCTCTTCCATATCTTCCATAGTGAGCTATACCAGTGAAGGTCACAGCAGGACACCTATGGTGGTATACCCTAACTAGGATCATTTGAACAGGGGTTATTTTCAAAAGGACCATTTACAAAGGTATGGGTGTAGGGTGTAGAGGAGCCACAAGAGATAGCACAGTAACGCAGAGCTTAGTCGTAGTTGTGCTGCTACCAACCCTGGGCTCAAGGAGGTAAGAGGAGTGCATGGTGGGTATTTACAGTGTAATTAAAGGTTAAGAGCAGAGACATCAGAGACAGAATAACCTAGACTAACATTTTGCCTCTGCCCCTCACTAGCTGCAGATTCTTGAACAGATTACTCTCTTTGGGCCTCAGTTTCCTTCTTGGCAAAATTTAGACAATAATGCTACCTACCTCCCAGGGCTGTTTATATGTAGTCATGCATTGCCTAACAGTGGGGATATGTTCTGAGAAATGCATCATGAGATGATGTCATCATTGTGTGAACATCATAGAGGAGCTTACACAAACCTAGATGTTATAGCCTACTACACACTTAGGCTATATGGTATAGCCTATTGTTTCTATGCTACAAATCTGTACAGCATGTTACTGTACTGAATACTGTAGGCAATTGTAACACAATGGAAAGTATTTGTATATCTAAACATAGAAAAGGTGCAGTAAAAATACAGTATAAAAGTTAAAAAATTATATACCTGTCCGGGCACAGTGGCTCACACCTGTAATCCCAGCACTTTGGGAGGCCGAGGCAGTGGATCACCTGAGGTCAGGAGTTTGAGACCAGCCTGGCTAACATGGCAAAACCCTGTCTCAACTAAAAATATAAAAATTAGCTGGGCATGGTGACACGCACCTGTAATCCCAACTACTCTGGAGGCCAAGGCAGGAGAATCGTTTGAACCCAGGAGGCAGAGGTTTCAGTGAGCCGAGATCATGCCACAACACTCCAGCCTGGGTGACAGAGTGAGACTCTGTCTCAAAAAATAAATAAATACATAATGGTATACCTGTACAGAGCACTTACTATGAATGGAGCTTGCAGGACTGGCAGCTGCTGTGGGTGAGTCAGTGAGTAGTAAGTGAGTGAAGGCCAAGGACATTACTGCACACTACTATAGACTTTAAAAACACTGTACCCCTAGGCTACACTAAATTTTTTTTTTTAATTTTTCAAAAAAAATTTTTTCTTCAATAGGCCGGGTGTGGTGGCTCATGCCTGTAATCCCAGCACTTTGGGAAGCCAAGGCAGGCGGATCACCTGAGATCAGAAGTTCGAGATGAGCCTAGCCAACATGGTGAAACCCTGTCTCTACTAAAAATACAAAAATTAGCCAGGTGCAGTGGCCCGCACCTATAATCCCAGCTACTTGGGAGGCTGAGGCAGGAGAATCGCCTGAACCCAGGAGGCGGAGGTTGCAGTGAGCCGAGATTGCGCCACTGCACTCCAGCCTGGATGACAGAGTGAGACTCCATCTCAAAAAAAAAAAAAAAAAATATATATATATATATATATATATATATATATACACACACACATACACAATATATGTATACACACATATATATGTTTTCAACGTTTTTACTCTTTTGTAATAACACTTAGCTTAAGAAAAGAAGTCATTATATCAAAAAGACACCTATATATCCATGTTTATCACAGCACAACTCACAATTGCAAAGATTTGGAACCAACCTAAGTGCCCATCAACAGATAACTGAATTAAAAAAAATGTGATATACGGCTGGGCACGGTGGCTCATGCCTATATAATCTTAGCACTTTGGGAGGTCGAGGCAGGCAGATCACCTGAGGTCAATAGTTCAAGACCAGCCTGGCCAACATGGTGAAACCCATCTCCACAAAAAATATAAAAATTAGCCAGGCGTGGTGATGGATGCCTTTAATCCCAGCTACTGGGGAGACTGAGGCAGGAAAGTCTCTTGAACCCAGGAGGCGGAGGTTGTAGTGAATCGAGATCGTGCCATTGCACTCCAGCCTAGATGACAAGAGCGAAATTCCATCTCAAAAAAAAAAAAGTGATATATATACACCATGGAATACTACTCAGACATGAAAAGAATGAAGTAAGTCTTTTGCAGCAACTTGAATGGAGCTAGAGGCCATTATTCTAAGTGAACAACCAAATACTCTATGTTCTCGCTTATAAGTGGGAGCTAAGCTATGGATATGCAAAGGCATACAGAGTGGAGGTATAGGCCGGGCACCGTGGCTCATGCCTGTAATCCCAGCATTTTGGGAGGCCGAGGCAGGCGGATCACCTGAGGTTGGAAATTCGAGACTAGTCTGACCAACATGGAGAAACCCCATGCCTACTAAAAATACAAAATTAGCCAGGCGTGGTGGCGCATGCCTGTAATCCCAGCTACTCGGCAAGCTGAGGCAGGAGAATTGCCTGAACCCGAGAGACAGAGGTTGCAGTGAGCCAAGATCGCAGCATTGCGCTCCAGCCTCAGCAACAAGAGCGAAACTTCGTTTCAAAAATCAAAAACAGAAACAAACCCAGAGTGGATGTGTAACAGACATTGGAGACACAGAAAAGGGAGGCTGGGAAAGGTTGAGGCATAAAAAAATACTTAGGAGGTACAATGAACAGTACTAGGTTGACAGTGCACTACAATCTCAGACTTTACCACTATACAAGTCATCCATGTAGCCAAAAACTACTTGCATCCCAAAAGCTGTTGAAACAAAAAGAAACAAAAAAACTTAGCTTAAAACACATATTGTACAGTGGTATAAAAATATTTTCTTTTTGTTCTTTTCTTTTTTGCTTTTTCTTTTTCTTATTTTTTTGTTTTTTTTTGTTTTTTGTTTTTTTTTTTTTTGAGATGGAGTTTTGCTCTTGTCACCCAGGCTGGAGTGCAGTGGCACGATCTCGGCTCACTGCAACCTCTGCCTCCGGGTTCAAGCGATTCTTGCCTCAGCCTCCCGAGTAGCTGGGATTACAGGTGCCCGCCACAATGTGTGGCTAATTTCTTGTATTTTTAGTAGAGACAGGGTTTCACCATGTTGACCAGGCTGGTCGCGAACTCCTGACCTCAGGTGATCCACCCGCCTCAGCATCCCAAAATGCTGGGATTACAGGCATAAGCCACCGCGCCCCAATGAAATATTTTCTTTTTTTAATGTCTTCATCGGATAAGCTTTTTTTCCATTAAAAAAATACTTATTTTTTACTTTTTAGACTTTTATTGTTACAAATGAAGACACAAACATACACACTAGCCTAGGCTTACACAGGGTCACAGTCATTATCATTGCATTCCACCTCCATATCTTGTCTCACATAAAGGTCCTCAGGGACAATAATATGCCTGGAGCTGTCATCTCCTATGATAACAATGTCTTCTTCTGGATACCTCCTGAAGGACCTGCCTGAGGCTGTTTATCTTATAAGTAGGAGTATACTCTAAGATAATGATAAGGGCCAGGTGCGGTGGCTCATGCCTGTAATCCCAACACTTTGGGAGGCCGAGGTGGGCAGATGACTTGAGTCAAGACCAGCCTGGCCAACATGGTGAAACCCCATATCTATTAAGAAAACACAAAAATTAGCCAGGCGTGTTAGCACACGCTTGTAATCCCAGCTACTCAGGAAGCTGAGGCAGGAGGATTGCTGGAACCCAGGAGGCAAAGGTTGCAGTGAGCACAGATCATGTCACTGTACTCCAGCCTGGGTGACAGAGCAAGATCCTGTCTCAAAAATAAGTAAATAAATAAAGATAAAATAGTATGGTAAACACATAAACTACCAACACAGTTGTTTACTAGCAAGTATTCTATACTGTACCTAACTGTGAAATCGCCTTTGCAAAGGCAACCAGGACAGTGAAATTTCACTGACTGAGACAGCGAAAGAAATCTAACTTAGCCAACTCCATCTTGCTTCTAACCTCCAAGCTGTCCTTGTTCATTCTTGGGCATAGGCTGAACTATCTTTGGGAGAAACTTATAGTTTATAGTTTAAAACAGAGATGATGACAGCCCTTTCCCAAAGCAGACCTCCTTCTTGCCTGGGACTACATTGCCTCTGTAGGACTAACATTAGCCACAAGATTAGAAATTATAGTTTAGGAGTCATGTAGCTGGAGGCTACAAGTTACTGACCCTCTCTAAACTGCTCCAAAGATCAGTGCTTGACATATTTTGCAGACCCTGTACTTGATGGATCAGCTGGCACCACCTAGATCAATAAACTGGGTTATTTGATCTTGTGGTCCCCAACCAAGAACTGACTCAGTGCAAGGAGACAACTCCAACTCCCTATGATTTCATCTCTGACCAATCAGCACTCCTGGCTCACTGGACTTCCCCCACCCACCAAATCATGCTTAAAAACTCTGCTCTGTAGGGCAGGTGCAGTGGCTCACGCCTGTAATCCCAGGACTTTGGGAGGCCGAGGCGGGCGGATCACGAGGTCAAGTGATCAAGACCATCCTGGCCAACGTGGTGAAACTTCACCTCTACTAAAAATACAAAAATTAGCTGGGCGTGTTGGCAGGCATGTACTCCCAGCTACTTGGGAGGCTGAGGCAGGAGAATCACTTGAACCCAGGAGGCAGAGGTTGCAGTGAGCCAAGATCGCACCACTGCACTCCAGCCTGGGGAAAGAGCAATACTTTGTCTCAAAAAAATAAAAATAAAATAAAACCTCTGCTCCCCAAATAAATGCTTGAGAGACTGACTTGAGTAATAATAAAACTGGTCTCCCGCATAGCCAGCTCTGTGTGAATTACTCTTTCTCTATTGCAATTCCCCTGTCTTGATGAATTGGCTCTGTCTAGGCAGGAGGCAAGGTGAACCCCTTGGGTGGTTACAACTCTATGTGCTATACTTTTCTATGACTGGCAGTGCAGTAGCTTTGTTTATACCAGCATCACTACAAACACATGAGTAATGCTTCGTGCTGTGAGGTTACAATGTCTGCAACATCACCAGGCAATAAGAATTTTTCAGCTTATAGGTTAGATGATAAAGATTATAATCTTTCAGGACCACCAGCACATATATATGTGGTCCATTGTTGACTGGAATGTCATTGTGTGGCACATGACTGTACTTAAATTAGATAATGTATATGAAGAGTTTTTCATAATGCCTGGAGTACATCATATAAATTCAATAAGTGAAAGCTTTATTTTGAGTGGTTACATCTCTATTACAAAGTTGCCAAGAACATTAGCTTTGGAATTAAAGAGAGCTGCAGAGTTCTTATTATGAAAAAAATGAGGGTTATTTGTTGAAAGGCTCATAACACTTTGAGCTGAAGGTAGAGAACAGATGTAGGCTCTCAAAAAGAATGTGGCTAATTGAAGTTGTGCTTGCTTGAATCTTCCTCATCTCTTCAGACACCTCAGGACTCCTCAATCCTGAAGCTATTTCCATCAGAGTCTCTGCTTTACCATTTGGAAAGCCTTTTTTTTTTTTTTTTTTTTTTTTTTTTTTGAGACAGAGTCTGGCTCTGTTGCCCAGGCTGGAGTGCAGTGGCACAATCTTGGCTCACTGAACCTCCACCTCCTGGGTTCAAGTAATTCTTGTGTCTCAGCCTCCCGAGTAGCTGGGGTTACAAGTACACACCACCATGCCTGGCTAATTTTTTGTATTTTAGTAGAGATGGGGTTTCACCATGTTGCCCAGGCTGGTCTCGAACTCCTGAGCTCAGACAATCCACCCTCCTTGGCCTCCCAAAGCGCTAGGATTACAGGCGTGAGCCACCACACCCAGCCCGGAAAGACTTTCAAAGGCTACCATTAATCAGTAAGTGGTTCAAGAGAGGGAGAGCTCTACTTTTTCCCTCTACTACTTCTCAATTGCTCTATCACTTCTCAGTTAAATGATTAGATAATTAGATTTGCTGATCAATTTCAGAGAAATAGCTAACAGTTAGAATTCCATGCATGGCATATACTGTGCTAGGTATTTTGTATTCTTCATCTCACTTATTCTGTTAGCCTTGAAAAGTGGCTTTTGGTGTCTCCAATTTATAGATAATATTTAACAGTAATAACAGTGATTATAACTCACCATTATTGAGTGCTTACCATGATTCAGTTACAGTTTTAAACCCTCAATACAGATAATGTCTCTTTATCTTCATTAATAACTCTATCAGGGAGGAACTATTTTTAATCCCCATTTTTTAGATAAAAACTAAAGGTGCAGACATATTCAGTAATTTGCCCAAGGTCACACAACTAATAAATGATGGACAGGATTCAAACCTCTGGTCTCTATGGCTCCAGAGTTCAAAGCTTTTTCTCCTCAAAAGCCCAACAAATTCAAGCATTGACATATTTTTACAGCTGAGAGACAATGAGTCATTGCAACCTTTCTGCATGAGTTTCAAGTTTTCTCAAAATCAAAAATCTGTTTATCCTCTTCATAGCTCCAGTAGCAACTTCCCTCAATAAATTATCTGTTGCCTGACTAGCTCCATGTCTAATGACTTTATTATGCTCCAGTTTGAATTTCCTATTCTCACTACCCTTCTTAATCATCCAAAATAATTTGTTCATGCAATGTTGTCCCTGAAGCATTAGAAAATATATCATTTGAGGAAAAGTTCTGTAACATAAATGCACTAAATACGAGGTCCATTAAGACCAATGACAGCGTGGTGGCTCATGTCTGTATTGCCAGTACTTTGGGAGGCTGAGGCGGGTGGATCACCTGAGGTCAGGAGTTCAAGAGCAGCCTGGCCAACATGTTGAAACCCCGTCTCTACTGAAAATACAAAAATTAGCTGGGTGTGCTGGCACATGCCTGTAATCCCAGCCACTTGGGAGGCTGAGGCAGGAGAATCGCTTGAACCCAGGAGGTGGAGTTTGCAGTGAGCTGAGGTCGCGCCACTGCACTCCAGCCTGGGCAACAGAGGGAGTCTCTGTCTCAAAAAAAAAAAAAAATTAGCCAGGTATGGTGGTGTACGCCTGTAATCCCATCTACTCGAGAGGCTGAGGCAGGAGAATTGCTTGAATCCAGGAGACGGAGGTTGCAGTAAGATGAGATCGTGCCACCGCATTCCAGCCTGGATGACAGAGTGAGACTCTATCTCAAAAAAAAAAAAAAAAAAAAAAAAAAAACAAAAAAAAAAACCAACGAGAGAGAGATTGAGAAATGCAAATGTAATTACAATGAACTATTTGGGGCTGGGCACAGTGGCTCACGCCTGTAATCCCAACACTATGGGAGGCCAAGGTGGGCGGATCACCTGAGATCAGGAGTTAAAGACCAGCCTGGCCAACATGGCGAAACCCCATCTCTACTAGAAATACAAAAATTAGCCAGTTGTGGTGGCATGCACCTTTAATACCAGCTACTCAGGAGGCTGAGGCAGGAGAATCCCTTGAACCTGGGAGGCAGAGGTTGTAGTTAGCCGAGATTGTGCCGCTGCACTCCAGTCTGGGCAACAGTGAGACTGTCTCAAAAAAAAAAAAAGACCACCGAAACACAAAAACTGTTAAAAAGGATTAACGTAGTTCAGTTTTGTTTTGTTTTAGACGTAGTCTTGCTCTGTCACCCAGGCTGGAGTGCAGTGGCACGATCTCGGCTCACTGCAACCTCTGCCTCTCAGGTTCAAGGAATTCTCCTGCCTCAGCCTCCTGAGTAGCTGGGATTAAAGGCAGACACCACCAAGCCTGGCTATTTTTTGTATTTTTAGTACAGATGGGGTTTTGCCATGTTGGCCAGGCTGGTCTCGAACTCCTGACCTCAGGTGATCCACCCACCTTGGCCTCCCAAAGTGTTGGGATTGCAGGTGTGAGCCACTGCGCCCAGCCCAGTCTTCTTCATTTGTGCCTATTTATTGGTATTGGTAACCTTCTCTCTACCTAGTTTAGTGCAAAGCATCCTGATCTCTTCTCTCCCTGCAATGATCCTTTACTCCCCGTATTTTGGCCACTTTCCTCATAGTCATACCTGGCCTGGTCAGCACAAATAATTTCAACAACTTCAAATTCAATCATAGCTCTGTACTCTGACCACCACTTCCTATTCTTCTAGATGACTTATTCTTACTCCTCAAAACCTACAATTGTTTGACCCTATCAGGGCCTCTGACCTATTGACTCTTTTAACTTTTTCATCACTCATCAACCGTCGTAGGTCCTCCCCTCCCTTTGAGCCTCGTCTAAAGTCAATGGCCTTATAATCACTATCTTTGAAACACTATTAATTTGCTTGCTGTCCTCACTCTCCATCTTGCTTGTTTGGCAAAATATCAACTCTAGCTAAACCCAATTGTGGATAATTGGCTAATTTTCCACACCTGTTCCTGAGCAGAGGCCTGTGAGTAAAGAGCATCACAATCACAACCTTTTCCTTTCTTTTCTTTTCTTTTTTTTTTTTTTTTTTTTTGAGACAGGATCTTGCTCTGTTACACAGGCTAGAGTGCAATAGTGTGATCACGGCTCACTGCAACCTCTGACTCTCGAGCTCAAATGATCCTCCCACCTTAGCTTCCTGAGTAGCTAGAACTACAGACATGCTCCACTGTGCCTGGCTAATTTTTGTATTTTTTGTACAGATAGGGTTTTGCCATTTTGCCTAGGCTGGTCTTGAACTCCTGGACTCAAGTGACCTGCCCTTCTTGGCTTCCCAAAGTGCTGGGATCACAGGCATGAGCCACCGCACCTGGCCCAATCTTCTTTATTATCACAACTTTTTTTTTTTTTTTTTTTTTTTTTTTGAGATGGAGTCTCACTCTGTTGCTCAGGCTGGAGTGCAATGGTGTGATCTTGGCTCACTGCAACCCTCGCCTCCAGGATTCAAGCTATTCTCCTGCCTCAGCCTCCTGAGTAGCTGGGATTACAGGTGCATGCCACCACGCCAAGCTAATTTTTGTATTTCTACTAGAAGTGGGGTTTCACCATGTTGGCCAGGCTGGTCTTGAACTCCTGACCTCAGGTGATCCACCACCTCAGCCTCCCAAATCGCTGGGATTACAGGTGTGAGCCACTGCCTGGCCCTGGCCTTTTATCACAACTTTCTCTACCTCTCTGGGCCTTCTCAGCCTTTACAATATGTAAATGTTTTCTGTTTTTGTTTTTGTTTTCATTTTTGTTTTTGTTTTTGTTTTGAGACAGAGTTTTGCTCTTGTTGCCCGGGCTGGAGTGCAATGGTGCGATCTCGGCTCACCGCAACCTCCGCCTCCTGGGTTCAAGTGATTCTCCTGCCTCAGCCTCCCGAGTAGCTGGGATTACAGGCATGCGCCATCATGCCTGACTAATTTTGTATTTTTAGTAGAGACGGGGTTTTTCCATGTTGGTTAGGCTGGTCTCGAACTCCCGACCTCAGTTGACCCACCCACCTCAGCCTCCCAAAGTGCTGGGATTACAGGTGTGAGCTACCGTGCCCAGCCATGGTTTCTGTTCTTATCAGAGGCTTGTTCATTCAATCTTGTCTGCTTCGGAAGATCACTTCTAGAATTAACTGTCAGTCTTTGCCATCTTCCAGTTCTCTCTACTGAACACTTCCACAAGCATAAAACCATCTTCAAAACAAAAACAGATCTTCCCTTGAACACACATGCACATAAAGCTACAGCCCTATTTTTTCCACTCCAGGGAAAAACTTGAAGATATTCCCGGTTAGCATTTTTACTTCCTCTTTTCCCCTTTACTCTTTAACCCTCTCAGCTGGACTTCCACCCTAACCACTCCACAAAAACTGCTTTATCAGACGATTAATGAGGTCTATGTTTCTGTGATGGTTAATTTTATTTGTCAGCTTGACTAAGGGATGCCCAGATAGCTGATGAAACAGTATTTCTTAGAATGCCTGTAAGAAGCATTTGAATCAGCGAGCAAAGAGGGCCCACCCTCACCAATGTAGGTAGGCATTATGTAATCAGTTAAGGGTCAGAATAGAATTAAAAATGCCAGGCACAGTGGCTCATGCCTCTAATACCAGAACTTTGGGAGGCTGTGGTGGGAGGATTGCTTGAGCCTAGGAGTTAAAGACAAACCTGGGCAACATAGTGAGACCCTGTCTCTCTAAAAAAAAAAAAAAAAAAAAGAATAAAAAGGTAGAGGGGTGGGCGTGGTGGCTCACACCTGTAACTCCAACACTTTGGGAGGCCAAGACAGGTGGATCACTTGAGGCCAGGAGTTTGAGACCAGCCTGACCAACATGGTGAAATCCCATTTCTACTAAAAACACAAAAATTAGCCGGGTGTGGTGGCATGCTCCTGTAATCCCAGCTACTCGGGATGCTCAGGCATGAGAATCGCTTGAGCCTGGGAAGCGGAGGTTGCAGTGAGCCAAGATCATGCCACTGTACTCTAGCCTGGGCAACAGAGCGAGACTGTCTCAACAACAAAACAAAACAAGAACAACAAAAAAAAAGGTAGAGGAAGAGCAAATTTGTTGTCTTTTTGAGCTGCGACATGTATCTTCTCCAGTTCTTGGACATTGGCGCTCCTGCTTCTCAAGCCTTAAGGCTTATGCAGAGTATACCTCCACCTTCTGGGTTTTCCAGCTTGCTGATGGCATATTGTAGGACTTGGGCTCTGTAACCACATGAGCCAATTCCTATAATAAATCTTCTCTTATATATCTCTACATACCTTATTTGGTCTGTTTCCCTGGAGAACGCTGACTAGTACAGTTGCTAAACACAGTGTTTATTTTTTCTGTTCCAATTTTCCTTCAAGTCTCGAACATATGTGAAATAGTGAATTACTCCCTCATTCTTCATTCTAGAAATACTCTCTTTTCTTGGCATCTGGGGAGACACTCTTCTGATTTTCCTACTATCTACCTAGGAAGAAGGCTATTTCTTCAGTTAACTTTTCTTCTTTTTTATTTTTTATTTATTTATTTAGGGTCTAGGCTGGTGCAATGGCTCACAACTGTAATCCCAGCACTTCAGGAGGTAAGGCAGGAGCATCACTTGAGTCCAAGAGTTCAAGACCTGCCTTGGCAACATAGCAAGACCTCTTTGCTACAAAAAATGAAAAATTAGCTGGGTGCAGTGGTATGTCGCTGTAGTCCCAGCTACTTGGGAAGCTGAGGTGGGAGGATCACTTTTGTTCAGGAGGTCATGGTTGCAGTGAGCCACGATTGTGCCACTGCACTTGGCCTGGGTGACACAGCAAGCTCACCAAGCTCCACTGGGCCTCCCATGGCCTCTCTGGCCCCTGTCCATGCCTGAGATTCCTCTCCTGCCATGCTCCCTTTTGCTCTTCACTTCAGCCATACAGGCTTCTCTTAGGTTTCCAGAACAGACCAAACTTGTTCCTATCTCAAGGCCTTTGCAGCTATTGTTTCTTCTGCATGCAACAGAAAAAACAAAATTCCTCCCCAAAATTGTCCTCTTGTCAAAACCTTTTCTGACCAGCCTACATAGAGTTATCTCTGCCACATTTACTCTAGATAATGTCATTTCTCTTTATTATTTAAAATAGCAATTTTAGTTATCTGAAATCATTTTATTTGTTTGTATTTTTGTTTACTTTTTATTATTTATTTATTTACTTATTTTGAGGCAGGGTCTTCCTTTGTTGCCCAGGCTGGAGTGCAGTGGTGTGATCATGGCTTACTGCAGCCTCAGCCTCCGAGGCCCAAGCCATTCTCCCACTTCAGCCTCCTGGGACCATAAGGGCATCCCACCATGCCCAGCTATTTTTTTTTTTAATTTTTGTAGAGATGGGGTCTCCCTGTGTTGCCCAGGCTGGTCTTGAACCCTTGCCCCACGCAATCCTCTTGCCTAGGCTTTCCAAAATGCTGGGATTACAGGCATGAGCCACCAGGCCTGGCTAAGATGGTATTTCAATAGAAAGAAAAACCACTGGGAGAGTCCTTGGAGGAACACAGGTAAGTCAATTTCCTTATTGTTAAAAAGATTAGACTAAATGAGCCCAAAGGTTCCTTTCATTAGACAATTTTGATTCCAGGATTATATGTTGGCTATTTGGCATAGATGGTGTCTGAAGTTACTGAGAAGTAATTGGATTCATGGGACACTAGTGTAATTGACACTCCAACTAAGTATTGACTTTTCTCAGGACATTAGCAAGGACTTTGTGCTGTCTTTAAAGCTTGCTGACTACAGCGTTCACGTTAATAGATTATCTTGTGGCTTAGGAACAGTTTTTCAAAGAGACTTAAAGAATGCTTTAAATTCTTCCACAAAAGTACTAGCTTAAGATGGCAAGGTCAAGTACTGAAATAGAAAGAACATTGGTTCTGGAGCCAGAACTGGGACACATCCTCACTCTGCTTGCACTATTTGTGTCACCTTGGCCACATCATGGAATTCCTGTGAGATTTAGTTTTTCTTCACTCTTAAGTAAAATTTTAGCTGGGCAATCTCTAAACTCCCTTTAAGTTCTGAAGACCTGTGATCCAAGATACTGTAAAAGTTTATAAACATGAGCATGTATTCCTGTGCTTAAAAATTCCCGGCTGGGCGCGGTGGCTCACGCCTGTAATCCCAGCACTTTGAGAGGCCAAGGCGGGCAGATCACGAGGTCAGGAGATTGAGACCATCCTGGCTAACACAGTGAAACCCCATCTCTACTAAAAATACAAAAAATTAGCCAGGCTTGGTGGCAGGCTCCTGTAGTCCCAGCTACTCGGGAGGCTGAGGCAGGAGAATGGCGTGAACCTGGGAGGCAGAGCTGGCAGTGAGCCGAGATCACACCACTGCACCCAGCCTGGGTGACAGAGTGAGACTCTGTCTCAAAAAAAAAAAAAAAAAAAAAAAAAAAAAAAAAATTCCCAATGCTTCTATTTGTTCTTAAAAGAAACTTAGACTTCCTATGCTGATTATACAATCAGCATAATCTAGCCCCTGCTTACTTCACTACCTGATCTCAACCTCTGCCTCTCTCTGTTTTTATAACATGCCAGGCGTGTTGCTGCATCAGAATGGAGCATGTATTATTCCCACTACCTGGGTTATTCTGAGCCCAGATCTTTGCATCACTGGCTCCTCTTCATCATTCAAATTCAGCACAGATGTTACCTCCTGAGAGAGGCCTTTCCCAAACTCTCAACCCCAAGTAGTCTTGGACCTTGTCTGACTGTCCAATACCCCATAGCACCCCCAGTACCTAGCCTAGTGCCTGGCACCAAAGTAGATTCTCAATAAATATTTACTGATTTCAGCCCCAGAATCAAGTACAGCTGTTCTATTTGCATCTTTTTTTGCATAATCAAGATAGGTAGGTCCCCAAATATGAAAAGATTTTTGGAAAGATGAAAAGTAGAAGTCACATTAGCTTCCCCGCCCACCCCCCCAAAAAAAATCTTGTTATAGCGGCATCAGCTTTAAGAACAATCACTAAAGTGAATGGATTGGGGCCAGCGATTACATCACATAAAAGTCATGGTATTCCAAAAATTAGCCGAGTGTGCTGGTGCACAGCTATAATCCCAGCTACTTGGGAGGCTGAGACAGGAGAATCACTTGAACCCAGGAGGCAGAGTTTGCAGTGAGTCAAGATTACACCACTGCAGTCTTGGTGACTGAGCAAGACTCTGTCTCAAAAATAAATAAATAAATAAATAAATAAATAAATAAATAAATAAAGTCATGATATTCACCATGTATTCAAAATACATGAGTATCTCAATAGATGCAGAAAAGGCCTTTGACAAAATTCAACAGCGCTTCCTGCTAAAAACTCTCAATACATTAGGCATTGATGGGACGTATCTCAAAATAATAAGAGCTATTTATGACAAATCCACAGCCGATATCATACTGAATGGGCAAAAAACTGAAAGCATTCCCTTTGAAAACTGGCACAAGACAGGGATGCCCTCTCTCACCACTCCTATTCAACATAGTGTTGGAAGTTCTGGCAAGGGCAATCAGGCAGGAGAAAGAAATAAAGGGTATTCAATTAGGAAAAGAGGAAGTCAAATTGTTCCTGTTTGCAGATGACATGATTGTATATCTAGAAAACCCCATTGTCTCAGCCCAAAATCTCCTTAAGCTGATAAGTAACTTCAGCAAAGTCTCAAGATACAAAATCAATGTGCAAAAATCACAAGCATTCTTATACACCAGTAACAGACAAACAGAGAGCCAAATCATGAGTGAACTCCCACTCACAATTGCTAGAAAGAGAATAAAATACCTAGGAATCCAACTTACAAGGGATGTGAAGGACCTTGTCAAGGAGAACTACAAACCACTGCTCAACAAAATAAAAGAGGATACAAACAAATGGAAGAACATCCCATGCTCATGGATAGGAAGAATCAATATTGTGAAAATGGCCATACTGCCCAAGGTAATTTATAGATTCAATGCCATCCCCATCAAGCTACCAATGACTTTCTTCACAGAATTGGAAAAAACTACTTTAAAGTTCATATGGAATCAAAAAAGAGCTCGCATTGCCAAGTCAATCTTAAGCCAAAAGAACAAAGCTGGAGGCATCACGCTACCTGACTTCAAACTATACTACAAGGCTACAGTAACCAAAACAGCATGGTACCGTTACCAAAACAGAGATATAGACCAATGGAACAGAACAGAGCCCTCAGAAATAATACCACACATCTACAACCATCTGATCTTTGACAAACCTGACAAAAACAAGAAATGGGGAAAGGATTCCCTATTTAACAAATGGTAGGCCAGGGGTGGTGGCTCACGCCTGTAATCCCAGCACTTTGGGAGGCCAAGGTGGGCGGATCACGAGGTCAGGAGATCGAGACCATCCTGGCTAACACAGTGAAACCCCGTCTCTACTAAAAATACAAAAAATTAGCCGGGCGTGGTGGCGGGTGACTGTAGTCCCAGTTACTCTGGAGGCTGAGGCAGGAGAACGGTGTGAACCCAGAAGGCAGAGCTTGCAGTGAGCCGAGATCGCTCCACTGCACTCCAGCCTGGGCGACAGAGTGAGACTCCGTCTCAAAAAACAAACAAACAAACAAACAAAACAAAACAAAAAAAAACAAAAACAAATGGTGCTGGGAAAACTGGCTAGCCATATGTAGAAAGCTGAAACTGGATCCCTTCCTTACACCTTATACAAAAATTAATTCAAGATAGATTAAAGACTTAAATGTTAGACCTAAAACCATAAAAACCCTAGAAGAAAACCTAGGCATTACCATTCAGTACATAGGCATGGGCAAGGACTTCATGTCTAAAACACCAAAAGCAATGGCAACAAAAGCCAAAATTGACAAATGGGATCTAATTAAGCTAAAGAGCTTCTGCACAGCAAAAGAAACTACCATCAGAGTGAACAGGCACCCTACAGAATGGAAGAAAATTTTTGCAATCTACTCATCTGACAAAGGACTAATATCCAGAATCTACAAAGAACTCAAACAAATTTACAAGAAAAAAACACACAACCCCATCAACAAGTGGGTGAAGGATATGAACAGACACTTCTCAAAAGAAGACATTTATGCAGCCAAAAGACACATGAAAAAATGCTCATCATCACGGGCCATCAGAGAAATGCAAATCAAAACCACAATGAGATACCATCTCACACCAGTTAGAATGGCGATCATTAAAAAGTCAGGAAACAACAGGTGCTGGAGAGGATGTGGAGAAATAGGAACACTTTTACACTGTTGGTGGGAGTGTAAACTAGTTCAACCATTGTGGAAGACAGTGTGGTGATTCCTCAAGGATGTAGAACTAGAAATACCATTTGACCCAGCCATCTCATTACTGGGTATATACCCAAAGGATTATAAGTCATGCTACTATAAAGACACATGCACATGTATGTTTACTGCAGCACTATTCACAATAGCAAAGACTTGGAACCAACCCGAATGTCCATCAATGATAGACTGGATTAAGAAAATGTGGCACATATACACCATGGAATTCTGTGCAGCCATAAAAAAGGATGAGTTCATGTCCTTTGTAGGGACATGGATGAAGCTGGAAACCATCATTCTCAGCAAACTATCGCAGGGACAAAAAACCAAACACCGCCTGTTCTCACTCATAGGTGGGAATTGAACAATGAGAACACTTGGACACAGAAAGGGGAACATCACACACTGGGGCCTGTTGTGGGGTGGGGGGAGTGGGGAGGGATAGCATTAGGAGATATACCTAATGTGAATGACGAGTTAATGGGTGCAGCACACCAACATGGCACATGTATAGATATCTAACAAACCTGCATGTTGTGCACATCTACCCTAGAACTTAAAGTATAATAAAAAAAAAATACTGACCTTCATCAATAAGCAGGAAAATACTTAGATAGGTACTATTTATTTACATTCTAATACATTTTACAGTTATTAAATACAACTGTCTTTGTACTTCTCTGCATTTTATTTTATGGATTTAAACTTGTGCAGCTCTTCCATTTACTAGCACAATGAACCAGAGCAAATTTCTTCCCCTCTGTTTCCTCGTGGATGAAATGAAGATTAAAAATGTGCATCACAAGGTTGTTACGAGAATTCACTGAGATGATTTTCATAATGAACCATAGAGCACCAGGCTCATAGTAGGTACCTAACAAGATATTCTTTCCATTGCCTGTCTCCCAAAACTCTTATGATTATGGAGTTCTTAATGAATTTCAAGATAATAATTGGTGTATGACATTATGACATTTTCCAGACCTGTGTACTGTTATTAAATCTTAATTGTAGCTACTGCTAAAAATATCTAAGACCAGTTGCTTAATCTGACTTTGACCTTGACATATTTAAATACTGACAGGGTGTTTGGAAGCCTAGTTTCAGTTTTGACTAGTGTTTTCTGAATAGCTTTGGGTAAATAATTTATTGTTTCTATCTAAAACAATGGTCCCTTGCCTTTGCATAACTTTCAGTACATAAGTTTGAATGTAATTTATAAAATTGAGATGGTTATTAATAAGAATAAAGAGATAAGGTGTTTTCTCAGAAAGCATGCATAATTAATATTATTGCCTTAATGATTAAATTGTACTTAATGAACCATATTCTGCCAGAGTCTGAAGTAGTCCCTTGTTAATTAGAATAACCTTTGAAATCATTACCTTTGGGTGTCTATTTGATATCAGCGAGGCGTGACATATTAAGTAGCCAGGTTATCCAGGCTCCAAAGATCAGTGCATTATAAATCACCAAGTATTTATGAAATGCCTACTTTTCTGTAAATTCCTTGAGAGCAGCAGCCATATATTTTTCATCCCCTACCATTTATGAATCACAGTTATCTGAGATGTATTAAATTTAGTGGCTTCTCTTCAAGGATTTATAAGGAAGATACGAAAATTGCAAATGGGTTTTTTTTTTACAATGGTTTCCCTTAACATAGTTTTCTATAGAAATGTATGCATATGTGTATTTCTATACAAATGCATAACTTTTACATAAGTAATTATATAAATGAAAATGGTAATAAAAATATATTTGTAATATGTAACATATTACTCTCTCTCTCTCTCTCTCTCTCTCTCTCTCTCTCTATATATATATATATATATATATATTTTTTTTTTTTTTTTTTTTTGAGACAGGGTCTTACTCTGTCACCCAGGCTGGAATGTAGTGGCACAATCTTGGCTCATTGAAACCTCCACCTCCCGGGTTCAAGCGATTCTCCTGCCTCGGCCTCCCGAGTAGCTAGGACTACAGGCGTGCACCACCATGCCCAGCTAATTTTTGTATTTTTAGTAGAGACGGGGTTTTCCCATGTTGCCCAGGCTGGTCTCGAACTCCTGACCTCAAGTGATCCACCTGCCTTGGCCTCCCAAAGTGCTGGATTATAGGCATGAGCCATCACACCTGGCCAATATACACTTATAAGTATATGACATAGTAAATATGCAATGCATTATGTTTCTAACTTAGTCCATAAACTTGAAGTGATCCCAAAATAAATAAAGCAACCAAATTGCTACTTCCTTTTGAGCATAATTACAATATTTAAATTTGTTGACTCATTTTTTTAAGAGACAGGGTCTAGCTCTGTTGCCCAGGCTGGAGTGCAGTGGCATGAACACGGCTCACAGCAGCCTCAACCTCCTGGGCTCAAGCGATCCTCGTGTGTTGGCTCCCTAGGTGCTGGGAACTAGGTGTGAGCCACCATACCAGGCCCATATATTTTAATATATAACAAGATGCCTAAGGATCATCACTAGGCCAGGTTTCCCTCCAAAGTGAATCTTTGGTTCACAACCACTATGTAAATCCCCAAACAGGATGGTGAGACTGAATTGGGGGAAAAGAGAGAGACAGAAAGCATAGGGAGTTGCCGTGAGTCACACTCCAGTGGCAGAAAAGGGACCAGGAGACTTTTGGTTTGTATTCCTCTGGCTCCCAGGAAATAATATTGGTAATAGGCTCTGCCAAAGTCAGTGTTGATGATTTATAAAGTGTCTATCTCTTGTACATCAGGTATTTATGACGCAGAGTCTATGGGATGTGTAGTGGATTTATCCACCAGACAGAAAGAAGTTCTGGATTTCAAGAGTGACTGCCCTGAAATTTTAGGCAAAGTCCAGATTGTATATCCATTACTCTGCAGAGGGTCATTCCAAAGCATTCTGTGACTCAAGTTAAGAGCCCAAAAGATAGGGTTTCATTTGCCCCCCATAATTACTTGGTGAGGGGGATAGTGTGAGGATCATTACCTCAGGGTCCTCCCCCAATCAGGGCCTGTGGGTAACAATTAGTGGCCCCACACAGTTCACCAACCAGCTGCTCAGCTAAGCGGGAGCCAAAGTGCATAGGAGCCATGAGCAGGACTGCTGTCTGGGGAGGGAAAGCGGGAGAGAATGGCAAACAAGCTGGAGAGAATTCCTCATGGTAACATTGTGAGAGGGAGTAGAAGAAGAAAGGCGAGCTCAAATGGAATTGAAGGTGTGATGTTGTGATATAGTAAGAAATACGTATTTGTTCTCTGCCCCAAGTCCCTGACACAGAGCTCCTACAACCCTTGTAATTTGCTGAGCAATAGAGGTGCTAGCTGCATCTTTTGTTCTAATATATTGTTTTTGACTGTGGTTCCTGACACTGAACTCCTAAATACTTTTGAGTTTCTTGGGTGATTGGAGCATCTTCCGTTCTAATGAGGTGGCTCTTGGTGGGCCCCTGGATGGGGGCTGCTTACCAGAAAGACCAAGCCATGATTAGAATCTTCGAGCTTTCAGGCTGGGCGTAGTGGCTCATGCTTGTAATCCCAGCACTTTGGAAGGCCGAGGTGGGTGGATCACATGAGGTCAGGAGTTTGAGACCAGCCTGGCCAACATAGTGAAACCCCATCTCTACTAAAAATACAAAAATTAGGCCTGGCGCGGTGGCTCACGCCTGTAATCCCAGCACTTTGCGAGGCCGAGACAGGCGGATCACGAGGTCAAGAGATGGAGACCATCCTGGCCAACATAGTGAAACCTCCTATCTACTAAAAATACAAAAATTAGCTGGGCATGGTGGTGCACGCCTGTAGTCCCAGCTACTCGGGAGGCTGAGGCAGGAGAATCGCTTGAACCCGGGAGGTGGAGGTTGCAGTGAGCCGAGATCGCAGCACTGCCCTGGCAACAGAGCAAGACTCCATCTCAAAAAAAAAAAAAATAGCCCTCGTGGTGGTGCGTGCCTGTAATCCCAGCTACTAGTGAGGCTGAGGCAGGAGAATTGCTTGAACCTGGGAGGCTGAGGTTGCAATGAGCTGAGTGAGATTGCGCCACTGCACTCCAGCCTGGGTGACAAAGCGAGACTCCATCTCAAAAAAAACTTTAAAAAGGCCGGGCACAGTGGCTCACGCCTATAATCCCAGCACTTTGGGAGGCCGAGGCGGGCGGATTGCCTGAGATCAGGAGTTCACGACCAGCCTGGGCAACACGGTGAAACCCTGTCTCTACTAAAATACAAAAAATTAGCTGGGCATGGTGGCCTGCGCCTGTAGTCCCAGTTAGTTGGGAGGCTGAGGCAGGAGAACTGCTTGAATCCAGAAGGCGGAGGTTGCAGATCACGCCACTGCACTCTAGCCTGGGCGACAGAGCAAGACTCCATCTAAAAAAAAAAAAAAAATTTGGGGATAAGCGCATAAAACTATAGGTTGACTAAAGGTAAGTGCTATTTTATAGATCTTGCCATATCTCACAGTATTTATCTCAATGTACAATTAAGGGCTCAATAAGCATGTATATTATGTTCATGGCAGGCACTATGAGGAGAAAAATAAAATTTAAAAATGATATATTACGGTTATAATAAGCAATAATAAATAATTATATTTATTATTATAATTAATAAATATAATGTGTTATATTGTATATTATAATTATATTATTTATAATAAACAATAATACATTAAAATCAAATTAATCGTTTTGCATCATTTATTAATGGTTAATTAATGATTGATGCACAAAAAAAGGGGCAATTTTTTTTGAAGCAAAGATGCAGTCAAATGAATGTGTAGATAAATGCTGCAAGCAGTGGATTAAAATTCAGGGAGTTGGCTGTGCACGATGGCTCACATCTGTAATCCCAGCATTTTGGGAGGCCAAGGTGGGAGGATCACCTGAGGTCAGGGGTTTGAGACCACCCTGACCAACATGGTGAAACCCCGTCTCTACTAAAAATACAAAAATTAGTCAAGTGGGGTGGCTCATGCCTGTAATCCCAGCTACTTGGGAGGCTGAGGTGGGAGAATCACCTGAACCTGGGAACCAGAGGTTGCAGTGAGCTGAGATCGTGTCACTGCACTCCAGCCTGGGCAACAGAGAGAGACCGTCTCAAAAAAAAAAAAAAAAAATTCAGGGAGTTCAAACTCCTGTGTGACGGGGAAGATGATTTGCACAAAGGCACATCCACATAAAAAGTGGCACATTCAGGAATACACTCAGCATTCCAGCATTCTTGATTCCCAGACTTAAGATTTTCCACTACTCTATGCTGCTGTGTTGGAGAGTAGTGAGAAGTAAGGCTGGACAGGTGGAGCCTGAGGGGGTTTGGGCCTTGAGAATCCAAGCTAAGGTACCTGAGTAGAGAAGCATCACAGAAGAGGCACTAGCCAATGGAGGAAAGCTATCATGGGTTTACACAGTGAGGAAAGAATTGATTTCTGGGCCAGGCATGGTGGCTCATGCCTGTAATCCTAGCACTTTGGGAGGCCAAGGCAGGCAGATCACCTGAGGCCAGGAGTTAGAGACCAGGTTGGCCAACATAGCGAAACACCTTCTCTACTAAAAAAAAAATACAAATATTGGCCAGGCATGGTGGTGCATGCCTGTAATCCCAGCTACTCAGGAGGCTGAGGCATTAGAGTTGCTTGAACCCACCACTGCACTCCAGCCTGGGTGACAGAGAGAGACTCCGTCTCAAAAAAAAAAAGAATTGATTCCATTCTATAGTCAGTAAACATCTAATGGTTTGACAAGTATTCAGCATCAGAATGAGAAATTTGGCATTAGGTAATTTATAATAAACACAAAAGATAAATAGGAAATATGACAATATGGCCTGGATTTGATAGCAGACACCTGTGCCTAATGGATGATGGGTGTCTGCCAACATTCATAAGCTTCAAAGATGCATCCCAGCCACAGACATAAAGCACTGATATGTAGGATGTCCTTGGGTACACAGGGCAGTTTCCTATGCTAGGGACATATCTTGCTTTAATTTCTCAGCAATGTTTTGTACTTTTCAGTGTAGAGGTCTTATACATCCTCCATGAGATATATCCCATGGTATTTTGTGTTTCTGATGCAGTTATAAGTTATTTTAAAATTTTCATTCCATTTGAGTTTCTTTATCTTTCCCTTTTTAAAATATAATTCTTTTAAGTATTTACATATGTTGGACATCATATTAGATAACATATAAATTTTTTTAACCATCAAATATGAAACTCTCAGTTTTAAGGACTTTCTTAAAACTTGAAAAGTGTTGCTGCGGTAAAGAAAGAGGGGAAAAATATTTGCATAGAGACACAGTTGAAAATATGAATCCCCTTATTATGACCATAATTTTTTGTTAAGACATGGAACCAGAAGATTTTGTATCAGAATATAGTTGATTTTGTACTAGCAATCAGTGATAAGACATATGATTCAGAATAGCTAGCTGTACTCTTGTCTGATAGTTTTTTATTCCAGATACAAAGCAAAATTTAATATACCAAATTTAATTTTGCCACTGGTAACCATTATAAAAGTGAAGACAGTTCTTCAAGAATATTTTGGTTTTCAAACAAAGCCATACTAAAAGATGCAAAAACATTCTTAAACATCCAAAATGTAATTAATAACATTATAATATAATTTAAATACTATAAAAAATAACAAAGTTAAAGCACCAGACTGCTCTACTTATTTTAAAAAGTTATTAAAAAGAAAAAGATGTGTGTGGCAGACATTAATTGCCTACTAAAAATCCATTCTTCCCTGCTTTCTTATTAATACAGTTTGTTTGTTTGTTGGTTGGTTGGTTGGTTTTGAGACAGAGTCTCGCTCTATCGCCCAGGCTGCAATGCAGTGGCATGATCTCGACTCACTGCAACCTCCGCCTCCCGGATTCAAGCGATTCTCCTGACTCAGCCTCCGGAGCAGCTGGGACTAAAGGTGTGCGCAACCACCCGGCTATTTTTTATATTTTTAGTAGAGACAGGGTTTCACTATGTTGGCCAGACTGGTCTCGAACTCCTGACCTCAAGTGATCCGCCGGCCTCGGCCTCCCAAAGTGCTGGGATTACAGCGGTGAGCCACCGCGCCAGCATATACAGTTCTGATTAGTGTGGGTGTCAATGTCCCCTGTTAAAGAGTACCTCCCCAGACTCCCTTGCTATTGGTGACCAGTAACCCACCTCTGGCCAATGAAAAACAAGTGTAATTCACTGGGTGGAACCCCTAAGGAAGTGTATTAAAGATGGCCGACTCAGCACCAGGCCTTTTGACTTTCTCCCTTACTCCTTTCCCTGTTTCCTTCCGATAATGTAGCTCAGTGCTTGGAGATGGAGCAGCCATTTTGACACCGTGAGAATAAAAACATGTAAGAAAGCCAGGAGGATCTCTGGTCTCAGATGGCAGCATTAAGCTGCCATTACTACCCTAGTTTACCTACTTGCGTGCCTGTTTATATAAGGGGGAAAAAAAAAAAACTAAAACCTTTTGGTTAATCAACTATGTCAGGGAAGGTCCTCGCCATCAGGATTTCTGATTCAGTGGGCTGGAGGTAGGACCCAGGAACTTACATCTTTCACATGAGCCCCAAATGATTCCCATGCCAGTAATCCAAGGATTATTTTACAGAAACTCTCCTTTGGTAGGTGTGAATTGGAAATTTAATGTTAACTGGGGAGTCAAGAGGATTATGAACTTGGGTGGGAGGGTAGCAAGTCAAATGATAAATTGCCAGTGGCATACAAAAGTTTACAAATGACCGCTTAGGCTTGATGTTATGATTTACTAACATTTTCCTTGAATTTTCTAAATTATGCTATGTCACAGAGAAATGAATGCTGATGGTAAAACTGTAAATTGTCTGCAGCAGCAGATTAAGTCCTTCAATCCTGGTTTAACTTTATTATGAAATCCCATTGAATAACTGAAACAAGAGTATTTTCTTCCTGAGGACAGTTGCTCTATAAAATATTGTCTTGGGTGAACTATACCAAGAAATATAAGATCTATTTGATTCACAGAAGTGCAGTTCAAGCAGTTCTGTTTCTAAAAGGCAATACTAAATATAATAAATGGATGCCACACCAGTTTAAATGTATAAATGGTTTTCATTGTCAACATCAATGCCAGATAATTCAATTTGTTTCTTCCTGAGATTATGATCTTATTTAGACATTAACCCGTTTTATTTATTTATTTATTATTTATTTATTGACTCAGGATCTTGCTCTGTATCCCAGGCTGGAGTGCAGAGGTGCCATCATGGCCCACTGCAGCCTCAAAGTCCTGGGCTCAAAGGATCCTCCCACCTCAGCCTCTGGAGTACCTGGGGACTACATGCATGCGCCACTACGCCCAGCTAATTTTTTTTTAAAGATGGGGTCTCGGCCGGATGGGATGGCTCATCACGCCTGTAATTCCAGCACTTTGGGAGGCCAAGGTGGGCAGATCACTTGAGGTGAGGAGATCGAGACCATCCTGGTCAACAGGGTGACATCCCGTCTCTGCTAAAAATACAAAAATTAGCTGGGCATGGTGGTACGTGCCTGTAATCCCATCTCCTCAGGAGGATGAGGCAGGAGAATTGCTTAAACCAGGGAGTCGGAGGTTGCAGTGAGCTGAGATTGCACCAGTGCACTCCAGCCTGGTGACAGAGCAAGACTCCGTCTCAAAAAAAAAAAAAAAAGATGGGGTCTCACTATGTTGCCCAGGCTAGCCTCAAACTCCTAGGCTCAAGGAATCTTCCCAAAGTGCTAGGATTATAGACATGAGCCACTGCACCTGGTCCCCAGTTTTATTTTTTAACCATGACAGCTGTAGCTTTGTCTAGCGACAGCTCCCTTCTGAAAACAAATCCAGCAACATACTGTTGTTACACAAAGATACACTTATGCTATTGTTCCTTTTCTTTATAAGATAGTAAGCTCCTTAATGATATTTTTTTAAGATGGGTATCTCACTATGCTGCCCAGGTTGATCACAAACTCCTGGGTTCAAGCAATCCTCCCCTCTCAGCCTCCCTAGTAGCTGAGATTACAGGCGTGCACCACCACACCCAGTTCAGCTAACGCATTTAGAAGTAAATTGTATTGAGATGTAGGGTTATAATTCTTACACTGAAAAGTTTTGTAAAGTGTGTATATAGCAGGTATAAAATTATTACAATGGAATTCTAACTTTTTTTGGAGGGGTGGGGTGGGTGGGTCTCACTCTGTTGCCCAGGCTGAAGTGCAGAGGTGTGATTTCGGCTCACTGCAACCTCCGCCTCCTGGGTTCAAGTGATTCTCCTGCCTCAGCCTCCCAAGTAGCTGGGACTACAGTTGCCTGCCACCACCATGCCCAGCTACTTTTTGTATTTTTAGTAGAGATGTGGTTTCACTATGTTGGCCAGGCTAGTCTCAAACTCCTGACCTGGCCTGGCTAGTCTCAAACTCCTGACCTGATCACCTCCTGGCCGAGGTGATCTGCCCGCCTCGGCCTCCCAAAGTGCTGAGATTACAGGCATGAGCCACCGCACCTGGCCAGAATTCTTTCTTATGCAAGAGTTAGGCACTTAAGTGTGCTCAGGTATAGACCGAAATTAACTTTATATGTCTCTTAAATTATCCATGCAGTGTAATACAAATAATAGTTGTCCCTGGTCTTCAAAGACATGAATCCTTAAATACAGAATCCATACTTTCACACTTTCAGAGCTAGAAAGAACTGAGAAGAACTGACCGACAGGTTCAGACTGCCCATATCTGCCAAAGGCAGGGCATTCAGAGGAAAAGAAGGAAGTCACGGCCCTGCAGCAGTTCAGTCTGTTGGGGATGACAGCTTGTAAACAAGTAATTATAGTGGCTGTATCACGGGCCCATAAAGGAGAAAGCTGTGCGTTTGAGCCAGGGAGAAGGGCAGGCAGCCCGGGAAGACATCTGAGAGGAGGTACTGGCATGAGAGCGATATTGTAAAGGATGGCAAAAATAAGTCTGTGTGTGTTGCTCAGACAGAGGAAGGGCGTGACGTGGGGCAGGGATCATTTCCCAAGGCCAAAGCACAGGGTGTTTTTGAAGAGGGGCTAGATATCATGTCAGAGAGATTAAGCCCACAGTGAAAAACACCTCAAACACAATGCCGAGAAATTTTAACTTTATTCTGTAAATAATGGGGAGCCATTGAAGGATATTCAGCAGGAAAATGAATTGACCAGATACGCATGTTAGAAAATTTCCTCTGATTTTATGTGTTGTTTACAGTCCTTTTTGTATATCAGTCAGTATGAGAACCTTCGTAAGGAAATTGACCCCTTAACATAACCACTCTAATTTCTTTATATTTCCTCTGAAATTAGCACACAAAATAAGAACAACTTCCCATGTACCTCTATGTAGTGTTCTGATTATGACCCTTGGAGACTTCTCTCTGAATTTTTTTTTTTTAATCAATGCAAGTCCGGGTGCGGTGGCCACGTGTAATCCCAGCACTTTGGGAGGCCAAGGCGAGTGGATCACTTGAGGTTAGGAGTTCAAGACCAGCCTGGCCAACATGGTGAAACCTCGTCTCTACTAAGAATACAAAAATTAGCTGGGCCTGGTGGTGGGCACCTGTAATCCCAGCTACTGGGGAGGCTGAGGCAGGAGAATCACCCCAGGAAGTGGAGGTTGCAGTGAGCAGAGATAGCGCCACTGCACTCCAGCCTGGGCGACAGAGTGAGACTTTGCCAAAAAAAAAAAAAAAAAATCCATGTAAAAAAGAATTTATTCTTTTAATCTTTTATAATTTTTATTTTTTTGGTAGAGAGGGAGGCTAGCTATGTTACCTAGGCTGGTCTTGAACTTCTTGCCTCAAGCAATCCTTCTGCTTCAGCCTCCCGAAGTGCTGGGATTATAGGGGTGAGCTACTGCACCTGACCCCAAAAAATAATTTAATAGAAACTGTGTATCCAGTTCTTTTCATTCATGTAGTTCCTAAGGCCAGTTTTTAAGTGGATCTGTATAGAGAAAATGTTACCATGAGAATCCAATGTGTATTTTAAATGTAAATAACCACTAATGGTGAAAATAATGAAAAATAAGCTCAAATCTCTAGTAATTGTGCAATACTTGCAATTATATGATACTGATTTGATTGTTCTATGCAAAGGAAATTTAGAATCAAACCCAGTTATAAAGGAAATAATTCGTAGGATTGGAGTCCTGAATAATTATCCCATCTGTCCACAGGCCAGACAGAGGGGCAGCCTGTTTATCTATATTTATCATATACATATGTGTGCATTTATGGAATATAAAAGCACAAATAGAGATAATCTCTAAACTGAACATACTTTGAGACACAATCAAAAATTCAAATAGTAGGCTGAGTACAGTCGCTCATGTCTGTAATACCAGCACTTTGGAGGCCGAGGCAGGTGGATCACCTGAGGTCAGGAGTTCGAGACCAGCCTGACCAATATGACAAAATCCCGTCTCTACCAAAAATACAAAAATTAGCCAGGAATGGTGGCACGCATCTGTAATCCCAGCAACTCAGGAGGCTGAGGCAGGAGAATCACTCGAACCCAGGAGGTGGAGGTTGCAGAGAGCCAAGATCGTGCCACTGCACTCCAGCCTGGGCAACAAGAGCAAAACTCTGTCTCAAAAAAAAAAAAAAAAGATACCATTCCTTCTGAATGCTTCAGAGGAGAATCCATTTCCTTCCCCTTCATAGCTTCTAGAAACTTCCTGCATTCTTTGGTTCTTTCTTTGCCTCATTCCAGCCTCTTGCTTCTGTAGTCACACCTCCTAGTACTCACTTTGTTCCTCCTGCCTTTCTCTCATAATAACCCTGTGATTACACTGGGCCCACACAAGTAATCAAGGCTAATCTCCCCATCTCAAAATCTTCAATTTAATAACAACTGCAAAGCCCCTTTCACTGTGTAAGGCAACACATTCACAGTTCCGGGAGTTAGAACATGGACATCTTCGGAGAACCATTATTCAGCCTACCATAAGGTCTAATGTTCCTGAAAATCTCCTGTGCTGCATGAACCTTATTTTGAAGGTTCATGAACATCTGAACATCCCCAAGAGGCCAAGCCCACAGTGCTTCACTAGAAAGTCCTCCTGGACCATCTCATTTCAGGCTAGCAAATCCTGACAGACTCTAAACAAATATTGTTATTCATATACTTTGTTAGCATTCAGGAAAAAAGCAGCGGACACTAGAAAGGAGGATCGATTTATTCTTATTCCCTTTGTTTTCTTTTCTTGTTTTGTTTTGTTTTGTTTTGAGACAGAGTCTCACTCTGTTGCCCAAGCTGGAGTGCAGTGGCATGATCTTGGCTGACTGCAACCTCCGCCTCCTGGGTTCAAGCAATTCTCCTGCCTTAGCCTCCCGAGTAGCTGGGACTACAGGTGCATGCCAGGCACAGCTAATTTTTTTTTTTTTTTCAGTAGAGACAGGGTTCCTCGGTGTTAGCCAGGATGGTCTCTATCTCCTGACCTCATGATCCGCCCGCCTCAGCCTCCCAAAGTGCTGGGATTACAGGTGTGCGCCACCATGCCCAGCTTCCCTTTAAATTCTTTCCTGACATACAAGTCTGTGGCCTGCGTCTCTGAGCACAGGGTGGCTTTCCTGGAATCCTGGAGGAATGGAATTGGGGGATCCAGTCTTGTCCTCTGTTGATCAATATCTTCTATGGTTCCCTATCACCTTCTGGACTAAGCCCAAGGCCTGCATTGTCCTTCCAAAGCCTTTTGAGATCTGACCCCTATCTATCATCAATTCTCCCTGAGCACCCCCTAGTGGTACTTTAGGCACTAGCACTGTCAAAGTCCTGTTGATGTCCAATCACCCATATTCTCTCGCGCCCCCACTCCCCCACCCACCATGCTTATGGACACATTGTTCCCGCTGCCTAAATGACCATCTGGCAAATGAACCTTGTCTGTGAGCAAACGTTTCCTTTCATTTATCCTACCTCACTGCCTTAGTAAAACATGCCCTCAGATTATAGGTTCTCCTCTCTATCTGCTCTACAGCACTGGTGATTCTGTAATTATTCTAGTGAGGACCAGCTACATAATTCGTGGGGTCCAGTGCAAAATGAAAATGAGGGGTCCCCTTGCTCCAGAATGACGGCATCTGTTTGCCATGTACCTGGATGCAACCTGCCCCTGGGGAGCTGCCCTTGCCCCATCCTTTTGAGCCATGGCACGGTCCTGCATCTCCAATACCAAATCTGACTCCAAAACTGTGTGGTGTGACATACAAGTGACTGAACGCTTCCTGGGGAGCTGGGGTTGGGGGCACTTCAACCACCACACAGCACAGCTTCATCAAAATGCAGCTTGCGACTTCTCCCCCAGGTGCCTTCCCGCTGCTGCGGGCCTCTGCTCCTTCACTTCCAACATCTCTCAAAATAAAAATCCCTCCTCCCGCTCTGAGCGATTCAGCTCTGCCTGCAGCTTGTACATGTCTCTCCCCTGGCAAAACAAGAGCTGGGTAGTTTAGCCAAATGGCGCCCCCTCGAGGCCACTGCAGGTCCTTCATTCACCCCGTCACATACAGAGGGGTTCTGAGTAAAAACAAAACGTTCTGCCGCTCAGGCCAGTGTGGCAAACACTCAGCCAAGCCTCAGGATCCTTCCGGGGAGAGTGTAGGTAGACAGTGTCCTGCTCGGGGGGCAGGGGTGTCCCAAGGGCTGGCCCGCCTGCTGTCTGCTCCTCCTGGCCCCTGGTCAGGCGGCAGCCAGAGTCCCTCTGGACCTGCATCCTCGCCCCAGCAGAAGTCTTTTGTCCAGGGGCCAAAAAGCCAGAGATTCCGCAACAAGAATTCAAAGCAAACACAACAAAACAAAATTCATGGAAAGTAGATGACTGCTAAGATATGGCAGGGGGGCCTGGAGGGAGCCTCCGGCTCTGACCTGCTCTGGGACGGGCCGCCTTCTCCTCCGCATGTTGCTCAGTTTCTGCCCCTGACGCTGGAGCTCACAGAGACGACTTCCTTGTCCTGGTTCTCAACAGAGCTGTAGCTGACTCTGGCATTACCAAGCCTCCCCACATGCCCAGCCCCCTCACTCCAAAATCCTACTGGCTGTAACAGAGAATACCTTTGAACCAAGATTCTGTTTTAATCATAATTTACATTGTTTTCTTTCCAAAGGCCCCCTTGTATACCCTCCCTAACCCACAAAACTGTTAACATTGTCTTAAGGTGAAATGGCTGTAAAATCAGTATTTAACTAATAAATTTATCTGTATTCCTCTTTCAAAAAAAAAGAGGAGTCCCCTGTTCCAAAACTATTAAGCATTTCAAGACAGCAACAGCAGAGCATTAAACCGAGCATGGGATCCTCCTGAGCCCCGTGCCATGTACGACTGCCCAGCTTGCACACCCATGATGCCAGCCTTGACCCTAGCGTGTGTGTACTAAGGACAGTGAAGACAGAAACTGCATCTGTGATCCATGCGTTCTCCAGGCCTTGGTCAGTGCCCCCCGACCCCTGCACACACACACATAGACACAAAAATGACAGCTGAGTGGATGTACAAATGAATGAATGAGCAATGTTGAAGATAGTTTTTATTCTACAGAAGACTGTATGCATGTAGTAGTTTCCTAAGGCTGCCATAACAAATGGCCACAACTCAGTGGCTTGAAACAACAGAAATTTATTTTCTCATAGTTCTGGAGGCTAGAAGTCCAAAGTGAAGGTGCTGGCAGGGCCATGCTCCCTCTGAAGGCTCTAGGGAAGAATCCTTCCTTGCCTCTTCCTAGATTCTGGCAGCTCTGGCTATCCTTGGCGTTCCTTGGATTGCAACCACATCACTCCCATCTCTGACTCCACCTTCATATGGTATTCTTCCCTCTGCGTGTATCTTCAGGCATCTCCTCTTCTTATAAGGGCACCATTCATTAGATTTAATGCCCACCTGAATCCAGTATAACCTCATCTTAACTATTTACATCTGCAAAGATCCCCATTTCCAAATAAGATCACATTCTGAGATTCCAGATGAACTTGAATTTGAGGGTGGGCACTCACTATTCAACCCACTACATTTGTTAATAGGACATTCTTCAGAATGCCTCAAGGGTATTTGTTGCTGATATATGTTTAACAATGACGTGACTTGTAACTTAATTTTATTTGCCAAGGGAACCTCGAAGGATCCATAAAACCATACAGGCTGTAAAGAGGCATGTATAATAAATGAAGTATAACCTGGGGAACTAAACATTTTTAGATGTGGTCATGCAACCAGTTATTGTTGAAATATCTTGGAAATGTGAAGGGCAACAACAACAACAAAAATAAACAGGAAGATGCCCAATTTTCCATAGAAAACTTAAGTGAAATCCAGAACTGCAAAGTTTTCCGCCTGCATTTACACAATGGCTTCCTGGGTTAGGGCTTCCTGTAGCAGAGCCCTAACACCATTGATTCCCCCTCCTTCTAGGTGGAGACTAGGGGAAAGTCTAGCATGGCTAGAATGCCCCTGAGGCTCAGCAGTTTGCATAAATTGTTTATTAAGGGTTAGGAACAGTCTATCACTTTACATATGTTAAGTAGATAGGGATCTCAGCCAGGCCCCTTGGGGGTTTTAATTAAAATAAAGTGTTAACATTTATTTTTCTTTGTGGAATGTTTATTGTTTCATTAATTGTTTAAGCTATCACAGAAGCATGGAGGGTTTAAGGTTTTGTTAATGTGTTCCCCTGTAAGAGAAAGAGGAGACTGTTGGTTGGGTAATAAGAGGAATCATGTTTAATATTCATTTGATAGTAAAACAGTTTAATATTCATTTGATAGTAAAAACAAGGGGTCTATGGACCATTTCCCGTTCCCCAGGTGCCCAGCCAGGTCACTTGGTCTCTTTTACTATTTATTTATTTATTTATTTATTTTGGAGACAGGGTCTCACTCTGTCACCCAAGCTGGAATGCAGTGGTAAAATCTCAGCTCACTGCAACCTCCACTTCCTGGATCCAAGCAAATCTTGTGCCTCAGCCTCCCAAATAGCTGGGACTACAGGCATGCCCCACAATGTCCAGCTAATTTTTGTATTTTTAGTAGAGACAGGTTTTCATCATGTTGGCCAGGCTGGTCTCAAACTCCTGACCTCAAATGACACACCTGCCCCGGCCTCCCAAAGTCCTGAAATTACAGGTGTGAGCCACCGCACCCGGCCAGTCACTTAGTCTCTTAAGTCACTTAGTCTGCCTTTAACATGAGAAGCAGAGACATAAAGGCTTTACATTAGAACTTCTGACTCACAGCCAGGCTCAGTAGTTACTGCCAGTAATTTGAGAACTTTGGGAGGCTGAAGCTAGAAGGTTCCTTGAGGCCAGGAGTTCAAGAGCAGCCTCGGCAACATAGCAAGATCTCATCTCTACAAAAACTTTTAAAAAGCAATCTTAGCTACTTGGGAGACAGAGGCAAGAGGATCACTTGAGGAAAGGAAAGAAAAACTTCTGAGTCAAGAAAGAGAGAGAGAAGAAAGAGAGAGAGAAAGAAAGAAAAGAAAAGAAGGAAGGAGGGAGGGAGGGAAGGAAGGAAGGAAAGAGAAAGAAAGAAAGAGAAGGAAGGAAAGAAAGAAAGAAAAAGAAAGAAGGAGGGAAGAAGGAGGAGGAGGAGAAGGAAGGAAGAGAAAGAAAGAAAAGAAAGAAAGAGAAAGAAAGAGAGAAAGAAAAAAAGAAGGAAGACTGACTTTTGAGTCACCGAATGCTAATAGAGTTCTTCTGTGGGCATCCATGCTGTCATATTCCACCTTGCCACCCTTTCCCCTATTTCCTCCAAGTGCAGCAGAAGATGCCGCAGCCTCTCAACCAACCAACCATGCTAGTGTGTGGTGGATTTATTTGTAGGGAGCTGATGGTTCTGGTCTTTTCTCTCAAGACTCATTTCCCTGAAATGGGCTATAGACTGGAACTGCTTTGCTGCCCCAGTGTTGCCAACGCCCCTTGTCTGGAATGTATTCCTCCGGTGTAGCCTCAAGGGCATTGTTAGGAAGTATGATAAGATAAATCTCTGTTGCTGTCAGGTTGTGTCCTTAGATGCATTCTGAATACCCTCTCTCATGGGCTGAGTCTCTCAACCCCACCATACACAAAATGGAGCAAAGATTTTTATCCAGGACTGGATCCAGGACAGTGGGAGATTAGCAGGACCAAACAACATTTATTTCATCATTCATTTCATTGTGTCTTCCTTTTTTCATGTATTCACTAGATCAGCAAGTATTTATTGAATGTTTGCTATGTACTGGTCACTGGGCTAAGCTCTGGAAGAGACAATGATGAATAAGGCTAAATAAGACAGTGATGAATAAGGCCATTCCATTTTCTTCCTTGACTTGCTGGAAGAAAATGGAAATATATAATATATAAGTAATGAGCAAATAAAGAAGAGAGCAGGTTATAAGAATGCACTAAGGAAATAAGGAGGATGCTGAGAAAAAGCAGCTTGGAAAAGGGCACTTTAGGTGGTCAGGTAAGGCTGCTCTGAAGGAGGAGGTGACATTTGACTGAGATTCATGAATTAAAAGGGATCCCTGTGAAGATCTGAAGGAGAGCATCCCCAAGAGCGGAAGCAGGGATAAATGCTGTCGGACAGCAGAGGACCTGGATCATGTTAAGAACAAACTGCAGACCAATGTGGCTACAGGAGAGTGAGCAAAGGTGAGATTGATGTGAGATGAGTTTATAAGGCTGGGCAGGGGCCAGATTGTGCTGGACTTAGGTGGGGGCATGTGGACAATGGCCTAAGTACAGTGGGAAGACAGTGGAGGGCTTTAAGTGTATGGAAAATGAATTCCAGGTACAAATGAGGATTGCAGTTTCTGGTTAGAGGGTTTTAAGTGCATGGAAAATGAATTCCGGATACAAATGAGGATTGCAGTTTCTGGTTAGAAATCTGGGCAGGAGATAATGGTGACTGTACTAGGATGAAGGAATAGGTGTGGAGAGTTGTGGACACATTCAAGATATGTTTTAGATTAGCGTTAACAGACCTTGTTGGCAGAATGGTTGTAGAGAATTAGGAAAGGAAAGATGCAAGGATGACTCTTACAACTTTTTGAGAAGCTGGACAACCAAGGGGTCAAAGAAGAAATAGAAGAGAAATTATAAAGTATTTTGAGACAAAAATGAAAACAGAACATACCAAAACTGACAGGATGCAGCAAAAGCACTACTAAAAGAGAAATTCAGAGTGATAAACACCTACATTAAGAAAGAAGAAAGATCTCAAATAAGCAACCTAACTTTACATTTCAAGGAACTAGAAAAAGAAAAACAAATCTAAGCCCAAAGTTAGGAGAAGGAAAGAAATAATAAAAATTAGAGCAGAAATAAACGGAATAGAAAATGAAAAGCAATAGAAAAAAATCAACAAAACTAAGAGTTGGTTTTTTGAAAAGATAAACAAAATCGACAAACCCTTACCAAGACTAACTAAAAAAGAGAACACTCAAATAAACAAAATCACAAATGAAAGTAGAAACTTTACAACTGGTCCTACAGAAATAAAAAGCATAATAAGAGACTACTACGAACAGTTGTGTGTCTATGAACCAGATAACCTGGAAGAAATGGGTAAGTTCCCAGAAACATACAACCAAGACTAAATCACAAAGAAATAAAAGATTTTTTTTTCTTTCTTTTTTTTTTAATTGATCATTCCTGGGTGTTTCTCGCAGAGGGGGATTTGGCAGGGTCATAGGACAATAGTGGAGGGAAGGTCAGCAGATAAACAAGTGAACAAAGGTCTCTGGTTTTCCTAGGCAGAGGACCCTGCGGCCTTCCGCAGTGTTTGTGGCCCTGGGTACTTGAGATTAGGGAGTGGTGATGACTCTTAACGACCATGCTGCCTTCAAGCATCTGTTTAACAAAGCACATCTTGCACCGCCCTTAATCCATTTAACCCTGAATGGACACAGCACATGTTTCAGAGAGCACAGGGTTGGGGGTAAGGTCACAGATCAACAGGATCCCAAGGCAGAAGAATTTTTCTTAGTACAGAACAAAATGAAAAGTCTCCCATGTCTACTTCTTTCTACACAGACACAGCAACCATCCGATTTCTCAATCTTTTCCCCACCTTTCCCCTCTTTCTATTCCACAAAACCGCCATTGTCATCATGGCCCGTTCTCAATGAGCTGTTGGGTACACCTCCCAGACGGGCTCCTCACTTCCCAGTAGGGGCGGCCGGGCAGAGGCGCCCCTCACCTCCCAGACGAGGCGACTGGCCGGGCGGGGGGCTGACCCCCCCACCTCCCTCCCGGACGGGGCGGCTGGCCTGGCGGGGGCTGACCCCCACCTCCCTCCCGGACGGGGTGCCTGCTGGGCGGAGATGCTCCTCACTTCCCAGACGGGGTGGCTGCCGGGCGGAGGGGCTCCTCACTTCTCAGACGGGGCGGCTGCTGGGCAGAGGGGCTCCTCACTTCTCAGACGGGGCGGTTGCCAGGCGGAGGGTCTCCTCACTTCTCAGATGGGGCGGCTGGGCAGAGACGCTCCTCACCTCCCAGACGGGGCCACGGCCGGGCAGAGGCGCTCCTCACATCCCAGACGGGGCGGCAGGGCAGAGGCGCTCCCCACATCTCAGACGATGGGCGGCCGGGCAGAGACGCTCCTCACTTCCTAGATGGGATGGCGGCCGGGAAGAGGCGCTCCTCACTTCCTAGATGGGATGGCGGCCGGGCAGAGACGCTCCTCACTTTCCAGACTGGGCAGCCAGGCAGAGGGGCTCCTCACGTCCCAGATGGGGTGGCGGCCGGGCAGAGGCTGCACTCTCGGCACTTTGGGAGGCCAAGGCAGGCGGCTGGGAGGTGGAGGTTGTAGCGAGCCGAGATCACGCCACTGCACTCCAGCCTGGGCACCATTGAGCACTGAGTGAACCAGACTCCGTCTGCAATCCCGGCACCTCCGGAGGCCGAGGCTGGCGGATCACTCGCGGTTAGGAGCTGGAGACCAGCCCGGCCAACACAGCGAAACCCCGTCTCCACCAAAAAAATACGCAAACCAGTCAGGCGTGGCGGCGCGCGCCTGCAATCGCAGGCACTCGGCAGGCTGAGGCAGGAGAATCAGGCAGGGAGGTTGCAGTGAGCCGAGATGGCAGCAGTACCGTCCAGCTTCGGCTCGGCATCAGAGGGAGACCGTGGAAAGAGAGGGAGAGGGAGACCGTGGGGAAAGGGAGAGGGAGACGGGGAGAGGGGGAGAGGGGGAGAGGGAGAGAGGGAGAGAGGGAGAGAGGGAGAAATAAAAGATTTGATCACTACCATGAAGATTGAGTTACTAACCCGAAACCTCCCAAGAAAGAAAGGCCCAGGACTAGAGGGCTTCACTGGTGAATTCTACCAAACATTTAAAGAAGAAATAACACCAATCCTTCTCAAACCTTGAAAAAATTGAAGAAGAAAGAACATTTCCAAACTCATTTTATGATGCCAGCATTATACCGATATCAAAGCCAGACAGAGATATCCCAAGAAAAGAAAACCATTGGCCAGGCGCGGTGGCTCACGCCTGTAATCCAGCACTTTGGGAGGCGGAGGTGGGTGGATCACCTAAGGTCAGGAGTTCAAGAGCAGCCTGGCCAACATAGCGAAACCCTGTCTCTACTAAAAATATAAAAATTAGCTGGGCGTGGTGGTGGGTGCCTGTAATCCCAGCTACTCGGGAGGCTGAGGCTGGAGAATCACTTGAACCCAGGAGGCGGAGGTTGTAGTGAGCTGAGATCACAGCATTGCACTCCAGCCTGGGTGACAAGAGCAAAACTCCGTCTCAAAAAAAAAAAAAGAAGGAAAGAAAGAAGGAGAGAAAGAAAAGAAAGAAGGAAGGAAGGAAGGAAGGGAAAGAAAGAAGAAAGAAAGAAAGAAAGAGAAAGAAAGGAAAGAAAGAAAGAGAAAGGAAAGAAAGAAAGAAAGAAAAGAAAGAAAGAAAGAGAAAGAAAGAAAGACAGACAGACTATTCACCAACAACCCTGATGAACACAGATGCAGAAAATCTTACCCATTTTGTCTTGGGATGATGATGACAGTGATGGTGTTGATGATAAGCAGAATATTTTTTGTAACCTCTGAGGAACAGAGAAGCGGCCAGAAATTTTTGATCATTCACTAATGTGCCAGGCACTATACAGAAGACTTCATACATTATCATTTTTAACTCTCCTATAACCCTATAATGTAGGCTCTATTATTAACACCAATGTAAAAATGAAGCTGAAGCACAAAATGTTTAAGTGACTTGCCCCAGGTAACACAGTAGAAAGCAACAAGGACAGAGAGCTGGGCTCAGTGGCTCACACCTGTAGTCCCAGCTACTCAGGGGGCTGAAACAAGAGGATCACTTGAGCGCAGGAGTTTGAGGCCAGTCTGGACAACATAGCAAGACTCTGTCTCTTAAAAGATAAAAAAGACACAGAGAGAAATGAAGGCAGAAATGGAATCCTACCCACAAGAACCTCCCTAAAAATCCAAGTTCATGACTACCTTGTTTCCTCTGCATCCCCATTACCTAACACAGTGCCTGTTATAGAGTAGGAACTCAATTAGTGTTGATTGTAAGGCTATGGGTAGGTGTGCCTGATGTCAAGTCCATACACCACGATGTCCATACACAGATGTGGCAAGAAAATAATATAAAACCACTCGTGAAGTCATGACTCCCTGGCTCACCTATTTTTCCCCCCTCTATCTGCCTTTCTGCTTTAGGTCAGGCCCAGTGTAGCATCTTCACGATTTCAGTTAGAGAAGAGAGAGCTGCTGGCACCTATATGAAAGAGGACCCATGGGCAGGAGAAGAGATGATTATGAGCAAATCCAGGGAGAGCTATTTCCTGAGACAGAGCTGAAAATAAACCAGACTTCTCTATGAGGAGATGATAATAGCAAGTAACATCTTCCAAGAGCTAATATGCTCTATTCAATTAATCACAAAAATTTATGAGTTGGGGACTAGTAACATAATCACCATTTTATAGGTGTAGAAACTGCAGGAAGGTAGGCTGGGGCAAAGTGGCTCACATCTGTAATCCCAGCACTTTGGGAGGCCGAGGTGGGTGGATCATGAGGCCAGGAGTTCGAGACCAGCCTGGCCAACATGGTGAAACCCCATCTCTACTAAATATGAAAATTAGTCGGGCGTGGTGGTGGGTGCCTGTAATCCCAGCTACTCAGGAGGGTGAGGCCCGAGAATTGCTTGAACCTGGGAGGTGGAGGTTGCACTGAGTCAAGATGGCACCACTCTAGCCTGGGCGACAAAGTGAGACTCTGTCTCAAAAAAAAAAAAAAAAAAAGAGAAAGAAAGAAAAGAAAAAAAAAGAAATTGCAAGAAGGAGAGGTTGAACGACCTCTCTAAGGCACCCCGGTAGGTGGCACAACTGGGGCTCAAATCCAGGCAGTCCCTCTGCTCATGACCATTACACCAGAATCTGGGAGGCATGTACTGTGGGTGAGATGACTCTTCATTAATCGGCACTGGGGAGAAGCCACACTAAAATATGCTCATGAAAATGCAACTCTGCAAGAGAAAAATGTCTGCCTGTTGCTTTTTTAATGGTTGAAATAAAATTATATTCCTGTCACCACCAAGAGAAAGGCTTAGAGACTGGAGAATGGCTTAGATTATGCAATTGCTTCTTTGTCCTTGCCAAGGTAAGGACATTTTATCTAATGGACATGAACACTGTCATCACTAAAAAAGTACATTCTGTCTCAGGATTTGGTGAATTTGTTTTCCCAAATTAATCTTCTGCAACTGTGTGATACTGTCTTTCTCTCTAGTCAGACTAGTCTGTTCACTTCCCCCAAAACACCCATTTCTGGGCCTTTTCTCAAACCAGTTATCTTCCTAGGATGTTCTTTTTCTCTCTCTCCTTATCAAAATCTTACCTTGTTTCAAGTCATTCAGTAACACAAGGTACATTTTAGATTGTCTGAGATGTAGCTTGTTAAATACAAGTTCTTGGGTCCTACCTCCAGAGATTCGTGTTCAGACTTGCTTAAATCTTGGGTGATTCCAGGTATTAGATTTTTAAGCATGCTCCCCAGATTCTGAAGGGGTGTGCGTGCATGTGTGTGTGTGTGTGTGTGTGTGTGTGTGTGTGTGTGTGTGTGTAGGTAGGTAGTGAGGTCATTCTGAGGGAAACTGCTTTGGTAATGGGAATTTAAAAGATGGTTGGAGGCCAGAAGACCTCTGCACTAGAAAGAGCATTTGAAGCCATCCAGTTCCGCATTATAAATTTTCTTGTGAGGAAACTGGGGCCCAGAGAACGTAGCTCTACCTTGTAAATTTACTAATGCAGAAACTGAGGCCCAGATAATTTAAGTGACGTGCCCAGGATCACACAGTTATGAATTGGCTGAGCTGGTACAGCCACAATCCCAGCTCTGTCTTTCTCTGACACAAGATTTTCCCTAGATTCCATAGCAATAAGCCCCAAACCCTGCCCTGACCACACGATACACCACCATCACCACGGGAGGATTGCCTAGGCTGGGTTAAGACCCACACACGAGTTGTGTGGTCTTGTGCAAGTTACCCAGTCTCTCTTGGGCTCAGTTTCATTGTTAATAGAGCAGGTATAAAACTCAGCTCACAGGGCTGTTGATATGGTTTGGCTCTGTCCCCACCCAAATCTCATCTTGAATTGTGTCTCCCATAATTCCCACATGTTGTTGGAGGGACCAAGTGAGAGATAATTGAATCATGGGGGCAGTTTCCCCATACTCTTTTTTGTGGTAGTGAATAAGTCCCACAAGATCTGATGGTTTTATAAGAGGAATCCCCTTTCGCTTGGCTCTCATTCTTTCTTGCCTCCTGCCATGTAAGACGTGTCTTTTGCCTTCATCATGACTGTGAGGCCTCTCCAGCCACGTGGAACTGTGAGTCCATTAAACCTCTTTTTCTTAATAAATTACCCAGTCTCGGGTAATCAAGAGAACGCATGAGTGGCCTGTGTTGCACACATTCCATTTATCAGCAGCATGAAAACGGACTAATATAGCTGTAATGCAGATTAAGTGAAATAGAATGCAAGACTTTTCATGGGACAAGGCCTGAGAAAAATACTGAGAATAAATGTAGGCTTTGGGCTACATTTTGGAGTATTAATTTACATTGTTTTCTTTTTCCCAGTTATTCCTTTTCCCTTTGTTGTCATGCATGTTTGTGGCCTGCTCCCTGCTGGTCACCCCAGGATGGATGTAACAGGAGAGAGTAGAAATAGCCTGCCCATCTTCCTGAATTTTTTTCCCGAAAGCCTAATCCCCAGGATCAGGAAGGAATCCCAGGGACAAACTAAAAGTCTTTACAAGAAGCCTGGGGACAAAATGAAGAAAGGAAAATTCTGCTTGGGATGGGGGAAATGAGAGATGAGAAAGGTCTATAGGTCCTGGCTGAAGAGGGTAAAGAAAGAAAAATTCTGATGGGACGGGGATTTGAGATTTGGGATGGGGGAAATGAGGGATGAGAAAGGTCTATAGGTCCTGGCTGAAGAGGGAAGCAGGTCCTACATCCCAATATAGTCTCTGGGTTTATCTGGGCAGGCAGAAATACAGGAAGACTCCTTCAAAAGTCCCTTGACCCAAGTGCAGTGAGGAATGCTTAGAGGCCACATAGATGTAGACAGTGGTAATCACAGCTGATCACCCACCATCCTTCCACACTTTGGCATCATCATAATCTTAAAATCACAGCAAAATCTCAGGTATCAGGAGGGCTTGCATAACTATGGCCCAGCCCTCAGTGGAGAGAAGTCCAGCAATGAGGTCAGGCCAGGTGCAGTGGCTCATGCCTAGAATCCCAGCACTTTGGGAGGCTGAGGTGGGAGGAAATCATTTGAGCCCATGAATTAAAGACCAGTTTGAGCGTTATAATAAGATCTTGTCTCCACAAAAAATGTTGATTACATTTTTAACTGAAAATTTTAATTTTAAATTTAAATTAATTTAAAATTTAAACCACCAGTATGGTGGTGCAGGTACCTGTAGTCCCAGCTACTCAGGAGGCTGTGATGGGAGGATCACTTGAGCCAAATAGTTTGAGGCTGCAGTGAGCTATGATTACACCACTGCACTGCAGCCTGGGCAATAGAGTGAGACCCTGTCTCTTAAAAAAGGTGTGGGGGGCTGGGGGGATGAGGTCATTTTCTATCAACCAGGAGGAAGGCCACCTTGAGATAGAAATAAAGTTGAATTATAGAAAATAAGGCAGCCACTACTTGTTCCAAATGTAGGGGTTAAGTGTCCACTCACAATCAAGAGAACGCATGAGTGGCCTGTGCTGCACACATTCCTTATTGCACTGCTAGCTGGGACTCCCTGAGCTGTTAAGGTTGAGGGAACAGTGCAAGCTCAGGCCCTTCTTCCAGCACCCCCATGCCATTCTCAGAACAGCCAGGAGCAGATCCAGGTTCAATGCGGCATTGAACTTAAACATTTGTGGCCCTGTTTAAGAAAAAGAATCAAAATTACACATACAAAGTTAGGAACAAAAGTAACCTCTGCTGGCTTCTGAAGTCATGAATGGCTCCTGCTGCTGGCACCAGCCTTCGAGTGCCCACGGCCCGTCCCTGCGTGACAAACACACCTGCAGCCGGCCCTCAGTGCTACCTGCCCCTAGAATGAGAGATAATACCAAGGACCTTAACAGCCCTGGTAGTCACTGCAGTGCTTACTGCCAAGGGTGATGAACAAGTTGTCCATGTTCCAGAGCCCAGCTGCCTGAGCCAACAAGACATAGCACCTCCCAGACCCCGGAGCAGGCATGTAGCCCACATTTGGCCCTGCTGGAGGGAGAGCCACAGTGTACTACAGCTTAGTCACTGTAATCACAAAAATGTGGTAATGGAGCCACAATATAAAACAAGTAAACTCAGCCTTCAAGAACACATTGTGGGGCCGGGCATGGTGGCTCATTCCTGTAATCCCAGCAACTCAGGAGACTAAGGCAGGAGGATCACTTGAACCCAGGAGGTGGAGGTTGCAGTGAGCTGAAATTGTGCCACTGCACTTCAGCTTGGGTGACAGAGTGAGACTGTCTTAAAAAAAATGCTTTAAAACTTGGAATGTAAATACATAAGTGTCTACTATATTATTTTCAGTACATTTGACATATTTTGTAATTAAAATAAACTTAATAATATATTTAAAAATAAGTAAATAAATATTTCCAAAAGAAGACTAGTAATAGTCTACACCTCACAGAAACCTTAGAAAACTTAATTAATACAAAGCATTGGAATCAGGGCCAGGGACATGGTAAACACTTGCAGAATATTCATTGTTTTCCTCAGTGCCACTGTTTTACATAATTTTAAAGCTTTCTTTTCTTTTCTTTTTTTTTTTTTTTAACTGTCCTAGAAGTCAACCGAGATGGGACAGAAAGGAAAGAAAACCCTGGAAGGTCTTCTTGAAGAAGGCGATCCTAAATCTGAATCCAAATTTTCAGAAATGTGTCTCCTGGGTGAAGGTGAAGGTAGCAAGAGTCTGCCCAGCAACCCCCCAACCCCATTTTTTTTTTTTTTTTCTGAGACCAGTGGAGTCTGGCTCTCTGTCACCCAGGCTGGAGTGCAGTGGCGCAATCTCAGCTCACTGTAACCTTCGCCTTCTAGGTTCAGGCGATTATCGTGCCTCAGCCTTCTGAGTAGCTGGGACTACAGGCGTCCGCCATCATGCTCAGCTAATTTTTGTATTTTTAGTAGAGACGGGGTTTCACCATGTTGGCCAGGCTGGTCTTGAACTCCTGACCTCAAGTGATCTGCCTGCCTCAGCCTCCGAAAGTGCTGGGATTACAGGTGTGTGCCACAGCACCCAGCCCCACCCAGCTCACCCCAGCCTCTTTTAACCTCGCCTGTCTGACTCACATATTTTCCCAGCTGCTGGTCTTTGCTCTTCCTCTCCTCTCTGTCTTTCATGTAAAGCCCTCTCCAGAGGCTCTGTGGTTCCCAGGGGCCTTTCACGCACTGCCTAGAGAAAGGCCACTTACTGGCTAGTGTTCGCCACTCTCCCTCATGTGTCCTTGATTACAGGGACCAAGAGGTAAAATCAAATCATTTTCCAGCCTCCCCAGTAGTCAGGAGTAGCCATGGGAACCCATTTTGCCCTCGAGAGGCGGGCGGAAGTCCATGGGGCAGATGCTTCTTAGGTCTTTCTGCTCTGTCTTAATTGCTCAAGAAGCCCAGAAGTCCAGCAGCCGTCTCAAAACCACAAAAATAAAGGGTCCCACCGAGGCTGAGAAGGAGCCTGGCGGACTGAGGATTTCCCTTTGCAGCAACACCAGCCCTGGACCCCTTTAATGAAAAGTAACGGCAAAAAACCGTGATTACTTTTGCACCAGCTCAGTTAAAAGGGGTCCAGGGCTGCAAAGGGAAATTGTGTTGAACTTTCCATTACTTGTTGCCAAACACACTCACGCACCTGACTATCCTGTCAGTAAGGGATTGTTTTTTGGTGTTTGTTTGTTTTTTGTTTTTGTTCGTTTGTTTTGAGACGGAGCTTCGCTCTTGTTGCCCAGGCTGGAGTGCAATGGCGCGATCTCGGCTCACCTCAACCTCCGCCTCCGCTTCCCGATTCTTCTGCCTCAGCCTCCGGAGTAGCTGGGATTACAGGCATGCGCCACCACGCCCAGCTAATTTTGTATTTTTAGTAGAGATGGGGTTTATCCATGTTGGTCAGGCTGGTCTGGAACTCCCGACCTCAGGTGATCCGCCCGCCTCGGCCTCCCAAAGTGCTGGGATTACAGGCATAAGCCACCGCGCTAGGCCATAAGGGATATTTAATGGAGATGCACTGACAAAACCTGTGGGGCCCTTGAGGCGCCCTGGACATCCCTCCATCTGAAGGCCAAATACCGGACATTCCTCACCACCCTCAGCTGCCTCGGTGCAGGTGCCTGCTGCCATCTAGTGTCCATCTTTTAGAACTACACCACTGCTTTGGGACATGAACTATTTTTCCTTCCGCACTTTCTTTTTTCATTCATTCATTCATTCATTTGTTCATTTATGAAAGGAAAATAAAACCTCAGGATCTCGATTTAGCCTACCAAAAGGAAAAAAGAATAAGCCAAAAGCCGAGTCACGCAAGAAGCTGCCTTTTCTTTTGTTCCTAAGCAGATGCTACAGATAAAAGGCCAGATATCTCCAGCTGCTGGTTGTCCACCTTATCTTATCAAGTGCCGATTTACTGAGCATGAGACAAATACATAACTGACTATTCCCCTACCTGTTCCTTGTCTCTTGCAACATGTGGATTCTGTGATGTGACTGGACCTTCCCTCTTTCCAGCCTGCTTTTCCCCTTTAGATATTGAAGCCCACAAAATCATCTTTGGAGAAAGGCACAGATCGCAGACTGTTTCTGTGGTTTCTATATTCCCTTCTTCTGGCGTGTGCCTTACATTGGCTTCTAAACTTTACAAACTTCTAAATTGACTGAGACTTGTGTCAGACATATTTTGGTTGACAAATTGGCATCCAACAGAAGGGACTCTGAGTGGAGGTGGTCCTGACTGTTGAGAAATCTGACTTTGGTGCTTGGTACCAGCCCGGGCTACTTTTATTGCTCAAACTGTTACAGGAAAGGGGTCTGGAGCCAGACCACAGAGTGAGTTCTTGGATCTCTGACAGGAAAGAATTCTGGGCCAGTCACAGAGCACAGTGAAAAAAGCAAGTTTATTAAAGACTACTCTATTACAGAGTAGGGCATCCTCAGAACTAACAACAAGAGGAGGCCAGGCACCGTAGCTCACACCTATAATCCCAGCACTTTGGAAGATGAGGTGTGACAACTGCTTGAGACCAGGTGTTCAAGACCAGCCTGGACAACATAATGAGACTCCATCTCTACTAAAAATAAAAAAAATTTGCCCTGCATGGTAGCATACCTGCAGTCCCAACTGCTAGAGAGACTAGGCAGTAGGATCTCATGAGTCTGGGATGTCAACGCTGCAGTGAGCCATTATTGTGCCACTGCACTCCTGCCTGGGTGACAGATAAGGCTTGTCTTGAAAGAAAAAAAAAAGGAAAAGAAAAAAAAAAGCAAGAGTAGGACTCTGAACACAAATAAAATGCTATATAATAAGGGAGCTGGCCAGGCATGGTGGCTCACACCTGTAATCCCAACACTTTGGGAGGCCAGGGAGGCTGGATCACTTGAGGTCAGGAGTTCAAGGCCAGCCTGGCCAACACGGTGAAACCCTGTCTCCATCAAAAATATAAAATATTAGCCAGGTGTGGTGGCGTGCACCCATAATCCCAGCTACTAAGGAGGCTGAGGCAGAAGAATCATTTGAACCTGGGAGGCAGAGGTTGCAGTGAACAGAGATCATGCCACTGCACTACAGCCTGGGTAACAAAGCGAGACTCTGTCTCAAAAAAAAAAAAAAAAAAAAAAAACAAGAAGAAGAAAGCAAGCTAAGAATAATAATGAACTTATGTGCTTTATTATAAAGGCTTGTGACCAGCTTGTGACAGGCTGATGTTATCCTCTTGTGTAACTATTGAGTTCAGCAGGAATTTAGGGATATACTATTACCTATTAGTATAAGAAACCTATTATCTATTAATATAAGAAGCCTATTCTTAGACTAAGAATACTTTTTGGTCTTGAGATATCAGGACTTCAAGACTTTCTGTTAAGTTCTGGGTCTTGTTTACTTATCATTAACTCATTCTCTCAACCATAAAGGTCCTGTGAAGGAGAGTGCCTAGCTTCCTGGGAATGGAATCCAGCAGGTTTCACTTCATTTGGCCTTATTCAAGACGGAGTCACTCTGGTTTGGACACCTCTGATATATTTTCCTCCTCCCTTTTATAAGGGGATCCTTAATTCTAAGGGGTACAGAGGGACAGAGGTCCATCTTCATAAATGTCTTCAAGGTGAACAGGAGCAATGATATTCCTCCCTAACCACTGGGATCCCTTGTATTTAGATTGGAGAGGAGTTCACTCAGCAAGTGTTGGCGTGGTGAGGACCAATCATTATTGTGACTTTCAACAAAAGGTGAAATCTGGAAAATTAGTAAGTGTTCAATTTAAAGAAGCTATTTAATAGGTTTACCTTGTTTTCTTTTCTTTTCTTTTTTTTTTTTTTTTTTTTTTTTTGACGGCATTTTGCTCTTGTTGCACAGGCTGGAGTGCAATGGCATGATCTCGGCTCACTGCAACCTCCGCCTCCCAGGTTCAAGCGAGTCTCCTGCCTCAGCCTCTTGAGTAGCTGGGATTACAGCTGTGTCCCACTATGCCCTGCTAATTTTGTATTTTTAGTAGAGATGGAGTTTCACTACGTTGGCCAGGCTGGTCTTAAAACTCCTGACCTCAGGTGATCCGCTTGCCTCGGCTTCCCAAAGTGCTGGGATTACTGGTGTGAGCCACTGTGCCTGGCTAGGTTTACCTTGTTTTCTTGCACAAAAATTACAACAGCAATACATTCCACAGCAACAAAACAGAATCTGTTCCAAGCATCTGAACAAAAAGGTTTTCCATGAACCAGACAATTGCTGGAACCACCCTGATATGGGGTCAACTGACAGTGTGTTAATGGCAGAGATATGGGTGTCTAAGTCCTTCATGGCCTGAGTAATATTATGTTAATATTATGGAATATACAAACAACATTCCATTTTGATGATAGCACAAGATCTCCCTTGAGCCGCTGTTAAAATGTCCAAAGCCATGCAGTTTCGTAAGGCTACCTGTCTAATTTGAGAAGTCTCTTCAGTTAGTAGGATAATGGCATGCTGTGTAGTATTGAAAGCTGTAGCTGTATGTTGGAATACAGATTCAACTTGCCACTTGACATCCATTACAGCCACCTCTGACAGTAATATAGCCCTCGAGAAAAACCACCAAGTAGGGTCAGGCGCGGTGGCTCACGTCCATAATCCTAGCACTTTGGGAGGCCAAGGTGGGTGGATCATCTGAGGTCAGGCATTTGAGACCAGCCCGGCCAACATGGCAAAACCCCATCTCTACTAAAAATACAAAAAAATTAGCTGGGCGTGGTGGCAGGTGCCTGTAATCCCAGCTACTCTGGAGGCTGAGGCAGGAGAATTGCTTGAACCCAGGGGGCGGAGGATGCAGTGAGCGGAGATCATGCCACTTTACTCCAGCCTGGATGTAAGAGCGAAACTCCGTCCTGGAAAAAAGAAAGAAAGAAAAAAAAAGAGACCTCTTTGGTCACCTGTGGCGAGATTTCCCAACTTTCCAGTTAGACGGGAGAGAGTCTAATTTAGTGAGGATATGTCCTGGGAGATAAGGATGACCCCATGTACATCTTCCAATCCAATTACAAGATAAATACAGCCAGCCATGAGACCCACATGCCCATAGCCAGCCCCAAGGAGAAAGACAAGCAACCAGTGGCTAGGACTTATTCTGCCATTCCATGCACATTTGGTCACTTACAAGGGTGTGATTACATTGTTGGGGTGGTAACCTTCCCATATTACAGGTCTCAGTCTCTTCATAACTGTTACTATGTCTTTCAAAGCATAGGGACACTATGCTTGATACCTGCACTTGGACAGCTGTCATCCACCCAAGTCCATCATGCACAGCATAACAGGGCAGGGTGGAATTTAGCTGTTTCTTCATTAAACAAAAAAGACGCTTCCTTGTTTCATTGTGAGAAATGAAAGGGCTGGACCCTTTGTTTTTATAGTACATGGGAAAACGTGATGGATATTCACTCCAATCATAATGATGATCCCATAAACTCATATTGGCTGGCAGGATGTATCATGGCAGCACCACGGTGGAGGAGAGCTGTAGTTCTCCACACACCCGGCAATCCATTTTGTTGTGTAGGGAGGCTGAAGTTTGTGCCCAGCCAGCAAAGAGATTGCCTCTTAGCTAATACCAATATGTGTCCAGAATTGGGATATTAATCCAGATTTTTATGTTATTTATCTTTCTTGTTTCTTCTAAGCAGGAGCCAGATATCACTGGTTGGTTCACAGGAATAAGTGGAATCAGTCTCTTGTGTTCCAGCAGCCTGTGGGACTTCATAAGAAACAGACTTAATTCAAGATCAATGAGCCCAGCTGCTTCTTCCTTGAAGTGTAACTGCGGTTGAGGCACTAAGGAGTACTTACTTAGTAGGGTCCTTTCCACTGTGGGAAAGTTGATCTGCTAGGGACCATTTTTTCAAGTCATTAACAGGATCCCATTTCCTGGCTGGATTACAATAGGATTTTTTTCCTTAGTGAGGGAAGGAAGTCTCTCATTTCTGTATTCAAGAAGAGCTTTTTGCACCTGACCTAAGTTGGCAACATAATTCTGTAATTTGAAAGTATCTCCATCTACTAGGAAATCAGCAATTCTTTCAGAAAGGCTTTCCGTACATTATTTCAAAAGGGCTGAGCCTTCCACTGGGGCAGCCCAAACTTGCAGCGAGGCCACAGGCGATAGACGGAGCCAGGTTTCTGATGTTTCCTGTCAGAGCTTAGCAAGGGTCCTGTCTAAAATTTGATTGGTCCTTTCTACTTTTCCTGAAGACTGTGGCCTCCATGCGGAATGAAGACCATATTGAATTCCTAGAGCGGATGCTATGTCTTGGTTATTGTTGCTGTAAAGATGGGCCATTATCACTCTACAAGCTTTTAGGCAACCTGAATCTGGGAATCATATCCTTGAATGAAAATTTAGAAACCTTGATTGACTTTTCAGGCCAGATAGGAAAAGCTTCAATCCAACATGTAAAGAAAGGTATCAACCAACACTGATAAATATTGGAATCCTTTACATGGGGGCATTTGGGTATAGTGTGTTTGCCAATCTTCTTCTGGGTACGACCCCCTATGCTGAACAGGCTTTACTAATGGAGGAGGTAAAGTTTGGTTGTTTGAGGTTTTTTTGGGCACACAATTCACAGGCCCAAGTCACTTGTTTTACTGTTCTAAGAAAGTCTTTTCGGCCAGGCACGGTGGCTCACGCCTGTAATCCCAGCACTTTGGGAGGCTGAGGTGGGTGGATCACGAGGTCAGGAGTTCAAGACCAGCCTGGCCAACATGGTGAAACCCTGTCTTTACTAAAAATACAAAAATTAGCTGGGCATGGTGGCAGATGCCTGCAATCCCAGCTACTCGGGAGGCTGAGGCAGAGAATTGCTTGAACCCAGGAGGCAGAGGTTGCAGTGAGCTGAGATCACACCACTGCACTCCAGCCTGGGTGACAGAGCGAGACTCCGTCTCAAAAAAAAAAAGAAAGTCTTTCCCTATAAACAGATGAGCCATATTAATTGAAATGAGAAATCTCTTCCCAAATGAGTAGAGCCATGCCAATACTTAACTATTTTCCATTGATCAGCTCTTGGTACATATCATCTGTCATTTTCATCAATTAGCCATCTGGAAGTGCTTATAGTTAACCCATGGGTCTTAGCCCATTTTTGTTCTTTTCTAGTATTAACCATGCTCTAGTTTTATCGTCACCAAGGCAGTGGGCACCAACATGCCTACCAGATTAACTGGTTCCCTCAAATGAAGCTGCCTCAGCTGTAGCATCTGCAAAAGAATGCCCTTTTATTATTTTGGAGTTTTCTTTCTTTCTTTTCTTTTCTTTTTTTTCTTTTTTTTTTTTTTTTTGAGTCAGAGCCTTGCTCAAGTTGCCCAGGCTGGAGTGCAATGGCACGATCTCAGGCTCACTGCAACCTCTGCTGCCCAGGTTCAAGCAATTCTCCTGCCTTAGCCTCCCAGGTAGCTGGGATTACAGGCACGAGCCACCACGCCCAACTAATTTTTGTATTTTTAGTAGAGATGGGGTTTCACCCTGTTGGCAAGCCTGGTCTCGAACTCCTGACCTCATGATCCGCCCGCCTTAGCCCCTCAAAGTGCTGGGATTACAGGTGTGAGCCACAGTGCCTGGCATATTTTGGAGTTTTCTTTTTGATGTCCCTTGCAGTGAATCACAGCAACTTCCTTAGGCAGCAAGGAAGCATCTAGTAGATTTAAAATTCCCAAATAATGTTCTATAGGGGAGCCCTTAGAAGTTAAAGAGTCCCCATTATTTCCAAATAGCAGCATGAGCATGAAGCACCAGAAAGCCATACTTGGAGTTTGTGTACATGTTAATTCTTTTTTAAAATTATTATCCTTTTTTGAGACAGAGTCTCGCTCTGTCTCTAGCCTGGAGTGCAGTGGCATGACCTTGGCTTACTGCAAGCTCTGCCTCCTGGGTTCAAGTGATTCTCCTCCCTCAGCCTCCTGAGTAATTGGGACTACAGGTGTGCACCACCACGCCCAGGTAATTTTTGTATTTTTAGTACAAATGGGGTTTCACCATGTTGGCCAGGCTGTTCTGGAACTCCTGACCTCAAGTAATCCGCCTGCCTCAGCCTCCCAAAGTACTGGGATTACAGGTGTGAGCCACCACACCCAGCCCTAGTGGCCCGTCTTTTAAATCCTGCCAGCTGGAATAAATTTGTTCCATAGCTTGTGTACATGAATGATCTAGGGTGCCTTTGGATCCAAGTAGATACGTAGCTAGGATTAAGGTCTTCTGTTATACTTTAAGAGTTATATCAAGAGTATCTAGCAATAAAGCCTGATAATTTAATAACTATCCCCTACTCATCTATTGGTGCCCTTTAGCTTCTAGGGCCTCTGTTATTTGGTGTGGGGTCAAAACCTCCAGATGTTGTCCCAAAGTTAATTTATTGTCTTCATCTATGAGAAGAGCAGTTGTTGCAACTGCCCTGAAACATCTGAGTCATCCTGAAGCCACATGGTCAATTGGTTAGAAAAATATGCCATGGGTCAAGGGATGTATCCCTGTTTCTAGACAAGAACATTTAGGGCTGTCCCTTGTTTCTCAGCCACATAAAGGAAGAAAGTAAAGCCTGTCCCTAAACCCACGGGGAAGAATTGTCCAAGTTAACACAGAAACCAAAAGATTATTAGGTAATCAAAAGTAAAGACCACAATAGGGGACTCAGCAAAAGAAATGTTTCACTAGAGAAGGGAAATGACAAAGTTCTAGAAAGGAATGTCCAAGTTCAGGCCAGTAGCGGCAAGCAGGACAAGATTTACATGGCCTTGCCATTTGTAACCAAAAAGTAAAAGTCATTCCATTAGCAAGGAGATGAAAAAGAACTGCTGAAAAGCAATCTCCAGTTTTCCATCCTGGAGCAGTTCACCTAGGGGGGACTGGTATAATTGCTGCCAGGCTTAATCTTTCACATTGGACCTTTTCATTTAAAACTTGTAAATGCGAAATTCCAAGTAAGCTTTGCAAAAAAGGAGAGACAATAAACAATTCATTTAAGTGGTCTAGATCTAGGGAAAGTAAATATTACAGAGCCATTTGTCCCCAATGTCTTCTAGCAACATGCCAGAACAACAGGCAAATGGCCCATAACCCAAAGGCAAACAAGAAAAAGGAAAGTTAAAAACCTCAGGACCAGTTCAACAAGATCTCTCTCATAAAGTAGCAGTAAAGCATAGAAAGCAATCAGGAAACTGGCAAGTGGCAGCCTTTGGAAAGCTCTTACAGAGAGCACAAGGAGGACGAATCCACAGTGAATAATGGTTAACATCCCATTGTGCTAAACCCATTTTCAGCTGTGAGGGGCCTTTAATCCTCCCAAGTAGGCCTCAAACCCAATCTTAGATAAGTGTCCTTGTCCTTCATCGGTATAAAAATGTATTCCCCTTCTTACCCAAAGTCAGTCAGTTGGTCCTGCGCAGTCTATTTCTTTTGGGTTGAAGGTCTCACCTCAATAAAGTCCTTGGGAGTTGCCACAGGAAATGTTACTTAAAAGGAATTTTGTTCCAGACCCAAAAAACAGGTTCTTGGATCTCAGACAGGAAAGAATTTAGGGCCAGTCACAGAGCACAGTGAAAGAAGCAAGTTTATTAAAGACTACTCTATTACAGAGTAGGGTGTTCTCAGAAGGCGAGAGGAGGACCCCACACCAAAAATTATGTAGCTAGCTAAGAATAATGGTCTCATGTGCTTTAGTACAACAGCTTGTGATCCACTTGTGACAGAGTATTAGTAGTGTTATTCTCTGTGTAACTATTGATTTCAGCAAACATTTATGAAAATACTATTATCTTTAAAGAGAAACCTATTCTTAAACTAATAATGCTTTCTGTTCTCAAGATATCAGGACATCTTCTTAAGTTCTGGGTCTTGTTTAGTGAGTAAGAATCATTAGCTCGTTCAGCCAAAAGGTCTTGTTATGGGTAGAGGGTGTCCAGGTTCGTGACATCTTGAACAAAGAATTGGACAAAATGTACAAACCAAGGAAAGAATGAAGCAACAAAATCAGATTTATTGAAAATGAAAGTACACTCCCCAGGATGGGAGCAGCCCCTGTCTAGGGGCTCAACAGCTGGGTTACAGAATCTTCTGGGGTCCAAATACCCACTAGAGGTTTCTTACTGGTCACTTGGTGTTCACCCCATGCAAATGAAGTAGTGGCCTGCAATCAGAGGCTGAAGTAAAGTTACAAAGTTGCACTCCTATGCAAACGTCTGATTGAGGCCATTATTTCATTTGCATGGAGTGCACACCAAGTGGCCAATGGGAAACCTCTAGTGGGTATTTGGATTGATTGGTGGCTTTCTGCAACCAATCAGAGGTACTTTCAATTTTCCTTCTGCCCTGCAGAAAAGCAGGTTTGCAAAGGGAGTAACCTCTGGTCCTTCTGTTACTTAGGCATAGATAGTTGGTTTTTTCCTTTTGATTTAGTTCTACGAAGTCAGTGTGAATCAGCCTTAGGTTCCCTGCCTCCAGACCCTATTTTCCTGCCTCAGTCTTATTATGGAGAGTACTTAACTTTCTGGGAATGTAACCCAGCAGGTTTTGCTTTATTCAGCCTTTATTCAAGATGGAGTCACTCTGGTTTGGACTCCTCTGACAGCGGGAGTGAAGTAGAAGTGATAGGGTTTCTTTACAGTTCTTATATCCAACTATTTGATTTAGTCTATATGGAATTCCCCTTTGTCTTCTTTAGGAATATCAAAGCATTTCAACAGGTATTTAGTACCTGTGAGCTAGCCAACTTGTTACTTTGTATCTTTTTAAGTATCTACTCTTTACTAGTTATTGTCTAAGACACTATAATGTCTCTACTCACTATAGCAATCTTCTGAAGATTAGATTCCATTTTATAAGTGAAGATTCCAATTTTGAGGGGTGATACGATTTACTGGAACTCAGATCCTTCTGACTTTCAAATAGTTGTTTCTTGGACCAAAGGACAATGAAACAGTGATGACTATATCTGCATGAAAAGGGAAAAAGGGAGCTGTATCTGACTCTTCACTTTCAGAAAATAAGGTGGCTGCTGATGCTAACCTGAGAGCAGCATTAGGCTATGGGAAAGCTTTCTCCAAATTCAGATCATCATTTTGTTACAGGAAAGGGGTCCCAATGCAGACTACAACATGGGGTTCTTGGATCTCATGCAAGAAAGAATTCAGGGCAAGTCCGCAGTGCAAAGTGAAAGCAAGTTTATTAAGAAAGTAAAGGAATAAAAGAATGGCTATTCCATAGACAGAGCAGCCATGAGGGCTGCTGGTTGCCCATTTTTATGGTTATTTCCAGATGATATGCTAAACGAGGGGTGGATTATTCATGCCTCCCCTTTTTAGACCATATAGGGTAACTTCCTGACGTTGCCATGGCATTTGTAAACTGTCATGGCGCTGGTGGGAGTGTAGCAGTGAGCACCACCAGAGGTCACTCTCGTGGCCATTTTAGTTTTGGTGGATTTTGGCCGCTCCTTCACTGCAACCTGTTTTATCAGCAAGGTCTTTTTGACCTGTATTTTATGCTGACTTCCTATCTCATCTGGCGACTTAGAGTGCCTTAACCGTCTAGGAATGCAGCCCAGTAGGTTTCAGCCTCATTTTACCCAGCTCCTATTTAAGATGGAGTTGCTCTGGTTCATGCGCCTCTGACAATTTCATGTTAATTTTTCTCTTTGAATTCATGAGCAGCACTGAAGAGAGTGCATGAGGTTTCTGGAAAATAGCAATTTGAAGTCTTTTAGTCCATAAGATTCCCTGTTATAAATGTCTTCCTAGGCTGAAAAAAAAGTAATGGTTGACCATAAAAAAGATGGCGGCCGCAGCTTCTCCACAGCAACGGCAACGCCATTCTCAAGCAAGCGCATCAATATATTTAGTTCCGGCCTCTTTGCACGTCATTTCCGGCACCGGCATGGCCGGGTGAGCTGCAGGCTACCTTATTTAAGACCGGGAATTTAGTCAGCCTGGTGAGCCGACTCTGAGGAGATGGAGTATCGCTGAGGTGATGAGAGAGAATGTGGTTGTTAGCAACATGGAGAGAGAAAGTGGGAAGCCCGTGGCTGTTGTCGCAGTTGTGACTGAGCCTTGGTTTACCCAGCGATACAGAGAATATCTCCAGAGGCAGAAACTCTTTGATACACAGCACCGTGTGGAAAAGATGCCGGATGGCTCGGTGGCGCTACCGGTGCTGGGAGAGACGCTTCCAGAGCAGCACCTGCAGGAGCTGAGGAATCGTGTTGCCCCAGGCAGTCCCTGTATGCTCACGCAGCTCCCGGATCCTGTTCCTTCGAAGAGGGCCCAGGGTTGTTCACCTGCCCAAAAATTGTGTCTTGAGGTGAGTCGCTGGGTGGAGGGTCGGGGAGTCAAGTGGTCAGCCGAGTTGGAGGCTGATTTGCCCCGATCATGGCAACGGCATGGTAATCTCTTGTTGCTGAGTGAAGACTGTTTCCAAGCCAAGCAGTGGAAAAATCTGGGACCGGAACTCTGGGAGACCGTTGCCTTGGCACTTGGCGTCCAGCGTTTGGCAAAACGAGGGCGGGTATCACCGGATGGTACTCGAACTCCAGCAGTGACACTGCTGCTGGGTGACCATGGCTGGGTAGAGCATGTGGATAATGGTATCCGTTATAAGTTTGACGTGACCCAGTGTATGTTCTCCTTTGGAAACATCACTGAGAAGCTTCGAGTGGCATCGTTGTCCTGTGCTGGAGAAGTGCTGGTGGATCTCTATGCAGGGATTGGTTATTTTACATTGCCTTTCCTAGTTCATGCTGGTGCTGCCTTCGTCCATGCTTGTGAGTGGAATCCCCATGCTGTAGTTGCTCTGAGAAATAACCTTGAGATCAATGGAGTAGCAGATCGGTGCCAAATACACTTTGGAGATAACAGAAAACTGAAGCTCTCAAATATTGCAGATAGGGTGATCCTGGGGCTGATTCCCAGCTCTGAAGAAGGCTGGCCCATTGCCTGCCAAGTGTTAAGGCAGGATGCTGGAGGCATTTTGCATATCCACCAAAATGTGGAATCTTTCCCAGGGAAGAATCTTCAGGCTCTTGGAGTCAGCAAAGTAGAGAAAGAGCATTGGCTGTATCCTCAGCAAATTACCACCAACCAATGGAAAAATGGAGCTACCAGGGATTCTAGGGGAAAAATGCTGTCACCAGCCACCAAGCCAGAGTGGCAAAGGTGGGCAGAATCTGCAGAAACTCGAATCGCCACTCTTCTTCAGCAGGTGCATGGGAAACCATGGAAGACACAAATTCTGCACATCCAACCAGTGAAATCCTATGCTCCCCATGTGGATCACATAGTCCTGGATCTGGAATGCTGCCCCTGTCCTTCAGTTGGCTAGAGGAGGTAGATCCTGGGACACATGGGATCCACGTGCGAGTGGCCCTTAAATGTATCAGTTCAGTCCAGGTTGTCATCCCTTTTGTCCCCTGGTGATCAGTTTTTTTCATATTTTATAGCCCTGAAAGCAGGCTCTAGATCAATTCAAATTATTTCATTTGTCTTTCATTGATAACAGAAAATGAAATACCTGTTTGGGAGAAGCAGCATGGCCCATTGAAATGAGGCTCATCTGTGCAATTATGAATTCCAAATTCTGACCTCAGTTCTGGAATTGAAGTTTCAGTATGTTTTGGCCTCGGGTTTCGTTATTTGCAAAATGAGAGTTTCTTTGAACTGTCTCACGTGACTATTAAGCAACTATACACAGGACATCGGTTATTTTAGAGTGAAAGACACAGTGCTTTTTCCAAATTGCTCTGGCTACCATATAGAAAATTGACTGAAGGAGGGCCAAGATGGAAACAGAGAGACCAGTGAGGAGGCTTCTGTGGTTGTCCAGGTCTGAGGTGATGGTAACTTGGACTCGGATGGTGGTAATGGGAGGTAGATTGATATGATAAATAAAATTGACAGACCAAGCAATGGAATCAGAATTAAGTCCTTAACATGAAGCTGCTTTGTTATTATGACTGACTAAATTAGAGAGAGAAGGGAACAAAAATTATTTTAGTGTATTTCCATTCCCTTACTGTGGCATTCCTAAATGATTGTGAGGGGTTGTCTTATAAATTTGGTTTGTTGTGGTAGAAATATGGTTAAGAATCACCAGTCTATTTTTTTTTTTAAAGCTCATCTGCTGAGGACGAATCACTGTTCTAAATCATAGGGAATCTAGATTTCTAGCCTCAAGCTTGTGCAATAGCTGCCAATTAATACTTATTAGTTTAAAGTTCCTATTAAAATCTTAGATTCGTATAGGCCTCATACTCCCTCTTCATCTTCCTACCGTGGCTGAGAACAGGAGGGACAACCTAAGAAGCTATAGGGAATGTGAGATATTCTGCAGAGCATTTCCAGCCTCACCTTATTTTATGGCTGTCTGCCATAAAAGATGGTTTGCCACTGGAGTGAATAATTGTTTGTTGTTTTGTTTGTTTGCTTTTTTGTTTTTTTGAGACAGAGTCTTGCTCTGTCACCCAGGCTGGAGTGCAGTGGCACCATCTTGGCTCACTGCAACCTCTGCCTCCCAGGCTCAAGCGATTCTCAAGCCTCAGACTCTCAAGTAGCTGGGATTACAGGTGTGCAGCACCATGCCCAGGTAATTTTTGTATTTTTAGTAGAGATGGGGTTTCACCATGTTGGCCAAGCTGTTTTGGAACTCCTGACCTCAAGTGATCTGCCCACCTCGACCTCCCAAAGTGCTGGGATTACAGGTGTTAGCCACCACGCATGACCCAAGATGACTAATTGTTGATTACCACTCAGAGCTTTGTTCTGGTGTATTTTGAAGCTATCTAGGCTGGTTTGCTAGGTGAAGGAAATATAGAAAAGTGTGGCCTTGTATGATTGTACCTGACATTTGGCTGGCTGGATTTGGGCATGGCTACTCATCCTTCTCTTGCAACAGTAGCAGTAAGGACAGGTTGGTGCTGTTTGTGTTATCCAACAAATATTAAGTGCCTATTATATACAAAAGCCACAGGAAACATAACGATCCATTAGATAGAGTTCCTGTCTCTGAGAAACCCACAATCTAGCAGCAGAAATAACACAAGTACTCAAAGAAAGACTTGGAATGCAGTAAGATGAGTGCCATGTGAGTGATAGCACGTTGTAGGAATGAAAAGGTGGGAAAGGAGTTCTCAGAACTGAATAGTGAAGTCTTCAGAGGTAGTGTTTGAATTGGCTCATGAAAACTGGGTAAGATTTTGATGGGTAGGTTGCGGGTAGAAACAGGCACTAGTAGAAGAGAATAACAGATGCAAAAGTTTGAATCCTCAGAAAATGGTATGTTGTTATTAGATAAGTTTGGAACAGAGGAAGCAGTGAGAGATGTGTTGAAGATGGGGGTTGTTGTAAGGATTAAAAAAGCACTGTGTCTTGTACACAGTAATCCCCTAGGGAGATGTTAGCCAGCATGTGATCCCACCACAAAAACAAACAGCCTGCTTATTTCCATTCCCATCTCACAGAGCGGTCTTCCTGTGTTACCTTAATCATCTCCTCCTTTTTTTTTTTTTTTTTGTTTGAGATAGAGTCTCACTCTGTCACCCAGGCTGGAGTGCAGTGGCACAATCTCGGCTCACTGAAACCTCTGCCTCCTGGGTTCAAGCGATTCTCCTGCCTGAGCCTCCCAAGTAGCTGGGACTACAGGTGTGTGTCACCACGCCTGGCTAATTTTTTGTATTTTTAGTAGAGACGGGTTTCACCGAATTAGCCAGGATTGTCTCAATCTCCTGACCTTGTGATCTGCCCGCCTCATCCTCCCAAAGTGCTGAGATTACAGGCATGAGCCACCATGCCCAGCCAGTCATCTCCTCTTTTACATAGTGGGTTTTTCCTCACTTGTGTGTCCATGGCTTGCTGTCCTCAAACTATAAAGATACCAACCTGGAGGTTGAGCCAATATGGGAAGGGAACAAGGAGAAACAATGAGGAAGAGGAGCCAGAGAGTCAGTCTGGGGACTGAGGATTTGCCTTTTTGCCACAAGCTCTGGATAGACAGCTGATGTCAGGTGTGGCCAGTTGAACTCATTCGACCAACAGTTGTTGGACTCCTGCATGCTTGCACTCTCCCTCTCTCATATATATATTATATATATATTCATATAATATATATATCATATATAATATATATATATTCATATATAATATATATTCATATATAATATATATATTCATATATAATATATATATTCATATATAAATATATAAATAAATAAATATATACATATATATATGGGCCCTGTGTGTGCAGTGATGTAAGACTGACATGGCTCTGCCTTCATATAATTTATTTGTTTTTATTTTTTGGAGATGGAGTCTCGCTCTGTCGCCCAGGCTGGAGTGCAGTGGAGCGATCTCAGCTCACTGCAACCTCCGCCTCCCAGGTTCAAGCAATTCTCCTGTCTCAGCCTCCTGAGTAGCTGGGATTACAGGCATCTGCCACCATGCCCGGCTAATTTTTGTATTTTTGGTAGAGAGGGTTTCACCATGTTGGCCAGGCTGGTCTTGAACTCCTGACATCAAGGGATCCACCCGCCTCGGCCTCCCAAATGCCTCTTAGAATTTAGATTCCACTCATTCAACTCCTGACTCCTCTACTTTCTGGGTGACCTCAGGCAAGTTATGAATCTCTCAAGATTTAGTTTCCTTATCTGTACATTAGGGTTAACAATTGTACATATCCTGTAGGGTAGTTCTTAGGTTTAAATGAATATATGTTAAGCTGTCATCATCGTGACTCACTGAGTGGTGAATACTTTTGTAAAATAAAAAGTATCTGAGACAGGTCTCAATCAGTTTAGAGGCTTATTTTGCCAAGGTTGAGGACACACATGGGAAAAAGACACAAGTCACAGTAGGATCTGTGGCCCACACATTTTTCCAAAGAGGATTTTGAGGGCTTCAGTATTTAAAGGGGAAAGTGAGGGTAGGAGGAGTAGGGGTAGAGGAAAAAAACAAAAAGGAGTGTAGGTAGTGAGTTAAGTGGTCACATTCTTGTGAGGCTTTGATTAGTGCTCACTGAATCCACATGTTACATGTGAAGTGGGGTAGAGGAACAGTCAATTAAGCATTTGTCAGGACTCAGTAAATATGCATATGTCTGAGGTGGGCAGAGGGATGGTTTCTAGTCTTGACTTTGTGCTGTATCTGTGAAGATAAGCTGTTTACATTGTCAAGGTAAGGGAGGCCAACTGAGGAGATATGGAATCTTCTATCTTGCGGCTGTGTTTAGGCAAAAGGAAAGGCAGTTTTTTTGCATGACTGAGTTTCCAGGCTTCACTTTTCCCTTTGGCATAGTAAGTTTGGGGTCTGACTTGTTTGTTTGTTTGTTTGTTTGTTTGAGATGGAGTTTCGCTCTTGTTGCCCAGGCTGGAGTGCAATGGCACGATCTCAGCTCACCACAACCTCCGCCTCCCAGGTTCAAGCGATTCTCCTGCCTCAGCCTCCCGATTAGCTGGGATTGTAGGCATGTGCCACCACGCCCGGCTAATTTTTGTATTTTTAGTAGAGACAGGGTTTCTCCATAGTCAGGCTGGTCTCGAACTCCCGACCTCAGGTGATCCACCCACCTCAGCCTCCCAAAGTGCTAGGATTACAGGTGTGAGCCACTGCGCCCGGCCTGGGGTCTGACATTTTATTTTCCTTTCACACTTCATTCTATCAGTCAGTCTTTGTATATGATGAACCACCACTTTCCAATTTGGCTGTGAGGGGTTGCTGTATGTCTGGCCTACTTGAGGCAGAATGTCATTATTTTGAAAAGCCATTCACTGATTAATTAGGAGATACTGTGTACTCTCTCCATTAAGCGCTGTGCTTGGAGCCAGTGACATAGAGATGAATAAAACTGAGTCCTGCCCACAATGGGATCACTATCTGGTGACACAGATACAGAGAAAACAATGTCAGTGCTGTTTACTGAGTGCTTAGATAGAAATAAGGGTTTTTATGGGCACACATAGGAGAGGCAGCCACCCTCATTTGAGGATGTGGGTTGAGGATTGAACAGGGTGACTAGGAAGGTAGGAGCAGGGATGCCTAAGGGAGTGTTAAAGAATGAGCAGGAGTTAATGTGTGGATGGAAGAACAGAAGCCTCCCTTAAGCTTTTTCTCTACTTAAGCATGTTCATTTACATTTTAGTTTTCTTTGAGGACTTGCTGGATTGCCCTGGTTGGGAAGAGGCATCTTATGGAACCAATGAAAAAAGACTGAAGGGTTCGGGAGGCTCATGGGGTCCTTGTCATCTCAGTCCAGCAATTTGTATAAGCTCTAAAGGCTTCCCATGCAAGCTTCAGTATTAGTTGCCAGTCAATGCAGCCACCTGATAGAGATATTGTGATTTTTAAAAAATAGTAATTTTTAAAAACTCCCTCAAACTTGAGCTGCTTTATTAACTTTGTAATTTAAAAAATTATATGAGTGCAGTAATATATGAGTACAATATGTGCCTTTGAAATACACAAATAGGCCAGGTGCGGTGGCTTATGCCTGTGATCCCAGCACTTTGGGAGGCTGTGGCAGGTGGATCACCTGAGGTCAGGAGTTTGAGACTAGCCTGTCCAACATGGCAAAACCCTGTCTCTACTAGAAATACAAAAATAAGCCAGGTGTGGTGGTGGGCTTCTATAATTCCAGCTACTTGGGAGGCTGAGGCAGGAGAATCTCTTGAACTCAGGAAGTGGAGGTTGCAGTAAGCCGAGATTGTGCCACTGCACTCCAGCCTGGGCAACAGAGCAAGACTCTGTCTCAAAAACAGAAAAACCATACACGAACAGAAATTAAAAATAGTAAGAAACAAATAGAATTTAAATTTCATTTTCTCCTACCCTGGGCATACATGTGACAAAATCCAATATATATCACTCTGAACAGCCTCAGGGTACAGCCACTTTATATTGCACAAGCTGTAAAAGTAGTCATTTTCAAACTCAACTATTATTTAAAATGATTACAAGCATTTAAAATGTTTAAAATAAAGATCCAACCCTGTTCACTTGGGAAACAGTTGTGGCAGTTCCTTAAAGTGTTGAACATAGGGTTAGCATATTACCCAGCAGTGAATTAACCAAATAAATAAGACATATGTGATAGAGGTATATATACCCAAGAGAATGCAAACATATGTCCACACAAAGGCTTGTGCGTGAATATTTGTAGCAGCATTATTCATAGACAAAATGTGGAAACAACCCAAAGTCCATCAACTGATGAGTGGTTAAACAAAATGTCATATATATACAATGGAATCTGTAAAAAGGAATGCAGTACTGATACATGGTTTCTGGATGAACCTTGAAAACATTATGCTGAGTGAAAGAATCCAGTTGCAAAAGGTCATTTATTGTATGGTCCCATTTATATGAAATGGCCAGAATAGGCAAATCTATAGAAACAGAAAGTAAGTTCCCAGGTGCTGGGGGGAGTGGAGAATGGAGAATGACTGCTAATAGGTACTGGGTTGATTTTGTGGGAAGATGAAAATGTTCTGAAAATAGATGGTGGTGATGATTGCACAACTCTATAATATATGAACCAGCCATTTAATTGTATATTTTTAAAGGGTGAATTTCCCTACTTGCTTCAGCAACATATATACTAAAAGGGTGAATTTTATAGTATGTGAATTATATCTCAATAAAGCTGTTAAAAAAAAAAAAGCAAAGAACTTGGAAACACTTCCTACAGGAAGGAACACCAGAGCTGCATTTTATTATTTTTAGGGTCTTGCTTTGTTGCCCAGGCTGGAATGCAGTGGCGCAATCAAGGTTCACTGCAGGCTGGGTGCAGTGGCTCACACCTGTAATCCCAGCTCACGCCTGTAAACTTTGGGAGGCTGAGGTGGGCAAATCACACCTGAGGTCAGCAGTTTGAGACCAGCCTGGCCAACATGGTGAAATCCTGTCTCTAATAAAAGTACAAAAATTGGCCAGGTGCGGTGGCTCATGCCTGTAATCCCAGCACTTTGGGAGGCTGAGGCGGGTGGATCATAAGGTCAGGAGTTCCAGACCAGCCTGGCCAAGATGGTGAAACCCCATCTCTACTAAAAATACAAAACTTAGCCAGGGGTGGTGGTGGGCACCTGTAGTCCCAGCTACTCGGGAGGCTGCGGCAAGAGAATCGCTTGAACCCAGGAGGCAGAGATTGCAGTGAGCCAGTATCACACCACTGCACTCCAGCCTGGGTGACAGAGCAAGACTCCGTCCCCCAAAAAAAAAAAACATACGAAAATTAGTGAGACATGGTGGCAAACACCTGTAATCCCAGCTACTCAGGAGGCTGAGGCAGGAGAATCGCTTGAACCCGGGAGGCGGAGGTTGCAGTAAGCGGAGATCACACCACTGCATTGTAGCCTGGGTGACAGAGTGAGACTCTGTCCCCCACCAAACAAACAAACAAACAAACAAAAGACTTACTTGCAGCTTTGACCTCCTGAACTGCAATCCTCCTGCCCCAGCCTCCTGAGTAGCAACCTCCCACACACCCACCCCCCCAAGTTCAAGTGATTCTCCTGCCTCACCCTCCCGAGTAGCTGGGATTACAGGTGTGCACCACCATGCCTAGCCAATTTTTGTTTTTAGTGGAGACAGGGTTTCACCATGTTGGCCAGGCTGGTCTTGAACTCCTGACCTCAAGAGATCCACCCACCTCAGCCTCCCAAAGTGCTGGGAATACAGGTGTGAGCCACTGTGCCCACCCATAATTTTTAATTTTTTTTATAGATAGAGGGTCTCACTATGTTGCCCAGGCTGGTCTCGAACTCTAGGGCTCAAGTGATCCTCTAACCTCAGCCTCCCAAAGTGCTGGGATCACAGGCATGAGCCATGGTGCCTGTCCTAGAGCTGAATTTTGAATAGAATCAACTATGTAAAGGCAGAGGAAGTGAGGGCCCCTTAACCTCTTCTCCAAGATAAGCTATTTGTCTCATTGAAACTTTCTTTTGAATCTTACAGTTACCATTGTGTGTTTCCTATAGGCCCTTCTCCAGATTCTCCAAGTTGTTCCCAAGAACCTTTTCACTGGGGCCCAGAATTGACTCACAGTATCCATCCCAATTCCCCTTTCTCTTAAAAAGGAGAAGCTGGAAAACTCAAGTACTAAATTTCCCAGCCTCTCTTGCACAGATAGTGACCATGTGAACCAGTTCTGGCAAGGAGCTGCAGGCAGAGGTCCCCGGGGAGGGCTTTGGGTCTCTGACCCTGGAGATGTAGCAGCCATCTCTCCAAGCATGCTAAGACTGGCAGAGCAGCATTGTAGGACTGATTTCTTAAGGGGATCTTTGATCAGCTACACAGCCCTGAAATGTCTATCTCTGCACTTGTCATGTGAAAAAATAAAAAAATAAAATAACCTGCAATCCCACCCCCAAGTCTATTTAAGTCACTGTGCGAATTTTTTTTTAACTTACAGGCAAGAAATATTTCTACCTGATATTCTGAGTACTAGATTAACCAAATAAATTAGACATATATAATAGAAGTGAGTAAATAAAAACTGAGTGGGAATGCTCACAGAGCTCATACCACCCAAAACAGGGCATCTTGAAATCAGTTCTTTTTTTCAGGTGTTTCATCGGTTAATGCTTCCATCCAGTGAAATAAAAACTTCATTCAGCCTTGAAATTAATTTATCCATGACTCCAAGGACTGCGTTTGGTCTTTTTTTTTTTTTTTTAATCAAAGTGATAGATACTCAATAATGGGATTCGTTCCCTGAACAGGAATCTAACTCAGGCTGTAGCCATAAAAGCACAGAAGCTTAGTTACTAGACCACAGGCTGGAGTGTTGTTTTGTCTCTTTTCCCTTCTGTCTCTTCTTGCCCTTTCATAAATGTTTTTGGGCCCCAATCATGTGCCAGACACTGTGGCAACCACTGGGAGTAAAATAGCCAACAAAACAAGACTCAATCCCAGACTCCATGGACCTTATACTCTAATGAGAGGGATAGGCATTTATCCAATAATCACACACCACATACAACATTTCATGTAACAACTTGCATTCTAGTAAATGCTGTGAGGAGAGGTTCTCGGGGTGCAATTGGAACCTATGACGGGTTGGCCTGGTCAGAAAGGTCAGGGCAGTCTTCCCTGAGAATTTGATGACTTAGCTGCGAGCTGAATGGTGAGTAGGAATTAATGAGTGGCTAAAATGGGGAACAGCTTTCCAGGCTCTGACAGTGTGTGCAAGTGCCATGTGGAGGAATTTGAGGGGCCAAAATGAAGGGTAGGGTGGATGGAGAGGAAAGAGTAAGGGGTGAAGGAATGTTAATTAGGCTGCAGAGTTAAGTGATGGTCAGATCAGGCAGGGGGCAATGTAGGCTATATTAAGAACACCATCCCAGCAGCAATGGGATGTCATTGAAGGGTCTAAGCAAAAATGTGACATGGTTAAATATGTGATGTCTTGCAAATTCAGTTTATCAAAATCCTAGTATTCTAAAACATTTAAAAATATACTCAACACATACACTAACCCCTAATATTCCTTCATCTGCCCACCCTCATTTCCAACAACTGTGGTGACATGGGATTGTACAAGGAGTTGGCTTTGTATACATAATTCATAGTCAATAAATTTTTCGTTTACGTTCATGGGAAAAATGCTGGCTCATAGAATTAGTTGACTCAGTTGGGATGCATTCTTCCATTTTCTGGAAAAGTTTATGTACAATTATTATTACTTCCTTAATGTTTGTTAGAAATCCCCAATGAAGCTATTTGGACCTGGATTTTTTTCTTTATGGGAAGATTTGTAACTACAAATTCAGTTTCTCTGAAAGAGTTTTTTAGGGTATCTATTTCTTGGCTGAGCTTTAGTAGTTTGCATCTTCAAGGAATTTTTCTGTTTTATCTAATTTGCCAAATATACTGATACAAAGTGTTCAAAATGTTCCTTTTAACAACTGTAAAATCTGTAGTGTTATCACCTCTCATTACTGATACTGATAATTTGTCCTCTCTTTTCCTGATCAGTCGGCCTAGAGCTTTATCAAACTTAGCTTCTCAAAGAATTAGCTTTTGGTTTCATTGATTTTTCTCTATTGTATTTCTACTTTTTCTTTCTTTCTTTTTTTTCTTTTTGAGATGGAGTCTTGTTCTGGCGCCCAGGCTGGAGTACAGTGGCGCGATCTCAGCTCACTGCAACCTCCGCTTCCTGGGTTCAAGTGATTCTCCTGCCTCAGCCTCCCGAGTAGCTGGAATTACAGGTACCCACCCCCAAGCCCAGCTAATTTTTTGTATTTTTAGTAGAGACGGGGTTTCACCATCTTGGCTAGGCTGGTCTTGAACTCCTGACCTCGTGATCCACTCTCCTCTGCCTCCCAGAGTGCTGGGATTACAGCCATGAGCCACCGTGCCCGGCCCACCTTTTGATTTCTGCTCTATTTCTTTTTTTTCTACTTACTTTGGACTAGACCACCACCATTTTTTGCTCCCCACTCTTCTCCTTCAAGGACTGCAATTATACACATGCATTTGGCTGCCTGAAGTTGTCCCACCCTTTACTGATGCTCTATTTATTTTGGTAGGAGGTGTGTGTCTCATTTTATTCTTTTTTCTCTCTGTTTCAGGGAGGTTCTACTGCTGCATCTTCAAGTTCACTGATCTTTCTTTCTGCAATATCTAATCTGCCATTAATCTCATCTAACATATTTTTCATCTCAGACATTGGAGTTTTCATCTCTAGAAGTTTGATACGGGTCTTTTTATACCTTCATTGTCTGTAATATCTTCAGTCTTTCCTCTGGTTTCTTGAATACATGGAATATAATTATAATAACTGTTTTAATGTCCTTGTCTAATAATCTTCATCATCTGTAATTTCTGAGTCAGTTTTGACAGAATGTTTTATTTTTTGTTTGTTTTGAGATGGAGTCTTGCTCTGTTGCCCAGGCTGGAGTGCATTGGCACAATCTCACTGCAACCTCTGCCTCCTGGGTTCAAGCAATTCTCCTGCCTTAGCCTCCTGAATAGCTGGGACTACAGGTGAGCACCACCACTCCCTGCTAATTTTTGTATTTTTAGTAGAGACGGGGTTTCGCCATGTTGGCCAGGCTGGTCTTGAACTCCTGACCTCAGGTCATCCACCTACCTTGGCCTCCCAAAGTGCTGGGATTACAGGTGTGAGCCACTGCACCTAGCCCAGAATGTTTTATTTTTCTTATTATGGGTTGTATTTTTCTGTTGCATGCCTGGTAATTTTTGATTGGATGCCAGCCATTGTGAATTTTACTTTGTAGATTATTTTCATATCCCTAAAACAGTTTGAACTTTCTTCTGGAGTATGATTAAGTTATTTGGACACAGTTTGAATGTTTTTGGGTCTCTCTTTTAAGCTTTGTTAGGTTATTCTAGAGCATTTAGTCGAGGGTTAATTTTTCCCGCTATTGAAGCAAGACCTTTCTTAGTACTCTAACTGGTGCCTTGTGAATTAGGATCTTTTCCACTCTTGCTGACGGGATCAGGAATCATTCACCATCCTGTGTGAGCTTTGAGTATTGTTTTCTTTAATCCTTTCTGATGGTTCTTTGCCAAGCCTTTGGTTATTTCCTCTCATGCATGTACTAATCATTATTTAGCTTAATACTTCAGGAGAATGGTCAGCAGATCTCTGGAGTTCTCTCTGTGTCACTCTGTCCTCTCTAGTATTCTACCCTGTGAACTCTAGTTGCCTTGGGCTCTCAGGACTCCCACTTATATCTCCTCACCTCACAGAGTCTTCTGGGTTCCCTCTCCCCATGCCAAAGCCTTTCTTCAGGCAGCAAGTTGGAGCAATTGTATTGCTCACCTTGTTTGCATTCCATCTCTCATGGATTACTATCCTTCACTGCCTATGTCCAATGCCTTCAGGGCCATTGTTTCATATATTTTGCCCATTTAAAAAAAGTATTTGGAAGTTTATAATTACTTTCTACTTAAATTTACTAGCTGTCACAATCATTACTGAAGAAATTCACTCTTGCAATAATATACATATGTACTTCATTTGACACAGAATTTCAACATGTAAAGCATATAAGAATTTCTTGCCACAATCATGTTTAGAATGCTTACCTATAAGGTGAATATTAAAATATTAGTAAATACAATGACTTTTTTCAGATTAGACATGATAAATAACCTGCAAGGTTACTTGACCATTGGTCACACAGAATTTCAGAGAGATCAGAACCAGTGTCAAAATAGGTATTTGTCTTTTTGGCTTTTTAAAGGTCAAGGTTGAATCAAGGGTAAACGAAAATATTGCATGAACATGAAGCTAAAATTGAATTTTATGTAACA